>NC_000023.11:23387488-24637488 GCF_000001405.40 Homo sapiens
ATTCTTTTGAGAATAAGAAAAATTATTAGCCTAAATTCTTTAGTATTTTATTTTATTAGATGACAACCCCAAAGTGTACTGCAAATAAAATTAATAAAAGCAGTTTTCTTTTTAAAATCACACTCCCGGCCCAAATTTTGCCTCAACATTAGTGAAGAGCCCTGCTGGCCTGACAAAAACCTCGAGCTGCCTCAGAGTATTCACTCACGAATAATTAGAACTTGGCGCTCCCTTCAATCTCTCTCTCTCTCTTTCTCTTTATGTGTGTGTGTATGTGTTTTTACATACTGATATGCATTTGTTCTTATGCATGTAACAATACAGACATGCAGGGTAACAAAAATAGAAACAAACATCTTGAATATGCTTTTAAAGGACAAGAGAATGCTTTAGAAGCATTTTTATCTTCAAAATCTGATAGAATCAGTATGTGTTTAACAGTTCCCGTTGGCAACTCCTCAGTCCTGCACTGTGACTGTAAAAGAAGGAATCCCCTGGGATGTTGTATCATCCAGGGTAATCCTTGGAATGTGAGGATGTCAGGATGTGGAGGTTCCTGATATCCTCACTGTGATATATAGTCTTTTTACCCCAAGGTCTCAGGCTGCGACCTGGCCCTCAAATGATGAGTCATGACTCCCAATAACACCACAGGGTCCCTACTGACCAAAATCAAAATCTGTATTTAGGTAGCTCTGCCCTGGCCCCACCCCATGAGTTCTGTCACCAGGGAGTCCTTGTGAACAGACTTGGGACTTTGGAGATGGGAAATTGTTATTTGCCAAAGTCATGCTTTGTGCCAATGACATAGGCCCACTGGTCAGATTTAACAGAGAAGCTTATAGAACTCCTACTTTGTAGAGAAGTTTTTAAAACTAGAGTGCAAAGCAAACAGCAGTACTTTTGCTTTTAAAACACCTTTTTAAAAAGTAGGAAACAACAGTCAGACCTCTGAAAAGTATCTTCAGTCCACATGCAATATCTGTTTGCCTACGTCTGTAAGATTTGGCGTCAGAGTTCCGCTTGCTGAACTACAGCCCCAAAATTAGGAGAGTGGGTTGTGCGTGGTGGCTCATGCCTGTATAGAATCCCAGCACTTTGGGAGGCCGAGGCAGGCAGATCACCTGAGGTCAAGAGTTCAAGACCAGCCTGGCCAATACGGTGAAACCCCATCTCTACTAAAACTACAAAAATTACCTGGGCGTGGTGGCATGTGCCTGTAATCCCAGCTACCCAGGAGGCTGAGGCAGGGGAATCGCTGGAACCCGGGAGGCCGAGGCTGCAGCGAGCAGAGATTGTGCCACTGCACTCCAGCCTGGGAGACAGAGTGAGACTCCGTCTCGAAAAAAAAAAAAAGCAATGAATGATGATGATGCTAAAGGAGGTAGCCATCCACTGAAAGAGGAAAGTGGAGAGGAACAGAACCTACCAAAATCTATCTTCTCTGCCTCTCCTTGACTCCAGGTGGCCCAGTTTCTGGAGTGCTAGTAAAAGATAAGGTCAGACCTGACTGAAGGAAAAACTGAAGAAATTCGTCTCTGTGAAATTCTCCTACCTGCCATTTCCTCTTTATTCCATTCCCATGTCCATTCTCTGTCCCATTCCCCAGACCTAAGGGAAGCTGCTTCAGTAGACCACTGTCCCAGAGGAGTTTACATTTAAAAGGATACCCTTGAAAGTTCCAAGGGGAACTCGGATATAATTCCGGCATTCTGGAGGGCAGGATGGTCCTCGTGTCCTAGGGCTTTTGGAATGTGTCTCCCCTTGAATCCAGGCCAGAACACAAGAGTCCTCACCGATGGCCTTTCCTATAGGATAACAGGCCGACCTCTTCAGCAAAAATACCCAGCTATGAGCCAGGACAGCTGCCAGCCAGGCACTCCAGGCTGTTAATCCTTAAGAGGTGACCACAGCTATGTTAGCACTTGTCCCTCCCTTGACTGACAAACCTTCAGGAAGGAGGCCCAGTTATGGTATCAGCAATTGTCCCAGAAATCCAAAGGGCTCTTGTAAGATGCTGTAGAACTCCAGTTTGGGGATTCGGGTGTAGCAATCTGCTCGAGAGGTGTGGCTTGAGAAAGGAATCTGACCTATCAGGAATGGTGGTCGGGGCCTTTGGAGGCAAAGTCAGGCACAACTAGCAACAAATGCTGAGTGATCGGTTAGAACAAATTCTTTCTCAGGGCCTCTTCTGATTTCTGTGAGTGGCTGCATGTACACACCTGTAGCAAGAAGGAAGAACTAAGGAAAGGCATCGTTTCCAAAAGCCCCTCAGAAGAAAATTAGAATTCTCTTTGGAGCTGCCCCCAAACCAAGAACATATGCAAAAAGAGCCAGGACTCAAAATAAAAGATCAAACTATAGAAGGACAAGGCATTTAAAATGCAGCAACAGAACTCAAGAGAGAAGCTAACAGCCTACTTCCACCTTTCCTTGATTTTGATTACTTTCATTCTTGACCCTGGAGCCTCAGTCTTGTCACCTAATATCTCTGTTAATTCAAATTCCTTTTCTCAATTAGCTTCTAAGATTATTCAACAGCAAGGTATGAAATTGATTCTTATTGTATTTTCCAAAAATCAGGGTCAGATAATGTCATTATAAAACATCACACTGATTTTTAAAAGAACTGCAAAACAGATTTAAGTTCTATTATATGACTAATTCTAATTCCGCTATATGCTTTATTTTCTTGCCATATTTAATAACTCAGTACTAAAACCCTGTTTAAATTTTTTGTTTCTGGCAAGTAAATATCATTAAAAAATTATTTGCCATTTATAGTGATCCCCTGAAGTGTGCTTTGCCCACCAAAGCTTACTTGCTCTACATGGCCCCAGGAAAAAAAAAAAAAAAACAAAAAAAACAATATTATTTCTTCAGGGACAGTGCCTCAGAAGTATTCTCTTTTTACCCTCATTGTCAAGAGAATGGTTACTTAATTAAAGGTCAGTGGGTCCATCTTGAAAATATACTAGAAACAGATTTAATCATGTTCCCTCTCCAGACTAGATGTTAATACCTAAGCATAATTAACAACAGGATGCCAGTCAATGAGTGTACTTTTTACTTCATATCTGGGGAGTTTAGGTGCCTTCAATTTAATAGGGGCCTCGGTGCTAGTTAACAAATTGACAGTCTTGACCTGACTTCTAAAAGTGGCTGTAAAACGATGCCTAGTCAATTAAGATAAATGCCAAATTCCTCTGAGGAAACAGGCCTAAATCATTACTTTGAAATGGGCATTTCAGGTATGAGGCCAGGACTTCACAATAAGGATATAAATACTAGCTTGGGCATGAGGGAAGATGTACACCTAGCTATTGTACACACAAGATAACAGTGACTCACTTTATTCAGCATTATGCTTGGCTGGAGATTTTAAATTCCTTTTTAAATACAAGACTATTGTACCACAGGGTAAAGATTTTATTATCCTCAATAATGGGATTGAATATGCCAAGGCGATGGAAGCAGGAAATTAGATCTGCTGATCCCCATTGCCAAGACAGGAGTTATCGAAATCCACAACGGGTCACTTTGGTGAGCCTTCCAATGTTGCAGTGGCCTGGAAACACAGGGACTCGAAGTAGGGAAATGTCTGGCTCCAACTACGAGAGGTGGTAGAAGTCATGCTAGATCAGGTTCCAGGCAGCAGAATGGAGTTTAGAACATGAGCATTTACTGTACCTCTGCTATTTCAGTATTGCTGAAATACTAAACCAGGAGGCGAAGGCACTAAGCAGTTACGCAGCGGGGTTACTGATCTGGCTCTTTCCCACAGATGCCACTATCAAATAGCGCGGAGAAGCTAGCAGAGTCGCTGCTGACGTATTATATCACTGCTTGATAAGTCATGTATGAATAACCAAATTGGTCAAACAGATCCCTGAAGACAAATTGCAAGTCATAAACCTTCAACCTGAATCCTAATTTTTATCAATAACCAGGAGAGTTCATATTTATCTTATTTTTTCTGTATTTTCTTCACTGAAACTTCTTCACTCCTACTTATTTTGCTTCCCTCTTTCTAAGATTTATTGCTTCCTGCCCTGATATTTGGGGAGGGAAAACAGAGGGGGCTGTGATTTAGTTTCCTGTCAAGACTCAAATGAAATACACTGCCTCTTTATCACTAAAACCCTCTAGTTGGCAAATTTTAAATGAGGTGACAGGACATTAACTCAGAACCCTCTGCCCACTATCTTCCTCTGCACTGACCCCTAGCCAGACTTGTGGGGACGGAAAGCAAAATGATGAGTGTCCAGACATCTTCTCTTCTCTGGAGCGTTCCACCAACCAAACTGCACCAATAACTCTAAGCTATTAATGGGAAAAATCCCCAAGAGACATATGCACAAGTCTAATCAGCTTTTATTCTTTTTAGAGTCAGGGTCTTGCCCTGTTGCCCAGGCTGGAGTGCAGTGGCACAATCATGGCTCACTGCAGCCTCCAACTCCGAGGCTCAAGAGATCCACCTGCCTTAGCCTCCCAAGTAGCTGGGACTACAGATATGAGCCACTATTCCTGGCTAAGTTGTTTCATTTTCTTTCTTTTTTTTTCTTTCTTTTTTCTTTCTTTCTTTCTTTTTTTTTTTTTTTTTGAGAGATGAGGTCTCGCTACATTGCCCAGGCTGGTATCAAACTCCTGGTCTTAAGTCATCTTCCTTCCTCAGTCTCCCAAGTTGCTAGGATTACAGGCATGAGCCACCATGACTGGCTCTACTCAGCTTTCTATAGGCAAAAGTTCATCTAAGTGCTGTTTGTTTGGTGGAACACTCCAAAGAAGAGAACTTTCTTAAGCCAGAGGGAATATGAAGATCTTTGCTTCTCTAGCTGCCCTTTCGTTATCCATTAACATTTACGATTCATAAAAACATGGGTCTATCTCCGCATAGGAGAAATCATTGGCATTTACATACCCGTCACCACTAGGGTTGATTACGTTTCCTTTGACCCAGTAGTCCCTCATAATCAAGTTGATTTCCCTCTTAAGAGATTAGTTCTTTAAACTTCTGCTCTGGTCTTTTTCTGCCCTCTTAGGTCATGGATTATATGGGACTTTTGAAATGTTATCCTCCTGGAGGAAAACTAGAGAAGACCAACATGTTAAAGAGAGAACTGCAGCAGTCTATGCAGACTCCATGCTCTCCTTTTCTCTCACCACTGCCATGTACCTGGTCACCTTTGGCATAGGGGCCAGCCCTTTCACGAACATTGAGGCAGCCAGGATTTTCTGCTGCAATTCCTGTATTGCAATCTTCTTCAACTACCTCTATGTACTCTCGTTTTATGGTTCCAGCCTAGTGTTCACTGGCTACATAGAAAACAATTACCAGCATAGTATCTTCTGTAGAAAAGTCCCAAAGCCTGAGGCATTGCAGGAGAAGCCGGCATGGTACAGGTTTCTCCTGACGGCCAGATTCAGTGAGGACACAGCTGAAGGCGAGGAAGCGAACACTTACGAGAGTCACCTATTGGTATGTTTCCTCAAACGCTATTACTGTGACTGGATAACCAACACCTATGTCAAGCCTTTTGTAGTTCTCTTTTACCTTATTTATATTTCCTTTGCCTTAATGGGCTATCTGCAGGTCAGTGAAGGGTCAGACCTTAGTAACATTGTAGCAACCGCGACACAAACCATTGAGTACACTACTGCCCAGCAAAAGTACTTCAGCAACTACAGTCCTGTGATTGGGTTTTACATATATGAGTCTATAGAATACTGGAACACTAGTGTCCAAGAAGATGTTCTAGAATACACCAAGGGGTTTGTGCGGATATCCTGGTTTGAGAGCTATTTAAATTACCTTCGGAAACTCAATGTATCCACTGGCTTGCCTAAGAAAAATTTCACAGACATGTTGAGGAATTCCTTTCTGAAAGCCCCTCAATTTTCACATTTTCAAGAGGACATCATCTTCTCTAAAAAATACAATGATGAGGTCGATGTAGTGGCCTCCAGAATGTTTTTGGTGGCCAAGACCATGGAAACAAACAGAGAAGAACTCTATGATCTCTTGGAAACCCTGAGGAGACTTTCTGTCACCTCCAAGGTGAAGTTCATCGTCTTCAATCCGTCCTTTGTATACATGGATCGATATGCCTCCTCTCTGGGAGCCCCCCTGCACAACTCCTGCATCAGTGCTTTGTTCCTGCTCTTCTTCTCGGCATTCCTGGTGGCAGATTCACTGATTAACGTCTGGATCACTCTCACAGTTGTGTCCGTGGAGTTTGGAGTGATAGGTTTCATGACATTATGGAAAGTAGAACTGGACTGCATTTCTGTGCTATGCTTAATTTATGGAATTAATTACACAATTGACAATTGTGCTCCAATGTTATCCACATTTGTTCTGGGCAAGGATTTCACAAGAACTAAATGGGTAAAAAATGCCCTGGAAGTGCATGGGGTAGCTATTTTACAGAGTTACCTCTGCTATATTGTTGGTCTGATTCCTCTTGCAGCTGTGCCTTCAAATCTGACCTGTACACTGTTCAGGTGCTTGTTTTTAATAGCATTTGTCACCTTCTTTCACTGCTTTGCCATTTTACCTGTGATACTGACTTTCCTGCCACCCTCTAAGAAAAAAAGGAAAGAGAAGAAAAATCCTGAGAACCGGGAGGAAATTGAGTGTGTAGAAATGGTAGATATCGATAGTACCCGTGTGGTTGACCAAATTACAACAGTGTGATAATGTCTGCTTGGCATATTTTCACCTTAGGTCTTATCAAGACCAAAGAGATTATGTTAATGAAACAATTAAATTCAAAGTTCTTCCCTTTTTTAAAGATAGGAAACAGGCATTGCCAAAAAAAAAAAAAAAAAAAAAAGGAAAGGACAGTGGGGAGAAATGGGCCTGGCATATTTTCAGTCTTTAAAACAAAGGAGTTGTTATGAGAATTCACACACACATAGACACACACACACACACACACACACACACACACACACACACACCCTGGGAGACCTATAGTCTCTTAAACTAAGATCAAGTAGAAGAAAGCTTATTAACAAGCAGGATCCTGCCTTATCCAAACTGCAGATGTTGCTGGCATTGTGACAAAACCCACTGATTGAAAGGTCAACTGCCAAGGCAGAAACACCTTTAAGCATTGTTCAAACAATAAGGCTTCCAGAACTTCTGTAGAGCAGTAGCTCCAGTCATGGTCTGTGGTTTGAGGTTTTAGCTGTCTCACCTAGCTCCCTAACACTGAAGGAGATACTTGTGAAAGTTCTGACCAGCAAAAGCAAGCCAGAGCCTTGGAAACTGATATGTGGTAGAGTGGCCATCACTCATGGACTAAAATTGATTCACCGCTAAATTTACCCAGGTGAAGCAGTTTCGTTGTCTAGAATGAAATTATCATATTCCGCCATTGGTATGCCTTTAACATTTGTATAGTTTGGTTTGCTTAAAACACCTTAAAACCAATGACAGCTCCAGCACTGCAGAATTGGTGTGATTCTACTTTGGAATAGCTTGTCACTTGTCACCAAATGGGTCTGCTTTATTAGTTACAGCTCTTGGCAGGAGGATCCAGGGACCCAAAACCACAGGGCCAAACCCAAATACCTGGCATGATGGAGCAAAAGCAGGTGTCTACTTGGACCCAGATATAGTGTCTCCATTTTAACAACAACAACAAAATAGCCAGCTGGTACAGCTGTTTGCATTGGCCCTACATGCATTTTTTGCATGGATATCCAGAAACATCTGCCCACACAAAACTGCGGGGAAAAAAAATGAACACTGAAATAGTTATTTGCTGTTGCTTCCAACTTGTAGTGCCAGTCTGCCTTTGCTGTGAAACACACCTGCTCAGAGACAGAGAGGGGAAGAAGATCTTTGGTAAGTCTAAGTCCTGACGCTGAGAAGCTTTGTAAAAGTGCAGGGAGATAAAGGGCCAAAAGGGAGATAGATGGAAAACACTGGAAAAAGTATTCACTGATACAAATCTATCAATGATGGCAGTCCAATTCTCTTGCTAAAGTGGCTGCACCTCACCTTGCTGGTCCCCCCCACACCTTTTTTGATGTCCTTCTGCGTCATCATAGCAAGGCCCTTCTGTAAATTAACAAGCCTAGATATTTATACTCTTGACTTCCAGTATCTACAGAAGAATGGTTCATAGATCTAAACAGAAATGGTTTAGATCTAAAAAGGCTGTATACGTTGCCCAGGCCCCTGCATTTCTTTAAATTTATAAAAATGAAGCTAAAACCTGGTTACATTTGAAGCAAATATCTACAGTATTTTTCCCTTTTAGAGATGTAGCTTCCTTAGACATCTGTAGTGGTAAGCATTTCCCAAAAGCATCTTACCTTTCTGAACCTTAGCAGACATACTGTGCAGCTTACCTATCTTCTGCAGAGGAGGAAACTGAGACCTAGGAGAATAAAGTGACTCACTCAGGTCACACCACTAAAGGGTTTTCATCATTTCAGCATACCTAAGACAGGGCAGTCCAATTTTCAGTATTCTCATAAGATGGCTATTACTCCTCTCAAAATGCATTTCCAAAGTAGGAACATAGGACTTCGTTGGCCACAGGGCAGACATTTTTTTAGTGTCTGGAATTAAAATGTTTGAGGTTTAGGTTTGCCATTGTCTTTCCAAAAGGCCAAATAATTCAGATGTAACCACACCAAGTGCAAACCTGTGCTTTCTATTTCACGTACTGTTGTCCATACAGTTCTAAATACATGTGCAGGGGATTGTAGCTAATGCATTACACAGTCGTTCAGTCTTCTCTGCAGACACACTAAGTGATCATACCAACGTGTTATACACTCAACTAGAAGATAATAAGCTTTAATCTGAGGGCAAGTACAGTCCTGACAAAAGGGCAAGTTTGCATAATAGATCTTCGATCAATTCTCTCTCCAAGGGGCCCGCAACTAGGCTATTATTCATAAAACACAACTGAAGAGGGGATTGGTTTTACTGTTAAATCATGTGTTGCTAAATCATTTTCTGAACAGTGTGTTCTAAATCAGTCATTGATTTAGTGTCAGCCACGTGGAGCACCTCGGCTTAAAGCAGCTCCACAAAACCTGACACAACACACACACCAATTAAATGGATTTTGTTGAGAATTTAATCATTCAATTTGGTCAACCAGAATGACTTCCTGTGGAACTCTGTTTTATGACAGATAATAGTTTTCCAACTTGATTGAGTCTCTGTATACCCTGGGATATTGTATTTTTTAATGAAGGGCATTTTCAAACTTGTCAACTTCTCTTTTCAGCACTTGAAATGAAGGCTTATGGAATTCTGACTGTGAAATGAATTTTTCTATTGGGAGATTATGCATGCCAAGATTTATTATTTATTGTTAGATAATTATTATTTATTTGTTAATACTGATTATTGATTATTGCTCTGCTGCATTGGTTTAGCCCCGCTATGGAGAAGACACTTTAGAAGTAACTCAGAATCACATCCCCATAAAATCTAAGTCTTTACTTCATCAAGTTTTACTTTTTGAATTGCTATAAAGACGGAAAAATTGATCCCTGCAAACACTTGAAGAAGCTGTGTTTTTTTTCTTTCAATTAATTCCAACCAAGACATTAACGTCCACTTTACCAAAGAAACTTACTTGGTTGGTTTTTAGTTGGTGTTTGTTGTTTGTTTACCAAAGAAAATATTCGATTCATCAAAAATATTGCTCCTGGTCAACTAAAAAACTGTGATACTGGGACTTTTTTGGCCATTCATAAGGAAAATTTTTAAAAGTCAAGGTAAGGGTGATATTCTCTCATTTAGTGGAAGAAGAAGATGTCAATTCACAGGGAATGTGGTGTTCGCAAGAAAGAAAATGATACTTGAAATAGGGCATTATTGTTTAGCCTACAGCAACATTTCAACAAGCAGCATCAGGGCTCCTCAGGTTAAAAGAAGTACAGTTTGTTTCAGAGAAAAAGGAAGACAAACCCTCGTGAAATGTTTCTCCATTGTTCCAGCTCATAAGTTTTACTTTGTTTTGGGTTTTGGAGTTTTTAGTTTCTTTGATGTTTGTTTTGCTTTAATTTGGTTTGTGGTTTGTGTTTGCTTGTGTTTGCTTCTGCCTTTCCTACCTTCTGCCTTTTACTCCCTCAGTTTTCAGTCAGAAGTGTGATAATCAGATGCCATCCTCCATGGCCACGCTTATGTATGCAATATACCGCTCCAAATGAGGACCTTGGTAACCCTTGACCCTTTAATTCTAACTAACCATCACCCAATCGTAAGTGGCATTATGGGACCATGATACCACTTTTCTCCAGTGTCAATGACAGAGCTCAGCTGTGTCCATCACAAGAAAAGGTGGAATGGGCAGCTGTCTTGGGGGTGTGGCAAGAGGCAGAACCTCTTGGACACAAATGTTATCTTCCTCATAATGGCTTTATTCTTTTGGATCCTATTAAAGTACCCCTGTAGCTTATAGTAGTGTTTGACCTCTGTGACTCTGTTTTCTCATCTGTAAAATGGGGATAATATCAGTAAATGTCTTTAAATTCAGCAAATACTTATCGAGTGCCAAATATCGCCCAGATACTGTTCGAGAGGCTGGGGACACAACAGTCAACAAATCAGATTTTTTAAAATCTGCTCTTGTAGAGTCTACCTTTGAGTGACATTGCAGGTATATTGTGGGGATTGAATGAGATGAGAGATGACATTTGGAAAGCACTCTTGGAAAGGCCTGGCAAAGAAAAGAGACTCAAGACATTATTTGTAATTCAGCAATCTCGCACAGTAGCATTAGGGCTCGGGATGTAAAGCTACTGAGAAGTAGATTTGAGCCTGAGAATTAGGGCTACAAATACAATGAGTTGCCACAGAAGGTAGTTAATTACCAGTCATTTTAGGACATCAAAATGAAGCTGATCACCACATAGTGGGGCCACTGTAAAGGGGCTGCAAGTCCTGGATGTTGGCATCATACTATGATCTTTGAAAAAAACAGATACAGGCACTTGCTTTTGGGGATGGGGAAGGGACACCACTGATTACTGAATAACTGTGGCTGGCTTGTCTGAGGGAATGTAAACATTCCCTTGAGGTAATTTGCTTTTAATTTTGTGTAAAAAGCACCAGGTATTTAGAGACATAAAGTTCCCGTTTTTTAAAAGAATAGTAAATCTGCAATACAAAGAAAAATATTAAGTTAGTGGATTCGCTGGCAAAGAACTAAGAATGGCTGCAGCCAACACACTGCAGAGTTCCTCCCTGTGGTGGTTACAACTGTTATTTCTGTTTCATGCCAGTCCAGGAGAAAGCAAAGAGGAAAGTGGATGAGCTATAATCCGTTCACCTGAATAGGCAGTGCCAGGATGTCCCCCCCAGCTTGCCTCTCACCCGCCCCGCTGCTGCCCAGCTGATTTGTTTGAAGTCCTCTTTGATATCTATGAGAGCACCGTGGAAGGAAGAAGAAGGGAGGCGACCGGAGAGCTATGGCCTCTGTGCAGATTTTTGAGTTAGATTAAAATTAGTACCACCTGATTAGGAGCCTACCTGGTGAGGAAAAAAGCCTTCTTTTCAAAGTACAAAAAAAAGCGATGTGTACCAAGGAGAAAACCAGCAGAGAAAGCTTGGTGGAAGAAGTGATGTTCTTGTGGAATGTGCCAGCAGCTTCTCCTTCCAGAATGCTGACACCAGATGAATCTTTGGTTAGAATTAAGCCTACCCCTTTGTTTTTCACATGAGAAAACTGAACCCTCGAGTAATGAAATTATATTCACAGAGCTAATTAGAAACAGGAGACTATAATTGAAATCTAGTTTTTAGCCTCAATTCTTTCTCCATTTTGCCACTTTACTGCCAAATTCTATTCATCTAAATTATTGGGGTCTTAACCTGGGGGCCAAATGAGTTCATGGGAGGGGTCTCTGAGTTTCCTACAATTAAGTTACATGCAAAAATGTGTGTATATGTTCAACATGTGCATTTTCCTAAACTGAGGGCTCAGATTCCAAAAGAGGTCTATGACCGAAAAAGGGTGAAGAACCACTGTCCTAAATTAATACAGACCTCATTGGGAGTGTGATCCTGGTGTCCTCATTTTGGCTAATGAGCAATCAAGAACTTTTGAACTATCTTTTCTCTAAGGATCCAAAAATGCTTCAAAATATTGGTTTCTTCATCCCAAGCCAAGTGCCTACTTCTATTCATTTATTCTTCATTCATTCTTTCATTCATTCATTTCTTTATTCTGCAAATGTATTTTCAGTGCCAATTCATGTTCTAGCAGCAGCTAAATATGCCCTCCACAGCAGGACCAGGAAAGGAGCCCTCTGTACTGTGCTCTTGTTGGCAAGAGGAACACCAGGTTGCTACCACATTCTCACTGTTGCAACAAATTATATATAGCCTCAAATTTTCAGTAACCATCCCACACACACATACACACATAAAGGCAGCAGCCAACAAAGCCAACATATAGAAGTGTGCCCTGTCAAAGAACCAGGAAGAGCAGCCTATTTCCAGGTTATATACAGTGATATGCTGTTTACAACTGCATACCACATCCTTAGAAGGCCTGCTCCCAAATGAGCCCTACTCTGAGATGTCTACACCAGGCATGCTTTCACACACGTGCAGTACCCTACTCTCAAAACAAGTATGGAGAGAATAAGTCTCATTCATCTCGTTAATATTTTTAGTGGGCAAAGAAGCAACCGTGGCCATGGACAGATGGGTGCATTTAAGGACAGGTGTGGCCGGGCACAGTGGCTCAAGCCTGTAATCCCAGCACTTTGGGAGGCGGAGGCGGGCAGATCACGAGGTTAAGAGATTGAGACCATCCTGGCCAGCATGGTGAAACCCCGCCTCTACTAAAAAATACAAAAAAATTAGCTGGGCGTGGTGGCACGTGCCTGTAGTCCCAGCTACTCAGGAGGCAGGAGAATCCCTTGAACCCGGGAGGTAGAAGTTGCAGTGAGCCGAGATTTCACCACTGCCCTCCAGACTGGCAACAGAGTGAGACTTCGTCTCAAAAAAATAAAGGACAAGTGTGTTTTATACACAAATATGCAGAAGCCCAGTTCTCTTGACTCCAAGTCAGAAGCTAGATAAAATAGAGGTTGCTGGGGGAAGTTGGAAAATAAATGACTATACTGTACTTGTTGGCTCTGCTGCTGCTGATATAACTTCAGGCACAACGGAAGCCGCCTCGGTTGGCCTATGGGAAGGGCTGGGTGAATCACTGCTTGGCCTTGCATGAAGCACAAAGGACACACCAATGGCTGATCAGTGGCCCTTCCATCATCTTCTGCCCAGCCATGATAAGGAAAGCCTTCTATTGAGATGGAGGAATATTAGCTCAACTTTGTAGCATCTGATGTAAAGTTTGAGGGGTTTGTCTTTTTTGTTTGTTTGTTTGTTTTTTTTTGAGATGGAGTCTCACTCTGTCACCCAGGCTGGAGTGCAGTGGCGCCATCTCAGCTCACTGCAAGCTCCACCTCCCAGGTTCACGACATTCTCCTGCCTCAGCCTCCTGAGTAGCTGGGACTACAGGTGCCCGCCACCGCGCCCGGCTAATTGTGTGTGTGTGTGTGTGTGTGTGTGTGTGTGTGTTTAGTAGAGATGGGGTTTCACCGTGTTACCCATGATAGTCTCGATCTCCTAACCTCGTGATCCACCCGCCTCGGCCTCCCAAAGTGCTGGGATTACAGGCGTGAGCCACCGTGCCCGGCAAGGGCTTTGTTCATTAGGATCAACAAAGTGCTTTGTCTAATTCCTGCAAAATGGCAAAGACCCAGCCCATTTCCATTACTCATTCCAGGCTCATGCTCAGGAAAACTAATAACGTTCTCTTTGACAAAACAATTTCCTTAATTTTCTAGGATGAATCTTGAACATGTTTAGCTCAGCCTTTCAGATATTTATTCTTTAAATTACCATCCTGTCAAAATTGCCTTTACGCACTGATCCAGAATCACCAAGGCAGTTGCCACGATGCCTCCCAGGACTGTGGGTGACTGGGCAAACTGGTAATGACCCGTTGGCTCTGCTTCACACACACACATACACATTGACACACATAAATGTACACATGCATATATGTGTGTACAACACAACTATAAAACATAGAAACATATACCTGTACATATGCACATGCTTACATACACACATATCACAGATGTGCATGCACACATACACATGCACACCACCTTTTACAATATGCCTGACACATTTGAGGCACATTAAAATGCCTTGGCAGGCCCAGCCCTATAGTTCTGTAAGGTTTGGCAGGCCAAAGGCTTCGGATGTCTGCAGGATACCATTGAAAAAATGTTATCTTCCCCTTCTATATGTTTCTTATGCACGAGCACAGCTAAGAGCAGCCAAATAGTAAGCTTTAAAGAAAAGAAACCTGGAAAAGTGAATGTGCCTTGCAATTTAAAAATTGCTAACAGTTTCACAGTGGGAAAATTGCATTTGTTGGAATTTTCCAAGTCATAAGCAAGAAGAATAGCATAGACCCAAAACGACAGAGATCTCTTCCAAGGTATGGAATTGTGGAAATTTATTTAGAATATTTGCTTGGTGATCCAGAGAAGGGGGAAAGAAGTGGTGAGGAAGAATATATGGGGTGATCCCTCCAAATTGCCAACTCCTCGTCTTAGGAAGAAGTGGGCAGTTTCCATTGATCCCTAGCATCAGTTTGACGGGAAAACCGGTGCATTTCATCAACCTCAAGGAAAGGAAGTGCCATGCATGGAGGCCTGGTGATAGGCAACATCCATTTAGAAGAACAGTCACACAAGCAACAGAAGAACTATCCAAGACTAGAAGCTTAGAAGCTTATACCAAACTCTCTGTCTCTCTCTCTCTCTCTCACACACACACACACAGAGTGGATGGGAGGGGACATTAAGAGGAACCCTAGTGCAGTTCCCCCAAAAAACCTTGGCATAGAGTATAACAGGGAAAAAGTAATTACTGGGAAGCTGAAAACAATCAAATATGTGAGGAATGACTGAATATGAGCTGAGGATAATGTAAATTGTTCTGGATTGTCTATAAGATAAAGATACAGAGCCTGAATCTATGTTTTTCTGAATAAAGAGACCCCATATTCTCTTTTGAATTATTGACCTATAATTCCTCTTCAGCAGCTTTGAATACACTCAAGTTCTCTTCCTATTGTTTATGATCCCATAATACAACCACCCACTATTTGTTGTGGTTTACAATCCAGCTTAGAACCCTTGAGCAAAATTATTGAATTATTGAATGCTAGGCCCAAACAAAAGAAATTTCAGCTTGGTTTTAGTAATTTCTTGATCAAACTTCTCTCATTCCTCTAAATGTACAAAGGTTTCAAAGTTGTAAAAAATATGTCTACATAGCCAATGCTCTTAGTATTTTTAACAGCAAAGATAATCTCTGCCAATAATTATTAATGACAAAATAGTGATAACTGTTCAATGTTGCTTTAACAGTCCAATTGTAGTAGGTGAGAAAACAAAAAAGAAGAGAAGCTATGTTGAATATTTAGTAATGTTGGAAAAGATCCTCACCCTAGACATAAAATAGTTTAAACATTTAAACATGGCCCCTCTCTTATTGTCATTGCTAGTGAAAGAAGTTCCTGAAATTGCATATTACATTGTAAAGTTTTGGGCTAAATCACAATACATTTTTAAGTTGCTTCCATGGCAATAGATCGTAAGACCACAGCTTGTCAAAGTAACCACTAATTCAGTATTCAGAAACCTTATCATCTGTTCCTCCAAAAAGACCCCATAGTTAATGTTGTGTTTCCCAGTATTTTAGTTGGGTTTCTTCACACTTAGGCAAGTGGGTGATTCTGGTCATAATAAACTATTTTCAAACTAGGAAAAAGTATCCAAATGCTAGAGCACATAATGAGTTCAGCTTGGTCAGTTTTGAGACAGATAAGCATAAAACCCTACTAGAAAAAAATAATAGTCAAACCTAAAGCTTTAAAAAATGTGAGTCACATCACTTTTCTCCAGGAAAGGCAGAACGTGCTCAGGGTGGAATTTAATCAAAAATGTACCCAGAACAATTTCCCACAAAGAGCTGTAATACTTTGCAGCAAGGGGCATTAATAAACTCTAATTTTTACCGAAAGTCAAGAGACACACAGATCTTTTTTGGTACCCTCTACATCATCATAGCAAGGCCCTTCTGAACATTAACAAGCCTAGATGTTTCTACTGCTTATTTGCAGTATCTACAGGGGAATGGTTCGTGGATATAAACAGAAATGTTTTATCTGAAGAGGCTGTGTATGCCACCCCAGACCCCTGCATTTCTTAATATCTATAAAAATATGACTAAACTTGTTACATTTGAGGCAAATATGTACAGTATTTTTCCCTTTTAAAGATAGTTTAAAAAATCAAGGTAATAAAAAACGGCCAACTCTTTCAGGAAAAAAAAAATCCGGTATTTTGTACTACTTGAGTTTCTCTAATGCCTAAAATATGCATTTAAATCATCCCACACCTACACAGAAACAAAATCAGCAGGGAAAACCATCCCACTGATGATTGGCAATTCCACCGTTCCTCTCCATCTGACCAGCTTTCACCAGAGGGCGATCTTTCATGCTTGCACATCGAGTTTATACAATGTAGAAGCCCCCAAGTCACCTGGGAAATGGCTCATGCCAAATACATGGAGTCCTTAGTTGACTATCTTTTCATATTAAAATCCCATCTTCCAATGAAGCATCCTGTTTTCAATACTGATATCAAATTTCGAATGTAAAGGAGATTTCAAATGTATTGCTTTCACCTTTTCTTTTTTATTCATTTATTTTTAATTGACATAAAAATTGTATATATTTATGGGATACAATGTGATGTTTTGATATATGTATGCATTGTGGAATGATTAAATCAAGCTAATTAACATATCTATCATCTCACATATTTCTCTTTTTGCTTTCACTTTTTCGGGTTTATTTCTAATCCTCTACTAAGCACACAACAAAGAGTCAAATGTCGGTGGGCCAGGGGAATATCTCCAGTTTGATTTTTTTGGGGGGGGGGGACAGAGTCTCACTCTGTCACCCAGGCTGGGGTGCAATGGCGTGATCTTGGCTCACTGCAACCTCTGTCTCCTGGGTTCAAGCGATTCTCCTGCCTCAGCCTCCCAAGCAGCTGGATTTACAGATGTGCACCACGCCCAGCTAATTTTGTATTGTTAGTAGAGACGGGGTTTCACCATGTTGACCAGGCTGGTTTTGAACTCCTGACCTCAAGTGATTCACCCGCCTCGGTCTCCCAAAGTGCTGGGATTACAGGTATGAGCCACCGCGCCTGGCCTTTTCTTTCTTTTTTATGTCCAGGTATTTCATTTCTCTTTAAGAGTAATTAGTATGGGTTCTTCAGTGTTGTTTATGTTTTGTTTTGTTTATACCAGATTAGCAATCAAAAAAAAAGTGTATATGACTCAATATCCTACAGGCAGAGGTTTGGGGTTTTTTTTGTGTTTGCTTGCTTGTGTATTTCTTTAGCAGCAGATGTCTTTTTATAAAACCTTGTATATGGTGCCTTCTTTGGCTTAACAGTCACAATGGTACACCTCTGTCTCTGAAGTAAGAAAAGAAAAACCAGTTCCTGGCCTTAGTTTAATATATAATCACAAATGGGGAAATAAAATTGTAGTGGGAAGCACCCTATATGCCTGCATGCCTGGGCTTACAAGAAGTCAGCAGAAGCCTAATAAAAAATATAAGCTTGGCCTCTTCTTTCTGTAGAATTCTGGTTTTCCCTGGGTATTTAGGGTTGGGAAGAGGAAATGTTGGGTGTATTAGTTATAGGTCATCACCTGTATGGAGAGAAAGGGGAGAAACCTAGGAGGAAAGTAACAAAGCAGTATATATACATGGGGTGTCAAAACAATTGTCGGGAGTTGCTAGGTTAGTGTTCTTTTTTAGTTCATTTCACAGGACTAAATAAATGGATGAGTGATTATCACTGTCACAAAAGAAAGTTTGAATCTAAAATTATATGTTACAGGTACCAAATTACAATATCATAATGTAAAGAACTGGGATTATTTCAGATTTTGTTTCAATAGTGCTGAGCTGGAACCCAGCAGCTGGGAACAGCTAAAGGAGAAGTAGCACTCACTCCTGTCTGCTAAAGTCCTTATTTAGCCCATTTCCATGGAAACTGAAATCAGATCTCTCTCTCTCTCTCTAACACACACACACACACACACACACACACACACACACACACACACACACACGCTGGCGGGTGAATGTCTAGAGTGTGTGTGTGTGTGTGTGTGTGTGTGTGTGTGTGTGTGTAAACATACACAGGATAATTTCTCCGTGAACATTCTCTCATCAGAGGTAACTCTCCAACAAATGGAAGAAGGGTCAGCAATCCAGGCTGACTTCCTTTTTTAGAAGCCAAACCTGTAATGCAGATGAAAAAATCGGGTTAGAAAAGTAAATATATCACACCAGGCCTTTGCTACCAATTCCTTGGGGCATTCCATTTCGTAACTGCATATTCAATTAATTTAGCTAACTTGGAAATATTTTATGGTGAGCAGACAGCCACTGAAACTAAATTTAATCCCTTGGATTTTTGCCCACTTTGCTTTACTCTGAAGCATTGACATTTCCCTATATAGCCCGGAAAATAAAGGCTAAGGGAAAAGAGAAAGTGAATGAATTTATTTTAATTTTTCAACATATACTTTGTTAAGTTTCTATCCTAATGGAAAAATGATAGGTGCATATTCCAGATTTCTGGGGACATTTTATAATAAATGATTCCATCTTAGTCCACATCTCCCTTGAAGACAGGCCAACGCTCAAGTTGCTGCCTATAAAAGGGTACTGATAAAACCTCCCCATAAGGGTGGAAGAAGAATGAATACTGTTCCTTTCAATGAGGTCACCAGGCAACCTGGATGACTTCTATACATGGAAAATTTTCGATAGGCGAAAATATTTTACTTCCCATTTCTGTCCTTTTTTTCTATGAGGAAAGATAAAAATAGGATTTCTTTTTAAAGAATTTTCACTTTAAAATGGACTGTAGATGATGATTTTGGATCTTAAATTAGGTTATTTTACCATCCCCTTTGCAAAATTGGTGAGTGTTGCAGCTCATAAAATATTTAGCTTTTGCTGGAATCTAAAATGGGATGAAAAGCTGTATGTTTCAGCTGGCATAGATCAACAGGACAATAGGGCTTGATCTTAAACATAAGTGGCTTATTTTATTTTATTTTAGAGACAGAATTTCGTTCTGTTGCCCAGGCTGGGGTGCAGTGGTGCAGTCATGTAGCCTCGAACTCTTGGGCTTAAGCAATCATCTTGCCTCAGCCTCCTGAGTGACTAGGACTATGGGCACACACCCCCATGCCTGGCTAATTTCTTTTTTAATTTCTTGTAGAGATGGGAGTGTCCCTATGTTTCCCAGGCTAGCCTCAAGTTCCTGGCCTCAAGATGATCCTCCTGCCTCAGCCTCCCAAAGTTCTGGAATTACAGGTGTGAGCCACCACACACAGCCCATAGGAGATATTTAAAAAAAAAAAAACCTCAATATAGCATATTCTCATTTGTGCCTCATACTTGAATAGGCAGACTTGTGAAAGAATGAGGGTGTTGATAGTCTATATTCAAAACTAGGGTGGGGGAAGCAATTGTTATATTTTATAAAATTTAAATATTTTTAGAATTAGAAAATTGACGAAGGGCTAAAGTCTATTCAAAACCACCATGGGGAGCAATGATTTTACTTTATAAAATGGAAGAGTCATTTCTTAGAATAAAAAATAATTAACAGTAAAGAGTGAGAGGTGAGAAAACTAACATTTCTTATACTAAGGCATGGCTCAAGATGCCAGACCCTGCCCTCTTGGAGGCAAGTGCTATCTCCCCCGAGGTGTTACACTGAGATGACATTTCATCATCTACATGAAAATCTTCATTTCTGCAGAGAGCATCACTGACTCACAGAAAATAAACACAAAAACAGAAACAAAAAACCTTGAGTCACAGTACCTAAGCCAAGTTCAAAAACATCCATTGGGAGAGACCCCCAAAAGAATGTATAATAAGTACCCATCACTATAGCTTGAACAGGAATACAGATGTTGAATCTGTAAGAATAGAGTCCTAGAAGCCATCAAGTAAAGGATCCCAGGCTGTCATATTTGTCTGCATTTATATGAATTAAAAAATGTATGGTTGTTAGAAAAAGGGGCCCACTTAATTTTTCGCTTGACCTTGCATTATAGAAGAATTATAGAATGACCAAAAAAAAAACCCCAAAACCAGGAAGTAGTACTAAATATGTTTAACAGACCTTGGCAATTGATGTTCCATGGCTAAAAGGTAAATTTTAGAATGATCTAGTACTACTAAATAATTTCTGTATATATACACACTGAGTCCAAAGCTTAAACTTGAAATAACTATAGTTGTGAGATTTGTATCCCAGCATTTCTTTTGTAGGTGTGAAAAGAAAATCTGGAAATTCAGCAATGTCATTAAATACAAATTCACAGTAGGACTTTACTTTCAATCCTTCTAGGGTCTGGGCATTTCCTTTCCATTACTAAAGAAATTGGAAATCTTAGCAAGTGAAAATATTTTTATCATTGTATTAATTTGAATGTTTTTTCTCTCTCTAAAAGTGTTCTCCCTCCTCCCTTATTCTTTTACTGTTTCAGAATACTCAAAAAACAATCCATAGACTTCAGCTAGTATGGCTCAAATGTTTCCCAAACTTTTGCGATTGTAAGGATTCCTGGGTTCCGCTAAAGGGTGGCTGATGCGGCTTCCAGATTAACTCTTTCCTAAAAGTTATAGAATTACGTATCAACAGCTAAAGGACACAATTACAAGCTGAAATACTGTCACATACTGTGTAATATCCTACAATCTTGCAGTGTTTAATAAACAGACACCTCTGTCATTTCATATTTATACAGATTTTAAAATTAAGCACACAACTAAAAACAACTACGTATGTACCCCTATTGCATTACTTGGATCATGGCAAAGGGAAAACACAACAAACACTACTGCAAAACGTTTGGCCATCACACAGCATTAAAAATAAAGCAGATGCCGAGTTGAACATTTACTAGTGTGTGATGTGCCAGCCTAGAATCTTCTAATTCAGGTGTTATAACTCAAGCATTTTTCAGAATTTGGTTCATACATGTCTTACAATCTGTTATTGACATAATGATGAGGGAGATGAGTGTCTCAGAATGGGTCTCCCCCAGAATCAGACTAGGAGACAATATGTGCATGTAAGTGGTTTGTTTAGGAGGTAATCCCAGGAATACCAGCAGGGGAGAGGCAAAGTGATACAGGGACTGGGGAGAAGACAACAGGGGATATATTAATGAACAGGTTACCTCTATGGGCAGCTGGAGCCCAATCCCATTGGAGACTTCTGGGAGATGGTTATGGAACATACTTCAGAGTTCTATCTGGGTAATCTGGGGTATTTAACTTCCACTTCCATCAAATATTGGATAAAGGTTCCTTATTAACTCACCATTATTAACTCCTCATTAACTTGCCAGCACCTACAGCCTGCCCCATCTGTGACCTGAAGAAGAGGCCTCAAGGAGAGAGCTACAGGTGTCTGCAGTAGATGCTCTTGGCATATAGTAAAATAGTAAGTGTTAAAGGATATGGACAGAGCACCAGCAGTCTGGTACAATGAGGCATATTTTATATACATGTATGCATATATATATATATGCAGACACTGAACAGATTCTTTAGCTCTCTGAGACACCACGAGGTTGGCTCTGCAGGGATCTAAGCCAAGACTAAAGGCAGGTAAGCTAAGGTCTAGGTAAGGGCTCCAGCAGAATAAGACCACCAAGGGAAAAGTAAAAGCTGGTTAACAATACTGAAAAACTAAGGCCATAGGCATAGTAGATGCAGATAAAGATCATAGCTCACGAGGTACTCTGGAAGCTACGTCATTCTAAGGTATGAACAGGATTAAGAAAACAGATGACTGGAGAAAAACTGGGGTATAGTGTCAGCACCAAGAAGAGCTCTAATTCTAGTTTATCTTTGTTTGTACCAGAGGCTTCATATCCAATTGTGTGCTGATAAACTTTAACAACTGGCTGCCAGGGGAAGAGGGGTGGCATGGCCTATACCAAGCTACTCATGGTTTAATAATTGGCTTGCAAAACTCCTGAAAATGTAACAATTGGTTCTCACAAATTGGAATGAGCCAGCTTCAGCATGCCATTGCCTGTATCTCTCCACCCAACATCCAGCCACTTTTGAAGGGCTATTGACTACAACTAAAACATATCCAGTTCCTGGTGTTGAAAGTTGTGCCTGTAACTACCTCAGTACATGTGTGGGTGGGTAACACCATTGATTTGGGTCTTGGGGATATTTAGTGGAGGCTGAACTCTTGAAAACCTCTGACTCTCCCTCATTCTTGTCTTCCTCGGAGCCTTCGACATTCCTTGAGTCTGGAATTAGGATTTTGGAAGAAGTGCTTCTAGGTCAGATTCTGGCAGTCCTTTACCACCTGCAGATCGGCATCTATAATGTGTCTTATCCATGCCATATCTATTCCAATGGCTTATGCACTAACATTTGCTCCATGTATTTATAGATAAAATCAAATTACACTCATATCCAAAAGCAAAAGAACCTAGAACTGTCATAAGTACTTCAGTTAATGAACACATCACAGCACAGTCATATACTCAACTCTCTTCCAGATATCATAGTTAATGCAGATTACGGCTGCCCAAGCCATGAACGAAATGTTACACATGAAAACAACAGAAACGCATGTTCAGTTCATACACTGGGCTTCCTCTCCACCCAGAGTTCAGGGAAACCTGTATCTCCCCCATTAAATCTTAACAAACAGACGTAATTGTCAACCATAGCTACAAGAAGCCACCCCTCGTCTGCAAGCAAGCTACTCACCATTAGTCGGCATTTCCCATGACCTTCATATTTTTAAATATTAAGTGCTACACTTCTATAATCTCCCTGATAGCCACATGAGTTCTACTCCGGATTCATGCTGAATTGTGTTCCATTCTCTTGATTGTTTCTTCTGTGTTCAGAAAGAATAGTAGATCCATTTTCAAAGTAAAATATCCCCCTTTCCCTGTCTTCCTCTGGTCATACATAAAGAAGTTAGTAAGACATCGCTCATGTACTCTTTGAATTTCCTTTCACTTCCATGAAACTTCCCCACAACTTGCTGGCCCTCTTCACTGCGAAGGTGGCAAATTTGAGTTGGGTTCTTCTGCGTCTATGTTTTATGAAAAGAAGTCCTTAATTATGTCAATTATAGAATTAGAGTAAAAATGAGTATAAGTTTCCAATTATTTGGACACGCTACTCTGGAAGTTCTTGTATTCAGAAGGCATCTCAAGGAAAGTCTGGAGAAGAAGAAACTATTTGTGGCTTAAAACTTGTTCTCTTTATAGGGCTTCTCTTTGTGGTAGCTACCCCTTGGCTCGGATCAAGGCTATGATTTTAAACTCCTTTGTTCAATTTTGCACTGTCATCTGAAGACTAGTAGCAGAAAGTAGCAATTTGAATAACAACAGTCTTTCAATGTAGTTCTAATATTTCTTCAAGAGATATCCAAATAGAAGCATTTCTTTAATATTCCCTGACAGGTTTTCCTTTGAAGAAGTTGTAATCTACACAATATTTTATTTTCTACTATAGCACATCCCATCCTTCTGTCCACAGCAGCCAGATGGTACTTCTTATTAGCTGAAGAAATAATCAGACAAGAAAAACTGGCCATTGAACAATTAGGAATACTACTTGATATATTTTTCCCAGGTATCCATTCTTGGTTCTCAGTAACAAGAATGTGCCAGCTTTCAACAACAAATGCTGGCAAGGATGTAGAGAAAAGGGAAGAGGGAATCCTTGTATGCTGTTGGTGGTAATGTAAATTACTACAGCCACTATGGAGAACAGTTTAGAGGTTCCTCAAAAAACTAAAAATTGAGCTACCATATGATCCAGCAATCCCACTCCTGGGTATATACCGAAAAGAGAGGAAATCAGTATATCAAAGAGATCTATGCACTCCTATGTTTGTTGCAGCACTATTTACACTAATTAAGATTTGCAAAAAAAAAGATTTGCATGCATGTGCATCAACAGATCAATGGATAAAGAAGATGTGGTACATACACACAAATGGAGTACTATTCGGCCTTAAAAAAGAATGAGATCCAGTCATTTGCAACAACATGGATGGAACTGGAGATCATTATTCTAAGTGAAATAAGCCAGGCACAGAAAGACAAACATCGTATGTTCTCACTTATCTGTGGGATCTAAAAATCAAAACAATTGAACTCATGGACATAGAGAATAGAAGGATGGTTACCAGAGGCAGAGATGGGTAGTGGGAGGGTGGCGGGGGAGGTGGGGTGGTTAATGGATACAAAATAAGAATATTTTAAAAGAATGAATAAGACCTACTATTGGACAGCACAACAAGGTAACTATAGTCAATAATAATTCAATTAAGTATTTTAAAATACCTTAAAGAGAATAATTGGATTGTTTGTAACTCAAAAAATAAATGTTTGAGGGGATAGAAACCCCATTTTCCAAAATGTGCTTATTTCACATTGCATGCCTGTATTAAAACATCTCATGTACCCCATAAATATATACACCTACTATGTACCATAAAAATTAAAATTTTTTTAAAGTACCAGCTTTAACATTTCCCAGCATCATAAGTCCCAACACAATATTTCTAATCGCTCAGCTTCATCTCAAAATGGAAGAGTGCCAGGGACAATGATAGGATTTAAGATGGCAGCCTGCCACTGCGAAATTACCACGAGAGGCCGGGCGCTGTGGCTCACGCCTGTAATCCCAGCACTTTGGGAGGCCGAAGCGGGCGGATCACGAGGTCAGGAGTTGGAGACCAGTCTGACCAACGTGGTAAAACCCCGTCTCTACTAAAAATACAAAAATTAGCCGGGCATGGTGGCGCACGCCTGTAATCCTAGCTAATCAGGAGGCTGAGGCAGGAGAATCACTTGAACCCGGGAGGTGGAGGTTGCGGTGAGCCGAGATGGTGCCGCTACACTCCAGCCTCGGGAACAGAGCGAGACTCCATCTCAAAGAAAGAAAAAAAAAGAAAGAAAGAAATTACCATGAGATTAGAGTACCTGAACCGGCAAGAGGTAGATGAGATAGGAGATGGGGGTGAGAAGGGGAAGAATGGAGTGCCTAATCTGTATCTGAGTAGACTTCATTTATTTAGCACAGTATTTTTTTCATAAGGTGCTTGGCTGTTTGAAACTGTCATTTCTAGCTATCCTAGAACTTGTCAATGGTAGGGAGTATACCTCTTTCTTTAAAAATCATATTATAAAAAGATGCCTAAATGTACTTTTTTTCTGTTGTAACCCTAATTTATATTATCATTCCAGAAAGTTTTTCTTAATTTCAAACTAATTTTTGATAAATTAGATTTAGGTTTAAATTGTTCTGCTCGCCAATCTTTGACTAATGATTGTCAAAGTCCTTCTATTTCAAAGAATCCCTTGGTCGAATGGTATCACAACATATCTCACTGTGAAAGAGAGGATTAAGGAACAAGGTTATTTCCTCAACTGGCAAAAAAAGATTGTTGATTTGATTATAACTTTTATATGCTGAATTGATCTGTGTGAAAAATGGTATTTCTGGCACTGTGATCCTCTATAAGGAACAAACTTGATTATTAACTGTGGCACACAAATCATGATGTTCTGTTACTATCGATTATCAATTATTCATTTCCTTGTAACCATTTTCCCTTCAAATATTCCAACCGCTTACATAAAAGTCACCTAAATTTTCCTCAAGTCACCTGCCAAGGAAAACAGAGGATATTCAGAACATATGAGACAGGTGAGGAAAGTGGTGGGAAATCAGGTGGGATTTAAATATTTCCCCTGCCCATACTGACCTCTAATTCACTACCAAAATAAGTTGCTTTAGGTGATGAAAAGTGGGAAGTAATTCTATAAAGACAAAGACATTTTAATATCTCATAGAAAAGGATATTTGTAAATGGTTGCAACTACTTGGAAATGACTCAAGTTTTAGCTCATTTAATAGCAGTAATGTTATCTTTTATGTATGTCCTCATTTTTGGTACATTTGTATGTAACTATTGGGTATAACATAAGAAATCAAAATCAGTAAATTAGAGACTAGGCATGGTGGCTCATGCCTGTAATTCTAGTACTTTGGGAGACTGAAGCAGGCAGATCACATGAGCTCAGGAGTTCGAGACCAGCTTGGGCAACATGGTGAAACCCTGTCTCTACTAAAAATACAAAAATTAGCCAGGCATAGTGGTGCATGCCTGTAATCCTAGCTACTCGGGAGGCTGAGACATGAGAATTGCTTGAACCTGGGAGGCGGTGGTTGCAGTGAGCCGACATCATGCCATTGCACTCTAGCCTGGGCAACAGAGCGAGACTCTGTCTCCAAAATAAATAAATAAATTAGAACAAACAAATCATTAAGGCTTTTATTTAAATCTTGTATTAATGCTTTCTCTGTTTTGTTTCATAAATGGTTTCTCTTACAGACAAGAAAATTTATTAAAACTTCAAATCACACAGGATTTTGATGGATGCCGTATGTATTAAAAGTCTTTAAATTGTTGCTTACTTCTAACCGGATGATTCTGTGAAAGAGATCACATTCATTGCAGCTTTAACTGGATGGCCTACTATAGAGTCTGTTATAGAAACAGATATTAAGTAGATTATTTTTAAAGGCAAGTATACTCAGATCAACTGTTGACCCTACATAGGATGGGCATGAATTGTAATGGGACCCATGATGGGGCCAAGAAATTATGAAGAGTAACATGGGACCCCCTTCCTCAAGAGAAATACCTCTCAATCATCTTACTGGCAAGTATGTACCATCAGCTTCCTTTATGAATGAACAATGTGTTATTTGTTCTTGATTACGTAAAGTGAAAGTTCCTTGACATGTACTCATTCTGGAATAATAAGTATATGGTATAAGTAACACTGAAAGATACAGAGGTCAATGCAGCTTAGAAAGAAACTGAAGAGGGCAAGGGAGTGTCAAAACATTTTGGAGGCAACTGCAGCAATAATAAAGGCTTAATTTGTGCTGCCTGCCCTTCCTGTGCTCTATGGCACTGTTTCCAGTGTCCTGCAAAAGGCCATCACCCATAATCCCAAAGATCCACTCTTCAATAAAAGGCCCAAAGACTCAAGATCTGATGAACTGTGAAAATATGACCTTTTTATGACACTAGCAAATTTACCAAGAAGGGAGTGGAAGAAGTATACATGCTTTCTCAGTAGTATAACATTGCTTTTACTCAATTGGATATGACAGTCATTAAGTACCTGCTCAATATCATGCAGCTATGGCAGAAACTCATCTTACTGAGGGACTTGTAAATAGACTGAAAAAGAAGATAGGCATATCAATACTAGCATCCAAGAGACTCCTATAAGTCGGCAATGCCTTCTACCTATCTCTGAATTCCACGACCTCCAAAAGGTCTCATCTGCTAATTTGAAAACATGATGAAAACTGTCTTCATTTAACCACCCCACTCAAATGCCATTTCTATTCACTGTATTTTTAGGGTCAATTAGGTTGTAAGTAACAGAAAAGCCAACTCAAAATAGCTTAAACGATAAAATGCCAATGTAATTTGAAAGTTAAGGGTTAGGGCAGACAGGTTTTAGGGTAGATTTGATTCAGTAGCTCAACAATGAAACAGAAGGCCCAGATTCGTTCCTCCATGAGACAACTTTATCCTCAGGATGTTTCCCCTTTCTAGTCTGAAGACAGTTCCAGTGGCTCCTAGAGATACATACTCTTCAAGGGAGGGAGAGAATCAATCTAGCTTTAAGATCCTAGAAGCTTCTTTCCCAGGAGTTGCTAGTATTACTATGATATCACAAATCCATCCATGAACCAATATGTATGGTCAAGGAATGGGATTACCCTCAGAATCTCGGGCCTAAGAAAGAGATCTCACTTCTAGAGCCACGGGTGGGATCAGTTTTCCCAAAAGCAATTGAAGGAATGGAATCAAAACCTCAAGGTTGAAGAAAAGCTGCACAGAAATACACTTGTGATTACTAGGCTGGAGAAAGAAGACCTCAGAGGAGAAATTTTTCCCTACAAGGGGAAGCCACCATCCACACTCCATCCTTTCTCATTGCTGTTATGGCACCATAAGGCTGGGTGTTGTGCATTCTGAAAGAGAAGGAATACGTGAGGGCATGACACTTACGGGCCTGAAGTCAGAAATCTTTCTTTCCTTTTCAACAAAATGAGCCACTTTTTAAGCTGAACAATTTTAGCCAATGGAGATCCACAGGCTAGACAGTGTCATTTGTCAGGAGCTGTAGCCATAACAGGGCTAAGATCAACACATCCATCACATCAGACAATTCTACACGCTGGTTATTTGGGGAACATGAGCACACAAGAAAAGAGCTGCCCAACAGAATGGCTGTCAAAGGACTCAAGAACTGTTTACAACATAGCCAAGGATAGAGGAGAATACCCTTGAAACATAACTCCCAAAATGCATGACTTACCTGAGAACAATCACTTCCATTTGTGGCCATCACGTATTCTCTACCTCCTTGCCATCCCCACCTCTTCCTGCTCCTTGGACTTCACCTCTCAACAGCAAGATCACAAGAGCACGCAGATCAACAGAGCAGGCATTATTCTTCTATCTCTTCTTCTATCTATCATCCTTCTATCTATCTAGTCCTCTCTAATCATGCACGGCAACTGCTTTAGACACTTTAATTCTTGTACTTATTTTTAAAGCAAAAACTGGGGGATCTATAGGTGGCCCATTTTACCAAAAGATTAGGTGATTGAGGAGCAAGTTATAAGAATATCTCATTGGCAAGAAGGGCGAAGCCCCTCTTGTGGTTTCTGCCACTTACTGTCATTTCTCCAGTGTCCACAGGCCTTGCTTCTGAGACACTTCCCACTGAAAGGAGTTAAGTCAGCTGGTCCTGAGTATGCAAGCCATAATTTATGCCCGTATTTCTATGTCCTAGCCCTAGAAAAATGACTCAAATGGGCTGTCCTAGAGTACTGAGTGGGTCACCAACAATATCTCTCTACATGGAGGCCAGTATGTTACAAAGCCATAAGATTCCTTCTTTTAGGGGATTTTTTTCTACGGTTTTTTTTTGTGTGTGCATCACTCCATATCCTCACTTGCCTTTCACATTTCATAAATGGAAGAATTTGTGGTCAGAATAGTTATTTGCCATCAGCAAAGTTTAATAACACTCAGTTAATTTCTAGGAAATAATAGGCTTCATTAAATGCTGAAGTCCGCCAGACCCTTCACCTCTTCAATAGACGTATGCTTGGCAGCTGATGGGTTGGTTTTGTTTTGCTGGGATTGTGACAGGCTGCCCTGACATTACGTATTCCACCAAAGGAGTGAAAGCTAATTCAAGAATGATCTGTACCATGATAGTTCAATATGCTAGGTATTTACTTAATTCCATTCAGAATTATTTATCATTTCCGAGAAAAGATTTTATATTATGAACTATAATTCTACAGTTTTCAATTAAGTGTGGATTTAAAGAGAAAAAGAAGTACAGTCATATATATGGGTACAATTAGCCTTAAAATCATAAAATTCATCTGGCCAATATTGAAGACAGTGACTCTCAGACTTATGAAGTTTTGGCCTCCTTTTATTTGTTTAGTTTCCAATGGTTCCATATTCTGCCCCAGAATGTCATAGTTTTAAAAACTACATTAAAACTTATTTTGTTTTGAGGGGCTTATTTTTTAGAATTCCATGACATCCTTCAAGGGTACTGAAAGACAGCCCAGTTGTCTTTCAGTTGTGAAAAAATATAAAGTGAAGAATAAGTGATTCAGGGCTTCAAAAATTAAACAGTACAAATTGTAACTTAGCCAACATTTTTGTTGTTGTTCATTTGTTGTTATTGTTTTCTTAGAGCAGAATCTCCTTCTGTCGCCCAGGCTGGAGTGCAGTGGTGTAATCATAGCTCACTGTAACCCCAAACTACTGGGCTCAAATGACCCTCCTGCCTCAGTCTCCTGAGTAGCTGGGACTACAAGCATGTGCCACCATGCCCAGCTAATTTTTTTTTTTATTTTTTCTAGAGACAGGGGTTTCACTATGTTGCCCACGCTGGCTTCAAACTCCTGGTCTCAAATGATCCTCCTGTCTCGGCCTCCCAAAACACTGGCATTACAGGCATGAGAAACTGTGCCTAGACTTAAGCCAACCTTTTAAAATTTCTATGCCTAAAAGTAGAGTTTACCTCTTTTTTAAAGCAGTTTGTTACAAGTCATTCAGAATTTGACAAGACTCTAGTGAGCTGGGCTTCTCAAACTCTGGCATAAGAATTACCTGGAGGGTTTCTTAAAACAAAGATAGTGGGCCTCAGCTCCAGAGATTCTAAATAAATAGTTCTAGGGTGCAGCCTCAGAATGTGCATCTCTATCTAGCTCCCAGTTGATGCTGATGCTGCCAAGGCCCAGATCACAGACTGTAGGGGTTTTTTCACAAATCTGAGGTTTATGTTATGAAGAAAGATAAACATTCAAACTCCTTACTGTTTCTTCATGCAGTATAAGGACCAAAAAATCAACCTCAATATTTGATCTTATTGTCATGAAAGCTATAGGGATGCTTCTGGAGACAATATCCACATCCACTGAGGATTTGGAAACAATAACAAAATTAAAATCACGTTTCAGAATCAGCCACTTAGGTTAATTCCACAGCCCCAGGGAGCAACTGAACATTCAATTCTGGTTGATTTGACTACCCATTTTGCTGCCTCCAATTCACAAATACCTATTCTTTAATTTAGGGCAGGAAATTCTGTGTACATAAGAATATTACTTGGGAATGTAGATGGTCTCTAGAAATAAGTAAACCTAGACAATAATGCAAGCAATGTGAATCCAGGCTGAAGAGTGAAAAAAATCAACACGCTAGGTGATTCAATCTCCAAGATGCTAAATACACAGGTTGATTAATTTTTTTCTTCACCAAAGTTTTGCTGAATTAACTAATTAGCAGGGTTGGGAGATGATGGGAAAGAAAATATTAGCTTGATTAAAATAAGCAGTAGTTATTTTTATTGAAAAGTTAGGGAGGAAGAAAATAAATATTTGTCAGCACCTCCAAGTACAAGCCTTATGTTTATTCCCTAGCAGTTCAGCACAGAAGTTAGTATATCTATTATTATCTCTATTTGTGTATTAAAAACTAAGGTTATTTTAATTGATAACTTAGGGAGGAAGGAAATAAATATTTGTCAGCACCTCAAAACACGAGCATTGTGTTTATTCCCTAGCAGTTCGGCCCCGAAGTTAGTATATTTATTATTATCTCTATTTGTATATTAAAAACTACAGCTCAGAAAGTGTAAGTGACATCCCCAATATCACCACGCAACAAAGCTGCAGATATGGGTTTCAATAAAATCATGCTCTTTCCTCTACACATGCTTCTCCTGCTGATGTAGCTTCTCTTACTATTTAATACTAATAACTAACATTTACTGAATGCTATCTGAGCATTTGATATATAGACTCTTCAATGCTTACAACCCTATAAGATAGGCACTGGTAACAAACTATAGAAATGATCCCTGAGGAACTCAAACAACTCAACCACAATCTCATTAAAAAGTGGGCCAACCCAGGTGCATTGGCTCACGCCTGTAATCACAGCACTTTAGGAAGCAGAGGTGGGAGAATCACTTGAGGTCAGTAGTTCGAGACTAGCCTGGCCAACATGGTGAAACCCCATCTCTACTAAAAATACAAAATAAGTTATATGGGCGTGGTAGTGCATGCCTGTAATCCCAGCTACTTGGGAGGCTGGCAGGAGGATTACCTGAACTCGGGAGGAAGAGGTTGCAGTGAGCCAAGATTGCACCACTGCACTCCAGCCTGGGCGACAGAGTGAGACTCTGCCTCAAAAAAAAAAGTGTACCAAGGACAAAAGTATACATTTTTTTCAAAAGAAGACATACAAATAGCCAGCAAGCATATGGGAAAAAAAAATGCTCATCGACACTAATCTTCAGAGAAACGTGAATCAAAATCACAATGAGATATCATCTTATACCAGTCAGAATGGCTATTATTTAAAAAAGACAAAAATTACAAATATTGGGAAGGATGCAAAGAAAAGGGAATGCTTACACACCGTTGAGGAGAATGTAAATTAGTACAACCTCTATAGAATAAAGTTTGGCAATTTCTCAGAGAACTAAAAATAGAACTACCATTTGATGTAGCACTTCCACTACTGGCTATCTACAAAAAGGAAAATAAACTATTATATCAAAAAGATACCTGTACTCATATGTTTGTTGCTGCACTATTCACAATAGAAAAGATATGGAATCAATCTAAGTGTCCACCAAAAGACAAATGGATAAAGAAAATATGGTATGTATACACAATGGAATACTATTCAGCCATAAAAAGAATAGAATCATGTCACTTGGAGCAACATGGATAAAGCTGGAGGCCATTATCTTAAGTGAAACAACCCATGTTCTCACTTATAAGTGGGAGCTAAATAATGTGTACACATGGACAAAAAGTATGAAACGATAGACAGTGGAGACTCAGAAGTATGGGGGAGGTTGGGGGGATGAATGATGAGAAATTACTTAATGAGTACAATGTACATTATTCCAGTGATTAATACACTAAAAACCCTGACTTCACCACTGCACAATATAACCATGTAACAAAATCACACTTATATACCTTGTAAATTTGTACAAAAAAAAGATAGGCACTAATATTATCCTCAATTAACAGATGAGAAAACTGAAGTTCTGAGAAGTTGAGTAATTTGCCCAAAGTCACACAGCTAATGAGTGGTAGGACTAGGATTTGATTCTATGCAGTTAAAATTCAAGCCCATGCTCTCAACTATTGTGATATCACCACACTGGACAACAGAAAAGATGCAGCTTGGGAATTATTTAACAAACAACCACTTATCAATAATACACCCATCAACTAAAGATTTGAGAATTAAGAGGACTCTGAGTACGGCAATAATAGAATATAGAGGAGGTTAATCTTGAAAGAGTTTTTGAAGAGTTAAGAAAAGGTAAGTTTTCAACCAGGTGTAAGAGAGTTGAAGAACATGACGGGGTGGGATAAGGCCCAAAGGCAGACGCGGGAGTTTGTTCCATTTTGAGGAATATTAAGAAGGTAAGGAAACATGGTTAAATAGGCAAGAAAAATCTAGGAGATTTTTGTTCTTGTCTTCATCAGAAAGGTATAACGTGAACTGAAATACTTTATTGCAGCATCTGAGGAGGAAATATTTTAAGACTACTAATATAGTTTGGATGTTGTCCCCCATAAAACTCATGTTGAATTGTAATCCTCAAAGTTAGAGGTGGGGCCTAGTGGGAGATGTTTGGGTCATGGGGGTAGATTCCTCATGGCTTGGTGCTGCCCTCAGGATAGCGAGTGAGTTCTCTCAGTTATCCGGTTGTTTAAAATTATGTGGAACCTCCTCGCTACTCTCTCTCTTGCTCCTGCTTTCACCATGTGATATGGCTGCTCCTGCTTCTCCTTCTACCATGAGTTAAAGCTTCCTGAGGCCTCACCAGAAGTCAAGCAGACACTGCTGCCATGCTTGTACAGCCTGCAGAACCATGAGCCAATGAAACATCTTTTCTTTATCAATCGCTCAGACTCAGGTATTCCTTTCCAGTAATGCAAGAACAGCCTAATACAACTACCAACTCTCCTGAAAAAACAAAATATTTTGCAGACATTCTATTGAGACGTAGCCTACTCAATTTCTATAGCGCAAAGTGACCTTTCAATACAAACAATAGTTTATTTGGAAAGTCACCAATTCAACTTGTCTTTCTGGAGACTTTCTTTCTCTCTTCTCCTTGGGAGATACTTCAATGAGCCTGCATATGTTAAGAACATGCTATGTTCTGTATATAAATCAACAGAAGCAAACTCACACTAAATATTCAAAGCTGAAAAACAATTTGTCAGAAAGAGCATCAATCAGATGTCACTGTCTATCTTTCGGATCTGTACTTTGACTGTAAAGAGCAGTGATTTCCGTAAGTCATTTTTCTCCATTGTTTGTCATTGGTTACCAGTTTACACTGCATTCCTCAAATTTCATTTGAGTTATCACGGGACAATAATCTTTTTGCTTGTAATATTTGCATCCCCTCACCTGGAATATCCACCTTCAGGAAGTGAGAGATTTGATGACCACAATCCCAAATGGTTGGATCAGAATATCCAATTCAATAAGGCAGAATAAAGGATAAAAACATTATGCAATACATACTGGAATAAAGGCAGGATGGGTAGATCAGACCAAACACCTAGGGGAGACACTTTCGTTTAAGGACAAACCATTAACACCAGAATTCAGCCCTACCACCAGGCTCACTTACAGTCCTTCCTCCCTGCTAATTAACTCACCTTGTTTTGTCCTGCAGGACATAATTTGTCCTGCCCTAAAGCTAGCTTTTGCCCTTAGGAAAGCACATATAGCCTTTTGGCTGTTTGGTTATTATAGCCTTGTAATACATTTTGAAGTCAGGTAATGTGATGTTTCTACTTTGTTCTTTTTCCTTAGGATTGCTTTGGCTATTTATTTCATAAAAATTTTATAATTTTTCTAATTCTGTGAAAAATGACATTGGTATTTTGGTAGGGATTGCATTGGATCTGCAGATTGCTTTGCACGGTATGGTGCTTTTAATGATATTAAATCCTCCAATCCATTAGCATAGGTGTTTTCCATTTGTTTCTGTCCTCCACAATTTATTTCATTAGTGTTTTATGGCTTTCCTTGTAAAGCTCTTTCACCCCTTGGTGAAATTTATTCCTAGGTATTTTTTTCATATTTATTGTAGTAGGGATTGTCTTCTTCATTTCTTTCTCAGCTAACTAGTTATTGGTGTAGAGATATGCTACCAATTTTTGTATGTTGATTTTGTATCTTACACCTTTATTGAATTTATGTATCAAATCTAGTAGTATCCTTGGGTAGCAGGGGGTTTTGTTGTTGTTGTTGTTGTTGTTGTTTTAAATTTTAGCACCTTGAATATGTCATCCATCTTCTTCTGGCCCGTAAGGTTTCTGCTGGAAAACTCCTTGTTAGTCTGCTGGGGATTCCTTTATGGGTGACTAGATACTTTTCTCTTGCTCATTTTAGTGTCCTCACTTTTGCTTTGACTTTAGACAGTTTGGCAATATGTGGCTTAGAAAAGACTTTTATGCCTCATGTCTGGGGATCTTTGGGCCCCAGAATATCTGAATGTCTAGGTCTCTAGCTAAACCTGGAAAATTTTCATTTACTATTTCATTAAGTAGATCTTCTAAACCTTTCTTTCTCTCTTTGCCCTTGGGGACACCAATAACATGAATATTTGGTCACTTTATGTTGTCCCAAATGTCATAAAAGTTTTGCTTATTCTTTTTTATACGTTTTTATTTTTGTCTAACTGGATTATTTCAAAGGACCTGTCTTAAATTTCTGAGATTCCTTCTTTTCCTTGATCTAGTCTATTGTTGAAGCTTTCATGTGTATTTTCTGTTTCATTTGATGCATTCTTTAGCTCCAGAATTTCTGTTTGGTTATTTTTTAAAATGTATATCTCTTTGGTAAATTTTTCTTTCATATTCTGAATTGTACTTCTGATTGTTCTGTATTGGTATTCAGAATTCTCTTGTATGTCACTGAGCTTCTTTAAAATCAGTTTTTAAAATACTTATTTTTTTATATGTTAAGTTTTAGGGTACATGTGCACAACGTGCAGCTTTGTTACATATGTATACATGTGCCATGTTGGTGTGCTACACCCATTAACTCATCATTTAGCATTAGGTATATCTCCTGATGCGATCCCTCCTCCCTCCCCCCACACCACAACAGTCCCAGGTGTGTGATGTTCCCCTTCCTGTGTCCATGTGTTCTCATTGTTCAATTCCCACCTATGAGTGAGAACATGAGGTGTTTGGTTTTTTGTCCTTGCGATAGTTTGCTTCGAATGATGGTTTCCAGCTGCATCCATGTCCCTACTAAGGACATGAACTCATCATTTTTTATGGCTGCATAGTATTCCATGGTGTATATGTGCCACATTTTCTTCATCCAGTCTATCATTGTTGGACATTTGGGTTGGTTCCAAGTCTTTGCTATTGTGAATAGTGCCACAATAAAAATACGTGTGCATGTGTCTCTATAGCAGCATGATTTATAATCCTTTGGGTATATACCCAGTAATGGGATGGCTGGGTCAAATGGTATATCTAGTTCTAGATCCCTGAGGAGTCGCCACACTGACTTCCACAATGGTTGACCTAGTTTAAAGTCCCACCAACAGTGTAAAAGTGTTCCTATTTCTCCACATCCTCTCCAGCACCTGTTGTTTCCTGACTTTTTAATGATTGCCATTCTAACTGGTGTGAGATGTTATCTCATTGTGGTTTTGATTTGCATTTCTCTGATGGCCAGTGATGATGAGCATTTTTTCATGTGTTTTTTGGCGCATAAATGTCTTCTTTTGAGAAGTGTCTGTTCATGTCCTTCGCCCACTTTTTGTTGGGGTTGTTTTTGTCTTGTAAATTTGTTTGAGTTCTTTGTAGATTCTGGATATTAGCCCTTTGTCAGATGAGGAGGTTGCAGAAATTTTCTCCCGTTCTGTAGGTTGCCTGTTCACTCTGATGGTGGTTTCTTTTCCTGTGCAGAAGCTCTTTAGTTTAATTAGATCCCATTTGTCAATTTTGGCTTTTGTTGCCAATGCTTTTGGTGTTTTAGACAAGAAGACCTTGCCCATGCCTATATCCTGAATGGTAATGCCTAGGTTTTCTTCTAGGGTTTTTATGGGTTTAGGTCTAACATGTAAGTCTTTAATCCATCTTGAATTAATTTTTGTATAAGGTGTAAGGAAGGGATCCAGTTTCAGCTTTCTACATATGACCATCCAGTTTTCCCAGCACCATTTATTAAATAGGCAATCCTTTCCCCATTGCTTGTTTTTGTCAGGTTGTCAAAGATCAGATAGTTGTAGATATGCTGTATTATTTCTGAGGTTTCTCTTCTGTTCCATTGGTGTATATCTCTGTTTTGGTACCAGTACCATGCTGTTTTGGTTACCGTAGCCTTGTGGTATAGTTTGAAGTCAGGTAGCGTGATGCCTCCAGCTTTGCTCTTTTGGCTTAGGATTGACTTGGCAAGGCGGGCTCTTTTTTGGTTCCATATGAACTTTAAAGTAGTTTTTATCCAATTCTGTGAAGAAAGTCATTGGTAGCTTGATGGGGATGGCATTGAATCTATAAATTACCTTGGGCAGTATGGCCATTTTCACAATATTGATTCTTCCCACCCATGAGCATAGAATGTTCTTCCATTTGTTTGTATCCTCTTTTATTTCAGTGAGCAGTGGTTTGTAGTTCTCCTTGAAGAGTCCTTCACATCCCTTCTAAGTTGGATTCCTAGGTATTTTATTCTCCTTGAAGCAATTGTGAATGGGAGTTCACTCATGATTTGGCTCTCTGTTTGTCTGTTATGGCTGTATAAGAATGCTTGTGATTTTTGCACATTGATTTTGTATCCTGAGACTTTGCTGAAGTTGCTTATCAGCTTAGGAGATTTTGGGCTGAGATGATGGGGTTTTCTAGATATACAATCATGTCATCTGTAAACAGGGACAATTTGACTTCCTTTTTTCCTAATTGAATACCCTTTATTTCCTTCTCCTGCCTGATTGCCCTGGCAAGAACTTCCAACACTATGTTGAATAGGAGTGGTGAGAGAGGGCATCCCTGTCTTGTGCCGTTTTCAAAGGGAATGCTTCCAGTTTTTGCCCATTCAGTATGATATTGGCTGTGGGTTTGTCATAGATAACTCTTATTATTTTGAGATATGTCCCATCAATACCTAATTTATTGAGAGTTTTTAGCATGAAGGGTTGTTGAATTTTGTCAACGGCCTTTTCTGCATCTATTGAGATAATCATGTGGTTTTTGTCTTTCGTTCTGTTTATATGCTGGATTACGTTTATTGATTCACATATGTTGAATCAACCTTGCATCCCAGGGATGAAGCCCACTTGTTCATGGTGGATAAGCTTTTTGATGTGTTGCTGGATTCTTTTTGCCAGTATTTTATTGAGGATTTTGCATCAATGTTCATCAAGGATATTGGTCTAAAATTCTCTTTTTCTATTGTCTCTCTGCCAGGCTTTGGTATTAGGATGATGCTGGCCTCATAAAATGAGTTAGGGAGGATTCCCTCTTTTTCTATTGATTGGAATAGTTTCAGAAGGAATGGTACCAGCTCCTCCTTGTACCTATGGTAGAATTCGGCTGTGAATCCATCTGGTCCTGGACTTTTTTTGGTTGCTAAGCTATTACTTATTGCCTCAATTTCAGAGCTTCCCATTGGTCTATTCAGAGATTCAACTTCTTCCTGGTTTAGTCTTGGGAGAGTGTATGTGTCGAAGAATTTATCCATTTCTTCTAGATTTTCTAGTTTATTTGTGTAGAGGTGTTTATAGTATTCTCTGATGGTAGTTTCTATTTCTGTGGGATCGGTGGTGATATCCCCTTTGTCATTTTTTATTGCGTCTATTTGATTCTTCTCTCTTTTCTTCTTTATTAGTCTTGCTAGCGGTCTATCAATTTTGTTGATCTTTTCAAAAAACCAGCTCCTGGATTCATTGATTTTTTGAAGGGGTTTTTGTGTCTCTATTTCCTTCAGTTGTGCTCTGATCTTAGTTATTTCTTGCCTTCTGCTAGCTTTTGAATGTGTTTGCTCTTGCTTCCCTAGTTCTTTTAATTGTGATGTTAGGGTGTCAATTTTAGATCTTTCCTGCTTTCTCTTGTGGGTATTTAGTGCTATAAATTTCCCTCTAAACACTGCTTTGAATGTGTACCAGAGATTCTGGAATGTTGTGTCTTTGTTCTCATTGGTTTCAAAGAACATCTTTATTTCTGCCTTCATTTCGTTAGGTACCCAGTAGTCATTCAGGAGCAGGTTGTCCCATTTCCATGTAGTTGAGTGGTTTTGAGTGAGTTTCTTAATCCTGAGTTCTAGTTTGATTGCACTGTGGTCTCATAGACAGTTTGTTAAAATTTCTATTCTTTTACATTTGCTGAGGAGGGCTTTACTTCTAACGATGTGGTCAATTTTGGAATAGGTATGGTGTGGTGCTGAAAAGAATGTATATACTGTTGATTTGGGGTGGAGAGTTCTGTAGATGTCTATTAGGTCTGCTTGGTGCAGAGCTGAGTTCAATTCCTGGATATCCTTGTTAACTTTCTGTCTTGTTGATCTGTCTAATGTTGACACTGGGGTGTTAAAAGTCTCCCATTATTATTGTGTTGGAGTCTAAGTCTCTTTGTAGGTCACTAAGGACTTGCTTTATGAATCTGCGTGCTCCTGTATTGGGTGCATATATATTTAGGATAGTTAGTTCTTCTTGTTGAATTGATCCCTTTACCATTATGTAATGGCCTTCTTTGTCTCTTTTGATCTTTGCTGGTTTAAACTCTGTTTTATCCAAGATGAGGATTGCAACCCGTGCCTTTATTTGTTTTCCATTTGCTTGGTAGATCTTCCTCCATCCCTTTATTTTGAGCCTATGTGTGTCTCTGCACGTGAAATGGGTTTCCTGAATACAGCACACTGATGTGTCTTGACTCTTTATCCAATATGAGAGTCTGTGCCTTTTAATTGGAGCATTTAACCCATTTACATTTAAGGTTAGTATTGTTATGTGTGAATTTGATCCTGTCATTATGATGTTAGCTGGTTATTTTGCTCATTAGTTGATGCTATTTCTTCCTAGCTTTGATGGTCTTTACCATTTGGTATGTTTTTGCAGTGGCTGGTACCGGTTTTTCCTTTCCATGTTTAGTTCTTCCTTCAGGAGCTCTTTTAGGGCAGGCCTGGTGGTGACAAAATCTCTCAGCATTTGCTTGTCTGTAAAGGATTTTATTTCTCCTTCACTCATGAAGCTTAGTTTGGCTGGAGATGAAATTCTGGGTTGAAAATTCTTGTCTTTACGAATGTTGAATATTGGTCCCCACTCTCTTCTGGCTTGTAGAGTTTCTGCCGAGAGATCCGCTGATAGTCTGATGGGCTTCCCTTTGTGGGTAACCTGACCTTTCTCTCTGGCTGCCCATAACATTTTTTCCTTCATTTCAACTTTGGTGAATCTGACAATTATGTGTCTTAGAGCTGCTCTTCTCGAGGAGTATCTTTGTGGCATTCTCTGTATATCCTGAATTTGAATGTTGGCCTGCCTTGCTAGATTGGGGAAGTTCTCCTGGATAATATCCTGCAGAGTGTTTTCCAACTTGGTTCCATTCTCCCCGACACTTTCAGGTACACCAATTAGACGTTGATTTGGTCTTTTCACATAGTCCCATACTTCTTGGAGGCTTTGTTCATTTCTTCTTATTCTTTTTTCTCTAAACGTCCCTTCATGCTTCATTTCATTCATTTCGTCTTCCATCGCTGATACCCTTTCTTCCATTTGATCACATCGGTTAATGAGGCTTGTGCATTCATCACGTAGTTCTTGTGCCATGGTTTTCAGTTCCATCAGGTCCTTTAAGGACTTCTCTGCATTGGTTATTCTAGTTAGCCATTTGTCTAATTTTTTTTCAAAGTTTTTAACTTCTTTGCCATTAGTTCGAACTTCCTCCTTTAGCTCGGAGTAGTTTGATCTTCTGAAGCCTTCCTCTCTCATCTCGTCAAAGTCATTCTCCATCCAGCTTTGTTCTGTTGCTGGTGAGGAGATGTGTTGCTTTGGAGGATGAGAGGTGCTCTGATTTTTAGAGTTTCCGTTTTTTCTGCTCCGTTTTTTCCCAATGTTTGTGGTTTTATCTGCCTTTGGTCTTTGATGCTGGTGACGTACAGATGGGTTTTTGGTGTGGATGTCCTTTCTGTTAGTTTTCCTTCTAACAGTCAGGACCCTCACCTGCAGGTCTGTTGGAGTTTACTGGAGGTCCACTCCAGACCCTGTTTGCCTGGGTATCAGCAGCAGTGGCTGCAGAACAGCGGATATTGGTGAACCACAAATGCTGCTGCCTGATCATTCCTCTGGAAGTTTTGTCTCAGAGGGGTACCCGGCTGTGTGAGGTGTCAGTCTGCCCCTACTGGGGGATGCCTCCCATTTAGGCTACTCGGGAGTCAGGGACCCACTTGAGGAGGCAGTCTGCCCGTTCTCAGATCTCAAGCTGCATGCTGGGAGAACCACTACTCTCTTCAAAGCTGTCAGACAGGGACATTTAAGTCTGTCTTAATTTAAGGTTATTGCTGTCTTTTGTTTGTATGTGCCCTGCCCCCAGAGGTGGAGTCTACAGAGGCAGGCAGGCCTCCTTAAGCTGTGGTGGGCTCCAGCCAGTTCGAGCTTCCTGGCCACTTTGTTTACCTACTCAAGCCTGAGCAATGGCAGGCACCCATCCCCCAGCCTCGCTGCCGCCTAGCAGTTTGATCTCAGACTGCTGTGCTAGCAATGAGCGAGGCTCCGTTGGCGTAGGACCTCCAAGCCAGGTGTGGGATATCATCTCCTCATGTGCCATTTGTTTAGCCCGTTGGAAGAGCGCAGTATTAGGGTGGGAGTGACCCGATTTACCAGGTGCCGTCTGTCACCCCTTTATTTGACTAGGAAAGGGAATTCCCTGACCCCTTGTGCTTCCCGGGTGAGGCGATGCCTCGCCCTACTTCGGCTAACACACGGTGCACTGCACCCACTGTCCTGCACCCACTGTCAGGCACTCCCCAGTGAGATGAACCCGGTGCCTCCATTGGAAATGCAGAAATCACCCGTCTGCTGCATCGCTCACGCGGGGAGCTGTAGACTGGAGCTGTTCCTATTCGGCCATCTTGGCTCCACCTCCCTTAAAATTCTTTATCTGGGGATTTTATGAATTTCTTTTTGATTGAGATCTGTTGCTGGAGAATTATTGTCTTCCTTGGGAAGTGTCATATGTCCTTGCTTTTTCATGTTTTCTGTGTACTTAGATTTATATCTGTGCATCTGTTGTAATAGTCACTTCTTCCTGTTTTTTTAGATTGCTTTCATAGAGGAAGACTTTTTTCTGAAGATCTATATATGTTGTTGGTTAGGTAGGGCATTTTGGCTTTTATTTTGGGTGCATGCAGTAGTGTGATTTCCGTATGATTTATTCAGCTGTAAACATTGTCAATGGTATCTGTGATTTCTTCAGTGGCTTAGTGTGTTCTTATTAGTGGAGGCTATGGTGAAGTTTTACTAGGGAGTAGGATGCCAGGAGGGCCAGTGTTTGGGCACCAGCGGTGGCAGCAGTAGGCCGAGTGTGCCTGTCTTTGGCCTCCAACATGACTTACACTGGTACCAATGTTAGGGGGCCTAGATGATTCAATTCTTGGGCTTTCAGATGGCTTTTTTCAATCTGGTAGTGGCCAGTGGTAAGTCTGGCATGTGGATAGGTTCCCAGGTCCTTGGGCAGCGAATATGATATGGGTGATGGCAGTAGCAATGGTGGAGCAACCTACTGAAACCCAAGCAGTCCATGCTAGTCCTGGTGGTGGCTATGACAAGTTGGGTGTCCATAACATATTAGTTATGGCCACTGGTGGTGTGTGTAGGTGGGTGCCAGCTGTGGTAGTATTGGTAGGTTGTGTCAGCCTGACCTCAGATTCCAGGAGGAGTGTTAGGTACCAATGATGGTGGACTGGGCTGAACAATTTCCAGGCTCCTACACAGTATGCTCAATAACTCAGGGGAGGGGGATGGGAAGACACGAACTGGGCTGGCAGAGCTGGCCGCCTGGTAGTGTGTTCAGGTGCTGTCTCTGATAGGCAAGGGTGAGGTGACCCCAGGCCACTGGCAAAATGCTCAGGTGTGGGCAGTGGTGGCTGTGCTGCAGGCCTGCCACCATGTAGGATGAGGCCACTTTCAGTGGTTTCAATGTAGGGAGGTAGCTGTGTGATGTGCAGTTTTCTCACACTTCATTCCCATAGTAGCCTGCAGCAGCACTGGGATTTGTCCTCAAAGTGCAGTAAAATGCCTGGTCTCCACTCTCCCTTCTTGGCGAGGCAGCAGCAGCAGCAGCAGCAGCAGTTTCAACTCTAACCCCATGACAACACAGAGACCTTTGGAGGTTAGGCTCTAAAAATCTACATAAATAATTTTGAGTTTGACTTTTTTTTTTTTTTTAACTAAGCATTACAACATAGCATTTTACCATCATGGTGATTTTAAAATATGTCCATAAATTCTTTTATACTCTTCCATTCAAAGGGTAGAACCTAATCACCCTTATTCCTATATTTAGTGACTTGCTTCCAAAGAATAGAATATGGCAATACTAGAATATATGACTTCCGAGACTAGTTCATAAAAAGCATATTGGCTTTTTGGCTTATTCTTTCACACCAATGGCTCTGGAGGAAATCAGCTGCCATGACATGAGAACACTCAAGCAGCTAAGTGGAAGTCTCCTGACAACAACCAGCACTAACTTGCTAGGCATGCAAGTGAGCTATGTTGGAAGTATGTACTTCAACCCCATTCAGGCTTTTAGATGACTATAACATAGGCCAACATCTTTACTTCAACTTCAAGAGAGACCCTGAGCCTGAACCACCCAGCTAAGTTGCTCTCAGGTTTCTAGCCCACAGAAATTGGGTTCAGTAATAAATGTGCATTGTTTTAGGCTACTACACTTTGGGGTCATTTGTTATATAGCAGTAGATAACGAGCACAACTATGTTATAAATTTCTCACAAACATTATTTTAATGGCTATACTTTATATATATTTTTATATATGCATGGAAGTATAACAGGAAATCTAACAGGAAGTAATCTATGTTGACAGGTGTAATGTCAACAACATGAAAAAGTTAGAGAAAGTCTCAGTTTTTCCTAATAACTTTTATGTTTTATTCAATTCAAAGGAATGAAGAGGTACTTTTCTAAAACACAGGCTGAGATATTCAAAAATTTCTTCTTTCTCATGCTATACTTAATATGTAAAGAAAACTACATTCTTCATATCTACATAGAAGAAAAATTAAATAATTTATCTCTTAAAACATTTCCTTTATGTTATAATCAGAGAAATATTCTATTCTTCCTGTTCTCCTTCAAGAGCTGAGGGTATGTGTGGCTTTTCTGATAATTGCAATGTAATTTCAATATGCAAATGATCCTAAAGAAGAAAAAGTATGGATCACATAAATACACTATTTCTGGAATTGCCGTAGATGAATATCGGCCACACGAACTATTGGGATAAAACATTATCCATTCAGACAATCACTAAATATTTTTGAACAATTATTTATGTAATAAGCACAGCGATATCGTTAACATGGTAGACGTGTTGTTGCCATCACAAAGCTTACAATTCAGCATAACATGCAAATAAGCAAACAGGTTATCAAAACAGAGTGCTCAAACTATAAAAATCCTAGAAGAAAACCTAGGAAAAACTCTTCTACACATTGACTTAGACATTCAAAATCACTAATCGTCAGAGAAATGGAAATCAAAACCACAATGAAATACCATCTCACACCAGTCACAATGGCTGTTATTAAAAAGTAAAAAAGGCTGGGCATGGGGCTCACGCCTGTAATCCCAGCACTTTGGGAGGCCGAGGCGGGCAGATCATTTGAGGTCAGGAGTTCGAGACCAGCCTGGCCAACATGGTGAAATCCGGTCCCTATTAAAAATACCAAAATTAGCCAGGTGTAAAGGCATCCACCTGTTGTCCCAGCTACTCAGGAGGCTGAGGCAGGAGAATCGCTTGAACCCAGGAGGCGAAGGTTGCAGTGAGCCGAGATCGCACCACTGCACTCCAGTCTGGGTGACAGAATAAGACTCCGTCTCAGAAAAAACAAAAAGAAGAAAAGTAAAAAAACAACAGATGTTGGCAAGGTTTAGGAGAAAAGGGAGCACTTATACACTGTTGGTGGGAATGCAAATTAGTTCAGCCCCTGTGGAAAGTAGTTTGGAGATTTCTTAAAGAACAACAACAACAAAAAAAAGGAATTACCATTTGACACAGCAGTCCTACTACTTGGTATATACCCAGAGAAAAATAAATCATTCTACCAAAAAGACACCTGCACTCATATGTTTATTACAATAGTATTCACAATAGCAAAGACATGGAAGCAACCCAGGTGCCCATCAATGGTGAACTGGATAAAGAAAATGTGGTACATACACAACATGATATACTATACAACCATAAAAAAAGAATAAAATCACGTCTTTTGCAGCAACATGGATGCAACTGGAGGCCATTACTCAAAGTAAATTAATGTAGGAAAAGAAAACCAAATACTGCATGTTCTCATTATAAGTGAGTGGGAGCTAAGCATTGGGTACACATGGACACAAAGATGGGAATCATAAGCACTGAAAATTCCAGACTGGGGGAGGGAGGGAGGGGATAAGGGTTGAAAAACTACCTATCAGGTATTATGTTTCCTCAGGGGCTTAGTGTGCTCTTATTAGTGGAGGCTATAGTGAAGTTTTGCTGGGTAGTAGGATGCCAGGTAGGCCAGTCTTCAGGCACCAGTGGTGGCAGCAATAGGCTGCTGTGCCAAACCTCAACATCAGACAACATACCCATGTAACAAACCTGCACATGTACCCCTTGAATCTAAAATAAAAATTTAAAGTATTTTTTATAAAACAAAATATAGAGTGTTGAGTATTACAATGTGGAAGGAGTAGAATGCTATGAGGGCACACAAAAGATGAACGTTATCCAGGTTTAGCAATAAGGTAAGGCTTTCGAAGTGGAATGACCTATAAACAGAGGTTAAATATAGTGGTATGCTAGTAAAATGGCTTTCCAGAAAAAGGAACTAAAGTCTTTATTTGCAATGTTTGCCAATTTCCATAGCGTAAATGTTCACACAATAGACAATTTTAAGCTACTAATATGAAAACACTGATCATGAAATTTGGAAGACAAGTAAAGAATCAGCTCTCACAAGCTAGTACAAGCTAGCTCCAGTGAACCACTGGAAATGCCTCATGAATTGTGATACACTCTCTTTCTTATCCCTCCACCCTAGCCTTTGTTTAGGTCTGTATGATGCCTCATCCATATTACTGCAATAAACTCGAATTGACCCACCATGGCTGACTCACTCCTGGGTCTTCTCCTAGCTCCCTCCCAGTTACATGCCCATCACACCTCTTCTGTGCAAAAACCTTTGAGTGATGTACCATTGCCTATAAAATCAAAACTTTATAGTCTGTCTGGCCTGCCTATTCAACCTCAACTTACACCACCTCCTTCCATGCCTGCTATACACTAGCCATGCTAAATGGTCATCACTGACCTGTTAGTCCTAGAATACACCATCTACCCACACCTCAAGACTAATAAGATTTGGGACTCAAGGAGGAGCAAGATGGTTGAACAGAAGCCTTCAATGATCATCCTCCCTACAGGAACACCAAATAGAACAACTATCCACACCTTTGTAAGAAAAAAAGCACCTTCATAAGAACCAAAAATCAGGTAAGCAATCAAGGTACCTGGCTTTAATTTCATAAAACAGAAACAGGCACTGAAGAGGGTAGGAAAGGCAGTCTTGAATTGCCACCACTCGATGCCACCACTCCCCCATCCCCTAGCAGTGGCATTGTGGTATTAAGAGAGAATCTGTGCACTTGCAGGAGGGAGAGCACATGACTGTGGGACTTTGCATTGAAACTCAGGGCTGCTCTGTCACCATGGAAAGCAACGCAGGGCAGAATTCAGCCAGCATCCACAGAGGGAGCATTTATGCGAGGCCTAGCCAGAGGAGAAATATCCATCCCAGTGGTCAAAACCTGAGTTCTGGCAAGCAGCAGTTCAGTGCTCCAACTAAAATGCTCTGGGGTACTAAATAAAGTTGAGAAGCAATCCAAGCCACAAAGGACTGCAAGTCTTGGCCAAGTCCTGCTGCAGTGCTGGGCTTGCAGCCAGTGGACTTGAGACATCAGCCAGGGCAGCCAAGGGAGTGCTTGTGTCACCCTTCCCTCAACCCCAGGCAGCACAGCTCACAGCTCTGGGAAAAACTCTTTCCTTCTCCTTCTCAAAGAGAGGAGAAGGAAGAATAAAGAGGACTTTGTCTTGAACCTTGGACACCAGCTCAGCCACAGTAAGATAAGATATTGGGAAGAGTTCCAATACACCCATTCTAAGCCCTAGCTCCGGGATGATATTTCTACACACACCCATGGCCAGAAGGAAAACCACTGCCTTGAAGGAAGGGACGCAGTCCTGGCAGGATTAATCGCCTGCTGACTAAAGAGCCATTGTAGTATTCACCATGGGCCTGGGATAAGACTCAGACATGCTGGCTTCAGGGATAACCCAGCACTTTCATAGCTGTGGTGGCTAAGCAAAGAAACTTCTTCTGCTTGAGAAAATGAAAGGGAAAAGTAAAGGGGCCTTTGCTTTGCAGGTTGGGTACCAGCTCAGTTGCCGTGGGGTAGAGTACCAAGTGGACTCTGGGGGTCCCTGATTCCAGGCCTTGACTCTTAGACAACATTTCTGCATTTGCCCTGGGCCAGAGGGGAACCCACTGTCCTGAAGGGAGAGTCCCAGGCCTGACAGCATTCACCAAAAGCTGACTAAAAAGCACTTGGGCCTTGAGTAAACATTAGCAGTAGCTACACAGTACTTGCAGTGGCCCTGGGGCAGTGGTAACCATAGGAAGAGATGATTCTACTTGTGCAAAGAGGAGAGAAGAGTGAGAAGGACTTTGTCTTGTGGCTTAAGTGCCAGCTCAGATACAGAAGAACAGAGCCATAGATAGATTCCTGAGGTTTCTGATTCCAGGCCCTGGCTCCCAGATGGCATCTGTGGGCCTGTCTGGGGCTAGGGAGAACTTGCAACACTGAATGGAAGGACACGAGCCTGGCTGGCTTTGCCACTTGCTGACTGTAGAACCTTAGGATGTTGAGGAAACATAGGCAGTAGCCAGGCAGTGGTTACAGTAGATCTTAGACAAGATCCAGTACCGAGCTAGCTTCAGATATGGCCTCAGTACAGTCCCAGTGGTGGTGACCACAGGAGTGCGTCTATCACCACTGTCCCAACTCCAGGCAGCTCAGCACAGAGAAAGAGACTGTTTAGGAATAACTCTGCCTGGTAATCCAGAGATTTCTTCTAGATCTTATCCAAGCCGATCAAGGCAGTACCTCTCCAAGTCTATACAAGCCATAGCATTACTGGGCTTGGGGTGCCCCCTAATGCAGATACAGGTGTAGAGACCAAAAACTTAGATTACAACACTGATATAGTTTGGATATTTCTCCCTGCCTAAATCTCATGTTGAAATGTAATCCCCAGTGTTGGAGTTGAGGCTTGATGGGAGGTGTTTGGATCATGGGGCCAGATCCCTCATGAATGGCTTGGGCCATCTCCTTGGTGATAAGTGAGCTCTCACTCTGACTTCACATGAGATCTGATTGTTAAAAAGTGTGTGGCACCTCCCCCCAACTCTCTCTCCCTTGCTCCTGCTTTAACCATTTGATGTACCTATTCCTCCTTCACCTTCTACCATGATTGAAAGCTCCCTAAGTCTTCACAAGAAGCTGAGCAGATGCCAGCACCATGTTTCCTGTAAAGCCTGCTGAACCATGAGCCAATTAAACCTTTTTGCTGGCCAGGCATAGTGGCTCATGCCTTTAATCCCAGCACTTTGGAAGGCCAAGGTGGGAGGATCACTTGAGCCCAGGAATTCGAGACCAGCCTGGGCAACATAATAAGAACCTGTCTCTAAATAAATAAATAAATAAAAATGAACCTGTTTGTACATTACTCAGACTCAGGTATTTCTTTATAGCAATGCAATGACTAATACAAGGAATTGCTACCAAGCAGTTGGCCATTGCTATAAAGATACCTAAAATGTGGAAGCAACTTTGGAACTGGGTAATAGGCAGAGGCTGGAAACTTTGGAGGGCTCAGAAAAAGACAGGAAGATGAGGGAAAGTTTGCAACTTCCTAAAGCTGGGTTAAATGGTTCTGACCAAAATGCTGATAGTGATATGGACTGTGAAATCCAGGCAAACAAGGTGTCAGATAGAAGAACTAATTGGGAACTGGAACAAGTCACACCTTATGCCTTAGAAAAGAATTTGTGTGCATTCTGTTCATGCCCTTGGGATATGTGGATGTTTGAGCTTGAGAGTGGTGACCTAGGGTATGTGGCAGAAGAAATTTCCAAGCAACAGTGTTCATAAAGTAGGGTGGCTGCTCCTAATAGCCTACGCTCAGACAAAGAAAGGACTTAAAATTGGAATTTATATTTAAAAGGGAAGCAGAGAATAAAAGTTTGAAAATTTGGGTGCCTAGCTGTGTGGCAAACAAAGAAGAAGCTTTCTGGGGAGAGAAATTCAAGCAGGCTTCAGAGCAACCACTTGCTAGAAAATTTTGCATAGCTAAAAAGGAGTTAAGTACTCTTATCTAAAACAATGGGGAAAAGGCCAGGAAGGCATTTCCAAGACTTTGTGGCAACCTCCCCCCCCACAGCCCCAGGGGCCTGGAAAGGAAGAATGGCTTCTTGGGGCAGGCCCAAGGCCCTGCTACCTTTGTTCAGCCTTGGGAGTCTGCTACTTGCATCCCGCCATTCTAACTCCAGCCTTGGCTCAAAGGGGACCAGGTACAGCTCAGGCTGCCACTTTGGAGAATGTAAGCCATAAGCCTTGCTGATTTCCACATGGTGTTTAGCCTGTAGGCATGCAGAATGCAAGAATGAAGAACACTTGGCACCCTCCACCTAGATTTCAGAGGATAAATGGAAAAGCCTGGGTGCCCAGACAGAGGACTGCTACAAGCGCAGAGCCTCTTCAGAGAACCTCTACTAGGGAAATGCCAAGGAGAAATATGAGATTGGAGCCCCCATACAGAGTCCCTACTGGGGCATTGCCTAGTGGTGCTGTAAGAAGGGGGCCACCATCCTTCAGATCCCAGAATGGTAGATCCACTGGGAGCTTGCACCCTGCACTGGGAAAAGCCACAGTCACTCAATGTGTGAGAGCAGCCATGGGGGCTGTATCTAGCAAAGCCACAGGAGTGGAGCTGTCCAAGGCCTTGGGAACCTACTCCTTGCACCAGTGTGCCCTGGATGTTGGACATGGAGTCAAAGAAGATTATTTTGGAGCTTTAAGAGTTAATGACTACCCTGTTGGGTTTCAAACTTTCATAGAGCCTGTAGCCCCTTTCTTTTGGCCTCTTTCTCCCTTTTGGAATGGGAATGTTTACCCAATGCCTATGCCCCCTCATTGTATCTTGGAAATAAATAACTTCTTTTGATTTTACAGGTGAAAGGGGCTTGCCTTATCTCAGATGAGACTTTGGACTTGGGACTTTTGAGTTCATGCTGGAATGACTTAAGACTTTGGGGGACTATTGGGAAGGCGTGATTGTATTTTGCAATGTGAGGATATGAGATTTGGCAGGGGCAGGGGCAGAATGATATAGTTTGGATGTTTCTCTCTGCCCAAATCTCATGTTGAAATGTAATCTCCAATGTTGAAGGTGGGGGCTTGGTGGGAGGTGTTTGGGTCATGGGGCCAGATCCCTCTGTCTCACGTGTCTGTGTGAAGAGACCAAACAGGCTTTATGTGAGCAACAAAGCTGTTTATTTCACCTGGGTGCAGGCAGGCTGAGTCCAAAAAAGGAGTCAGCAAAGGGTGGTGGATTATCATTAGTTCTTATAGGTTTTGGGATAGGCGGTGGAGTTAGGAGCAAAGTTTTGGGGGCAGGGGGTGGATCTCACAAAGTACATTCTCAAGGGTGGGGAGAATTACAAAGAACCTTCTTAAGGGTGGGAGAGATTACAAAGTACATTGATCAGTTAGGGTGGGGCAGAAACAAATCACAATGGTGGATTGTCATCAGTTAAGGCTATTTTCACTTCTTTTCTGGAGCTTCAGTTGCTTCAGGCCATTTGGATGTCTACTTGCAGGTCACAGGGGATATGATGGCTTAGCTTGGGCTCAGAGGCCTGACACCCTCATGAATGGCTTGGGCCATCTCCTTGGTGATAAGTAAGCTCTCGATCCGAGTTCACATGAGATCTGATCATTTAAAAGTGTGTAGTGGCCAAGTGCGGTGGCTCATGCCTGTAATCCCAGCACTTTGAGAAGCCAAGGCAGGCGGATCACGAGGTCAGAAGATTGAGACCATCCTGGCTAACACGGTGAAACCCTGTCTCTACTAAAAATACAAAAAAAAAAAAAAAATTAGCCACGCGTGGTGGCACATGCCTGTAATCCCAGCTACTGGGGAGGCTGAGGCAGGAGAATGGCATGAACCCAGGAGGCAGAGCTTGCAGTGAGCCAAGATCACGCCACTGCACTCCAGCCTGGGCAACAGAGCAAGACTCCGTCTCAAAAAACAAAAGGTGTGTAGCACCTCCCCCCAACTCTCTCTCACTTGCTCTTGATTTGGCCATGTGATGTATCTATTCCTCCTTCACCTTCCACCATGATTGTGACCTCCTTGGGGCTTCACCAGAAGCCAAGAAGATTCTTGTAAAGCCTAAAGAACAATAAGCCAATTAAACTTCTTTTATTTACAAATTATCCAGTCTCAGGTATTTCTTTAGAGCAATGCAAGAATGGCCTGATACAAACAACAAAGTCCTTTCAAATACCTGGAAAGCCAAGAAGGATGGATACAAACGAGCCCAAACAACAAGCACTACAATAAATAATGTAATTCTTCAATACCCAGATACCAATGAACTTCTACAAGCATCAAAACCATCCAGGAAAGCATGACTTTGCCAAATGAACTAAATAAAGTACCAGGGACCAATTCTGGAAAGACAGAAACATGTGACTCTTCAGACAGCGTATTCAAATAGCTGTTTTGAGGAAGCTCAATTAAATACAAGTTAACAAACACAAAGAAGGAATTGAGAATCATATCAGATAAATTTTTAAACGCATTGAAATAATATTAAAAAAGAATTAAGCAGAAAATCTACTTAAATGCAATCTGAATGTGCATTTGACATACTGAAGAATGCATCAGAGTCTTTCACCAGCAGAATTAATCAAGCACAAGAAAGAATTAGTGAGCTTGAAGACAGGCTATTTGAAAATACATAATCAGATGCAAAAAAGAAAAAAGAATAAAAAGGAATGAAACATACCTACCAGATCAAGAAAATAGTCTTGAAAGGGAAAATCTAAGAGTTATTGGCCTTAAACAAGAGGTGCAGAGAGAGATAGGGACAGAAGGTTTATTCAAAGGGATAATAACAGAGAAATTCTGAAACCTACAGAAAAATATCAGTATTCAAATATAAGAAGGTTATAGAACACAAAGCAGATTTAACCCAAAGAGGACTGCATGAAGGTATTTAATAATCAAATTACCAAAGGTCAAGAATAAAGAAAGAATCCAAACAGAAGCAAAAGAAAAGAAACAAATAACATACAATGGAGCTCCAATGCGTCTGACAGCAGACAAAGTACTGAGGGAAAAATTTTTTTACCCTAGAATAGTATATCCAGCAAAAATATCCTTCAAACATGAAGGAGAAATAAAGACTTTCCCAAACAAAAGCTGAGGGATGGCATCAACAACAGACCTATCCTACAAGAAGTGCTAAAGAAAGTTCTTCAATCTCAAAGAAAAGGACAATAATGAGCAATAAGAAATCAGCTGAAGGTGCAAAATTCACTGGTAATTTCAAGTACCCAGAAAACACAGGATAGTATAACACTGTAATTGTGGTGTGTAAACTACTTATAACTTAAGTAGAAAGAATAAAAGATGAACCGATCAAAAATAATACAAGAACTTTTCAAGACATAGCACAATGAGATATAAATAGAAGCAAAAAAATTTAAAAGCAGAGAGATGAAGTTAAAGTATAGAGTTTTTAACATTGTTTTTGCTTGTTTGTTTGTTAGATTATTTTTTAATGCAATCAGTGTTAAGTTGTCATCACTTTAAAATAATGGGTTATAACATATTATTTGCAAGTTTCATGATAACCTCAAATCAAAAAAAAATGCAACCGATACACACACAAAAAAAGCAAGACTTTAAAACACACCGCCAGAGAAAATCACCTTCACTAAAAGGAAGATAGGAAAGAAGAAAAGAAGGAAGAGAAAACCAAACAATAACCAGAAGGCAAATAGCAAAATGGCAGGAGTAAGTCCTTACTTAACAATAAATTCACTGAATTAACTATCCAATCAAAAGACATACAGTGGTTGAATGGGTTAAAAAAAAAAAACAAAAAAAAAAACACAAGACCCAGTGACTGGTTGCCGATCAGAAGCACACTTAACTTATAAAGAAACACATCAACTGAAAATAAAGAGTTGAGAAAAGACTTTCCATGCAAATGAAAACCAAAAAAAAGAGCAAAAAAATAGATTTCAAGACAAAAACTATAAAAAGAGATAAAAAATGTCATTATATAATGATAAAGGGGTCAATTCAGCAAGATGATGTAAAAATTGCAAATATATAAGCATCCAATACTGGAGAACCCAGACACATAAAGCAAATCTTATTAGAGCTCAAGAAAGAGATAGACCCCAATACAATAATAGCCACAGATTTCCACACCCCACTTTCAGCATTACACAGATCATCCAGACAGAAAATCTAGAAAGAAACATCGTACTTAAACTTAACTGTAGACCAAATGGACCAAATAGATATTTACAGAACATTTTATCCAATGGCTGCAGAATGTACATTCTTCTCCTCAGCACATGGATTATTCTCAAAAATAGACCACAGGTTAGGCCAAAAAACAAGTCTTAAATCATTTTTAAAAACTGAGATCATATCAACTATCTTCTCTGCCACAATGGAATAAAAGTAGAAATCACTAACAAGAGTAATTTTAGAAACTATACCAAAGCGTGGAAATTAAACAATAAACTCCTGAATGACCAGTGGGTCAATGAAGAAATTAAAGAGAAAATTGAAAAAAATTTTGGAAACAAATGATAATGGAATCACAACATACCAAAACCTATGGGATACAGAAAAAGCAGTACTAATAGGGAAGTTTATAGCTATAAGTGACTACATCAAAAAGAGGAAAAACTCACCATGAACAAGCTAACCATGCATCTTAAAGAACTAGAAAAGGAAGAGCAAACCAAACTCAACATTAGTAGAAGAAAATAAATAATAAAGATCCGAGCTGAAATAAAATTAAAATGAAAAAATGATAAAAAAAAATCAATGAAACAAAAAGTTGTTTTTTTCAGTGTGGAGATTCCTTAAGGAAAAAAAAGTAGAACTACCATTTGATCCAGCAATCCCATTACTGGGTATCTACCCAAAGGAAAAGAAGTCATTACATGAAAAAGATATTTGCACATGCATGTTTATAGCAGGACAATTCGCAATTGCAAAAATGTGGAACCAACCCAAATGCCCATCAATCAATGAGTGGATAAAGAAACTGTGGTATAATATATATGATGGAATACTACTCACCCTTAAAAAGGAATGAATTAATGGCATTCACAGCAACCAGGATGGGATTGGAGACTATTATTATAAGTGAAGTAACTCAGGAATGGAAAACCAAATATTGTATGTTCTCGCTCATAAGTAGGGCTAAGCTATGAGGATGCCAAGGCATAAGAATGCTACAGTGGACTTCGGGGACTTGGGTGGAAAGGGTAGGAAGGCGGACAGGGATAAAACACCACAAATTGGGTTAAGTATATACTACTCAGGAGATGGGTGAACCAAAATCTCATAAATCACCACTAAAACTTACTCATGTAACCAAATACCCCTTGTTCCCCAAAAACCTATGGAAATAAAAACTAAAAAAAAACAAAACAAAACATTTTTTTAGAAGTTGGTTTTTTAAAATGTTAAAACAATTTGACAAACCTTTAGCAAGATGAACTAAGAAAAAAAGACAGAATTTCTAAATAAAATCAGAGATGAAAAAGGAAACATTAAAATTGATATCACAGAAATTCAAAGGATCATTAGTGGCTACTTTGAGCAACTATATGCCAATAAATTGGGAAAGCTAGCAGTAATGGATAAATTCCTAAACACATACAACCTATCAAGATTGAACCATGAAAAAATCCAAAACCTGAACAGATGAATAACAAGTAATGAGATAGAAGCCATAATTGAAAGTATCGCTTCTCAGCCTTTTGGCTAAGACCAAGTATAGAAGCCATAATAAAAAGTCTCCCAGCAAAAAAAAGACAAGAACCCAATGGCTTCACTGCAGAATTTTGCTGATTATTTAAATAGGAACTAATACCAATCCTATTCAAACTATTCTGAAACATAGAGGACTGGGGAATACTTCCAAACTCATCCTACGAGGCCAATATGACCCTGATACCAAAACCAGACAAAGACACATCCAAAGAAGAAAACTACAGGCCAATATCCCTGATGAACATTGATACAAGAATCCTCAACAAAATACTAGCAAATCGAATTCAACAACACATTAAAAAAAATCATTCATCATGACCAAGTGAGATTTATCTCAGGGATGCAAGGATGGTTCAACATACAACAAATCAGTGAGACACATCATATAAACAGATTAAAAGACAAAAACCATATGATCATTTCAAATGATGCTGAAAAAACATTTGATGAAATTCAACATCCTTTCATGATAAAAACCTTCAAAAATACTAGATTTACAAGGAATATTCCCCAACACAATAAAAACCATATATGACAGACTCACAGCTAGTGTCATACTGAATGGGGAAATACTGAAAGCCTTTCCTTAGATCTAGAACATGATGAGGATGTCCACTTTCACTACTCTTATTCAACATAGTACTGGAAGTCCTAGCTAGAGCAATCATACAAGATAAATAAATAAAGGGCATTCAAACAAGAAAGGAAGAAGTCAAATTATCCTTGTTTGAAAATGATATGATATACTTGGAAAAACCTAAAGATTCCACTAAAAACTACCAGAACTGAAAATCAAATTCAGTAAAGTTGCAGGATACAAAATCAACATGAAAAAATCAGTAGCGTTTCTATATTCCAATAGCAAACAATCTGAAACAGAAATTAAAAAGTAATCCCATTTAAAATAGCTATAAATAAAATATAATATCTAAAAATTTACTTAAGCAGACAAATGAAAGACGTCTACAATGAAGAGTATATAAGACTGATCAAATAAATGGAAGAGAACACCAAAAAATGGAAAGATATTCCAAGTTCATGGATTGGAAGAATCAGTATTGTTAAAACGTTTATACTACCTAAGACAATCTACAGATTCTATGCAATCCCTATTAAAATAACAATGACATTCTTCCCAGAAATAGAAAAAGCAATCCTAAAATTTATATGGAACCATAAAAGAACCAGAATAGCTTTGGCTATTCTGGTGAGGATATGGAGAAAAGGAAACCTTCATACACTATTGGTGGGAACGTAAATTAGTATGGCCACTATGGAGAATAGTTTGGAGGTTCCTCAAAAAACTAAAAATAGAGCTACCATATGATCCAACAATCCCACTGCTAGGTATATTCCTTCCAAAAGAAAGGAAATCAGTATATTGAAGAGATATCTTGATGCCCATGTTTTACTGCAGCACTGTTCACAATGGCCAAGATTTGGAAGCAACCTGAGTATCCATCAACAGATAAATGGATAAGGAAAATTTGGTACATATACACAATGGGGTACTACTGAGCCATAAAAAAGAATGAGATCCTGTGATTTGCAACAACATGAATGGAACTGGAGGTCACTATGTTAGGTGAGATAAACCAGGCACAGAAAGGCAAATTTCACCTGTTCTGACACATTTATGGGAGTTAAAAATTAAAACAATTGAACTCGTTAAGACAGAGAATAGAATGATTGTTACCAGAGGCTGAGAAGAGTGGTGCAAGGGGGATGGTTAATGGGTACCAAAATATAGTTAAATAGACTGAAATCTAGTATTTGATAGCACAGCAGGGTGAGTACAGTCAATAATGATTTATTGTCCATTTTAAAATAACTTAAAAAACCTGGATCGTTTGTAACACAAAGAAAGGATAAATACTTGAGTTGATGAATACCCCATTTACCAGATGTGATTATTATGCATTTTATGCCTGTATCAAAATATATCATGTACCCCATAAGTATGTACACCCACTATGTATCCGTAATAATTATAAGAAATGAATAATGACATAGGCAATATTCATTGAATACTAATTAAATGCCAGGGAAGCTTTCAAGCACTGAAAATACAAATATGAATAAGAGACAATCTCTGATCTCCACAATAGTGGAATGGGCAGACAGACATGTAAATTCCTTATTATAATGGTTTGTGATGAACACATTTACCTACAAGGATGGATACAACGCATAATCAGGAACAGACAATAGCACTGAGTCCTATAATACAGCCTGAAATGTGGTAGCTGTGAAATAAGTATTTGTTAAATACATGAATTAGTGACATAATGCAGAATCCGGGAACACTTCATACAAGAAGTACCATTTGAGTAAGGCAGTGCTCACAAGAATTATTTTAAGCACTCAGAGAAGAGAGAGCTCACTGCTTATTGGAGAGAAAACCAACAAAATAATTTTAAAAGACGATGTATAAAGACAATGAATTCTGAAAGACACATCTAGAGACCTACAGAGCCTCCAGGTCTTCAAACCTTTGCAGACTTATGCAATGAGCTATGGTTTGCCAACACTCACTGACCACGAGAATCATCTAAGGAGTGTTTAAAAATGAAATATATTCCTGTGACACAGCCTGATCTCTTAAAGGTACCTCGGCAGGAACCACTAGTTTCAAAAATCTTCCCACATATCTGATATTCATCCCTGATTGAGAACCACTGCATAGACCCTACCCCTCCACAAAAAAAGGCTGTATTGGGATTATCTATTGAGCAGAGAAGGGAAGAGATAGAGAGAAACTCAGCAAGGCCAACCTTTGGTGACCTCCTTTCTCTAATGGCAGCTATTAACAAGTCTTCCCTGCAGCAGAAGCTTACCTTTGAGAGCTCTGCCCGCCAATACTTCAGGTAATATTCGCTATCATTCCAGCTGCCTTTATTGAAGTTGACGTGGGTTATATATTTATTTTGGTCCCCTATATGCACAAAACAAGGTATTGTTCAGAAGTCCTTGAGAAGAATGTCTCACGTATCTGTTCTTGCCATAATGTTACCGTCTAACAAGGTACAGACAAAGAAATGGAAAAGTCGGGAGGCAGTGGGGAAGGAAGAATTGAATTACTTCCCTCACTGCTAAAAAAGAAGCCACAGTCGAGGTGTGTGTACACCACCCTAATCTGATCTGAACAAAGATATAAATGTCCTTTATAAAGCCTTGAGCCGAGGGATCCTCAAATGACTGGGTAAATTTCTGGTACTTCACAGAAAACAGTTTATCCTTAATTTTCAATTTTATTTAAAATGCAAGCCTTCGGTGTCTTTTCACGGTTCAAAGTAATACAGTTCACTGTAAAAAAAATTACACAACACAAAAATGAAACAAAAAATAAAACAAAGTCCTATACACCCCTAAGAGAAACCGTTCTGCTATTTACCTTGTGTTAGTCTGGAAAACTTTGATATACATGTAAGCTAAAATGTTATTACCCCATACATACTATTCTGTAGCCTTTTAAAAATCACTTACTAGCTTGTGGTATTATTTCTATGTCAATGCCTATAAATATAGCCTGTCCTTTAAAATAAACACCTCTTTTTCCATTGTATGGATGGATATTTGGGTTCATGACAGTTTTGCTCTTATAAACAACACTGAAACAAAACACCCTTTGGATACTAATGTGATTATCTCCTTTCACTAAGTGAATTCTTGGGACAAAAAAATGGTGAGTATATTTTAATACAAGCTTGCCTTCTAGGAAAGTTAGTCAATTTAGACTACCTCCACACTGTAGGAAATTGCCTGTTACCTCACATCTTCATCCATTCTTGGGCATTAGCAATCTTTTGAATCTTTGACAGTATGGTAGCTAGAAAAAAATGTACCACCTTATTGTCATTTTAATTTGTACTTCTCTAATTTTTGTGAAGTTAAGCAGCATTTTTCTCTTGTTTACCGACATTTATATGAACTTCTCCTTTTGGAAATTACCAACTTGAGCCCTTTGCCCATTTTAAAATTTATATTTATGTCTGTTCTATTAATTTGTAAAAGTATATTTGCATAAGAATATGATCCTAACATTGTGGCATCTTTGTTATACGCTTTTTAATCATGTTTTTACTGTTGATGTGCCAATTTTATTATTTCTATGTGATCAAATTGATCCATTTTTTTTTTTAATGGAGTAGGACTTTAGGGCCAAACCAAGGAAATCTCTCATACCCTCCCAATATTCAAACTGATTTTTCTATTTTTCCTACAGTAATCACATGGTGTCATTTTTCACATCTAAATTTTAAATCCATCTGGAACTTATTTTTGTTAATGGCATGAGGAAGAAGCCAACCTTGTGAGCCACCCTCCTCTCATTTTCAGACAGCTTCATGTGTTTAGCTATATATATCTTGTAGGTAAATGTTCAGCCTCAGTGAATTTAGTTTCAGATGCAGCTTTTTTTTTCTTGTTTTAAGCTCACATCCTTTGAGTTATGGGAAGACAGGAATAAATTTAGTAGATTTACTCATTACACACTGCATTCCACAGAGGTAAATGGTCCTATATAATCCATTTGTACCAGGTATTGCTCAGTAGAAAGAACACTTACGTAGTCTACTCCATTGCTTTTCAAACTATTCTAAGAATATACCAGACCCCTAATACAAAGTAATGAAAAAGAAATTATATTGATACTGGAATCAACTGCAGTGTTAAAGTAGCTTAAAATCAGACATTCTATCTTTAAAAAAAAGAAAAAAAACTTACAATTTTCCTTTACTTACCTGTCCAAAGAAGGCTTCCCATTCTCAAATATGAGATATCTTAAAGCAAGATTTGATCAAAGCAAGTGTCAAAGATCAAGTGATATTATGATAATTTATAAGTACCTATAATAAATTTAGTGCATCAACTAGTGTATTCAGAAAATAATTCCTGGAAATACATAAAGATGAAAATAAGCACAGCACTTATTTTTGAACAGCATAAAATATATGCATATATATTATATATAAAATGTCTACGGCCATACCATCCTGAACGCGCCTGATCTCGTCTGATCTTGGAAGGTGGATTTTTTTAATATTGAATTTTGAATAAAAAGTTTACTGAAAAGTTCATTCCTATAATTAATAATAAAGTGTAATGTAATTGAAAATTGCTAAGAGAGTAGATTTTAAATGTTCTCATTACCAAACTGATAAGTATGTGAGGCGATTGATATGTTAATTAGCTTTATTTAATCATTCCACAATGTATACCTATGTAAAAACATCACATTGTACACCATAAAGATATATAATTTGTTGTTTTTTCAATCAAAAGTAAAAATAATAAATAGTTTCACCTTTAGAAGTCTGAAACATACTATTTCAAACTCCACTGTTTTGGTTATCTATTGCTGCATAAGAAATTACCACTAAAATTCATTAGCTTAAAACAGTACCCTTTAAAAAAATACATCTCAAAATTTTGAGGGTCACAAATTCAAGCAGGACTCAGCTAGGTGATTCTTCTACTCCATGTGGTGTCAACTGAAGTCATCTGGTGGGATTCAGTTGGCAAATAGGCTGGTCTGGAGGGTCTAAGAAGACTTCACTCACATATCTGTCACCTTGGCAGGGATGCTTTAAAGTCTGTGTTCAGCTAGAACTGTCAATCAGGGTGCCTACATGCAGTCCTTCTAGCATGGTGGTCTCAGGGTAGTTGGATTTCATATGTCTTCAGTCTTTTTATGGACTTCATACATATTCAATCTTTATAAAAAGATTTATAGGTCTGTTAAGATTTTCTATTTCTTCTTAAGGAAGTTGAGGTCGTTTTTGAATTTCTGGGAATTTGTCCATTTTATCTAACTAATTTCATTCATTTGCATATGAATGTTCATAGTATTCTCTTATAATCTTCTCTCTATGAGTTCTGCAGTAATGCTCCCACTTTAATTTCTGAATTTATCAATTTGAGTCTTCTCTCTTTTCTTCTTGATCAGTCTACCTAAAGATTTCTCAATTTTGTTAATATATTCAAAGACTCAACTTTCAACTGCACTGATTCAGTATTTTAAATTTTACATATCTCCATTCTAATCTTTCTTCCTTCCTTCCTTTTTCTATCTTTTGGTTTAGCTTGGTGTTCTTTGCAGTTCCTCAGGGAGCACAGATATATTCTCAATGTGGAATGTTTCTTCTTCTTTTTTCTTTTTTTTTTGAGACAGAGTCTTGCTGTATTGCCCAGCCTGGAATGCAGTGGCATGATCTCCGCTCACCGCAATCTCCAAATCCCAGATTCAAGCAATTCTCCTGCCTTGGCCTCCCAAGTAGCTGGGACTACAGGCGCTCGCCACCATGCCTGGCAAATTTTTATATTTTTAGTAGAGACGGGGTTTCACTATGTTGGCCAGGCTGATCTTGAGCTCCTAACCTCGTGATCCACCCGCCTCAGCCTCCCAAAGTGCTGGGATTACAGGCGTGAGCCACAGCACCCAACCTTTTCTTTTTGAATATAGTCATTTAAAGCTATAAGTTTCCATCTGACGATTGCTTTTGAAATATTCTATAAGTTTTAGTATATTGTGTTTTAATTTGCATTAATCTCAAAGTACCATATAATTTAACTTGTAATTTCTTATTTGACTCATTTGTTGTTTGAGTGTGTTGTTCAATTTCCACGTTTGTGAATTTTCCAGTTTTCTTCCTGCCATTTCATTTCTACTGTGATCATAGAAGATATATAGCAGTGTGAAAAATGGACTAATACACTGACTTAAAAATGTACTACAAATCTATAGTAACGAAAATATCATGGTACTGAAATTAAAACAGACATATAGAATAATGGAACAAAATAGAGATCCCAGAAATAAATCCACACACTTACCCACAAAACAATTTTTGACAAAAATGGCAAGAACACAGTTTGGGGAATGGACTATGTCTTCGATATGTCTTCAATAAATGGTACTGGGAAAACTGGATAGCTATATGCAGAAGAACAAAGCTAGACCTGCATTTCTCACCATAAACAAAAATCAACTCCAAATGGTTTGAAGACTTAAATGTAAGCCTTAAATCAATAAAACTAATAGAAGAAAGCATAAGGGAAGCACTTCATGACAATAATATGGACAAGGATTTTTTAAAATAAGAACTCAAAGTACAGGCGACAAAAGTAAAAACAGACAAATTGGATTACAACAAACTCACAAAATTCTGCACAGCAAAGGAAACAATAAAGTGAAGACAAAATCTACAGAACGGGAAAAATATTTGCAAACTGTGCATCTGAAAAGGGGTTAATATCTAGCATATACAAGGAACATGAACAACTCAATAGTAAAAAAGAAACTAATTAAAAATGGTCAAAAAGACCTGAATAAATATTTCTCCAAAGAAGACATACAAATGTCCAACAATAAAATGAAAAATGCTCAATATCACTAATCATCAGGTAAATGCAAGTGTAAACTACAATGAGATGTTACCTCATCACAATTAGAATGGCTAATACAAAGAAAAGAATACATAACAAACACTGGCATGGATGTAAAGGAAGGGAACACTTACATACTGTTGATGGGAATGTAAATTAGTATAGACATTATGGAAAATACTATGGAGATTTCTCAAAAACATTAAAAATAGAACTACCATATGATCTAGCAGTCTCACTATTGAATATATATCCAAAGAAAAAGAAATCAGTATGTTGAAGAGATATCTGCACTCCTATGTTTATTGCTGCACTATTCATAATAGCCAAGATGAAATCAAGCTAAGCGTCCATCAAAGGATGAATGCATAAATAAAATGTGGTATACATACACAATGCAATACTATTATTTAATAGTATTTTAAAATAATACAATCCTGCCATTTGCAGCAACATGAATGAACCTAGAGGTTATTATGTTAAGTGAAATACGCCCAGAACAGAAAGACAAATACTGCATGATCTCACTCATATGTGGAATCTAAATAAAGTTGAACTCATAGAACTAGAGAGTACAGTAGTGGTTACCAGAGGCTGGAGATGGGGGAGTGGAGAGCAAAATAGGTAGGGATAAATCAAGGGTTACAAAGTTACACTTAGATAGGAGAAATACGTTTGGGTGTTCTATTGCACAGTAGGGTGACTATGATTAACAACATTGTATTGTATATTTCAAAATAGCTAGAAGAAACTATTTTGAATATTCCCTCCACAAAGATATGATAAATGTATGAGATGATGGAAGTGCTAAATACTCTGATTTGATTAGCACACCACATATACATGTATTGAAACATTACACTGTACCTCATAAATATGTACAATTATGTCTCAGTTAAAACAGAAATAAAAAAAGAAAAACAAAATAAAATATATAATATCCTTCCTTGTCACTTATACCACTTTCTATATAAAATCCTATTATTCCATCTAGTACTAGTCCAGCCACCCCAGGTGTCCTTTTTAGTATTTGCATAGAATGCCTTTTCCCATTCTTTTACTTTGAATTTATTTTTGTCTTTGGATCTAAAGTGTCTATTATAGCCAGCATATAGTTAAATCATATTTATAATCCATTGTGCCAATCTCTGCCTTTTGATTGGAGACTTTAATACATTCACATTGAAAATACTTACTGATTTAAAAAGAGGACTTACTTTTGCCATTTTACTTTTTGATTTTTATATGTGTTATAACTATTTTGCTGCTCAATTCCTAAACAATTACCCTCTTTCGTTTGATTAATAGTTTCAATACACTCTTTATCTCTCTTCGTTTCTCTTGATTCTCTATTCATTTCCTCTCTATATATCTTTAAGGGGTTGTTTTAGTGGTTACTCTGGGAATTACAACTAACTTCTTCACTTTAAAATACTCGAATTAATATCAACATAGTTTCAATAGCATCTTAAAAATCCTCTTTAATACCTCTCTCCCATTTGGTATTATCACAAATTATATTGTTATACATTGTGTGCCCATCATGCACTCATATTTCAAATCATCTAGGAAAAAAAGGAGGAGTTATAAACCTAAAATCTAAGACGACCGGCTGTTACGTTTACCTATGCAACTACCATTACCATTATTTTTTATTCCTTTTTATGGCCTTGAGTTCCTTTCATTTCAACCTGAATGAATTCCTTTAGCATACCCCTTAAGGGAGGCCTACTAGTGACAAACTCCCTCCGTCTTTGTTTATCAAAAACAATTTAATTTCTCCTTTATTTTAGAAGGACAGTTTTGCAGATACACAATTCTTGATTTTTTTTCTTCCAGCACTTTAAATATGTCATCCCACTCTCTTTTGGCCTCCACAATTCTAATAAGAAATCAGCTTTTTCCCTGTCTTTTGCATTTTATATTGATATATCATAGTTGCATGTATTTTGTGGGTACATGTGATATTTTGATACATGTATACAATGTGTAATAATAAAATCAGAGTAAATAGGATACCCATCACCTCAAACATTTATCTTTTCCTTCTGTTGGGAATATTACACTTCTTCTTATCCAGCTATTCTGAAATATATGACAAATTATTGTTAAATGTAATTTCCCTGCTGTACTATTGAATACTAGAACTCATCCCTTCTATCTAATTGTATTTATGTACCACTAAACAACTTATCCTTTGCATATGAAAAGTTGCTTCTTGTGCTACTTTCAAGATTCTCACGTTGTGTTTCAAGAGTTTTATGACAGTGTGTCTTGGTGTAAATATATTCTTATAAAATTTTTTCTTTTAATTTTTGCTAATACATACTACGTGTATATATTGGGGTACATAAGATATTTTGGTACAGCAATGCAATGCATAATAATCACATAATGGAAAATGGGGTATCCATCACCTCAAGCATTAACCCTTTGTGTTACAAACAATTCAATTATATACTATTTTAGTAATTTTTCAAAGTACACTTAAATTATTATTGACTTTAGTTCCTCTGTGGTGCTATCAAATACTAGGCCTTATTCATTCTTTCTAACTTTTTCTGTACCCATTAATTAACCATACATCCCTGAGATTCCCACTACCCTTCCCAGCCTCTGGTAATTAACATTCTATTCTCTATCTCCATTAGCTCAATTGTTTTGACTTTTAGATCCCACAAGTAAGTGAGAACACGTGAGAACTGTCTTTCCATGCCTGGCTTATTTCACTTAACATGATGACCTCCAGTTCCATTCATAATGTTGCAAATGAAAAAAATCTCATTATTTTTTATGGCAGGATAGTATACCATTGTGTATATGCACCACATTTTCTTTATCCAGTCATCTGTTGATTGACACTTAGGCAACCTAAGCAACACTTAGGTTGCTTCCAAATGTTAGCAGTTATAAACAGTGCCGCAACAAACACAGGAGTACAGATATCTCTTTGGTATACTGATTTTCTTTCTCTTGGGTATATACCAGCAGCGGGATCCCTGGGTCACCTGATAGGTCCATATTTAGTTTTATGAGGAACCTCAAAACTGTTTTCCATAGTGTTTGTGCTAATTGTAGATTCCAACAAACAGTGTATGAGGGTTCCCTTTCTCCACATCCTCATCAGCATTTGTTATAGCCTCTTTTGAATATATGCCATTTTTAACTGGGGTTAGATGATATCCCATTGTAATTTTTATTTGCATTTCTATGATGAACAATGACATTGAGCACCATTTCAGATGCCTGTTTGTCACTTGTATGTCTCCTTTTGAGAAATATCTATTCAAATCTTTTGCCCATGGTTTAATCAGATTATTAGATTTTTTCCTATACAGTTGTTTCCATTCTTCATATATTCTGGTTATTAATCCCTTATCAGATGGGTAGTTTGCAAATATTTTCTCCCATTCTGTGAGGTGTATCTTCACTTTGTTGATTGTTTCCTTTGCTGTGAAAGAAGCTTTTTAACTTGGTGAGCTCTCATTTCTCCATTTTGTCTTTCATTGCCTGTGTTGGTGGGGTATTACTCAAAAATTTTTTGCATAGCCGAATAAGCTGGAGATAAATCCTACATAGTCATAATGAATAATTTTTTTGTTGTTATACTTTAAGTTTTAGGGTACATGTGCACAACGTGCAGCTTTGTTACATATGTATACATGTGCCATGTTAGTGTGCTGCACCCATTAACTCACCATTTACATTAGGTATATCTCCTAATGCTATTCCTCCCCACTCCCCCCACCCTACAACAGGCCCCAGTGTGTGATGTTCCCCTTCCTGTGTCCATGTGTTCTCATTGTTCAATTCCCACCTATGAGTGAGAACATGCAGTGTTTGGTTTTTTGTCCTTAAAATAGTTTGCTGAGAATAATGGTTTCCAGCTTCATCCATGTCCCCACAAAGGACATGAACTCATCCTTTTTATGGCTGCATAGTATTCCATGGTGTATATGTGCCATATTTTCTTAATCCAGTCTATCATTGTTGGACATTTGGGTTAGTTCCAAGTCTTTGCTATTGTGAATTGTGCCGCAATAAACATACATGTGCATGTGCCTTATAGCAGCATGATTTAAAGTCCTTTGGGTATATACCCAGTAATGGGATGGCTGGGTCAAATGGTATTTCTAGTCCTAGATCCCTGAGGAATCGCCACACTGACTTCCACAATAGTTGAACTAGTTTACAGTCCCACCAACAGTGTAAAAGTGTTCCTATTTCTCCACATCCTCTCCAGCACCTGTTGTTTCCTGACTTTTTAATGATCACCATTCTAACTGGTGTGAGATGGTATCTCACTGATACCATCTCATTGAGGTTTTGATTTGCATTTCTCTGATGGCCAATGATGATGAGCATTTTTTCATGTGTCTTTTGGCTGCATAAATGTCTTCTTTTGAGAAGTGTCTGTTCATCTCCTTCACCCACTTATTGATGGGGTTGTTTGTTTTTTTCTTGTAAATTTGTTTGAGTTCATTGTAGATTCTGGATATTAGCCCTTTGTCAGATGAGTAGATTGCAAAAATTTTCTCCCATTCTGTAGGTCGCCTGTTCACTCTGACGGTAGTTCTTTTTGCTGGACAGAAGCTCTTTAGTTTAATTAGATCTCATTTGTCAATTTTGGCTTTTATTGCCATTGCTTTTGGTGTTTTAGACATGAAGTCCTTGCCCATGCCTATGTCCTGAATGGTATTGCCTAGGTTTTCTTCTAGGGTTTTTATGGTTTTAGGTCTAACATGTAAGTCTTCAATCCATCTTGAATTAATTTTTGTATAAGGTATAAGGAAGGGATCCAGTTTCAGCTTTCTACATATGGCTACCCAGTTTTCCCAGCACCATTTATTAAATAGGGAATCCTTTCCCCATCACGTGTTTTTGTCAGGTTTGTCAAAGATCACATAGTTGTACATATGTGGCATTACGTCTGAGGGCTCTGTTCTGTTCCATTGGTCTATATCTCTGTTTTGGTACCAGTACCATGCTGTTTTGGTTACTGTAGCCTTGTAGCATACCTTGAAGTCAGAAAGCGTGATGCCTCCAGCTTTGTTCTTTTGGCTTAAGATTGACTTGGCAATGCAGGCTCTTTTTTGGTTCCATATGAACTTTAAAGTAGTTTTTTCCAATTCTGTGAAGAAAGTCATTGGTAGCTTGATGGAGATGGCATTGAATCTATAAATTACCTTGGGCAATATGGCCATTTTCACGATATTGATTCTTCCAATCCATGAGCATGGAATGTCCTTCCATTTGTTTCTGTCCTCTTTTATTTCATTCAGCAGTGGTTTGTAGTTCTCCTTGAAGAGGTCCTTTACATCCCTTGTAAGTTGGATTCCTAGGTATTTTATTCTCTTTGAAGCAATTGTGAATGGGAGTTCACTCATGATTTGGCTCTCTATTGGTCTGTTATTGGTGTATAACAATGCTTGTGATTTTTACGCATTGATTTTGTATCCTGAGACTTTGCTGAAGTTGCTTACCAGCTTAAGGAGATTTTGGGCAGAGACAATGGGGTTTTCTAGATATACAATCATGTCATCTGCAAACAGGGACAATTTGACTTCCTCTTTTCCTAATTGAATACCCTTTATTTCCTTCTCCTGCCTGATTGTCCTGGCAAGAACTTCCAACACTATGTTGAATAGGAGTGGTGAGAGAGGGCATCACTGTCATGGGCCAGTTTTCAAAGGGAATGCTTCCAGTTTTTGCCCACTCAGTATGATATTGGCTGTGGGTTTGTCATAGATACCTCTTATTATTTTGAGATACGTCCCATCAATACCTAATTTATTGAGAGTTTTTAGCATGAAGGATTGTTGAATTTTGTCAAAGGCCTTTTCTGCATCTGTTGAGATAATCATGGGGTTTTTGTCATTGGTTCTTTTATATAATGCATTATGGTTATTGATTTGCGTATGTTGAACCAGCCTTGCATCCCAGGGATGAAGCCCACTTGATCATGGTGAATAAGCTTTTTGATGTGATGCTGGATTCGGTTTGCCAGTATTTTATTGAGGATTTTTTCATCAATGTTCATCAGGGATATTTATTTAAAATTATCTTTTTTTGTTGTGTCTCTCCCCGGCTTTGGTATCAGGATGATGTGGCCTCATAAAATGAGTTAGGGAGGAGTCCCTCTTTTTCTATTGATTGGAATAGTTTCAGAAGGAATGGAACCAGCTCCTCCTTGTACCTCTGGTAGAATTCGGCTGTGAATCCATCTGGTCCTGGACTTTTTTTGATTGGTAAGCTATTAATTATTGCCTGAATTTCAGAGCCTGTTATTCAGAGATTCAACTTCTTCCTGGTTTAGTCTTCGGAGGGTGTGTGTGTCCAGGAATTTATCCATTTCTTCTAGATTTTCTAGTTTATTTGCATAGAGGTGTTTATAGTATTCTCTGATGGCAGTTTGTATTTCTGTGGGATTGGTGGTGATATCCCCTTTATCATTTTTTAGTACGTCTATTTGATTCTTCTCTCTTTTCTTATTTGTCTTGCTAGCGGTCTATCAATTTTGTTTTTTTTTTCAAAAAGCAGCTCCTAGATTCATTGATTTTTTGAAGGGTTTTTTGTGTCTCTATCTCCTTCAATTCTGCTCTGATCTTAGTTATTTCTTGCCGTCTGCTAGCTTTTGAATGTGTTTGGTCTTGCTTTATTTCTGCCTTCATTTCGTTACATACCCAGTAGTCATTCAGGAGCAGGTTGTTCAGTTTCCATGTAGTTGAGCGGTTCTGAGGGAGTTTCTTAATCCTGAGTTCTAGTTTGATTGCACTGTGGTCTGAGAGACAGTTTGTTATAATTTCTGTTCTTTTACATTTGCTGAGGAGTGCTTTGCTTCCAACTATGTGGTCAATTTTGGAATAGGTGTGGTGTGCTGCTGAAAAGAATGTATATACTGTTGATTTGGGGTGGAGAGTTCTGTAGATGTCTCTTAGGTCTGCTTGGTGCAGAGCCGAGTTCAATTCCTGGATATCCTTGTTAACTTTCTGCCTCGTTGATCTGTCTAATGTTGACACTGGGGTGTTAAAGTCTCCCATTATTATTGTGTGAGAATCTAAGTCTCTTTGTAGGTCTCTAGGGACTTGCTGTATGAATCTGGGTGCTCCTATATTGGGTGCATATATATTTTGGATAGTTAGCTCTTCTTGTTGAATTGATCCCTTTACCATTATGTAATGGCCTTCTTTGTCTCTTTTGATCTTTGTTGGTTTAAACTCTGTTTTATCAGAGACTAGGATTGCAACCCATGCCTTTATTTGTTTTCCATTTGCTTGGTAGATCTTCCTCCATCCCTTTATTTTGAGCTTATGTGTGCCTCTGCACGTGAAATGTGTTTCCTGAATACAGCACACTGATGGGTCTTGACTCTTTATCGAATTTGCCAGTCTCTGTCTTTTAATTGGAGCATTTAGCCCATTTACATTTAAGGTTAATATTGTTATGTGTGAATTTGATCCTGTCATTATGATGTTAGCTGGTTATTTTGCTCGTTAGTGGATGCAGTTTCTTCCTAGCCTCGATGGTCTTTACAATTTGGCATGTTTTTGCAGTGGCTGGTACCAGTTGTTCCTTTCCATGTTTAGTGCTTCCTTCAGGAGCTCTTTTATGGCAGGGTTGGTGGTGACAAAATCTCTCAGCATTTGCTTGTCTGTAAAGGATTTTCTTTCTCCTTCACTTATGAAGCTTAGTTTGGCTGGATATGAAATTCTGGGTGGAAAATTCTTTTTATTAAGAATGTTGGCCGGGCGCGGTGGCTCACGCCTGTAATCCCAGCACTTTGGGAGGCCGAGGCGGGTGGATCACGAGGTCAGGAGATCGAGACCATCCTGGCTAACAAGGTGAAACCCCGTCTCTACTAAAAATACAAAAAATTAGCCGGGCGTGGTAGCGGGCGCCTGTAGTCCCAGCTACTCGGGAGGCTGAGGCAGGAGAATGGCGTGAACCCGGGAGGCGGAGCTTGCAGTGAGCCGAGATCGCGCCACTGCACTCCAGCCTGGGCGACAGAGCGAGACTCCGTCTCAAAAAAAAAACAAAAAAAAAAAAACAAAAAAAAAGAATGTTGAATATTGGCCCCCAGTATCTTCTGGCTTATAGAATTTCTGCCGAGAGATCCACTGTTAGTCTGATGGGCTTCCCTTTGTGGGTAACCCCACCTTTCTCTCTGGCTGCCCTTAACATTTTTTCCTTCATTTAGACTTTGGTGAATCTGACAATTATGTGTCCAATCTTTTTTCAAGATTTTTAACTTCTTTGCCATTAGTTAGAACTTCCTCCTTTAGCTCAGAGTAGTTTGATCATCTGAAGCCTTCTCTCAACTCGTCAAAGTCATTCTCTGTCCAGCTTTGTTCCATTGCTGGTGAGGAGCTCTGTTCCTTTGGAGGAGGAGAGGCGCTCTGATTTTTATAATTTTCCGTTTTTCTACTCTGTTTCTTCCCCATCTTTGTGGTTTTATCTACCTTTGGTCTTTGATGATGGTGACGTACAGATGGGGTTTTAGTGTGGATGTCCTTTCTATTTGTTAGTTTTCCTTCTAACAGTCGGGACCCTCACCTGCAGGTATGTTGGACTTTGCTGGATGTCCACTCCAGACCCTGTTTGCCTGGGTATCAGCAGGGGAGGCTGCAGAACAGCGGATATTGGTGAACAGCAAATGTTGCTGCCTGATCGTTCCTCTGGAAGTTTTGTCTCAGAGGAGTACCCGGCCGTGTGAGGTGTCAGTCTGCCCCTGCTGGAGGGTGCCTCCCAGTGAGGCTACTTGGGAGTCAGGGACCCACTTGAGGAGGCAGTCTGTCCATTCTCAGATCTCAAGCTGCATGCTGGGAGAACAACTACTCTCTCAAAGCTGTCAGACAGGGAGGTTTAACTCTGCAGAGGTTTCTACTGCCCTTTGTTTGGCTATGCCCTGCCCCCAGAGGTGGAGTCTACACAGGCAGGCAGGCCTCCTTGAGCTATCATGGGCTCCAGGCAGTTCAAGTTTCCCGGCCGCTTTATTTACCTACTCGAGCCTCAGGAATGGCGGGCGCCCCTCTACCAGCCTCGCTGTGGCCTTGCAGTTTGATCTCAGACTGCTGTGCTAGCAATGAGCAAGGCTCCGTGGGCGTAGGACCCTCTGAGCCAGGCGTGGGTTACAATCTCCTGGTGTGCCGTTTGCTAAGACCGTCGGAAAAGTGCAGTATTAGGGTGGGAGTGACCTGATTTTCCAGGTGCCGTCTGTCACCCCTTTCCTTGGCTAGGCAACGAAATTCCCTGACCCCTTGCACTTCCTGGGTAAGGCGATGCCTCGCCCTGCTTTGGCATATGCTCAGTGCGCTGCACCCACTGTCCGACAATCCCCAATGAGATGAACCCAGTACCTCAGTCGGAAATGCAGAAATCACACGTCTTCCGCATCGCTCACGCTGGGAGCTGTAGACTGAAGCTGATCCTATTTGGCCATCTTGGCTCCACCCGAATAATATTTTTAATGTACTGTTGAATTTGGTTTGCTAGTATTTTGTTGAGAATTTTTGCATCAATATTCATCAGAGATATTGGCCTATAGTGATCTTTTCTTTATGATGTGTCTTTGCTGGGTTTTCATATCAGGGTAATATTGGCCTCATAGAATGAGTTTGAAGGTATTCCTGCCTCCTCTGTTTTTCAAAACAGTTTGAGTAGCATTGGTGTTAGCTCTTCTTTAGACATTTGGTAGAATACAGCACTGAAGCCATTGTGTCCTGGGCTTTTCTTTACTGGGAGACTTTTTATTTTGGTTTCAATCTCATTACTGGTTGCTGGTCTGTTCATATATCAGATTTCTTCATGGTTAAATCTGGGTAGCGTCTGGGCACGGTGGCTCACGCCTGTAATCCCAGCACTTTGGGAGGCGGAGGCAGGCGAATCACGAGGTCAGGAGATCGACACAATCCTGGCTAACACAGTGAAACCCCGTCTATACTAAAAATATAAAAAGTTAGCCAGGCGCGGTGGCGGGCGCCTGTAGTCCCAGCTACTCAAGAGGCTGAGGCAGGAGAATGGCGTGAACCCAGGAGGCAGAGCTCACAGTGAGCCAAGATCATGCATGCCACTGCACTCCAGCCTGGGCGTCAGAGCCAGACCCTGTCTCCAAAAAATAAAAAATAAAAAAAATCTGGGTAGGTTGTATGTATCTACAAGTTTTCCCATTTCTTCCAGATTTCCCGATTTACTGGCATAAAGTGTTTCATAGTGGCCACTAAAGATCCTTGGAATTTCTGTGATATCAGTTTTAAGGTCTGCTTTTTCATCTCTGATTTTATTTAGTGGGGTCTTCTCTCCTTTTTTTCTTAGTTTGTCTAGAGGTTCATCAATTTTGTTTATCTTTTGAAAAACTACCTTTTGTTTTGTTGCTCTTTTGTATTTTTTATTTCAATTTTATTTATTTCTGCTCGGATCTTTATTATTTCTTTTCTACTATTAATTTTCAGTTTGGTTTCCTCTTGCTTTTCTAGTTCAAGATGCATCCTTAGATTGTTTGTTTGAAGTTTTTTCTCTTTTTTGATGTAGGCATTTATAGCTATAAAATTCCCTCTTAGTCTCTCAGTACTGCTTTCACTGTATCCCATAGGTTTTGGTATGCTGTGTTTCCATTATAGTTTGTTTCAAAAAGTTTTTCAATTTCCTTCTTAATTTCTTCATTGACTGGTCATTCAGGAGCATATTGTTTAATTTCTGTATGTTTGTATAGTTTCCAAAATTCCTCTTGTTATATTCCTAGTTTTATTCCATTGTGGTCAGAGAAAATGCTTGATATTATTTCAATTTTTTTAATGTTTTAAGACTTGTTTTGTGATATAGCATATAGTCTATTCTTAAGAATGATCCATGTGGTAAGGGGAATAAGGTGTATTCTGCAGCCATTAAATAAAATGTTCTGTAAATATCTATTAGGTCCATTTGTTCTATAATGCAGATTAAGTCTGAAGTTTCTTTGTTGAATTTATGTCTGGGACATCTCTCGAATCCTGAAAGTGGGGTGTTGAAGTCTCCAGCTATTATACTATTGGGGTCTACTTCTCACTTAAGCTGTAATAATATTTGCTGTATATATCTGGGTGCTGCAGTGTTGGGTGCATGTATCCTTACAATCATTATATCCTCTTGCTGAATTTACCCCTTTACCATTATATAACGACCTTCTTTGTCTCAACTTACAGTTTTTGTCTTAAAATCTATTTGTCTGATGTAAGAATGGTGACTCCTGCTCCTTTTTGGTTTCCATTGGGATGGAGTTGCTTTTTCCATCCCTTTACTTTCAGTCTATGTATATCCTTACAAGTGAAGTCAGTTTCTTGTAGGCAGCAGGTCATTGGGTCTTGTTTTTTCATACATTCAGCCATTCTGTGTCTTTTGTTTTAGTCCTTTATCATTCGATGTTATTATTGATAAGTGAGGACTAGCTCTTGCCATTTTGTTATTTGTTTTCTGATTATTTTGCCATCTTCTCTTCCTTCTTTCTTTCCTTCCTGCCTCCCCTTTAACGAAGGTAATTTTCTCAGGTGGTATGTTTTAATTTCTTGATTATTATTTTTTGTATATCTGTGGCATGTTTTTTGATTTAAGGTTACCATGAGGCTTGCCAATACTATATTATAAACCATTATTTTAAACTGATGACAACTTAACACTTATTTGTAGGTCTCTTTGAATTATCCTGTTTCAAGGTCGTTATGCTTCTTGGATGTATAGATTCCTGTGCTTCATCAAATTTGTTGAGTTTCTGTCCTTTATTTTTTTTAAATATTCTTTTTTTGTCTTTTTACTCTCTACTATTCCTCTTTCTCTGTGACTCCCAGGAAGTCTATATTTGTTTGTTTTGTTCCTCACAGGTCTCATAGACTCTGTTCAATTTTTCATTATTTTCTATTTCTGCTTCTCAAACTGGATTATGTCAATTGACGCATCTTCAAGTTCACTGGATCTTTCTTTTGCCTGATCAAATCTGCTGTTGAATCCCCCTAATGAATCTTCATTTCAGTTATTTTACTTTTCATCTTCATTATTTCTGTTTGGCTCCTTTTTATGATTTCTTTCTCTTTATTGAAATATCCTACTTGGTGAGATATTTAGTTCTTTGTCCATGGTTTCCTTTGGCTCTTTGAGCATGTTTTATGCAGCTGTTTTAAAGTTTTTATCTACTGAGGCCAATGCGTGGGCTTCCTCAATGACAATTTGTATTAACTTCTCTTTCATTGGGAACGAATCATATTTCTTGTTTCTTGAAGGCATCATGTATTTTTGCTGAAAAGAGAATTTTTTGAATATTATAACATCTCAACTTGGACATCAGATTCTCCTTCCTCCATGCTATTCATTATTTCTCTTGTTGTGACTTGTTGTTTGGTTAGTGACTTTTCTAAACTTTTAAAAGTAAATTTTATATTATTTGCCATGTGCAGCCACTGAAGTATGTGTTTTATAACTTAGAGTTCAGACTGTGTTTTTAAAGAGAGTGCCTTAAATGACTGGAACTAATACAAAAAGGAAGGAAAGAAAAGAAAAAGAAAGAGACTCTCCAAGACACTGGATTGGTTCAGGGTTGGCATATCACTTTAATGCTTAGCCAGGCCACTTTCACCTCTGCTTTAGTCTTCACTTCCTTTTTGTAAAGAGCCTGAAAGTCAGCCACAGATAAAACCTTAGGGTAGTTCTAAGCCTTCTCCAAGCACACATCCAGTTGTGAGCATGTACATGCCCTTCTCTATTCCTCAGTACATGTGATTGCATTTAAATGTTTTTATTCCTCTTTGTATTTCCTTTCAACCTTTTTCTTCCAAGGCTTTTGTTTGTTTGTTTCTCTATCTTTTGTGTCAACAATTATCACTTGACCCATGTGGCCAAATTCTGCACTTCGTTTATTCAGAAATGAAAAATGTTAAGCCATCACATTCTTGGGAATTCTCTGACTCTGGTAAAACAAAGACAAGCCCTTGCACCCGTCTTTGAGGTTTCCACAAGAGAGATAAATCCACAACCAATCATTCTTTGAAATAAGTCCGTATCTCCCCCTCTGGCACTAGCAACCTGCACCAGGAGTACAGGCTGCCATTTTCATAGACACCGGCTATCTGTAAGTAAGGAATGGCAAGTGGGAAACAAAATGCCACAGTGCTATCTTAACACAGTGCTATGGCAGCTTCTTTCTTCCTAAAGATTTCCCCTGATTGCTTTAACTTTTTATTTGTGAGTTCTGTGAAAGTTGATACTCTCCATTTTTTGCAGCTAATATTATTTTTTGTGGAGGGACAAAGCCCTGGAATTCACTACTCTGCCAATTTAGGTGATATCTATGAGTTATTTTTTGAGTAGTGGTTACAATTTCAGAACCAAATTTTAGTGTTTGAAGAAGCTTAGAAGTTAACCAACCTAACCATCCTACATTCAGATGAAGTGAGAATGTTCTTTACAACATCCTAGCTAATAATGCCTATAATTGTTGAAGGAACTTCTATGTGCCAGAAACTTAACATTTGTCATTTTGATAATAACATCTTAAGATAAACATTGTTGTCTCCTCTTTTTAGCTGAGAAAATCAAAGTCCATAAAGGTTCAGAAAATTTTACAAGATCATCAAGGATTTGAACCCAGGTTTAACTGACTTCAAAGACCAGTCTTTCCATCCTGCCACACTACTGCTCCCTACTTCATATACCAGTGAGCTCACTTAAGCAATAGATAGTTTGGTATAAAGATGACCCCCCAGTAGTCAGAAGTGTAATGATTAGAACAAACTATCTCTAAAATCCTTTTCCTCATAAATTCCACTTAGTGAACCTCTAGGCCTATCATCTAGAGGAATGCAGAAAAAATCACACACACTTCAACAACTATCTGGAGAGAATTATCTTAACCCTTTTTAGTCTTCTTTACCCCAGAATGAACACCCTCAGTTATTTCAACCCCTCCTTATATAACATTGATATAACTCAATGAACCATTTTTTAAGTTATCTGTCAGATTATTCTGTTTTGTCACAGTCCAACTAAACAAGGATGAGACCAATAATAGCATGCACCACTCCAGAGGAGACTTGATGGCATGCAGGGAGACTGGGTTGCTCTTCTGTTTATGTTGACCATGATTTCGTTACCTTTTTAAGAAAGTATAGCATACTGATGGCTCATATTGAGCTTGCAGTTAACCCACATTCTTGAAAAAAGCTACCTCCAAGCCAGCTCACTTGCCTTCTATAGTTCTGCACTTGATTTTCCATAAGCTAAAATATAGGCATGTACATTTATCCATGATTAATTGGAACCTTTTAGTTTTAAATTAATATTTATGCCCATCAAGGACATTTTTAATATTAATTTCATTATCTCTGGTCTCTGTCAGTTATGTATCATCTAAAAAGCTGATAAATATGCTGATATTTTGTTAAGCACCACACTATTCTCCAGATCAACATCAATACATTAACCAAGGCTCTTTGATCAACCAGCTGTGAATTATACTTAAAGGTGCAATGACCACTCCCATGTCTCACCTGCCCATAGCAGTGTCATGAGAGCGATTTTCAGATGCTCTACTAATATCAAGATGTATCATGTTTATAGTGTTTTTCTATTCTTCTAATCTAGCAATAGTCTCTGAAAAGGAATAAAACTAGGGCATTCTTCTTTTTAAATAAATGCTAAATCCTTCCTTTTAAAAGCATTATAATAAAAATCACCTAATTGATCAATATTCTACCCTAAAATTTTTAAAGTATTTATCAGAATTGACTATATTTCCCTTTTCGAAAGCACAAAACTATTTTGTATTTTAATATCTCTGGTTGTCTCATATAATTTATAAATTTATAAACATTAATAAATTTTAAAAGATTATTTACCACAACTGATTAAAATAAGGAGTAACTAAAAACAACCTAAATCTCCAACAACAGGGGTTTGGTAAAGCAAATCATCGTGGATTTATTAGAGTGGAATTCCGGTTTAAAATTTATAGTATCTGGAATGACCTTAGTAAGATGGCAGAATAGGAAGCCCCAGGCTTTATTCCTCCAAGGAGAAACTGACTTAACAGTATATAGTCCAAAAAGCCTTATGAGAACTCCAGGAACAAGTTAAGAAGTTACAGTACCCCAGGAAAGCACAAAGCCAAGTACAGTCACATTGAAACAGGTCCGAAAAGCCATTGTGTTTACCTATGGTAGCCCCTCCCCTAAGTCAGCACAGCTTGGCATGATTAGGAGAAAATGACGAAATCATAGCTTCTCTCTTGAAAGGAAAAAAGAATGGAATATATTAGGTTGGTGCCATTACTTTCCATGGCAAAAACCACTGTTATTTTATACCACCTAATATGTCTACCATTCTAGCCTTTCAGGGGGCTTCCAGAAAAGGATTGGTTTGCCTCGCCTGAACTAAATCATTGATGGGTTAATGGCAAATTTCCTTGGGTTGCAGAGAACAAAAGTGACCTTGGCAGCTTGTTGCAGTGCCAAAGAACCTGCAGCACTTCAAACAGATACCAGAGAAAGCAAGAGAAAACAAGCTCCTGAAAAAGGAATAAGCAAACCTCTTTAATTATGAAATTATATGCACAAGCCCAGAGAAAATGTATAGCCAGAAGAGGGTTGAAAGGGCCCCAGTATCTCTAGCCTGGTTTATTGGTGAAGGTCTTTCCCTGTATAAAGCCAGTCCATAAAGACTGGGAGAGGTGGTTGTTTTTTCAAATGCCAAAATTACAGGAAAAAAAAAAATACAAGGCATAGGAAGAAACAGGAAAACATTGCCCAATTAAAGAACCAAAGTAAATCTCCAGAAACTGATCATAAAGAAATAGAGATCTATGAATTTCTAGACTAAAAATGCAAAATAATTGTCTTTAAAAGCTCAATGAAATCCAAGACAACACAGAAAACTAACAAAAATTAGAAAAATGAGGCATGAGCAAAATGAGAATATCAACAGAGATAGAAACTCTTTAAAAGAATCAAGCTGAAATTCTGGAGCTAAAAAATACAATAACTGAATTGAAAAACTTGCTAGAGGACTTCAGCAGACTAGATCAAGCCGAAAAAAGAAGTCAGTAAACTTGAAAACATTCATTTGAAATTATCACATCAAAGGAACAAAAAACCTGAAGAAAAGGGAAGAAGGTCTAAGGGACTTATGGGACACCATACAAAGGATCAATTTATGAAATATGGGCGTCTCAGAAGGAGAAGATCAAGAGAAAAAGGAGCAGTGAGATTATTTGGAGAAATAATGGCTGAAAACTTCCCAAATCTAAGAAAGAAAATGGCTGAAAACTTCCCAAATCTAAGACAGAAAATTCTAAAAGCTCAAAGAGTTCCACCTAGGATGAAACTAAAGAGATCCACAGTGAGAGACATTATAATCACTATCAAAAGTCAAAGAGAGAATCTTGAAAGCAGCAAGAGAAACAACTCATCAAGTACAAGAGAGCTCCCATAAGATCATCAGCAGGTTTCTCAGGAGAAACCTAGGCCAGAAAGGAGTGAGATTATGTATTCAAAGTGAAAAAAAATTCTGCCAACCAGGAACACTACATCCCACAAATGTCCTTGGAAAATGACAGAAAAATAAAGACCTTTACATATAAACAAAATCTGATAAACTTCATCATCACTATATCTGCCTTACAAGAAATGCTAAAGAGAGTCTTTCACATTGAAACAAAAGGAAGCTACGTACCAACACAAAACTATACAGAAATATGAAGCTCTCTGGTAAAAGTAAATACAGCCAGCCCTCCATATCCATGGGTTCTGCATCCATGGATTCAACCAATTGTGGATCAAAAATATTCAGAAAAATGGCCAGGTGCAGTGGCTCACGCCTGTAATCCCAGCACTTTGGGAGGCTGAGGCAGGAGGATCACTTGAGGTCAGGAGTTCCAGAGCAGCCTGGCCAACATGGTGAAACCTGTCTCTTCTAAAAATACAAAAATGACTCAGGCATGTTGGCGCGCACCTATAGTCCCAGCTACTCAGGAGGCTGAGACAAGAGAATCACTTGAACCTGGGAGGTGGAGATTGCAGTGAGCTGAGATCATGCCACTGCACTCAAGGCTGGGTGACAGTGAGACTCCACCTCAAAAAAAAAAAAAAATTCAGAAAAAAAATCCCAGGCCACACACAGTGGTTCACACCTATAATCTCAGCATGTTGGAAGACTGAGGCAGGAGGATTGCTTGAGCCCAAGAGTTCAAGGCTAGCCTAGGCAACAAATTGAGAACCTGGAGAATGCTCTGTATGCACTTGAGAAGAATGTGATTAATAAGGAAACAGAGGACTTGAATGCTGCAGAACAACTGGACCTAGAAGACTTGTACAAAACACTCCAAGCAAAACAGCAGAATACACATCCTTCTAAAGGGCATACAGAACATTCTCCAGGGCAAATCACATATTAGGCCACAAAACAAGTTTTAAAAAATGTAAGAAAGTATCTTTTCCAACTACAGTGAAATAAAACTAGAAATCAATAGCAGAAACACTGGAAAATCATAAACACGTGAAAATTTAAAAACAGACTCCTGAACAAATAATAGGTCAAAGAGCAATACATAAGGGAAGGTAGAAAATACCTCATGACAAATGAAAACAAAAATGCATATTAAAACCTATGGGATGCAGCAAAGGAAGTCCTAAGAAGGAAATTTATAATAGTATAAATTATATACAAAAAGAAGAAAAATCTCAAATTAACAACCTGACTTTACACCTCAAGGAATGAAAAAAAAAAAAAGAAGTAAATAAAATCAAAGTTAAAAGAAGGAAATAAGACACATTGGAGAAGAAATAAAAAGAAAGTAGAAAACAATGAACACATCAATAAAACTGAGGGTTAGCTTTTTGAAAAGATCAACAAATTGACAAATACTTTTGAGATAGACTAATGAACAAAAGAAAAACACTCAATAAAAACAGAAATGAAAGATGAGACATTGCAACTGATACCACAGAAATAAAAAGCATCAAAAGAGACTGCTATGAAACAATTGAACGATTATAGGCCAACAAATTAGAAAAAATGCAGAGATTCCTAATAACATATACCTACCAAGATTAAATATGAAGAAATTAAAAATCTGAACAAACCTATAATTGGTAACCAGATTGAATACATAATCAAAAACCTCCCAACAAAGAGAAACTCATGACCAGATGGCTTCACTGAAGACTTCTGCCAAACATTTAAAAAAGAATTAACACCAATCTTTCTCAAACTATTCCAAAAATTGAAGGGAATATTTCCAAATTTATTTTTATGAGGCCAGAATTATCCTGATATCAAACCCAGACAAAGATACTAAAAGAAAACAACAGAGCATTATTGCTGATAAATATTGATTCAATAATCCTCAACAAAATACTACCGAATCAAATTCAGCAGCATTTTAAAAGGATTATATTCCATGACCAAGTGGGATTTATTCCTGACATCTAAGGAAGATTTTATATATAAAAATCAACAACTGGGATACACCACATTAACAGAATGAAGGACAGAAAGCACATGATCATCTCCATTGATGTAGAAAAGCATTTGACAAAATTTGACACACTTTCATAATAAAAACACTCAATAAACTAGTAATAAAAGGAAATTACCTCAACATAATAAATGTCATATATAAAAAAATCAACAACAGCTAACATCATACTCAACATTAAAAAAAAAATTTACTCTAAGATCAGGAACCAGACAAGAATGCCTACTCTGGCCAAATCTATTCAACATAGTACTGAATGTACTAGCCAGAGCTATTAAGCAAGAAAAATAAATAAAAGGCATTAAATTGGAAATGAAGAAGTAAAATTATACCTGTTTGCAGATGACATGATCTTGTATGTACAAAACCCTAAAGATTCCACACACAAAAAACTGTTAGAATAAGGCTGGGCACAGTGGCTCATGCCTGTAATCCCAGCACTTTGGGAGGCTGAGGCAGGAGGATTGCTTGAGCCCAGGAGTTGAAGACCAGCCTAGGCAACATAGACAGCTTCATCTCTACAAATAATTTAAAAATTAGACAGGCATGGTGACATACATCTGTGGTCCCAGCTGCTAAGGAGGCTCAGGTGAGAGGCCTGCTTGCACCTGGACAATTGAGGCTAAAATGAGCTGTGATCATGCCACTGCACTCCAGCCTGGGAAACAGAGTGGGATTCTGTCTTAAAAAAGAAAAAAAAACTTGTTAGAATAAACAAATTCAGCAAAGTTGCGGAACATAAAATCAACATGCAGAAATAAGTTGTGTTTCTATACACTAACAACAAAAAATCTAAAAATTCTGCAACTCAAAATGAAACAAAATAAATATCTTGATTGAGAAATGAGCAAAGGACTTGTATAGACATTTCTCCAAAGAAGAAATGAAATGGCCAATAAACATATGAAAATATTTTCAACATCACTAATCATTAAGTAAAAGCAAATCAAGACCACAATGAGATACCATTTTATACTCATTATTAGGATGGCTATTTAAAAAATAGAAAACAAGTGTGGGCAAGGTTGTACATAAATTAAAACCCTGTGTGGTGTTTGGTGGGAATGGTGTAGCTCTATGGAACACAGTATGGAGTCCCCTTTAAAAATTAAAATAGAATTACCATATAATCCAGCAATCCCATGTCTGAGTATATACGTAACAGGATTGGAAACTGGATCTCAAGGAGATATTTGCACATCATTGTTTGATGTAGCATTATTTATAACAGCCAAAGAGTCAATGCCCATCAAAAAATGACTGAATAAAGAAAATGTGTTATACGCATAAAATGAAATATTATTCATCTTTAAAAGAGAAGGAAATCCTGCAATATACAACATGGATGAACCTTGAGAACATTATGATGAGTGAAATAAACCATTCACATGAAGATAAATACTGCATGATTTCATTTGTATAAGGAATCTAAGGTTGTCAAACTCTCAGAAACAGAATGTAGACTCGTGGTTGCCAGGGGTTGGGTGGCGAGGGGGTGAAGGGAATAGTTCAAACACTATAGAGTTTCAGGTTTTCAAGATGAAGAAATTTCAGAAGTCTGTCACACAACAATGTGCATATAGTTAACCCTAATGTACTTTACAGTTAAAAAGAGTTAAAATGGTACATTTTACGTCGATGTTTTACCACAGTTAAAAGTTATGGCACTGATATAGTTCCTGATATGAAAATAAGTTAAAAGTACAAACCATAAATAGCATAAGTGGAATAATCTCACTTTTTAACAAAGCAGGTAGGTAGTAGGTATAAGAATACAGCATAGACATAAGAGGGAGAGAGAGAGGTGCTATGTCTTTGTAGTGGTTAATGTATCTCCATTAGCCCTTTATTCACAAGCTCTTTCCACACATATAAACAACACTCAAGTCTCCTTTTCATTTTTTTAAATTCTCAAATTCATGATCCCCAATGAATTATCCTGTCTCTCTCCTTTTCCTCAAAAAAAGCCGAGCTTCTAGAAAAAGTAATATATATTCACGTTCAGCACCCCATCGTCTCTCATTGACTTTTTGGTGATGTAGTTTCCGTGTCCTCCACCCTACAGAAACAAGTCTTTCCTCAGGCAACCCTTCTGAATCCCTGACACTGATAATTCTGCTTATTCTGCTTGTGTTACTCTCGTCTCCGCTGGTTTTCCTTCATTCCTCTTTAAGTCACACCATTTCAGTTGCCTTTCAAAGTGTGCTTTTTAAACGCCTCCATCTTGAATGTTGGTGTTTCCCAGGGCTCTATCCTTGACCATTGAGAAGACACTTGGCATTTTTATGGCTAATCTTTCTCCCCTATGATTTGAACCTAGCCAGTTTCCCAGTATATATTCTGAAAATGCAAGAAGCTTGCTTCCCTAAGGTCCCTGGAAGCCAAGTCATGATCACATAATCTGGGCTCTGGCGATCATGGTATCAATTGGAAACTCTGCTGAGTATTCCCATTTACCCTTCTGGATCCACTTTCCAGCCTTTTCTACCCTGCTGTGTGCCCAGAAAACTAACTTTCAGACACCACATCCCCTGGAACTCCTTTGCCAGTTGCCTCCTCATTGCATTTGGCCAGTAAGAAACACTGGCAGGAGATCAGAGGCCAAAGGAGAATGAGGTTGAGGTATCTATTCCTCTACTTCTTCCTTTCTGTGATGGCTGCATTCCTGTATGTAAGGCCACAGCCCCTCTCCTTTAGCACTAGATCTTGTTAGACTCCTATAATTGCTCGCTTGCTTGCCCCTTCAGACCTAGGGGTGATAAAGACTTATCCCTCTTTTTATCTCCTATATGGTCATCATCTCTTCTTATTCCTTCGAAAATAATCCTTTCTTAAAACTCTCTTTGACAGCCACTTGGAGCCCACCATCTATTTCCTGTCTGAACCCTTTCTGATAAAGAAAGTAGTAACAGAATGAAGCAGGAACCTTGCTAAATCCATCCTAGTAAAAAAAAATTGGTTTATGGTTGGTAGAGTCTTTGATACTAGCAGCAATGGGTTCTGCAGCAAGCTAGCCATCTGGCATAATTTGGGAAACTTATCTTGGCTATGTAACCTCCACACTTAATCCTCCTGCCCTCCTGGAAATTATGGTAAATCAGCCAGAGCTTCATATCAAATTCTATTTCTTGGAATTAAAACTCTGACTGATATAGCCTTCTTCTTTCCTCTAATGATAGTTTTTATTCATCTCTCTCTTTCATTCATTAATCTCTTTCATTCCCTTCCTTCATTTTGTCCTTCCTCCCTCCCTTCCTCTATTTACTTTAATTGAAGTCTATGCACTTATAGCTCCTAAATACTTTTCTCTACTCCAAATTTCCGGACCTCCAATACTATCGAGTAAGCTCCCTACTAGACATCACCATATTTCCATGTAAGTACCACATAAGCTCCTTAAATCCAATATTTAAAACCCTTTTTTTATTATACTTTAAGTTCTAGGGTACATAAAACCCTGTCTTATTATTTCCTACCCTAACTCTCTTCCTCTTCAGCCACGTAACCTACTACTTTGCCTCATCTGCATGGACAATTACACTATCTAATTATTTATCTGAATGAGAAACCCCTAGTTTTCCTAGACTCTTCTATTTCATATGGCCTGATTGTTTTTCCCAGGTTTGTCAGAGATCAGATGGTTGTAGATGTGTGGCATTATTTCTGAGGCTTCTGTTCTGTTCCATTGGTCTATATATCTGTTTTGGTACCAGTACCATGCTGTTTTGGTTACTGTAGCCTTGTAGCATACCTTAAAGTCAGGTAGCGTGATGCCTCCAGCTTTGTTATTTTTGTTTAGAATTGCCTTGGCAATATGGGCTCTTTTTTGGTTCCATATGAAATTTAAAGCAGTTTTTTTCTAATTCTGTGAAGAAAGTCAATGGTAGCTTAATGGGGATAGCACTGAATCTATAAATTACTTTTGGCAGTGTGGCCATTTTCATGATATTGATTCTTCCTATCCATGAGCATGGAATGTTTTTCCATTTGTTTGTGTCCTCTCTTATTTCCTTGAGAAGTGGTTTGTAGTTCTCCTTAAAGAGGTCCTTCGCATCCCTTGTAAGTTTTATTCCTAGGTATTTTATTCTTTTTGTAGCAGTTGTGAATGGGAGTTCACTCATGATTTGGCTCTCTGTTTGTCTATTATTGGTGTATAGGAATACTTGTGATTTTTGCACATTGATTTTGTATCCTGAGACTTTGCTGAAGTTGCTTATCAGCTTAAGGAGATTTGTGGCTGAGATGATGTGGTTTTCTAAATATACAATCATGTCATCTGCAAACAGAGACAATTTGACTTTCTCTCTTCCTATCTAAATACCCTTTATTTCTTTCTATTGCCTGATTGCCCTGGCCAAAACTTCCAATACTGTTGAATAGGAGTGGTGAAAGAGGGCATCCTTGTCTTGTGCCAGTTTTCAAAGGGAATGCTTCCAGTTTTTGCCCATTGAGTATGATATTGGCTGTGGGTTTGTCATAAATAGCTCTTATTATTTTGAGATAGGTTTCATCAATACCTAGTTTATTGAGAGTTTTAAGCATGAAGGGGTGTTGAATTTTATCAAAGGCCTTTTCTGCATCTATTGAGATAATCATGTGGTTTTTGTTATTGATTCTGTTTATGTGATGGATTACATTTATTGATTTGCATATGTTGAACCAGACTTACATCCAGGGATGAAGCTGACTTCGTCGTGGTGGATACGCTTTTTGATGCACTGCTGGATTTTATTGAGGATTTTTGCATCAATGTTCATCAGGGATAGTGGCCTGAAATTTTCTTTTTTCTTTTTTTTTGTTTTTTTTTTTGTTGTTGTTGTTGTGGTGGCGGTGGTGGTGGTGGTGTCTCTGCCAGGTTTTGATATCAAAATGATGCTGGCCTCATAAAATGAGTTAGTTAGGTGTCCCTCTTTTTCCATTGTTTGGAATAGTTTCATAAGGAATGGTACCAGCTCCTCTTTGTACCTCTGGTAGAATTCAGCTGTGAATCCGTCTGGTCCTGGGCTTTTTTTTAGTTGATAGGCTATTAATCACTGCCTCAATTTCAGAACTTGTTATTGGTCTATTCAGGGATTCGACTTCTTCCTGGTTTAGTCTTGGGAGGGTGTATGTGTCAAGGAATTTATCCATTTCTTCTAGATTTTCTAGTTTATTTGTGTAGAGGTGTTTGTAGTATTCTCTGATGGTAGTTTGTATTTCTGTGGGATCGGTGGTGATATCCCCTTTATCATTTTTTACTGTGTCTATTTCATTCTTCTCTCTTTTCTTCTTTATTAATCTGGCTATCCGTCTATCTATTTTGTTGATCTTTTCAAAAAACCAGCTCCTGGATTCATTGATTTTCTTAAGGGTTTTTTTGTGTCTCTATCTCCATCAGTTCTGCTCTGGTCTTAGTTATTTCTTGTCTTCTGCTAGCTTTTGAATTTGTTTGCTCTTCCTTCTCTAGTTCTTCTAATTGTGATCTTAGGGTGCCGATTTTAGATCTTTCCCGCTTTCTCCTGTGGGCATTTAGTGCTATAGATTTCCCTCTAAAACTGCTTTAGCTGTGTCCCAGAGATTCTGGTAAGTTGTGTCTTTGTTCTCATTGGTTTCAAAGAACTTCTTTATTTCTGCCTTAATTTCATTCTTTACCCAGTAGTCATTCAGGAGCAAGTTGTTCAGTTTCCATGTAGTTGTGTGGTTTTGAGTGAGTTTCTTAATCCTGAGTTCTAATTTGATTGCACTATGGTCTGAGAGACTATTATGATTTCCATTCTTTTGCATTTGCTGAGGAGTGTTTTACTTCCAATTATGTGGTCAATTTTAGAATAAGTGCAATGTGGTGCTGAAAAGAATGTATATTCTGTTGATTTGGGGTGGAGAGTTCTGTAGATGTCTCTTAGATCCACTTGGCCCAGAGCTAAGTTCAAGTCCTGAATATCCTTGTTAATTTTCTGTCTCGTCGATCTGTCTAATATTGACAGTGAGGTGTTAAAGTCTCCCACTATTATTGTGTGGGGGTCTAAGTCTCTTTTTAGGTCTCTTAATAACCTGCTGTATGAATCTGTGTGCTCCTGTATTGCGTGCATATATATTTAGGATAGTTACCTCTTCCTGTTGCATTGATCCCTTTACCATTATGTAATACCCTTCTTTGTCTTTTTTTTTTTTATCAGTGTTGGCTTAAAGTCTGTTTTATCAGAGACTAGGATAGCAACCTCTGCTTTTTTTTTTTTTTTTTTTTTTGCTTTCCATTTACTTGGTAAATATTCCACCATCCCTTTATTTTGAGCCTGTGTGTGTCTTTGCACGTGAGATGTGTTTCCTGAATACAGCACACCAATGGGTCTTGACTCTTTATTCAATTTGCCAGTCTGTGTCTTTTAATTGGGGCATTTAGCCCATTTACATTTAAAGTTAATGTTATTATGTATAAATTTGATCCTGTCATTATGATGTTAGCTGGTTATTTTGCCTGCTAGTTGATGCATTTCTTCATAGTGTCAATGATCTTTCCAATTTGGTATGTTTTTGCTGTGTCTGGTACTGGTTTTTCCTTTCCAGATTTAGTGCTTCCTTCAGAAGCTCTTGTAAGGCAGGCCTGGTGTTGACAAAATCTCTCAGAATTTGCTTGTCTGTAAAGGATTTTCTTTCTCCTTTGCTTATGAAGCTTAGTTTGGCTGGATATGAAATTCTGGGTTGAAAATTCTTTTCTTTCAGAAGGTTGAATATTGGCCCCCACTCTCTTCTGGCTTTGTAGAGTTTCTGCAGAGATCTTCTGTTAGTCTGATTGGCTTCCCTTTGTGGGTAACCCGACCTTTCTCTCTGCCTGCCCTTAACATTTTTTCCTTCATTTCAACTTTGATGAATCTGATGGTTATGTGTCTTGGAGTTGCTCTTCTGGAGGAGTATCACTGTGGTGTTCTCTGTATTTCCTGAATGTAAATGTTGGCGTGTCTTGCTAGACTGGGGAAGTTCTCCCGAATAATATCCTGAAGAGCGCTTTCCAACTTGGTTCCATTCTCCCCATCTTGTCTTCACACTTTATTTCATTAAGTTGATATTCAATCTCTGATATCCTTTCTTCCGCTTGATCGATTCATCTATTGATACTTGTGTATACTTCATGAAGTTCTTGTGCTGTGTTTTTCAGCTCCATCAGGTCATTTATGTTCTCTAAACTGGTTATTCCAGTTAGTACTTCGTCTAATCTTTTTTCAAGGTTCTTAGCTTCCTTGCATTGGGTTAGAACATGCTCCTTTAGCTCAGAGGAGTTTGTTATTACCCATCTTCCAAAGCCTACTTCTGTCAATTTGTCAAACTCATTCTCCATCCAGTTTTGATCCCTTGCTGGTAAGGAGCTGTGATCCTTTGGAAAAGAGGTTTTTGGAATTTTCAGCCTTTTTGCCTTGGTTTTTCCTCATCTTATTGGATTTATCTACCTTTGGTCTTTGATGTTGGTGACTTTTGAATGGGGTTTTTGAGTGGACATCCTTTTTGTTGATTTTGATACTATTCCTTTCTGTTTGTTAGTTTTCCTTCTAACAGTCAGGCCCCTCTGGTGCGGGTCTGCTGGAGTTTGCTGGAGGTCCACTCCAGACCCTGTTTGCCTGGGTATCACCAGCGGAGGCTGCAGAACAGCAAAGATTGCTGCCAGTTCCTTCCTCTGGGAGCTACGTTCCAGAGGGGCACCCACCACATGCCAGCCAGAGCTCTGTGTGAGGTGTCTGTTGACCCCTGCTGGGAGGTTCTCCCAGTCAGGAGGCACAGGGTTCAGGGACCCCCTTGAGGAGGCAGTCTATCTCTTAGTAGAGCTCAAGCGCTGTGCTAGGAGATCCACTGCTCTCTTCAGAGCCGGCAGGCAGGAATGTTTAATTCTGCTGAAGCTGCACCCACAGCTGCCCCTTCCCACAGGTGCTCTGCCAAGGGAGATGGGAGTTTTATCTATAAGCCCCTGACTGGGGCTGCTGCCTTTGTTTCAGAGATGCCCTGCCCAGAGAGGAGGAATATAGAGAGGCAGTCTGGCTACAGTGGTTTTGCCAAGCTGTGGTGGGCTCCACCCAGTTCGAACTTCCAGGCGGCTTTGTTTACAATCTGAGGGGAAAACTGCCTACTCAAGCCTCACTAATGGTGGACATGCCTCCTCCCACCAAGCTCGAGCATCCCAGGTCGACTACAGACTATAGACTGCTGGGCTGGCAGTGAGAATTTCAAGCCAGTACATCTTAGCTTGCTGGGCTCTGTGGAGGTGGAATCCACTTAGCTAGACCACTTGGCTCCCTGGCTTCAGCACCCTTTCCAGGGCAGTAAATGGCTCTGTCTTGCTGACATTCCAGGCGCCACTGGGGTATGAAAAAAAAAAAAAACTCCTGCAGCTAGCTTGGTGTCTGCCCAAAAAGACGCCCACTTTTGTGCTTGAAACCCATGGCCCTGGTAGTGTAGGCACCTGAGGGAATCTCCTGGTCTGCAGGTTGTGAAGACCATGGGAAAAGCATAGTATCTGGGTGGGAATGCACCGTTCCACGAGATACAGTCCCTCACGGCTTCCGTTGGCTAGGGGAGGGAGTTCCTCAACCCTTTGCACTTCCCAGGTGATGCGATGCCCCACCCTGCTTCGGCTCACCCTCCGTGGGCTGCACCTACTGTCTAACCAGCCCCAATGAGATGAGCCAGGTACCTCAGTTGGAAATGCAGAAATCACTCGCCTTCTGCGTTGGTCTCGCTGGGAGCTGCAGACCGGAGCTGTTCCCATTCAGCCATCTTCCCAGCCACCATTAATGTCTTACGTAAGGCTTTGCATGACCTAGCCTTCCTCACCTCTCCAGTCTCATTTGCTAGAAACATCATCCAAGGCTCAGCCAGATCACAAAAGGCTCAACATATCTTCCCCACCTTCATGCTACATATCATAGAGATACATTGTGTTTCCTCAATCTCAAATACCTATCGCCCAGTTAGATACTGTCTAACATCCAATTCTCCTTCAAGAGTCATATGTCATCTTCTCCTGACCACCCCCATCTTACAGATGGCCCATGTCTGTGTACCCCAGGAATTCTTCTATCATAGAATTTATGATAGAAGAATTTTCAGTTTACTTGTCTGTCTTCACATCTAGATTTTGAACACATTAAGAGAAGGCATAGTGTCTAAAACCCAGTAATATACTTCATAGATATTTGTCACATAAATTACATTTCTCAATCCAAGTTAAATTATAAAAACTCAAAAATGCCTGCTTTTGACAATGGGAAAAAAGTGCCAAGCTACAACTGCTGCCTCTAAAGAGAGGCATAGAGAAAGGAGCAGAAGCAAAGTAGAACTAGCACACACTGAATGAAAACATGGTAGTAGCTCTAATGGGGAAGTTTGGGGCCCTGACAGACTATAGATAAAGCCATTTGGGAGCAGGGAAAATTTCTTGGAGCCACTTAAAGCAACATCTTTTATATGGTCACTTGTGAGAGGTTAGCCCTGTCCTAAGGACAAATTTGATTTAATACTCCAAGGTTCACTTATATACAAGATCACTCCTCCACATCCAAAGAGGAGAAGGGTAAATCATCATCTGTGTCATCTCTGAAAAGAAAGGACAAGAATGTATTCTTACTGCTGGATGTTCCACTAACTTAAAGACCTTATGAGAAATGTGGCATGCCTGTGTTTTTACGAGGTCAAATGGATGATCTCCAGTGACTAATGATGGTGTCAACTGGCTTCCAAAGATTTTTTATTTTGTGAAAAATGATTCAAGCATGAGGTCCAAAAGATACCATAAGGATATTTCACCAACATACATTTTCCCAAAATACTGAACACCTTTAAATAGAGTAGGATTTTGTTTTGCAAACGTTCCAACTGAATTCAAGCGAAAAATATTTATTCATTTATCTATCCAATTGGTGGACAAATAATTATCAAGTATAATTATCAAGTATTTCTTATGTACTTTGATGATGCAGTATGAACTGTAGATATAAATGAATAAAATGCATTCCCTAACTTTAAGGAATTCATAGCCCAAACGGACAAGGTATATAAACAATAACAGTATATAACAAATACAGTGGTGACATAAGCAAAGTGTTGTGGGGAATTGTTGGGCTGATAGTATTAACATTCAAAATATCAGCTGTTCCTCTCTAGGCATGTATTATACTTCCTCATCCTGTTGACTAACGACATATGATTTATTGTAGGCAGTGAAATATGAGCAGAACTGACATGCAACGTTCTGAGCAAAGAGCCATTGCTTGGTTTCACTATATTTCATTTTCCCTATGCCCATTGATCAGCAGCATCTCAAACAAAGCCTGCTCTGCAAGCCTGGGCCCAAGAGTAAAAATGATTCAGAGGAAAGACACAGCAGACCTGAAATGGATATGTAACATACATGAGAAATAAACTTAAGTCTCTGAGATTTTGAAGCTGTGACGGTTAATATTAGGTGTTAACTTGACTGAATTGAAGGATGCCTACATAGCTGGTAAAATATTGTTTCTGGGCATGTCTGTGAGGGTGTTGCCAGAAGAGACTGACATTTGAGTCAGTGGACTGGGAGAGGAAGACCCACCATCAATGTGGGTGGCACCCTCCATTCGGCTGCCAGCACGGCTAGAACAAAGCAGGCAGAAGAAGGTGGGATAAGCTAGCTTGCTGAGTCTCCTGACTTTCATCTTCCTCCCGTGCTGGATGCTTCCTTCTGCCCTTGGACATCAGAATCCAGGGTCTTCAGCCTTTGGACTGTTGGACTTGCACCAGTGGTTTGCTGGGGGCTCTCAGGCCTTTGGCCACAGACCAAAATCTGCACTGTTGGGTTCCCTGCTTTTGAGGCTTTTGGATTCTGACTGAGCCACTACTGGCCTCCCTCTTCCCCAGCTGTAGACAGCTTGTAGACAGCTTGTAGACACCTTGTGATCATGTGAGCCAGTTCTCCCTAGTAAACTCCCTTTCATATATACTTATATCTTATGAGTTCTGTCTCTCTGGAGAACCCTGACTAATACAGAAGCCATGTGCTACTGCAGTATAACCTAGCCCATACTGACTGAAATAGTTGTTATGAAGAAATTAATCTTGGGTGGGGTACAAGTTAAAGTTATAGAAGAAGTGACATATTGAGTTGGATCTTGAAGGCTGAGTAGGAGTAGTGAGGAAAGGGTTTTTAGGGCAGAGATTCTGGTGTGAGCAAAGATCTGGTGGTGTGGAAGTATATATCCTATTTAGACAAGTTACCCCCGACACAGGATTATGAAATATATGCTAGTGTTACATACGAAAGACCCATTGGTCATGCCAAGAAAAATAAATTTTACCCTCCTGCTTAGGAGTCACAAAAAGGTTTTGAAGGATTCTGAGTTTAAAGTTTGTAGCCAAAATCATGTTGAAGGCAATTGAAAATAGAAAAGAAACATCTAAGACATCTAAAGGCCTTTATTCCCTCAAGTTTAGAACCCCTTACACTGAAAAGAGGTTAAATGATACACCCACAAAGTAGTGGAGGTTGAAATGGAGCCCAAACAGCCTGCAGGACACGTGACTCAGCTCAAAAGAGAATAACAATAGAGGGAAACAATAGTAAGTGGCTACTACTGTACCATTTCCAGAAAAAAAAGAGCCTCTGGGCGCATTGTGAGCTTTCAAAACACTCTAGACTTGGCTCTGAGTGCAGACCAAAGGAAGAAAATAAAAACAAGGCAGAGGGACTTACAGGCACAGTAAAAAGAAGCTTGTGCTGTATGCCAGGCTTTAGTCTTGGTAATAATTCTTTCTTTTCTTGTTCTATTTTATTTCTTGATAAAAACTCATTCTAAAGTAGTCCTTAAAACCGTCTGGCTTCTCACCAAGTTTTGACTACTGAATTGAGACAGCTTGTTGCTTTTTCTTGGCATATTAGATTGATTATACATGAAAACCTATCTGAGATGTTTTCTACAATGTCTATCCATCATATGAAGGACTTAATGTCTCTGTGGTTAGACAAAGATAATACAAGCCATCTTAGAAGGTATGCTGTATAGGTTGCCCACGAAATAAACAAACAAACAAACTGGAATTCAACATGGCTGCCCAAGGTCAACCTAGACTACTTAATGAAGTTCAGCCATAGACTAGCTACCATTTTTCGTAGAGAATTGTTTCCTCTTTGGAGCAATGCTTATCGTATATAAACTTTGTAATCAGTCTCTTCACATTCTTTTAAATATCTCATTGGCTATATATTGGCCTTTCCAAAACAATCAAGTGTCCTACTGTGAGTTCTCAACATTACTAATGGACATTGAAGAGACAGTTTTACAATAAAGTTTTGAAGGCTTAACACTGGAATTAGGAGCTATTCAGTATAGCATCTTCAGGGTCAGGGCATTCTCTGAAAAAAACATAGGATCCTACAAGATAGAAAACCCTACTTCACTCTCCTCTCTATCTAATTTCTACTCTTTTTTTCTTTTCTTTTAAAATTTTATTGCAGTAAGAACACTTAATATAAGGTCTACCCTCTTAACAGATTTTTAAGTACATGCAAAACAGGCACAACGCCATACAGCAGATCTCCAGAACTTATTCATCTTGAAACTCTTTTTTTTTTTTTTTTTTTTTTTTTTTTTTTTTTTTTTTTGAGACGGAGTCTCCCTCTGTCGCCCAGGCTGGAGTGCAGTGGCGGGATCTCGGCTCACTGCAAGCTCCGCCTCCCGGGTTCACGCCATTCTCCTGCCTCAGCCTCCCAAGTAGCTGGGACCACAGGCGCCCGCCACTACGCCCGGCTAATTTTTTGTATTTTTAGTAGAGACGGGGTTTCACCGTTTTAGCCGGGATGGTCTCGATCTCCTGACCTCGTGATCCGCCCGCCTCGGCCTCCCAAAGTGCTGGGATTACAGGCGTGAGCCACTGCGCCCGGCCGAAACTCTTTACCTGATGATTTAGCATCTCCATTTCCTCTTCCCTCAACCCCCGGCAACCACCATTCTATTCTCTGCTTCTTACGAGTTTGACAATTTTAGATACTTCATATAAGTGCAATAATGCGGTAATTATCTTACTACGAATTGCTTATTTCATTTAGCATAATGTCCTCAAGTTCCATCCATGTTGTTGCATATTGGAAGATTTCCTTTCTTAAGACTAAATAATACTCCAATGTACGTATATACCACTTTTTTTACCCAATCATAAACAAACATTTAGGTTGTTTCCATTTTGGCCTATTGTGAATAGTGCTGCAGTGAATATGGGAGTGCTAATATCTCTTCAAGATCCTGATTTCAATACTTTTGGTAAAATACTCAGAAGTGAGATGGCTAGCTCATATAATAGTTCTCTTTTCTAATATTATGAGGAACCTTCATACTATTTTCCATAGAGGCTGCACCATTTTGCATTCCTACTAACAGTGTACATGTGTTCCAATTTCCCCACAACCCGATCACACTTGGTCTTTTGTGTTTTTGATAATAGCCATTCTAACAAGTATGAGGTGCTATCTCATTGTGGTTTCGATTTACATTTCCCTAATCATTGGTGACATTAAGCATGTTTTTATACACCTGTTAGTCATCTGTATGTCTTCTTTGGAGAAATGCCCCACTCTGCTTCGGCTCACCCTCCTTGGGCTGCACCCACTATCTAATCAGTCCCAATGAGATGAGCCGGGTACCTCAGTTGGAAATGCAGAAATCACTTGCTTTCTGCGTTGATCTCACTGGGAGCTGCAGACAGGAGCTGTTCCTATTCGGCCATCTTGCCGGCCACCCCATTGGTTCTCTTTCTCTGGAGAACCTTGACTAACATATACTTTTTACCTGGTATTCACACCATCGTCTCTATGATTCAACATAGAATGGTGATTCTGTCTCCTTGAACATAGTTGATGGAACCATGGACTATGTACCTGACCTGTGGCTTGGCTTAAAAATTTTTTGTTCGTCTATCAGGTCTATTCTCTTGGGAATCCAAACTGAGAAAATAAAGCAATTGGCATCAGGAACTGTGACTGAAAGAATGTATATAGAGACGTCTCATGATTTACAATCAGCAGCCAGGAGGCCTCGTGGCAGGCTAGATTTTAAGGAAGCAGATACTCTGAGAGCTACAGAGAAACCATAAGCAAGAGATCATGTAGCCTGTGTGAGAGGAGATAACAGCCAATCCCTAGATTTTTCTTGGCTTCTAATGTTTTTCCTGTACCAGTGCCTGTGTATCCTCACAACAAACTCCACTTCGCAAGGCTTCTTGTGTGATTTCCTGTTTCTCACAACCTGTGGAGCCCAGTTAGAACTTGGCACAGTCTTCAGAGGCCTCCATGACTGCTCATATTTTTAGGAAATATGCTTTCATCAGTTCCCTAACACAGCTTATATTTCTCTTACAAGGCCTCCAACATTAATAATAAAAAAGAGAAATAAAATGATCGAAAAGAAAGGAAATGCCTCAAATGAAACCAACTCATGGGAAAACACTAGATATAACTGGATTAATCCATTCTTTAAAAATAAGCAGTTGCTCTCCGTGGTTTTTCTTTGGCCAAATTTAAAGGCCAGGAGAAGTTTGAACATACCTCTGGACTATGTAAATATCTCTCTTTCTTTACATTAGGATACCCACAGTGGAAAGGCTCCGTATGGAAACAGTGCTAAATGCATCTCAGGTGGGCTTTTCCAAGAAGTGTTACAACAGTATTTCCTCAAAGGAGGCATATAGAAGCACATATGAAGGGAGAGAACTGTCTCCCAATAGGATAGCAGAGACAGAAGGCAAAAGAGGCACTAAGTCAGACAACCGTTCTGTATTTGTTTTAATGAGGAGAAGAGGAAAATGTGCCCAGAGCAGCTATATAAGACTGACGGTGAGCAATTAAACTGTCTATAACGTTTTTGGTATTGCTGTTATAAGAAGCTTCTAAAATGGATGAGACACCAGAATCAGTCAGCCTGCTTACATGCTGAGTCAAAAAAATAGAAATCCCTTGGGGAGATTTGAGCACTTGCTTGGTTCTGGCGGAAGTGCTGCTGATTGAAAAGTGGCAGGTGGCATGTTCTCCTTGGGATAAATGCCCTTTTGAGTCAATTGGCAGGCACCTCAGGGGCCCATGTTTGAATGAAGCTGAAGGGACACTTGGGCCATTTTTCCTCCTGTCTTATTACCAGAAATACAAATTTAGGTAAATGACATGGAGTAGTATTTCTCAGTTCTTTTTTCCAAATGATTTCCCTTTTTACCAAGCATAAATATCTCATGCCCTTTTCTAATGTTATTGGAAATTTCAAAATAAATTAAAATCTGATGTAAAACAAATCATTGTAATGGGACTAAAGATTACTTTCACACTAAGCATTTATTCTTTTAACGTCACTAAACAGGATATGAAAGTTATCAAGTTTTAACCTAAATTTTAAAGTCAAAGTTATGCAGTTACTCAAGTTTCTTGAATGATAAACATATTCTGTAGCTCTCATGTGTATTCCTCTCTCTCCCCCATATATATACAAACACACACACACACACACACACATATATGTTTTCTTAATGTTGAGCTAGATGCTGTGACCAGTTTATACCTATAAAAGAGCACAAAAATATTTGTTGTTAATATATTTGTGAGACAAGACTTTCACACCTAACATCTAAGTTGGCTATCATTGCAGAGTTATGATACTATGTTGAATTATAGAGACGATAGTGTGAATACCAGGTAAAATGTATGTGTTAGTCAAGTTTCTCCAGAGAAAGAGAACCAGTGGGGTGGCTGGCAAGATGGCCGAATAGGAACAGCTCCGGTCCGCAGCTCCCAGTGAGATCAACACAGAAGGCAGATGATTTCTGCATTTCCAACTGAGGTACCCAGCTCTCTATATACATTCTTTCAGTCTCAGTTCCTGATGCCAATTACTTTATTTTCTCAGTTTGGATTCCCAAGGGAATAGACCTGATAGACCAACAAAAAAATTTAAGCCAAGCCACAGGTCAGGTACATAGTCCATGGTTCCACCAACTATGTTCCAGGAGATGGAATCACCTGATCTGTGTAAGACTATCCCTCCTGAACTGGTAATGAGTAGATGTTTTCTCTTAAAAGGAATTTCAAACAGATAAGAACAGATACTACACTTGATCTTAGCCAAATGCTGGTGGCATCATGCTACCTGACTTCAAACTATATTACAAGGCTACAGGAACAAAACAGCATGGTACTGGTACCAAAACAGATATATAGACAAATGGAACAGAACAGAGGCCTCAGAAGTAACACCACACATCTGCTACCATCTCACCTTTGACAAACCTGACAAAAACAAGAAATGGGGAAAGGATTCCCTATTTAATAAATGGTGTTGGGGAAACTGGCTAGCAATATGCAGAAAACTGAAATTGGACCCCTTCCTTATACCTTATACAAAATTTAACTCAAGATGGATTAAAGACTTACATGTTAGACCTAAAACCATAAAAACCCTAGAAGAAAACCTAGGCAATACCATTCAGGACATAGGCATGGGCAAACACTTCATGACTAAAACACCAAAAGCAATGGCAACAAAAGCCAAAATAGACAAATGGGATCTAATTAAACTAAAGAGCTTCTGCACAGCAAAAGAAACTATCATCAGAGTGAACAGTCAACCTACAGAATGGGAGAAAAATTTTGCAATCTATCCATCTGACAAAGGGATAATATCCAGAATCTACAACGAACTTAAACAAATTTAGAAGAAAAACAAATAACCCCATCAAAAAGTGGACAAGGGATAGGAACAGACACTTCTAAAAAGAAGACATTTATGTGGCCAACAAACATATGAAAAAAAGCTCATCATCACTGGTCATTAGAGAAATGCAAATCAAAACCACAATGAGACACCATCTCACATCAGTTAGAATGGCGATCATTAAAAAGTCAGGAAACAACAGATGCTGGAGAGGATGTGGAGGAATAGTACCACTTTTACAGTGTTGGTGGGAGTGTAAATTAGTTCAACCATTGTGGAACACAGTGTGGCGATTCCTAAAGGATCTAGAACCAGAAATACTATTTGACCCAGCAATCTCATTACTGGGTATATACCCAAAGGATTATAAATCATTCTACTGTGAAGACACATGCACACGTATGTTTATTGCAGCACTGTTCACAATAGCAAAGACTTGGAACCCACCCGAATGCCCATCAATGATAGACTGGATAAAGAAAATGTGGCACATATACACCATGGAATACTATGCAGCCATAAAAAAGGATGAGTTTGTGTCATTTACAGGGACATGGATGAAGCTGGAAACCATCACTCCCAGCAAACTAACACAGGAACAGAAAAACGAACACCGTATGTTCTCACTCATAAGTGGGAATTGAACAACGAGAACACATGGACACAGGGAGGGGAACATCACCTGCCAGGGACTGTCGGGAGGTGAGGGGATGGGGAGGGAGAGCATTAGGAGAAATACCTAATGTAGATGACGGGTTGATGGGTGCAGAAAACCACCATGTCACGTGTATACCTACGTAACAAACCTGCATGTTCTGCACATGTATCCCAGAACTTAAAGTATAATTTAAAAAAAAAAAATCTAGAAGGAAAAAAAAGGAACTTCAAGACACACTTCAGAGAAAAGTGGCAGAGTAGGCAGCTCTCATTTTTTTTGTGCCCACCGCCACCCCAACAAATTAAACACAAGCAGAAACTGTCAAAACCAACTGTTTCAGAACTGGAAAACAGTCAAAGGTTTACAACAATCAAGCAAACACTGAATTAAGAATAAAAGCAACTTCAAAACAGTAGGAAAGCTTTGGGTCATTTTTATTTGCCTTTATTCCAAGTCTTCCCTGCCACAACAGGAGCCTTAGCCCACATTCCCAGTGTAAGACTCTGATCACTGGTGCCAAAGGAACAGAGCAGACCTTATTTGCAGATTATCATTTATGTCTATTCTAGCATGTCTGTGGCAGGCTATTGATAAAAGGAACTTATCTCTGTTTCACCTAACTCAGACTCACTAAGAAAAAGCAAGAGGCACCACTCAAAAACACTGCAAGCCCAACTAAAAACCCATCAACATCTGGGACAAAAGATTAATGTTGCAATATATAATAAAATGTGTAAGGCCTGGGAGCTAAAGTTGGGAAAAATTTCTTTGGAAAATTGGGAAATTCAACAGCACCTATGTATAGCAAGGAATTTATGAAGCAACATAAATGCCAAGGGTAAGATGCATACTTAGAAAACACAGAGAGAACCCTAAGTTTTCATTTTGGGCTGAATATTGGAATCAGTGCAAGCAAGCCTAAATACGGAAGTAGAACTCCGAAACACAGGTAATGTGGAAAGGCTGAGAGATATGTTTTCCATTTGTGTGTATTGTTGTTGTCTTTTTGTTTTTGTTTGTTTGCTTTTAGCTCCAGGCACTCAAGAAATATCTGTCAAATTTAGTATAGTACTAGGATTACTAGCAAGAACAATCAGACAAGAAGAAATGAAAACCATCCAAATCAAATCAAAAGAAGTAACATTTTCCCTGGTTGCAGATGACATGATCCTATATGTAGAAAATACTAAAGAATCTGCAAAAATAATAATACATGAATTCAGCAAAGTAGAAAGATACAAAATCAACATACAAAACTCAGTGGCATTTCTTTACACCAATAATAATCTCTATGAAAAAAAAAAAACCAAGAAAACAATCCCATATACAATACCTAAAAAAATAACTGTTTAGGAATAAATTTAACCAAGTAAGTAGAAGATCCATACACTAAAAACTATAAAAGACTGATTAAAAAAATTGAAGAAGACACAAATAAATGAAAAGATAAGCTATATTCATGGATTGGAAGAAATAATATTGTTAAAGTGTCCATACTACCCAAGTGATTCAAGTGATCTACAATTTCAATGCAATCCCTAACAATTATCCAATGGCATTTTCGACAAAAATACAAAAAAAAAAAAACAAAAAAAAAAAACCTTTTCTAAAGTGTGTATGGAACCACAAAAGACCCCTCCTAACCAAAATAATATTAAGACAAAAAAGCAAATGAAGGCATCATACTTCCTGATTTCATCTTATATTACAAAGCTATAATAATCAAAACAGTGTGGTATTGGCATAAACACAGACAAAGACCAAGGGGACAGAATAGGAACCCCAGAAATAAACTCAAGCCTATATGGTCAACTAATTTTCCACAAGGGCACCAAGAGTACACAATGGGAAAAGGACAGTCTCTTTAATAAATGGTAATGGGAAAAGCGGATATCCACAAGCAAAAAAAAAAAAAGACAAGAGAAGAAACTGGAACTTTCTTTAACCCCATACATCAACTTGAAATGTATTAAAAGACCTGAACATAAGACCCAAAACTGTAAAACACCAAACAAAAAATTGAGTGGAAATTCTTCATGACATTAGCCTGGGTAATGATTTTTTAGATATCACGCCAAAAGTTCAGGTGAGAAAATCAAAAATGAACCAGTTAAACTATATCAAACTAAAAAGCTTTTCCACAGCAAAGGAGACAATCAACAGAATGAAAAAGTAACCTACAAAATAGGAGAACATATTTGCTAGCCATATACATATAAACATATAAGAAATTCAGACAACTCAATAATAAAAAAATTAAAAATCAGACAACAGACCTAAATAGACCTAAATTTTTACAAAGCAGATATACAAATGGACAATGGGTATATGAAAAGGTGCTCAACATCACTAATCATCAAAGAAATACAACACCATGAGATATTAACTCATACCGATTTCGGTGTTAGATGGCTACTATCAAAAAGACAAGAGATGTGTTGGTGAGTATGTGAAGAAAAGGGAACTCTTCTACACTGATGATAATAATGTAAATTGTTACAGCCATTATGAAAAACAGTATGAAGCTTCCTCAACAAAATTTTCAAAAAGAGCTACAGTACGATACAGCAATTCCTCTTCTGGGTATGTACCTAAAGGAAATGAAATCAGCACATTGCAGAGCTATCTGCAACTCAATGTTCACGGAAGCATTATTAACACTAGCCAATATATAAAAGCAAACTAGGTACCCATCAACAGATGATTAGATAAATAAATCATGGCATATATACACAATGAATATTATTCAGCCTTAGAAAAGAAAGAGATACTGCCATTTGGGATGACATGGATGAACCTGAAGGACATTATGCTGGGTGAAATAAGTGAGACTTAGAAAGACAAATAATGTATGATCTCACACTTATTTGACTTTTTAAGAGAGTCAAATAAATACAAACGAAGAGTAGAAAGGTGGATAGCAGAGGTGAGGAGGGAAGGAAATGGGAAGAAGTAGGTCAAAGTAGGTCAAAATTCCACCTAACCACTTTGCAGTTAGGTGGAACAAATAATGTACAGGATAAGGACTATAGTTAATAATATTGTATAACTGAATATTCATATACAGAGGAATGAAACTGGACCACTCTCTCTCACCATGTACAAAAATCAAAACAAAATGGATTGAAGACTTAAATATAAGACCTCAATCTATTAAGCTACTACAGGAAAACATTGGGGAAACTCTCCAGGAAATAGGACTGGACAAAGATTTCTTGAATAATACCCCGCTAGCACAGGCAACCAAAGCAAAAATGGACTAATGGGATTACATCAAGTTAAAATGATTCTGCACAGGAAAAGAAACAATCAACAAAGTGCAAAGACAACCCAAAGAATGGAAGAAATTATTTGAAAACTACTCATCTCACAAGGGATTGATTAATAACCAGAATATATAAGGAGCTCAAACAGCTCTGTAGGAAAAAATCTAATGATCTGATTTTAAAATGGGCAAAAGATTTTAATAGACATGTCTCAAAAGAAGACATACAAATGGCAATCAGGTATACGAAAATGTGTTCAACATCATTGGTCATCAGAGAAATGCAAATCAAAACTACAATAAGATATCATCTCACTCCAGTTAAAATGCCTTTTATCCAAAAGTCAGGCAATAATGAAGGCTGGCAAGGATGTGGAGAAAAGGGAAAACTTGTATGCTATTGGTGGGAATGTAAATTAGTGCAACCACTATGGAGAACACTATGGAGTTCTTCAGAAAACTAAAAATAGGACTACTATATGACCCAACAATCCAAAAGAAAAAAAAATGGTATATCAAAGAGATATCTGCACGTCCATGTTTATTGCAGCACTATTCACAAAAGCGAAGATTTTAAAACATCAACATCTGTGTCCATCGACAGATGACTAGATAAAGAAAAAGTGTTACATATGCACAAGGGAGTACTACTCTGCTATAAAAAAGAATGAGATCCTGTCATTTGCAACAACATGGATGGAACTGGAGACTATTATGCTAAGTGAAATAAGCCAGGCATGGAAAGACAAGATTTGCATGTTCTCACTTATTTGTGGGAGCTAAAAATGAAAACAATTGAACTCATGGAGATATAGAGTAGAATGATGGTTACCAGAGGCTGGGAAGGGGAGGGGGGAGGGGGAGGGGGAAGTGGAGATGATTAACGGTTACAAAACCTATAGAAAGAGTGAATGAGGTCTAGTATTTGCTAGCACAACAGGGTAACTACAGTCAATAATTTAATTGTACATTTAAAAATAACTAAAAGAGTGTAATTGGATTGCTTGTAACACAAAGGATAAATGCTTGAGGTGATGGATACCCCATTTACCCTGATGTGATTATTACACATTGTCTGTATCAAAATATCTCATGTATCCCACAAATATATACACCTACTATGTACCCATAAAAATTAAAAATAATAAAAAGAAAAGAGAACAAGCTATTGCCTCTGCTCCTAAGCACCTCACTTGTCACTGAGGAGACATGTTAGGTGGTAGCCTTTGGTAAAAGCTTCTCTGTCAGACCTTTAAAGTGTCAGACTTTAGTCTCCTTTCCCTGTAAGTTAATTTTTGCTAGCCTAGAATAAGTCAGCCTCAGAGAAAGCCTGTTTGCCTCAGCTGTTTACCTTGCTGTTTACCTCACTAATGTAGATTTTCTGTACGGATGCAAATCTTCTCCACAAAAGACAGCCTTTCAGAAGTATTCCTGTGGTTTGCAGCCCCTCTGAATAGACATATGGAAATATGCCAAAGAAGGATATTTTGGGGTAAAATATTCTGGTTTACTTCAATAGCAATAAACGCCTACATTGACAACAAGAAAGAGCCCGAATAAACAACCTCACATTATGCCCCAAGAAGCTAGAAAAAGAACAAATAAAACCTGAAAAATCTAATAAAAATTAGCAAATGAAGGGGAAAGGAGCATTAAAATAATAAATCTAAAAATATATTATCTCGAGTAAAGACATATTGCTAAAGAATGTGTATAAAATTCAAGTAAGGCTCGAAGCATGCAAATAATACCATATATTGTCTATACTATATATTACTTGCATATAATAAAAATTTGTAAAAACATGCTCAGAATTGAAACACATCAAATACAGCAGAGGAGGTGTGCAATCAGGTTTTCACTCTTTAAAAACTACATTTGACTGATACTGAAGTTGGGTGATGAGATATTGAATGCATTGGGTGCATTATTCTCTCCTCTTTGGGTTCTGTTTAAAAATTTTGATGATAGAGTTACTATACAGAACAAACAACTATAAAAAATCAAAAAAACTTTAAGACAACTGGAAAATTTTAATTACAGTCTGGGTATTAGATAATATTAAGAACATTTTACTAATTCTTCAGGTACAATAATAGTGAAACTGCCTTTGCAAAAATTATAGCTGAGGAAATTATGACAGTGAAAGAGATCTGACCTAACCAACTCCATCTTGCTTTCAACCTTGAAGCTGTCTTTTCTCATTCCTAGGAATGGGCCAAGCTAACTTTGGGAGAAATTTAGTTTATAGTTTAAATATTAGTCCTTCCCCACAACTAAAATATTCTTGTAAAACTAATGAAAGGCCACCAAGTGAGGATGGGAGGAGCTTGAATTCTACATAATTACCAGCAATTATTCCAGAGGTCATAAGATTTGCAACTTTCCCAATTACTACTGAAGATAATATCACTATTGTAGAATCTAAGATTGGCCTTTTGAGATGTCTTTTCACGTTTTTGCATTTCTGACAACCAGATGGCTCCACCTGGACCTGCCAACCAGTCCTTGTGGCCCCCACCCAGGAACTGACTCAACGTAAGAGGACAGCATCAACTCCCTATGATTTCATCTCCGAGCCAACCTATCAGCACTCCCAACTTACTGGTCCCCTATGCAGCAAATTATTCGTAAAAACTCCGATCCTCAAACTCTCAGGGAGACTGATTTGAGTAATAAGTCTCCAGTCTCCTGGACAGCCAGCTCTGTGTGAATTAAACACTTTCTCTATTGCAATCCCCTGTATTAATAAATTGGCCCTGTCTAGACAGCAGGAAAGGAGAACCCATTGGGTTGTCACAATAGCACAATGGTCATGTGAATGAAACAAATGATCTCAGTAATTCATACCAAAATATTTACAACTGAACAACATCATGTCTAGGATTTTCTTTAAAAACATTCTGGCAAAATTTTAAGAAGGGGTAGAGGAGGATAGGTGAAAATTAGATTGGCAATTGTTGCTAATTGTTAAAACTGAATAAAGGTTACATGAGTATTCATTATAATATATATTTCACTTTGGTATATTTAACTTTGTATACACAATATTATATTATACTACTACAGGGGCTAAGGGAAAACTCCCCCTTTGACCTCTGAAATTTCACTGAAAAATTAACTGATAAAAGGCAGATTAATAGGAGAAATGGCATACAAATGTATTAGCATGCACAGGGGAGAATCGCAGAGTGATTACTCAATATCTCTCATAGGGCCCAGATAATTATATAGCATTATTTCAGAGGGGAGCAGGGAGATGGGGAATATAGGTAATTCTGTTGAGGGGCAATAAGTGATTTGCTAGGGAGAATAAGTGGATCGAGGAATGGAGATTAACTTGTAAGAGTTTCTCTTAGAAAACTGAATGAGCCTGAGAGATAGACACTATTTTGTGAGAGGGTCTGTTCAGTCCTGGTTACATTCTTGGTCTTTTCCACAATAAATAATGAGACAACAGGGAATGGAAGGAAGAACAATTGTTCTCCTTGGTGGGTCCTTCTGGTTTTTATGCAGATAAGGGAAAAGTTTCTTCCAGTGTCTGTTGGTCTCTAAGAGCCTTTAATTCAAATTACTCATTTTAGCAGGGAGCCATATTGGGGGATGAAGATCCCTGCACTCCTTCAGTATATTATATTAAAATGTTATGATTGGAAAAAGCTGGAGGTAGATACACAGATATTCATTATATTTCTTCTTTTTATATGTTGGAAATACTGTTTAATTTTAAAAAGGGAAAAAACTTATTTAAAAAATTGTATACATTCTCCATATAAACCTTACCAGTTTCTCACAAATATTTCTGTAATACTGCTCTTTAAAACTCAAAAAAGCCTACATGTCCTGCAACGTAGATTTTTTAAAAAGACCTTTATCTCAGAAATGTCATATGTTCTAGAAAAACCCCAAGACCTTAGAATTCATTTTTAAACTAAAATTTCAAAGATGCAGGAGGCTCCTAACCTCGTTTTCTCTTTGTATTTCCAAAGATCTGTCATGCCCTTTTAATACAATGCCTTCTTTATCCCCCAAAGAATTCCTGCTGCTTAACATCTCTGTGAAACCCCTATGGTGCTATGAAGTAGGGGAAATAAAATATGCTCCCCTTGGAGGAAAAGTGTGTGTCCATAAGAAGTAACTTACCTCTTGGAGGCAAAACACACCCATTTCACTCCCAGAAGAAGATTGTATGCTTTGTCCTGTCAAAATGTAGGACTGTGTATGGGGAAGGTGGAGAGGGAGATAAAATTTGAGAAGTTAATGAATCAGGAGGCATGGAATATTAGAAAAAGCACCGGGACTGGAGCCAGCTCCACCATGTATTAGCTGCATAGTCTTGGACAAGCTGTTTTAGTGTCTCTACATTTCAGAGAAGTTGTAATAGGTTTATATCAGTGGTCTTTAATCCTGACTGCACCTTAGAATTCCTGGAGATCTTTTTAAAACTTCTAATGCCTGGGCCCTACCCCATTCAAAAATCCCTGGGATACATCTGAAGCAAGGACCATCCTTAATGCTCCTCAGGTGATTCTAAGCTGCAGCCAGGGTGGTGACCCACTGGTTTTGTAACTGTCCAGTGGATTCATTTTGCCCACTGCCCAAATAGAGCTGATTTATCAAGACACAGGAATTGCAATAGAGAAAGAATTTAATTCATGCAGAGCCGACTGAATGGGAGACCAGAGTTTTATTATTACTCAAATCAGTTTCCTAATCTCAGATACTAGGGTTTTTCAAGCATAGTTTGACGGTAGGGGGCAAGGGAGTGGTGAGTTCTGACTGGTTGGGTCAGAGATTATATCACAGGAAGTCCTCTTGAGCTGAGTCAGTTCCTGGATGGGGGCCACAGGAACAGCTGGCAGGCCCAGGTGGAGCCATCGGTGGTCAGAAATGGAAAAACCTGAAAAGATATCTCAAAAGGCCAGTCTTAGGTTCTACAATAGTGATATTATCTGCAGGAGTAATTGGGGAAGTTGCAAATCTTGTGGCTAATTTGTTAGTCTTACAAAGGCAATCTGGTCCCCAGGCAAGAAGGGAGTTTGTTTTGCGAAAGGGCTGTTATCATCAAAGTTAAACTATAAACTACATTCCTCTCAAAGTTAGTTTGGCCTGTGCCCAGGAATGAACAAGGGCAGCTTGAAGGTTAGAAGCAGGATGGAATTGGTTAGATCAGACCTATGAACTATCATAACTTTCTCACTGTTATTATTTTTGCAAAAGTGGTTTCAGTCTAGATCTTGAAGGTCCCCTCCAGCTTATCATTCTACTTGGATATACCTGTAGGAAACTGTGGTAGCTATAATTTTTGCCTTCCTAACATGCTTCTTCCATAGCTTCTTCCAGTCATAACCACCTTCTGTTGGAAAACATGTTCTATGTAGTTCTGTGGGGTTAATGCCTCCCTCATCTGACATTCAGCACTATTCCAGTTTTATTATACTAACTACAATATATACTGTAGCAGGACAAGCCGCAGACAAAACTCCTCAGATATCGAGTTAAAGAAGGAAGAGGTTTATTTGGCCGGGAGCATCGGCAAGACTCCTCTATCAAGAGCTGAGATCTTCGAGTGAGCAATTCCCGTCCCTTTTAAGGGCTAACAACTCTAAGGGGGTCCACGTGAGAGGGTCGTGATCCATTGAGCAAGCAGCGAGTACATGACAGGGGCTGCATGCACCGGTGGTCAGAGTGAAACAGAACAGACCGGGAAGTTTCACAATGTCTTTCTACAATCTATAGATAAAATCAGTTGCTAGGTCAGGGGTCAAATTTTAACTACCAGGCTCAGGTCAGGCAGGCCCAGGCCTGGTTTCGGGCCTGGTTCCTTGGTTTCGGGTCTGGTTCCCAGGCGCCAGACTACCTGCCTTTTAGTTTTGCTTCTCTTTCCTTTTCTGAGTATAAAACAATATAAAACAACATGAGAGGGTCTGTCTCTCTTCTCTCAATACCATAAAGAACAATCAAGCAATAGTTATAGCTGTACCCAATGAACACTAAAAATCTTAAGAGTTCACAGCCTGAAGGACCCAAATAAAACAACCTAAGATCATAGTTTTTTGTTTGATTTTTTTCTGAATTGGGCAAGAAACATATAAAGATATATTCAGTGATCAAATCCCTAAGATTCTATAAAGCTCTATTTATGACAATTGCCTGCTCCACAAAACCCCTAAACTTTTTTCTGTTAAAGAACATTTACAGAGTGGGCATTCAAACCCAGAAAATCTGAATCCAGAACCTCTACTCTGAACTACAAGCCCATATCATCCCAGAATAATGGGATATGCTATTTATTTGCCTTGGGATTAATAGAGGGTAAATAACCCTTTCAGAATCATTACTGGTGATATAAAAAATTTAGCTATGCTCCTCAATTTAAAATATTGCATTACATTTTAAATTACTGTATTTAAAAACAAAATGTTACCATCTGGATATTCCTTTAACTTCTACAAGTAGGGAAAACTCATATTTAAGTCATTTGTCCTCAGGCCACTTTTGTCTTAAAGGTCTAATCTATCTCGGCTGGGTGCGGTGGCTCACGCCTGTAATCCCAGCACTTTGGGAGGCCAAGGTGGGGGGATCACCTGAGGTCGGGAGTTCGAGACCAGCCTGACCAACATGGAGAAACCTCGTCTCTACTAAAAATACACAATTAGCCAGGCATGGTGGTGCATGCCTGTAATCCCAGCTACTCGGGAGGCTGAGGCAGAAAAATCGCTTGAACCCAGGGGGTGGAGGTTGCAGTGAGCCGAGATGGCGCCATTGCACTCCAGCCTGGGCAACAAGAGCGAAACTCCGTCTCAAAAAAAAAAAAAAGAAAAAAAAAGTTCTAATCTATCTGCCATAAATTTACCCTCCAAGTCCAGATAACCTATGGCTCAGTTTGTCTCACTCCCTCTGACCACTTCGGTAAACACTTGAGACCAGGAAAGGAAATATACTAGATGCTGTATTTAGCTTCAGAACTATAAATTTCTTGTGGTTATGTGAAGTGATAACATTTGTGGAAGCTGAGTGAAGGATATAATGGAATTCTTTGTATTATTTTTGTAACTTTTGCTAAGTCTGAAATTATTTCAAAATGAAAAAATATTTAATTTAACATCATGTAGTCATTCTAATAAAAACACTTTGACACAACTGTTTAGGGGGAAATAGCAAAAAAAAAAAAAAAAAAAAAAAAAAATTAAAAAGGCCAGAGCTACATTTTTAACATAAAATTGAAAGTTATATGAAAGGTACATAAAACTATGTGTAACCAGACTTGTTTTTATTCACTATTCACATCAGAGAAGACTTGAGGGAATGGTTACTTCAGAATTAATCTGTAATAGATCACTCTCTAGACATTTTCTACATTTGTTTCCCCTTCAGTTTCAGTGTCATCTAATCCCTTCACCATGTATATAAAGCTTTAGATAAAGAAAGGAAACATTAGAGAAATACTAGATAGACACCCATGATGAAGTTGAGGCAAAAATGTCTCAAGAGGACCAGCAGAAGGAGTGGAAGATAAAGAAGAAAAAAGAAAGTCAGTGCACTTGGTCCCAAAGTTGAGGGAAAAAAAAAAAGATGTTGCTGCCCTCTATTCCTCCCTCCTTCCTAGCCCCCAATTAACTCATCATTCCTAAAATGCTCTCATAAAATTCTAACCAAATTCAATGTGGCTAATAGTTTTCATTTCCTACCAACTGCTAGGAAAATGTGGTCCCTCAGTGAAAACATCAACAAATCTCTTAATCTTGTAAAAAAATTAATCTTGTAAAAAGAGAATGTAAAATGTTTCCAGTTTGAGACCTGTCCTCATAAAACACACCTTTTTTAACCTCTTTAGAGAAAGTAAACTCAGTTGGGGGTATAAATAAACAATGGTTTCAACCTTGAAAGAGGGACTATTGCATAAATTAAATAAACCTTAAAATTAATTTCAAAATTAAATAAAAAGTATGCTCTTTTCTAAATAAATCAAATCAGTACTTTGTTAATCTGTTTAAATTATTACTTTCCTTAGTGAAGAGAAACTAGACATTTCAAACCTGGTCATGGATCCTATTCCTAACTGTCATATCTCCACAAGCAGGAAGATGCTAATTAAACAAACTCAAGGAGCACTTTGGAACCCACTCTTCACTTTTCAGTCTTTATCAGTTGAAGATGTCATATTTTGGAAATTTACATTTCCATCATACATTATGTTTAATACTAAGTTCATTTTTGCAAAATGGCCAGTAGATGACAAGCTTTGACATAATTTGCAGATCACTGAAAGGACTTTCCCCCTCATTCCTCTCAGTGTTGTCTTTTGGTATGATTGCGTCTCCATGATGAGGGAAGGGACTCATCTAAGCCAAGATGGGTGGCAGCATTTAATGTATCCATGGTCCCTGCCAAGAAAAGCCATGAACACAAAAATGTCATTCAGACCAGAGGCCTGAAAAGAGATGGAAAACCTCTAACAGTCTAAGGAATAGACCTAGGAAAATAAAAAGGCTCTTGTCTAGGCCTAAGTAAATACCAAATATACTTTATAAAAAGAGCAATGATCCAGAAATGAGATCTAGGTTCTGGCCTAGGCTCTGCTACTAGTTGGATAAGTTGTATTGAGGAAATTTTGCATTCATTTTTAAAGGGTTGATATATCTTCTTAAGGTCATTTGTGGAGCTTAGGACAACAATCGTGAAGTTAGATAAATTTCAAGGTATATATCCAACATTAGCATTCTGTGACAGTATGAGACTATACAAACCTTTGAAGCATATTACTAAATAATACCAGACTCTTATTAGAGTAGGTTTGGACCTGAGGTTTGAAAGCCTAAACCAAACAATTTTCACCAGTGTTGGGACTCAGAAAACAATACCTCAAAATGAAAGCCCCAGAAGCAGTCTCAGAAGCAAAAGCTTTTCTCTGACCTTTTCCTGCCCATCTGTCTCTCAGTCTTATTTGCCTCCAGGGCTAGCCATTGAAACTAATATCTCTCTTACCCAAGGCAAGTTACAGAAATCAGAACCCCTTTTTTCCAAAGCTAGTCATAAACCTAAAAATATTACTCTAATTTTTCCTTTTCCTCTTTATATAAAAACTAGCTATTAACAATTATCTGAACTACCTTAGGAAGGAATGCGTGCCCTGAGAGATCAAGAAAAATCGAGACAGACAAACCTTGATGGGTTCCCCCATTCAATCTTTTATCATTAGGTCATACTCTTTCCCTCCAATCATATTTGGACATGGCTGTCCATACCTTGTTGAACTGAAAAATGGGCAATTTTACCTTTACCTTTGGGTCTTCATTCTGAAGGCTGCCACATATACATGTTACATAAATTTATATGCCTTTTCTCCTATTAATCTGCCTCATGTCAGTGATTTTTCAGTGAACTTTTAGGAGGGCAATGACTTTAGCTCCCACAGTTTTGGTGCTATGTGCAGGGTCACCAAAGCTGCTCTGCTCTTCCGAAAGCCACCGTAAAAAAAATCCAGAACTTGATCAGCTGGTAATAGGGTAAAAATCTCTTCCCAGTCAGGCTCTCAACCTCTTTCTCTGTGCAATCTGGTTGAACAGATGATATAAATCACTGTTCGTCTCCTGTGAGATTTTAATTAATGGGAAAAAATCATTATGACTAGTCTTGGGGTTCCAGTGCCTAGTCTCTGGTGTACTTTTTGATACTTTCTGGTTATAAATATTCATATTGTTTAATCCATTTCCTCCCAGAAATAGTCTTTTCCTTTGTCTTTTTCTTTCTGTATTGTTCTGTCATAAAGAGGGGTACCAGATAAAGTTCCTTCTTCTCTAGTTTTATGTCCTTGAGAATTTGACTTGCGATCAAGTGGGGGAACTCTCTTGATCTTCACCATATGGGGCCATGATTTTTGGGTGACATCAGGTGACCAGTCTAAAAATGGCTGGGAACACAAGATTTTTTTTGTTCCAAATGTGCCAAGCCCTCAGGAGGGTTTGTCATACAATGTCCCATCCATAAGGAGCTTTTGTCTTCTCAACCCTTATTGCCTAGTTAATACTAAAAAAGTCCAATCCCAGGAGGGCCTACCCAGTGTCACAGATTAAGGGACCTGTGACTGGCAGTCCCCCCACACAAATCTGTGGGTTATCAGAGGCAAACACCACCCTTAACTGTCTGTGACAAGAGTCATTTGCTATCTCAGCCTATTCCTGAGAGTACATTATTTTGAGAGAGAACTTTAAAATTATTCCTTCTATGCCTTAAAATGACATCCCAAACTTTACATAAGAGACTTTTAAATAGAGTTGCTATTAAAACAAACTACACCATTAAAAATTCTAGTTGTCAATGGCCAAAAGAGAAATCCTTTAAATTTGACTAAAATTCTTAATTAAAAAAAATTTAGAGATCTCTCATTCTAAACAATTAACTTGTATTTATGACAAGGTCAGTTTTTTAAAAAGATACATAATAGTATCATGACTAGCCTTAAAAATTCTCTTAACTAAATTAAAAATCAAAAACAAAAAGCTAACCTAAAACAAAGTTAAAAATCCTTTATGAAAAATCCCCCGAGGGAATAACAACAGAAGCCATGCTGCCTTGTGCTCTAATAGACAAAATTCCACACTTTTACTGCCATTGCCTGGGTTTCACTCCTGCTCAAAAAATCCGATTCATTTAATATTTGTGTGACTTTTAACGTTTTGGGGGTACCCATTTGTTATAAGTCATTTTCCCTTGTACAGATAGCTTTTGATTTCCTGTCTTCCTCTTTTTTTTTTTTTTTTTTTTTTTTTTTTTGAGAAGGAGTCTCGCTCTTTCGCCCAGGCCGGAGTGCAGTGGCGCTATCTCGGCTCATTGCAAGCTCCGCCTCCCGGGTTCATGCCATTCTCCTGCCTCCGCCTCCCAAGTAGTTGGGACTACAGGCGCCCGCCAACGCGCCCGGCTAATTTTTATTTTATTTTATTTTTGTATTTTTAGTGGATGGGGTTTCACCGTGTTAGCCAGGATAGTATCGATCTCCTGACCTCGTGATCCGCCCGCCTCGGCCTCCCAAAGTGCTGGGATTACAGGCGTGAGCCACCGTGCCCGTCCCTGTCTTCCTCTTTTTGAGACGACATCTGGATTTTTGGGCCTTTATGTATACACGGTCAGCTATAAAACCGAGACCCTAAAAAATATGGCCAAACAAAAATGTGGATTATATATACTTCATTTGTTATTAAGAAAACTTTTCTTTTTTTCTTTTTTTTTTTTCGGAGACGGAGTCTCGTTCTATCACCCAGGCTGGAGTGCAGTGGCATGATCTCGGCTCACTGCAACCTCCGCCTCCTGGGTTCAAGCGATTCTTCTGCCTCAGCCTCCCAGTAACTGGGATTACAGGGGCCCACCACCATGCCCAGCTAATTTTTTTGAATTTTTAGTAGAGATGGGATTTCACCATGTTGGCCAGGATGGTCTTGAACCCCTGACCTCAAATGATTCACCCGCCTCGGCCTCCCAAAGTGCTGGGATTACAGGCGTAATCCCAGCCACCGCACCTGGCCAACTTTTCTTTCTTTAAGCCGTCTTTGGGATAGTTCTAGATCTTATGAGGACTGCTTTGTACCTTTTATAGACGCTTCATGCATCCTTGGTTAAGTCATAAGGTTAACCGAGTCTTAACTTTAAAAGGTACCTTTAGTCTAAACAACAAAAAAAGCAATCTTCATGTTTGTTGATGTATAGACTACTCAAAAAGTTCACTAAAACATCTGATATAAACTACAAACCAGAAAAATTATCAGATTGCCACTATCTGCTCTCACTTCATCTAAAGATGCTTCCAGCCCAACATCTAAAAATCTTCTCAACTGGCTGCCCTCTGGACTCAAAAACTGAGTTTACAGTTTATTCTAGCCATTAATCTTTATTTTTATTTTGTTTCCATGGAAATGCCTCTTATCTGATTGTCAAATAATATAGAAGCCAGACTTTGGCGAAAGTCCATCTATAACATCAATGCCTAAAATGAGATACAAGCATAAATATTAACTATTCAACTGAACCAGCCTATTATCAGGACTTAGAGACTTACTCAAATGGCTTAAAAGACAATCCACCAACCCAACTTCTGATTGAGAAACTTCTCGAGGAAGTTTCATACTGGGGGATGTTGAGCTTCAGAAAACAATACCCAAAAATAAAGGCCTCAGAATCAGTCTCAGAAGCAAAAATTTTTCTCTGACCTTTCCCTGCCCTCCTATCTCTCAATCACATTCTCTCCCAGGGCTAGCCATAGAAACTAAAATCTCTCTTTCCCAAGGCAAGTCACAGAAACCAGAACTCCTCCCTAAAGCTAGTTATAAAACCTAAAAAATATTTCTCTAAGTTCCCCTCTACCTTTACATATAAAAACTGGCTATAAAAAAATCATCTGATCTATTGGGTCCCGCCCCACACCCAGAAGGAAGGAATGGATGCTCAGAGAGGCCAAGAAAAATCTAGACAGACAGGCCTTGATGGGTTTCCCCAAGCAGTGTATTAGCATTATATCATACCCCTTTCCTCCAATCATATTTCTACATGGCTGTCCGTATTTTGTTGAACCTAAACATAAAAATAGACAATTTCCCCTGTATCTTTGGGTCTTCATTCTGAAGGCTCCTGTGTATACTCGTTAAATAAATTTATATGCCTTTTCTCCTATTAACCAATTGCCTCATGTAACTGATGTTTTAGCAAGCCTTAAGAGGGCCAAGAGTTCCTCTTGACTCCTACACCAGGAACATGAGAACATGAGAGAAAAGGAAGAACACAGTTTTTAAAAAGATGCAGGGAATCTGAAAACAGTATCAATAAACATGGGTGACCTCACAACTCTACCAAGAAACAGCACTACTTAACATGTTAGAAGTATTCTGCCTCTCCCTTAGAGCAAATAGGTCTTTCATTATTGTTTATCTTAACTGTGTTGAGGAGTTTTTGTTTGTTTTCAGACAAGGTCTCATTCTGTTGCCCAGGCTGGAGTGCAGTGACACGATCTCAGCTCACTGCGGCCTTGACCTCCTTACCTCCTGGGCTCAAGCAATCCTCCCACCTCAGCCTTCAGAGTAGCTAGCACTACAGACGTGCACCACCACATCCGGTTAATTTTTGTATTTTTTGTAGAGCCAGGGTTTTGCCATGTTGCCCAGGCTGGCCTCAAACTCCTGGGCTCAAGTGATCCTCCTGCCTCAGCCTCCCAAAGTGCTGGGATTACAGGCATGAGCCACCATGCACGATGGAGGAGTTTTCTTAAGGTTACAGGACCTTGAGCACTTCTGAAATTTAAAAGCTATAAAAACAATGAGAAATGACCCATATTTATTTTATTCTGTATCACCAGCCTAATTCTTCACCATTTTGGGTTATATAGTCAGTTAGCAACAGCCTATTGACTATGAATTTGGTATAGAGCATTGTACTATGGAATAAGAATGTACAAAACAATTAAAAAAGATAGACCCTGCCCTCAGAGAGCTCATAATTGCATTGGAAACACAGACATGCAATCAGTAATATGATTTGCAAATACATGTATGATTTTCAAATATATATTAACATATTCACAAATATGCATGTATGCATATATGTGTATGTATTCACAAAATGCTCACTCGAATAACTAAATGAAAAAGACAAGATTAAGTGTTAGTAAGGATTTACAGCAATTACAATTATCATAAAATGTTGATGGGAATGTAAATTTGTATAATCACTTTGAAAAACTGTCAGTGTCTACTAAAACTGAATGAACATACATATACCCTATAGCCCAGGAATTCTTCTAGGTATGTACTCAACAGTAATGTACATATATGTTCTTCAAAAGATATTTACAAGAATATTAATAGCAGCATTATTCACAAGAGTCAAAAACTGGAAACAACGCAAATGGCCTTCTACAATAAAGTGAAAAAGTTATTGTGGTATATTCATTTAACGAAAAGGTATACAATTATGGAAGTGAAAAAACTACAAATACACATAATAACATGAATAATTTCTCAAACAAGGCTGAGTTTCAGTAGAGTTAAGATGGTATTAGGTGAATGTTGACAGAAAGAAATGATAAACAAGAGAGTAAAGACCATATGATTCCATTTATGTCAAGTATAAAACCAGGCAAAACTAATCTATGCTATTAGATGTCAGGTGAGTGATTACCTTCAAGGGAGTAGTGACTGGAAGGGAGCACAAGGGGAGTTTCTTGGATGCCGGGAATGGTCTGTTTCTTAATCTGGGTCCGGGTTACATGGATATGTCCACTTTGTGAAAATTAATTGAGCTGCACACTTATAATATGTTTCCTCTTCCATATGCATGTTATAAAATAAAATTTACATGTTATAAAATAAAATTTACTTCAATAAAATTTACATGAAAATACACATCTTTATATACCCCCAAATACAAATACATTCAGGATAAATGAACAGCCCACCATAAATACCAAGGAATCCTGTAAGTAGGAATAAAAGTCCTATGTGTAGAAATATGTAGGAATCAGAATCAAATGGGGCATAACTAAGAAGATATCTCAGGGTGAGGTTGCAGTCAGGTTTTGAAGAAAGAGCTTACAAATTGGAGGGAGGAGTGGTGAGGAGTTTAGGACAGTTAAAAAGCTGTTTTCAAATGAGATAAATAACACGTATAGAAGCACTAGTCATGATATGGCTTGAGTTGTGACTTCTTTTTATAACTTGGAGAAGTATAAACTACCAAAATAATATGGGCTTTTGACTTTCTGTTCTTCTTATTCTGGATTCCTATGTTACAGTGTAGTATTGTGTCAGACCATGACCCCCTCCCCAAGGGCTAGTACCAAGTCTTACTCATCTTTATATTACTACCATCTGAAACGAAAGCTATGAAACCTCAGATAAAAAATGCTTATAGCTTTTGTTAACTAATAATGAATAAGTAACTGGCAAATTAATCAAATAGGTATATGGAAACTGTCTCGTACTGGTTTTTTGTCTTGTGTATTGTTTAAGTTAAAATAATAGAGTTGGGATGTCAGAAATTTTCTGAAGCCGACCACAGTCCCCAGCTGTGGCTTAGTAACCAAGGAAAACCAAGGATTTCTCCTTCTGATCCAGCAGTCGGCACAATGCCAGGTGAGTCAGTGACCGGTAGAGCAGGTGGTGACACATTCTAATCATAGCCCAGCTCTAGGCAAACAGCAGCTGCTAAGAGTTCCTGCTGGCCTGAGTAAGTTTTCCAGGCCCAGCCAGCCAAGAGCAGCCCTAGTTAAAACCCGCCAGCAGTTTTCCCATCTGTCTCCCTCATGCTACTTGCGACACTTCACACATCTCACCCCAAAGTGCATTGGGACTCTTGCTCCCCGTCTCTACTAAAACTACAAAAATTAGCCGGGCATGGTGGTGCACATCTATAATCCCGGCTACTTCGGAGGCTGAGGCACAAAAATCTCTCGAACTCAGGAGGCAGAGGTTGCAGAGAGCTGATATGGTGCCACTGCACTCCAGCCTGGGCAACACAGCAAGACCCCTTCTCAAGAAAAAAAAAAAAAAAAACAATAGGCAGAAGTGGCTTAGCACACAGTACTATGGCCGTCTTCCCCAAAGCTTGGACTACAGCAACCAATGTGAGGCTTAGCTCTGCAAGGAGACCCAAATCACAGCCACTTCATGCTGATCATCAGTTCTTTGCTACCTCCACAGTAATTCTAGGGATCATGCCAGCCCTGGAGGTGGGGAGTCCTGGGGGGAGGGAAAAAGGGTGCAGGCTACAGTGGGTCAGGATTCTAAGGGAAAACACTGAGTGAGGAAGCTGTGAGGGCCTTCTTAATGACTGGCTTCTTGAGCTGAAACTGGAAATCAGAGCCCTCTGGTTATGGACATTGGATTTTTCATATCCCAGAGAACGGTTGTTATGTTTTTTTTCTCTCTGAGAAGCCAACACAAACATTTCAGGGACTCAGAAGAGTACATTGTGTCCTCCCTAATTCTCAGTGACTCCTGCTAATTTTCCTTGAGATGTAATGAAAAGAACCCTGGGTACATTATCAGGCTGGGTTCAAACTCTATTTCAGCTGCGCTTCTCCATTCTAGCTGTGCCACTCCAGGCAAATTAGTTAGTTCCTCCGCTGATAAAATAGTGTCATCACAAAGCTCAATGATAAATACTAACTTGGTCTCCACCATATGTCAGGCACTGCTCTAGCTGCTCATTCTGGATTTACCGCAACCCTGTTGGGTAGAAGCTAATATTACTACCCTTTATACTGAAGGAAACCAAAATATTTCACTCTAAAATATATTTCCTTGACATACTTCAATATGGCTAATCAGAACGGCTGGAAATACAAGAATAGCTAAAAAGCTTTCTTTTGTGGGGAAGATATGTATCTGTAGAGAAAATCTGCATGGATGCAGCCAGGCTGTCTCTGAAGCCCTCCCTTGTTCAAAAGATGAACTGAGAGTCTGACACCTTTCAGGGCCTGAAAGAAACATTCACTAGCTCTCTGAGGACTGCTACCAGTGAGGTTTCTTCTACATAACAAAACTCCCTTTGTTAGCTAAGCCTCCTCTTCTCCCCCTCCCATAACCTGTCTTGCCACTGTAACCTGATTTCCACCATAACTTATTTTGGCCGTGCTCTGAGATCACAATCTTTCTGTAGCCTCAAGATGATATATAAGCCTCTGTACCCCATTAGAGGGTTGGAGTAATCATTCTGTGATTTTCCCTCAATGCACGTGAATACATTTCTCTGCCTTTTCTCTTATTAATCTGCCTTTTGTCAGCGGATTTTTCAGCAAGCCCTCACGGGGCCAAGGGGGAGTTTTCTCCTGGCTCCTATGACACAGATGAAGAAATGAGGCACAGAGAGGGCATGCAACATTCCCAGGGCCACACAGCTATGAGCAGGTGTGAAGTCTGAACTCAGGCAAACTGGCTCCAGGCCTGACCTTTTAACCACCATCTCCCAGAAGGTCAAAGTGCCTGGGAAACATGGAGATGGAACTTAACACTTGATGTATTTTACTTTTTGAAAGGTAATGTGGTGCAATGAAAAGAACTTGGGTTTTAGAGTCAGACTGACTAAATCCGATTTAATTGCTGTGTGATCTTGGGCAAATTACATCATTTCTCTGAGTCTCAGTATCCTAAAAATGAAGTTGCAATCATAATCCATACATTGGAGGGCCGCTGGGAGATGTGCACTTACAGCACCAAACCTGGCACTTGATGGGCACTCAAGTGAACATTAACTTTAATCCTCTTCCTAGGCAGGCATATGTAGAGCACTGAAATACTCTTCTGTGAGTATCCTAACATGTTAAGCCTTTCTTCCTTCTAATAAAGAAAACAAACAGGACAAATAAAAGCCATCCGCTCATAGTGATAGACAGGAGACAGCCAAGAGTCCCTGGTGAAACCCCACCTTCAAGCCTAAAACAGCCTGAAGGCTGAAAAACTGGACTGCTGGTCCCGGATGAAGCCTGCCCTTTCCCAGCTGATTCCTTCTGAATAATGCCCACCTGCTCACTGGGAAGATTGGTGGAGTCTCAGGAAGTTCGTGCCATCTGCAGGGGGAAGGAGCCTGGCCTCTCCTGTTCCTGGGTGGTGACCTGGGATTCAATCTGTGAGGAAGGAAACCTGCTAGCAGGACTCTCACTTTGCTGAGCATTATTTTTCCTTCTTCCTTTTTGCCCAATAAATTCCATTTTCCTCACCCTTCTATGTGTCTGCGAGCCTAATGTTTCCTGGTCATGTGACAAGAGCCCGGTGTGAGCTGAACTAAGGAGAAAGTTCTGCAACAATAGTACCTCAGGGTCTCTCTGCAACTTTCCTGGGACTTTTTTCTGATGGAAGGAAAATAAGAAATAGGAAAGATGTTTAAGGAAGCACCCATCCCTGTAATCAATGATACCAAATAAGACAGAATGGGCAGCCGGAGTGATAGTCATCTTCTTAATGTAATCAACTAGTATTCTGCCAAATTCCTCTTTATTTTTTTGTCAGGTCAGACGGGTAATGTGCCAACGTCTAACAAGATGCGAGGGTGGTACATCTCACACATGCATGTGAACACCCAATCGTCATGCTCGGGAACTATAAAGGGATCTCCAAATTCCTCTGTAGTTAACTAAACCTACTACAAAGTTGATTTAACCTCTGAGAAACTGAAATGCTGCCTTATGATACAGCATTTTTAAAATTTTTCTCTCAAATCTCAAATGCTTTAAGACAAATCCACTTCTTTCTTTCATCTTAGGGTAATAAAATCATTATTCAAACCCTGCAAAAGCATGAATCTCATTTCCTTGCCCCCATCTCTACTGAGATATTTTACCAATTAATATTTACTGTACAGAGTGGGCCTGTTTTAACATTGCACTCCAGAAAGCCTTTTACTAAACTATTTTCTTGAGAGCACGGTATCTTGCCGTAAAGACAATAACTCCCAAGATCTTTTTTCATAACCTCTATTAGAATGTAAATCACAATAGCAAATATGCACTGACACAAGTACCCTGTAGGTTAAGTTGCTTACACCTGACTAGGAATTGCCACAAAACCCTGATCAAATTTGTCAGGTTTGACGTAGGATTCTAAGACTTATTTATAAAGCAATATTTTCAATATCTCCCCAGAACTCCCAAAGCTATATCTGAGACAATGATAAAAATCCATGAAATTAATTTCATCCTCAAAATCAAAGCAGCTGCATTAATAATTAACTTAATACATTTCAAAGCCATCTCAATTGTGCCTACAAATCTAGCACAGATTGAGATCAAACCTGGAACACAATTCCATTTTCCAAACTATGAATTAATGCTGATGAAGGGTGAAACTGCTGACCCAAAAATACCTATTACGTTAACCATCATTCACATCAGCAGCAGCAGCATCCTGTCCTTTGCACAAGAAGTAGACACCTATTGACTCACTTTTTAGAAGGCTCTGTCCTTGAAATATTTTGTCAGTAAGAATGTTGAACTTGATCCAGACATCTTTACTCAATTTCAATTCTGATCAACATTTTCAAGGACTCTAGCCAGGGTTAAATGAGCAGTCTATGGCCAAGGACTAACACAAAGTTAACTGTTTTACCAGGAAATCAAACACTTTACCTTGATCCAATAAGCATCTACAGAGTTATGGTGAATCACACTGATATGGTTTAAATCTGTGTCCTCACCCCAATCTCATGTTGAAATGTAATCCCCAATGCTGAAGATGGGGCCTGGTTGGAGGTGAGTGGATCATGGGGGCAGTTTCTCATGATTTAACACCATCCCCCTTGGTGCTATCATAGCAATAATGAATTCTCACGAGATCTGGTTGTTTAAAAGTATGTGGCACCTTCCCCCTCTCTTGCTCCTACTCTGGCCATGTAAGATGTGCCTGCTTCCCGTTTGCCTCCTGCCATGATTATAAGTTTCATGAGGCCTCCTCAGAAGCAGAAGCTGCTATGCTTCCTGTACAACCTGCAGAATCATGAGCCAATTAAACCTCTTTTCTTTACAAATAACCCAGTCTCAGGTATTTCTTTATAGCAATGCAAGAATGGACTAATATAGAAAATTGGTACCAAGGAGTGGGGCATCGATATAAAGATACCTGAAAATGTGAAAGCAGCTTTGGAACTGGATAATGGGGAGAAATTGGAAGAGTTTGGAGGCACAGAAGAAGATAGGAAGATGAGGGAAAATTTGGAACTTCCTAGAAACTTATTGAATAGTTGTGGTCAAAATGCTAATAACGATATGGACAGAGATGGCCAGGCTGATGAGGTCTCAGACGAAGATGAAGAACTTATTGGGAACTGGAGTAAAGATCACTTTTGTTATTCTTTAGCAAAGAACTTGGAGGCATTGTGCCCCAGCTCTAGGGATCTGTGGAACTTTGAACTTGAGAGTGATGATTTAGGGTATCTGGCAGAAGAAATTTTTAAGCAGCAAAGTGTTCAGGAAGTAGTCTGTCTGCTTCTAACAGCCTATGCTCATATGCATGAGCAAAGAAATGACCTGAAACTGGAACTTATATTTAAAAGGGAAGGAGAGCATAAAAGTTTGGAAAATGTGCAGCCTGGCCATGTGGTAGAAAAGAAAAACCCATTTTCAGGGGAGGAATTCAAGCTGGCTGCTGAAATTTGCATAACTAAAAGGAAGGCAAAGTGCTGATAGCCAAGACAATGGGGAAAAGGCCTTGAAGGCATTTCAGAGATCTTTAAGGCGGCCCTCCCATCACAGACCCAGAAGCCTAAGAGGGAAGAATGGTTTCCTGGAACAGGCCCAGGGCCCCACTGTGCCAGGCAGCCTCCAGACACTGCTCCCTACATCCCAGCTGCTCCACCTCCACCCATGGCTCAAAGGGGCCCAGCTACAGCTCAGGGCACTGCTCCAGAGGGTGTAAGCCATAAGCCTTGGAGGCTTCCAAGTAGTGTTAAGCCTGCAGGTGCATAGAGCACAAGAGTTGAGGGTTGGCAGCCTCTGCCTAGATTTCAGAGGATGTATGGAAAAGCCTGGATGTTGAGGCAGAGGCCTGCTGCAGGGGCACAGCCCTCATGAAGAACATCTACCAGGGTAGTGCAGACGGGAAATGGGAGGTTGGAGACCCCACACAGAGTCCCCACTGGGGCATTCCCTAGCGGGGCTGTGAGAAGAGGGCCATTGTCCTCCAGACCCAAGAAAGGTATATCAACCAGCAGCTTGTACCCTGCACCTGGAAAGGCTACAGGCACTCAACGTCAGCCTGTGTGAGCAGCTGCAGAGGCTGAAGCCTGAAAAACCACAGAGGTGGAGCTGCCCAAGACCTTGGGAGCCCACCCCTCACACCAGTGTGCCCTGGATGCGAGACATGGAGTCAAAGAATTTTATTTTGGAGCTTTAAGATTTAATGACTGCCCTGCTGGGTTTTAGACTTGCATGGGGACTGGAGCCCTTTTCTTTTGGCCAATTTCTCCCTTTTGGAATGGAAGTATTTACCCAATGCCTATAATCCCGTTGTATCTTGGAAGTAACTAACTTGCTTTTGATTTTACAGCCTCATAGGTGGAAGGGACTTGCCTTGTCTCAGATGAGATTTTGGACTTTGGACTTTTGAGTTAATGATGAAATAAGGTAAGACTTTGGGGGGACTGCTGGGAAGGCATGATTGTATTCTGCTCCTAATTCAGTCATGTAAGATGTGCCTGTTTCCCCTTTACCTTCCGCCATGATTGTAAGTTTCCTGAGGCCTCCCCAGAAGCAGAAGCCACTATGCCTCCCGTATAGCCTGCAGAACTGTGAGCCCGTTAAACTTCCTTTCCTTATAAATTACCCAGTCTCAGGTATTTCTTTATAGCAATGCAAGAATGGACTAATATACACAGGAAATCAGTTTCACAACTACTACAGAGCTCCTCAAGTATAACCTAAGGATGCTGAAGAAAACTGAATGAAAGATCCACTACTTCATTATTATTTCAGAGCTGTGATTGGAAGCATGTACTTAAACACCAGCTATTCATAATCACAGGATAATAGATGGTCCCTGAATTTATTCAGGGATTTAAATTTATGGCTTCATAGAATAAAAATTACGCACTTCCCTTAGGAAGTAAAATATTTGTCCATCCCAAGGAAAGAGAAGCATATTTTATTCAACCTTGATGAGACCAGATTTCAGTGCAGCTCAGTATGTTATGGTGGGTATATTAGTTTTTTAGGACTACCATGACAAAGTATTACGAACTTGGTGGCTTGAAACAACAGAAATGTATTCTCTTACAGTTCTAAAGTCCAGAAGCCTAAAGCCAAGGGATCAGTAGGACCAGCCTTCCTATGAAGGTTCCAGAGAAGAATTCTTCCTTACCACTTATTAGCTTCTAGTGTATCTTGCAATCCTTAGAAAAGCTTGAGATATAGCACCATCACTCAAACCTCTGCCCTCATTGTATATGGCCTTCTTCCTTCTGTGTCTGTGTGTCCACTCCCCATATGAAGACACCAGTCATTGGATTTAGGGCCCACACTAATCTAGTATGACCTCATCTTAACTAGTTACAACTGCAAAGATTCTAGTTTCAAATAAGGTCACATTCTGAAACTCTGGGTGGATGTGATATTCTGTAGGGCACTATTCAACCCACTACAGTGGGCACTCTCAATCGGATATGGTGCCAAAGAGTCACAGCTCTTAGCAGATTAATCTCCTATAAGGCTTCTTGGTTCCACATAAGAGCAGGAGACTGCGAACTGTTTTCCCTCCAGGTCTTCACACTTTAGTGTAATTTGGTAGTCTACAAGCAATGCCCAATTTAGAGCAGTATACTAAACATGTGCAGTTTTTACCTTCTTTTATTTGCCAAGGTATCTTAGCTCTTGACAAAAGTTAAAATTGACATAGAAAGCAGAAAAAGCAGTGATTTAAACTAAAACTCTTTTAAAATGTTGACCAAACATTAATTCACACTAGCCAAAGAGGAAGGTGATTCTAATGTTCAGCCAAATTGTTAACAACTTTAGAGCAGTGGTTTTCCAAATATGATCTCTAGACAAACAGCATAGGCATCATCTGGGAGCTCCTAAGAAATACAGAATCTCAGCCCTCACTCCAAATCCATAGAATCAGAATCTTCATTCTAACGTTATTCTCCAGATGACTGATGTGCTCTGTTCTAAAACTCTGATGCCAAAAGTAAAAGTCTAACCCTCCCATGTAATTCTATACTTTCTGGCAGGAATGGGTATTTGTTTTGCTGAGGGCTGATAGGGAATGTTAAACACATACACACTTGCACATACTGGTCCTTTGCCTTCCCACAGAGTGGCAGCAGCTTTCCAAATGAACAAGCTGTTTCCATGACACCAAATCCTTAATTTGAAGCAGATACACCAACCACCCAGGAGCGTGATAGCATGAAGCACCATTTCATATTTATTTTATTTAGGTTCTTGGTCTCAAACATCTCCTCCTTGAAAAAGAAATCTTTGAGAAGAAACACTAATATTTAAAGCAACACTTTAATTGGCAAATTTGTCCCCTTTCTTTGTCCTATAAATAGAGCACTCTGAATTATTCTGTTAAGTCCCTTTTCATGATTAATCAATCAGAGATAATATGAATGACTAGTAAATTAATTATACTACTATGAGTATACAGTCTGCCCATCTAGTGAATGTTTTCCTTTTCTCGATCACAGTTCCAGGCCATTTTATTCTTAATACATTCTTTAAATTCAACTTATTCTTTGCTGTGAACATGTATCTTTCTGTCACTCCTCTGAACAAATAATGGAAAAATTCTCCATTTTGCATCATCTATACTGAACAATATCCTGACATGAGAGAGGCAAACTCAGGAATGTGACTAAAAGCAATTTATTTGCATTAACAGCAGCATGGAAAGACGGTGAATCGAGTCTAGCATGTCCTGAACAAGCCTCCTTTAAATGTTTATCTCCACAGCTTTTCTAAATTAATTTACCCCACCAACAAATTTAAAGGGAAACAACAGTGTGTTGAATGCCAACCAGTTAAAAATAGTCAAGTCTGTTCTGCAGGGAACAGATCAAATTCAAAAGTACAGAAAGGAGCCGTGTGCAAAGAGGGCAATTAAATAAGCACATACATAATATGGCTCACAGTCACAAAACTGCAGGCTCAGGTGCAAATCAGCTTCACTGTCAGAAGGTTCAGGCAGGAGCTGTTAGAATTCTTCACAGCATTTTCGAGCCCGGGACACCTACCAGGCTTTCACCCACCTGCTCACACACCAGATAAAATTTGAGAAAAAGAGAGTGTTGCTTGAATGCATAATTCCCAAATGCCTAAGGCAAATAGAGGTCTGAATCTGAGGGATTCACCCATTCTTTGTTCCTATGCTCCTGAGATTCAGCCATTCAGTCCCAGGATTGTAGGGTATGAATCATTGCTGTAAATCATTTTGGATTTCTAAATATATAAGGACAATTTAAGAGAAAAAACAAGGTGACATTCCTTCCACAACCTTCAAGAGCTGGCTCTGTGACAAGAATCAGCACCAGGGGAACCCAGCCACGAGAAAGAAGAGGTAGCCCAGAAAAATCCCTTCTAGACGGAAGGATAACAGGAAATGGGATAAAGGAGCAGGGAATGAAGCAAGGACTGACAAAACAGAGCTGAGCTTAGAGCTCAACCAGCTGCCTTCTCTATCATGTAAATTTCTCAAGGAGTTACATGGGCTGCATTTGCTACACAGGTGTTGCAGCTGCCCTCTCATCCCATATCTCCATGAGGATGTGGCCCATGTCTATTTTCTTCATAGTTGTATCTCCAGCATTGAGTACACTGATAGGCATTAGTAGGAGCACAATGTACATATTTGATGGAATTAACTGATTAATGAATGAAACAAAAAGGTTCCCAGCAAAGTTTATCAAATACTATTTTTGTAGAATTATCATTATAATTATCATTATAAAAATGATACCTGTATTTTTCTGGGGAAATGTGGAAAAGAACATTTTTCCATAGACAAAATAAAATCACATACTGAAATGGAAGAAAAACTGTAAATCTCATTAAAGGAAACAATTGTGCTCTCCTAATAAAATATTATACATAATATAAATGGAAACATAAGCATGAAATAAGTAAGGATTTTCTTTTTTTAGTTTGGCTCAATAATTTATCCAGCATTGATAGCCTAGCTGAACAGAAAAGCTAGGCCAGCGAAGCTACTGAACTTTGATCAAAGTTCCTGCACAATATTTTTGCCTCTGTATTTCACAGTAACATTCAACTTCCCTTGGATCCTCAGATTCAAACATACTATGGAAGTTGATGGTGGTGATGACTAAATTTCCCTGGATGGATGAACAAAACAGGTTTATGAACCAATTTGCAGCAGCAATTAACAAGCATATGAAGAAGATACTGACTAGAATATATGAAAGAGGCTGGGAAAGTATTTTTAGCACACCAACATGCAGTAGAAATGTAGGAGGGAGTGAATCTTGGCAGTGTAAAAGGTCTAATTGTGTTGCAGATGCTCTACTATGTGAGAAATCTTAATAGCTCTTACACCATCCCAAATCCCTGACCCAGCCCCAGGCTCATTCGGCATCCAGTAACGGAATAGATGGAGCTACACTCACAGCCCCCACAGCAAGCAGATGGAGAAGCAGCAGCAGGATTCTGTATGGGGGAGGTTGATGCCCAGTGCTCCCTCTAGCACTAAAATTCTGTGGGAACCTGGATTGCCCAGGACACAAAAGTAGACCATAATAAAGTGTTGTGACTTTCCAATCCCTCTGTCACACCTTCCCAAAGTCAGATGTTTCTAAAGGGTACTCCACATGGGCTCTGCACTTCTCTGTTACCCTCCTGATGCAGTCTCTGTGAGAGCTCAACCATGGATGTCATCAGAGCTCAGGTCTTAGGCCCTGCTGCTCACCACATATCAGACAAAGAGGTTACCTCCCGTCTCGGTCTGCACAGGGATGACTGTTCATAACTGCTGTCCAGGTCACACCACATGTAGCATATACCAGCCTGACCCTATCACCTCTGGCTCGCACCATTCCTGGACATGCCTACTGCCTCCCACTGCCAGCACCTGCAGCTTTCCACCTGAGGGCTTTCTCATATGAGGGCAGACAGGAAGTGCCGGGAGTTAGTTACCCCAGGAGTAGTTCTCAGCCAGAAATGATAGAATTGGAGGATAAAATCCCTAGCTTCCTTGCCCTTTGGATGGAATAACTCTGAAGGATGTTTTATATTATCTCTCAGATGCCCCTAGTAAGACTGAGCTTCACCCACAGTGGTCATCTGCTCAATGGTGTACACTTTATTGCCATTTGTTACAAAATATACTTTTGTGTTTTATAACCCAGCCCTCATTTCCAAGCAAGGAAACAATGGAATTGCTTTTGTTCCCACACAGACAAGTACTTTAACATTACAATTTCCTATGAAAGAGGAAGTGTGGCAGGCATGTCAGAGACTGCCCATTTAACCTCAGGCCTTACCATTGTAAGCTGGCGGACTGCCAGCTGCCAGCACCTACAGCTCTCCACCTGAGGGTTTGCTCTGGCTACCAGGGCCCACTTTGCCACCCACAACATGCTAGAAACAGCAGGGAGTTGATACACTCAGGAGCAGCCCTCAACCTATGACTGAGAGGGATAGCTCTGAAACACTTATTCCATGCTGGCTCTCAGTATTCCTAGTGGAATCATGCTCCAGTTACCCGTGATGCTAACTTGCTTGATAACACTCCCTTCCCTTCCCCTTCTCCTTCTCCTTCCCCTTCCCCTTCCGCTTTCCCCTCGTGTCTCCTCCTGTCCCCTCCCTGTGTCCTCCCTTCCCTTCCTCTTTTCCCACCCCTTCCTCCCCTCCCTTCCCCAATTCACTTCCCCACTCTCCTGTCAGTGTTTCCTGGGATCAATTTCCAAATTAATTACAGTTGCCCCTTGCTATCCATGAGGGATTGGTTTCGGGACTTCCCCACAGATACCAAAATCCACAGATGCTCAAGTCCCTTATATAAAATAGTGTTGTTTTTCCATATAACCTATGCACATATTCTTGTATACTTTAAATTATCTCTATATTACGTATAATACCCAATACAACGCAAATGCTATGTAAGTAGTTATACTGTCTTGTTTGGGGAATAAAGACAAGGGAAAAAATCTGTAAATATTCAGTAGAGACACAATTATCCCATTTTTCTGAATATTTTTGATCCACAGTTGGTCAAATCTACTGATGTGTGTGTAACCCATGGATATAGAGGGCTGACTGCACTTGTACTCGTGTCTTAGCCTCAGGGTCTGTTTCTAGGGAAAGATAGTAAGATAGGGAAGAGATGCAATTCCAAATGTCTGTGACTCTAAATGCCAAATAAGCATCCAGAGAAAGACACGAACCCTTAAATCCCTAAATTTTGTTTCCTACAAAGATTAGTGTGAAGGTAAAATGAAGCCCTTGGAGTTCCAAGGCCTCAGGATTATTTACCAAAAAGTTTATCTCTAAGAACACTTCTGAGCCCAGTACTGAGTTACCAAAGATTCTAATGTACTACTCTGGTCCTTCAGCATTTCTTTTGTATCTATTCCACAGGATATAATGAGCCTCTTAAAAGAACCTGCCTGGTCAAAATTTTAAAAAATATTTGTTTTTATTTTTGTGGGTATGTAGTTGCTATATATATATATATTTATGGGTTTCATGAGACGTTTTGATACAGGAATATAATATAAAATACGCAAATTATCAAGAATTGAGTATCCATTCCCTAAAGCATTTTTGCTTTGAGGTACAAACAATCCAATTACACTCTTTAAGTAACTTAAAATGTACAATTCAGTTATTATTGACTATAGTCACCTGGTTGTGCTATCAAATAGTAGGTTTTACTCATTCTTGCTACTTTCTGTACCTGTTAACCATCCCCATTTCCTCCCAGCCCCCCACTACCTTTCTCAGGCTCTAATAACCATCCTTCTACTCTCTATTTCCATGAGTTTAATTGCTTTGATTTTTAGATCTCACAAAAAAGTGAGAATATGTGATGTTTGTCCTTCTATGCCTGGCTTATTTCACTTAACATAATGATCTCCAGTTCCATGCATGTTGTTGCAAACGATTGAATTTCATTTTTAATAGCTGAATAGTACTCCATCATGTATATGTACCACAAATTGTTTATCCATTCATCTGTTGGTAGATGCTCAGGTTGCTTCCAAATCTTGCCTATTGTGAACAGAGCTGCAACAAACATAGAAATGTAGATACCTCTTCAATATACCGATTTCCATTCTTTTGGGTGTATACCCAGCAGTGGGATACCTGGGTCATATGGTAGCTCCATTTTTAGTTTTTTGAGGAATCTCCAAACTGTTCTCCAAAGAGGGTGTACTTATTTACATTCCCACCAAGAGCGTACAAGGGTTCCCTTTTCTCCACATCCTCGCCAGCATTTCTTATTGCCCGTCTTTTAAATAAAAGTTATTTTAACTGAGGTGAGATGATATCTCCTTGTAGTTTTGATTTGCTTTTCTCTGATGATCAATGATGTTCAACACCTTTTCATATGCCTGTTTGCCATTTGTATGTCTTCTTTTGAGAAATGTCTATTCAAATCTTTTACCCATGTTTTGATTGGATTGTTAGATTTTTTTTCTACAGAGTTGTTTGAGCTGCTTATATATTCTGGCTATTAATCCCTTGTCACATGGGTAGTTTGCAAATATTTTGTCCCATTCTGTGAGTTGTCTGTTCACTTTGTGGATTGTATCCTTTGCCATGCAGCTTTTGAACTTGATGCGATCTCATTTGTCCATTTTAGCTTTGGTTGACTTAGCTTTTGTGACTTGTGCGGTATTACTCAAGAAATTTTTGCCCAGACCAATGTCCTGGAGATTTTCCCCAATGTTTTCTTGTTGGAGCTTCATAGTTTGAGGTCTTGATTTAAGTCTTTAATCCATTTTTATTTGATTTTTATATATGGTGGGAGAGAGAGGGGTCTAGTTTCATTCTTTTGCATATGCATATCCAGTTCTCCCAGCACCATTTATTGAAGAGACTGTCTTTTCCTCAGTGTATGCTCTCGGCACCTTTGTTGAAAATGAGTTCATTGTAGGTGCATGGATTTGTTTCTGTGTTCTCTGTTCTGTTCCATTGGTCCATGTGTCTGTTTCTATTCAATGTGTCTGTTTTTATATCAGCACTATGCTGTTTTGGTTACTGTAACTCTGTAGCATAATTTGAAGTCAGGTAATGTGATTCCTCCAGTTTTGTTCTTTTTGCATAGAATAGCTTTGGCTATTCTGGGTCTTTTGTGATTCCATATAAATTTTAGGATTGTTTCTATTTCTGTGAAGAATGTCATGGTTATTTTGATATGGATTGCACTGAATCTGTAGATTGCTTTAGATATTATGGACATTTTAACAATATTGATTCTTACAACCCATGAATATGAAATATTTTCCCATTTTTGGTGTCCTCTTCAATTACTTTCATCAATGCTTTCTAGTTTTCATTATAGAGATCTTTTACTTTTTTGGTTAAGTTAATTTCTAGCTATTTAATTTTATGGGTGGCTATTGTAAATGAGATTACTTTTTAATTTCTTTTTCACATTGATCATGTTGGCGTACAGAAATGCTACTGAATTTGCATGTTGATTTTGTATCCTGCAACATTACTGAAATTGTTTATCAGTATTAATAGTTTTCTTGTGTAGTCTTAAGGTTTTTCCAAATATGAAATCATATCATCTACAAAAAAGGATAATTTGACTTCTTTCCAATTTGGATGCCTTTTATATGTTTCTCTCATCTGCTCTAGCTAGTACTTCTAGTACTATTTTGAATAAGAGTGGTGACAGTGCACATCGTTGAGGTATTCCAGATCTTAGAGAAAAGGCTTTCAGGTTTTCGCCATTCAGGATGATACAAGCTGTGGGTCTGTCATATATTGTTTTTATTATGTTGATGCATGTTTCTTCCATCCCCGGTATTTTGAGGGTTTTTATCATGAAGGGATGTCGAATTTTATCAAGTCCTTTTTCAGCATCAATGAAAATGAGACTCTTGTTCTCTTCCCTTACTTTCTCTAAAACAAATGGAGGTTGTGTCTCTGTTCTGAGCCACTTACAGCTGGGGGTGAAGTAAGTAAGACCAGCATCCCTGTGGTCACCACCGCTATGACTGCACTGGGTCTGACCTAAAGCCAGCACAGCACTGGGTCTCACCCAAAGCCTGCTGTAACCACTCCCTGGTTGCTGCCTATGTTCGCTCTCCCTCCCCGAGCACCCAAGAGAGACTCTCCACAACACGCCGCTGCTGCCACAAGGAAGCGGGGTGGGCATTGTGATTCAGGACAATTTTTTCTATCTCCTCACTGTCTCTTTCAGTGATATGAAATTATAACCAGGTACTATGAACGCTCTGATTTTTTGGTTTTTCTGAAGATGTATTTTTCTGTGTAGATAATTGTTAAATTGGTGCCCTTGTTGGGGCGATGATCAGTGAAGCATTCTATTCCACCATCTTGCTCCACCTCCCATCTGCCTAGTCAATCTTATAAAAGTTTTAAGTCGTGCTGAGTGCGGTGGCTCACGCCTCTACTCCCAGTACTTTGGGAGGCTGAGGCAGGCAGATCACCTGAGGTCAGGAATTCAAGACCCGACTGACCAGCATGGAAATATCCTGTCTCTACTGAAAATACAAAATTAGCCGGGTGTGGAGGCCCATGCCTACAATCCCAGCTACTAAGGAGGCTGAGGCAGGAGAATGGCTTGAACCCGGAAGGCGGAGTTTGCAGTGAGCCAAGATCGCGCCACTGCACTCCAGCCTGGGCAACGAGAGCGAAACTCCGTCTCAAAATAAATAAATGAATAAATAAATAAATAAAATGAAAAGTTTTAAGTAGTGAGTAACATATACTTAGAAAATATTAAAACACTGTACCCATGTGTTCTTCACCTTTCAAAGTGCACTTTAACAAAGTTGTCATCTTTTATTCTTATTATAAAAGTAATAGAGGCTCATTGTAGATAATCTGAAATAATGTGCAAAATTAAGATCATGCTATGTAATAATATTTTAAAATAAATAAAATACTTATTTTAAATAAATACAGCTCTCAATTTGCCATAATCATTTGGGCTGAGGAATCATGAATAATATTGAAACAACAAATAATATAACAAAAAAACCCATCCGTCATTTTGTTTTTTCTTTAAATCTCGTCCTTCTCCTCCACTTTGATGAATCCATTTTACATGAACTGTTTTCTTAACCGAAGTAGACTGATTAAAATGTAACAACCTTTTCCCTCTCTGCCCACCTTTCTAAGAACTGTTAATGAACAGTAAACTGGTCAATCAGCAGGGTCAAAGAGCAGAGAAAAGTAACAGAGGCAAAGTTGATGGAGATGACAACTAGCTTGTTTTTTTTTTTATTGTCATACTTTAAGTTTTAGGGCACATGTGCACAATGTGCAGGTTAGTTACATACGTATACATGTGCCATGTTAGTGTGCTGCACCCATCAACTCGTCATTTAACATTAGGTATATCTCCTAATGCTATCCCTCCCCCCTCCCCCCACTACACAACAGGCCTCAGTGTGTGATGTTCCCCTTCCTGTGTCCATGTGTTCTCATTGTTCAATTCCCACCTATGAGTGAGAACATGCGGTGTTTGGTTTTTTGTCCTCGCGATAGTTGGCTGAGAATGATGGTTTCCAGCTTCATCCATGTCCCTACAAAGGACATGAAATCATCATTTTTTATGGCTGCATAGTATTCCATGGTGTATATGTGCCACATTTTCTTAATCCAGTCTATCATTGTTGGACATTTGGGTTGGTTCCAAGTCTTTGCTATTGTGAATAGTGCCGCAATAAACATACATGTGCATGTGTCTTTACAGCAGCATGATTTATAATCCTTTAGATACATACCCAGTAATGGGATGGCTGGGTCAAATGGTATTTCTAGTTCAAGATCCCTGAGGAATCACCACACTGACTTCCACAATGGTTGAACTAGTTTACAGTCCCACCAACAGTGTAAAAGTGTTCCTATTTCTCCACATCCTCTCCAGCACCTGTTGTTTCCTGACGTTTGAATGATCGCCATTCTAACTGGTGTGAGATGGTATCTCTTTGTGGTTTTGATTTGCATTTCTCTGATGGCCAGTGATGATGAGCATTTTTTCATGTGTCTTTTGGCTGCATAAATGTCTTCTTTTGAGACGTGTCTGTTCATATCCTTCGCCCACTTTTTGATGGGGCTGTTTGTTTTTTTCTTGTAGATTCTTTTCTTGTAGATTTGTTTGAGTTCATTTGTTTGAGTTCATTTTTTGAGTTCACAGCCCTTTGTCAGATGAGTAGATTGCAAACATTTTCTCCCATTCTGTAGGTTGCCTGTTCACTCTGATGGTAGTTTCTTTTGCTGTGCAGAAGCTCTTTAGTTTAATTAGATCCCATTTGTCAATTTTGGCTTTTGTTGCCATTGCTTTTGGTGTTTTAGACATGAAGTCCTTGCCCATGCCTATGTCCCGAATGGTATTGCCTAGGTTTTCTTCTAGGGTTTTTATGGTTTCAGGTCTAACATTTAAGTCTTTAATCCATCTTGAATTAATTTTTGTATAAGGTGTAAGGAAGGGATCCAGTTTCAGCTTTCTACGCATGGCTAGCCAGTTTTCCCAGCACCATTTATTAAATAGGGAATCCTTTCCCCATTGCTTGTTTTTGTCAGATTTGTCAAAGATCAGATGGTTGTAGATATGTGGCATTATTTCTGAGGGCTCTGTTCTGTTCCATTGGTCTATATCTCTCTTTTGGTACCAGCACCATGCTGTTTTGGTTACTGTAGCCTTGTAGTATAGTTTGAAGTCAGGTAGCGTGATGCCTCCAGCTTTGTTCTTTGGCTTAGGACTGACTTGGCGATGCGGCTCTTTTCTGGTTTCATATGAACTTTAAAGTAGTTTTTTCCAATTCTGTGAAGAAAGTCATTGGTAGCTTGATGGGGATGGCATTGAATCTATAAATTACCTTCAGCAGTATGGCCATTTTCACGATATTGATTCTTCCTGCCCATGAGCATGGAATGTTCTTCCATTTGTTTGTATCCTCTTTTATTTCATTGAGCAGTGGTTTGTAGTTCTCCTTGAAGAGATCCTTCACGTCCCTTGTAAGTTGGATTCCTAGGTATTTTATTCTCTTTGAAGCAATTGTGAATGGGAGTTTACTCATGATTTGGCTTTCTGTTTGTCTGTTATTGGTGTATAAGAATGCTTGTGATTTTTGCACATTGATTTTGTATCCTGAGACTTTGCCACGCAAACCAATAAATGTAATTCAGCATATAAACAGAACCAACGACAAAAACCATATGATTATCTCAACAGATGCAGAAAAGGCCTTTGACAAAATTCAACAACTCTTCATGCTAAAAACTCTCAATAAATTAGGTATTGGTGGGATATATCTCAAAATAATAAGGGCTATCTATGACAAACCCACAGCCAATATCATACTGAATGGGCAAAAACTGGAAACATTCCCTTTGAAAACTCACACAAGACAGGGATGCCCTCTCTCACCACTCCTATTCAACACAGTGTTGTAAGTTCTGGCCAGGGCAATCAGGCAGGAGAAGGAAATAAAGGGTATTCAATTAGGAAAAGAGGAAGTCAAATTGTCCCTGTTTGCAGATGACATGATTGTATATCTAGAAAACGCCATCGTCTCAGCCCAAAATCTCCATAAGCTGATAGATAACTAGCTTCTTTAGATAATCAAGGCTGATTGTGCATTCACTTTCCCATGAATGTCTAAAGCTGTGAAGGGCAATTGCCGAGTGCATTAAGAGAAAGGAGCTCTATCTGGGAGTTCTTTGTAGTCAATACAAGGAGGAAAGAAGGCCCCCAGCAGATGTGCTCCTGAATTTGTTGAAAGATTGGAAGATATCCCCTCTGAAATAACAGTTAACAAGAACTAGCAAATAAAATAAAAGAGCTTGCATATAAACAGTAGATGCCTCCCCAGTAGACAACTCATCTAAAAGAACTCTTAAAGACACTGGTTACTGATAAAAGAGAATGATTTTTGAAACCCTGAGGCAGAGCAAGATGGCAAAATAGAGGCCGCCCCGCCTGGGAAGTGAGGGGCGCCTCTGCCCGGCCGCCCTTCGTATGGGAGGTGGGGAGCACCTCTGCCCGGCCGCCCTGTCTGGGAATTGGGCGCCTCTGCCCGGCCGCCCCGTCTGGGAGGTGAGGGGTGCCTCTGCCCGGCCGCCCCGTCTCGGAGGTGAGGGGTGCCTCTGCCCGGCTGCCCCGCCTGGGAGGTGAGGAGCGCCTCTGCCCGGCCACCCTTCGTCTGGGAGGTGGGGAGCGCCTCTGCCCGGCTGCCCCATCTGGGAAGTGGGCGCCTCTGCCGGGCCACCCCATCTGGGAGTTGAGGGGCGTCTCTGCCCGGCTGCCCCGTCAGGGAGGTGAGGAGCGCCTCTGCCCGGCTGCCCCGTCTGGGAGGTGAGGAGCGCCTCTGCCCGGCTGTCCCATCTGGGATGTGGGGAGAGCCTCTGCCCGGCCGCTCTTTGTCTGGGAGGTGGGGAGCACCTCTGCCCGGCCACCCCGTCTGGGAGGTGAGGAGCACCTCTGCCCGGCCACCCATCATCTGGGATGGGAGGAGCACCTCTGCCCAGCTGCCACCCGTCTGGGAGGTGAGGAGCGCCTCTGTCCGGCCGCCACCCCATCTGGGAAGTGAGGTGCACCTCTGCCCGGCCGCCCCGTCTGGGAAGTGAGGAGCGCCTCTGCCCAGCCGACCATTGTCTGGGATATGAGGAGCACCTCTGCCTGGCCACCCCGTGTGGGAAGTAAGGAGCGCCTCTGCCAGCCCGCCCTGTCTGGGAAGTGTACCCAACAGCTCCGAAGAGACAGCGACCATCGAGAAGGGGCCATGATGACGATGGCGGTTTTGTCAAAAAGAAAAGGGGGAAATGTGGGGAAAAGAAAGAGAGATCAGATTGTTACTGTGTCTGTGTAGAAAGAAGTAGACATAGGAGACTCCATTTTGTTCTGTACTAAGAAAAATTCTTCTGCCTTGGGATGCTGTTAATCTATAACCTTACCCCCAACCCCGTGCTCTCTGAAACATGTGCTGTGTCCACTCAGGGCTAAATGGATTAAGGGTGGTACAAGATGTGCTTTGTTAAACAGATGCTTGAAGACAGCATGCTCGTTAAGAGTCATCACCACTCTCTAATCTCAAATACCCAGGGACACAAACAGGGCCAAAGGCCGCAGGGACCTCTGCCTAGGAAAACCAGAGACCTTTGTTCTCGTGTTTATCTGCTGACCTTCTCTCCACTATTATCCTATGACGCTGCCACATCCCCCTCTCTGAGAAACACCCAAGAATGATCAATACTAAAAAAAAAAAAAAAAAAAAAGATGGCAGAATAGAAGTCTCCACCAATCATCCTCCCCAAACCCCACTGCAAGGACATAAAGTTAACAACTATCCACACAAAAAAGCACATTCATAAGAACCAAAAATCAGATGACCACTCACCTTATCTGGTTTTAACTTCATATCACTGAAAGAGACACTGAAGAGACAGAAAAAACAGTCTTGAATCGGCAACAGCACTCCTCCTCCATCCCCACAACAGCAATGGCAGGGTGTGGAGAGCATCTCTGGGCACTGGGGGATGGGAGAACCCAGTAATTGTGAGGCACTGAACTCAGTGCTCTCCTGTTATAGCAGAAAGGAAAACTGGACCAAACTCTGCTGATGCTCACCCACAGAGGAGGGTTTAAACCAGTCCTAGCCAGAGGGGAATCGCCGATCCCAGTCGTCCAAACTTGAGTTTAGCAAACCTCGCCACCACAGGCTAAAGTCCTCTGGGGTTCTAAATAAACTCAAAAGGCAATCTAGGCCACAAGGACTGTAACCCCTAGGTGAGTCCTAGTGCTAAGCTGGGCAAAGTGACAGTGGACTGGGGCATGTGACCTACTGAGACACCAACAAAGGTGGCTAAAGGAATGTTGACATCACCCCTCCCCTAACCCGAGGCTACACAGCTCACAACTCCAAAACAGACCCATTTCTTCTGCCTAAATAGAGGAGAGAGAAGAGTGGGGAGTATTTTGTCTTGCATATTGGATACCAGCTCAGACACAGCAGAATAGGACACTAGTCAGAGTTCTGAGGTACCCTCTCCAGGCCCTAGCTCCTGGACAACAATACACACCATGGGCCACAAGGGAATCTGCTACCTTGAAGGAAAGAACCCGGTCCTCGCATCATTCATCACATACTAACTGAAGAGGCCTTGGGCCCTGAATAAGCAGCAGTGATACCCAGGTACTATGTTGAAGGCTCTGGATGAGAGTCTGAGACTTGCTAGCTTCAGGTGAGACTCAGCACATTCCCAGCTGTGGTGGCTATAGGGCAAGAATCATTGTGCTTACAAAAAGCAAAGGGAAAAGTAAAGTGGACGTAAAGTGGACTTTCTATTGCACCTAAGGTACCAGCTCAGCCACAGGAGAGTGGAGCATCAAGTGGGCTCTTGGGGATCCCAATTCTAGGACTTGGCTCCTACACAGCATTTCTGGACCTGCCCTGGGCCAGAAGGGAGCCCACTGCCCTGAAGGGTGGGTCCCAGGCCAGGCAGCATTCACCACAAGCTGGTTTAAGAGCCCTTGGGCCTTAAAGGAACATAGGCAATAGCCTGGCAGAACTCCCCATGGGCCTGTGGTGGTGATGACCATAGGGAGAGGCTGCTCTGCTTTCAGAGAGGAAAGGGACGAGTAGAAAGGACTATGTCCACTGGTTTGGGTGCCGGATCAGTCACAGTACAATAGAATACCAGGTAAACGTCTAATATTTTTGAACCTAGTCCCTGGCTCCCAGACAGCCCCTCTGGAACTCCCTGTGGCCTGGGGAAACTCAGTAACCTAAAAGAAAGGATACAGACCTGGCTGCCTTTGCCTTATGCTGACTGTAGAGCCTCAGGGCCTTGAGCAAACATAGGCAGTAGCCAAGAAGTGGTTACAGCAGGCTTTGGGTGAGACTGAGTGTGCTGGCTTCAGGTCAGACCCAGCAGTCATAGTGGAGGTGGCCACAGGGGTGCTTGTGTCACTCCATAACCAGCTTAGGTGACTCAGAACAGAGAGACCTTCTTTGTTTTAGACAAAGTAAGGGAAAAGAACAAGAGTCTCTACCTAATAATCCAGAGAATTCTCCCAGATCTTATCCAAGACCATCAAGGTAGTACCTTTGCAAGTCTGTAAGAACCACAGCAACACAGGGCTGGGGTATCCCCTAAAGCAGATATAGCTTATATTACAACACCCAAATCCTTACAAATATCTAGAAAGCTTTCCCAAGAAGGAAGGGTACAAACAAGCCCAAATGCAAAGACTAAAATGAATACATAACTCTTCAACGGCCAGACACAGATGAACAACTAGAAGCATCAGGATGATCCAAGGAAACATTACCTCACTAAATGAACTAAATAGGTCATCAGGGACCAATCCTGGAGAAACTGAAGTATCTGACCTCTCAGACACAGAATTCAAAATAGCTGTGTTAAGCAAACTCAAAGAAATTCAAGATAACACAGAGAAGGAATTCAGAATTCTATCAGATAAATTTAACAAAGAGATTGAAATAATTTAAAAGAATCAAGTAGAAATTATGAAGCTGAAAAATGCAACTGGCATACTAATGCATCACAGTTCTTTAATAACAGAATGGATCAAGCAGAAGGAAGAATTAGTGAGCTTCAAGACAGGCTGTTTGAAAATACACAATCAGAGGAAACAGATAAAAAATAAAAAACAATGAAGCACACCTAAAGGATCTAGCAAATACTTTCAAAATGACAAATCTAAGTATTGTTGGCCTTAAAGAAAGGGTAGAGAAAGAGACAGTGGAAGACAGTTTATTCAAAGGGATAATAACAGAGAACTTCCCAAACCTACAGAAATATATCAACGTCCAAGTACAAGAAGGTTATAGAACACCATGCAGATTTAACCCAAAGAAGACTACCTCAACACATGTAATAATAAAACTCCCAAAGGTCAAGGATAAATAGAGGATCCTAAAAGCAGCAAGAGACATAAAACAAATAACACAAAATGGAGCTCCAATATGCCTGGCAGCAGACTTTCAGTGGAAACCTTACAGGCCAAGAGAGAATGGCATCACATATCTAAAGTGCTGAAGAAAAAATACTTTTATCCTAGAATCATATATCCGGTGAAAATATCCTTCAAATATGAAGGGGAAGTAAAGATTTTCCCAAACAAAAGCTGAAGGATTTCATCAACACCAGATCTGTCCTACAAGAAATGCTAAAGGGAATACTTCAATCAGAAAAGAAAGGACATTAATGATCAATAAATAATCACGAGAAGGTACAAAACTTACTGGTAATAGTAAGTACACAGAAAAATACATAATATTATAACACTGTAATGGTGATATATAAACTACCCTTATACTAAGTAGAAAGATCAAAGGATGAACAAATCAAGAATCATAACTACAACAACTTTTCACAACATAGTCAGTACAATAAGATATAAATAGAAACATAAAAAGTGAAAAAAGTTAGGGGAGAAAGTAAAGGTGTACAGCTTTTAATAGTTTTCTTTTTGCTTGTTTGTTTATGCAAATAGTGTTACATTGTTATCAGGTAAAAATAATGGGTTATACGATAGTATTTGCAAGCTTCATGGTAACCTCAAAACAAAAAACATGCAATGGATGCACAAAAAATAAAAAGCAAGAAACTAAAATATATCACCAGAGAAAATAATCTTCCCAAAAAGAAAACAGGAGGAAAAGAAAGAAGGAAGGGAAGACCACAAAACATTCAGAAAACAAATTATAAAATGGCATATGGAAGTCCTTACTTATCAATAATAACATTGAATGTAAACGGACTAAACTCTCCAATCAAAAGACACAGGCTGACTGAATGGATTAAAAAGGCAAGATCCACTGATCTGTTTCCTACAAGAAACACTATCTATAAAAACACACATAAACTGAAAATAAAGGGATGGAAAAAGATATTCCATGCCAATGGAAACCAAAAAAAGAGCAGCAGTCACTATACTTAGACCACACAAAATAGATTTCAAGACCAAAACTATAAGAAGACACAAAGAAGGCCACTACATAATAATAAAGAAGTCAATTCAGCAAAAGTATATAACAAGTTTAAATATATATGCACCCAATATTGGTGTACACAGATATATGAAGCAAATATTATTAGAGCTAAAAAGAGGGATAGACTCCAATACAATAATAGCTGGAGACTTCAACACCTCATTTCAGCACTGGACAGATTTTTCCAGACAGAAAAACATCAGAGAAACATCACATTTAATCTGCACTATAGAACAAATGGATCTAATAGACATTTATAGAATATTTTATCCAACAACATCAGAATGCATATTCTTTTCCTCAGCACATGGATCTTTCTCAAAGATAGACCACCTGATAGGTCACCAAAAAAGTCTTAAAACATTCCAAAAGACTGAAATAATATCAAGCATCTTTTCTGACCACAATGGAATAAAACTAGAAATTAATAACAAGTGGAATTTTGGAACTATAAAAATAACGGAAATTAAACAATATGCTTCTGCATGACCAGTGGGTCAGTGAAGAGATTAAGAAAAAAAAACCTAAAATTTCTTGAAACAAATGATAAATGAAAACACAGCATACCAAGATCTATGGGATACAGCAAAAGCAGTACTAAGAGGGAAGTTTATAGCTACTAGTGCCAACATTAAAAAAGAAGAAAATCTTCCGGTAAATAATGTAGCTATGCATCTAAAAGAACAAGAAAAGCAAGAACAAACGAAACCCAAAATGGTAGAAGAAATGATAAATGTCACAGCAGAAATAAGTGTAATTGAAATGAAAAAAATACAAAACATCAATGAAACGAAAAGTTGGTTTTTCAAAAAGTTAAACAAAAATGACAAACTCTAGCCTGACTGAAAAAATTAGAAAATACCAAAATAAATGAAATCAGAGATTAAAATGAAGACAGCACAACTGATACTGCAGAAATTCAAATTAGCATTACCAACTACTATGAGCAACTATATGCCAATAAATAGGGAAATTAGAGAAATTGACAAATTCCTAGATACATACAACCTACCAAGATTGAACCAGGAAGACATGCAAAACCTGAACAGACCAATAAGAATTAATGAGATCAAAGCCATAGTAAAAAGTCTCTCAGTAAAGAAAAGTCCAGGACACTCTGGCTTCACTGCTGAATTCCACTAAACATTTAAAGAAGAACTAATACCAATCATACTCAAACTATTCTCAAAGAGAGAAGGGAGGAGTACTTCTAAATTCATTCTATAAGGCCAGTATTACCCTGGTACCAAAACCAGACAAAGACACATCAAAAGAGAAAACTGCATGCCAATATCTCTGATGAATATTGATGTAAAAATCCTCAACAAAATACTCCCAAAACAATTTCAACAATACATTACAAAGATCATTCATTGTGACCAAGTTGGATTTATCCCTGGGAACCAAGGATGGTTCAACATATGCAAGTCAATCAATGTGATGCATCATATTAAGAGAATGAAGGATGAAAACCATATGATCATTTCAATTGATGCTGAAAAAGGATTTGATGAAATTCTACATCCTTTCACGATAAAAACCCCTCAAAAACTGGTAATAGAAGAGAAACATACATCAACATAATAAAAGCCATATATGACCTACTCACAGCTAGTATACTGAATGGAGAAAAACTGAAAGCTTTTTCTCTGAGATCTGCAACATGAAAAGGATGCTCACTTATACCACTGTTGTTCAACATAGACAACAGAAGGAAATAGGGCACCCAAATTGAAAACAAAGAGGTCAAATTATCTTTGTTTGCAAATATGATCTTATATTTGAAAAAAACTAAAAATGCCATTAAAAACTATTGGAACCCATAAACAAACTCAGTAAAGCTGCAGAATACAAACTCAATACAAAAATCAGTAGCATCTCTATATGCTAACAGTAAACAATCTGAAAAAATATCAGAAAAGTAACCCCATTTACAATAACCACAGAAAATTAAATATCTAGGAATTAACTAAACCAAAGAAGTGAAAGATGTCTATAATAAAAACTATAAAACACTGATGAAAGTAATTGAAAAGACACCAAAAAATAGAAAAATATTCCATGTTCATGAATTGGAAGAATCAATATTGTTAAAAATGTTCATACTACCCAAAGCGATGTACAGATTTAATGCAATTTCTATAAAAATACCAATGACATTCTTCACAGAAATAGAAAAAGATAATCCTAAAATTTATATGGATCAACAAAAGACCAAAAATAGCCAAAGTTATTCTAAGCAAAAATAAATCTGGAGGAATCCCAATACCTGAGTTCAAATTATACTACAGAGCTATAGTAACCAAAACAGCATGATAATGGCATAAAAACAGACATATAGACAATATGAACAGAATAGAGAACACAGAAATAAATCCACACACCTACAGCGAACTTATTTTCAACAAAGGTGCCAAGAACATATACTGCAGAAAAGACAGTCTCTTCAATAAATGGTGCTGGGAGAACTGGATATGCACATGCAGAAGAATGAAACTAAACTCCTCTCTCTCTCACAATATACAAAAATCAAATAAAAATGGATTAAAGGCTTAAATCAAGACCTCAAACTATGAAGCTCCAACAAGAAAACATTGGGGAAAATCTCCAGGACATTGGTCTGGGCAAAAATTTCTTGAGTAATACCGCACAAGTCACAAAAGCTAAGTCAACCAAAGCTAAAATGGACAAATGAGATCGCATCAAGTTCAAAAGCTGCATGGCAAAGGATACAATCCACAAAGTGAACAGACAACTCACAGAATGGGACAAAATATTTGCAAACTACCCATGTGACAAGGGATTAACAGCCAGAATACATAAGCAGCTCAAACAACTCTGTAGAAAAAAAATCTAACAATCCAATCAAAACATGGGTAAAAGATTTGAATAGACATTTCTCAAAAGAAGACATACAAATGGCAAACAGGCATATGAAAAGGTGTTGAACATCATTGATCATCAGAGAAAAGCAAATCAAAACTACAAGGAGATATCATCTCACCTCAGTTAAAATAACTTTTATTTAAAAGACGGGCAATAAGAAATGCTGGCGAGGATGTGGAGAAAAGGGAACCCTTGTACGCTCTTGGTGGGAATGTAAATAAGTACACCCTCTTTGGAGAACAGTTTGGAGATTCCTCAAAAAACTAAAAATGGAGCTACCATGTGACCCAGGTATCCCACTGCTGGGTATACACCCAAAAGAATGGAAATCAGTATATTGAAGAGGTATCTACGTTTCTATGTTTGTTGCAGCTCTGTTCACAATAGGCAAGATTTGGAAGCAACCTGAGCAACTACCAACAGATGAATGGATAAAGAATTTGTGGTACATATACACAATGGTACATATACACTATTCAGCCATGAAAAAATGAGATCCTGTCATTTGCAACAACATGGATGTTACTGGAGATTATTATATCAAGTGAAATAAGCCAGGCACAGAAAATAAACATTGCATGTTCTCACTTATTTGTGGGATCCAAAAATCAAAACAATTGAACTCATGGAGATAGAGGGTAGAAGGATGGTTAACAGAGGCTGGGAGGGGTAGGGGAAGAGTACAGTGGAAGTGGGGATGGTGAATGGGTACCAAGAAAATAGAAAGCATGAAAAAAAAACTAGTATTTGATAGCACAACCAGGTGACTATAGTCAATAATAATTTAATTTTCCATTTAAAAATAAGAGTATAATTGGATTGTTTGTAACACTAAGGATAAATGCTTGAGGGGATGGATACCCCATTCTCCATGATGTGATTATTACACATTGCATGCCTGTATCAAAACATCTCATATGCTCCATAAATATATAGACCTACTATGTACCCACAAAAATTAAAAATAATTTTTTAAAGAATGATTTTCTAAACCCCATAACGGGACCTGGGTTATGTTCTGAAATGAAATCTAAAATATAACTACTGTGAGATAAACTATAGTCTTGGAAACCAACTTCTCTAAAATGAGGAATAAAGACAGAAAATTTGTGAAAACTGAAAAGGGAGGAAGGAGGAAGGCTGTGACAAAAACTAACATTGGTTGATTACTATGTATACATTGGCCTAGGTGCTTTATATCAGTCGCATCTCAAATTACTCGATGAAATGCATTTTACTCTTTCCACTTGATAGATGCGGAAACCGAGGCTCAGAAAGATTAGGTAATAGGCCAGGCACAGTGGCTCACGTCTGTAATCCCAACACTTTGGGAGGCCGAGGTGGGTGGATCACCTGAGGTCAGGAGTTCAAGACCAGCCTGGCCAACATGGTGAAACCTCATCTCTACTAAAAATACAAAAAATTAGCCGGTGGTGGTGCATGCCTGTAATCCCAGCTACGTTGGAGGGTGAGGCAGGAGAATCGCTTGAACTCAGGAGGTGGAGGTTGCAGTGAGCCGAGATTGTACCACTGTATGCCAGCCCGGGCAACAGAGCGAGACTCCATCTCAAAAAAAAAAAAAAAAAAAAAAAAAAGAAATTAGGTAATAAACAACTAGTAGGTGGAAGAGCTGGCATTCCAATCCATGATTGCCTTAATCCAGAGTGTGATGCAGTAATATGTTAACGTTTACCAGAAATATTTCTGGCAAGATAATGCCCTAATTATGTTAAACTGTTATGGTTACAAACACCAAAATACTTTTGCAACCAGCTACAAAACCTAATAGGGGTATACCTTAAGTCCATTTAATTCCTATTTCTTACCAAGCAAACATGTAATGTTTGTTGCCTCCAGAATGGGCGTCCCCTGTATAAATTACTGTGGGTAGTTATCCTTCCAATGAGAGTTCTCAATGTACATTGATAAACTGGCAATTTGTGGCTTTGATTAGTAAAGAAGTCATTGAATTTGCTACCCAGCAAGTATTTACTCCATCCTGTCTACCCTGCCTTTATCCTTTCTAATGAAACCTCTAAAAGCCTCGTCCACATGCCCATGTGCTTCACTAAATTAAACAGGCATCCCATTCCTCTAGCCAGGGAGTGTTTCAGGAATGGGAATGTCACATAATTCTGAAATAGAAGGGGAAGTACACTAGGGAATTTCTGGGAATTTTTTTTTTCTTTTTTTTCTTTTTTGAGACAGAGTCTCACTCTGTCGCCCAGGCTGGAGTGCAGTGGCACAATCTTGGCTCACTGCAACCTCCGCCTCCCATGTTCAAGCGATTCTCCTGCCTCAGCCTCCTGAGTAGCTGGGATTACAGGTGCCCACCACCACGCCCGGCTAATTGTTGTATTTTTAGTAGAGACAGGGTTTCACTATGTTGCCTAGGCTGGTCTCAAACTCCTGACCTCAAGTGATCCACCCACCTCGGCCTCCCAAACTGCTGGGATTACAGGCGTGAGCCACCGCGCCCAGCCTTGGGAATATTTCTTTATCCCGAATGAAAAGCACACTAACTAGGGTTCCTTGAATGAACATCTAATTTCAGAGAATGTACAAGGTAAACAGAGAATAGACATCTTGTTTTGTCAGAAAGCAAAGGGCCTTCCAAAGATGAATGGAGTCACATAAGAATGACATAATAGCCATCAGGAAGGGTCTCCCCTTGACCAAAATTGGGAGAACTTGAGTATCAAAAGAATAAGAACTATAATTGGCTGAAAAGCTTTGAATATTTTTTTAAAACATGAGTTCAAACTAATATTTTTAAAAGAAAGTAAAAACAAAGAATCAAACTTAATTGTCACCATTACACCAACACCTTACTCTGAAAATTGGTAAAATTTAAGAGGTAACAATTTATCTTGCCTTTCTAGTAGAAATGGTACTTGAGAGTAACCTAATAAATAGCCCTAGTTGATTGCTCCTCGAACAGTGAGAACACATGGACACAGGAAGGGGAACATCACACTCTGGGGACTGCCGTGGGGTTGGGGGAGGGGGGAGGGATAGCATTAGGAGATATACCTAATGCTAAATGATGAGTTAATGGATGCAGCACACCAGCATGGCACATGTATACATATGTAACTAACCTGCACATTGTGCACAGGTACTCTAAAACGTAAAGTATAATAATAATAATAATAATAATAAAAAGAATTTCAGCTAATAAATATGGTTTTGTAAATTCTAATGAAATAATTGATTCAGGCAACTATCTTCAGTGGAAGCTAAAGCCATTAAGTGTCTCTTCTGGGTCTTCGTTGTCAGAAAATAAATAAAGCCATTACATGAAAAGAGAAACTGGATAGTTTCATCCAGAGCCAAGGTATCAACTCCAAAATTATTTAGTAGTTGCAAGAGAAAAAATGTTATAAAATGTTATTTTGTAATAAAAAGATTGAGCTGAAATCCCCTTATTTTAACATCACTATGTGATTGATTTTAACATCACTAAAAATGAGAAATCAGACATTATATGACTCAGTGTAATGCAATAAATATACAGCCTCATCTCTGAAGTATTTCTTCCAAAAAATATTTAATCTGAATCTATACAACTCTTTAGATCTAATATCCAGTTTACAGGAAATATGGAGGACAGAGAAATGCATCAAGAAAATTCAGACAAAGCCTGAATTTGAGTCATTCTATAGGACAACAGGACTGGGCCCTTCAATACTTCAATTTTATGAGGAAAAAAAAAAGAAGACAATGTTCTAGAGTCAAGACATTCTAGAAGAGATTTAGGAGATAAAAAGAGATCTAAAGGCGACATAGTAGATATAACAACAATATGCACTGCATAATCCTTGATTAGATTTTATGTGTCAAAAAAAACCCCAAAAAGTTAAAAGGCAAGCTAGCATAAAAATATTGACAAAGTATTAATGTCATTTATTTATATAGCTCTCTTAAAATCAATTTAAAAAAAACACTTCAGGTGAAAATTGGCAAAGGATATAATAGATCATAGAAACACAAATTAAAATAATTAATGTAAAAAAGACACTTTTATGCTGGGCACAGTGGCTCAGGAGTCTGAGGCAGGGGAATCACTTGAACATGGAAGGTGGAGGATGCAGTGAGCCAAGATCATGCCACTGCACTCCAGCCTGGATGACAGAGCGAGACTCAGTCTCAAAAACAAACAAACAAAAAAGACATTTTTGGGAAAATTTTTAAATTTTGGAAAATTGTAAAATTTGAACACAGACTGGAATATTAGTTTCTATTAAGAAATAATTATTAAGTTTTAGGTCTGATAGTAATATTGTGATTAGTTAGGGAACTATCTTTGTTTTGTAAAGGTGCATTCTAAAGATATTTCATAATATCGGTAATTACTTTAAAATAATTTAGCAAAAAATCAAGAAAATATATTAAAATGTTAACAATGATTACATCTACATTACATCTGCATATCCATGGGTAATTTTTATATTGTTCTCTCTATTTTTCTGAGTAATTGAAATTTCTATTTAAAAAGTGTATCTTCTACTTCTACTAGATATTGTTGTATCTGCATATGATCCTGGAAATTGAGGCAGCCATCTTCATACCATCAGAAGAGCAGGTGTGCAGGGGAAAGCTGGCATGCTAAAGATGGAAGAGTAGGAAGATGGAAAATCTGAGCCCCTGATGACATTGTTGAGAAAACCCTGGGCATCAACCTCTGGGCTTCCTAAAATGTGAGATAATACATTTTTCTTATTATTTATGCCATTTTGAATTGCATTCTGTTACTACAAAACCTGGCAGACACACAACAAAGAAAGAATACTTCAGGCCAACATCTTTGATTAACATAGATGCAAAAATCCTCAACAAAATGGTTGCAAATTGAATCCAGCAGCACATCAAAAAGCTAAGTCACCGCAATTAAGTAGGCTTTATCCCTAGGATGCACAATTGGTTCAACATATGCAAATTGATAAAAATTATTCATCACATAAACAGAACTAAAAATAAAAACCACATGATCATGATTGTCCACATCACAATAGATGGAGAAAAGGCTTTCAATAATATTCAACATTTCTTCATGTTAAAAACTCTCAACAAACTGGGCATTGAAGGAATATACCTCAAACTCAGAGCCATCCATGACAAACCCACAGCCAACATTATACTAAATGGGCAAAAGCTGGAAGCATTCCCCTTGAAAGCTGGAACAAGACAAGGATGTCCACTCTCATCACTCCTACTCACCATAGTACTGGAAGTCCTAGCCAAAGCAATCAGGCAAGAGAAAGAAATAAAAGGCATCAAAAAGGAAAAGAGGAAGCCAAACTATCTCTGTTTCCAGACAAAATGGGTCTATACCTATATAACCCCATAGTTTCTACCCAAAAGCTCCTGATCTGATAAACAACTTCAGCAAAGTTTCAGAATACAAAATCAGTGTACAAAAATCAGTAGCATTTCTATACACCAACAACATCCAAGCTGAGTACCAAACCAATAATGCAATCCCATTCACAATAGACACATACAAAAAATAAAATACCTGGGAATACAGCTCACCAGGGAGGTGAAAGAGCTCTACAATGAGAATTACAAAACACTGCTGAAAAAAATCAGAGACAACATAAACAAATGAAAAAAAAATCCCATGTTCATGGATAAGAAGGATCAAAATCATTAAAATGGCCATATTGCCCAAAGCAATTTTTGAATTCAATGCTATTCCCATCAAACTACCAAAGACATTTTTCACAGAATTAGAAAAACCTATTCTAAAATTCATATGGAACCAAGAGAGAGCCTGAATAACCAAGGAAATCCTAAGCAAAAAGAACAAAGCCAGAGGCATCACATTACCTGACTTCAAACTGTACTGCAAGGCTACAGTAACCAAAATAGCATGGCTCTACTATAAAAACAGACACATAGACAAATAGAACAGAATAGAGAGCCCAGAAAAAAAAAAAAAAAAGAGAGAGCCCAGAACTAAAGCTGCACACCTACAACCATCTGGCATGCATATGTTCATCACAGCACTATTCACAGTAACAAAGACATGGAATCCACCTAAATGCCCATCAATTGTAGACTGGACAAAGAAAATGTGGTACATCCACACCACGAAATATTATGCAGCCACAAATAATGAAATCATGTCCTTTGCTGCAACATGGATGCAGACGGAGGCCATTATCCTAAGCAAACTCACACAGGAGCAGAATACCAAATATCTATTGAATGTTCTCACTTATAAGTGGGAGCTAAACATCGAGTACACAGAGACATCAGGAAAAGAACAATAGACTTGACAATGGAGGATGGGAGGAGGGTGAGTACCAAAAAACTACCTATCAGGTACCATGCTTATCACCTAGGTGATGAAATAATCTGTATACCAAACCCCAGTGACACTCTATCTATATAACAAACCTGCACATGTACCGTGAACCTAAAAGTCTAAAAAAGAAATTATTGCCTGACCACAATAGAATTAATTTAGACACCAATTTTTAAAGATACTAGAAAATCTGTAAACATTTGTAAAAGCCATATCTTCTAAATACATCATGGGTCAAAAAAGAAGTCACAAGAAAATTAGAAAATGTTTTGAATTATATGATAACGAAAACATAATGTATCAAAATGTATATGATTTCTCTAAAGCAGTACTTGGAGGAAAACTTTCAGATTTAAAATGCTTATATTAGATAAAAGAGTTTCTACCTTAAGAACCTAGAATTTTAAAAGAGCAAAGGTCAAATAAGTTGAAAACAGAAACTAATAAAAATGAAAGGGGGAAATCAATCAAATAGAAAGCAGAAAAACAAACAGTAAAAGTTGCCTGTCTATGTGATTAATAAAATTGATAAACTTCTAGCTGGTCTGATAAAGAAAAAACTGAGGAACATAAATTAACCAACATCAGGAATGAAAGTGAGAGTATCAGTACAGATTCTACAGATAATGAAAAGGTAATAAGGGAATAGTTAAACAACTTTATGCCAATAAAGTTGAAAATATAGATGAATTTTTAAAATCCTTGAAAAACATAATTTATAATTTATGAAAACTAACTAAAGACATTGAAAATATGAAAAGATTTACCTATTTTAGGGAAATTATTAATATAACCTTTCCTGCAAAGAAAACTGAAGGCAAGGTTGACTTCACTTGTGAATCCTATCAAACATCTAAGAAAGAATTATAGCAATCTTACATAAAATCTTTCAGAAAAATATGAGGAATAAGACATTCCAATTCAATTTATTAGGCCAGAATAATCCTAATTCCAAAACCTATGCATAGGGTATATTTGAATATGCTCTCTTCAGGCCATTGCTTGTTTATAAATTTCAGACCAATATGAATAAAGCCCATGTAAAATACTTGAAGCCAATGTAATTTTTCCAGCCCTAGCTTGCAATACTTTAATCATAAGACTGTTGGTCATGACATTGGTCTTTATCAAAAAACAGTACCAAAGGGAGCAACAGTGATACAACTTTATGAGTTTCTCATAATTTAGTCATTAAATTTTAAAGAAATGATTTCTCCCCAACAACAAAACCAGTAGAAAGCTTTATCCATGCCAAAAGCTCAGAAATTAGTAAAAACGTTAATTTTTCTTGCCCTCCTATAGAAATTCCACTCATGCAATCAAACTAGCTTATCCAAAATGACTGTTATGTGCCAATCAAGCGGAAAAGTCAACTTTGCATCAGAAATAAGATACAGGTATTTCCTATGTATCTCTCCTATGTTTTACAGGAAGAATTCCGATAGCAACAAACTTCCCTCCCAAATACAGCACAGTCGTCTCTCACTATATGTGGGAAATTAGTTCCAGCACCTACCTACCAAAATCCGTGCATACTCAAGTCCTGCAGTGGGCCCTGCAGAACCCGTGTATACTAAAATTCAACCTGACTACATAGGGTTCACATCCTGTGAATCATGTATTTTTGAAGCACATTTGGTTAACAAAACCTGTATATAAGTGGACCTATGTCGTTCAAATCCATGTTGTTCAAGGGTCAAGTGTAAATGACAGGGTTTAGTACTTAGCAGTGACTCCACTTCAGCCAAGAGTAGCTGGCTACTTTGTAAGCATCAGAAAAGAAACACCCACAGGGGGACACCCACTGTACTATGACATCCAAATTGTATTTTGACAAAAAAATATTTCACAAATGCTTTCTTTCTGTATTTACAAGAGATTCATACTAGATGAGAAAACAGCACATACCTCATTGAATTGTGGTTAACTGGTGTTTTGGGAAATATAATGAAAGGTGATTTTGACTACTTTTCTTTGCATAGGTTTTAAACATAACCATGTAAGAGGTTTACAGGGAGCCAGCTAGAAGGTGTTTGTCAAAAAAAAATAAAAAGATATCTGTGCATCTGTGTGTGTGTATGTATGTGTGTGTTTCAGCAGAGCTATTTCTTATTACAGTTCTGAAATTTTTTAAATTAAAAGACAAAGAACGACACTACCTAGAAGTCTAGCATGAGGACAGGAAGTTGTCTGGAATTTACTTACCAAAGTGATTTTATGAGAAGTAACTTGTGAAGACTTGGGTTAAAAGTAATGGAATCAATGCCAAATTCCATACCTAGAAGTTTGTTGCAAGGAACATTTTGGAGAGGCATGCAATGATTTATATGCAAAAACATTTACTGTTGTGTTACTTAAAATAGAAACTTACTAATAATAGCCTAGATGAGCAAAATTAGAAAAATAACACAGTTAACTACATGAAAAATATGCAGCCACTAAAAATCATGCTTCAGAAAACACACACACACACACACACACACACACACACACACACACACACACACACACAGGGTTGCATAGCATCCCTCAAACTTAATGTCAACCCAGAACATGGGAATAAGATCTGATTTGGAAGTACAATCTTTGCAGATGTAGTGAAGTTAAGATGAGGTCATACTAGATTAGGATAGGCCCTAATTCAATGACCAGTATCCTCATAAGAGGGGAATTTGGACATAGACACAGAAGGAGGATGTCATGTGAAGACAGAGACAGATTAGAGTGATGTGGATGTCATGTGAAGACACAGATAGATTAGATTGATGTTTATACAAGCCAAGGAGTGCAAAGGATTGCATTAGAAGCTAGGAGAGAGGCATGGAACAGTTTCTCCCAAGCTTCCAGAAGGAACCAGCCCTGCCCACGTATTGATTTTGTACTTGTAGCCTCCAGAGCTTTCAGAAAATAAATTTGTGTTGCTTGAAGCCACGCAGTTTGTGGTAATTTGTTATAGTAGCTCTAGGGAACAAATACAGTGTGCACGCACGTGTGTGTGTGTGTGTCTATCATGTTATAATATAGCTTTGAAAAGTATGATACAAAAAGGAATGTACGGAACTTGGGAGCAAGATGGTGGAATAGAAAGCTCCACTGATCATCCCCCACAACAAGGACACCAAGTTAACAACTATCTACTCAGAAAAAAACACCTTCATAAGGACCAAAAATCAAGTGAGCAGTAATAGTACCTGGTTTCAACTTCATATTGCTGAAAGAGGTACTCAAGAGATAGAAAAAACAGACCTAAATCACTAACGCCACCCTTTCCCCACCCCTGGCAGGAGCAGCTTGGTGCAGAGAATGTCTCTGGGCGCTGGGGGAGAGGAAACACAGCAATTGTGAGGCATTGAACTCAGTGCTGTCCTATCAGAGCAAAAGGGAAAACCCGAACAAACTCAGCTGACACCCGCCCACAGAGGGAGCATTTAAACCAGTCCTAGCTAGAGGGGTATTGCCAATACAAGCGGGCGAAACTTGAGTGCCAACAAACCTCACCACCGAGGGCCAAGGTGCTCTCAATCTCTAAGTAAACTTGATAGGCAGTCTGAGCCATAAGGACTGCAGTTTGTAAGCAAGTCCTTGGGCTTAACTAGGCCCAGAGACAGTACACTGCGGGCGGGGGTGCTGAGACATACTGAGACACCAGCTGGGGCAGCTAAGAGAGTGCTAGCATCATGCGTCCCCTAACCCCAAGGCTGAACAGTTCGTGGCTCCAAAAGAGATGCCCCCGTTCCAGGCCCCGGCTCCCAGACATTTCTAGACACACCCTGGACCAGAAGGGAACCTGCTGCCTTGAAGGAAAAAAAAACCCCAGTCCTGCCAGCATTAATCACCTGCTAACTGAAGAGCCCTTGGGCCTTTAATAACCAGCAGTGATACCCAGGTACTACATAGAAGGCCTTGGTGAGCATCTGACACTGGCTGGCTTCAGGTGCGACTCAGCACATTACCAGCTACAGTGGCTATGGGGCAAAACTCCTTCTGCTTGAGAAAAGCAGAGGGAAAAGTAAAGGAGACTTTGTCTTGCACGTTAGGTAACAACACCACTACGGGTGGGTAGACCACCAAGCAGGCTCTTGGGATCCCCAATCCCAAGACTTGACTACTGGATGGCATTTCTGGATCTGCCCTGGGCCAGAGAGGAGCCCATTGCCCTAAAGGGTAAGTCCCAGACCAGGCAACATTTACCACAAGCTGACTTAAGAGCCCTTGGGCCTTAAGGGAACATTGGCTGGTAGTCTGGCAGTACTACTGGTGGCCAGGGGCAGCAGTGGCTATGAGGTGAGGCTCCTCTGCCTTTGGAAAGGGAACTGAAGAGTGACAAGGACTGTGTCTTGTGGTTTGAGTGCCAGCTTAGCCTCAATACAATAGAATACCAGGCAGACTTCTGAGGTTTTTGACTCTAGTCCTGACTCCTGGATGGCATTTCTGGACCCACCTGGGGCCTGGGGGAAACTTGCTGTCCTGAAAGGAAGAACACAGGCCTGACTGGCTTTGCTACTTGCTGATTGTAGATCCCCAAGGCCTTGATCAAACATAGGCAGATATAACCAAAGAAAGATATAACCAAATAAGACTACCTCAAAGCATTTAATAATCAAAATCCCAAAGGTCAAGGATAAATAAAGGATCCTCAAAGCAGCAAAAGAAAAGAAATAAATAACATACAATGGAGCTCCAATATGTCTGGCAGCAGACTTTTCAGTGGAAACCCTAAAGGCTAGGAGAGAGAGGGATGATATATTAATATTTAAAGTGCAGAAGGAAAATTACTTGTATCCTAGAATACTATATTCAGTAAAAATACCCTCAAACATGATGGCGAAATAAACACTTTCCCAGAAAAACAAAAGCTGTGGGATGTCATCAACACCAGACTTGTCCTATAAGAAATGCTAAAGGGAGTTCTTCAATATGAAAGAAAAGGACATTAACCAGTAATAAGAAACCATCTGAAGGTATGATACTTACTGGTAATAGTAAACACACTCCCAAACACAAAATATTATAAAACTATAATTGTGCTGTGTAACCTACTCACATCTTTAATGGAAAGACTAAAGATGAACATATAAAAAATAATAACTACAAGTTTTCAAGACAGACAGTATAATAATAGATAAATCAAAACAACAAAAAGTTAAAAAAGTGGGGGGCGTTAAGTCAAAATGTAGAGTTTTCATTAGTTTTTTCTTTGCTTGTTAGTTTGTTTATGCCATGAGGGTTAAGCTGTCACTAGTTTAAAATAATGGGCTATAAGATATTATTTCTAAGTCTCATGGTAACCTCAAATCAAAAAGCCTAAAACAGATTTTTAAAAAGAGCAAAAAATTAAAACATGCCACCAGAGGCCGGGTGCAGTGGCTCATGCCTGTAATCCCAGCACTTTGGGAGGCCGAGGTGGGTGGATCACTTGAGGTCAGGAGTTCAAGACCAGGCTGGCCAACATGGTAAAACCCTGTGTCTCCTAAATATACAAAAAAAAAAAAAAAAAAAAATTAGCTGGGCATGGTGGCATGCTTGTATTCCCAGCTACTTGGAAGGCTGAGGCACAAGAATTACTTGAACCCGGGAGGCAGAGGTTGCAGTAAGCCAAGATGGTGCCACTGCACTCCATCCTGGGTGACAGAATGAGACTCTGTCTAAAAAAAGAAAAGAAAAGAAAAACATGCCACCAAAGAAAATCACCTTCAAAAAGGGAAACAAGTAGGAAAGAAGGAAGGGAAAGACCACAAAACAACAGAAAACAAACAACAAAATGGCAGGAGTAAATCCTTACTTATCAATAACATTGAATGTAAAAGGACTAAATTCTCCAATCCAAAGACATAGGCTGGCTAAATTGATAAAAAAAAAAAAAAAATAAGACCCAATTATCTGTTGAATACAAGAAACACATTTCACCTATAAAGATACACATAGCCTGAAAATAAAGGTATGGAAAAAGATATTCCATGGCCAATAGAAACCAAAAGAGAGCAGAAGTAGCTATACTTAAATCAGACAAAATAGAATTCAAGACAAAAACTATAAAAAGAGGCAAAGAAGGTCACTATATAATCAAAAAGTGGCCAGTTCAGCAAGAGGATATAACAATTTAAATATATATGTCCCCAACACTGGAGAACCCAGATCTATAAAGCAAATACTATTAGAGCTAAAGAGAGAGACAGGCCCCCAATACAATAATAGCTGGAGACTTCAACACCCCACTTTCAGCATTGGACAGATCTTCCAGACAGAAAATCAACAACAACGAAAAATGGACTTAATTTCCACTATAGACCAAATGGATCAAATAGATATTTATAAAACATTTCATCGAATGGCTGAAGAATACACATTCTTTTTCTCAGCATATGGGTCATTCTCAAGGATAGACCATAAGTTAGGTCACAAAACAAGTCTTAAAACACTCAAAAAACTTGAATATCAAGCATTTTCTCTGACCACAATAGAATAAAACTAGAAATCAATAACAAGAAGAATGTTGGAAACCATACAAACACATAAAAATTAAACACTAGGCTCCTGAAGGACTGCTGGGTCAATGAACAGATTAAGAAGAAAATTCAAAAATGTCTTGAAACAAATGATAATGGAAACACAACATACCAAAATCTATAGGATACAGCAAAAACAGTACCAAAAGGGAGGTTTATAGCTATTAAGTGCTCACATCCAAAGAAGAAATACTTCAAATGAACAACCTAATAATGCATCTTAAATAACTAGAAAAGCAAGAGCAAACCAAACCCAAAATTAGTAGAAAAAAAAATAAAAGTCAGAGCAGAAATAAATGAAAAAAATAATACAGGAGATCAATCAAACAAAAAGTTGGTTTTTTGAAAAGTTAAACAAAATAGACAAAACTTTAGCCAGACTAAGAAAAAAAGAGAGAAGATTCAAATAAATAAAATCAGAGATGAAAAAGGAGGCATTACAACTGATACCATGGAAATGCAAAGGATCATTAGTGGTTACTATGAGCAACTATATGCCAACAAATTGGACAATCTAGGAGAAATGGACAAATTCCTAGACACACATAACCTACCAATGTTGAACTAGGAAGACATCCAAAACCAATAACAAGTAATGAGATCAAAGCCATAATAAAAAGTCTCCCAGTAAAAAAAGCCCAGGAACCAATGGCTTCACTGCTGTATTCTACCAAACATATAGAAGAACTAATATCAATCCTACTCAAACTACTCTGAAAAATAGAGGAGGAGGGAATACTCTCAAACTCATTCTACAAAGCCAGTATTACCCTGGTACCAAAACCAGACAAAGACACATCAAAAAAAGAAAACTACAGGTCAATATCTCTGATGAATATTGATGCAAAAATCCTTAACAAAATACTAGCAAACAGAATTCAACAATACATTAGGCACATCATCCACGATGACCAATTGAGATTTATCCCTGGATGCAAAGATGGTTCAACACATGAGAATCAAACAATGTGATACATCTTATCAACACAATGAAGGATGAAGGATAAAAACCGTATGATCCTTTCAATTGATGCTGAAAAGCATTTGATAAAATTCAACACCCCTTCATCATAAAAACCCTCAAAAAACTGGGGATGGAAGGGACACATCTCAACATAATAAAAGCCTTATACGACAGAACGACAGACCCATGGCTAGTATCATACTGAATGGGGAAAAACTGAAAGCCTTCTCTCTAAGATCTGCAACACAACAAGGAAAGCCACTTTCACCACTGTTATTTAACATAGTACTGGAAGTCCTAGCTAGAGCAATCAGACAAGAGAAAGAAATAAAGGGCATCCAAACTGGAAAGGAAGAAGTCAAATTATCCTTGTTTGCAGATGATATGATCTTATATTTGGAAAAAATTAAACATGCTACTAGAAAACTATTAGAACTGATAAGTTCAGTAAAGTTGCAGAATATAAAATCAACATACAAAAATTAGTAGCGTTTCGAGCTGGGCATGGTGGCTCATGCCTGTAATCCCAGCACTTTGGGAAGCCAGAGCAGGTGGATCACAAGGTCAACAGATCAAGACCATCCTGGCCAACATGGTGAAACCCCATCTCTACTAAAAATTCAAAAATTAGCTGGGCATGCTGGCGAGCACCTGTAGTCCCAGCTACTCAGGAGGCTGAGGCAGGAGAATCGCTTGAACCCGGGAGGCGGAGGTTGCAGTGAGCCAAGATTGCACCTCTGCACTCCAGCCTGGCGACAGAGCAAGACTCCACATAGCAAACAACCTAAAAGTGAAAGCAAGAAAGTAATCCCATTTACAATAGTTACAAATAAAATTAAATGCCTAGAGATTAACTTAGGCAAAGAAGTGAAAGTCCTCTACAGTGAAAATTGTAAAACATTGATGCCAGAAATTAAAGATGACACAAAAAAGTAAAAAGATATTCCATCATCATGGATTAGAAGAATCAGTATTGCTAAAAATGACCCAAAGCATACTACACAAAGCAATCTACAGATTCAGTGCAATCCCTATCAAAATACCAATGACATTCTTCACAGAAATAGAAAAACAATCCTAAAATTTATATGGAACTACAAAACAATCAGAATAGCCAAAACTATCCTGAGCAAATATAACAAAACTGGAGGAATCATATTACCTGGCTTTAAATTATACTACAAAGCTGTAGTAACCAAAAGAGCATGGTACTGGCATAAAAACAGGCACATAGATCAATGGAACAGTATAGAGAACCCAGAAATAAATCCATACATCTACATTGAACTCATTTTTGAGAAACGTGCCAAGAACATGCATTGGGGAAAGGACAGTATCTTCAATACATGGTACTGGGAAAACTGCATCTCTATATGCAAATGAATGAAACTAGACTCCTCTCTCCCACCATATACAAAAATCAAATCAAAGTGGATTAAAGACTTAAATCTAAGACCTAAAACTGTGAAACCACTACAAAACAAATTGGAGAAACTCTCCAGGACATTGCATTGGTCAAAGATTTCTTGAGCAATACCTCACAAGCACAGGCAACCAAAGCAAAAAGGGATAAATGGGATCACATCAAGTTAAAACGCTTATACACAGCAAAGGAAACAGCCAACAAAGTGAAAAGACACTAAATGGGAGAAAATATTTGCAAATTACCCATCTGACAAGATATTAATAACCAGAATATATAAAAAGCTCAAACAATTCTAGAGGAGAAAATCTAATAATCTGATTACAAATGGGCAAAAGATATGAATAGAGATTTCGCAAAAGAAAATACACAAATGCAAACAGGAATATGAAAAAGTGCTCAACATCATTGCTCACTGGAGAAATGTAAAGCAAAAATACAACAAGATATCATCTCACTCCAGTTAAAATGGCTTTTACCCAAAAAGTCAGGCAATAACAAATGCTGGCAAGGATGTGGTGAAAAGAGTACCCTCATACACTGTTTTGGGGAATGAAAATTAGTGCAACCACTATGGAGAACAGTTTTGAGGTTCCTAAAAACACTAAAAATAAGCCAGCCATGGTGACTTATGCCTACAATCCCAGCACACTGGGAAGCTAAGGCAGGAGGATTGCTTGAGCCCAGGAGTTTCAGGCTGCAGTGAGCTATTATTATGGCACTTCTCTCCAGCCTCGGTGACAGAAAAAGACCTTATTTAAAAAAAAAAAAAAAAAAAAAAGAACTAAATGCTAAAAATAGAGCTACCATATGTTCCAGAAATCCCACTCCTAGGTATATATACCCATAAGAAAGGAAATCAGTATATCAAAGAGATATCTGAACTCCCATGTTTATTGTAGCACTATTCACAATAGCCAAAATTTGGAAGCAACCTAGGTGTCCATCAACAGATAAATGGATAAAGAAAATGGGGTACATAAACACAATGGAATACTATTCAGCCATAAAAAAGATGAAATCCTGTCATTTGCAACAACATGGATGGAACTGGAGATCATTATGTTAAGTGAAATAAGCCAGGCACAGAAAGACAAACTTCACATGATCTCACTTATTTGTGGAAGCTAAAAATTAAAACAATTGAACTCATGGAGATAGAGAGTAGAAGGATAGTTACCAAAAGGTGGGAAGGGGAGTAGAGGAGTGTGGGGGGAAAGTGGGAATGGTAGTGGGTACTTAAAAACATAGAAATAATGCATAACGCATAAGACCTTGTATTTGCCATCACAACAAGACGACTATAGTCAAAAATAATTTAACTGTGCATTTTAAAATAACTAAAAGAGTATAACTGGATTGTTTGTAACACAAAGGATAAATGCCTGAGGTGAGGGATACCCCATTTACCTTGATGTAATTATTATGCATTGCATGCCTATATCAATACAGCTCACATAATGCATAAATATATATACCCACTATGTACCCACAAAATTTTTTTAAATAAAGGATATTACAAAGCATTAAAAAATTAAATAAACACAGGGGTACAGATGTCTCTTAGATATAAAAAAAAGTCTAGAAAGAATTCGTCATTCTAGAGGCCATTAAGAACATTTGTGATTCATGGGAGGAGGCCAAAATATCAACAAGAGTTTGGAAGAAGTTAATTCCAATCCTCATGGGTGACTTTGAGAGGAATTCAAGACTTCAGTGGAGGAAGAAACTGCAGATGTGAGAGAACTAGCAAGAGAACTAGAAGTGGAGCCTGAAGATGTGACTGAATTGCTGCAATCTCATGATCAGCCTTGAATGTGTGAGACGCTACTTCTCATGGATGAAAAAAAAGTGGTTCCTTGAGATGAAATATATTCCTGCTGAAGATGCTGTGAACATTGTTGAAATGACAACAAAGACTTAGAATATCACATAAACTTAGTTGATAAAGCAGTGACAAGGTTTGAGAGAATTGACTCCAATTCTGAAAGAAGCTCTGTGGGTAAAATGCTATCAAATAGCATCACATGCTACAGAGAAATCTTTCATGAAAGGAAGTCAATCAATGCATCAAACTTCATTGTTGTCTTATTTTAAGAAATTGCCACAGATACGCCAATCTTCAACTACCACCCTGATCGGTCAGCAGCCATCCATATCAAGGCAAGACTCTCCACCAGTTAAAAGATTACAACTCACTGAAGGCTCAGATGATGATTAGCATTTTTTAGCAATAAAGCATTTTTCAATTAAGATATGTACATTGTTCTTTTTAGACATAATGCTGTTGCATACTCAATAGACTACAGTATCGTGTAAACATAATTTTTATATGCACTCGGAAACCAAAAATTTGCGTGACTCACTTTATTTGTGTGACTCACTTTATTGTAGTGGTCTGGAATCAAACGTGTGATATCTCTGCGGTAGGCTTGTGTATAGCAGAGCTTGACATTTTTATTATTGCACTAAGTCTGATTAACAGCAGCAAAACTAGAAGCAGCAGGGGGCCTGTATGTAGCATTCTCTCATGCAGCAGTTTTTGCAAATTGAATCCACCAAATGTTAGCCACAGTATAGATAGAAGGAATTTTACTATTATATCCGTGTTTGAACCCTGATTTCTAATATCAGTTTGAGTATATCATTCTGTTTCTAGAAAAACAGAATTTGCACCCTTGTTTTTAGCGGAGGAATAATTTTCAGAATATAAAAGACAATGATTAGGCAGATTCTGAAGAAAATAATTTTAAACACATGTTCAAAATACTTGCAGGTATTAAAAATAGCAAAGCTTGCTCAAAATGAAGTGAAATAAGCTTATGAAAGACATAAGGTTTTAACAAAGCAGTCCATGACAATCATTTCAAATGCTTGAGAGTCTTTCTCAGTAATTTCTGACTTCAGAGTCATCCGTGTTCAATGCTAGAGCTAGACCTGTTAAGTATGATTATCACTATACATGTTTTAAATTTTTTAAATGTTCTCTCTTTGTAACAGCTTTATTGATGCAAAATTGATATACAAAAATCACACATATTTTATGTGTACAACTTGATAAGTTTGGACATATGCACCCACTAGTGAAATGACCACCACAATCAAGATAATAAACATCAATCACCTCCAAAAGTTTCTTCATGCCCCTTTGTGGTTTTGTTTTTGCTTTTTCTGTAGGAACACTTAATGTGAGATCTACCTTCTTAACCAATTTTTAAGTGCACGACTCAGAATTGTTATCCATAGAAAGTATGATGTACAGCTGATCTCTAGAACTTAATCATCTTTCATAACTGAAACTTTATACACTTTTATCAACTCTCCTTTTCCTCCTCTCAATAGCCCCTGGCAACTATCACTCTACTTTCTGTTCTATGAGTTTGACTACTTTACATACCTCATATAAGCGGAATCATGCGGTATTTTTCCTACTGTGACTGGCTTATTTCACATAGCATAATGTCTTCCAGGTTCATCCATGTTATCACATGTGGCGGAATTTCTTTCTTTTTAAGGCTGAATAATCTTCCATTATTATATAACATTATATAACACATTTTTTCTTTATCCATTCATCCACTGATGGACATTTACGTTGTTTTCAAATCTTGCCTATCATGAATAATGCTGCAATGAACATAGAAATGCATATATCTCTTCAAGATCCTGATTTCAGGCCAGGTGCGGTGGCTCACGCCTGTAATCCTAGTACTTTGGGAGGCCAAGGCTGGTGGATCACCTGAGGTCAGGAGTTTGAGACCAGCCTGGCCAACATGGTGAAACCCTGTCTCTACGAAAACACAAAAATTAGCCGGGCATGATGGCGCGCGCCTGTAATCCCAGCTACTGAGGCGGGAGAATTGCTTCAACCCAGGAGACAGAGGTTGCAGTGAGCCGAGATTGTGCCATTGCACTCCAGCCTGGGTGACAGAGCGATACTCCATCTCAAAAAAAAACAAAAAAAAAATCCTGATTTCAATTCTTTTCGATATATATCTAGCAGGGAGACTGCTGGATCATTTGGTAGTTCTGTTTTTAATTTTTTGAGGAACCTTCATACTTTTCTCCATAGTTACTGAGCCATTCTAGATTCCTACCAACTGTATATAAGGGTTTCCATTTTTCCACATCCTTGAAAATATTTCTTTTTTTTTTAAATAATAGCCATCCTAACAAGTGTATGATGATATTTCAATGTGATTTTAATTTGCATTTCCCTGATGATTAATGATGTTGAGCACCTTTTCATATAACTGTTGGTCATTTGTATGACTTCTTTGGTGAAATGTCTATTCAAGTCCTATGCCCACTTTTTAATCAGATTTGGGGGTTTTTGCTCTTACGTTGTAGAAAATTTTTATATATTTTGGATGTTAACCTCCTATCAGATAAATGATTTACAATTTTCTCCCTTTAGGCAGGTTGCCTTTTCACTCTGTTGATTGTGTCCCTTGCTGTACAGAAGCTTTTTAGTTTGAGATAGTCCTACTTGTCTAGTTTTGTTTTTGTTGCTTGTGCTTTTGGTGTCATATCCAAACAACCATTGCCAAGAACAATATCAAGCTTTTCCCTTCTGTCTTCTTCTACTTTTACAGTAAACTAACCCCCTGTTGAGCAATTGGGTTTTTGCTTTCTTAAAACCCTCTTTCTTTGGATTCTGGGACTTCACCTTCTCCTCAATCTTTTACTACATTTATAAGGAACTTCTTAGTCAAGCTTCTAGTGATTCTTAACTGGGCTTAGGACACGCCCCCCTCCCTCCTCATCCTGGTGGAAAGCATCAGCAATCAGCAACATGAGATCAGAGTGTTGCACAAAAGAAAAGCATGGAGACAGAAAAACAGATTGGGGAGTATGCCCTGCGCTCAGCCCCTCAAACATCCCATCTACTCCTCTAGTTTTAACTATTCTCTGATTTCCAAACACATGTCTCTACTCCAGACTTACTTAGCAGTTATCCAAGGTTATATAGCAGTCTAGTTATCTGTTAGGGGTGCTACAACCTCAAAATAGCAAAAACATAAAATCATTCTCTCTTCCCATCCATCTTCCCAACATATTCTCTTTTATATCTTCTATATTTTAGTAATAATTTCTCAGATATTGTCTTGCCAATTCTACTTCCTAATTATCTCTTGAATCTGCCGCTTTCTCTTCATTCTCACTTAGTTTAAGCAATTTTTAGCTCTTGTGTGGGTTCTTTGCATAGCTCCTAGTTGCTTTCTCTACCTCCAGCCTCATATAAACACAACTCCACCCCTCTCTTCCAGTGCATCTCTTACATCATTCCTGAAAAGTTCTTTCCAAAATGCAAATTTGATAATATCTCTTTCCTAGGTAAAATTATCTAGAAGCTTATGATTCCCTACAGGATAAAAATCAAACCAACTTCCTTAGCAGAAGGTATAAGACCTTTTATAATTTGGAGCCTAACTACCCACCATCTCTCATCTTCTATTCCAACTTCAAAACCCTACTCAGATGTCAACTTCTCTATGAAGGTCTTCTAACCAATCTCTCTCCCCCAAAATTAGGTTAGGCCCTCCTTTCTCTATAGCATGTACCTAATACTTTTATCATTGCTAAAATAAATTATAATTTATTTGTGTATACATGCTACTCATCTAAGAAGATGAGCTCCATGAGAAAACAGATTATCTATTTTTCCTCTTGACACACTTAGCACTTGTTTTCAATCCCAGATGATGGATGGATGGATGATTAAAGTACAGAAGAAATCAATTAGTGAGCCAGTATGATAGTTTATTTTTCTAAACATTCCAACTGGATTTCCTAATAGTCCCAAATTAAAAAGTTCTTGCTAGCCACGATCATTTGAGTAACTGAAACAGCTATACTGGCATCTATTCTGACAATAACTTTAAAAGAAAAATAAAACCTTGTTATATATATGCAGCTTTGGGTAATAACCTTGAAAACATGCCATGAAATTTCCCCCATTTAAAAAAATCCCAATGATGAGCTCTCTGCCATAGTAATAAAATTCTGGTAAACACCGTGACCATTTATTTAGGAAAATGAGTTTGCAGCCTCAAGGGTTACATTCAAATGGAGAAGGAATCAATGCAGCCAAGAAGAAAATCCCTGCCACACTTAAGAGGACTAAAAACTTTATCACTCTGGAATATTCCAGGTCAAATTCAAGATGTACCATTTTTTGACATTTTAATAGGTGCAAATTAAGTAGGGTTATGGGCACATTTCACATAAAGTGAGATTTCCTACAATCAGACCACAATAAAACTCTTTTTCTCTAGTAAAAACTTAGATTTAAGAACCTTTATACTCCCATATACATGCACAATATTAAATGGACTCAGATGAGAGAACAGCAAAGCTAATCTGTGCAGATAAAAGAATGAGTCAAAGAAAGACAATAACTACTGTTGTTTTTCAAAGTAAGTTAAGTTTATTATTTCTGTTGTCTGTCATCATCAATTGCAATGAGGATATAGACCAGCAGTCTGGGAAATATTCTCTAATGAGCCAGAAGCCCCTGCTTGGCTATATCTAACTTGGACTCTGACCCACACTGACAAGAGAAACAAAATTTGCCTGAATATTTCAAACACCACAAAGATAATGAAAAACCTAAGCCAAATTTCAGTCATTGCCCCAACAGAGTTGATAATGTCATGCAGTGCTGACATGTTCTTGGAATTGTAAAGCAATAAAATTATTTGTCAAAATTGAGCCTTTTCTACATGTCTCAAATTGTGTCTTTTACATTTTTTTCCATAATTTCCTGGCTTCTTTGACAGCTTTAAATTGTACATAATTTTCATGTACGGTACGTTTTGAAACACATGGATGTATACACTGTGAAATGGCTAGATCAATGTAATTAACACGTATTACAGGAGGAATAAGTTCAAGAGAACTTGTACAACATGTTAATTATAGTTAATGATAATGTATTATTTTCTTGGAAATTGTTAATAGATTTTAAATGTTCTCACCACAAAAGTGCTAAGTATATCACATTGTGTTATTTTATGTCTTCCTACAGCTCAAGCAAATTTTACCTTTTTATATTTCTGAAGTCATTGGTAACCAAGTGCTTCAGTCAGCATCCCAACAGGTTGGCATACTCAAATTAGGTTAACTTGAGGAGAATTTATTTTAAAAAAGGAACTCTTTTAAGGAGTATGGGCAAAATGCCAAGGAACTAGAAGTATCACAGAGCTAATAATATAGGAGCAGTTACTAAACCCTAGGCCCAAAGGAAAAAGGGAAAGGAGTAGTTTCCAGAACCTAAAAGGAGAGAATAGTATGCAAGTGGACACCTTGAAAAGGTTACTGAACTTCAGTAAACGTTCTCAGACAGCCCAAGGTGACCTTACAGGGAGGGAGCCAAGGGATAAATAATTGATCTCACTCTCCTCTCTCTCTCTATCTCTCTCTCACCTATCACTGGGGCCCCCATGAGCAAAACCAACCTGGAAGCCAGAGAAAATAAGAGCTCCTTGATGAAGTTCATACAGATTAGCATCCCAGGCCAGAGAACAAGGTGAAGACAAGAGGAGAATGGCTCTGAAGGGACAAATTAAAGCTATCCAACACTCCATGTTTTATGGAGCAAGTTTCTTCTCCCATCCATCATCTACATCTATTTAGTGACTACTGCATGCAATATACAGTAAATTATAAGAACATGGTGAAGATGTGGGAAAAGGAAGTTGAAGATAGAGAGAGAGTCACAGAAAAATCTCCTACAGGAAATTAAAATTAAAACATGTTTCTAACCATGGCAAAACTCAATTACCATATCTACAAGTAAAAATCTACCCAAAGGGCTGTCTGTGGATCAGTAGCATCAGCATCATCTGGGAACTTGTGAGAAATGCATAATCTCAGGCTCCACCCCAGACCCACTGACTCAGAATCTTATTTTTAATCAAATCCCCAGGTGCCTATTATGCACATTAAAGTTTAAGAAGCACTGCTGTAAAGACTCCCTAAATTTACTCAGGGTAATACTAAAAGTTTGGAGTAATTAAAGCTAGTGGGATTTAACATGGGAAAGTTCAAGAAGGTGTTATATTTTAGAAGTTTATTAGAATAGCATTTTACTGAAAACATCATGTTTTTACATTTAATCGTAAAGTCAAATGGCAAATATACTTAATTAGTAACTGGATATATAATATTCATGAAATAATATTATCAAAACTGATAGTAAATATTGTTCCATTAATACAAAGTTCTTTGGGGATAAAAAAAAATTCTTATGCTACATAAATTCTCTAAGTTCTCTAAAGAAAGGAAAAATCCAGGCTATTTAAATTGGAAAGCTGCTGCTTCAGTTTTGTGCTTTGCTGTCATTCTCGACTTAATACTATTTTCCTTTCTATTTCAGGATCAACTCTGACACTTCATGGGTGTTCAGTAAACACTTTTTGATCGATTGAAGCCCAACTGTTTTAAAATTGTATGCTAAACTATAATAATAGATCAGCACCAAAATCTAGTTGCAGACTGTCTTCTCTACCTAAAGAACAGCACCATCTAGTGTTTGCCCAACAATGTTCCATCTTCTATCAAGTGTATCTTTACTAAGCCATATGAGAAAATTCTAATGTTAAAGTTAATCCACTGTGTCATACCGTTCTACCTTACTACATATCTAACAAAGTCTTAGAATAATTTAAGTTTGCTTTTGCCATGCATCAGTTCTAGCTTTAAAATAGCAGCAGCAGCCTGGAGCACTGGCTCAGGCCTGTAATCCCAGCACTTTGGGGATGCCGAGGCAGGCAGATCACGAGGTCAAAAAAATCGAGACCATCCTGGCCAACATGGTCATCTCTACTAAACATACAACAACCCCATCTCTACTAAAACTACAAAAATTAGCCGGGCGTGGTGGCGCGTGCCTACAGTCCCAGCTACTCAGGAGGCTGAGGCAGGAGAATCGCTTGAACCCGGGAGGCAGAGGTTGCAGTGAGCTGAGATCCTGCCACTGCACTCCAGCCTGGCGACGGAGCGAGACTCCGTCTCAAAAAAAAAAAAAAAAAAAAAAACAAAAAAAGCAGGAGCACTATTTCATACACTACGGAAAGACAAATTTACCTCAACATCTCAGTAGCCCAGCCCACATCTTCTTACTTCAATCCTTATCAACTCAGTGCATACCATCTGATTTCCCACTTCAAGAACCTATCGGCCATGCCTGAGGACTTTTTCAGGCCACCAAAAACCACCTTGCTGCTCACACTGCAGGCCAGACCTAGATTAACCCTGCCCTCAGAAGCCCCCAGCCAAGACTAATGAGAGATGATGCATAAACATCCCAGCTTCCTATCCCCTCAGGAGACAGGCTCTGTTTCCTAGAGTTTTCTCATAAGACGAAGTGCCAATCACTCACAACGGTGACTCTTTTGGCTGCCTTCTCTTCCCAGTCTCACTTTCCTACTCCCCTAGCAATGTTTCCCTCACCTCCAGATAAACTACTTGCACTGCATTCTTACGCTGCAGTCTGCTTCTGGGAAAACCCAAATTAAGACATTCTTACTGCACCATATCCCATCGAAAGCCATTGGCTAAGAAGACAAGTAGAGAAGAAGTGTTCCATGCCTGGTTCATCATTTGCTACCCTCCCACCACCCCACCCAGTTCACCAACCTAATATATAATCACGGCATCACAGGAATATTACATAACAGCAGAGACTTTGCTTTATTCACTGCTGTATTACAACACCTAGAACAATGCCCACAAATAGTAATTGCTCAATAAATATTTGCTGACTACAAGTTAATGCTGGACATAAATATATCTCTGAGCTTTGAAAGAAGAAAGTCACCAATGGTGACCAAGATTTTATGTACAAATATTAATTTATTCTCTTTTAATTTCCAATATTTTCTAATATGAAAACTTTTTTAGCAAAACTCAGATCTACGGATCCATACCTGATGCGCCAAGCCAGTCAGAATACCTGTCACTGGAATAAAAGTACATTACAAATCTAAGCATTTGTGAGTATATGAAAATTAAGATAGTTATTTTCGGGGCTCATGTTTTGCCAAATTAACATTTTAATAGATACTAATATTAGAAAGGAGCTACTATGAAAATTTTAATTTATGCCTAAAGCTACATGTGTTTTTCTAATTCCTTTTCCTTCTTTTCTCTACAAAATAAAACATGGTTTTCAATGGATTATGTCATCAAATTCAACGTGAACTTTAGATTTTTTTTAATATTGGTCACAATGACACATTAAAGTGTTCTAGCACATGAGATGTTTCCCTAATCAAAGGATATTGTAAGATTAATAGAGAAAAATGACTCAACTCTGAAAGTTTACACCAGGACAGGTTGAACAGATAGAGGATGCATTTTCTTTTACTCAGGACAGCTGTAAGGAATGCTAGATTCCAGTGACCACTCATCAGGGAAAGTGAGGTAAACAAGGATTAGGTAGTGCCTAGGAGATTTGGGCTCTCAAGGTGTGATCTATAGCCCAATTGTCACAGTCCAAAAAGTCCTCTACCCACATAGATACCAATAATCAAGGATTTGTACATGATGGGTAGAGTCTGACACATAGCATCTTCTTGGCTCAGGAGCGGGGTTGTAAGCCTGGGTCTAAGCATAACAGAGGACAGACATATGGCTACAGGGCAAGGGAAGATTGGCAAGGGTGGGCTCTAGGCAGATTCTTAGGACCTTAACTAAGCAGCCTAGCATGCAGAATAGGGCGGCTCAGCCCCTAAGAAGACTTTTTATGCAAACCAGGAATTAGAACAGGCCATCCTTGTTGAAGGCTGGGACACATGGCTCAGTGGGTGCTCTTAATCTGGTTCCAGGAAGACCTGAAACCAGGAAGAAACATATATTAATTCCAAATGCCCTCTGATGGGGATGAGAATCAGGTTTGGAACTCATGTTTACAGTAACTGAGACGAGCTAGGTCTAAAGGTTAAAAGCCATCACATTCTCCAGCTGGACAGAGACAAAAGGGCATTAGGAAATAGGTAGAAGGTGGCAAATTGCCTTTCTCCAGCTACTTTCCCCTAGATAAATCCTATAAAGACCTATATTTCTTTAAAACAAGGATTTAGCAAAGGGAATGGATTTAGGGTGAGAGATGAGTTTGATTGTTATTGTTGCAGGAATCAGAGGACCAGAGAGACCAATGGATAGAACAGGAGGATTTTATTTAAGTGGCCACTGGCCCAGTGGATTCACATCCAAAGGCTAGGCCCTGAACAAAGACAGGGCTTTACTTTTATACACACTCTTGAAAGGGAGTTGGCTAGTTTGAATGGCATGGTGGGAAGCCAATGGCGTGAAACTCGTGGTGCAAGCAAGCAGGCTTACAGAAGCAGAACAAAGGCAGTTATTCAAACAGTGACAGGTTTCGTTTCCCTAGCATAGCCTGTGACCTTGCAGCTGCGTCAAATGAAAAACAGAAACTTACAAAACTTGGGAAATTGAGTAATGGTAAGCGGGATGCAGAGATAGTAAAGGAATTTGTCTTTCCTAACCTTGCTCTGAGGGGGTGTCTGGGGCCCATTCCTTTCGGCTTTGGCTTTTCAGATAGTGTTATCAAAGCTTTGCCAGGGCTCTATCTATTACTGTCCTTGGAGTGAGTTAGCTAAGTACAGGAAAACTTGTTTGTCTCTTTTTAACTCCTGCTTCATTATCTTCATGAGGCCTGTTAAATTATTTGAGGATAAAGCACCTTCAGAGCCCACTGAGTTTCAGAGCTATGCTCCAGAACACAGAAGAATCTGTTACTCATATCTACTCACCCATCTGAACCTGATGGTGAACCTTTCTTCAGCTTTGTCCTGGGCTAGGAAATTTTACATTTTAATTTTAAAAAAGAATAGTACACCTTCCAAATTGCTACATATGCCCTGAACTGAATACAAATCAAAGGCTCATGCTGCATCTGGAAAACACACATTAATAGGAATGTTCATTTGTTTGGATTATTTCCTTCCACGTGATCTGAATGGGCCCCAAGCATTCCAGGATCACATCAGTCACAACTAAGGACTGTTCAAGGGCTATTCCTTCCAGTTTCATATAATGAAACCAGGTTCAAGGTCAACTTCAGGCAAGAATATACATGAGGCATCTTCTATGTAAAAGATATACACATCTCACCTTACCACGATCCATTTGCCCCTTTCTATCCCAACCAAGAAAGTCTGAGCTGGAGTTTTTCAAGTTAAAATGTCTTACTCTGACTTGGTTATTTTACTTTGGGTAAAAAAAGAGACACATTAAGAGCACATTTTAGAATGGCAGTGATAGAATTTTTTTACATTTTCTTAACGCATTTACGCTTTATTCTCTGAGTGCTAATAACTAAGGCATGATAATTTCCATTTGATTCCGCTTATTATTTCTCCTGAGTAAACAAGGTAGAAAATGGTAAGGCTAACCATTTTGGTCTATTCAAAATAAGACCAGGATCTCAGCCTAAGTTAGATTCTTATTAAAACTCAAACTCTGAACAGAAGAAAAGTTTAAAGGTTGAACAAGGTACGTCTCAAACCATGTCTCCCATCTTCAGCTTAGTCCACTGATATATCTAATGATCCAGACACAGAACCAAAGGAAATGCAGTCTACTCATTTGGGACAAGGGGAGTCAATTGGATACTACTATGGTCCAGGAGACTGAACTTGTTAAGGCAACTGTTATCAAGTACAGCAGTCCAAGACCTTCCAAGACCTCCAGTGGATGCCTGAAGTCTTTGATAGTACTGAACCCTGTATATACTATGCACGAATTTCTTTCCTCTTCACAATTTCATGGACGATTCATTCTTACCATGGATCTCAGTAACCTCAGCATATAATTTTTTTTGTTTCTTCATTAAGTTGAAAGCTTTCACCTTTTCACTTAAAGGAACTACTTTTTGGCTTCTCTTTGGCATATCCAAATTGCCAACATTACTACTTTTGCTCTCTGGGGCCATTATTAAGTAAAATAAAGGTTACTTGAACATAAGACCTGTGATACCTGACACTCCAACTGATAACCCATATGGCTAATGGGCAGGTAGCATACAAAACACAGATACACTGGACAAAGGGATGATTCATGTCCTGGGTGGGATGAAGTGGTACAACATGAGATTTCATCATGCTTCTCAGAATGGCATGCAATTCAAAATTTACAAATTGTTTATTTCTGGAATTTTCCATTTAATATTTTCAGACCGTGGTTGACCATGGGTAACTGAAACTGTGGAAAGCAAATCTGTAGATAACGGGGAATGATTGTATCCAAAAGCAATATGCTCATGGGAAATGTTACAACAGACGCTTCTAACTGTCCCCCTTCTCACTCATGGTAAGGGAACTCCTGCTTTTTAGATGGATTTATGGCATCCCCAATTTAAGACATTCCCATACTAGTCTGCAGGTAGGTGTGGTTCCATGTGTCTATGTTGTAGTCAAGGAAAGATTAGCTAGAGTTTACATCTTTGGGGTCATGTCCTTAGTGTCAAGGACATGGCCTCCACTGCCATTTTATACCTTTCTTGCTGGCTGAAATTCAGACATTAGGAGAGTAATCTTGGACCATGTGGGATAAGGTCAATATTCTAAGGATAGCAGAGCAACAAGATGGAGGGTGCCTGGGCCCTTGGTGACATTTCAGTAGAGAGCTGCCATAATTGCTCAGATTTTACTTTGAGAAAGAAATGAGCTTCTGTCCTCTTTAAGGCATCGTTGATTTTAATCTCTGTTAGAGCAGCTGAATGTTATACTATTACAATTGTATGGCAAATAATTTGCTACTAATAATATTTTAAGGAAGGAAGTATGATTGTGAGTTATTTATTTTGGTATAAGTTAGAGAAGTTATCCTATTACAACATTACTTGCACTAACATGGATTCCAAAATGTTTTATAGAGCAAGAGAAAAGGAGTGTCATTGTATGTAGCATGTCAAGAATTGTGCAAATTCCATGGTGCCCCATTGGATATGTTCAATCTGTGAATGCCATCTGTTATGTGTACTATAGGGTAAAAACTGTTAGATTGGTACAAGAGGCTAAGAAAATCATAATATAAACCATGTTAATACCTATGTATATTTGCCTTTATACTCAGATTGTATTCCTCACCTCATTTATAAATTTGGCTAATTCACATCATAAGGTAAAACCAGAAAGAGGGCTAGATACAAAACAATCGCCATCCTTAGAAGGGCCACATGGGGCACCAGACCTACTAGTGGGAAGGCAGCTTAATGACAGCCAAAATGACATAATAAGAGCATAATGAGCCAACCAATAAAATGCATGTTTTGCTTAAAAAATTATCAAGAAATAAAAATAGACATATAAGAGCCTATATGAGAGTTAACAAACATTCTTCTATGCACACTATTAGTAGAATGTGAGTGTAGTTTATTACAAAGAAATAGACAAATGCACAAAGATGTAAAGAGTTAAGTTGTTACTCATGGTGCTATTCATACTAGTGAGAAATTAGATGTAATCTACATGTCCAACAACTAAGAATTAGCTAAATAAATTTGGCCAATTCCTGTGATGGAATAATTTTCAGCCATTAAAATAGAATTTTTGAAGGTTATTTAATTAGATAATATTGACAATGCAGGTTTAACAATATGTGCACTATAATCTCGATGTTGAAAAAATCATACTGTACAGATACAATATACATTTGTGTTTGAAAAATTTTCTTTTTATACTTTAAGTTCTAGGGTACATGTGCACAACGTGCAGGTTTATTACATTTGTATATATGTGCCATGTTGGTGTGCTGCACCCATTAACCTGTCATTTACATTAGGTATTTCTCCTAATGCTATCCGTCTCCCCTTCCCCCACCTGAAACAGGCCCCAGTGTGTGATGTTCCCCTTCCTGTGTCCAAGTGTTCTCATAGTTCAATTCCCACCTATGAGTGAGACTATGCGGTGTTTGGTTTTTTCTTTTTGCGATAGTTGGCTGAGAATGATGGTTTCCAGCTTCATCCATGTCCCTACAAAGGACATGAAATCATCATTTTTTATGGCTGCATAGTACTCCATGGTGTATATGTGCCACATTTTCTTCATCCAGTCTATCACTGATGGACATTTGGGTTGCTTCCAAGTCTTTGCTATTGTGAATAGTGCCGCAATACACATACATGTGCATGTGTCTTTATAGCAGCATGATTTATAATCCTTTGGGTATATACCCAGTAATGGGATGCCTAGGTCAAATGGTATTTCTAGTTCTAGATCCCTGAGTAATCGCCACACTGACTTCCACAATGGTTGAACTAGTTTCCAGTCCCACCAACAGTGTAAAAGTGTTCCTATTTCTCCACATCCTCTCCAGCACCTGTTGTTTCCTGACTTTTTAATGATTGCCATTCTAACTGGTGTGAGATAGTATCTCATTGTGGTTTTGATTTGCATTTCTCTGATGGCCAGTGATGATGAGCATTTTTTCATGTGTCTATTGGCTGCATAAATGTCTTCTTTTGAGAAGTGTCTGTTCATATCCTTCGCCCACTTGTTGATGGGGTTGTTTTTATCTTGTAAATTTGTTTGAGTTCTTTGTACATTCTGGATATTAGCCCTTTGTCAGATGAGTAGATTGCAAACATTTTCTCCCATTCTGTAGGTTGCCTGTTCACTCTGATGGTAGTTTCTTTTGCTGTGCAGAAGCTCTTTAGTTTAATTAGATCCCATTTGTCAATTTTGGCTTTTGTTGCCATTGCTTGTGGTGTTTTAGACATGAAGTCCTTGCCCATGCCTATGACCTGAATGGTATTGCCTAGGTTTTCTTCTAGGGTTTTTATGGTTTTAGGTCTAACATTTAAGTCTTTAATCCATCTTGAATTAATTTGTGTATAAGGTGTAAGGAAGGGATCCAGTTTCAGCTTTCTACATATGGCTACCCAGTTTTCCCAGGACCATTTGTTAAATAGGGAATCCTTTCCCTATTTCATGTTTTTGTCAGGTTTGTCAAAGATCAGACAGTTGTAGATATGTTGTATTATATCTGATGGCTCTGTTCTGTTCCATTGGTCTATATCTCTGTTTTGGTACCAGTACCATGCTGTTTTGGTTACTGTAGCATTGTAGTATAGTTGGAAGCCAGGTAGTGTGATGCCTCCAGCTTTCTTCTTTTGACTTAGGATTGTCTTGGCAATGCGGGCTCTTTTTTGGTTCCATATGAACTTTAAAGTAGTTTTTTCCAATTCTGTGAAGAAAGTCATTGGTAGCTTGATGGGGATGGCATTGAATCTATAAATTACCTTGGGCAGAATGGCCATTTTCATGATATTGATTCTTCCTATCCATCAGCACAGAATGTTCTTCCATTTGTTCGTGTCCTCTTTTATTTCGTTGAGCAGCTGTTGGTAGTTCTCCTTGAAGAGGTCCTGCACATCCCTTGTAAGTTGGATTCCTAGGTATTTTATTCCCTTTGAAGCAATTGTGAATGGGAGTTCACTCATGATTTTGCTTTCTGTTTGTCTGTTATTGGCGTATAAGAATGCTTGTGATTTTTGCACACTGATTTTGTATCCTGAGACTTTACTGAAGTTGCTTATCAGCTTAAGGAGATTTTGGGCAGAGACAATGGGGTTTTCTAGATATACAATCATGTCATCTGCAAACAGGGGCAATTTGACTTCCTCTTTTCCTAATTGAATACCCTTTATTTCTTTCTCCTGCCTGATTGCCCTGGCCAGAATTTACAACACTATGTTGAATAGGAGTGGTGAGAGAGGGCATCCCTGTCTTGTGCCAGTTTTCAAAGGGAATGCTTCCAGTTTTTGCCCATTCAGTATGATATTAGCTGTGGGTTTGTCATAGATAGATCTTATTACTTTGAGATACATCCCATCAATACCTAATTTGCTGAGAGTTTTTAGCATGAAGGGCTGTTGAATTCTGTCAAAGGCCTTTTCTGTATCTATTGAGATAATCATGTCGTTTTTGTCTTTGGTTCCGTTTATATGCTGGATTACATTTATTGATTTGTGTATGTTAAACTGGCCTTGCATCCCAGGGATGAAGCCCACTTGATCATGGTGGATAAGCTTTTTGATGTGCTGCTGGATTTGGTTTGCCAGTATTTTATTGAGGATTTTCGCATCAATGTTCATCAGGGATATTGGTCTAAAATTCTCTTTTTTTGTTGTGTCTCTGCCAGGCTTTGGTATCAGGATGATGCTGGCCTCATAAAATGAGTTAGGGAGGATTCCCTCTTTTTCCATTGATTGGAAGAGTTTCAGAAGGAATGGTACCAGCTCCTCCTTGTACCTCTGGTAGAATTCGGCTGTGAATTCATCTGGTCCTGGACTTTTTTTGGTTGGTAAGCTATTAATTATTGCCTCAACTTCAGAGCCTCTTATTGGTCTATTCAGGGATTCGACTTCTTCCTGGTTTAGTCTTGGGAGAGTGTATGTGTCCAGGAATTTATCCATTTCTTCTAGATTTTCTAGTTTATTTGCATAGAGGTGTTTATAGTATTCTCTGATGGTAGTTTGTATTTCTGTGGGATCGGTGGTGATATCCCCTTTATCATTTTTTATTGCGACTAATTGATTCTTCTCTCTTTTCTTCTTTATTAGTCTTGCTAGCAGTCTATCAATTTTGTTGATCTTTTCAAAAAACCAGCTCCTGGATTCATTGGTTTTTTGAAGGGTTTTTTGTGTCTCTATCTCCTTCAGTTCTGCTCTGATCTTAGTTATTTCTTGCCTTCTGCTAGCTTTTGAATGTGTTTGCTCTTGCTTCTCTAATTCTTTTAATTGTGATGTTAGGGTGTCAATTTTAGATCTTTCCTGCTTTCTCTTGTGGGCATGTAGTGCTATAAATTTCCCTCTACACACTGCTTTAAATGTGTCCCAGAGATTCTGGTATGTTGTGTCTTTGTTCTTGTTGATTTCAAAGAACATCTTTATTTCTGCCTTCACTTCGTTATGTACCCACTAGTCATTCAGGAGCAGTCATTCAGGAGCAGGTTGTTCAGTTTCCATGTAGTTGAGCGGTTTTGAGTGAGTTTCTTAATCCTGAGTTCTAGTTTGATTGCACTGTGGTCTGAGAGACAGTTTGTTGTAATTTCGGTTCTTTTGCATTTGCTGAGGAGTGCTTTACTTTCAACTATCTGGTCAATTTTGGAACAAGTGTGATGTGGTGCTGAGAAGAATGTATATTCTGTTGATTTGGGATGGAGAGTTCTGTAGATGTCTATTAGGTCCACTTGGAGCAGAGCTGAGTTCAATTCCTGGATATCCTTGTTAACTTTCTGTCTTGTGGATCTGTCTAATGTTGACAGTGGGGTGGTAAAGTCTCCCATTTTTATTGTGTGGGAGTCTAAGTCTCTTTGTAGGTCTCTAAGGACTTGCTTTATGAATCTGGGTGCTCCTGTATTGGGTGCATATATATTTAGGATAGTTAGCTCTTCCTGTTGAATTGATCCCTTTACCATTATGTAATGGCCTTCTTTGTCTCTTTTGATCTTTGTTGGTTTAAAGTCTGTTTTATCAGAGACTAGGATTGCAACCCCTGACTTTTTTTGTTTTCCATTTGCTTGGTAGATCTTCCTCCATCCCTTTATTTTGAGCCTATGTGTGTCTGCACGCGAGATGGGTTTCCTGAATACAGCACACTGATAGGTCTTGACTCTTTATCCAATTTGCCAGTCTGTGTCTTTTAATTGGAGCAGTTAGCCCATTTACATTTAAGATTAATATTGTTATGTGTGAATTTGATCCTGTCATTATGATGTTAGCTGGTCATTTTGCTCGTTAGTTGATGCAGTTTTGTCCTAGCATCGATAGTCTTTACAATTTGGCATGTTTTTGCAGTGGCTGGTATCAGTTGTTCCTTTCCATGTTTAGTGTTTCCTTCAGGAGCTCTTTTAGGGCAGGCCTGGTGGTGACAAAATCTCTCAGCATTTGCTTGTCTGTAAAGTATTTTATTTCTCCTTCACTTATGAAGCTTAGTTTGGCTGGATATGAAATTCTGGCTTGAAAATTCTTTTCTTTAAGAATGTTGAATATTGGCCCCCACTCTCTTCTGGCTTGTAGAGTTTCTGCTGAGAGATCTGCCGTTAGTCTGATGGGCTTCCCTTTGTGGGTAACCCGACCTTTCTCTCTGGCTGCCCTTAACATTTTTTCCTTCATTTCAACTTTGGTGAATCTGACAATTTTGTGTCTTGGAGTTGCTCTTCTCGAGGAGTATCTTTGTGGCATTCTCTGTATTTCCTGAATTTGAATGTTGGCCTGCCTTGCTAGATTGGGGAAGTTCTCCTAGATACTATCCTGCAGAGTGTTTTCCAACTTGGTTCCATTCTCCCCGTCACTTTCAGGTACACCAATCAGACGTAGATTTGGTCTTTTCACATAGTCCCATATTTCTTGGAGGCTTTGTTCACTTCTTTTTATTCTTTTCTCTCTAAACTTCTGTTCTCGCTTCATTTCATTCATTTGATCTTCCATCACTGATACCCTTTCTTCCAGCTGATCGAATCGGCTACTGAAGTTTGTGCATTCTTCACGTTGTTCTCACGCCATGGTTTTCAGCTCCTTCAGGTCATTTTAAGGCCTTCTCTACATTGTTTATTCTAGTCAGCCATTCATCTAATCTTTTTTCAAGGTTTTTAACTTCTTTGCAATGGGTTCGAACTTCCTCCTTTAGCTCGGAGAAGTTTGATCGTCTGAAGCCTTCTCTCAACTCATCAAAGTCATTCTCCGACCAGCTTTGTTCCATTGCTGGTAAGGAGCTGTGTTCCTTTGAAGGAGAAGAGGGGCTCTGATTTTTAGAATTTTCAGTTTTTCTGTTCTGTTTTTTCCCCATCTTTGTGGTTTTATCTACCTTTGGTCTTTGATGATGGTGACGTTCAGATGGGTTTTGGTGTAGATGTCCTTTCTGTTTGTTAATTTTCCTTCTAACAGTCAGGACCCTCAGCTGCAGGTTTGTTGGAGTTTGCTGGAGGTCCACTCCAGACCCTGTTTGCCTGGGTATCAGCAGCAGAGGCTGCAGAACAGCGGATATTGCTGAACAGCAAATGTCTGATCATTCCTCTGGAAGTTTCATCTCAGAGGGGTACCTGGCCATGGGAGGTGTCAGTCTGCCCCTACTGGGTGGTGCCTCCCAGTTAGGCTACTCGGGGGTCAGGGACCCACTTGAGGAGGCAGTCTGTCCATTCTCAGGTCTCAAACTCTGTGCTGGGAGAACCACCACTCTCTTCAAAGTGGTCAGACAGGGACATTTAAGTCTACAGAGGTTTCTGCTGCCTTTTGTTTGGCTATTCCCTGCCCCCAGAGGTGGAGTCTACAGAGGTAGGCAGGCCTCCTTGAGCTGCGGTGGCCTCCACCCAGTTCGAGCTTCCCCGCTGTTTTGTTTGCCAACTCAAACCTCAGCAATGGCAGGTGCCCCTCCCCCAGCCTCGCTGCCGCACTGCAGTTTCATCTCAAACTGCTGTGCTAGCAATGAGCGAGGCTCCGTGGGTGTGGGACCCCTCTGAGCCAGGTGCGGGATATAATCTCCTGGTGTGCTGTTTGCTAAGACCATTGGAAAAGCTCAGTATTAGGGTGGGAGTGACCCGATTTTCCAGGTGCTGTCTGTCACAGCTTTGCTTGGCTAGGAAAGGGAATTCTCTGACCCCTTGCACTTCCCGGGTGAGACGATGCCTCGCCCTGCTTCGGCTCACGCTCAATGCGCTGCACCCACTGTCTGACAAGTCCCAGTGAGATGAACCCGGTACCTCAGTTGGAAATGCAGATATTACCCGTCTTCTGCGTCGCTCCCGCTGGGAGCTGTAGACTAGAGCTGTTCCTATTTGGCCATCTTGGAACCGCCTCCTGTATTTGTTTTAAGCTAGAAATTAGTCCAGATAGTCTTGCCCACTACTGCCAGAAATTGAAAGTCTTACCACCTAATATACAGACTGTTGAACAGTACTTTTGGTTTTGACCCTGCCTTCACTCCTATTACTAAAGATACCTCCAGTGTTTCTAGTTATAACAGGAAATAAGGAAAGAAAACAGGATCAGAGATTGGCAGTTTACAGATTTGATGGTGGGGCTGGTGGAATTCCTGTATGATTCATTTTCTCAATGTGGTTTGAAGTGAAGTTATTAGTTCAGAGTAGGAAAAAGAAGAAAAAGGAGAGATATGAAATAGTCATCTCGAAGAATGAAAAAACAAGCTTTCTATTGAAACTTAATGTCATTTTCCATCTACATTGCTATGGACTGAGTGTTTGTGCCTTTGCCCCAAAATTTATATGTCAAAGTCCTAATCCCCAGTGTGATGGCATTTGGAAGTGAGGGCTTTTGTGGGGCAATTAGGTCATGAGGGTGGAGCTGTCATGATGGGATTCATGTCCTTATAAGAGGCAGAAGAGAGATGTTGTCTCTCTCCACCATGTTAGGATACAGCAAGAAGGTTGCAGTCTACAAACCAAGAAGAAAGTGCTTGCCAGACACCAAATATGTTGGCCTTGATCTTGGACTTTTCAGCCTCCGTAACTGTGAGAAATAAATGTTTTTTCAAGCCACTCATCTATGACATTTTGTTATAGCAGCCCAAGTTGACTAAGACAAACATAAAGTACAAATTTGAGTTTTGTGTTCATTAACAGAAAATGGGATGAGTCCACCAAGTACGTGATTGAATTCATCACAGTTTAGCTATACAGAAGAAACTGAAGTTTGGGATTTTCCAAATAATAACAATGGCGAGAAGACAAGGACATTAAGGTTATTTGCAAGAATGTGATCATAGTGAAGAACCATGGAATCGGGCTGAGATTAAGACAAGATTAACAGCACCCCAACCCCAAAAGAGAATGATGAGGTCAATGGATGAGAGACCTTGATGAAGTCAAATATCAGCTATAATTTTGGAAGTTAAGCAAGTAATCTGAAACTAAAGGATACAGGTATCTGAAATGGAGCTATTTGAATTTGAGATGTCAGGGATGGGTGGTTTTGGTTAATGAGATGTTACTGAGCATCACTTTGGAAGTGGGTTGCTAATACAGAGTGGCAGTAAAAGCACACTGGTAATGAAGAAGTTAATGGATTGAGACCAAGTTGATGAACACTGAATTCATCAGGAATGATGAAAGTATTGTAAATAAGAGTGTGAGAAAGCAGCATGAATGAGGACAAGACCCAGCACGGTTGGTAAGTGACAGCACTACAAAAGAGGATAGAGTAGTATACCACTTCCATGAGCCTTAGTAGAGCAGGAGGTTTGCAAGAGGGAGGAGGAAAGGTGGTCTAGAAGCTGTAATAGAACTACTATCCCTCTTCTTGACCTGAAGTATAAAAGGTATAAGAAAATAATAATAAAAAAAGGTTTCCTCTTGAGAAGACCACACTAGCTTTTATAAATGCAATGACTGAGGTAAACAGAATATAAGGCATGCTAGGATGACTCCTAAAGTCTAAAAGAGCACATGCTCTCAGTTTTCTTAATTTTTTAGGAATTCAAATTCTTTGTATGTAAAATGAAGAGATAAAATTTGATGGTCTATAAAGTTCTTTCACTCTCTGAAATATTGCATGTGTCACTTTAAACATCTACGATTGAGCAATGTGTATTACCAGGATTAATATTTTCATGATCTGTAACATCACGTCTTGACTCAAATCTCTATTCTGCACACTTAAGTTTAAAAGAGCATAAGTTCACAATGTTAGGTAGTTTGAACAAACTGTTACTTTTTATGGATAGGTCCTAATACTAATATTTTATGAGATTTCATCTTTGGTTTGTTCTTGCCAATCTCTGCAACTCTGCAGGGTGTTTTTACACATATATCTTTTGGCCTCAATTTTGTTAGGTGCTAATTTTAATGCTCATTTATCAGTTGCCATGAGCAAAACAGTGACGAGTTCTAATTCTCTTTCTGTCATATCCAAGTGGCCTCCATTCTTCTCTTACAAACAGATAATATTTTGACTGTGTGAACATTACAAGTGCACCTAAATTCTGCCAAATTCCAAATAATGGCAGTGTAACTGTGAGTGAGTATAGTCTCTCTCAGCTTCATTTTATAAAGAATGGTTTTCTCTAAATCAGTGTTTTTTCAGCTAAGGATTAAGACCCATTAGTGAATTATAAAATTAATTTTTTATTAAATTAAAAGCTTGTCAAAAGTAGCATTTTTAGGGAAATAAATCAAAATAGAAAAAGAAAAAATATTCAAGTGCATATAAGAGTAAAAATTGTTTCCTGAAACTTGTTTTCATATATATGGCTATTTACAGATATAATATATATATATATTTGTTTCTGTATATACTGTGTATATACACACATATGTTTAAGTGTACTGAGTAATAATGTAAAATTCATTTCTTATTGTGGGTTGTGGTCAAAATGATTGAAAGCCACAGGCATAGCAAAATGTGCAAGTAGGATTTCTACTTCCTATCCTAGAATATCCCAAGTTCCCTCTTGATACCTTGAGAGAGCAAGTGTACTAGTCAGCTTTGCAGCGAAACAATCTCAGAATGTTAGCAAATTGCAAAAAAAAAAACATTATTTCTTGCTCATATCATGTGTTGACACCTGCAGGTCTGCTGTTGTAGTTCCATATGTGTTTTCGTTCTGGGATCTAGATTGAGGGAGAAGCTCCTATTTGGAACATGACATTTTAATGGCAGACAAGACAAGAAAGAGAAATGGTAGAAGTCTGTGATGTTCAAAGGTGACATACATCACACCCACTCACATTCCATTGGCTAAATTATATTACACATAAAGCCCAAAAGTCAGTGTAGTGGTATTGTAAACTCCACCTTCAAGGAGGCACAACAACTCACATGGCAACAAGCAAGGACATATAAATTTCTCATCACTAAGGGAGCTAGTATTTGGGAACAATAATACAATCCTCCAGAACAATGTACTTCTCTCCTTTCCCCTTCTAATCCCCATGTGTGACAAAGGAAAACCGAACATGTCATGTTCCCTAGGTAGGAAAGAGGCCAAGGTAATGGCTAATATGAGTTGTGGCCTGGTTAGTTTCCTCTGGGTTCTGGTCAAATACTTAATTTGAGCCATTATCTTGCAAATTGACTGAGGTCTTTAAAGCATAACTAGAACAGAGCAAATGGATCCATGTACTAAAAAATACCTAGAGACATAAAAGGAAGACAATAATAATCACCAAGAAATCAAGTAAATTGCACAAACTACCCCAAAAGGGGTTAACATAGGTCTTCTTCCTAAGGGCACTAATTAATTTTTATAAACCAAGCATAAATAGCACTAATGAAACTTAAAGAGAAAGTGGATTTTTAAGGTATATCTTGAAAGGACTCATTTTCTGTTCTGTTCTCCTGTGGAAGTTTACATAAGTAAATGTTATAATCATTTCCTCAAGATCTAATTACCAGAGATTATGCATTCCAGTGTTTCTTCCTTAATTCAAAAATGGTTCAGAAACCCAGTCATGAAGATAAGAAAAAACTAATAGTAAGTCCTATGAATGCCTATGACTCCCTGAGAACGCTTAAAAAATGAAAAATGAGTTATTCATAAGTGAACATTATTTTAAATTTTTCAGCTAGTATGAATCAATCATTCCAAACCAAATTACACTAGAAATGTCCTATCCATATTAAATCCTAAATTATGCACTTAAATGGCTAACTAATAATTTATTCTTTGAAAGAACATGAACAAGACTCCAATCAATTTTCATGAGACAGGCCAAGCAAATATGAAACTACTGCCAAGTCCCAAGTGTTCCATCTTAGCAACTTTACAAAAAAAAAAAATTGAATGGAAAACCACACCATTTTTAAAATAACTTAGCTATTAATAAAATGAAGTGTGTGTGAGTGTGTGTGTGTGTGTGTGTGTGATCTCATCAAACAATGCATGAATGTACTTGAGAAATGGAGTTCCAACAGACCAGGGTCACCATGAGGCCTTACGGTAAGTCTTCTTGCTCTGAACACTTTTGTGCAGTACACAAGCACACATCTCTTATGTAATGGCCCTAAAGTCTTGGGCAAACTCCATCTTATCCATCAAAGAGAAATATAATTATTCAACACTTATTTCATTCCCAAGTGGACACTTACCTCAGTGGTCACTACCTTAAAGAGAAATCTGAGAAGAGCCAAAGTGGCACTTCACCTTGCTGTGGCCCAAGGATGACTTTTGTTGATTATACAACCCGCTGCTCTCATTTAATTGAGAAACCAGGAGGGCTGAGGTGTGAAGGAAATCCCCCTAACATCCTGAAAAAGGTCACACTACCCATCACCTAAGCTCTGAGTAGAACACAAAACAGTTTCTATTTCCAGACAAGGTAATTGACTTGGCTCTTGATAGTGATCCCTGGAGCAAAGGTGTTGCTGAAAGAAACACCCAACTATTTTGCTTGTGAGGAAAGGAGAAGAGTCCTCCTAAAGAACAGTTTAGACTTAGAATGTTTAAATTAAAGGACCAATAAGAGTTATTCAATCAGACCCTTTCATATGACATATAATAAAAGAAATTCAAAGCATTTTGATGACTCTCCCAACATCACCTAGCTATTTTTTTTTTTCTGAGACAGAGTCTTGCTCTGTCACCCAGGCTAGAGTGCAGTGGTGTGATACCTAGCTAATTTTTGACTAAACTTAGATTTGAACCCACGTCTCACTACTCAGAGATGATTGTTCCTTCTGCTACAATTATGAAATCCCGGTTTCAGCACCAAATTCTCAAAAAGGGAGAATAGCCAGGATATTAGTGACTAATATTCAATGATGGGGCAAAAAAGGACCCCCTAGAGTGACAGAAATATTATATATCCGATTGGGATTTTGGTCATACATGTGTATGTATTTGCCTGTATACTCATCAAACTGTATACTTAAGATCTGTACATTTCATCATAAATCATATACTATTTTGATATTAAAATTAAAATACATAATGAAGATAATTTGTGAGATGCCAAGATTCCTAGAAAGATACAACCCTCCTAGCCTAAATCAGGAAGGATTAGATACCCTGAAAAGACCAATAACAAGCAGCGAGATTGAAATGGTAATTTAAAAATTACCAACAAAAAAAGTCCAGGACCAGACAGATTCACAGCAGAATTCTACCAGACATTCAAAGAAGAATTGGTACCAATCCTATTGACATTATTCCACCAGATAGAGAAAGAGGGAACCCTCCCTAAATCATTCTATGAAGCCAGTATAACTCTAATACCAAAACCAGGAAGGGAAATAACCAAAAAAGAAAACACAGACTGATATCCCTGATAAGCATAGATGCTAAAATCCTTAACAAAATATTAGCTAACTGAATCCAACAACATATCAAAAAGATAATCCACCATAATCAAGTGGGTTTCATACCAGGGATGCAGGGATGGTTTAACATATGCAAGTCAATAAATATGATACACCATATAAACAGAATTAAAAACAAAAAACACATGATCATCTCAATAGATGCAGAAAAAGCACTCAACAAAATCCAGCATCCCTTCATGATTAAAACTCTCAGCAAAATCAACATACAAGGAACATACCTCAATGTAATAAAAGCCATCTATGAAAAACCCACAGCCAACATAATAGTGAATGGGGAAAAGTTGAAAGCATTCCCCCTGAGAACTGGAATAAGACAAGGATGCCCACTCTCACCACTCCTCTTCAACAGTACTGGAAGTCCTAGCCAGAGCAATCAGACAAGAGAAAGAAATAAAGGACATCCAAATCAGTAAAGAAGAAGTCAAACTGTCACTGTTTGCTGACGATATGATCATTTACCTCAAAAACCCTAAAGACTCCTCCAGAAAGCTCCTAGAACTGATGAAAAGAATTCAGCAAAGTCTCTGGATGCAAGATTAACATACACAAATCTTCTATACACCAACAGCAACCGAGCAGAGAATCAAATCAAGAACTCAACCCCTTTTACAATAGCTGCAAAATAAAATAAAATAAAATAAAATAAAATAAAATAAAATAAAATAAAATAAAATAAAATACTTAGGAATGTACCTAACCAAGGAGGTGAAAGACCTCTACAACAAAAACTACAAAACACTGCTGAAAGAAATCAGAGATGACACAAACAAATGGAAACACATCCCATGCTCATGGATGGGTAAAATCAATATTGTGAAAATGACCACGCTGCCAAGAGCAATGCACAAATTCAATGCAATTCCCATCAAAATACCACCATCATTCTTCAGAGAATTAGAAAAAAAAAATTCTAAAATTCATATGGAACCAAAAAAGAGCCCACATAGCCAAAGCAAGACTAAGCAAAAAGAACAAATCTGGATGCATCATACTACCTGATTTCAAACTATACTATAAGGCCATAGTCACCAAAACAGCATGGTACTGGTATAAAAATAGGCACACAGACCAATGGAACAGAATAGAGAACCCAGAAATAAACCCAAATACTTACAGCCAACTGATCTTTAACAAAGCAAACAAAAACATAAACATAAATGGGAAAGGACACGCTTTTCAGCAAATGGTCCTAGGATAATCGGCTAGCCACATGTAGGAGAATGAAACTGGATCCTCATCTCGCACCTTAAACAAAAATCAACTCAAGATGGATCAAAGACTTAAATCTAAGACCTGAAACCATAAAGATTGTGTAATAGAAGATAACCCCTTCTAGATATTGGCTTAGGCAAAGACTTCATGACCAAGAACCCAAAAGCAAATGCAACAAAAGCAAAGATAAATAGATGGGACTTAATTAAACTAAAATGCTTCTGCACAGCAAAAGAAATAATCAGCAGAGTGAACAGACAACCCACAGAGTGGGAGAAAATACCTGCAAACTATGCATCTGACAAAGGACTAATATCCAGAATCTACAAGGAACTCAAACAAATCAGCAAGAAAAAAAACAAACAACCCCATCAAAAAGTGGGCTAAGGACATGAATAGACAATTCTCAATAGAAAATATACAAATGGCCAACAAACATATGAAAAAGTGCTCAACAGCACAAATGATCAGAGAAATGCATATCAAAACCACGATGCAATACCACCTTACTCCTGCAAGAATGGCCATAATTAAAAAATCAACAAATAATAGGTGTTGGCATGGATGTGATGAAAAGGGAACACTTTCACACTGCTGGTGGGAATGTAAACTAGTACAAACACTATGGAAAACATTTGTGAAGATTCTTTAAAGAACTAAAAGTAGAACTAGCATTTGATCCAGCAAACCCACTACTGGATATCTACCCAGAGGAAAAGAAGTCGTTATATGAAAAAGACATTTGTACACAAGTTTATGGCAACACAATTTGTAATTGCAAAAATATGGAACCAGCCTAAATGCACATCAACCAAAGAGTGGATAAAGAAAATGTGGTATATGTATATACCATGGAATATGACTCAGCCATAAAAAGGAATGAAATAATGGCATTCACAACAACCTGGATGGAGTTAAAGACCATTATTCTAAGTGAAGTAACTCAGCAATGGAAAACCAAACGTCGTAGGTTCTCATCTGTAAGTAGGAGCCTAAGCTATGAAGACACAAAGGCATAAGAATGATATAATGGACTTTGGGGACTCGGCGGGGGAAGGGTGAGAGGGGGTGAGGGATAAAAGACTACACATTGGGTACAGTATACACTGCTCAGGTGACTGATGCACCAAAATCTCAGAAATCACCACTAAAGAACTTTTCCATGCAACCAAACACCACCCATTCTCCAATAACTGTTGAGATTTTTTTAAAAGATAATTGCAAAAGAATAAAATAAAATAAAAGCACCCAAGAGGAATGCATGGTAGAACAGGAAGAGATGAACATAAGGGGGATCATAAAAGCCATAGGGACTAAAAGGGAATCTATTGGGTGGTCAGAGCAAAGACACTGGATGTGGCAGGGAAAGGAACTCTGAGGTTCCTGAGGAAACTGAATATGCTCTCAAAAGAGCAACAGCTCAGGATTTCCTCCACAAGACAGGGCCCCAAATTCACATTACTACCTTCCCCACCATGCAAGGATGTGCCCTTCTCCCATTATCCTGTCTCCCTGGGCCCGTGTCTAAAGAGATAAGAAAAATCATGAGGAGAAGATATAAGAGAGGAAAAAGGAGGTAGACTGGGTCTATGCCACATGTACATATGCATAGTACATTTGTAGAAATGCAAACCTCATTGAAGTGCCAGTGTGGAATAGGCAGAAATCCTCAACATTCAGGGGTTTAGTTTTTAGATTACTATACAAGATGGGCTTCTAACTGCTAGGAAGCAACCACAGGATCTTCGATTACTTAAGAGGGACCAGATAACTATGGGCAGATAAGGAAAGAAAAAATGCCTACACCAGTTTTCATAGGTAAGCAGAAGAATAAGAAACTCACTTATTTCCATCTCATGAGGACAAGCCACAGAAATTCATTATAATGGATGAGAACACAGTACACATGGGGGAAAGTAAAGAAAGTCTGATACAGTGAACAAATTCCCATCTGAATATGCTCCAAAGGAATTGGGCAGTCAGGCAGTCATGGTGAGTACAACAGGAGAGCACTCCACCCTGGACTATTAGAGCAGCTAAGGCAGGAAATGATGTGTCATGAAGACATTTCAGTTTGGTGAAAGCCTAATATTCTACTATGTTAACATGGCCTTCAAAAATATGAAGGAGAAAAGTTCTCTGAGGAAACCTACTAGTCCAAATATCCCTACTTGAAAGGTGGAGAGAATTTCCCACTAGAAATGATTAAATATTGAAAATATCTTCAAAATAAGAAGGCTATGAACCAGAGAGGGCTGAAGGGAAACACTTATGTGGCGGGGTCTGCATGCACCCCAGCATCTCATAGAATGATGGGATGAAAGGATATTGATTTCCTACACATTATGCACTCCCATAGTTCTCCCTGAATTTATCAGTTTGCTCTCCTTTTCTCTCTCGTCCCCATTTTTCCTTTTTCTCTACTTTTCCCCATGTCTACTGTGTTCTCATTCATTACACTGAATGATAATATACAAAGAATGCAGTGGTTATCAGGATGAGGACCATACCTCAATCATTCAGGTAGAATCTACTAGAGGTAGCAGAGCAGGCAAAATCCTTTAAGAGCTGGTATTTGGCTTGTTAAAAATATGTAATGTGCACAAGGAAATGAGCCCATAATACCTACTATTAAGGGTGTAGCTAGTGATGAGTCTGTGAGTCAACCACATCCCTAAAGTCTGCATTGAACATGATATTGAAAGTTACATGTGCCTCATGTAAGAGCTACGGCAGAAACTCCAAAGGGTAAAATAATAAATGCTCAGTAGAACCATATTCTAAAGTAAGGTATAGGCTATCTTGCTAACAATAAACCAAAAATGGTTCTGCTGGCATTGTCCCATGGCCCAGCTCAAAAATATAAGATAGTTCAGCGAAGAATTTTTAGTGAGAGTTGTCAATGTGGTAGATATGTTCTCCTGTTCTTCACCATTATGAGTCTGGGCCATACCCCCCTCACTCCCAAAAGACATAATTAAACTATTTAAACGGGAGGTACACTTCTGGGGTATCATCACACTTTTTTAATTTTTAATTTTTGTGAGTACATAGTAGGTGTATATATTTATGGAGTACATGAGATACTTTGACACGGGCATGCAATGCATAATCACATCATGGAAAATGGGGTATTCATGCTCTCAAGCATTCATTGTTTGTGTTACAAACAATCCAATTACACTATTTTAGTTATTTTTAAATGTAAAATTAAATTATTGTTCACTATAGACACCTGTCATGCTATCAAATAGTAGGTCTTATTTATTCTTTGTAACTATTTTTTGTATCAATTAACCAACCCTATTCCCCCTCCTACTACCCTTCCCAGCCTCTAGTAGCCATCCATCTACTCTCTATCTCCATGAGTTCAATTGTTTTTATTTTTTTAGATCCCACAAATAAGTGAGAACCTGTGAAGCTTGTCTTTCTGTGCCTGACTTTTTTCACTTAACATAATGACCTCCAGTTCCATCCATGTTGTTGCAAATGACAACATCTCATTCTTTTTACAGCTGAATAGTACTCCATTATGTATATGTACCACATTTTCTTTATCCATTCATCTGTTGATGGACACTTAGGTTGTTTCCAAATCTTGGCTATTATGAATAGTGCTGCAACAAACATGGGAGTGCAGATATCTCTTTGATATACTGATTTCCTTTCTTTGGGGTAAATACTTTGCAGTGGGATTGCTGGATGATGTGATAGCTCTGTTTGAGGAATCTCCAAACTGTTGTCCATAGTGTTTTTACTAATTTACATTCCCACCAAGAGCAAATGAGGGTTCTCTTTTCACCACATTCTCTCCAGCATTTCTTATTGCCTGTCTTTTGGATAAAAGTCATTTTAACAAGGTGAGATGATATTTCATTGTAGTTTTGATGTGCATTTCTCTGGTGATCAATGATGTTGAACACCTTTTCATATGCCTGTTTGCCATGGTATGTTTGAGAAATTTCTATTCAAATCTCTTACAGAATTGCCACATTTAAACCCAAACTGACTTTCTAAACCATGTATTCCATTGGTTCTAAACCATGTATTCCATGAATTCCACTGGAGCTGGGCATTGGTCATCTGGTTCTCTTTTTCAGTTTCTTCTTTAAGTATCCAGGCCATCCTTCAATGACTCCTGCTACTGAAATTTTATGGACAGCATAAACAGTTCAGCAAACATCACAGGTAGCTGAAAATGCTGGGTATAGCTTCATATAAACACAGTAATGTTCAGTCAGACTGGATGCAGTCAAGGAATCCAAACATGAAACAAAGTCTAAGAGTCCTGGCAGGAAATTTCCACGTCTTCTGTGAGAATAAGTTTGGCAGTATCATACTCAGAAAAGGTATACAGCCATAACCAGGGGTACACTTAAAAGGAACCTGGGGTATCATCAAGTAATTCCGGCTATGGGATCTGGGGATCCCACCATACTTGACTGTGCAGTTAACAAGCTGCACACATTTCCAGGCTCCTTGGCGTTGTGTATTCAAATTGCTAGGTCTTGTTTTGGGTCCATATCCCAAATTGTGGATGGCACTGGTCCTAAACTGGGCAGACATGTCTGATGAGCTTGTTGATTCCACTAATTTTCCCCCAAAGGGTCTTTATCCATGGCCATTCACATAGTGCAAGAACAGAAAGTGTGTGTCTTTGGCATTCTGCTGATAATGCTTATCCCAAAAGAGTCTAAGAATTAATCATCTAGTTTTTGGCCACCAGCCACCAGTCCACACTGCCAGGACATTGGCTGCTGCCCATGAGTCAGTAAAAAATGTAAAAAGGAGCATTTTCAGGCTTGTTTTCCATGGCAAACACCACAAGCCAGAACTCCACTCATTGAGCAGAATTGCCTTTCCATGTACAATTATTGTAAATTCCTTTTTGGGGTTACACAGCAGCACTGACCACATAACCCACTGGCATTTAAATTAGTTGATAAGTCTATGAATCCGGCTCAGGCATCTGTAAGAAACATGGCATACTGAAGCCATCAAGATCAAGAAGAAGTCCCAGTCCATCTAATGCAGCCATACATGGAGTGACTGGACACATTTTCTGCAGGTCTAAGACACCATTCATGCCCAGTTTGCTTGCCACCTTGGTATACCGCTTACACTTAACAAGGATGCTCATTGGGCAAGACCTAATTTATGAGATTTTCCTTTGACCCTTCATTGAAAGGGATACCAGGAGGTCACAACTGCTACCCTTGGTTTGTTACTCTACTGATGTCCACCAGCACCAGAAACAAGCCAATATTAGTCCCTGAAATGGGATCCAGGCAGTGGTGGTGTCAGGGAAGCAGCATAAGCAAAAACTATGCTGAGGAAACAGTGGTACTCAGGCACTACTTCTTGAAAGGGCTATCCTGTGCCCTAGGATACAGGACTGTTTGAAACGTCTAAATGAATAAACAAACATACACGACGGTATGTTTAAGAGTGCAGTGAGTGAAGATGCTTTGAAGCGGACACATCTCGAAAAGTTTGTATTGAACAGGGTGTTGCAAGCAACACAACCTCTCAAGGCCATTTGAGGATTTGTTCCCCATGGCAAGCACCACAGCCCAGAATAACACTCACTAAGCAGAATGAGTGCTTCATGTGGTCCCTCTCTAGACACACTGTAAACACATTTTTGGAGCTGCACAGCTGCATTGGCCCACATACCCCCAATGGCCTTTAACATAATTGATAAGTCAATGAAACAGACCTAAGCATACACAAAAAAAACTTGAGGTACTGAAGCCAACAAGTAGCCCAAGTAAACATCCCAAACCCTACATCTAAGGCAGCCATAGCTGAAGAAAGACTGGATACATTTTCTTTAGTTCTGAGACACCAATAATGCCCAGTTTATTCTTTCCTTACTATATCACGTCCATTTAAACAAGGACGCTCATAGGCAAGAATGAATTCATGGGATTTTCATTTGACTTTTCATTGAAAGGGATGCCAGGATGGAACAACCCCTACCCTTGGTTTGTTGCTCTATTGACATCCACCAACACCAGGATCAAGCCAATATTCATCCCTGAAATAAGGTATAGGCAGTAGCAAGTTCAGAGAAGCACCATGAACAAAACCACAAACCATTACTGGATGTTATATTAATGACATAGCTTAAGGGCGTTAACAGACTATAAGCCTGTTTCATAAACATTTAAATTTAAACATGAAGGGCGAATGGGGGAAAAAAAACCTCAGTGGATGTCCTTTCTTTATTTGGATGATTGTTCCTTAATATTTGACAGGTTTAATCTTTCAGAGCCTATTACTCAAAATTGTACCCTCTCTCTAAAGAGGACAATATGCTGTCCTTGGCACTTCCAATCCAAATAATGTCATCTGTGTAATGGTACCAGAATACTTCCAGTGAGGTTTCAGTCTTTTCTAAGTCTCAGCCTATCCACTGGTGATAAAGTGTGGGTCTCATTGCCTTGTCATTTTAACATATAATGTAATCCAACCATTTAAGGAAAATGGACTCTAATCATATTAATTCATCAGGATTTGAAGGAAGCAATAGCATATCCACTACTGCATACAAGGCCCTTCAGGATGCACAATAGACTCCTAGTTTGTTATGACACCTGGAAAATTATTGAGTAAGAAGACAGCTGCCACATTAAACTAGTTATAATTCACACTGAGGTGTCAATTGACCCTGACTATTTTCACAGGCCAACTGTGGCTATTGTAGGATGGTGTAGCTTCTTTAAGCACATCTGCTTCTATCAGTCCCTCACCTCTTTGCTGACACTGCAGTGCTGGCCTTGGGTAACCTAGTAAGATATAGGTTGTCCACTCATCCTACTAACACTGTTCTAATGGTTACATTTCCCTTGTGGGTATATCCATTACAATCAATAGAATATTTCCATGCACTTAACAAAACTTCCCACAATACACTCAGCAGTATCAGTTATATTTATGTACCTGTATTGGTCCTCTATACTGGGGGCTGGCTAGCAAGTGAACTGCTCCCCTACTATCCCACAGAGGTAAGGTTAATGTTCTTCATGTGGACACATAGACCCTGAGAAAGGAAATGTTTCAAGCTTTTTCTTTACTCTAAAAGGGGAAGGGCAAAGTTTAATTCTACCTTGCTTCAAGCAAATGACAAAGACCTCCAAAAAGCTTGTTTTAAGTCTCCTGCAGTTTGTAAACACAAGGATTAGTATCTGGTTCACACAATGAACTCAGAAATCTGGCACTGAAGCTGCGCCTTTCAGAAGGTACAATAAAATACCTGGTTTTAGAGTGAGCTGCATTTCTACCACATGCAGGTTACTGTGTTTTCCAAAGACATTATGTGCTTGCTACCATGATGAGTGGTCTGAGATTGTATTAAAATTAAACCATTCAAGGAGTCCCTGGCATGAAAAGAGGGAGCCTCAAAAGGAAGATCACAAAATTCTAGGGCATAGGTTACATTTAGCAGCCAGTGAAAGAAAAGGCACATTCCTGAAATCATGTATTGAATGAGATGTCCAACACACACAATATCAAATAAGTAATTTGGCAGAGGCTATCTTTTGGAGAGAGGGTCTTTACGAAATAACCAAATTAAAATGAAGTCATTATCATGGTCCTAATCCAATATGACTGGTATAAGAAGAGGAAATTTGGACACAGATACATCTGCAGGGAGAATGTCACATGAAGACAAAGGTGGCCATCTACGAGCAAAGAAGAAAGTCCTGGAAAAGACCCTTTCCTCACATACCTCAGAAGAGACAATCCATGCAAACACCTTGATTTCTCACTCTGAGCCTCCAAAACTGTAAGACAACAAATTTCAGTTGCTTAACCACCAAGTCTGTGGTACTTACCTATGGCAATCCTAGTGAACAATTACAGGATCCAAAGGCAAAGACAAAAAAAAAAGTCAAATATTTCCATATTCTAAAGTGAGGTGCTAAGCCAGCTTGAAAAGTAATGGACCCAAACGGGATCTGCTGCCATTAGCACATCACCCACTGTTGGGTGAAGGGTGGAGAAGTACACAATGAAGATGACCCTCCAAGTACAGCAAGAAGGCTCCTAAAAAGACATACCTGAAATTAGTCACATACATGGGAGGATCTGCATGTACCCTGACAACTCAGAAAAGGATGAGATGAAGGGATACTGGGTTACATGCACAGTATAACCCATTGGTATTCCTGAATTTCTCCCAGTCACACTACTTTTATCTCTTCTTTTCCCTTTGCCTTCTACTTTCCCTCTTTTTTCCCAACCCTTCCAAGATCCCATTCATCATGCTGAGAGATAGCTACCTACAATGCAGTGATTCTCTAACTGAAGATAGGTACCCAATAATTCAAAGAGACATTTCTATGGGTAGCTGGACAAGGTAATCCTAATGGAATGCAATTCAACATACTCATCATCCATATGTATGGTTTCCTAAATTAGATGTATCCAAAATTAACATAGAGCAGATCTGGAATGCTCTCCCATCCTTTCACAATCCATTTGTCCTATTTCAACCATCAGGATGTGATCTCTTTTTCCCAAAAAGCACTGTTACATTACCAGGCTCCAGAAAAAGAAGGCTAAAAATCCAAGGAGTAGATTTGTCAAAATCATATGGCACCCTGACCTCCAAGTCTACACAGCAGCTTGGAATGCGGTCAACATGGACATGGGGCCTCCACAGCTTCCACCAGCACCTCAGGGAACTTTGGGCTTTTGCTTCATACCTTGTCTGCAGCTCTGATGTTGCAATCCAAACGGAAGAAAGAGTACATATGTAGGGAGCTCATTTTTGCTAAAATGAAGGGCTATGCACACTGGATATAGCAATTGAATCAGCACCTGAAGTTGGAAAAAGGCAACAGACAAAACCTGCCAAACTTTTTAAGGGTCCAATGACAATAGAAAAGAGGCCTCCAGAGAATACCTACTAAATGTTAATTCTCCCGATTTAAGTAGCAGGATCTGCAGGCACTCCACCAATTAGAATGATGGTATGATGGAACACAGGCTTCCCTCACTTTTTAAATAAGTAAACTCAATAAATTAATCCACCCAATTACCTAATAAGAATGTAGAGAGTAGACCAGGCACAGTGGCTCACACCTGTAATCCCAGCACTTTGGGAGACCAAGGCAGGCAAATCACCTGAGGTCAGGAGTTCAAGTCCAGCCTGGCCAATGTGGTGAAACCCCGTCTCTACCAAAAATACAAAAACTAGCCAGGAGTAGCATACCCACTACAGGTGGATATGCTAGTGCTGTAGTCCCAGCTACTCGGGAGGCTGACGGAGGAGAATCACTTGAACCTGGGAGGTGGAGGTTATAATGAGCCAAGATCATGCCACTGCACTTCAGCATGAGCAACAGAGCAAGACTCCGTCTAAAAAAAAAAAAGAGTGTAAAGCGTAAAGATGTTGTGGATCAGACACATCCCTGAAAGCCTTCCTTAAACAGGATACTGAAAGCAATGTATCTTAGAATATAAGAGTTTGGCCAGAGGGTACAAAAGACAAAATAATACATTCCCAGTACCCCAAATTTTAAACCATGGTTCTCAGCTATCTTCACAAAACCTTGACCAAAAATGGTTAAGCAGACATTAGCCCATCACCCACCTCTGGGATATAAAACATTTGGGTAGAAGAAGGAAGAGGGAGATTTTGGAGGGTGTGGACAATGAGATATGCATTTCTATCCCATCCTGACTCTGGGCATCCTCAACCCCTCCTCTGCCTCATAATTAAACATTCTATTTAAATGGGAAGTACTGGCTGGGGAAATGCCACATTTAGAGCCCAAATTTGTCTTCTTAGCCTATGCTCCACTGGGACCTTAGTCTGGTTCGTACTCCTATTTTATTCAGTCTCTTCTCTAAGAATCCAGGCAATTTCTCAATAGTCCCTGATGTTGGTAAAAGATGTGGCACATGGTTGCATCCACCAGAAGTCCCATGAAGCCTCTCACTACTGGGTAACTTTTCCTCTGAAAGTGCCACCATTGTCTCATTGAATGTGGTTGCTGAATACAAATATAAGACACAGTCCAAATAAGAGTTCTGGTATGTTGCTTCCCCTTGCTATGGAAATGAGGATGTCAGTGCCATTTTTTATAAAGGTACCTACTGCATCCTTGGCCAGCAGTATCCTTGAAAGAAGGTTAGGGTACCAAGTCTGGTATTTCTGCCTATCTGAAAAGGAGATTCCCCCTCCACTGGGTTGTATAGCCAGCATCTTAGGCGCATTCTCCAGGTTTCCTTGGCCTCATGGGATGGAATCAGTAGGTGTTGTTTTGGTGCCAGATCCTGAATTGAAGTTGGATTTTCATGCTTTGTTGCATACTTTATCCAGATTGTTTGGTACTAACCTGGCCAAAACATGTCTGATCAGCTTGTTGATTCCATTGAATTTCATTCTCAAAAGCTCCTTATCCATGCACATCACATGGTGAATGAGTAGGAGTTGTGTGTCTTATGATATTGGTTGATAATATTTTCTAAGCCTGAGTCTTGATCAGGCTTCCTGCATCCAAGCAACAGTCCACATTTTCACCAAATGGACACATGCTTGGGAATTAATCGAAAGGTAAGAAGGTGCATTTTGGGAAGCGATTTCCAGGGCAAGCACCACAGCCTGTAACTCCAACTACTGAGTAGAATGTCCCTTTTCACACGTAGATGCAAGCAGTTTTCTTGGGGGTTGTACAGCTTCTACACCTCACAAATCCTTCGGTCTTAAACTTAGCTGATAAGTCCATAAATCACATCCAGGCATCCTGGGGACTCTGAGTGTACCAAAGCCACCAAGAAGGCCAAGATGCTGGGCACAGTTCCTGTACCTGAGACAGCCACATCTAGAAAGCAACTGGATGCTTTTTCTTATACCTCTGAGAAACCATTAACGCATGGTTTATGCATTCCTTTGATATACCACTTTCACTTATAAATGGATATTCCTTGGGTAATATCTACTTTGTTGGTGTTCACATATGGCACTCTTCTGTGATAGAAAACTCAAGCCATATTACACCTGATCTTGCTTCATTACTTGCCCAATGTACAATAACACCCACTAATAAATCTCTCAAATGGGGCACATAAGGTGGTGGTTTCAGTCATACATTAAGAACAAAACCCAAAAGGTTCTACTTTCTAATGGCCACATCTTTTTGCTGCAGGCTCCAGTCTGTATCAATATCATTCACTGACAACTTTCTCAAAAATACTGCACAGAGAATGATCTGAGTAGAAAGGTGGACTTACACTGCTGCCCAGAGAGTTTCTAAAATAGGTTGATGGTCAAATTACATGTACTTAAAGATAAGTTGTGCAATGGTCTGAGCAAGATCCCAAAGTGAGGTATAAAGTAAAACAATACTGAAAAAGTTTATTATAAGTGGTGCAAAATATGATTTCCTGGAGGCTTTTAGACTATCAGTTTTTCTTGAACAAATTCATGGATTGTTTTTGGACATCAACCAACATGGTTTCCAAAAACTATACTTCAGTGGCTGGCCCCCAATTCTTATAGAGTTAATCTTCAAGTTCTGGTTACTCAGATATCAATCTACCTACCTAAGACAGACAGTATGTATTCCTTAGTCTACCTAATTTGAATAATGTCATCCATGTAATGTTACCAAGACAGCTTGGCTGCTCTTTCAATCTTCTGTATTTCTGGGCCTATGTAATGTTGAAAAAAACAAGGGAGGTGTTAGGTCATCTTGAGGCAGCACATTGAACATGTGTTGTAATCTGAGCCCCATGAAGTCAAATAGGCTCCAATCCCACGGATGCAGTGGGATTGAAAGAAAGCATTATCATGTCCACCACCAAGAACAAGACCCCATGGTCTGTGCAATGGATCCCATGATCATTAACCCTTGAAATGCAGGTACAAGGACTACTCTGCATTCAGCTTGCTGTATGACACAGTGAGGCATCAAATACTCATTGTATTTTATCACCAACTATACTGGGCTAATACAGGGTAGTATACTTTCCTTAAGCACCTCTCTCTCCATTAGTTCCTTAATCAGTGTATGGACCTTCTTTCATCCTCTGCCCTCAACCTGGTATCTTACATGGCTTGACTGATATATCACAGCTTGTACCGTGGAAGCCTAGTGGGATCTTGGTTGTCAACTCGTCCCACTACCATATCCTAATTGTGGCATTTCCCCATTGGGAACATCCCTTACCATCACAAGAAGAATTACTGACTCTCAGACTGAAGGATGTTTACTCTCAGACTAAATGAGTGTTTAAGAGAATCCTTTCTGGCCAATACACTCTGCAGTCTCGCCTACAACACTTTGGATGTGTATTGGCCAGAAAGGACTCACCTCAAAACTCATTTTAAATACATTCTTCAGCCTGAGAGTCAGTGTAAATCTTCATAAGAACATCAGGGGTCACTACACAGCACAGCGATTTGTTCCCCAGTGTCCAAAATTGCAGAAAAGATTGTTCAACCTGGGAACAGTCAATTCCCCCATACACTCAAATCAGTACATAAAGCCTCCATTTGCTATTATAACTGAAAGGTCCTTGACATCTATCCTAGACTCTTTTTTACTTCTAAGAAGTAAGGTCTAAGTAGAAAGGTGGAGTGCTTGATGTTAGATAACCTTATGAATAGCATCAAACTCAGCAAAGTTTTCTAGGTCTTCTTGGTCCTCCTTTGTCATTAGTGAGAATGTCATAGCCAGACTAACTTAAAAAATGAGAGCTCAGTCACAGACGACTGGGTGATCTCCATTCCTTCTTCTCCAGCACGATGTGGAGGGTTCCCTCATCTACTAGACAAGGAGTCAAGTATATACAGGCTCAATGGGTGCTTGTCCAAAATTCTTCAATATTACTTCTCAGCCAAGCATGATGGCTCATGCCTGTAAATCCAACACTTTGGGAGGCTGAGGCAGGAGGATGGCTTAAGCCAAGGAGTTCAAGACCTAGGCAATATGGTGAGACTGCGTCTCTACAAAAAAAAAAAAAAGTTTAGAAATTAGCAGGACATGGTGGCGTGCGCCTGTGGTCCCAGCTACTCAGGAGGCTGAGGCGGGAAGATCACTTGATCCCAGGAGATCGAGGCTGCAGTGAGCCATGATCCTGCTACTGCACTCCAGCCTGGGTGACAGGGTGAGACTCGGTCTCAAAAAAATAATAATAATAACTTATTTCCCACTAAATGTAGGAATAGACTTCACATTTTTAAATAACCAACTGCCCCTTTACAACAGACACTTTTTCAAAAAGGTCTACCACTGCCTTGCAGATACCGTACCATACTTAGACAGTCAACCTGCAGATTCTCACCTAATTCCCTAAAAAGGGCACTGTGGCCTTACCAGCCTCCAAGAAAAGGGGTTAAAATCACATGTAGTAAGTTCCTCAAAAAGAGGTTGGTCAAAGGCCTGTGTGGTATTGCCTCTTTTACTACAGGATAAATGAGCCAGTCAGTATTTACAACAGTTTTGTAGGAGCAACAAGTTTTCTCTCAGAACGTAGAATTCTTGGACATTTTTTTCTAATAGGACACAATCCATTTGTCCTATTTCAACCATCAGGATCTGATCTGAGCCAAGATTGCGCCACTGCACTCTAGCCTGGGCGACAGAGCAGAGACTCCATCTCCCAAAAAAAAAAAAAAAAAAAAAAAGATGTCTAAGAAAAAAAAAAAAGACAGCAGTACTGAGTGTGTGAACTCACTTAAGTTATTTTGAGTACAATAACTGGCAGGCGGGCCCTGATTTTGCTAGGGATCTAAATTCTCCTTTGCCGGGGGCACCCAAGGACATAAAGAATGCCACCTTCAACTTGCCAATCAACAAAACATCATTGTAGAGTAAAAACTTTGGAAATCAGGAATTTTTTTCTCATACAAAATAAACATTCAAAACTCAAAAACATGACAAATTACAGAGACAAAGATATTGAATGCAATATGTCCCCTCATGTAAGAGATATGGCAGATACTCCAAAGGATAAAACATTAAATGCCCAGGACTCAATATTTTAAAGTGAAGTGCTGCACAATCTTGCCAAGAAATAGACCATAACTGGTTCCACGTATTGTCACATGACCCAGCCCTAAGATATTAAATAATTTAGTTATTAAATAGAAGAAATACAGCATTTTGTGAGAGTTGTCAATGTAAGAGACACTCTTCACCATCATGAGTTTGGGCCAAGTATCCCCACTCCTTAACTAAATAATTAGGCTGGGTGCGGTGGCTCACGCCTGTAATCCCAGCACTTCAGGAGGCTGAGGCAGGTGAATCACTTGAGGTCAGGAGTTCGAGACCAGCCTGGCCAACATGGTGAAACCCTATCTCTACTAAAAATACAAAAATTAGCTGGGCATGGTGGCACATGCCTGTTGTCCCAACTACTCGGGAGGCTGAGATGAGAGGATCACTTGAACCCAGGAGGCGGAGGCTGCAGTGAGCCGAGATCATGACAGTGCACTCTAGCCTGGGCGACAGAGCAAGACTCCACCACAAAAATAATTAATTAATTAAACATTCTATTTAAATGGGAGGTACCCTTCTGAGGAATTATCACATTTAGTACCCATACTGACTTTCTTAAACATGTGCTCCACTGGGAGCTGAAAATAAGTCATCTAGTTCTCATTTTTAGGCTATTCCTTAAGAATCCATGCCATTCTCCAACACAACATGCTACCTGGCTATTATTCAGAGTGTGAAGCAAACAAGCCAGGCAGCTGCCCACTAATGGGTACTTCCTATAAACCTGGCATCATTATCTGATTATATGCAGTCAATGAATCCAGCCATGTAGAAAAATCTAAGAGTACCTGCATAGAATTATCCTGTCTGCTGTGGAAATGGGTTGGCTGTGTGACACTAAAAACAGTAATCTAATGCAATCCACGATCATCAGTACCCTTGAAAAGAGGGTACGGGGGTCAGTTCTGGTACTTCTGGCTATGGGACCTGGAGATCCTCTCTCTACTTGACTGTGCAGCAGGCACACTCTGTACCTTTTCTAGAATTCTTTGGCCTCGTGTGTTGGAAACACTAGATCATATTTTGAGGCCAGGTCTCAAATTGTAGATACATTATCATGTCTTGTTGCATAGTCAATCCACATTACCATGGTCCTAACCTGGGCAGGACATGTCTGATGAGCTTCTTGGTTCCTCTGATTTTGATACTAAAACAATCCTTATTCATGGTTATCCACATAAAGCACGAAAAGGAAATATGTGTCTTGGGAATTCTGCTGCTAAGATTCATCCCCACGAGATTCCCTGAAGAGCTAAAGGTAGATCTACCATTCAATCCAGCAATCTCACTACTGGGTATCTACCCAAAAGAAAATAAGTCATTATATTAAAAAGACACTTGCACGCATATATTTATAGCGGTAAAATTCACAATTGCAAAGATGTGGAACCACCCTACATACCTGTCAACAAATGAGTGGATAAAGAAAATGTGGTACATATACACCATGGAATACTACTCATCCATTAAAAGGAATGAAATAATGTCCTTTCCAGCAACTTGGATGGAGCTGGAGGCCATTATTCTCTAAGTAACACAGGAGTGGAAAACCAAAAACCATATGTTCTTACTTATAAGTGGGAGCTAAGCTACTAGTATGCAAAGGCATACAGAATGAGATCGCGGACTTCAGAGACTCAGAAGAGGGGAGGGTAAGAAGGGGCTAGGGATTGAAAAAACTACACATTAGGTACAATGTACACTACTTGGGTGAGGGGTGCACTAAAATCTCATAATTCACCACTATATAATTCATTAATATAACAAAAAATCACTTGTACCCTAAAAGCTATTGAAAAAAAAATTTTTTTAAGATTCATCCCCACAGAGACTATGTGTCATCTAGTCCTTCATCCATCAGCCACCAGCCCACGCTGCCAGGCTATTGGCAGCTACTCCAGAGTCACTCAAAATGTAACAATGTATATTTGGGAACTTGATCTCCAGGGCAATCAACACAGCCCAGATCTTCACTCTGAAAATTTTCATTTCCATGTAATTGTTAACAGTTTGGGGGACGTTGCACAGATGCACTGGCCCACATACCTCTTTTCCTTTATCTTAGATGATAAGTCCCTGAACAAGATGTAGATATCCACCAGAAATTTGTTGTATTAAGGCCACCAAGAAGTCCAAGGTGTCACAGTTGCTGCAACTATGACAGCCTTTTCTGGAGAGTAACTGAACACACTGTCCTATAGCTCTGAGATATCATTAATGCCTGGTATCTGTCTTTCTTAGATATATATGTTACAGTTAAAAATGGATGCTACACTGGGCGTGGTGGCTCATGCCTGTAATCCTAGCACTTTGGGAGGCCGAGGCAGGCAGATTGCTCGAGCTCAGGAGTTTCAGACCAGCCTGGGCAACATGGTGAAACCCTGTCTCTACTAAAATACAAAAAATTAGCCAGGCTTGGTGGCATGCACCTGTAGTCCCACCTACTTGTGAGGCTGAGGCAGGAGAATTGCTTGAACCCGGGAGGCGGAGGTTGCAGTGAGCAGAGATCGCGCCACTGCACTCCAGCCTAGGCAGCAGAGCAAGACTCCAATTTCAAAAAAAACAAAAAAAAAGAGGATGTTACTTGGGCAAGACCCACTTTATTGGTATTTTCATTTAGGACAAATCCCATGGTATGGAAATCAGGGCATAACACCATCTGTCTTGCTTTGTTACTTTCTCAGTGTCCACTGGCAACCAATAACAAGCCAACAATAATCTCTCAAATGGAGTATATCAGGTAGCAATGTCAAGCAAGCACTATGAGCAAATCCCAAATGGTGAAGACATCGTATTGCCACTGGGTCCTGCAAAAATGTTAGTCACTGACACTTTCTCTCAAAACATAATGCAAGGGTACCAGGCTGAGAGAAAATCTGGTCTGTACAGCTTGTTGAAGAGGTTGTAAGTCATGTTGTTGTCCAAAGTGTAAGCGTTTCAAGTAATCTTAGGTAATGTGCTAAGCAGGACCCCCAGAGTAGATATGAAATGCATCCCATACTGAATGAAGTTATCATATTTTATGTTTCATGTGGGTTGCTATAGATTTGAGGCCATAAGTTTTTCTTTAAAAAGTTCCAGGATTGTTCTTTGGGCATCAGCCACATTCTTTCCATTAGTGGCTGGCTGCTAATATGAGTCTGGGTTAATCTTCCAGCCCTGGTCTCTTGGTTTTCAGACCATCTTTCTCAGGTATATGGTATGCTGCCCATAGCCTGCCAATCTGAATAATGTCATCGTGTAAGGTTACCAGGACCCCTCTGGTGAGGTTTCAGTCTTATTTTGGTCATGGAATACCCACTGATGAAAAATTGCTTGAAAGTATAGGTCAATGTGGAGCGGCACAGTGGACATATATTGTCATATGAGCTTTATGAGTCAAATATGCTTTGATCATATGGTTGCAGTGGTATCTGAAGAAAGCTTCACATTAATATGTCTACCACAGGATTCCAGGTTCTTCATGCTGTGCAATAGACTCCACAACTATTATGATGTCTGGAAAAGCAGGGCAAGTATTAGGAAAACTGCTGTTATATTGATCTTATGAGTCAACACAGTGAGGTGTCAAGAACCATTGGATTCACGCCTGTAATCCCAGCACTTTGGGGAGCCAAGGTGGGTGGATCACCTGAGGTCAGGAGTTCGAGACCAGCCTGGCCAACATGGTGAAACCCAGTCTCTACTAAAAATACAAAAAAAAATTAGCCGGGCATGGTGGCTCGTGCCTGTAATCCCAGCTACTTGGGAGGCTGAGACACGAGAATCGCTTGAACCCGGGAGGCAGAGGTTGCAATGAGCCGAGATTGTGCCACTGCACTCCAGCCTAGGTGACAGAGTGAGAATCTGTCTCAAAAAAAAAAAAAAAAAAAAACCATTGGATTATTTCACTGGTAAAATAGGGCTGTTGTAGAATACCATAGTCTTGTGAAACATCTCTGCTTCCATTACTTCCTTGGTCAGTGTAGAGTCCTCCTTTCACCACCAAACCCCAAATCACAGCATCCTACCACACTTGGTTGTTACCTCATGGCTGGTCTGAGGAAGCCTGGTGGGCTCTGATCGCTCACTTATCCCACTGCCACTGTTCTATATTGGCATTTCCCTATTGGAAACATCCCTTACAATCAAGAAAATAATTACAAATCTTAACACAACTCTTACCACAATACACTTACCAGTACCAGTTTATAACACCTTTCATATGTATTGACATGAAACGGCTCAACTATAAACATACATAAGTCCATTATCCAATATGAGGACTATTTTCAATCAAGTCAAAGTAAAATTTTGATTGTGCTTTGGATGCATCAAAGCAGCTGATATGGTTTGGCTGTGTCCCCACTCAAATCTCATCTTGAATTGTAGCTCCCGCAATTCCCACGTATTGTGGGAGGGACCTGGTGGGAGGTAATTGAATGATGGAGGCAGGTATTTCCTGTGCTGTTCTTGTGATAGTGAATAAGTCTCACGAGATCTGATGGTTTGATAAAGGGGAGTCTCCCTGCACAGGTCCTCTTCTCGTCAGCTGCCATGTGAGACGTGCCTTTTGCCTTCTGCCATGATTGTGAGGCCTCCCCAGCCACGTGGAACTGTGAACCCATTAAACCTTTTTTTCCTTATAAATTACCCAGTCTGAGGTACGTCTTTATCAGGAGCGTGAAAATGGACTAATACACTAAATTGGTGTACTGGTGTAGAGTGGGGCACTGCTGAAAAAACACCCAAAAATGTGGAAGCAACTTTGGAACTGGGTAACAGACAGAGGTTGGAACAGTTTGGAGGGCTCAGAAGAAGACAGGAAAATGTGGGAAAGTTTGGAACTTCCTAGAGACTTGTTGAATGGCTTTGACCAAAATGCTGATAATGATATGGACAATGAAATCCAGGCTGAAGTGGTCTCAGGTGGACATGAGAAACTTGTTGAGAACTGGAGCAAAAGCGACTCTTGTTATGTTTTAGCAAAGAGACTGGTGGCATTTTGCCCCTGCCCTAGGGATTTGTGGAACTTTGAACTTGAGAGAGACGATTTAGGGTATCTGGTGGAAGAAATTTCTAAGCAGCAAAGCATTCAAGAGGTGACTTGGGTGCTGTTAAAAGCATTCAGTTTTAAAAGGGAAACAGAGCAAAAGCAGGAGCAAGAGGGAGACAGCAAGATGCCATACTCTTTTAAACCACCAGATCTCATGAGAGATCTGCGGCAAGGACAGCACCAAGGGGATGGTGCTAAGCCATTCATGAGAAATCCACCCCCATGATCCAGTCACCTCTCACCAGGTCCCACATCCAACACTGGGGATTACAATTCAACATGAGATTTAGGCAGGGACACACTTCCAAACTATATTAACTAGCTATGCTGGCAGGGTCAAACTGCTCCCAGGCCTCCAGGCAGGGTACTCAAGCAGGGCAGCAGGGGCTATGCTGTGGTCACCCTCCTGCAGGAGCATCCACGCAGGCAGTCTTGGGAGGGGCCGGCAAGCAAAGGGGCATATGAATCAGGTGTGCCCCAATTCCGCAGCAGTAGTGGCCCTGCTCTCTGCCAGCCCGGCAGACAGCAGGAACAGCAGCCACTGACTGCAAAATGGAAAGCCTTGGAGGATAGGCAGCTATGGTCATGCTTTCCCGCAGCTGCACCACTCAGCAACCTTCTGTGCTCTGTACAGGTTCAAGTTCTGCCACTGTCTGATCTCTGGGTGGCTCCCCTTGCCAGTTCAAATCTCTATGCAGGTCGTAAAAACTCCTATGGTTGGGATCCCAGAAGTTAGCCGTGGGAGTCTGTGCCCTGGAGTTCCTTCACTCACACTTTCCTTAGGTCTCATTCATGGCCAGGGACCTGTCCTCATGCCCAGTGTCTCCAGGCAGGCTTCCCAGCTTCCTCCCTCTTCAACTATGGTGTCTGTGTCACCTCTCTATCGATTTTCAGTGATTTCTCTCAAAAGATCTGTTCAAAGTGTGATGGTTTACTTGAAATTGTGGTTTCTCTTGGTGGAAGAGGCATTTTCCAGCCACATCCAGTAAGCCATCTTGCCCCTCTCCCACTCTGCTGAAAGCCTATCTTGAACTGGATGTTTAATGCAATATGTTTTCAGGTGTGCCAAACAAAGAGATTTAGCAAAGGCACTAAATGCCAAAATAAGAAACGTATAGGATAATAAACTACTAATCAACAAAAACCTGATCAAAGCTGAGTCAGCAGACATCTAATTCCTTTTGAACTCATGAGTATGAAAAGTTGAGGTAGAAAAAGAGGAAAGAAACTTTGGAAACAGTTATCATTGTAGTAGGCATTTTCTTCCTCAGACTGAATCTAGGCCTCTGCTCTTCTCCTCCTCCTCTCCCCAACAAAATTATTAAACATTCCTGCTGGGGAAATGCCACATGTAGACCCAAACTGACTTTCTTAAGTGTGTGCTCCACTGAGAGTTGAGCATCAGTCATACATTTCTATTTAAATTTTTTTCTTTAAGAATTCTAAGCCGGGCGCAGTGGCTCACGCCTGTAATCCCAGCACTTTGGGAGGCTGAGGCAGGTGGATCATGAGGTCAGGAGATCGAGATCATCCTGGCTAACACGGTGAAACCCCGTCTCTACTAAAAAATACAAAAAATTAGCCGGGCGTCGTGGCGGGAGCCTGTAGTCCCAGCTACTCGGGAGGCTGAGGCAGGAGAATGGCGTGAACCCAGGAGGCAGAGGTTGCAGTGAGCAGAGATTGCGCCACTGAACTCCAGCCTGGGCGACAGAGCAAGACTCCGTCTCAAAAAAAAAAAAAAAGAATTCTAGCCATTCTTCCCAGTTACTTAGGAGGCTGAGGTGGGAGGATGGCTTGAGTCTGGGAGGTTGAGGCTGCGGTGAGCCATGATCATGCCACTGCACTCCAGGCTGGGCAACAGAGACTCTGTCTTAAAAAAAAAACAAAACACTAACCTCAACATTATACAATATACCCATGTAACAAACCTGCACATGTACCCCCTGAAACAGAATAATTTCTTAAAACTCTGGCCCAAACTTCATCACTATGCAATATATGCATGTAAGAAACCTGCACTTGTGCCCACTAAATATATAAAAATAAGTAAAATTATTTTAAATATCTGACTGAAAAAACTTACATACAATTCTTCCATCTGCTGGGCAGAAGGTTGGCAGTGGCATACTCAGATAAGAAATCAACTGTAGTCCATACCCAGCCCAGCAACCTTGAATAGAGGGAATGGGATAGATTGAACACCTCTGCATTTGGAAGGTGGAGATCCCCACTCTACTCGACCATGTAGCTGATGGTCTTGACACATTTCCAGGCTTCCTTGGCCTCATGTGCTGGAAACACTAGGTCTTGTGCTTGGGCCAGGTCCTGAATTATAGATGAATCACAATGACTTGTTGCAGAGTCTATCCAGGTTGCTACGGTGCTGAGTTGGGCAGGACATGCCTTATCAGCTTATTGATTCCTAGAATTTTAATCTGAAAGGGTCCTAATCCATACATAGTCACATGGGCCATGAACAGGTATGCATCTTCTGAAATCGACTAATAATATCTACCACCTCGGAGGCTGAGACTGGATAAACTAGTCATCACACCACCAGACCCTCCAGGAGTCCATCTAAATGTTTTTTGTTTTTTGCTTTTTTATTATTATACTTTAAGTTCTAGGGTACATGTGCACAACGTGCAGGTTTGTTACATATGTATACATGTGCCATGCACGTGTGCTGTACCCATTAACTCCTCATTTACATTAGGCATATCCCCTAATGCTATCGCTCCCCCCTCCCCCCACTCCACTACAGGCCCCGGTGTGTGATGTTCCCCTTCCTGTGTCCAAGTGTTCTCATTGTTCAGTTCCCACCTATGAGTGAGAACATGCGGTGTTTGGTTTTTTGTCCTTGTGATAGTTTGCTGAGAATGATGGTTTCCAGCTTCATCCATGTCCCTACAAAGGACATGAACTCATCATTTTTTATGGCTGCATAGTATTCCATGGTGTATATGTGCCATATTTTCTTAATCCAGTCTATCATTGTTGGACATTTGGGTTGGTTCCAAGTCTTTGCTATTGTGAATAGTGGAGTCCATCTAAATGTTAAAAGATGTATTTAAGGGATATTTTCAAGGTAAAATGCACAGCCCATACCTCCATCCCAATCATTAAGCAGAACTCCCTTTTCCATGCATAGGTACAAGCAGTTTTCTTTGGTGTTGTATACCTTCCACAGCTACTATAACTAGTCTGTCTTTAGCTCAGCAGATGTATCCATGTACTAAACCCAGGTATCCTGAGGAACCTGGGTGTCCCAAACCAGCAGAAGACAGAGTGCTGTCATGGTCCCTGCATGTCAGTCAACTGCATGTGGAGAGTGACTGGACATTTTTTCCAGCACCTCTAAGACACCATTAATGCCCAGTTTACTTCTTCAAGTTACATATCACTTCCACTTAAAAATGGATATTATGGCTGGGAATGGTGGCTCACATCTATAATCTCAACACTTTGAGAGGCTGAGGCAGGAGAATTGCTTGAGCCCAGGAGTTGGAGGCTAACCTGGGCAACATGGTGAGACCCTATCTCTACAAAAAAATTTAAAAATTAGCTGGGCATGGTGGTGCATGTCTGTAGTCCCAACTACTCAGGAGGCTGAGGTGAAAGGATTGCTTGAGCCTGGGAGGTCAAGGCTGCAGTGAGCCCTGATCATGCCACTGCACTTCAACCTGGGACACAGAGCAAGACCCTGTCTCAAAAAAATGGATATTACTTGGGCAATACCTACATTATCTGAGTTCTCATTTGAGACCTGTCCCATGATAGGGAAGTTAGGCCATTACAACCCTTGCTCTTGCTTGTGACTTTTTCTATGTCCACCAGCACCTGATAACAGGCAGCAATCGTCTATCAAATGGCATACCTTGAGTGGTGATGTCAGGCAAAGGTCATGAAAAAAGAGTGCCACTGCCTTGTGGACTACAGCTTTGCCAGTCATTATATTCTGAATAACTGTCGATTACTGACACATTGTGTCAAAATGGTGGGCACTGATGACTGGCCCAAGTGGAAAGGTGGTCTGTGCAGCTTGTTGCACAGTTTCTAAGGCATGTTGTTGGTCAAAGTGGTGCCTTTCCAATAATCTTACGTAATGGGATGAACGGGGTCCTCTTGAGATAAGAAATTCATGTGATACTGGTCAAATATATCATATGCTATGCCACACTTGGTTTTCAGAAGGTTTAAGGCCATCAGTTTTTCTTGAACAGGCTCTGGGATTGTTATCTGGGCAGCAGCCTACATGATTCACCAGAACTATATCTGGGTGGCAGGCCACTGATTCTTGTCAGAATTAAACTTTCGGTGCTGGTTATTCAAATTTCAGCCGTATATCTAAGACAGAAAATATGCTGTCTTTACTGCTTCCAATCAGAATACAGTCATATTTACTGGTACCAGGACTCTGGTGAGAACTCAGTCTTTTGCAGGTCTTGACCAATCCACTTGTGAGAAATCGTGTAAAGGGTTAAGTGTCTATGTGGCAGAATAGAGCTTATTTTGCATGCTAAGCCCCCATAAAGGCTCTGATCCCCTGATTATAGTGGGATATGAAGAAAACATTAATATATCCAGCATTACATACCAGGCCCTTCAATCTGTACAATGGAGTCTGTGACCACTATGATATCTAAAACAGCAGGGGTAAGGAGGACAGGCTGCCACAAAAAGCTTGCAGTTATCCACAGTAAGGGGTCAAGCAGCACTGGTTTTTCTCACTGATCACAGGAGGCTATTGTAGTATGCTACTGTCTCTTTAAGCAACTCTGCATCTATAAGTTCCTTGATAAGTGTAGGGATCTCTTATCACTTGGTCCCTAACATAGAATCCTACACTGCTTTATTGGTCATTATTGGCTTAGTGGAGATGTCTGTGGGGCTTAAGGTTTTTCATTTGTATCACTACCACTGTTCTAATCATAGCATTTCCCCATCGGAAACATCCCTTACAATCAAGAGAAGAATTACACACACTTAACATAGTTATTCCCCATAATACTCAGATATGTCATTTACAACAACTTGCATGTGTATTGGACCATAGAGGCAGAGCCATAAACTCCTATCAGTTCATAGTCCAATCTGAGAGATATTTCAACATTCAGAGTACATTTTTGACCATGCGTGTGGATACTTCCACTCAGCAGAGTGACTTCTGCCTCACGTCCATAATGACCGAAAAAGTTTAAAACATGTCTACTGTCAAGTCCCCCCAGTATCCTTTGACCAGTGGGTAAAGCCTTCTGGTCCAGTTAGAGAAGGTTCAGGGTCTTAAACTCTACCTTAGAACTTCTTTTAAGAGCAAGAAACGGTGGTGTTGAATGTGTTAGATAAACAGTCAGAAGAAAACAGATCTCAGAAAGATTTTCTAGGTGTTCGAGTTCCTCCTCTAAACATTACCCAGGTGCTTATGGGCTGAGTGGCTGGAATACCGGAATGGTCAATAGGCCATTGGGTAATTTTAACTCCTTCCCCTCCAGCACAACTGATAGAGCTCCCACATTTGCTTGTCAAGGAGGAATCCTATAGTTCATTAAAGTTTTGACCAAACTTATCCTTAATGTCCCTCCACTTCTGCTCATTGGAAAAACAGGCCTCAATACATTTCTGTAAATGACCACCACTGATCAGCAGGGAGGAATTCATTTATGGTCAGGGCTAGTAGCCAGAGGAAAGGAGTTTTAGTTTCTCAGTGACACAGATGGGTGCCCAATAACTACGTAATGCTTTTATTAGATTTATGTGGTCCTACCCAATTTATGTCTAGCTCAAACCACCTTTGCAACTCGGCAGGGAACTCAGGAAAATGGTGAAAGATCACTTGGCCCCATGTCACCAAAGATTTGGGCAGCATGGTCTTACAATGTGCCAGAGCTGTGAACACTAACATGTTTTCTATTCTGTAGCTCTCTTCTGGAGGTAAATGGACAGGAAAAAGCCTTATATCTCAAAAGACCACAGAGGGGAAGAGAAACTGCCCCATAACAACCTTTCATAAGAGATAAAGAGGCAAGTGGGAGACAGCATTTGGAGCAATTCTTCACATGCCTCCCATTGTCCTGCATTTTAGAGGGATCACAAAGTGTTCTGTCGCACTCAGAAGAGCTTTGCTGAAGCTTATCCCTCTGTGGCTTATATGGATATGTTCAAGGTCACCAGGGCAAAAATGCAGAGCAATGCCCTACATGTGGTTAACACCAGGACATTCCTCCTCCTCAGACACTCATAAGTCGCATAATCATCCACGGAAGAAGCTGACACTGTCCATTACCTACCACCTGTTTCTCTGTACTCAGTTGCACGACTGGAGACCCACGATGGATTATGAAATGAGTGATAGGATGGCTGACACAAGAGCAACAGATTCCAAGAGCTGCACTCATGATCCTGACTTATTGGAACACAGATACCAATTGATTCATATAGGAAAAGAATCTGGGGCAGGAGTTGCTCCTTTTACAAGAGAAGAAGTGGGCTTCCTTGCGAGTTAACTACAATTAATTCTGCCTCCTGTCGAAGAAACACTTGTGCTCTCCATGTAGATAATGTGGACCCTGAGAAAGGTATTATGGTGGGCTTTTTTCTACCCTGAAGAGGAAGGGACAAATTTTACTTCCCCTTTTACTTCAAGCAAATGACAAGGAACTTAAGAAAGCTTGCTTTATATCCCCCTGGAACTCATAAAAACACAGGGGTAATGTCTAACTCTCACAAGTGAAGTCAAAGTCTTGGGCTGGATGGGCCCCTGCCAGAAAGTACAATAAGAAGGTTAGCTTGGGAGTGAACTACAAATGTACCACATACAGAATAAAGCCTGTGCTTTCCAATATCCACATATAGGCACTGTGAGGGTGAGTGGCCTGAGACTGTATTAAATGAAAGCACCACAAAGAGCCCTTAGAAAGAAAGGAGGGGGCACAGCAGAGAGATGGCTCACAAAATTCAAGAAGGTAGAACATTTCTAGTGGGCAGTCAAGGGAAGGCCTGATCCTGCAAGCCTGTAGTGAACAGGATATTGAATACCTTCTCAGGGAACAGACTTGTCAGAGGCTACAAACACCAGAACAATAAATGACAAATACTCCCATATTCTAAAGTAAGACGCTAAGGATTCGCTAATTACCCAGATTTAATCATTACATGATGTATATATGTATCAAAACATCACATTGTGCCCCATAAATGTATACAATTGTTGTGTCAATTAAAACTAAAATACTTTTTAAGTGGAATCAAATGGATATTATTAGACCACCATCCACCACAGAGATACGAAATAATTGATGCTGGGCACAGTGGCTCATGCTTATAATCCTAACACTTTGGGAAGCCAAGGCAGAAGGATTGCTTGAGCCCAGGAGCTCACGACCAGCCTGGGCAACATAGCAAGACCCTATCTCTAAAAAAAATTTTTTTTTAATTAGCTGGGTGTGGTGGCACACACCTGTAGCCCTACCTACTCAGGAGGCTGAGGCAGGAGAATCACTTGAGCCCGAGAATTTGAGGTTTCAGTGAGCTATAATCATGCCATTGCACCCCAGCCTGGGCAACAGAGCAAGACTCTGTCTCAAAAAAATAAATAAATAAAAGAATTGACATGGAAGAAGCAAAAATAATTTAGGGAGAAAGTTGTCAGTGTATTCAGCATTTTATCCCCAGGGATAGGGACTGTTTCTTCCTCACTACAAATCACTCACTGACTACAAATCAAGAGCTTCAGAAAACTTGACTGATGCCCTGGTAGGCTGGTTGAGAAACATAGAACTAATGTCTGACTCACGTCAGTAAAATTAACATGCTGGGGCTTGAAGTACCCCTAAAGAAGGGAGAGTAACAGTGTATCTTTGATTGAAAAGCAAATTCAACCTTTACAGAAGCAAGATCTTTGATTTCCAGGGTTGATATATGGACCTTGGGAAAAAGAGTGGCCTGAGAGTAACTTAAAAGATATGTCAATCAAAAAAACCTGCTGGAGAAGCAAATGACCCCAGAAGAGGTGAAGGCCATAAAAGGCCTCAAAACTGAGTGAGAACCTAGTGATCAGTCAGATAAAAGGCACTCGATGTGACAGGAACATGAAGTCTGAGGTCCCTATAGAAAAATGAAAATGTCCCCACGAGAGGCTCTGCTCAGTATTTCCTCCATATCTCAAAGCCCAATGCCCACAAAACAACTTAACCAGCTATGCAAGAATGTGCTCTTCTGGAGTCTTCCTCTTTCTGAGTTTGGCATCAATGAAAATGAACAGTGGCACAGTTGGAGAGAACATGGAAAAAAGGCAAAACCTGAGTGCCTATTTCCACCCAACACCCATGCACAAATATCACATGCAGAATTCCAATCTTTAAGCAGGCCTCAGGAGGGAGTGGAAGATAATTCCCAATATTCAAAAATTAGGACTTTGATTATACACTGTAATCAGCTTCATAAAGATTGCAAATGGCTACAGGACATTTGGCTTCATAAGAGGAAACAAAGTCTATGGGACCTACCTGGACTTTCATCACAGACATGGGAACAACAGATCCAAGCCAGTTTGCACAGTGAAAAAGAAAATGAATAGTTTCTCTTGGAACTCATCAAAAGGAATTTGAATTAAGAAACAGTGGTGAATTTCTAATGTGAATATGCTACAAATTTATTTGACAAACTGGAATTCATAGTGAGTGCTGCAGGAGAGCAACCATCATATGCACTACCTGATATCACAAGGCAGGAAATAGCGGCACATTTTGACTTCTCAGCTATCCACAAATATGTTTTACTAATAACGTAAGGGGCCTTCAAAATGGCAAAAGAAAAGACCTGAAAGCCGGGCGTGGTGGCTCACACCTGTAATCCCAGCACTTTGGGAGGCCGAGGTGGGCAGATCACTTGAGGTCAGGAGTTCAAGATCAGCCTGGCCAACATGGTAAAACCCTATCTCCACTAAAAATACAAAAACCAGCCAGGCGTGGTGGCACGTGCCTGTAGTCCCAGCTACTCGGGAGGCTGAGGCACAAGAATCGCTTGAACCTGGGGGCAGAGGTGGCAGTGAGCCATGATCATGCCACTGCACTCTTGCCTGGATGACAGAGCGAGACTCCGTCTCAGAAAAAAAAAAAAAAAAGACAAGACAAGGCCTGGAACATGAACATGTCACATTACAGTAGGAAGACAGAGTAAAAATGCAGAATCTGGTGTTATCCAAAATGAAGGTTTACCCATTGATTGGACTAGGTGCCTGAAGCTGCAGTGAAATCAATAACCAACAAATACCAAGTTTTTTAAGGAACCTTGAAATATACAAAACAGGCTCTATGAGAAAACCCACAAGACTAAATACTCAGGCTTGAAAGTACAGGGACAATTGGCTTTCCCTCACTTTATCCTACCATGACCTCCTGGTAGTCTCCTACATCTCCTTTCATCCTTTCTCTTCCAGATTCTCTTATTACTCAACCTTTCTGCTATTCTCAATCAATCTTCTGATGAATGTAAGAAAACAATGCAGTGGTTCTCTGGCTCCAATCAGGACTCCTATCCTACAGGGAAATTTCTTGGAGAAACTTGAGCACAGAGAGTCTTAATGGAATCAATTTCCCCATTCTCATCTTTTAATTGTATGTTTTCCTAAAGAACATCAATGTATGAAGGATTCTGGAACTAAGGCAGGCCTTCCTCCATCCCCTTTCACAAAGTCTGTCAATTTACAAAAACAAGGAGAAAATCTCACTAACTCCCATTTTGAAAGGGTGCACTGCCCAGAATGTAGACATCTGGGAGCTCCAAATGATCTGGACTCCAGGTATCAAAAGAACTCACATCAGATGGCAGAGTAGGAGACCCTAGGCATCAATCTGTCCACCAGAACAACTACTGAGCTGGCAAAATCTGTCTGGAGCATTAAATTTATAGCTCTGCAAACTAGTTGAACACTTACAGCATCAGGGGAGCATGTGATGAAGAAAAAGGCTGAAAAATGTCAGTGAAATTTTAAGCCCCCAGAAGCTAGAGGGGCTAAATCACTGAGGAAGAGAAGTTAGACTTAGAGCTGCCCCTGTCAGAGGCACAATAAGAGGACTGGTTTAGGAGAGAACTACACTTTCACTATATGCAGGAAAAAGGAATATATTCTCCGTGGGAGATACGTGGAACCTAAGAAAAAGAGTTGCTGGTTATTTTCTCCTCACTCATGAGGGAGGGACAAAGATCAGTTGATTCTTGCTTCAAGCAAATAACAGAGGTTCAAAAAGCTTCTCTTATGTCCCCTGAAACACATTAACCAGTGTCTCATTCTTCCAAGTGATGACAAGAATCTGGGGATGGAGCAACCCTAAAAAAAGGCACAACAAGGATGACTTGGAAAATGAACTGCAGCTCCAACATGATGGTGGGGCCATAGTAGAAATATGCTGCCACCACAACACATGTAAACTTGAGCTCCTGCCAAGCCTAGAACTCATCACTGTGTGCCTGAAGCTCTGGCATATTACAATACAACCAAAATATTGAGTAGAAATGTGAGGGGGAAAAGTGTTTGCAAAAGAAAGGGTTACACACTGGCTGGCCCAGAATGAACAGATGGCTGAATCCAGTAGACATAAAGACTTTTCAAGAGGTCTTTAAATATGTATGTGCCTGGAGCCCCAGCATAAATTGTCAAAAAAAAATATGAGAACTGACCTCCCCACACATATGGTTGCTCAGGACCAGGTTCACTTGGAGATGAGGCCCCTAAAACTGCTATCACCAACACAAAGTGGCAATCTCACTTCCTACTTTAGTGTGTAGAACTCCAATATGTAGTAATCCAAATGCCAGAAAGAATACAAATGCCGAGAACTAGGTTTTGCTAAATTAAATGCTACACACACTGATCACCAGAATCAAATTCATACCTGAAGCTGGAGTAAACAAATACCAAGTTTTTTTAAGGGGACTTTGAAAAACAAAGAAGGCTCTCAGAAAACATCCACTAGCCGAGATATCTATGCTTGAAAGTTTGGCAGATAATTTTGCACTGGATATAATCCAACATAAAAATTCTGGGATCAACAGAGGCACTAAGTACAGAAAGAGCTGAAGGAAGTCAAATATATGGCAGGATTTGCATGCATGCTAACAACACAAAGAATGAGGGGTGATGCTGACTCACCCTCACATTTGATGTAAGTAAAGTGAATAAGCTAATGGACCTGAGTATCTAAGATAAGGGTGAAAATACATATGTACAACTATTATGTATCCATAAAAATTACAAATTAAAAAACACCCTTGCCAGAGGCTCCAAAGAACAGAACAATAAATGTCAAGTACTCTGTATTCTAAAACAAGGTTCTGAGACATCTCACCAAAAACTTGACCTAAACTGATTCTACTAGATTAGCCCATCACATACCTCTGTAATATAAAAAGTTGTGTTGAAAGAGAAGGAAAAGAATTTTGAAAGGAGTTGTCTCTGTGGTAGACATTTTCTTCTCCATCCTGACTCTGGGCCTCCTCTATCCTCTCCTCAACTTCTTGCTTTGTTATTCTCTCAATGTCACTAACTAGAAGTCATTTCTCAATGGTGGTATATCAGGTGGCAGTTTTAGGCAAGGACCACATACGAATCCCAAAGTGGCCACAACATTTTACCACAGTTCCTGTGAGCATTAATATTCATTGCTAAAACTTTCTTTCAAAACGTGACTGACTGGCCTGAGTGAAACAATGGTCTGTACAGCTTGACAGATAATATCAAAGGCAGGTTGTTGGTCAACTCAAATGACTTTTGAGTAATCTTATATAATGAGCTGAGCAGGATCCCCACATGAGGTATAAAGTCAACTCAATACGCTCAAGCTTATCATGTGCTCTCTCAAATTTGTTTTTCTGGTGTTTTTAAGGCCATCAGTTTTTCTTGAGCAGACTCAAGGAGTATACTCTGGGCATCAATTCACATGTTTCATCAGAACTTTATCTGGGTTCTGGCTACTGGGTCTTGTCAGGGTTATTAATCTTCCAGTGCTGGTTACTCAGATATTGGACCATCTATCTACCACAGACAATATGCTGTCCTTAGTGCTTCCAATCAGAATGATGCCAGTCATATAATGGGACCAGGACACCTCTGGTGAGAATTCAGTCTTTCCTAGGACTCGGCCTATCCACCAGTGAGAAATCATGGGAAAGTTTAGGTCACACTGGGGCAGCAAGGTGAATACATGTTGTAATCAGATCCCCAAGAAGCTAATTAGACTTTCAACACACAATGGGATCTGAAAAAAACATTGGTATGTCCACTATTGCAGACCAAGCCATTCATTCTGCACATGACCATGAACATTACAATATCTGGAAGTAAAGGAACAAGGAGGACTACTGCTACATTGAGCTCATGGCAAAAAGACAGTGAGGTTTCAGTTACTATATTGGTTTTTTGATTAGTTAAGGGTCCTTCTTTCACATGTCCCACCTCCCACCCCAACTCAGTATCTGATATGGTTTGGCTGTGTCCCCACCCAAATCTCAACTTGAATTGTAGCTCCCAGAATTCCCACATGTTGTGGGAGGGACCCAGGTGAAGTAATTGAATCATGGGGGCTGGTCTTTCCCGTGCTATTCTCATGATAGTGGATAAGTCTCACGAGATCTGATGGGTTTATCAAGGGTTTCCGCTTTTGCTGCTTCTTCATTTTTCTCTTGCTGCCGCCATATAAGAGGTGCCTTTTGCCTCCCGCCATGATTCTGAGGCCTCCTCAGCCATGTGGAACTGTAAGTCCAATTAAAACTTTTTTTTCTTTCCAGTCTCAGGTGTGTCTTTATCAGCAGTGGGAAAATGGACTAATACAGTATCTTAAACTGCTTTAACAATGCCTCTAGGCTGGGAATCCTGGTGGGTTCCCAGTTGTATTAATGCCCCACTACCACTATTCTATTGTGGCATTTCCCCATTGAGAACATCTCTTACAAACAAGGACATCCCTTACAAACAAGAAAATATTTAACACAACTCTTCCCACAGCACATTCAGCAGTATCAATTACAACAACTTGCCTGTCTATTTGACCAGGGGAGCCCACCCATAAACTCTCATTAGTCCATAGTCCAATCTGAGAGGCATGTACACATCCAACGTAAATTTCATTTTTGCTTACAAAAAAGTATTAGAACTGGCAAATATGCCCTAAATCTTGCTGGGGATCACAAGTCTCCCTTGCTGGAGGGCATCAAAGGCCATAGAGAATGAATGACACCTTCAACTTACCAATTAACAAAACACCATTATAAAGTGAAAGAACTGAACATCAGAGGAATTTTTCTCTGAAACCATATGAACATTCACAATTCAAACACGTACCACATTTCAACACCAATTACACATTATTATATACTGTATACAATGAGTTGGCTTGCAGGTCTCCAAATGACAAAATCACTTTTAATTATTTATCTTTTCACCACAAGTTATACAGTTGCATTCAGACACTTTTTACAGGAACACAGACCATGGATATTTTTATAACGTGAGTTTCCAGGAGACTCCTTGGGTGGAAGTTTCTACTCTCCTGGGATGGAAGCTTGAAAAATAAAAGGGGGAGCATACAGGCAGAGCAACTGGCACAGTAAGCAAAGATTTTCACATACTTTCAACCATTCTAAGGCCACAAAAAATGTGCTTATAACAACAATTAGGCACAAATCAGACAGGTGATTCCAATCCCACCTATTGCTGCCTAACCCCCAAAACTTTCTTCAAAACGTAGCATACATTATCAGATACCAGAGAATCTGTCTTACCCCTAACCTGGTCCACACACCCTGGAAGACTAAACAGTGGAAGGACTCTCATGTCCTTGTAGACAAGGGTGGGCTACCAGACCCTAGGGAGCCATACCTCTCATAATCTGGCCCCCACTGCTCTACCAGGTCCAGGGGAGTCTTGATCTCTCCTAGTGTGCCCTTGCTGTTTGACCAAATTGAGGCATCTCATCCACCAGTGACCCATCCTGAACAATCCGAGGTGCCACCCATCCTAATGACTTGTCCATCCAAACATGAAACATACAATTGCTTAGAGGGGATGCTATCACTCCCTCTCAGAGAATGGTGGTGGGCATTTTCTCCACCAACATGAGGGAGGGACAATGATTGCTTCCCCCTTGCCTCAAGCAAATAACAGCTTCAGAAAACTTAGTTTATGTATCCTGGAGTTAGAGGGACACTAGGACTAGGACCACTATCTGATTCATGCAAATGAAGTTTAAGAACTTGGGTCAGGATCTGCCCAGATCAAAACGTATAATAGAGGACTGCCTTATGACACTTCTAACACTTGCAGAGGAAAGAACAGTGTTTTCATGGTCAATATATAGACGCTGCAAAAGTTAGTGAACAAACATTGTATTAAAAGGCAAGCTCCCAAAAGGAGAACCTGGAAAGACAGAAAACTCCAACTGAAGTGAGGGCCACATAACTCTGGGGTTTTCGGGGAAGTCTAGTGTCTAGTCAGAAGCTCAACCCACAGACCCTTCAACTAAAGGGAGGCAGAGGCTGGGTGCAGAGGCTCATGGCTGTAATCCTAGCACTTTCAGAGGCTGAGGTGGGAGGATTGCTTGAGCCCAGTAGTTTCGGACCAGCCTGGGCAACAGGGCAAGCCCCTGTCTCTACAAAAAAATAAAAATAAAGGGAGACAGGCACTAGTATCTGGCTCACACAGGAAAAGAAGACGGGGATAGAGCTGCCCTGCACAAACAGTGACTGTGTTCTCCAAGGTTGGCATGAGCCTGACATGTGTCTTCTGCAGTTAGTAAGACATAGGAAATAACGTTTGACTCATGCAAATGAAGTCAAGAACCTAGGGCTGAAAATGCCAACCAGAATATACAATGAGAGAGCTGACTTGAAGGTAAACTGTACTTCTTCTACGTAAAGAAGAAAGTTCTGTGTTTTCCATGGTCAACATGACAATCCCGTGAAAGTGAGTTTACTCAGATTCTCTTAAAAGGAAAGCGTCAAGAAGTGCCCAAAGAGGCACATGACCCCAACAGCAGTGTGGCTCACAACAGATTACAGACTGAGGGGGAGTCTAGAAGCCAGCTAGATGAAAGGCAATGGATATGGTAGGAGCCAGCCAGTTCCTTTTGGAAGCTCAAAATGCATCCATGAGAATGTCAGCTCAGGATTTCTTCTATATCACAGAATCCAAAAGCCTCATTGTAACTTTGGAAACCATATAAGGGTGTGCTCTTATGCACATTCACCTCTCTCCATGGAGACCACATCAAGGGTGTTGGTCCGGAGGAGAAAGTAGATGAAAACCAGAAAGGCAAAAAGAGGTAAAATCTGTCAATCCCATATATACATATACATGCATCACCTGCTAGACTAAAAACTCAATCAGAAACCATCTTGGAGTAGACAGATATTTCCCAGTATTCAGGAGTGTAGGGTTTTAATTATTACACTAGACACAGCTTCTAAGAGTGTGGAAGTTATTACAGGATGTTCAGTCATTGAAGAGCAACCACACAGCTATAAACACTTTCCAAAGATTTCCTGCCAGACATGGGCAAGACAGATCCCCAAGCCAGTTTTCAATGTAAGGAAGGGAAGAAAGTAACCTTCTCTTTACCCTTAGCAAAGTTTCACAAAGTATTGATGAAGATCTGTTCTGGAAGGAAATCCTCTCTTTGGATTTTTATAAAAGGGTCTGGCTTCCATTTCCCTGTAAACATTGTGGAATGATAATATCAAAAATGACCAAACAAAAAGACACCTTTCTTGGAATGGGCTGTGCAAACATGGCCAAATACTTTTGAGAGGGTCACCTTATCTGTTACACTGGAGATTATAATGATAACTTCACAGTTATTGTACTCAAACAAGAGCTTAAAAAATGATCTGTCATACACAACCAGGAAAATCTGATAATATCTAGAAAACATGTTGAGAAAGGTCATGGAAGATAGCAGACTTGGAGGCACCATGAATAGGCAGGTCCATCCACCAGAACAACCACTGAGCTGGCAAGAACTATCTGAAGCAACTATTATAAAGCTCTGGGGTCTAGTTGAACAATTGTAGTATCCAGAGGAGTGCTTAATAAAGAAAGGGCAGGAAATTTTGGTGAATGTCAGTCCCTGGGAACTTCAAGTCCCCCAGAATTAGGATAAGGAAACGAGTGTCTGACTCACTTAGGAAGAGAAGTTGGGTCTGAAGTTGCCCATGCCTCACTTGGGTGTGAACTACAATGCTACCACCAGCAATTTAAAAAAAAAAAAAAAAAAGCTGTGTTCTCTGCGGTGGATATGTGGACGCATAGAATGGGAGTGGGGTGGGCATTTTTTCCACTTTTGTGAGGGAGAAACAAAGATTACTTGACTGTTGCTTCAAGCAAATAACAAAGGCCTTCAGAAAACTATAGCAATATTCATGAGATTTCAAGGGATACAAGGCCTAGTGTCTGAATTACAAAGCGAGAAAACACAGGGCTCTACCTACACTGCTAGAAGGGTCAAGGTGCAGTACTTCCACTTCCTGCAGAAATTACCTTATGACAGCCTTTCAAGGGAGATAGGAGGCAAACGGGACACTAACTCAGAGGAACACATCACAGTCTTCCCATCCTCTAGCATTCTGAGAGGACCACAGGGTGTTCTGCCACACTCAGATGAGCTGTACTTCAAGCTTTTCCCTGCCTGCATGACCTATATGGGTATGTATAAGGTCGAAAGGGTAAAAATGCAGAGCCAATGTCCCACACATGGATAACACCGAGCATTACTCCTCCTGGAACACCCATAAGTCATAAGATCACCCCCTTATTTGAGGATCCTGCTGCTATCCATCACATCACATGTTTCTCCTTAGAACGCTAACCATATGACTAGAGACCCATGACAGAAGATGAAGGAGAGCATGACTGGTACAAGTGCAGCAGCTTCAATAACCTTCACTCAAAACCTTGGAGTCAGAGGGACAAAGACATTAATGTCTCACTCACATATGAAGAGAATCTGGGGCTGGAACTGCTCCTGCCAGAAGGTACAAAAAAGAACTAACTGGGGCGTGACATGCACTACCACCTCCTTCAGAAGACAGGTTTGTTTTCTCCATGTGGATACATGGATCCCGCAAAAGGGATTTTCTATATGCTGAAGAGAGACAGAGATCACTTCCCCCTTTCTTCAAGCGAATGACCAACAGCTTCAGAAAGCTAGCCTTGTACCTTGGTAGAAAAACTTGGTTTAGTGGTTTAAGCCTTGTGTGGCAGTTAGATCTTAAAGGACAAAGCAGTATATTGGTAGTTGTCAATATAGCAGTGCTAGCTCTGTTTATATAAATAGAGAAATGGGGTTAGCCATAGAGGTTAAAACTACCTGGTTATCCCATATATTAACCCAAACTGGGTCTTGGATACACAGTTGTATTTAACGCTTTACGATCTAGCCTTTCCAACACAGGCACTTTCTGAAAAACCTTTGTCCTCATTTGCAGCATTTTGTTGTCGGGTTTCACCGTGTTGGCCAGGCTGGTCTCAAACTTCTGACCTCAGGTGATCCACCCACCTCAGCCTCCCAAAGTGCTGGGATTACAGGCATGAGCCACTGCACCCATCCTGTCACTTTGATTTTAACCCAGTAAGTGCCAGACTTCTAACCCCTAGAATTGTTAAGATAATACATTTGTGTTGTTCTAAGCCATTTAGTTTTTGGCAATTTGTTACAGCAGCCTGACACTTTGATTTTAACCCAATAAAAACCATGCCAGAATTCTAACCTTCAGAATTGTTAAGATAATAAAATTGTGTTGCTCTAAGCCAAACAGAAAGAGAGAAAGAGGAAGGAAGGAAGGAAGGAAAAAGAAAGAAAGAAAGAAAGAAAGAAAGAAAGAAAGAAAGAAAGAAAGAAAGAAAGAAAGAAAGCCAGCCTTGTATTCCCTTAAGTTTGCAAAATAAGTGAAGTCAAGAACCAGGGGCTGAAGATGCCATGACTAGAAAGTACAATAAGGCTAGCTTGGACGTAAACTGCATTTCCACCACATGCAGAAGAAAGAACAGTGTTTTTTAATATCCACATATGGACACTAGGAGGATGAATAGCCTGAGATCATATTAAAAGGAAAGGATCAAAGAAAAGCACATGGGAAGAAAAGAAGTATCCCAGCTGAAGGATGAGTCACAAAATCACAGGAGCTAGGGTGCATCTGATGACCAGTCAGAGGAAAAGCACATTCTTGAAAGCCTGCATTGAATGGGATGTCAACCCACACCCTCTCAGAAAAGAACCTTGCCAAAGGCTCCAAAGGCCAAGACAATAAATGCCAAATACTTCCATATTATTTTTTTGTTTGTTTGTTTGTTTGTTTTTTGAGACAGAGTCTAGATCTGTCACCCAGTTGGAGTACAGTGGCACAATTCCAGCTCACTGCAACCTCAGCCTCCCAGGTTCAAGCGATTCTCCTGCCTCAGCCTCCTGAGTAGCTGGGATTACAGGCGCCCGCCACCACGCCCAGATAATTTTTGTATTTTTAGTAGAGATGGGGTTTCACCATGTTGGCCAGACTGGTCTCAAACTCCTGACCTCAAGCAATCCGCCTGCTTCAGCCTCCCAAAGTGCTAGGATTACAGGCGGTGAGCCACTGCGCCCAGCCTACTTCCATATTCTAAGGTGAGTTGCTAGGCCAACTTAAAAACAAATGGACGTAAACAGGTTCTGCTGGTATTAAACCATCATCCACCACAGAGATATAAAAGAGTTGAGGTGGAAGAAGGAGGAAAGAATTTTTAAAGAGAGTTGTTCAAAATACGGAACACAGTACTTGATCAGGATTCAGAAAACCCATACTCAGAGTCTATCTCTGACATTTCTAACTTAGTCCCCTTCTCTAAGCTCAGTTTTCACAACTCCAAATTAAGATGGGTAAGTCACATTACATATTTTCTGGATTTCTCCCAGGTCCTGGGTTTTACATTATCCCTTCTAGTGCCAAAGTTCCATATTGTTGTTTTCTGGATGCCTGAGATGTTCATTCCTGATTCTTAACCCTGCCACTCTACCCAGGTGATTTCTACACTTAGTTACAACCATCTTGTCTTAGTTACAACCATCTTGTCTTCAGGTACTCAAATGTAACATTCTGAGGAAAGTTTGCCCTCATCACTCAGTCACCCATTCTGACCCCACTCAGGAATAAATTCTGTGTTCTATATAATGGGCTCTCATGGTAGCCCGTTTTTCTTCCCAAGAGAATCAACAGAGTACTTATCACATTACAGTTTTACAGTTATACAACCAAACTGTAAATTACTGATAACTCCCCTAGTCTTTTAGTACTTTAAGGGCATAAACATGTCCTTTTGGTTAGTACCTATTCCATACTGTGATATGCATTCAGAATTATTCCAGAAATTAGTAGTTAATATAATGTCATGTTTTAATAGATTAATTTGTATAACCAAGACAGAGCAAGAATAAATGTCAATGACAGAATAGCCCACAATGGTACAGATAATGGAGGAAGACAGTTGGAGATGGATAGACTTCTAGGGGCTCCTGGAATCACATCACCTAAGTGACTGTATACATGTGGATACAATCTGCTCCATGAGCCAAATATCAACTCCCACAAACTTGATATTTTAAGAATAGCATAGAAAGATGCATGTGCCTGGCCAGTGGGGAATACAAGAGGGGATTTCCAGGAATTAGTGTGCTCTCTTTTTCTCTTCCTCCAAAATGTAAATGAAAAACATTTTGAAATCTTCCATTCACATGTCCTTTCCTCCTAACTTTGACTACTGGTACACATGTTGGATAATTAAAACCTGACAATATTCGACTAGAGGCTACCCTCAAAGTTGAAATGGTCTAACATAAAAGTCTAAGACAATCATTTGTGACTCTCAATTGATGAGCCTTAGTTTACTGTCCTTGCCTTGAACTCCTACATTTTTCACCGAATCTAACATTTCATTTCAATGATTAATAAGAGGACCTACAACACTGAGTATCAGGACCTGTACTAAGATTATATACTTAGCATCTAATATCATCTTTAACACATAAGGAGAATCATGACGTATCTCCCATGGAAAGGTGAAGATAATAAGGCTCAGAGATTTAAAATGCCTCTCCCAACACCACAAGGCCAATAAGTGGTAGAGCTCAGATTGTAACCAAAAATGACTGACTCAAAACCTATGTGTTTAGGCAAGAGAATGAGGAAGCCCCACACCAGATGGATATACCACCCCATGTCCTTCTGCGCAGGCAAACCTCCTCTTTTAGGGTAACTGTAAGGCCACAGCAGTATACAATCACTATCACTTGATAGGATCATAAAGCTATGTCCTAGAACAGAAGAATATTTGAAATGTATAAACTGTATAAGGAAATATAAGGAAAACTCTCCTGGACATTGATGTAGGCAAAGAATTTATGACTAACACCTCAAAAGCAAATGCAACAAAAACAAAAATAGACAAGTGGGACTTAATTACACTAAAAAGGTCCTAGACAGAAAAGAAATAACCAACAGAGAGAAAAGACAACCTGTTGAATGAGAGGAAATATTTCCAAACTATTCATCTTACATGGGACTAATATCCAGAATATATAAGAAATTCTAACAACTCAACAGGAAAAAAAAAATCTTAAAAAGTGGGCAAAGGACATGAATAGACGTTTCTCAAAAGATGACACACCAATAGCCAACAGGCATATGAAAAAATGCTCAACATCACTAATCATCAGAGAAATGCAAATCAAAATGTATTAGTCTGTTTTCACACTGCTGATAAAAACATACCCAGCTGGGCGCGGTGGCTCATGCCTATAATCCCAACACTTTGGGAGGCCGAGATGGGCGGATCACCTGAGGTCAGGAATTCGAGACCAGCCTGGCCAACACGGCGAAACCCCGTGTCCACTAAAAATACAAAAATTGGCCAGATGTGGTGGTGCATGCCTGTAATCCCCGCTACTCGGGAGGCTGAGGCAGGAGAATCATTTGAACCCGGGAGACAGAGGTTGCAAGTGAGCTGAGATCGGGCCACTGAACTTCAGCCTAGGCGACACAATGAGATTCCATCTCAAAAAAAAAAGAAGACATACCAAAGACTGGGCAATTTACAAAAGAGGTTTACTTGGACTTAAACCTCTTTTGTAAATTGTTCCATGTGGCTGGGAAAGTTCCACATGGCTGGGGAAGCCACGTAAATTTTGTAAATTGTTCCGCGTGGTTGAGGCAGTTCCAAGTGGCTGGAAAGCCTCATAATCGTGGTGGAAGGCAAGGAGGAGCAAGTCCCGTCTTACATAGGTGGCAGCAGGCAAAGAGAGAGCTTGTGCAGGGAGACTTCCGTTTTTCAAAACCATCAGATCTTGTGAGACTTATACACTATCATGAGAACAGCACAGGAAAGATCTGTCCCCATGATTCAATTACCTCCCACCAGGTCCATCCCACAACATGTGGGAATTCAAGATGAGATTTGGGTGGGGTACACAGCCAAACCATATCACAAAACTACAATGAGAGATTATCTTATCCCAGTCGGAGTGGCCATTAATAAAAAGACACATACAAAAAAACAGATGTTGGCAAAGATGCAGAGAAAATGGAACACTTATATGCTTTTGGTGGGAATGTAAACTAGTACAGCCACTGTGGAAAACAGTATGCAGATTTCTCAAAAAAACTAATGATAGAATTACCATTTAATCCAACAATCCCACTACTGCATATCTACCCAAAGGAAAAGAAATCAATGTATCAAAGAGATACGTGTACATACCTGTATGTGCATGTTTATCGTAGCACTATCCAATAGCAAAGATATGGAATCACCTTAAGTGTCCACCGGTGGATAAACTGATAAATAAAATGTGTTATATATACACAATGGAATATTATTCAGTCATTAAAAAATTAAATTATGTCATTTGTAGCAACACGGATGGAACTAGAGGTCATTATCTTAAGTGAAATAAGCCAGGGGAAAAAAGCCAAATATCACATGTTCTCATTTACATGTGGGAGCTAAAAAATTTGAATACATGGAGGTATAGAGTGGAAAAATAGATAACAGAGACTAAGAAGGATGAATGGAGGGAAGAGAGGAGGATGAAGAGAATTGGGTTAAAGGGTACAAACATACAATAAGATGGAAGGAGGCCAGGTGCAGTGGCTCACACCTGTAATCCCAGCACTTTGGGAGGCCGAAGCAGTCAGATCACAAGGTCAGGAGTTTGAGACCAGCCTGGCCAATATGGTGAAAACCCGTCTCTACTAAAAATACAAAATTGGCCAGGTGTGGTGGCGCATGCCTGTAATCTCAGCTACTCGGGAGGCTGAGGCAGGAGAATTGCTTGAACCCGGGAGGCCGAGGTTGCAGTGAGCCAAGTCGCGCCATTGCACTCCAGCCTGGGCTACAAAGCGAGACTCCACCTCAAAAAAAAAAAAAAAAAAGATAGAAGGAATAAATTCAGTGCTTGGTAGCAAAGTAGGATAACTATACTTTACAAAATGTATTGTACTTGAGTGATGGACACCTTAAATACCCTGACTTTATTAGTATGCATAATATATAATGGTTAAATTTCCCATGTATCCCATAAATTTGCACAAATTTAAAAAGAGTAGTGACTGAAGATTCAGTTAGTCAGACACCTTCTTAAACATCTGCATTGAACAGGATGTTGAAAGCAACATATCCTGTCATGCAAGAGATATGACAAAGATCCAAAGGGTGAATCATTAAATGCCCAGTATAACTATATTGTACATTGAGGAGACAGGCCATCTTGCAAAGAAAAAGACCATAACTGGTTCTGCTGGCATTATCTTATGGCCAAAGGTTAAAAAAAAAAAAGTTTCATTGGAAAGAATATAAAATGTTTAAGTGATAATTGTCAATGTGGTATGCATATTCTCTACCATCATGAATCTGGTTCTCATCATGAGTCTGGTTCTCCCTTCTTCCAAAAATACATAATCAAACATTCTAATTAAATGGAAGGTAACCTTCTAGCAAATTACCAGAAGGAACTCAAGCCCAATCTGACTTTCTTAACCAGGTGTTCCACTGGGAGCTGATCATTAGTAGTCTATACCTCTTTTTCAATATATTATTTAAGAATCCAAGCCATCTTTCAATAGTACCTGCTACCTATTATACAGGGCATAAATGGTCCAGCAGACATCCCAGGTAGCTTCCCAAGATGAGTACTTTTTTCCTGTAAACCTGGTATCACTGTCAGTGAATCCAAACATGAAGCAAAGTCTAAGAGTATTCTTTTTTCTTCACCCCCTCAAGCATTTATTCTTTCAGTTACAAACAATCCAAAGAAAAGAGGCTTGAAGATTTCTCAAAGAACTTAAAACAGGGCTACCATTTGACCCAGCAATCCAATTACTGGGTATATATCCAAAGGAAAATAAATCATTCTACTAAAAAGACAAGGGCACTTGCATGATCATCACAGCACTATTCACAACAGCAAAAACATGGAATCAACCTCTGTGCCCATCAACAGTAGACTGGAAAAAGAAAATGTGGTATACATACACATGGAATACTATGCAGCCATAAAAAATAACAAAATCATGTCTTTTGCAACAACATGGATGTAGCTGGAGGCCATTATCCTAAGTGAATTAACGTAGAAATGGAAACCCAAATACCACATGTTCTCACTTATAATTGGGAGCTAAACATTGGGTATACACGGACATAAAGATGACAACAATAGACAATGGGGACTATTAGAAGTAGGGAAGCAGGGCAAGGGTTTAAAAACTAATTATTGGGTACCATGCTCACTACCTGGGTGACAGGATCAATCATACCTCAAACCTCGGCATCACGCAATATATCCATGTAAGAAACCTGCACATGTACCCCCTAAATCTAAAATAAAAGTTAAAATTATATTTTAAAAATAAAATAAATAAAGTTGTATTTTTTTTTTAAGAGGGGTTCTTTTAAGAAAAGGGAGCACACAACGGAGGGATACATTACAAAATCCTAGGGACTAGGATCCCTCTTGTGGCCACTCAGAGTAAAGGCACGTTCCTGAAAGCCTGCACTAATAAATAAGATGTTGAATACATACCCTCTCAGGAAAGAAACTCGGCAGAAGCTCTGTTATGGATTGAATTATGTACCCCCTACCAAAAAGAAGAAGCTCATATGTTCATCCTTAGCAACCAGTTCCTCAGAATGTATCCTTATTTGGAGAAAGGGTTTTAAAGATGTAGTCAAGTTAAAATGAGGTCACTAAAGTAGCCCTAATCCAACATGACCAGTGTCCTTATAAGAAGAATCAATCTGGACACAGGCACATATATATGGAAAACACATGTGAACATATAGACAGTCAACTACAAGCCAAGGAAAGAGGCCTGGAACAGATTATTCCCTCACAACCTTCCCTGAATTCCCTTACAACCAATATTGCCAACATTTTCATTGAATTTCAGGGGATTTCTAGGCCTAGATGTGTGAAACAAAAAATTTCTGTTGTTTAAGCCTCCACATTTTGGTACTTTCTTATGGCAACTCTAGAAAATCAATACAGTTTCCAAAGGGCAAGACATATCAAATATTCCCATATTCTTGCCACTGCACTCCAGCCTGGGTAACAATCTGAGACTCTGTCTCAAAAAAAAAAAACTCCTGTATTCTAAAGTGAGCTGCCGACCACCTAGCAAATAAATAGAACGAGTTTCTGCCAGCATTAGCCCATTAAGCCATGTCAGAAATATAAAATAGTTGAGGTAGAAGAGAGAGAAAAAGAATTTTTAGAGTTTTGTCAGTGTGCTGGACATTCTGCCTATATTCATGAGGGAGGGTCAATGGTTTGTGCCCCTTTGCCACAAACCATTGACAAAGAGCTTCAGAAAGCCTGACTGATGCCCATGAAGGTTGAGAGACACAGGAACTAGTGTCTGACTCACACAGTGAAAATCAAGAGGCTGTGGCTGGAGATATTCCTGGAAAGGGGACACTAAGAGTACGACTTGTGAGAGAACAAGCAATTCCACCAATTACAAAAGAAGGATGTTGATTTCCAGGGTCAACATGTCATCCTGGGAAAAAGAGAGGCCTGATAAGTACTTCATAAGGAAGCCACTCAAGAGAACTGCCTGCAGAGGAAGAAAGACCCCAACAGAATTAGAGCTCACAAAGTCCTTGGGATTGAGAAGGACTCTAAGTGATAAGTCACAGTGAAGGCATTGCATGTGGCAGGAATATAAAATCTGAGGTATCTGAAGAAAGGAAAAGTGCTTCCTAACATCATCAGTTCGTGATTTCCTCCATATCTCAGAGCCCCCAGATCATACTATGTCTTTGCCAAATATGCCAGTGTGTGTTCTTCTCCCTAAGTCTTTCCCACTGTGGGGATCTCATCAGGGGAAAGAGAATGAGCAGTCAACTGGGGTGCAGATGCAGAAAGAACATATGCACCTGGGGCTGAAAGATCAGTCCCCAAGATTCATGAATTGAGGTTTTGATTATTATACTGAAATAGGCAGGTTTCTTACAGTTGAAAGTGGCTCAGGACACTTCGCTATGTAAGAATAACCAGAAAAACTATGGGACCCACCTTAGCTTTCTTCCCAAACATGGAAAGAACAGGTCTCTAAGCCAGTTTTCACAGGGAAAAAGAAAAATAATAAACTACTTTCTTTTGACCCAGTTGACATATTTCAACAGGAATTCTAATGAACAAACAGTGATAAAATTCCAATCTGACTATGCTCCAAGGTTTATGATAACCCAGAAGTCATAGTGAGGACCGCAGGAGAGTCATATAGGTGTGTACTAAGGATACCATGAGGCAAGAGATTATGAAACATTATGACTTCTCAGCTATCCACAAACATATATTTCTAGTATTTTATAAGGCCTTCAAAATTATGAAAGAAAACATCTAAATCCCACCATGTCACATTACGATGGAAAAATCGAGTACAAATGCAAAAACTGGTGTCCATCAATCTGCAGGGCTCCCCAGTATAGTGAGTTCCAATTGACATGATTCCAGAAGCTGTGGTAAAATCAAAGGTATATAAACACCAAGTCTTCTTAAGGGACCTTTAAATATACAAAACAGACTCCTTGAGAAAACTCACAATAAAAAGTACCCAGGCTTGAAAACTCAGGGACAACTTCACACTGGAGGTGACCCAGTAAAATTTCTCTCTGACAATAACCAGGAGCATTCAGGCTCAGAGTGATCTGAAAGCAGTCATATATGTGGAAGGGTCTGCATGCACATTGGCAATTCCTACAATGGGAGGCAAAGGAACAGTGGCTTTCCCTCACTTTATCCATCACCACTTTCCAGTATTCACCTTTGTCCACTCTTCCTCCCCTTCTCTCCTACATTCCCCTATTTCTCTGATTTCTCCTAGTCTCTCCTATTCTCCCACACTATGCCAAAGGATAGCTGTAAAGAGTACAGTGGTTCTCTGACTTAGATCAGGATCCCAATCCTGCAAGGACACTTTCCTAAAGCTACATGGGCACAGAGTCCTAATGAAACACATTTCCCTTCTCATCTTCCATATGTAGGTTTTCTTAAAGTATATCTACCTACAAAACATCCTGGGCCTCTGTATTAGTCTGTTTTTTTTTTTTTTCACACTGCTGATAAAGATATACCCAAGACTGGGCAATTTACAAAAGAAAGAGGTTTGATTGGACTTACAGTTCCATGTGGCTGGGGAAGCCTCACAATCATGGCAGAAGGCAAGGAATAGCAAGTCATGTCTTACATGGATGGCAGCAGGCAAAGAGAGAGCTTGTACAGGGGAACTCCTCTTTCTAAAACCATCAGATCTCATGAGACTTATTCACTATCACGAGAACAGCACAGGAAAGACTTGCCCCCATGATTCAATTACCTCACACCGCGTCCCTCCCACAACACATGGGAATTCAAGATGAGATTTGGGTGGGGACACAGCCAAACCATATCAGCCTCCATAAGGTTTCCTCTCTTCCTTCTCGCAATCAATTTCTCCCATTTTAGGAAAGCAATGTGAAAAGGCTCACCCACCCAGTTCTTAAAAGGTGCGTTTCTCAAAATGTGGATGCCATAGATCTGAATTCAAAGCCAGTCTCTGTCAGTTTCTAGCTCGGTGTCCTTTCCTAGGCTCACTTTCCTCCTCTCTAAATTAAGCTGAGTGCTTTATGTTACACAGTCCCTGCATTTCATGCAGTTCCTGGAGTCACTATATGCCTTCCAGTGTCAAGACTTCCATATTGTTTTCTGGGTCCCTGGGATGCCCTTTCTTAAACCACCCTCCTCTACCCAGGCCATTTCTTCACCTAGTTTCACCCTCCTTGTCCTCAGGTGTTCAAATATCACTTCCTCATAAAACCATTTCTGACCACTCACTCTCTGTATAGCACTATGTTACAGCTGTCCAAGCTAACATCTGCATCCTATCCTGTAGGTCACCAAGGAAAGATGAAAGCAGTATAAAGAAAAGTATGTTATCATTGTAGCAGTTATTGCTTAACATCTAAACACTTATACAACATTGGTTTACAGTCTGTGAATGCCACTGGAGGTACTCAAAAGTATTCCTGAAATTATGTCATGAAGATATATTTTTTGCAGTTTTCCCTCTATAAGCATTATCAGGACTCAGCAAGAATGGGACTTTCCTCAATACAAAACATAAATGATTCAATGAGAAGACTTCAGTCAGTGGCACAAGCTGAGGGAGACATTTGGAGATGCACGTGCTTTTCACGGGATCATGGAATCACATTCAGTGAGTGACTTTCTACATATGGATAAGGCCTGCTCCACAAGCCAATACCAATCAGTGCTACCTTGATTTTTTAAAGACAATCAAAGAAAAACACAAGTGCCAAGCCATGAGGAATACTCAGAGAGGTGTCCCAGGAATTAGAACGTTCTCTCTTGCTCATTCTCCAAAATGTAAATTAAAACGGAAATCATGTTTGAAATCTGTTCTTCCTATTATACAACCTTGACTACACATACAAATGATGAACTATTAACTTACTCATATTTGTCTAGGGGCTACATTCAAAGTTCAAATGTCCTAATACCAAGGTGTAGGACAACCATTTGTGACTTTCAGCTTTAGGAACCTTAGCTCACACTCCTTTGAACTTGTACGTTTTATACTGAATCTGATATTTTATTCATTCATTCATTCATTCATTCATTCATTTATTTATTTATTTATTTTAGACGGAGTCTCGCTCTATTGCCAAGCCAGAGTGCAGTGGTGTGATCTCAGCGCACTGCAACCTCCACCTCCCAGGTTCAAGCGATTCTCCTGCCTCAGCCTCCCAAATAGCTGGGACTAAAGGCCTGCACCACCATGCCCAGGTAATTTTTGTATTTTTAGGAGAGACAGGGTTTTACCATATTGGCCAGGATGGTCTATCTCTTGACCTCATGATCCACCCACCTCAGCCTCCCAAAGTGCTGGGATTACAGGCATGAGCCACTTCACCTGGCCAGAATCTGGTATTTGATTGATATATTGCAGAAGTTTTACAGTATTAAAGTATAAAAAGCTGTGCTAAGGCTTTATATTTAACGTCTCACTTCAGCATCACCACATAGAAAGGGTCAAGAAATATCTCCCATCTACACATAGAGAAACTTAGGATCAGGTCTAGTACTTCTCACTAGGAGACACAAAGATCCCTTTTATATTCATGTTTAGCTGCCACTCTGGGAACATTTCCCAGGATTTCTTGTCTTCACGTGCTGGAATTGGAATCACTTGGTTGTTTTTGAGCCAGATCCTGATGGATTATCATGCCCTGTACAATTGTCCTAACTTGGGCAGCGCAGACCTGTTTACCTTATTAACTTTATTAGTTCCCATCCTCAAAGGGTCATTATCCATAGGCATCCACATGGGCATGAACAGGAGAAATGTTACTTGAGAAATCTGCTGGTATTTTTTGTATACATAAGGCTGAAACTTGACCAACCATTTGTCATGCTACCAGGCACCAATCATCTACCCTGTCAGCCCATGGGCACCTGGCCAGATGTGAGCCAAAATGTAATAAGGTGCATTTACAGGGAGGCTTTCCAGCACAAGCACCGCAGCCCATATCGCCACCCATTAAGCAGAATTCCCTTTTCCATGCACAGGTCCAAGCAGATTTCTTGGGGGTTGCACAGCTTCTGCTGTGAGTAGAAACTGTCTGCCTTTAACTTATGGATGCGTCCATAAACCAGACCCAGGTATCCCAGGAACCTGAGTGTTCCAAAGCCACCAGAAACCTGAGATGCTGGCATAGTCCCTGCATCTGAGACAGCCACATCTAGAGGGTGACTGGACACTTTTTCCTGTACCTCTGAGACACTATTAATTCCTGTTTCACATCTTCCCTTGATATCCCACTTTTACTTAAAAATGGATGCTTCTTGGGAAATATTCACTTTGATGGTGTTCTCATTTGACACCAAATTCATGATAGAGAAAGTCAGGAGAAAACACCTGTTCTTGCTTTGTTACTCTCACGATGTTCACCAGCAACAACTAACAAGCCAGAAATAGCCTCTCAAATGGGGTATATCAGGTAGCAGTTTCAGGCAAAGGCCACAAACAAATCCCAAAGCCTGCCTTCATCTAATGGCCACATCTTTTTGCTACAAGTTCCTATCTGCATAAATGCCAATCGGTGCCACTTTCCCTCAAGACTTGGTTCATGTGGAAATGTGTTCTGTACATCCTTCAGGAGAGTTTCTAAGGCATGTTTTTGGTAAAACTGAATGCCATTCTAGTAATTTTATGTCATTAGTTAAGCAAGTTCCTATGTGAGAAATGAAGTATATCCAATACTTAACAAGCCTATCATAAGGTGGGCTTTTTTATCATATGCTGTTCAAAACTAGATTAGCTGGAGTTTTTTTAGTCCATCGGATTCTCTTTAAAGACTCAAGGATTGCACTCTGAGCATCAGCCCACATTGTTCACAAAACTTTATGTCAGTGTCTAGTTCCCAATTCTTTTCAGGGTTTAATCTTCCAGCCCTAGTCACTCAGATATCTGACCATCTACCCTTCAGCAAATTGTACTCTATCCTTAAAACTTCCATTTAGAATCATGTCATCCATGTAGTAGTATCAAGACAGCGCTGGTAAGGTTTCAATCTTTTCCACGTCTAGACTATGTCCACTTGTGAAAAATCTTGGAGAGTATAGATTCTCTGTGGCAGCATGGTAAACATATATGTAATGCCACATTTAGAACCCAAACTTGCTTTCATAAGTACGTGCTCCTCTGGGACCTGAGTTTCTCTTTTCCACTTGTCTTATTCAGTCTCATCTCTAAGAATCCAAGCCATGTTTCAATGGCACCTGCTATGAAGGCCCATGAAGGCAAATGGACTCTGATCCCATGGATGCAGTGGTTACTTGAATAAAGCATTAACGTGTCCACCACCATTAACCAGCGATCCCAGTCTTTGCAATGGATGAGAGAGCATCTTGATATCAGGAACTGCAAGTGCAAAAAAGACTACTGTCAAATACTGTCAAATTAAACTGATGATACAGCACAGTGAGATGTGAAGAATCCTTGGCTTTTTCAGGGACATAACAGGGCTATTCTAAAGTCATACAGTCTCATTAAGCACCTCTGCCTCTATTACATCCTTGATCAGGGTAGGAACCTCCTCCTTTCACCCTCCTCCCCTCGTTGTCCCTCGCCACAACGTAGTATCCTACACTGCTTTATTTATACCTCATGGCTGAGCTGTGGAAGCCTGGTGGGCTCCCGGTTGTCCACTCAACTCACTACCACTGAGATGGAGTAGTGACTCTGTTTTTAGGGACTATTTCCCTGAGCATGGAAATAAAGGAAAATCCTGAGTTCCCTTCAAGGGAAATTCCAGGCACCCAGCTAGCCCTGAGAAGTAAATAAGCAACTTGTTTAGGAAAAGGGTAACAGTAGCCTAAAACAATAGCCAAGGAAGTTAGAGTCCAGAGATGTTGGTTCCCCTATAGAAATTAAAGATAACGTCTTGGCCAGGCATGGTGGCTCACGCCTGTAATCCCAGTACTTTGGGAGGCCAACGCGGGAGGATTGCTTGATCTCAGGAGCTCGAGACCAGCCTGGACAACATGGCAAAATCCTCTCTCTATCAAAAATACAAAAAATTAGCTGGGCATGGTGGCACTTGTCTGTACTCCCAGCTACTCGGGAGGCTGAGATGGGAGGGTCACTTGAGCTTGGGCAGTGGAGGCTGCAGTGAGCCAAGATCGTGCCACTGCACTCCAGCCTGTGTGACAGAGAGAGACTCCATCTCAAAAATAAAATAAAATAAAATAAAATAAAATAAAATAAAGATAATGTCTTAACATATGTCCCGAGTTATCTTTCAGAAACTTGGACCCCCACACACACATACTGAGGACCCCCACGAAATGGATCCACTGGCACGTAGACTTCAAATAAAGGGGAACTGAAGACTGTTCAGTGGTGAACTCTGACCACTGTTCTCTGTTCTAAATTTCTTCCTGAGGGCCTTGGAGTCACACTCCAAAGCCAATTAACATTTTTTTCTGCTGACCCAAAATTTTTAAACAAAGCTTTCCTTCCTTAACCAATTGCAAATCAGAAAACCTCTGAATCTACTTACAACTTGTAAGCCCCGCTTCAACATATCCTACCCTTTTAGGCCAAACCCAATGTGTAACCTCGACGCATTGATTTATGATTTTGCCTGTAGCTTCTGCTTTCTTGAAATTTAACCCTGCCTTTAAAAAGCCTTACCTGCAGCCACCAAAGAGGTCAGTATTTGAGCAATAGCTGCCTAGTTCTCCTTGCTTGGCATTCTGCAAATAAACACCTTCTTTTCTATTGCTGCAGAAACCTCAGTGTGGATATCTGGTTTTACTACATCAGGCAAGCAGACCCCAATTTGGTTCTATAACACCACTGTTCCAATCATGGCATTTCCCCATTGGAAACATCATTTATAATCAAGAGAAGAATCACAAATACTTAACACAGCTCTTCCCACAATCCACTCAATAGTATCAGTTACAACATCTTGCGTGTACTGTTCCATAAGAGCCCACGCATAAACTTACATCAGTCTAATTTGAGACTTATTTCCACATCCAAAGTAAAAATTGTACCATGCCCATGGAGGCTTCAAGGCATTACAGGGACTTGTGCCTCAGCATCCATAAGGACTGAAAAAGTTTGGAAAGTGATGCCAAGCCTCCAACACACTTTGACAAGTGGATAAAGCCTCTAGTTGCTATTAGAGAAGAATGGACCTCACCTTTACCCTAGACCTATTTGTTCTTTTTTTTTTTTTTTTGAGATGGAGTCTCACTCTTGTCTCCCAGGCTGGAGTGCAATGGCGCGATCTTGACTCACTGCAACCTCCGCCTCCCGGGTTCCAGCAGTCCTCCTGCCTCAGCCTTGCGAGTAGCTGGGATTGCAGGCATGTGCCACCACACTCGGCTAATTTTTGTATTTTTAGTAAAGATGGGATTTCACCATGTTAGCGAGGCTGGTCTCGAACTCCTGACCTCAAGCAATTTGCCCGCCTCGGCCTCCCAAAGTGCTGGGATTACAAGTGTGAGCCACCGCACCCGGCTATTTCCTCTTGAAAGAGGAGAAGTCTGGGTAGAAATGTGGTGTTGAAGGTGTTAGATCAACAACATTCCAAACAGCACAGACATTAGCAAGGTTTTCTAGGTCTTCTTGGTCTCCCTCATATCATCAGCAATGTAGTCATGGCCAGGCAGGCTTAAAACATCAGGTAGATTTTTAGGCAAAATGGTGATCTCCTTACAACACTGGGTAGGTGATTAGGCAAAACAATGATCTCCGCTCACTCCCTCCAACACGACTGCCAGTGCTCCCTCATCTGTTTGTGGAGGAGGAAACCTCTATAGACTCATCGGGCTTTTACTCAAACCTATCCTTCATGTTCCTTCCATTCTGTTCATTGTAGAAGTAGACTTCAGAATATCTCTATATAAGTGACTGCACTCTACCAGCAGCTACTGTTTTCCTTGTGGTCATAGGTAATGGCCAGGGGAAAACTGTTTCAATTTCCCAGTAACACAGATGGATACTCAACAAAGAGGAATTGCATTTCTTAGATTTATGTCTAACATGAACTATCAACTCAAGACAGCACGTGTCTCAGAGACAAAGGTGAAAGATCACATGGCCCTTATCATCAAATAATTTATCAATGTGGTCTGTTTATGAGTACCAGTGTTGTGAACATTAAGGTGTTTTCTATTCTGCAGCACTATTCTGGTGGTGGATGGGCAGCACAAAGCCCCCATCCCAAAAGACCACGGAGAAGATGAAAAACTGCCTCATAAAAACTTTTCAAGGAGGATACGTAGGTGAGTGGAAGATGGCCTCAGAGCAATACCTCACAAGCTTCCTATCCTCTTGCATTCTGAGAAGACTGCAAGGCATTCTGCCACATTTAGATAAACCATGCTCAAGCTCTGCCCTATGTGGCCTATATGGGTATCTGTAGGGTGACCAGGACAAAATGTAGATGCAGTGCCCTACACATGGATAACACCTGGGAGTTCCTCCTCCTGGAACATCTGTAAGTCAAAATATCTTCCCATTCATGGTGGAAGCTGATGCTGTCCATTACCCACCATGTGTTACTCTATAGAACTCTAAGTTGTATAACTGGAGACGCACCACGATGAAAGAGGGGAAGAGGGATGGTTTGAATGACACTAGTGAAACAGCATCAGTAAACTTCACTCACAGCCCTAAGTTATAGGAATATGAGATTAGTGTCTGACTCATTAGAAAAAAAATCTGAGGCTGTATCTATCCTTTCCAGAATTTACAAAAGGGGGCTCATTGGGTAGTGACTTCTATCTCCTGTAGAAGAAAAGCTTATGTTCTCCATGTGGAAATATGGACAATAAGAAAGGGAGTGTGATGGGATTTTCTCCACCATCAAGAGGAAAGGATGAAAAGAACTTCCTCCTTGCTTCAAACAAATGGCAAAGAGCATCTGAAGCCTTGTCTTACACCCCTGGAGTGTTGAAACACAAGGGTTAGTAATAAGTTCATATAAGCGAAGTCAAGAACCTGGAGTTTAAGCTTCTCTGCCAGAAGATACAATAAGAAGCTGGCTTGAGAGCAAACTGCACTTTTGCCATATGCAGAAGAAAAGGCTGTAATTTCCAGTGTCACATGTGGAGGCTACAATATTGAATGGCTTCAAACTGTATTAAAACTAAAGTACCCAAGAAGAACCCTTGGAAATAAAAGAGGAAGCCCTACAGAAAAGTGGGCCAAAAGTTCCCAGGGGCTAGGGCACATCTAGTGGCCAGGCAGAGGAAAAACATTCCTGAAAGCCTACCTTAAATAGGAGGTTGAACACAAGCCCTCTCATTTAAGAGATTTTTCAGATGCTCTGTTATTGATTGAATCATGTATTTCAAAAATTCAGATGTTGAATACCTAACATCTAGTATTTCAAAGCACAAATTTATTTGGAAACCGGGGGGTTACAATACTAATAAAGATAAAATAAAGTTCTTATAGTGGTCCTATTCTAATATGAATAGTGTCCTTATAAGAGGAGATTTAGACATAGACACAAATACAGGAGAATGCCATTTGAACATGAAGACAGCCATCTACAAGCCAAAATGAGATGGCTGGACCAGATTGTTCCCTCACAGCCCTCAGAAAAAATAAACCCAGCCAATACCTTGAATTTCAACTTCTAATCAACACACACACATAATATTTGAGGTAGAGAGAGAAAAGAATTCTTAGAAAGAGTTGTTGGTATGGTGGGCATTTTCTCCACATTTGTAAGAGAGGAACAATGATTGCTTCTCACTTGATGTAAACCACTGACAATGAGATTCAGACAAGTTGACTGATGCCCATAAAGGTTGAGGGACACAGGAACTAGCAACTGACTTGTACAAGGAAAAACAGAAAGCTGAGACTGGGGGTGCCCCTGGAGCACAGCAAAAGCTTGCCTGGTAAGTGAACAGCAATTCTACCATTTACAAAAGAAAAATACTTGATTTCCAGAATCCATTTGTGGACCTGGGGGAAGAAAAGAGCCTGAGAATACCTTTAAAGGAATATCAGCCAAGAGAACCACATGGAGGTACAAAAAGAGCTCAGTACTGGTAGATACCACAAAAGGCCAAGGAACTATGGGGTGGGGGGGGCATGCAGTTTAAGTGACCAATCAGAAGAAAGGCCCCGCATCGGGCAGGGGCATGATGTCTGAAGTCCCCATGAGATCTTCCACTCAGGATTTCTTATCTCAGAACCCCATACCTGCATTACAAAGCGAATCATGCAAGAGTGTGATTTTCTCCCTGAGCCCTTCTCTTGCTCTCTCAAGGTCTCATCAGGGGGATAAAAATAAGCAAATACTCAACTGGGGTATAGATGGAGAAAATAAAGGCCAAAAAATGGGTGCCATTTCCACTCCCAACCCATATATGCACGTCACCCGCAGGATTCCAATACTCAAGCAAGCCTCATCTGGGAGTAGAAGATCTTGCCCAAGATTCAGGAAATGATGTATTGATTATTACACTAGAATAAGCTTCTTACAAGATGGAAGTAGCCACAGGACATTCAGCTTTATGACAGTAACCAGAAAAGCTATGAGAACATCCTGGGCTTTTTTCCCAGACATGAGAAGAACAGGTAGGCAACGTGGTTTTCATAGGAAAAAGAATGAAGTTGCTTTCTTTTTGTTAGACTTTATTCACATCAGTTCAACAGGACTTGAATGAAGAAACAGTGATCAAAGTCCAATTTGACTATGCTCCAAAGTTATATGACAACCTAGAAGTCATATTAAGGACTGCAGGAGAGTCATCCACATTGTCACTATTTGATAGCACAATGCCAGAGATAACGACACACTGCGACCTTTCAACCATCCACAAATATATTTTTCTATTACTTTCTAAGGGACCTTTAAAATTACAAAAGAAATCACCTAGTACCCTGAAGTGTCACATTACAACAGGAAAATGGAGTAAAAATGCAGAAACTGGCTGGGCGCGGTGGCTCACGCCTGTAATCCCAGCACTCTGGGAGGCCGAGGCGGGCGGATCACGAGGTCAGGAGATCGAGACCATCCTGGCTAACATAGTGAAACCCTGTCTCTACTAAAAATACAAAAAATTAGCCGGGCGTGGTGGCGGGCACCTGCAGACCCAGCTACTCGGGAGGCTGAGGCAGGAGAATGGCATGAACCCGGGAGGCAGAGCTTGCAGTGAGCCGAGATTGCACCACTGCACTCCAGCCTGGGTGACAGAGCAAGACTCCGTCTCAAAAAAATAAAAAAATAATTTAAAAAAAATGCAGAAACTGGTGTTCTATAAAATGAAGGGATCCCCACAGTAGCCAGCCCAGTTTGACTAGATGCCTGAAACTGCAGTGAAATCAACAGCCAACAAATACTAAGTCTTTTAAAGAGACATTTAAATATACAAAACAGGCTGCGTCCCAAAACCCTCAAGTCCAAACATCACATTTTCTCCACATTCATGAGAGAGGAACAATGATTGCTTTCCCCTTGATGCAAACCATTGACAAAGAGATTCAGAAAAGTTGGCTGATGCCCATGAAGGTTGAGGGGGACAGTAACTAGTGTCTGAACTAGGCTTAAAAGTATGGGGACGGCCAGGCGCGGTGACTCACATGGGTAATCCCAGCACTTTGGGAGGCCGAGGCAGGCGGATCACTGGACGTCAGGAGTTCAAGACCAGCCTGGCCAACATAGTGAAACCCCTGCCTCTACTAAAAAAATACAAAAAAAAAAAAAATTAGCCAGGCATTGTGGCACGCACCTATAATCCCAGCTACTCGGGAGACTGAGGCAGGAGAATCACTTGAACCCAGGAGGTGGAGGTTATAGTGAGCAGATATCACGCCACTGCACTGCAGCCTGGGCAACAGAGTGAGACTCTGTCTCAAAAAATATATATGGGGACATAATCACACTGGAGATAATCCAATATATAAATTCTCTCTAGAATAACCAAGATAACTCAGGCCCAGAGAGAGTTAAATGTAGTCACATATGTGGAGGGTCTGCTTGATCTCTGACTACTCCTACAAGGATAGGATAAAGAAACACAGGTTTTACCCCACTTTACTCAACCTCAATTTCCCAGTATTCTCTCAGTGTCCTCTTTTCTCTGCTCCTTCCTCAGTTTTCCCCTCGTTGTCTACTTTCCCCACATCTCTCCCATTCTCACTCATTCCGCTAGTGGTATTTATAAAGAATGCAGTGGTTCTCAGGTTAGGTCCCCAATGCTACGGGAGGCTTCTTAGGAGTACCTGGGTACAGAGATTCTAAAATAATCCATTTTGTCATTCCTATCTTCCATATGTATGTGTTCCTAAATAATATCCACCTATAAAGAACCTGAGCCTCAACCAGTTTCTCCTCTCTTGCTTCTCATAATCTCCCTTTTCACTTCTCCTATTTACCAACCATAAACCTCTTAGACAGAAAAATATTTGTAAATATCTGCAATAGTGTGTTACATAAGAGTTTCATAAGTAAAACAGCAGGCGCAGGATAAACCATAAAAAATATGTGAATTGGAAATCATCATAATTAAAATCTTTTGCGCCAAAGGACATTATCAAGAAAGTTAAGACAATCCACGAAATCGGAGAAAATAATTGCAAATTATATATGTGATAAGGTTGTAGTAACCAGAATAAACAAAATACTCTTAAAACTCTACAATAAAGGACAACCCAATTTTAAAATGGGCAAGCATATGAATACACATTTCTCCCGAAAGGATATACAAAGTCCTAAAAAGCAAATGAAAAGATGTTCAACATCATTTGTCATTAGGGAAATATAAATCAAAATCACAGTAGATACCACTTCACATCTACTAGAATGGCTATAATCAAAAAACAGGGACAATAACAAATGTTGGCAAGGATTTGGAGAAATTGAAAGCCTCATACATTGCTGACATGAAATAGTGCAGCCACTGCAGAAAACACTTTGGCAGGCCTTCACAAAGTCAGAGTTACCATATCCTACAATTCCAATCCTAGGTAAATACACAATAGAATTGAACATATGTTCATAGAAAAACTTATTCTCAAATGTTCATAGCAGCATTATCCACAATAGCCAAAAGTGGAAACAAACTAATGTCCATTAACTGATAAATGTATAGAGAAAATGTTTATACAATGAAATATTATTCACCCATAAAAAGGAATGAAGGATTGACACATGCTGCAACATGGATGAACCTAGAAAACAATTATGCTACATGAAAAAAGCCATTCACAAAAGGTAACATATTGCATGATTCCATGTATAGGAAATATCCACAATAGGCAAATCCATAGAGTCAGATAGAAGATTAGTGGTTGTGAGGTAATGGGAAGTAGGGGCACTGAGAGTGACTGCTAATACATATAGGGTATCATTTCTGGAATAATGGAAATGTTCTTGAATGAGACAGTGGCAATTGTTCCATAACACTGTGATTATACTAAAAACCACTGAACTATATGCTTTAAAATGGTGAATTGTATCTCAAGAAAACTGTAAAATAAAACAATAAATATTTATCAAACTCATAGTTTATGTGTGGATCACGAATTCAGGAACGGCTGAGCTGGGTGTTTCTGGCACAGGGCATCTCATGCGATTACAGTCAAGAATTCAACCAGGGCTGCAGTGATCTGAATTGATTAGAGCTGGAAAATCTGCTTCCAAAATGGTACAGTCACAAGGCTGGGAAGGTAGTGCTGGTAGGTTGTGGGAGACCTCAGATTCCTCCCACATGAGCCTCTCTGGGGGCTGCTGGAGTATCTTCAATGACTCGGTAGATGATTTTCCCCAGAATGAGTAATCCCAGTGAGAGACAGAGAGAAGCCTCAGTAGTCACAAAACATTACTTCCATCTTATATATTTAAGAGAAGTGAGTCCCTAAGTCTGGCCCACACTCAAGGTAAATCATATTTATCCTATCATTTCAACTTGATCACATAGGGAAGGTATTATTCTCTCTCATCTACGGATGAGGAAACTGAGGCTCAGAGAGATCAAATAAATTTCCCAAGGCCAATAGCTGCCAGAAGTCATTTTTGTTTTTGTTCTTAATGTATTTTTTTTATTCTTATAGATTTAGGGGTGTATGAGCTGTCACACTCTGTAAAGAAATACCTGAGACTGGGTAATTTATAAAGGAAAAAGGTTTAATGGCCAGGAGTGGTGGCTCATGCCTGTAATCCTAACACTTTGGGAGGCCGAAGCGGGTGGATCACCTGAGGTCAGGAGCTTGAGACCAGCCTGGCCAACATGGTGAAATCCCGTCTCTACTAAAAATACAAAAATCAGCCAGGCATGGTAGTGCATGCCTGCAATCCCAGCTACTTGGGAGGCTGAGGCAGAAGAATCGCTTGAACCCAGGAGGCGAGGTGGAGGTTGCAGCGAGCTGAGATCGCACCACTGCACTCCAGCCTGGGTGACAGAGTGAGACTCGAAAAAAGAAAAACGTTTAATTGGCTCACAGTTCCACAGGCTATACAAGAAGCATGATCTGGCATTCTGCTCAGCTTCTGGGGAGGCCTCAGGAAACTTATAATCATAGCGGAAGGCAAAGCAGGAGTGAGGCATCTCACATGGTGGGAGCAGGAGCAAGAGAGAAAGAAGGGGAAGGTGCCGCACACTTTTAAGCGACCAGATGTCCCAAGAACTCACTCACTATCACGAGAACAGCACTAGGAGGATAGTGCTAAACCATTAACGAGAAACTGTCCCCATGATCCAATCGCCTCCCACCAGGCCTCACTTCCAACATTAGGAATTACAATTTGACATGAGATTTGGGTGGGGACAGAGATTCAAATCATATCAAGGGGGTATAAGTGCAGAGTTCTTACATGCATATATTGCATGGTAGTAGAATCTGGGCTCTTAGTGTACCCATCACCCAAATAGTGAATATTGTATCCAACAAGTAATTTTTCAGCCCTCACCCTCTCCCACCCTCCTATCTTCTGTAGTCTCCAATGTCTTTTATTCCACTCTATATATTTATGTGTACTCTTTGTTTAGCTCCCACTTAAAAGTGAGAATATGGCTGGCCAGGTGCAGTGGCTCACGCCTGTAATCCCGGCACTTTGGGAGGCCGAGGTGGGTGGATCATGAGGTCAGGAGTTCGAGACCAGCCTGGCCAACGTGGTGAAACCCTGTCTCTACTAAAAATACAAAAATTAGCCAGACATGGTGGTGGGTGCCTGTTATCCCAGCTACTTAGGAGGCTGAGTCAGGAGACTCATTTGAACCCAGGAGGCAGAGGATGCAGTGAGCCAAGATTGCGCCATTGCACTCCAGCCTGGGTGACAGGGCAAGATTCCACCTCAAAAAAAAAAAAAAGTGAGAATATGAGATATTTGACTTTGTGTTTCAGGAATTATTTCCCTTAGGATAATGGCCTCCAGTTATATCTATGTTGCTGCAGAAGACATGATTTCTTTCATTCTTTTTATGGCTGACTAGTATTCCATGATATATACATACCACATTTCCTTTATCCAACCATCCATTGATGGACACTTAGGTTGATTCCATATCTTTGCTGTCGTCAATAGTGCTGCAATAAACATATGCAGAACTCGTTTTTGAACGTACAAACTGCTGACTCAAAACCTGTGCTCTTAACCTCCACCATTGGTGTTTCTTAACCGGACATGCTATATGCAAAAGCAAGATGATGCATGTGGCCCAAAGGACCAGTTAAATACTCATCTTTGGGGCTGGAGACCAAGCGCCTGAATGGTTTTTAAGATCCCTAGGTGTTGCTGAGGTGCATCTTGGGTTTAGAACTACCCCCTCTGAGCCTGATGGGTTTCTATTATTAATATGGGTAGCTGACTCCAGCTGGATGGTATGTGCCTTGAGGACAGAGTTCCCACCTCAACCTTCCCTGTGGAACCTACTGTGACAGTACAATATCTGCCCAAAGGAAGCAAGCACTAGAAGGATTCTGAGCAACCGCCACCCAGGAAGAGAGTTTCTAGGAGGTTCCAAGTGAACTGAAGTATTCATGAGAGATGGCCAACATGGATACTCTCCAGTAGGCAGGAGATTCACTAGGGCCCACTTGGGGTCAGTGCCTGCCACAGTCAGGGGCATCTCAATCCAACTCAGAGCAAAAGGGTGTCAGAAAATAATGCTCAGCACAAATTTTCTCTCGCAACTCTCAAGTGGGTCTTTGTCTGGGAGTGATTTGAGGCCCCCTACACAACCAAATCCTCATGATACCCAAAGAATATCAAAGAGTTTCAAAATGTACACTAATAGCTAACCCCCTTTGGTGTTGTATGTTCCATAGCAGCCATGCAGGTGCTCTTCCGAAGCCTCTGTACAAAGATGTGTACAGAGTAATGCACTTCGGACTTAAGACCTAGAATGAGAAACTTTATCAGCAATGAATATTTCTACCTGAAGTCTTAGCCCCTTGACTGGGAGGGGTGCCAGATCATTGGCTCCTCCTGGAAGAAGGCACTAGGACAACTGAAAGTGAAGGGGTCCTTACACAACCAACACATGTAAGTTGTTGACTGCTCAAATAAAGTGTTTTTCCAGACCTGAGACTGGTGTTTTCTTACCATTTGAACAGAGACTATTCTATTGAGAAAACAACTTTTTTCAGCACTTTCTTTTAGAAGTTTGAACCCAGTGTGTTTACCCTCTCCAAAGGAACCAATATTTCAGATGTAATTTTCACTTTTCCAGAATCGTTTTACTAAAGATGTTATCAATAACCCAGTCACTGTGAGGGTACAACATGTAACCTTTTGCTACCATCTAGTGGAATTACTGAACTTTACACTGAAACATTTTTGCTTTAATACAGTCATTCTACTACTTCATTACCTTTACCCAACACCAAGAAACACCCCTAACAAAAACAGCAAGATAGGTCCCCAGTGCCTTATCCCCTTTGGTGCTCTTCAATGAACACCACCTCCATATAGCTTTTTTTTTTTGAAAAAAATCACAATAAATATTTATTCAATGACTTTTTTTTTTTTTTTGAGACTGAATCTTGCTCTTGTCACCCAGATTGGAGTGCAGTGGCGCAACCTCGGCTCACTGCAAGCTCCGCCTCCCGGGTTCACGCCATTCTCCTGCCTCAGCCTCCCGAGTAGCTGGAACTACAGGTGCCCACCACCACGCCTGGCTAATTTTTTTGTATTTTTTTAGTAGAGATAGAGTTTCACTGTGTTAGCCAGGATGGTCTCGGATCTCCTGACCTCGTGATCCACCCGCCTTGGCCTCCCGAAGTGCTGGGATTACAGACGTGAGCCACAGCGCCTGGCCCATATAGCTTTTTTGTATAAATTTAAGGGGTACAAGTGTAATTTTGTTACATGAATAGATTGCATAGTGGTGAAGTCAGGGCTTTTACAGCACCCATCACCCAAATAACATACACTGTACCCATTAAATAATCTATCATCATCCACCCCCTCCCACCTCCACAGTAGCTTTGAACTGAGCTTACAATAAACAAGCAGCATTAAGTTTAGAAATCTATAAAAATAACTGGGATACGTAAAGTCACTAGTAGAGAATGACAGAAAGGCCAAAAGGAACTACAAGAAAGCTAGCATTGCAATGTGGTGACCTTTCAGACTTCTCTGTCCTAAGGACATGATATCAGCTAATGGAGAGAGGGCAGCTCCAATAATCCTCTACACTAATCCACTCCAAATTTGGTTACAGTACTAAATTGCTACATGATGAATAGTAAAGCTATCCGGGAAAGAGAAGGCTAGTTATTGATCAACATTCATACTCTCCTTCTTTTACAGAATTGCAAGTTTTACCTGAGGAAATGTCCAGGCCCCCTGCTACAGACTTTAGCCCCTTGCCCTTGCCTTTCCTTCTAGGGGCTACACATGGTGGTGAGCAATCCCTGGCCAGGCAAGAGTTTAAGATGGCAGCGTAACAAGATAGCAGCCTGATGCCAGTCTGGAGTTCCCAACCAGAATTTTACATGAGAGAGAAAGGAACAAGTGGAGAGGTTAGGGCAGAAAGCTGGAAGCAATGGGAGAGGTCAAGAGAGAAGATATGTATGGAGACATCTTCACACTTGTGAGATTTGGCAAAGGAGGAGCCTGAGACGAGGAGTTTAAAGACATGTCCTTGGAAAACACCAAAACTGAGAGGTTAGAAAGAGAAAGACTAGTCATAGAAGAAACAATCAGAGCAACAAGATGAACAACAGAGGAGCACCAAAGTCACAGGGGTACAGGGACCATCAGTCTTACTGTAAAAAAAGGCTTGAGAAAAGACTTATGGATTTATATATAATAACCGTGGGATGTCAGTATGACCACTCCCTGGAGCTATCCGCCTTTTATAATCCTCCCATTACCTTACCTACACAGTATGCCCAGATCATCCTTATGTGGCTCACTGATTCCTTCCATATATACCTTGTACCATCCTAGAACATCTCCCACCCTCAGACATCCTGGCCACACCAGGAACACATTATTAGTTATCACCTTATAGTCACCATCATTATCACAATGCTCCATAACTGCCCACAGCCAACAAGCATGGCAAGGTGAAATAAAAAGTAATCCAGCTACACTATGAATAGAGCATCTAAGAGAGAACACTGGAATTCAACAGAGAAGTGAAAGGAAATATCCAAGGCATGGAAGGAGAGGAGAGGCACACAAATCAGCTCAGCCAGGATCAGATGGGAGCCCAGAGGCTCCCCAGTGTGGGGAAAGGGTAAGTGAGAGATCCCCAGTGGTCCACATTCCCTCTACAGACTCCTATAATGCTAGCCACAATAAAGCCCCTCAACCCTCACAGGCCCTAAGACTAGCATGGGGAGCTGCCTGGAGACCATGCGATGGCATTGCTCTAGAGAAGTTGCTCACACTGGGTCCCACACACTCCCCAAGTCCTAAGCAGCTGTAGCATGACACCATTTTGAGAGCCCAACCCCCACCATACTGCATTCTGCCCCGGGACCCAACAGCCCCTGCATCTGTACATCCCTGGAGCCCCACTAACATCCCCTCACATCCACCCAGAGGTCTGCAGCAATATGACACCAGCTAGACACAGCAAAGCAGCAGGCTCCCCAGCACTCTGGCACACACACTGCCCTGCACCCCAGGAATGGGCAGTGCAGTGTACCCAGGAGGCTGCCCCAAAGACAAAGGGAGCCAAGTCACATGCTCCTCAGAGCCTGAAACTCGCCTGCCTGGAGCCACAGCCATTGACAGCAACCCTGCTCCCATCACCAGCAGGACTGCAGGACAATTAAATGCACCCTGAGGCCAGATTCTCCCCCAAAGCAGCCATTGCTGCTGCCACCACTAAGGACAAAAGCAGGTACCATTGACAGTGACTTGGCCCCCTCTTCCCCCCTCCGCCATCAGCAACAGGGCCAACACACACTTGCATGTACCCTGAGGACTGGCTCCCCCAGCTGCTGCTGCTGCCACCACCATGGCAGCCACTACCAGAGCTGAAGCACAGGCTCCCCAGAGCCTAAGAGCTGCCTGCCTACAGCTGCTGCCACTGACAGCAAACCCATCCTCCCCACAAGCAGCAGGGCCACAGTGCATTTGCACATACCCTGAAGATGGACTATCCCCGCTCGCTGCCACTGCTGTGCCACCACCCAAGCACACTGCTGGGGAGCCTAGGGAATCACCCTGCCCTGCCCACCACAGCCTGTGCCCATATGGACCACTGGGGAGGGCCTGAAGGCAGGCCTGCCCAGCCTGGTACCACCCCCTTCAGTACCCAAACATGCCACCTAGGGGCATGCTCCTTCCACTACTGTTGGCATCTGTGCACTCCTCTTGGATACATGAGGACAGGCCCACCCAGCCTACTACTACCATCATAGCCGGCACCTACCTGCACACACCAACAAGGGGGCTGGGGAATGGCCCACCCAGCCTGCCATAGGCACCACTATCACAAGCGTTTGCCACCCAGGAGCCCAAGGGTTGTCCCACCACTGCTATAGCCACCATCCACGCCACACAATGATTGGGAAAATGAGTGGGACATGGCCTCTGAGCAGTTTCTCATAGGTCTCACATTTGCTCATGTTCCAGAATGGTCTCTAGGCATTTCACCACACTCAAATGAGCCATGCTAGAAGATTGTCCCTACATGGCCTATATAGATATGTGAAGGTCACCAAGACAAAACGCACATGCAATGCCCTCCTCCTAGGATATGCATAAGTCAAAAGGTCCCTCATTGTTGGAGGAAGCTGGTGCTATCTATCATCCACCATGTGTTTCTCTGTAGAACTCTGATTTGCATGACTGAAGATTTATGATGGATTATGGGATGGATGATACAAATGTAACAGGTCCCACAAGCTTCACTCATGGCCCTGAGTTAGATAGAGAGACTAGTGTCTGACACATGTATGAAGAGAATCTGGGGCTGGAGATGCCTCTGCCAGAATATGCAAAAAGGGGCTAGCTAGACAGTGACCTGCACCTCTATCTCCTACAGAAAAAAGGCTTGTGATCTCCATGTGGACATGTGGACCCTGAGAAAGAATGACAGACTTTTTCTCCATCTAGAGGAGAAAAGGCATAGAGAACTTCCCCCTACCTTCAAGCAAATGGCAGAGTTTTAGAAAGCTTTTCTTATCTCATGTTCAGTCATGGATAGAACATCCAAGCAGAAAATCAATAAGGAAACCGCTGACTTGAACAACTTTATAGACCAAATGACCTAACAGACATACACAGAACTTTCCACTGAACAGCAGAAGAATACACATTCTTCTCAAGGGCGCACAGAACATTCTCCAGGATAGATCACGTGTTAGGTCACAAAACAACTCTTAAAAAATTTAAGAAGATTGAAATCACACCAAGTACCTTCTCAGATCACAGTGGAATAAAACAAGAAATTAATAACAAAAAGAAAACAGGCCAGGCATGGTGGCTCATGCCTGTAATCCCTGAACTTTGGGAGGCTGAGGTGGGAGGATGACTTGAGGCCAGGAGTTCAAGACCAGCCTGAGCAACACAGTGAGAACATAGTGAGACCCCCCATCTCTAAAAATATATTTTTTAAAAAAATAAAAAATAATTTAATTTTCTTTTTTTTTTTTTTTTTGAGACAGAGTCTTGCTTTGTCAGCTAGGTTGGAATGCAGTGGCATGATCTCGGCTCACGGAAACCTCCGTCTCCCAGGCTCAAGCAATTCTCCTGCCTTAGCCTCCTGAGTAGCTAGGATTACAGGCGTGTGCCACCATGCCTGGCTAATTTTTGTATTTTTAGTAGAGATGGGATTTCACCATGTTGGCCAGGCTGGTCTCAAACTCCTGACCTTAGGTAATCTGCCCACCTCAGCCTCCCAGTGTGCTGGGGTTACAGGCGTGAGCCACCACGCCCAGCCAAATAATTCAATTTTTTTTAAAAATAGGAAATTTCACAAACACATGGAAACTAAATAACACACTCTTGAACAACCATTAGACAAAAGAGGAAATCAAAAGGGAACTTTAAAACTACCTGGATACAAATGAAAATGAAAATACAATTTACAAAAACTTATGAGATGAAGCAAAAACGTAATAAGGGAAGTTTATAGCAAGAAACATCTACATCAAAAAGAAGAAAGATGTTAAACAAGCTAATTTTATAACTCAAGGAACTAGAAAAAGAAAAAATTAAACCCAAAGTCAGCAGAAGGAAGGAAATAATAAAGATTACAGCAGCAATAAATGAAATAGAAAAACAATTTTAAAAATCAATAAAATTAAGAGTTGGTATTCTGAAAAGATAAACAAAATTGACAAACCCTTAGCTGGACTAAGAAAAAAGGGAGAAGACTCAGATGAAATTAGAAATGAAAGAAGTACAATACAATAAATGATGCAGAAATAAAAAGGATTATAAGGGATTATTATGAACAATTATACACCAACAACTTGGATAACCTAGAAGAAATGAATTCTGAAAAATACACAACCTAGCAAAACCAAATCAAGAAGAAACAAAAAGCCTGAAAAGATCAGTATCACATAAGGAGACTGAATCCATAATCAAAAACCTCCCAACAAAGAAAAGGCCAAGACCACATGGTTTCATGAGTGAATTCTACCAACTACTCAAAGAAAAAATGCCAACCCTTCTTAAACTCTTCCAAAAAGTAAAAGAAGAGGGAACACTTCCAAACTCATTGTATGAGGCCAGCATCATCCTAATTTCAAAGCCAGCCAAAGATAGCAGAAGAGAGAAAAAAAAAAACTGTAGGCCAATATTCCTGAAACATAGATGCAAAACATCTTGAATAAAACACTATAAAACCAAATTCAACAGCACATCAAAAGGATTATATACCACAACCAAGTGAGATTTGTCCCTTGGTTCAATATGCAAAATTTAATGTGATATACCACATTAACAGAATGAAAGATAAAACCACATAATCATCTCCACAGATGCAGAAAGAGCATTTGACAAAATCCAGCATTCTTTCATGATAAAAAATCTCAACAAAATAGGTGTAGAAGGACTTACCTCAACACAATAAAGACCATTATGAAAAACCCACAGCTAAAATCATTTTCAATGAGGAAAAACTGACAGCTTTTCATCTAAGATCCAGAACAAAGCAAAGATGACAATTCCTGCCACTGCTACTTGACAAAGTACTGGAAGTCTTAGCCAGAGCAATCAGGCAAGAAAAAGAAATAAAAGGCATCCAAATCAGAAAGAAAGAAGTAAAATTATCTCTGTCTGCAGATGACATGACCATACACCTAGAAAACCCTAAAGACTCCACACACACATACATACACACACACAAAAAAAACTCTTAGAACTAAAAAACAAATTCAGTAAAGTTGTAGTATACAAAATCAACATTAAAAAATCAGTGGTGTTTCCATACACTAACAACAAACTATCCAAAAGGGAAATTAGGAAAACAATCCCATTTACATTAGCAAAAAAAAAAATACTTAGAAATTAACCAAAGAGATTAAAGACTTGTACAGTGAAAATTAGAAAACACTGATAAAAGAAATTGTAAAAGACAAAGAATACAAAGACATCCCATGTTCATGGATTGGAAGAATTAATACTGTTAAAATGTTCATACTATACAAAGCAATCTACAGACTCAGCGCAATCCCTATCAAAATCACAATGGCATCTTTACAGAAACAGAAAAAACAAATGTATATGGAACCATAAAAGAAACTGAATAGCCAAAGTAATATTGAACAAGAAGAACAAAGCTGGAGTCACTTCCTGACTTCAAATTCTATTACAAAGCTATAATAATCAAAATGGTAGGGTACTGGCATAAAAACAGATGTATAGACCAATGGAACACAACAAGAGACCCAAGAAATAAACCCATGCATATATGCTCACCTAATCTTCAACAAAAGCATCAAGAATACACAATAGGGAAAGGATAGTCACTTCAATAAATGGTGTTGGGAAAACTGGATATCCACATGCAAAATAATGAAATCGGACCCTTATCTTACACCATAAACAAAAACCAACACAAAACAGATTAAAGACTTAAACATAACATCTACAACTATAAAACTCGTAGAAGAAAACAGGGGAAAAACTCTTTGACATTGGTTTTGGCAATGATTTCTTGCATATGACACCAAAAACACAGGCAACGAAAGCAAAAGTAAACAAATGGGACTATGTCCAACTAAAAAGTTTCTGCACAACAAAAGAAACAATCAACAAAATGAGAAGGCAACCTAGAGACTGGTAGAAAATATTTACAAACCATATATGATAAGGTGTTAATATCTAAAATATATAAGCCACTCTTACACCTTAACAGGAAAAGAAAAACCCAAATAACTCAGTTTAAAAATGGGCAAACAACCTAAATAGACCTTTTTTCCAAAGAAGACAATACAACAGGTATATGAAAAGGTGCTCAACACCCCTAATCATCAGAGAAGTGCAAATCAAAACCACAATGGGATATCACCTCACAACTGTTAGGAGGGCTATTATCAAAGAGTCAAAAGATATGTGTCGTCAAGGATGTTATACACTGTTGATGGGAATGTAAATCAGCAGAGTCATTATGGAAAGCAGTATGGAGGTTCCTCAAAATATTAAAAATAGAATTACCATATGGCCCAGCAATCCCACTTCTGGGTATATATCCAAAGGAATTAAAATTAGAATTAAAAGAGATATCTGCATATCTGCACTCCCATGTTTACTGCAGCATTTTTCACAATAGCCAAAATATGAAAACAACCTCATTGTTGGTGGATGGATGAATAGATAAAGAAAATGTGGTGTGTCTGTGTGTGTAATATTATTCAGCCTCAAAAAAGGAAGGAAATGCTGCCATTTGTGACAACTTGGATGAACCTGGAGGACATTATGCTAAGTGAAATAAGCCAGACACAGAGGGACAACTACAGCATGATCTCACTTATGTGTGGAATCTAAAAAAGTCAAACTCACAGAAACAGAGAAGAGAAGTATGGTTATCAAGGGATGGAAGGTAGGGGAAAGGGGATGATGTTGGTCAAGAGGTACAAACTTTTAGTTTTCCAAGATGAATAATTTCTGGAGATCTAATTTACAGCATAGTCAACAATAGTTAACAGTACTGTACTCTATACTTGTAATTTGCTAAGAGGATATCTCTTAAATCAAATCTTCTCAACACACACACACACACATACACACACACAAAGGTAACTCTGTAGAGGTAATGAATATGTTAATTAGCTTTATTGTGGTGATCATTTCATGATATATATGTATATCAAAACAAGTTGTATACCTTAAATATACCTAATTTTAATATATCAGTGATATTTCAACAAGGCCATTTTTTTAAAGTCTGTCTTATATCCTCCTGGAATTAGCAAAAACAGGGATTAATATCAGACTCACACAAATGAAGTCCAGGACCTGTGGCTGGAATGCTCTTGCTGGAAGATACAATAAGACACTGACTTGTGAGTGAACCACACGTCTATCACATGCACAAGAAAGAACTGCGCTTTCCAGTGTCTACATGTGGAGGCTATAATGTTGAGTGGCCTGAGATCGTATTAAAATCAAAGCATCCAAGAGGAACACTTGGAAAGAAAAGAAGGAGCACAACAGAGGGGTGAGTGGCAAAATCCTAGGGACTAAGATGCCCAGACCCAGAAAAGGCACATCCTAAAAGCCTGCATTGAATGGGAAGTCGAACGCACACTATCTCAGGTAAGAGATTTGGCAGAGGCTCTGTTATGGATTGAAGTGTGTCCTCCAGAACATTTATATGTGAAGTCCTAACACCCAGTATCTCAGAATGTGACACTATTTGGAGATAGGGACTTTACAGAGGTAATCAAGTTAAAACAAAAACATTAGGTGGCCCTGTTCCAATATGACGGGTGTCCTTTAAGAAGAAAAAAATTTGGACACAGACATATACAGAGAGAATGCCATGTGAATAGGAAGACAGTCATCTATAAGCCAAAGACAGAGGCCTAGAACAGAGCCTTCTCTTGCAGCCCTTGGAAGGAACCAACTGCCAACACATTGATTTCTGACTTATAGCCTCCAGAACTGTGAGACAAATTTCTGTTGTTTAAACACTGAGTTGGTGCTACTTTGTTGTGGCAGCCTTATCCGACTAATCTGATAAAGCCAGCCTTATCAGACTTGGCCTTGGTCTCCAAAGGCCAACATAATAAATGTCAAATACTGCCATAATCTAAAGTGAGGCACTAGGACACCTTGCGAAGAAATGGAAACATACAGGATCTGCTGGCATTACTTGTCACTTCACTTATATGTGGAATCTCAATAAGTTGAACTCATAGAAAGACAGGAGAAGGGTGGTTACCAGGATGAAGTTAATGGGAAGATGCTAGTCAAAGGGTACAAACTTTCAGTTATAACATGAGTAAGTTCTGGAGATCTAATGTACAGCATGATGATTATAGTTAATGTATTATTCTAGATTGGGTTTCTACCTGCTTAGAAGTGACCGCAGGACAGTTCGTTAAGAGCAGCCAGATGACTATGGGAACTTCCTGAGATTCCTTCCCATACAAGGAAAGAACATTCTCAAGCCAGTTGTTTCACATAAAAAGAAAGTTACTTTCTTTTTGTTTCCATGAAGGCAGCTCAACAACAACACAGTTGTGGACACAGTGAACGAATTTCTAACTGAATATGCTCCAGAGAAATCGGACAGCCAAGAAATTATAATGAGGACTTCAGGATGGCACTCCTCTCTGGAATGTTTGGTAGCCCTAAGGTAGGAGATACATAGCAACTTCTCAGCTATGCACAATCCTACTGTTCTAGCATTTTTCAGTGGATATTGAAAATATGAAAAAATAAAAAGGCCCCCCTGAGAAAACCAACTAGTATAAATTCCCCTGCTTAAAGGAGGATTTCATACAGGAGATGATCCTCTGGGAATAAAAAGGGGCTACTAACCCAAAAAGAGCTGATGGCAGTCACACATGTGGCAGTCTGCATGTACCCTGACATCTCACAGAAAGATGGGATAAAGGGACATTGGGTTACACACACATTATACCTGCCTTGTCTTCCTGAATTTCTCCCCATTCAACCCCCTTTTATCCTTTTGTTCCCCTTTGTGCTCTTTCTCTACTTTTTCCCATGTTTCCCATGTTCTTATTAAGCTGAGTGCTATCTATGAAAAAAAAATGCAATGATACTCACAATGAAGACTGGACCCCAATCATTCAAGGATGCTTTCCTAGCCATAGCTGAGCAGGGAGCATCCTAATAAGATTTATTTCCACATACTCATCTCCCATATATGTGGTTTCCTAAATGAGATTTGTTCTCCAACGACCATGGAACACATCCAGATTCTCCTCCTACCCTTTTCACTACCAACTGCATTTTTCTAAAAGTGCATTGTGACCTTAGGTGCCTCTGGAATTAGAAGGTAGGTTAAAAATTCCAGCCGGGCACGGTGGCTCATGCCTGTAATCCCAGCACTTTGGGAAGCCAAGGCAGGTGGATCACCTGAGGTCGGGAGTTCAAGACCAGCCTGATCAACAGGGAGAAACCCCATCTCTACTAAAAATACAAAAAAAAAATTAGCTGGGCATGGTGGCACATGCCTGTAATCCCAGCTACTCAGGAGGCTAAAGCAGGAGAATCGCTTGAACCCAGGAGGCAGAGGTTGCAGTGAGCCGAGATCGCGCCATTGCACTCCAGCCTGGGCAACAAGAGCGAAATTCCGTCTCAAAAAAAAAAAAAAAAAATTCTATCAAGTTCATTTGTCAAAAGCAGCTGGGGCCTTGAAAATCCACTCTGTGCGGGAGCTGAGGCCCAAGGCCAACATGGAGATAAGGCCCCCTGAGGGCTGCCAACCACCTCATTGCAAACTTGGGATTGCAGTTCCTAGCCTAACAACTGGATACACAACATGTCATGATCCAAAAGGCAGAAAGAATACAAATAGGAGGAAATGATTTTTGCAAAATTACAGGACTACACATGTGGATTTACTAGGCGCCAGAAGGTACAGTGAATTCGAAAGCCAACAATCACCAAGTCCTTTCAGAGTACCTTTAAAAATACAAAACAGTTTCCCAGAGAATAACCATTAGTCTAAATACCCCCACTTAAAGATATAAAGATAATCCAATATAAAACTTATCTCTAAGAACAACCAGAAGGCTTCAAGTCTAGAGAGCAGAAGGAAGTCAACCTGTGACAGGGTCTGCATACATGCTGACATCTCACAGAATGACAGAAAGAAGGAATACTGGCTTACATTCACTTTTGAAATACGTAAACTAGATAACTAAATGTATCCTCAGACCCACAATTAAGGCTGCATTGAGGCAAGATGGTGTGGGTCAGACAAGTTCCTGAAAGTCTGTCTTGAACAATATTGAAAGCAATACGCTTTTGGATGTAAGTATTTTGGCACAGGCTCCGAAGGTCAAAACAATAAATGTCTAGGACCCCATATCCTAAGTTGAGGTACCATACTATCTTGCCAAAACCCTGAGCAAAACTGGGTCAGCCGACATTAGTCCATTTCCAACCTTAAAGATGTGAATATTGAGGTGGAAGAAGGAGGAAAGAAATGTTAGAGGGAATTGTCACTGTGGTAGGCATTTTCTCCTGTGTCCTGAATAAAAGCCTTCACTTGCTTTCCCTAATCTCATAAACAAACATTTAATGTAAATGGAGGAAATCTGCTGGGAAAATGTCACATTTAGAATCGAAACTGACTTTCTTAAGCCTGTGCTCCACTGCAAGCTGAGCATCAGCTGTCCATTCCGCTAAGGTTTTTTTGTTTGGTTTGGTTTTTTTATTGTACTTTAAGTTCTAGGGTACATGTGCACAATGTGCAGGTTTGTTACAAATGTATATATGTGCCATGTTGGTGTGCTGCACACATTACCTCATCATTTACATTAGGTATATCTCCTAATGCTTTCCCTCCCCCATTCCCCCACCCCACAACAGGCCCCAGTGTGTGATGTTCCCCTTCCTGTGTCCAAGTGTTCTCATTGTTCAATTCCCACCTATGAGTGAGAACATGTGGTGTTTGGTTTTTTGTCCTTGCGATAGTTTGCTGAGAATGATGGTTTCCAGCTTCATCCATGTCCCTACAAAGGAAATGAACTCATCCTTTTTTATGGCTGCATAGTATTCCATGGTGTATATATGCCACATTTTCTTAATCCAGTCTAACATCGATGGATATTTCAGGTGGTTCCAAGTCTTTGCTATTGTGAATTGTGCCGCAATAAACATACGTGTGCATGTGCCTTTATAGCAGCATGATTTATAGTCCTTTGGGTATATACCCAGTAATGGGATGGCTGGGTCAAATGGTATTTCTAGTTCTAGATCCCTAAGGAATCACCACACTGTCTTCCACAATGGTTGAAATAGTTTACAGTCCCACCAACAGGGTAAAAGTGTTCCTATTTCTCCACGTCCTCTCCAGCACCTGTTGTTTCCTGACTTTTTGAATGATCGCCATTCTAACTGGTGTGAGATGGTATCTCTTTGTGGTTTTGATTTGCATTTCTCTGATGGCCAGTGATGACGAGCATTTTTTCATGTGTCTGTTGGCCGCATAAATGTCTTCTTTTGAGAAGTGTTTGTTCATATCCTTTGCCCACTTGTTGATGGGGTTGTTTGATTTTTTCTTGTAAATTTGTTTGAGTTCTATGTAGATTCTGGATATTAGCCCTTTGTCAGATGAGTAGATTGCAAACATTTTCTCCCATTCTGTAGGTTGCCTGTTCACTCTGATGGTAGTTTCTTTTCCTGTGCAGAAGCTCTTTAGTTTAATTAGATCCCATTTGTCAATTTTGGCTTTTGTTGCCATTGCTTTTGGTGTTTTAGACATGAAGTCCTTGCCCATGCCTATGTCCTGAATGGTATTGCCTAGGTTTTCTTCTAGGGTTTTTATGGTTTTTGGTCTAACATTTAAGTCTTTAATCCATCTTGAATTAATTTTTGTATAAGGTGTAAGGAAGGGGTCCAGTTTCAGCTTTCTCCATATGGCTACCCAGTTTTCCCAGGACCATTTATTAAATAGGGAATCCTTTCCCCATTGCTTGTTTTTGTCAGGTTTGTCAAAGATCAGATGGTTGTACACGTGTGGTGTTATTTCTGAGGGCTCTGTTCTGTTCAATTGGTCTATATCTCTGTTTTGGTACCAGTACCATGCTGTTTTGGTTACTGTAGCCTTGTAGTATAGTTTGAAGTCAGGTAGCGTGATGCCTCCAGCTTTGTTCTTTTGGCTTAGGATTGTCTTGGAAATACAGGCTCTTTTTTGGTTCCATATGAACTTTAAAGTAGTTTTTTCCAATTCTGTGAAGAAAGTCATTGGCAGCTTGATGGGGATAGCATTGAATCTATAAATTACCTTGGGCAGTATGGCCATTTTCACGATATTGATTCTTCCTATCCATGAGCATGGAATGTTCTTCCATTTGTTTGTATTCTCTTTTGTTTCGTTTAGCAGTGGTTTGTAGTTCTCCTTGAAGAGGTCCTTCACATCCCTTGTAAGTTGGATTCCTAGGTATTTTATTCTTTTTGAAGCAATTGTGAATGGGAGTTCACTCATGATTTGGCTTTCTGTTTGTCTGTTATTGGTGTATAAGAATGCTTGTGATTTTTGCACATTTATTTTGTATCCTGAGACTTTGCTGAAGTTTTCAGGTTAAGGAGATTTTGGGCTGAGACGGTGGTGTTTTCTAAATATACAATCATGTCATCTGCAAACAGGGACAATTTGACTTCCTCTTTTCCTAGTTGAATACCCTTTATTTCTTTCTCCTGCCTGATTGCCCTGGCCAGAATTTACAACACTATGTTGAATAGGAGTGGTGAGAGAGGACATCCCTGTCTTGTGCCAGTTTTCAAAGGGAATGCTTCCAGTTTTTGCCCATTCAGTATGATATTGGCTGTGGGGTTGTCATAGATAGCTCTCATTATTTTGAGATACATCCTATCAATACCTAATTTATTGAGAGTTTTTAGCATGAAAGGCTGTTGAATTTTGTCAAAGGCCTTTTCTGCATCTATTGAGATAATCATGTGGTTTTCGCCTTTGGTTCTGTTTATATGCTGGATTACATTTATTGATTTGCATATGTTGAACCAGCCTTGCATCCCAGGGATGAAGCCCACTTGATCATGGTGGATAAGCTTTTTGATGTGCTGCTGGATTTGGTTTGCCAGTATTTTATTGAGGATTTTTGCATCAATGTTCATCAGGGATATTTATTTAAAATTCTCTTTTTTTGTTGTGTCTCTGCCAGGCTTTGGTATCAGGATGCTGCTGGCCTCATAAAATGAGTTAGGGAGGATTCCCTCTTTTTCTATTGATTGGAATAGTTACAGAAGGAATGGTACCAGCTCCTCCTTGTACCTCTGGTAGAATTCGGCTGTGAATCCGTCTGGTCCTGGACTTTTTTTGGTTGGTAGGCTATTAATCATTGCCTCAATTTCAGAGCCTGTTATTGGTCTATTCAGAGATTCAACTTCTTCCTGGTTTAGTTTTGGGAGGGTGTATGTGTCGAATAATTTATCCATTTCTTCTAGATTTTCTAGTTTATTTGCATAGAGGTGTTTATAGTATTCTCTGATGGTAGTTTGTATTTCTGTGGGATCAGTGGTGATATCCCCTTTATCATTTTTTATTGCATTTATTTGATTCTTCTCTCTTTTCTTCTTTATTAGTCTTGCTAGTGGTCTATCAATTTTGTTGATCTTTTCCAAAAACCAGCTCCTGGATTCATTGATTTTTTGAAGGGTTTTTTTGTGTCTCTATCTCCTTCAGTCCTACTCTGATCTTAGTTATTTCTTGCCTTCTGCTAGCTTTTGAATGTGTTTGCTCTTGCTTCTCTAGTTCTTTTAATTCTGATGTTAGGGTGTCAATTTTAGATCTTTCCTGCTTTCTCTTGTGGGCATTTAGTGCTATAAATTTCCCTCTACACACTGCTTTAAATGTGTCCCAGAGATTCTGGTATGTTGTGTCTTTGTTCTCCTTGGTTTCAAAGAACATCTTTATTTCTGCATTCATTTCGTTATGTACCAAGTAGTCATTCAGGAGCAGATGGAGAGTTCTGTAGATGTCTATTAGGTCCACTTGGTGCAGAGCTGAGTTCAATTCCTGGATATCCTTGTTAACTTTCTGTCTCATTGATATGTCTAATGTTGACAGTGGGGTGGTAAAGTCTCCCATTATTATTGTGTGGGAGTCTAAGTCTCTTTGTAGGTCTCTAAGGACTTGCTTTATGAATCTGGGTGCTCCTGTATTGGGTGCATATATATTTAAGATAGTTTGCTCTTCTTGTTGAATTGATCCCTTTACCATTATGTAATGGCCTTCTTTGTCTCTTTTGATCTTTGTTGGTTTAAAGTCTGTTTTATCACAGACTAGGATTGCAACCCCTGACTTTTTTTGTTTTCCATTTGTTTGGTAGATCTTCCTCCATCCCTTTATTTTGAGCCTATGTGTGTCCGTGCACGTGAGATGGGTTTCCTGAATACAGCACACTGATGGGTCTTGACTCTTTATCCAATTTGCCAGTCTGTGTCTTTTAATTGGAACATTTAGCCCATTTACATTTAAGGTTAATATTGTTATGTGTGAATTTGATCCTGTCATTATGATGTTAGCTGGTTATTTTGCTCGTTAGTTGATGCAGTTTCTTCCTAGCATGGAAGGTCTTTACAATTTGGCATGTTTTTACAGTGGCTGGTATCAGTTGTTCCTTTCCATGTTAGTGCTTCCTTCAGGAGCTCTTGTAGGGCAGGCCTGGTGCTGACAAAGTCTCTCATCATTTGCTTTTCTGTAAAGGATTTTATTTCTCCTTCACTTATGAAGATTAGTTTGGCTGGAGATGAAATTCTGGGTTGAAAATTCTTTTCTTTAAGAATGTTGAATGTTGGCCCCCACTCTCTTCTGGCTTGTAGAGTTTCTGCTGAGAGATCTGCTGTTAGTCTGATGGGTTTCCCTTTGTGGGTAACCCGACCTTTCTCTCTGGCTGCCCTTAACATTTTTTCCCTCATTTCAACTTTGGTGAATCTAACAATTAAGTGTCTTGGAGTTGCTCTTCTCAAGGAGTATCTTTGTGGCGTTCTCTGTATTTCCTGAATTTAAATGTTGGCCTGCCTTGCTAGGTTGGGGAAGTTCTCCTGGATAATATCCTGCAGAGTGTTTTCCAACTTGGTTCCATTCTCCCCGTCACTTTCAGGTACACCAATCAGACGTAGATTTGGTCTTTTCACATAGTCCCATATTTCTTGGAGGCTTTGTTCGTTTCTTTTTACTCTTTTTTCTCTAAACTTCTGTTCTCACTTCATTTCATTCATTTGATCTTCCAGCACTGATACCCTTTCTTCCAGTTGATCAAATTGGCTACTGAAGCTTGTGCATTCATCACGTAGTTCTCGTGCCATGGTTTTCAGCTCAATCAGGTCATTTAAGGACTTCTCTGCACTGGTTATTCTAGTTACCCATTCGTCTAATCTTTTTTCAAGGTTTTTAACTTCTTTGCGTTGGGTTCGAACTTTCTCCTTTAGCTCGGAGAAGTTTGATCGTCTGAAGCCTTCTTCTCTCAACTCGTCAAAGTCATTCTCTGTCTAGCTTTGTTCCGTTGCTGGTGAGGAGCTGCATTCCTTTGGAGGGGGAGAAGTGCTCTGATTTTTAGAACTTTCAGCTTTTCTGTTCTGTTTTTTCCCCATCTTTGTGGTTTTATCTACCTTTGGTCTTCGATGATGGTGACGTACAGATGGGGTTTTGGTGTGGATGTCCTTTCTGTTTGTTAGTTTTCCTTCTAACAGTCAGGACCCTCAGCTGCAGGTCTGTTGGAGTTTGCTGGAGGTCCACTCCAGACCCTGTTTGCCTGGGTATCAGCAGCAGAGGCTGCAGAACAGCGAATATTGCTGAACAGCAAATGTTTCTGCCTGATCTTTCCTCTGGAAGCTTCGTCTCAGAGGGGTTCCCGGCCATGTGAGGTGTCAGTCTGCCCCTACTGGGGGGTGCCTCCCAGTTAGGCTACTCGAAGGTCAGGGACCCACTTGAGGAGGCAGTCTGTCTGTTCCCAGATCTCAAACTCTGTGCTAGGAGAATCAATACTGTCTTCAAAGTGGTCAGACAGGGACATTTAAGTTTGCAGAGATTTCTGCTGCCTTTTGTTTCGCTATGCCCTGCCCCCAGAGGTGGGGTCTACAGAGGCAGGCAGGCCTCCTTGAGCTGCAGTGGGCTCCACCCAGTTCGAGCTTCCCAGCAGCTTTGTTTACCTACTCAAACCTCAGCAATGGTGGGCGCCCCTCCCCCAGCCTCGCTGCCGCCTTGCAGTTCAATCTCAGACTGCTGTGCTAGCAATGAGCGAGGCTCCGTGGGCTTGGGACCCTCCAAGCCATCCGTGGGATATAATCTCCTGGTGTGCCGTTTGCTAAGACTGTTGGAAAAGCGCAGTATTAGGGTGGGAGTGACCCGATTTTCCAGGTGCCATCTGTCACCCCTTGCCTTTTCTAGGAAAGGGAATTCCCTGACCCCTTGCGCTTCCTGCCTCGCCCAGCTTCGGCTGACACTCGGTGGGCTGCACCCACTTTCCTGCCCCCACTGTCCAATGAGCTCCAGTGAGATGAACCCAGTACCTCAGCTGGAAATGCAGAAATCACCCGTCTTCTGTGTCGCTCACGCTGGGAGCCGTAGAATGGAGCTGTTTCTATTCAGCCATCTTGGAACCATCCCCTCTGCTAAGGTTTTTTGTTGTTGTTTTATTTTTTATCAATATATAACAGTTGTACATAGTTTGAGGGTACATGCGATATTTTGATATATGTATGTAATGTGTAATGACCCATTTTCTTTGAGAATTTGAGTCATTTTTCAATGGCACCTGCTGTCTGGGGATAGTATGTGAATTAAATAGTTCATTGCAGGGAGTACTGTTTGCTGTAAAGGTTGCACCAATGTGTAACTGCATGTGGTTGGTGAATCCAAATATTAAACCAGTCCAACTAACAGTTATTTCAAAGAATTCCACATCTGCTGTGTGCACAGGATTGACAAGGCCATACACAGAAAAGGGATCTACTGCAGCCCATGAACAGTGGTAACCTTGAGAAAGGGTACAGCGCCAGGTCTGAACTATCTGCATGTGGGATCCAGAGATCTTTCTACTCGACTAGACAGCTGGCACCCTGGACACATTTGCCAGACTCCCTTGGTCTCATATGCTGGAAACAGTAAGTCTTAATTTGGGGCCAGATCCTGCATTGCAGATGGACTACCATGCCTTGTTACATAGTCTATCAAGGTAGCCATTATCTCAACATGGGCAGGACATGTCTGATGAGCTTATTAATTCCACTAATTTTCATCCCCAAATGGATTTTATCCACAAGGATTTACATGGGGCATAAATAGGAAGTATGTATTTTATGCAATTACCTGATTATAGCTGCCACCTCTGAGGCTGAGACTTGATCATATAGTCGGCCCCCTGCCAGGCATTAGTCCACACTGTCAGCCCATGGGCACCTTCCCAGGAGTGATTCAAAATATAACAAGGTGAATTGGGGGGCCATTTCTAAGGCAAGCACTGCAGCCTATATCTAAACCAATACATCAGAATTTCCTTTTCATGCACAGAAGCAAGCAGGTTGTGTACAGAATGTACAATTTCTGCAGCCTACTACACCCCATCTGCCTTCAACTTAGTGGATGCATCCATGAACAAGACTCAGGAACACTCAGGAACCTGGATGCACCAAAGCCACCAGGAACAACAAGGTGGCACAGTCCCTGCATCTGACACAGCCACAGCTAGAGGGTGACTGGACACTTTTTCCTACACCTCCAAGATACCTTTACTATCTGATGTACTTCTTCTCTAGAAATACCCTTTTCCCTTTAAAATGAATGTTTCTTAGCCAAAACTCACTTTAATAGCATTCTCATTTGGGATTCATCCCATAATAAAGAATTCAGGGTGTATCAAGACCTGCTCTTGTCTTGTTACTCTGTTGATGTCCACCAACACCAACTAACAAGCCATCAAAAGCCTCTAAAGTGACATATATCAAGTGATAGTTTCAGACAAGGACCACAAATGAATCCCAAAATGTGCTATTACCTTTAACGAAAGAGCCACGTCTTTTGCTGTAAGTTTTTGTCTGCATTAATAGCAGTTACTGACACTTTCTTTCAAAATGCCTCTGGGTGACTTGCCTCAGTGGCAAGGTGATCTAGACAACTTGTTGGAGAGTTTCTAAGGCAGGCTGTTGGTCAAGCTGAATGCCTTTCAAGCAATCTTATGTAATGAGCTGACAGAATCTCTATGTTATGTGCATGAAATATATCCAATACTAAACAAGCTTATAATGTTCTGTGCCAAATTTGGTTTTAGGGCAGTTTTAAGACCATCAGTTTTTCCTGAACAGGCTCAAAGATTATACTCTGGGCACCAACCCACATGGTTCACCAGAACTATAGCTAAATGACTGGCTGTTGATTCTTGTCAGGATTAATCTTCCAGTGCTGGTCACTCAGATATTGGACTATTAAACACAGACAATACTGTGTCCATAGCCCTTACAATCAGAATAATGTCATCATTTAAAGACACCAGGACAGCTCCGGTTAGATTTCAGTCTTTTGTAGGTTTCATCCTATCCACTGATGAGAAATCACAATGTTTTGGTTATTATGAGGCAGCAGGTGAACATATATTATAATCTATGAAGCCAAAAAGCCTCTGAAAAAATAATGCAGGGGTGCTGAAGAAAGCAGTAGCATGTCCACCACCACAAACCAGGCCATTCTTTCTCAACAATGAACTCTGTGATCACTTTGATATCTGCAAGTGGAGCAAAAATGAGGACTGTTGCCATATTGAGCTTGTGATATGGTACAGGGAAGCATCAAATACTACAGGGTTTTTTGATCAACTAAAGGAACTCCTTTCACCAGCCCCCAACATGGAACCCTATACTGCTTTACTTATGCCCCACGGCTGGGTTGGAGAAGGCTGGCAGGCTCTGGGTTACCTATTCGACCAACTACCACTACTCTATCATGGCATTTCCCCCACTGGAAATAGCCCTTACAATCAAGAGAAGAATTACATATACTTAACACAACTCTTTCCACAAAACACTCAGCAGTATCAATTATAATATATTGCCTATGTATTAACCCAAAAAGGCCCACCCGTAAACTCACATCAGTCCATAGTCCAATCTGACAGCTATTCCCACATCCAAAGTAAATTTTTGACCGTGCCCTTTGGGACTTCTTAGAGCCAAAGTGACTTGTGTCCCCATGCCCATAAGGACTGAAAAGGCTTGACTACTTTAAGTCCTCAACCCTTGACTACATCAAGTTCCCAACATACCTTGATTGGTGCATAAAGCCTCCAGTTCCATTTAGAGAAGGAAGGGCCACATCCTCTACCCTAGACTTGTATGTTCTTAAAAGGAGAAAGATCTGGGCCAGGTGCGGTGGCTCTTGCTTGTAATCCCAGCACTTTGGGAGGCCAAAGTGGGTGGATCACCTGAGGTCAGGAGTTCGAGACCAGCCTGTTTCAACATGGTGAAACATCAGCTCTACTAAAAATACAAAAATTAGCTGGGCGTGGTAGCTCACGCCTGTAATACCAGCTACTCAGGAGGCTGAGGCAGGAGAATTGCTTGAACCCAGGAGGTGGAGGGTGCAGTGAGCCGAGATCGGGCCATTGCACTCCATCCTGGGCAACAAGAGCAAAACTCTGTCTCAAAAAAAAAAAAAAACAGGAGAAAGATCTAGGTAGAAAGGTGGTATAAAATGTACTAAATGTGATAAATGTCAGTCTGAAGAGTACATATCTCAGCAAGGGAGGATAAGCCTCTCAGTCCTCCTGTGATTAGCAATGTGGTCATGGCCAGACTGGCTTGGAACATAGGGTGGATCATAGATGATGGGGTGATCTTCACCCCTTGTCCTCCAGCACAACTGACAGGACTCCCTCATCTGCTAACCAAGGAGCCCAACACATATTGCCTCACTGGGCATTTGCCCATCCTCAATATCACTTCTTTCCTACTGACTGTAGGAGCGGACCTCAGTACATTTCTGTATAATAGACTGTCCCTGCCACCACTTTATCAATGAGGTCTGCTACTGCTCCTCAAGTCCTGTTCCATACTTGTCCAATCAACCTGTGGGATCTCACTTGTATTTTTTCCAAAAGGGCACTATGACCTTATCAGCCTCCAGGAAAAGGGAATTAAAAATATGATGGAACCAATCTGTGAAAAACCAGGTGTGGCAGAGCCCCATGTAGTTTTCCCTCTTTTACTTTAAAATAAACAGGCCAACTTTTGCAGCCATTTTGTAGCAATAACTGTTCTCTCAGGAACACAGAATACTTTATTTGGTGAAAGACAATAGTTGTTCTTTGACTACAAATGGGATTCAGTGAGGGAAACCACTTACATTATTTCAAGTATCATAACTGGTAGGTAAGCCCCGGATTTTGTTGGGGATCTTAAGTTTCCCTTGCTGGTGTGCATCCGAGGCCATAGGGTTGACACCTTCAGTTTGCCAGTTGAGAGATTATAACACAGTGAAAGCATTAGGCATAAGAGGAATTTTTCAGGCCGGGCACGGTGGCTCACGCCTGTAATCCCACCACTTTGGAAGGACGAGGTGGGTGGATCACAAGGTCAAGAGTTTGAGAACAGTCTGGCCAACATGGTGAAATCCTGTCTCTACTAAAAATACAAAAATTAGCTGGGCATGGTGGTGCATGCCTATATTCCCAGCTACACGGGATGCTGAGGCAGGAGAGTTGCTTGAACCCAGGAGGCAGAGGTTGCAGTGAGCCAAGATCACGTCACCGCACTCCAGCCTGGGTGACAGAGCAATACTCCATCTCAAAAAAATAAATAATAATAATTTTTCACCGATAAGATTTGAGCATTCACAATTCAACATATAACACATTTCAAAATTAATTACACATTAGTAAACAGTGCATACAATGAATCAGCTCACAGGCCTCTCAATGATAAGATCACTTTTAACTTTTTTATCTTTTCGCTACAAGTTCTACCAGCTGCATTCAGACAATTTTTATAGAAACAAAGACTATAAATAATTTTTACACAGACACTACAATACCGGCTTCCAGGAGACCATCTACTCTCCTTGGCTGGAAGCCCAGAAAATAAAGAGGTGCGAGACACACCACGAGAACAACTGGCACCAGTAAGCACGAGTTTGTACTTGCTTTCAGCCATCCTCTGGGGTTACAAAAAAGGTACCTTTAACAATAATTAGGCACCAATTAAACAGATGATTTCAATCTTACCTCTTGCTGCCTAACCTTCCAAACTTTTTCAACAGGTGACATACACTATTGGACCCCAAAGAAACTATCTTATCTTCCCCCTAACTTGGCCCACACACAGCAGGCCCATTTACCCCTACCTTGGCCCACTGTTGGACAGTGGGAGGACCCCTACACTCCCACTCACCCATCGTGTAGACAAGGATTCCAGGGAGCCTTGATCTCTCCTAATCCACCCTATCTGTGTTACACAGTCATAAGAATCTCATCTCATTCAATGGCTTGACCACAGTAAGTCCAGTGCCATGGATCCCTGGTGCCTTATCCATCCTAACATGGAATTTACAATCTCCTAGTGGAGGAACTTTATTGCCCCTCTTGCCTACCACTTAGGTGAGAAGATGTGTCTTAGAAACCAACCTAACTAGTGTGCTGTCTTGTCTAATAAAAGGGCCAACTTTTTCAGCCACACATTCCAGACCAGATATGTCATCTCATGCACAGAGACATGCAAGGCCAAGGACAAGGCCCAAATTATTATTCCACTAAAAACTCTAAAAACACACTTTTACAGCCGGCTGCAGTGGCTCACGCCTGTAATCCCAGTACTTTGGGAGGCCAAGGCGGGTGAATCACTTGAGGTCAGGAGTTTAAGACCAGCCTGGACAACATGGTAAAACCCCATCTCTACTAAAAATACAAAAACTAGCCAGGTGTAGTGGCACACATCTGTAGTCCCAACTACTTGGGAGGCTGAGGCAGGAGGATCACCTGAGCCTGGGAGGTGGAGATTGCAGTGAACAACGATTGTGCCACTGCACTCCAGTCTGGGTGACAGATCGAGACCCTGTCTCAAAAAAAAAAAAAAAAAAAGAGTGGTGGTCAAGGGGAGAGGAGATGAAGACAGGAAAGGCAAAAAGAGTTACTATATCCTCACGCCTGTAATCCCAGCACTTTGGGAGGCCGAGGCAGACAGATCACGAGGTCAGGAGATCGAGACTACGGTGAAACCCCGTCTCTACCAAAAATACAAAAATAAGCCGGGCGTGGTGGCGGGCGCCTGTAGTCCCAGCTACTCAGGAGGCTGAGGCAGGAGAATGGCTTTAACCCGGGAGGCGGAGCTTGCAGTGAGCCAAGATCGCGCCACTGCACTCCAGCCTGGGCGACAGAGTGAGACTCCATCTCAAAAAAAAAAAAAAAAAAAAAAAAAAAAAGAGTTACTATATCCATCCTGTTACATATATATACACATCACTGACAGGATGACAAAACCCATGAATGCTCCAGTTAAGAGTTCATGGAAATGGGCTGGGTGCAGTGGCTCACTCCTATAATCCCAGCACTTTGGGAAGCCAAGGTGAGAGGATAGCTTGAGGCCAAAAGTTCAAGACCAGCCTGAGCAACATAGTGACACCTTGCCTCTACAAAAAAATAAAAATAAAAATAAAAAAATTACTAAATATAAATAAATAAAAATAGAGTAGGCTGAAACGCCTCAGTCTTTAGGAGCATAGGGTTTTGATTGATATAGTACATTGGGCTTCTAACTGGTTAGAAGTGACAACAGGATGGTTGGTTATTTAAAAGTCAACAGATGTCTATGGGATCTTCCAGAGATTTCCTCCTAGACATGGGAAAAACCGATCCCCAAGGCAGTTTCCTTCTCTTTATTACCACCTCTTTATTACCATCTCTTTATTACCATCAAAGGCTTCTCAACAAACTGCTGATGAAGACATGTTCTGGAAGAAAGTCCACCGTTTAGAAAAGGGTCTACCTTCCCTCTAACAATTGTGGGATGGCAATATCAAAAATGTATCTCAAAGAAGAAACCATTCCTAGAAAAGCCCGGACAAATGTGAACAGATAACATCTGAGACAGGAGATGATAATGTCTCACTTCACAGCTATGATGCTCAAATGAGAGCATCCCATTTCAGCCTACAGGGTCTCGCCTGTATTTTTCCAATAGAACATTATGGCCTTAGCAGCCTCCAGGAGGAAGGAGTTAAAATCCCATGGAGTCAAAAGCTCTGGACCAGTGACCACCCAGTCCCTGTGAAAGCTCATCAGCTCAGGCCGGGGGCCTACATAAAAACAAACCACTCAAGGTGCTTCTACTGCCTAACACACAAACTTGGGCTCAGGCTTTCTGGACTGGCATGGAGCCAGTCCATGCCACGCATAGAGCCTAGAGGACGGACATGTTGCTATATGAATAGCAAAATGAATATAACACGAGAAACTGGTGATCACCAAAATGAAGCGCTACCTGTACTGATCAGTCACATTGCCTAGATTCATGAAGCTGTAGTGAAATCAATATCCAACAAATACCAAGACGTTTCTAAGTGAGTATTTAAGTTTACAAAACAGGCTCCCTGAGAAAACCCACAAGACTAAACACCCAGGCTTAAAAGTGTGTGGACGATATCACACTGGAGATTGTCCAGTATGAAAACTCTCTGAGAATAACGAGGTGGATTTGAATCCAGAGACACCTAAAGACAGTCACATATATGGGGGATCTGCATATAAATAATGCTGCTACGAACATTTGAGAGTAAGTTTCCATGTGAACCTATGTTCAATTCTATTGTGTATTTACCTAGGACTGGAATAGAATTGAACATGGAAACTTACTCTCAAATGTTCACAGCAGCATGATTCCATCTATAAGAAATATCCACAATAGGCAAATCCATAGAGTCAGATAGTAGATTAATGGTTGTCAGGTAACACGAAGTAGGGAGAACCGACAGTAACTGCTAAGAGGTATGGGGTATCATTTTGGGTTAATGGAAATGTTCTGGAATGAGATCGTGGTAATTGTCGAATAATAATGAATAAACTAAAAATCACTGAACTATACACTTTAAAATAGCAAAATGTATGTATATTAATTATATTTCCCCAAAACTGCAAAATTAAACAATAACAAACATTTCTCAAACTCACGGTTTGTGTAGATCATGAATTCTGGAATGGCGGAGCTGGGAGGTTCTGGCCCAGTGCATCTCGTGAGGCTGTAGTCAAGATGTCAGCTGGGGCTGCAACATCAAAATTGACTGCAGGTGGAAGGTCTACTTTCAAGGAGATACAGTCACAAGGCTGGCAAGGTGGTGCTGGTAGTTAATGAGAGATCTGTTTCTTCCCACGTGGGCCTCTCCAAAGGCTGTTTGTATGTCCTCACAACCTGGTAGATGACTTCTTCTAGAATGAGAGAGGAACAAATATTGCTTCCCCATTACCTCAAGCAAATGACAAAAAACTTCAGAAAGCTTGGCTTTTATCTCCTGCAGGTTAAGGATTGCAGGAAATAGTATTTGACTCATACAAGTAAAGTCTAGAGGCTGGGGCTAGAGCAGTTCCTGGCAGAAGGAACAATAAAAATGGGATGCTTGGACATAACCTGAACTACCAGCAAATGCAGAAAAATCTGTGTTTCCAAGGAACAAATATGGATCCTGAAGGGGTGGCCTGCCCCTCCACACCTGTGGGTGTTTCTCGTCGGGTGGGATGAGAGACTGAGAAAAGAGACACAGAGACAAACTATAGAGAAAGAAAAGTGAGCCCAGGGGACCGGCACTCAGCATACCGAGGACCCACGCCGGCACCAGTCTCTGAGTTCCCTCGGTATTTATTGATCATTATCTCTACCATTTCAGAGAGGGGGATGTGGCAGCACAATAGAGTAATAGTGGGGAGAGGGTGAGCAGGAAAACATGTGAACAAATGTCTCTGCATCATAAACAAGGTTAAAGAAAAAAGTGCTGTGCTTTTGATGTGCATATACATAAACAGCAGTATTGCCTCCAGCATGTCTCACCTCCAGCCCTAAGGCTGTTTTCTCCTATCACAGTAGATGGAATATACAATGGGGTTTTACACCGAGGCATTCCATTGCCCAGGGACGAGCAGGAGACAGATGCCTTCCTCTTATCTCAACAGCAAAGAGGCCTTCCTCTTTTACTAATCCTCCTCAGCACAGACCCTTTACGGGTGTCGGGCTGGGGGACGGTCAGGTCTTTCCCTTCCCACGAGGCCACATTTCAGACTATCACATGGGGAGAAACCTTGGACAATACCTGGTTTTCCTAGGTAGAGGTCCCTGCGGCCTTCCGTACTGTTTTGTGTCCCTGGGTACTTGAGAGTAGGGAGTGGTGGTGACTTTTAACAAGCATGCTGCCTTCAAGCATTTGTTTAACAAAGCACATCCTGCATAGCCCTAAATCCATTTAACCCTGAGTTGACACAGCACAGGTTTCTGTGAGCACAGGGTTGGGGGTAGGGTTACAGATTAACAGCATCTCAAGGCAGAAGAATTTTTCTTAGTACAGAACAAAATGGAGTCTCTTACGTCTACTTCTTTCTACATAGACACAGTACCAGTCTGATCTCTCTCTCTTTTCCCCACAGGATCCCACAAAAGGGAGTGGCCTGAGATTACCTTAAAAGGAAAAATAGCTAAGTGGGCCACCCACTGGGGTGGAAGGACCCCAACACAGGGATGGGCTACAAAAGGCCTAGGGACTGAGGGGAAGCCTAAGTGGCCAGAGGAAAGACACTGGATGTGGCAGGGTCATGTACTCTGAGGTCCCTCAAGGAACCTGCAAATATCCCCATTTACTGTGTCAGACAAGGATTTCCTCCATATCACCAAGCCCTAAGGCTATATTGCAACTTTGCGAACCATGCAAGGGTATGCCCTTCTCCCACAAGCCTGCTACTTTCCGGGCCCCCGCTGTAGATCAGAAACAGTGTGTGGTGAAATCAAGTTTACATATGAACATTTACGTGACCATTGACTAATATTTGTGAGCATCAGTGGAATTTTAGCTTGATAATAGCAGGAACATGTCTATTTTGTTACTGCTGCCTCCCAGTGACAGTGTCTGGCACATAGTAAGTGCTCAAAAACTATTCCTGATCCCTACCTCACATGTTACACAAAATTAACTCAAATGGACCAAATACCTAAATATAAAAACGATAACTATAAAACTCTTAGAAGAAGAAGAGAGGTTTTTATCTTCATGACCTTAGATTAAGCAATGGCTTCTTAAAAATGGCACCAAACATACAAGCAACCAAAAAACAGAGACAACTTGTACTTCAACAAAATTAAACTGTTTTACATCAAAGACCCTAGCAAGAAAGTTAAAAGACAATCCACAGAATAGGAGAAAATATTTGTAAATCATACATCTGATAAAGGTTTAGTATCCAGAATATAAAAAGAATTTGTATAACTCAATGACAAAAGGAAAATAACCCAATTATTACATAGGCAAAAGATTTAAGTGGACATTTCTCCAAAGATGATATACAAATGGCCAAAGAACACATAAAAAGATGCTCAACATCATTAGTCATTTAAGAAATGCAAATCAAAACCACAAAGAGATACAATCTCACACCATTAGGATGACTATAACCAAAAAAAAAAAAAAATGGGCAATAACAAGTGTTGAAGAGGCTGTAGAGAAATTGGAACCCTCAAACATTGCTGGTGTGAATGAAAAATGGTGCAGCTGCTGTGGAAAACGCTTTGGCAGGTCTTCAAAAAGTTAAACATAGAGTTACCATATGGTCCAACAATTCCACTCTAGGTATATACCCAACAGAACTAAAACTACATGTTAACACAAAAACTTGTATGAGAATGTTCATAGCATCATTGTTCAAAATAGCCTAAAAGTGTAAGCAACACAAATATCCATCAATTTATCAATGGATAAACAAAATTGGTATATCAACAATGGAATATTATTAAGCCATAAAAAGCAATGAAGTACCAATACACACTACAACATGGATAAACTTTGAAAACATTAAGAAGCCAGGCACAAACGGACAAATATTGTATGATCTTACTTATATGGGGTGTCTAGAAGTATTCAAATTCATGGAGACAGAAAGTAGAATATTGGTTTCCAGTGCATAGGGGGAAAGGGAGACAGAGATTTATTGCTAATTGGTTACAGTTTCAGTTTCGGAAGATGAAAAAATTCCGGAGGATGTGGTGATGAGTGCACAACAGTGTGAATGTACTTTATGTCACTGAACTGCAAAAATGGTAAAAATACTTAAAAATGGTTAAAATGGTAAATTTTACATTATGTATATTTTACCACAATAAAAAAGGAATGAAGTACTAACATGATACAACTTGGATGAATCTTGAAAACATTATGCTTAAGTAAAAGAAGACACAAATGATTCCATTTAAATAAAATGTCCAGAATAAGCAAATCTAGAGAGAGAAAAAGTAAATTAGCTGTTGTATGGAGGGATGTTGCTTGTTGGATAGGAGGAAGGGAGAAATTGAGAGTGATTAATAGGTAGGAGGCTTCTTTTAGGGGTGTATATATAAGTGTTCTGGAATCAAATAGTGGTGAGCACAAAGCACAGCATTGTGACTATACTAACAACCACTTTATATTTTATTCTTAAAAATGAAAAAATCATGTTTTGTGAATTTTGTCTCAATTTAAAAATTGGGCAGATAGTCTTCCCCCAGAATGAGTAATCTAAGCACAAGACAGACAGAAAGTATCTTTTTATGACGCAGCCTCAGAAGCAACAAAGCATTACTTCTGCCATATTCATCAGAAGTGAGTACCTAAGTCTGGCCCACATTCAAAGTGAGGCTTAACATTTACCCTATCATTTCAGTTTCACAACATAGGGAAACTATTACTGTCTTCCATGTGCAGATAAACACACTGAGGCTCAGAGAGGTTGAATAAACTTACCAAGGCCACAAGGCCAATAGATGGCAGAGCTCCTATTTGAATTTAAAAATACCTGACTCCACAACCTGTGCTTTTAACTACCATCAGTGGTGGTTCTTAATTTGCCCATTTGTGAAACCTATTTGTGCCCATTTGTGAAACCAAAAATGCTTGGGGCCTCCCAAAAACCTATTGAAACATCATTTCTAAGCCAGGCACGGTGGCTCATGCCTGTAATCCCAGCACTTTGGGAGGCCGAGGCGGGCGGATCACGAGGTCAGGAGTTCGAGACCAGCCTGGCCAGCACAGTGAAACCCCATCTCTACTAAAAAAATACAAAAAATTAGCCAGGCATGGTGGTGTGTGCCTGTAATCCCACCTACTCGGGAGACCGAGGTAGGAGAATTGCTTGAACCCGGTAGGCGGAGGTTGCAGCAAGCTGAGATCATGCCACTACACTCCAGCCTGGGTAACACAGCGAGACTCCATCTCAAAAAAAAGAAGGAAACATCACTTCTGGGCCTGTAATCACAGCACTTGAATGGTTTTGTTGGTTGGTTGGTTGGTTTTGTTTTTTTGTTTGTTTGAGACGGAGTCTCACTCTGTTGCCCAGGCTGGAGTGCAGTGACGCAATCTTGGCTCACTGTAATCTCCGCCTTCCAGGCTCCATCAATTCTCCTGCCTCAGCCTCCTGAGTAGCTGGGATTACAGGTGTGCACCACCACGCCCGGCTAATTTTTGTATTTTTAGTAGAGACCGGGTTTCACCATGTTGGTCAGGGTGGTCTTGAACTCCTGACCTCTAGTGATCCGCCTTTCTTGGCCTCCCACAGTGTTAGGATTACAGGCGTGAGCCACCGCGCCCAGACAGAATGTTTTTAAGCTCCCCAAGTGTTTCTGAGGTGCATCCTGGATTTGGAACCTGCCCCCTGTCTCTGATGGTTTTGTATTATTAATATGGGCTACTGACTCCAGCTGGATGGTAAGTATCTTGAGGGCAGGGCCCCCACCTCAAGCTTCCTTGTTGATGTCACTGTGATATCACAATGTCTGCACAAATATCATTGGATGAAAGGATTCAGAGCAACTGCCACCCAGAATGTCAGTTGCCAGGGAGCTCCAACAGAACTGAGGGACGAACAGTAGGTGCCTGAGAGCTGGCCGATCTGGTCACTCTCTCCAGTGGGCCACAGGGGCCCACTTGGTGGGCAGTCTCTGCTGCCAGCTAGGGCATCTCAGCTCAGCCCAGAGCAAAGACGTGTAGGGACATAACGCTTTCCTCAAGCTTCCTTTCCCAGGTCCAAACTTAGAGGCCCAGTTTTGGGCCTAGAATTCACTGAGGTTTGTGGCTGTTTGTCCAACAGTCACCATGGATCACCGAAGCCGACTACGGGGCACAGGCCTGAACCGAATCCCTGGGACTCAGTCCCGAGCCCCCCGAGTCCCACTCCCCTTCCACGTGCAACAGGAGGCCAGGGAAGGAGAAGACTGGGAGCGAGAGCCACCTCGTCAGAGGCCTCCTATCTATGAGCCACCAGAAAGTGAAGAGCTGCCAGATAATGTTATGGGTAAGGACACACCCTCCCTCAGCAGAAGGAGGCTGGCATCATCTTTTTCATCCTTTACCTCCAGGAAGCAGGGGCCGGGAGGCAGAAAGCAGAGTATACAGTGGGCAGAACTAGGGTGAGGGATGAGTTTGGAAAGGGGAAATTTTCTATCTGCCACAAAAGATTGTTTCACAAGGAGTAAGGATAAAATATGTGAAAGCAACTTGAAACTGAGGCTGTCTGCAATATTAGGTGTTATTTATAAAATCAGGTGTTTGCAATGTCAGTTGCTTACTGTGGGCCAGGTTCTTTGGGAAACAAAGACCTATTACACATTGATTTCAGCCCCAGACAGCCCACAGTCTAGTAGAGGAAAGACAAACTTAGGATGGTTTCTGCAGGATTCAGAAAGATAACAGGTGCTTACAGAAAACAAACTTAACATGTTCTCACTTAATTGTGGGAGCTAAAAATTAAAACAATTGAACTCATAGAGATAGAGAGTAGAAGAATGGTTACTAGAGGCTGGGAAGGGTAGTGGGGGGCTGGGGAGGAAAGTGGGGATGGTTAGTGGGTACAGAAATATAGAATGAATAAGACCTAGTATTTGATAGCACAACAGGGTGACTATAGTCAATAACAATTTAATTGTATACCCTAAAATAACTAAAAGAGTATAATTGGATTGTTTGTAACACAAATGATAAATGCTTGAGGTGATGGATAACCCATTTGCCATGATGTGATTGTTACACACTGTGTGCCTGAATCAAAATATCCCATATACCCCATAAATATATATATATACATATACATATATATATACATATACCTACTATGTAGCCACAAAAAATTTTTTTTAATTTAAAAAGAAAGATAACAAGCACTTGCAGGAGGACAGAGGGCACCCTGGGATCATACAGGCTCATGCCTGTAATCCCAGCACTTTGGGAGGCCAAGGTGGGCGGATCACAATTAGCTGGGCATGGTGGCGCGCACCTGTAATCCCAGCTACTCGGCAGGCCGAGGCAGGAGAATTACTTGAACCTGGGAGGTGGAGGTTGCAGTGAGCCGAGATTGCCACTGCACTCCAGCCTGTGCGACAGAGCGAGACTCTGTCTAAAAAAAAAAAAAAAAAAAAAAACAACCTAACACAGGGTTAAGTTGCAACATTGCCTGTTTGCCCCATAGTTCCTTTCCAGCTGGAAGAGAAGAAATGGTCTAGGGATATGGCTTTTCAGGTTAGACTTTTCTTCTCCAAGTTTTCTGGGGACCTGAAAAGGGCTCCGACTTGAGAGAGGAGTCATGGCTGTTCACAAAGATCACTGCAAGGAAAAGAATAAGAAATGTCTGTTAGAGGGATAAAACGCGAGCTATTCAGAGGCAGAAAGGTCAGTTTCCCTTTGAGGGGCGGGGGTGGCGTGGGATGAGGAGGCTTTTTGGGAGAGATGGGCGTGGAAGGATGTCTAACAAGTGCTGGCGGCGAGGGTCGTTGGCACTTCAATGGTGGGAAGACAGCCATGGGCGAAGCTTTGTGGAAGAAATAGGTGTGAAGGATGAGAAGGCCTACAACAGTGCTGAGGGCGCGAGGCCAGTCACCTGCGAAGTTTTGTGTACAAGATGGGCCCAGAAGGATGAACAGGGTCTAAAACAGTGCTGAGGGTGGGAGTGCAGAAGATCGGTCACAAGTGACGACACAAGGTGGTCTTAGTCCAGTTGGTGGACGCTCGGTGGCCTGGGCCTGCCCCCAGTGCGCAGACGCACACGGCAGGTTGCAGCGGCAAGCGGGGCGGTGCCCACGGCGGGGAGATGGGTGGGGAGGGCAGGGAAAAGGCCAGGGGTTGGGTGATGGGGTAATTGTCAGAAAAAGGAACAACACTGCTGGGAGAGTTTTCTGGTAACTTTTCAAGTCTTCATTTAAATTAAAAAAAAAAAAAGCTGTCTTTGAAACAATAGATTAGGTCACTAAAAACTGCCTGTACGCCCTTGCATGCTGGAGGAAAGTAAATGGTTAGACCTACCCTCCCTAAGTTTTTCCAGGACTTAAAAGAGCTGCAAGTAGTGCAGATCATGGCCCCGTTCACACAAATCACTTCAAGAAAAAAAATTAGTAAATGTCTATTAGATCTTGAAACTTATTCCTGTCTATCTGGAACTTGGTAACCTCTGACCAACAACTAACTCCCCATTCCTTCCCTCTCGCCTCGCCTTCCCTACTTCCCAACCTCTGGTAAGCAGCAGGGTAAATACAGTCAATAATAATGTATATTTCAAAATGAATAAGAGTAAATTTGAAATGTCTCACCATAAAAGTCATAGGTAAACAAGGCGATGGATAAGTTAATGTGATGTAATCATCCCACATTGGATACATATTTCAAAAAATCACATTGCATCCCACGAATGTATACAATTATGATTTGTCAAGTAAATATAATTTTTAAAAACGTTAAGTGACTTTTTAAAAAGCTTATTAGAAGTATAAAATGCAAGCCATTCACAAGCATATAGGTTAGATTCCGCTTGTGAGGGGCTTGTGTGCAGTGGTGAGGCTTTGTGGAAGAGATGGACGTGGAAAGATGTCTAAAACAGCGCGGAGGTCAGGAGACCTTGTCGCTGCCTTCACAGAGTTGGGCAACGCTCCCGGTCCTGGTCAGCCGCGGGACGCAGGCGCAAATGCAGGCTTGGGATGGGGGAGGTGCGGCCGGCGCCCACGTGGCGGGGCGGGGAGCAGATAGGGGGGGTAGGGGGAGGAGCTGGTCTCGCGAGGCCGCGCCCCGGTTCGCGCGGGCGTCGTGCACGCGGTTGTAGCTGCCCGGCGGCGGCAGAAGCGGCGCTCGCGCCAAGGGACGTGTTTCTGCGCTCGCGTGGTCATGGAGGCGCTGCCGCTGCTAGCCGCGACAACTCCGGACCACGGCCGCCACCGAAGGCTGCTTCTGCTGCCGCTACTGCTGTTCCTGCTGCCGGCTGGAGCTGTGCAGGGCTGGGAGACAGAGGAGAGGCCCCGGACTCGCGAAGAGGAGTGCCACTTCTACGCGGGTGGACAAGTGTACCCGGGAGAGGCATCCCGGGTATCGGTCGCCGACCACTCCCTGCACCTAAGCAAAGCGAAGAGTAGGTGGTGTCCCGCCAAAGGGTGGGAGGGGAGATTCCGGAGACACGTGTACCCCGGTTACACCCCCGGAATCTGGGCTTGGGCGGCACCCCCTGGGCTGCCTCCGGGCCCTGGGCGGGCCTGGTTCTCACCTAGGAGGGCGGGGAGGGGAATAAAGGGGAGTTCTAGCTGTGAAGAAAGGTATGGTTTCCACTGATCAGATTTTAGAAGAGGTAGTGGTTACCCCAAAAGCCGCAGCTGAGGGAAAGTGGGTGGCCCTAGTCCCGAGTTTGCATCGAGGATGTTGGGCAAACTGAAACAGTTCCTGAAACATCTCAAAGTGCCTTCAGCACATCCTGTCTTTTTCAGGTACTATTTCAGCGAAGGAAGACATTGATAGGTTGAATAATGATTCACAAAAAGTTTGATTAAACAGAAAAGTTGCTAAACACAGTGCTCGGGAGGTCAAACATTTCATTTTTCTTTCTTCCTTTTTGTTTGCATCTTACAAAGATTATTACTGAAAGCCACCTTCCCCAAAGCCTGTGTAGTTAATGGATATTCCTTATGTTTCTCAGACATGAAGAACCTATTACAGAGTGTACTTTTGAGGGAAATGGGGGAAAAGGTTAGAAGTATGCATTTGGGTTGATGATAAACCTCGTGGCAAATTTGTGTCCTGCCAATTTGGTTTTTGATTATTTGCATTTCTGTCCAGTGTACAAAGCTAATGGCCACTTTCAGGAATGACACGTCAGACGAAGTAGATACTGTGAAAGTTGTAGCCTGCTACATCTGGATGTTAAAATTAACCAAAAGTGAACAGTGGCTATAGATAAAGGCTGTCTCTTGCTTGCTATTCAGTAACCTGCTTTTCCTGCAGATCATTTGACATTCTGTAGGTGTGTAGTTGGTTTTTATGGTTCAGTTACAGCATGTTCCATGCCAGTATTCAGTGAAAAAAGTAATGCTTCAAATTCTGAATCCCTAGAGTTAAATGGAATGTTGTTATGACTTAGGATGGGTTGGTTGGGAGTGATAAATGAGAAAAACTGTTTTGTCCTCTTAAACATTTACAGTTCTTACTTGCTGAAAGTAAGTACTTTCAGTTAACCACTTTGGGACTTTTTTTTTTTTTTTATTTGAGATGAAGTCTTGCTCTGTCACCCAGGCACCCAGGCTGGAGTGCGGTCGCGCGATCTCGGCTCACTGCAACCTCCGCCGCCCGGGTTCAAGCGATTCTTCTGCCTCAGCCTCCCAGGTAGCTGGGACTACAGGCGCGCACCACCACACCCGGCTATTTTTTGTATTTTTAGTAGAGACGGGGTTTCACTATATTGGCCAGGCTGGTCTGGAACTCCTGACCTCATGATCCGCCTGCCTTGGCCTCCCAAAGTGCTGAGATTACAGGCGTGAGCCACGGTGCCCAGCCTACTTTGAGATTTTTAACAAAACCAGTCTTAAATTTTAAAATCAGTATTTCCAAGTCCCACTGGTTTTACTTGCCTGGGAAAGTATTTTAAATATGTCAGCCAGTTAAGTGTTTACTTACATTACATATATTTTCCATAGGAAACAAATCTACTTCAAAGCTTTCCCTTTACCAGCAAAACTTAACATTTTAGTTGTTTACTACATTTCTCTGTCACATGTAGGCTTATCTATAATTAAAGATACAAAGACTTTTGTTAGTAAAGACTATTATGGAGCCATTAAGGCCATATTTTCAAATAATTTTTAGTAATATCAAAAACTGTTCATAATTAATTTACTGTTTCCTTTAAGGAGAAAAAAAAGGCGGGATGCAACACGTGGCAAATTTGTGTTTAAAAAAGAACGGAAAGGCCAGGTGTGGTGGCTCACGTCTATAATTTCAGCACTTTGGGAGGCCGAGGCCATCCGATCACCTGAGGTCGGGAGTTCGAGACCAGACTGGCCAGCATGGTGAAACCCTGTGTCTACTAAAAATACAAAAATTAGCCGGGTGTGATGGCGCATACCTGTAATCCCAGCTACTGGGCAGGCTGAGGCAAGAGAATCCCTTGAACCCGGGAGGCGGAAGTTGCAGTGAGCCCAGATCACACCACTGCACTCCAGCCTGGGCGACAGACTGAGACTCTTGTCTCAAAAAAAAAAAAAGTAAATAACTAAAATTAAAAAAAATAAGACTAGAAAGACAGACATCAGAATGTTAACAGTAGTTGATGGGAGTTATGGAGAGAGAGGATTTAAGTATTCTTTGTACTTCTCTGCATTTACCAGAATCTTTATGTTAATTACATAATTTATATTCAAGACAATTTTTGTTTTTTTAATAAATGCAAGGGATTGCTTTGGGAATTCCATTTATAGATCTTAGCAAAGTAACTACCATTCTTAACCAAATATTTCCAAAATCAATTTTCAGAACAAAATTTATTTTTCAAATATGGTTTTCCCAGTATGCTAAAATCATTAAGGCGTGTCATTGTAATAGATCATTACAATTATTATAACCTCTCACTTGAGTAGCATTTTAAGTAATTTATTTAAAGTATATATAATTGAATACTCTTCTGCTGTCTATTTCTCCCTCCTGGCCTTTACCTAATCAGATCAGGATTATATATATGAGGTAGGATGCTGGCTCAAGATAAGTAATCATATGTTATATATTAATTTTTAAGAGAAATTCATGTTGTTTGTCTCTATTTTGGAGTGACCATAAATGGTGGCTGTTACAGAGAAGTATAAGCCTTACTTTCTAGGACCCTTAGCCAAACTTAGAAGCAAGCATTGACTTCAGTGTTTGTAAGGGGTCTGAAAGTATAAGTGCTATCTGAATGTGTTAACAGAGCATGAAGGTGCATTAGTATCTAAGTGTGTTGGCTAAAATTACTGTACGCCCTTACAAGAGAGCAGCATGAACTGTTCAGTTTCCATTGGGTCACTTGAAACCTGTTCAAGGGAGTCTTCTTTCAAAGCCCTCTAGGAAAATGATCCCATGGTCTGGGATTTTACACTTCTGGCCTGACATATTTGTACATTCCCTCCTCATTTTGTGTAGCCTCATCTGCAGCAGGTCCTCCATGTGTATGTCAGAAGCTGGACAAACTAGTACATCTGGAAGACTGCCATTAGAGAAAGGAAAATCTAATTATTTGAAATGTAGGAAGTTGACAACTTGAAGCGGGACTATAGTGAAGTATCCAGGAGGGTTTAGTGCAGGGTAGAATTTAAGGGGTCTGTGAGCATGAATAGGGGAAAAAAGTATTTATTTTCACTAATCCCCATCTGAAATTTAGTGTTTCCTTCTATTATGAATGTCAGCAACAAACTACACTATCTTCAGCAGCACTTGCTTGTACCTTTCACCAATAGAATCACTTATTTTCTTGCTACATATGGTTATCGCAGGTATCCTGAAACACCATTTTCACTCATCATTATCTTACGTAGTTGTCAGATTACAACTAGATCTTGCAGTTTTGAAGTGTTATAGAGCACATGTATTATGATATCACCAATTTTTTTTAATATTTTTATAATTGCATTTAAATACAATTGGTTTCTTTTGTAATTCTATGTATTTTCCTTTTTGCATTCAATAACACTCTTTTAAGAAGTCTGTAAGCTTCACCAGACTGCCAAAGAGATCTAAAGGTAGCCCTGATTTTTAGTGATTTTCTAAAGATGTCCTTCTACCATTCCACCAACTTTCTCAGTGTTACAGAACATCATGTATTTTATTTTCTTAGTTTCCAAGCCAGCGCCCTACTGGGAAGGAACAGCTGTGATCGATGGAGAATTTAAGGAGCTGAAGTTAACTGATTATCGTGGGAAATACTTGGTTTTCTTCTTCTACCCACTTGATTTGTAAGTAATACATGTAAATAGCTAGTAAAATCTCAGTCTTTATCAATTATTTTTCAGGAGTATCAAACAAATTATTTTGTTCAGCTCTTGGTTTTTAAAAAGGCAAGCTGAAGTAAAGAAATGTATTTAAAAAGGTAACATCTACCATATATTTCAGAGTCATAACACACCGACCTCAATACTTATGTCTACATGATTATGTTATAATGGAATAATTAGAGGAAAGCTACAATATATTCATTAAGCTATACCTACTAAGGCAAGAAAATGGACTGATAATATATTAGAAAGCATTTAATAGCAAGACCTATGCCATAATTCTTTTTACTGTATCTCTCTTGATTAGAAAATTAATTCTGTAATCCCAGCACTTTGGGAGGCCAAGGCAGGTGGATTACAAGGTCAAGAGATCGAGACCATCCTGGCCAACATGGTAAAACCCCATCTCTACTAAAAATGCAAAAATTAGCTGGGCGTGGTGGTACGCGCCTGTAGTCCCAGCTACTCGGGAGGCTGAGGCAGGAGAATTGCTTGAACCCTGGAGGCGGAGGTTGCAGTAAGCTGAGATAGTGCCACTGCACTCCAGCCTGGCGACAGCGAGACTCCATCTCAAAAAGAAAAGAAAAAGAAAATTAAGCCATTTTCTCTAGTGATACCATGTAACTGTGGTTTTTCCATTTTTATTCTTTGCTGCATCTGTTGCTTTTCTGGGATTTGAACATTTTGCTGAAAATATTATATACTGCTTAAGGAATAAGGAATAACACCTGTGTATATGTTATGGTTATTGTGGGGTTTCTCGTCTTTTTTTAACTCTGTGACAGTGAGCGTTTTTGTATATGGTCAGAAAGTTGACTAAAAGTAAATACCCTTACAGCTTTATTCACGTTGAGGATTTAATTTTATTTTACAAAACACTATTTTGAGTGTTTTTCAAAATTCATGAAAGTGAGAAGAGACCAAAAAGAGTTATGTCAATTTTTATCTTTTATTCTCTTGGAACTTACTTTTTGGTTACAACAAATAACTAGAAGTTTCCTCCTCTATCTTTGCCACTGTGCCTTTTTCCATTAGGACTAATCTGGAACTACATAGATCAAATTTAAACTTGCAGGGAGGGTATACTTAAGCTCATTGCTATAGGTTGTTTCTAGGCCAGGGATTAACAAATTTTTTCTGCTGGATTTGGCCTATTGACCTATTTGCCAACCCCTGCTCTAAGCCACAAAGGAAGAATTCTCATGAAAATTATTACATTGAGACTAAAGTTATGAGTCTGCATAATATATAATCTTTTAAATTATAAGAACTTGCTTCTTTCTAATCAACTCATATTGTGACTTGATTTTTTTAAGTATAGCTTAATTTCTAATAGAAACCAGAAGTAGAAATTTCAGTAGACATAAAAAATGACAGGCCTTCTAAATTCATGTTGTTATAAAACCAGAAGGTTAACATGTATGTTAAATATATACGACTAACACCCTGAATTTGGAAGTTAGTCTAATGTAGCAGAAAAATATGTTCTGTGTTTCTCCATTGTTATTCATAACTCCATAATGGGTAAGAGATAGTTAATTGGAGCATGTTGTTAGCAATGGTCTTCTGGGACAAGGAGCTAAGATAGCCTCTTCCTGTTTTCATGTAATGCTGGACTGTGCCTGGTTAGAGAAGGAAGAATTCTGGGGCATTTGCCACAGTCTACAAGGAGGAAAGTTACAAACGTAACCCTTCAGTTTCCTGCCAAAACTTTTTCTGTCTTCACTAAGAAGTTGGTCAAATGTATCTCTAGGTAGCATTCCTTGAAATAAGAAGAAAGGCAGAGGCTGGGTGCAGTGGCTCACGCCTGTAATCCCAGCACTTTGGGAGGCCAACATGGGCGGATCACCTGAGGTCAGGAGTTCTAGACCAGCCTGGCCAACAAGGTGAAACCCCGTCTCTACTGAAAATACAAACAAAATTACCCGGGCGTGGTGGTGGGCGTTTGTAGTCCCAGTTACTCAGCAGGCTGAGGCAGGAGAATTGCTTGAACCCGGGAGGCGGAGGTTGCAGTGAGCTGAGATCGCGCCACTGCACTCCAGCCTGGGTGACAGAGTGAGACCCTGCCACAAAAAAAAAAAAAAAGGAAGGCTGAGGCTGACCATTCCTACCCTTTAGAAAATATTAAAAATACATTTTATAGCCCAGGTTTCCAGGGACATCATCCGAGATTAGAACTGTCTACTTGGACATGACAGTGCTGTACCTGAATACCTGAAACATGTTAAAATCCTGTATTGGTATCTGGTAGGAACTTGTGCCCTAACTAAGTCTATGTTTTTCAAACTTTCTTGACCATGTCTCACAGTAGGAAATACATTTTTCGTTGTCAGCCAGTACACAGGCACATATATATACGGTAACATTCCATCTGGATGCACCAGCACAGCCATGCTCCTTAAAATACTGAAAAACCCTCATATCATGTGGTAAATAGCCACTTCCCTTTCCTCACCAACTAGTTAGTCCTCCTGCCTGATCCCTTTCAGAAACCTCCAGAACTAAAGCCAGCTTTGAGTTAAGATTGTTAAATATTTTGAATATCATCACTGTTGAAGACAAACATATATATTTGTATATATAAATATGTGTTTCATAATTTACCCTTAGTATGTATGATAGAGTCTCCTGTTTTCTATTCGATTTCACTTTTTAAAAATATTTTTTAGAACTCAGTTAATTTAAGGAGTCCCTACCACGGTTTGAAAAAATGCCACCCTAGTAATATTCTGTAAACATGGCCTGACAACATGAGGGTATTAAGGTATAAAATCCCTGGCTGCACAGGACTGGTAGACAAGGTGGAAGAGGACCTTATCAAGAAAGGAGGGGTGGGGGTACTGGAAAACATTGCCTCCTCTCCAAAATACACATAGATGCATCTAATTCATAGGGTTGGTATAGGAATATTAAAAAAAAAATAGTGAAATGACATAAAATTTGTATAGATCCTTTGAAAGCTATAAAATACTATATAAATAAAAGGTATTATTAAATAAAAGTAATAAAATGAGGGGTGGCTATTGCTATAAGGGAGAAGGGAACATTGGTTGACTACTGATCTATTAAGTTGTAATAAGAAAGTTTATTGAGATGTAGTTGGGAACTCTGTAATATGTTTCTGTCTTAAATATTTGATTAAATGACAGTCTTTTAGACTACTCCATTTTGAAAAGGTTCAAATATAAAATTGTTCTTAATGTGCATTTTTATTATTAAAGGTATTTGTAAAAATTGTCATTTGAAAGTTTAGGTATATGCTTATTTGGAGAATACTGAATATTTTTTTTTTTTTACCTTTCAGCACATTTGTGTGTCCAACTGAAATTATCGCTTTTGGCGACAGACTTGAAGAATTCAGATCTATAAATACTGAAGTGGTAGCATGCTCTGTTGATTCACAGTTTACCCATTTGGCCTGGTCAGTATCTTACACTTATATTCGTAGAAAAAAAAGAATGGATTTACTCTTAAAGCATGGACAGATAACTCTTGATATGATATAAGAATATAGTCATTTATCAGACAATTCAGGAATAGCTTTATCTAAGAGTAATACATGTAACTACACATTTTCCAGGTTAAAAAAAGAGAGAAGAGTAATATAATCAGCTGCTATAATAAAAATGCTTAAGGATTTTATAGGACATTTCAAAATAAGGGGAAAAGTTAAATGCAATAGATGTGATTTCTATAGCGAAAACCACTGAATTATATGCTTATGATAAATTGGGTTACCATAATCTGGAGGAAAAAAATCTTTAAAATATGCCATTTCTCTGTTACACAGTTATATAGTCAAACTCAGCTTTTACAATTTTGAAGAAACAATACTTTTTAAAAATGAATTTTAAAAAATGTTTAAAAATTCATTAATCATAAAAAGATGTTTTACCTAAATTCGTTATAAAGAATTGCAAATTAAAATGACGAGATGCCAATTTTCCCTGTCTGGTTGGCCAAGATTTAAAAGATTGAAAAAATGTATCCACTGTGGACAAAAATTGAAGAAACGGCACTCACACACAGCTGTTTAGCATTTCTGGAGAGCAGTTGGGCAACATGTCTCAAAATTGGAAATTTACATGTTAATATGAGTTTTTATAGTGTCCACAGTCTTGTGCAGAAAACTTTGTGCACAATAAAGACCATTCAGAATTGGGCTGGGCACAGTGGCTCATGCCTCTAATCCCAGCACTTTGGGAGGCCGAGGCAGGCAGATCACCTGAGGTCGGGAGTTCGAGACCAGCCTGACCAACATGGAGAAACCCCGTCTCTACTAAAAATACAAAATTAGCCAGGCGTGGTAGCAGGTGCCTGTAATCCCAGCAACTCAGGAGGCTGAGGCAGGAGAATCACTTGAACCCAGGAGGTGGAGGTTGCAGTGAGCCGAGGTCACGCCATTGCACTCCAGCCTGGGCAACTGGGCAATGAGAGTGAAACTCCATCTCAAAAAAAAAAAAAAAAAAAAAAAAAAAAAAAGATTCAGAACTATTGGTTTTAAAACATAATATTCAATTTATTAAAGTTACAAATTTGAAACACAAGCTTTTCTCATTTATAATCTGTGTGTGTATAACAAATTTTCATTGCTTGGTGAGCTACAATTTAATTAATTACATTTCCCTAAGAAATTAATTCCCATAAGTATTTTTAAATGCAGTTATATATTTAATATATTTGAATTCCTTAAGTATCTCAATTTTCAGACAAACCTTCCCAAATACTTAAGTAGTTCTAATATGCCAAATTCTCTTAAACATTATAAATAACTTAACATATAAATATGTACTGATTATTTCTTAATGTAAAAATATTAAAATAGCCTGGCATGGTGGCTCACGCCTATAATCCCAGCACTTTGGGAGGTCAAAGCAGGAGAATCATTTCAACCCAGGAGTTCAAGACCAGCCTGGGCAACATAGTGAGACCCCATCTATACAAAAAATAAAAAAAATTAGCCAGGTCTGGTGGTGCATGCCTGTGGTCCCAGCTACTCGGGAGCCTGAGATGGAAGGATGACCTGAGCCTAGGTGGTCGAGGCTGTAGTGAGCCAAGATCATACCACTGCACTTCAGCCTGGGCAATAGAGTGAGATCCTGTCTCAAAAAAAAAAAAAAAATTAAAATATAGGCTTAATTTGCTTCATCATTTCCTTTAAAAAAAGAAAGACAGGGTCTTACTATGTTGCCCAGGCTGGAGTGCAGTGGCACAATCAATCATAGCTCCCTGCAGCCTTGAACTCCTGGGCTCCAACAATCCTTCTACCTCCCCAAATAGTTGGGACTGCAAGCTTGCACCACCATACCTATTTTAATTTTTATTTTTGTAGAGATGGAGTCTTGCCATGTTGCCCGGGCTGTGCTTCATCACTTCTGTAGTAATTATAAATCTTCCGAGGATTAAAATGCATATCCACTAAGGAAAAAGTTATGGCATCCCAAATAATTTGGGATTGCTTTCCCAAGGAAATTTGGGGATACATTCTCAGCCTGATAGGGTTCACATCAACCAGAAATTTCTACTTGGGTGTCAGAACTGGGGCTCCAGATATCTAGAGCAATGTCGTTTTGTTTTCTATCTGCTGTGTCAGTACCCTCCTGTTAGAGCATCAGCCCATGTCTCCTGGTTTCAAGTTACAGAATACAGATTGAGCGTCCCTAACCTGAAATCCACAGTGTTCCAAAATTCAAAATTTGAGTGCTGACATGATGCTCAAAGGAAATGCTTAGTGAAGCATTTCAGAGTTCAGATTAGGGATGTTCAACCAGTAAGTATGCAGATATACCAAAATCGGAAAAAATCCTAAATCCAAAACACTTCTGGTCCCAAGCACTTCCGATAAGGGATACTCAACCTGTAGTGAAGACTGAGGCATCTGATATTATAACTCACTTCCTTCACTGCTTCAAGTGGACTTTGCATTTGTCTCTCAGAATATTAAAATGTCATCCATTTGTATCCTGCCTGTCTGTTCAAGGCTTTATCTTATGATCACACTACTAAGGTTATGCTTTTGATACTACGTATCTTTTGATCTATCAGTTTCACTTTCAGAAATCAATTAGACAAGTGTATAAAAGTAAGAATACAAGGATGTTTTCAGCAGTGTTTATAAAGCAAAAAAAAAAGGTAAATGGTTTAAATCTTCATCATGGAATTAAGTAAAATACAGTAAAGATGTTCCTGACTTACGATGGTTTGACGTATAATTTTTCAACTTTACAGTGGGTTTATGGGATAGTAAATACATTTTTAGCTAATGATATTTTCAATTTATGATGTGTTTATCAAGACACAGCCCCAGCCGGGCACAGTGGCCTGTAATCCCAGCACTTTGGGAGGCCAAGGTGGGCGGATCACCTGAGGTCAAGTGTTTGAGACCAGCCTGGCCAACGTGGCGAAACCCCATCTCTATTAAAAATACGAAAAATAGCTGGGCGTGGTGGCGGGTGCCTGTAATCCCAGCTACTTACAAGGTTGAGGCAGCAGAATCACTTGAACCTGGGAGGCAGAGGTTGCAGTAAGCCAAGATCGTGCCATTGCACTCCAGCCTGGGTGACAGAGCAAGACTCCATCTCAAAAAAAAAAAAGAAAGAAAGAAACAACCCCATCTTAAGTCAAGGAGTATCTGTGTATCCATACATTAAAAATGTGTTATAGGCCAGGCGCGGTGGCTCACGCCTGTAATCCCAGTACTTTGGGAGGCCAAGCCGGGTGGATCACCTGAGGTCAGGAGTTCGAGACCAGCCTGGCCAACATGGTAAATCCCTGACTCTACTAAAAATGCAAAAATCAGCCAGGTGTGGTGGCACATGCCTGTAATCCCAGCTACTTGGGAAGCTGAGGCAGGAGAATCGCTTGAACCTGGGAGGCAGAGGTTGCAGTGAACCGAGATCACGCTGCTGCACTCCAGCCTGGGCGACAGAGCAAGACTCCGTCTCAGAAAAAACAAAAATGTGTTGTAGGCTGAGCACAATGGCTCACGGCTATAATCCCAGCACTTTGGGAGGGTGAAGCAGGAGGATTGCTTGAAGCCAGGAGTTCGAGACCAGCCTGGGTAACAAAGCCACACCCCATCTCTACAAAAAAGTGTTTAAAACATTAGCCCAGTGGGATGGTGCACACCTGTAGTCCCAGCTTCTCAGGGGGCTGAGGCAAGAGGATCGCTTGAGCCTAGAAGTTTTAGGCTACGCTGAGCTATGATCACGTCACTGCCCTGCAGCCTGGGAGACAGAGCAAGACCCTGTCTCAAAAACATAAAATAAAAATGTGTTGTGTATATATATTTTTAATGTTTAAAGGATATGAATATATTAAATGGGAAAAGCAAGAAAATAGAAAGTATATTAGCCTGTTTTTGTTAGTGAAAGAATGTGTGTATTTCATGTGTGTGCGTGTGCATGTATAGAGAAAGAGTGCTGTTTTAATATATGCCGTTTACTTAGCTCTGAGAGGTAAGCGTTCTGTTTGTTACAGGATTAATACCCCTCGAAGACAAGGAGGACTTGGGCCAATAAGGATTCCACTTCTTTCAGATTTGACCCATCAGATCTCAAAGGACTATGGTGTATACCTAGAGGACTCAGGCCACACTCTTAGGTACCTTTCAGTGGTTTTATATTATGACAAATCCAAGCGTGTTTATAATCCTCCTTGAAATAGATGTTATTTATGAAATAGAAGAACAAATTTTGATCAAGAAATATAATTTTGAGGCCAGGCACGGTAGCTCAAGCCTGTAATCCTGGCACTTTGGGAGGCCACGGTGGGCAGATTACTTGAGGTCAGGAGTTTGAGACCAGCCTGGCCAACATGGTGAAACCCTGTCTCTACCAAAAAATATAAAAATTACCCAGGCATGGTGGCGTATGCCTGTAGTCCCAGCTACTCGGGAGGCTGAGGTGGGAGAATTGCTTGAACCTGGGAGGCGGAGGTTTCAGTGAGCCCAGATCATGCCACTGCACTCCAGCCTGGGCGACAGAGTGAAAAAAAAAAAAAAGAAATAATTGGCTGGGCATGGTGGCTCACGCCTATAATCCCAGCACTTTGGGAGGCCGAGGGGGGCAGATCATGATGTCAAGATATCGAGACTATCCTGGCCAACCAACATGGTGAAACCCCATCTTTACTAAAAAATACAAAAATTAGCTGGGCATAGTGGCATACGCTTGTAGTCCCAGCTACTCGGGAGGCTGAGGCAGGAGAATCGCTCGAACCCAGGAGGCGGAGGTTGCGGTGAGGCGAGATCACGCCACCGCACTCCAGCCCAGGCGACAGAGCAAGACTCCGTCTCAAAAAGAAAAAAAGAAAGAAAGAAAAATGTTACTTTGTTCTATTAGTCTTTAAACTACTAAACTTAAACCGTTAGTTTATATTACCCTGATTAAACTATGTTAGCATCATAGACTTTTAGAGCTGGAAGATTATTTAGAGGTCTTTCACCCACCCTGTCATCTTACAGATAAAAGAGACAGATTCATAGAGTTCCGTGATCTTAGCCAAAGTTATATAATAATTTAATTGCAGAGCCCAGACTTAAATCCAGGTCCCCCAACTCCTTGTCCATTTCTTTTTCCTTTTTTGCAACCTGACTCCAGTAATGTTTTTTTCTAAATACAAGTGTCATACTACTTAGCAAACCTGTGTCTTTGGAGTAGGAAAAATTAAGGAAATATTTTACCCAGACGCTCTCACTGGGTTACTTGAGCTAACAAACATTAATAGAATTCTTTGAAAAGGGGGCAATTTTAGTGTGGAACAGTTGTAATTTGGTTGTATTGATTTGCTTTGTAGTGCCAATAGTTTTTCTTGAATGTTTTATGTGAAAGTGTCAGTATTTTATAATCCTGTGTTTTTTTATAACAACTTTATTGGAATATAGTTCACATATAATACAATACCCATTTAAAGAATACAATTCAGCTGGGCATGGTAGTTCATGCCTGTAATCCCAGCTCTTTGGGAGACCTAGGTGGGAGGATCCCTTGAGCCCAGGAGTTTGAGACTAGTCTGGGCAACATAACAAGACCCTTGTCTTCTACAAAAAAAAAAAAATAATTTTTTTTTGTTAAATTAGGCCATTGTGGTGGCACATTCCTGTAGTCCCAGCCTACTCAAGAGGCTGAGATAAGAGGATCGCTAGAGCCTGGAAGTTCAAGGTTGCAATGATCTATGATCACACCACTGCACTCTCGCCTGGGTAACAAGAGTGAGACCCTGTCTCTAAAAAAATAATTAAAATTAAAAATAAAGAATACATAGCCGGGCGCAGTGGCTCACGCCTGTAATCCCAGCACTTTGGGAGGCCAAGGCAGGCGGATCACGAGGTCAGGAGATCGAGACCATCCTGGCTAACACGGTGAAACCCCATCTCTACTAAAAAAAATAGAAAAAATTAGCCGGGCGTGGTGGCGGGTGCCTGTAGTCCCAGCTACTCGGGAAGCTGAGGCAGGAGAATGGCGTGAACCCTGGGGGGCGGAGTCTGCAGTGAGCCGAGATCGCGCCACTGCACTTCAGCCTGGGCGACAGCGAGACTCCGTCTCAAAAAAAAATAAATAAATAAAGAATACATTTCAGTGGTTTTTGTGTATTCACAGAGTTGTGCAACCATCACCACAATTTTAGAATGTTTTCATGCTCCAAAAAACCCCATACCCATTAGCAGTCACTCCATGTTTCCCCTAACCCACTTCCCCTGGCTTTAGGCAACCACAAATCTACTTTATGTCTCTATAGTTGCCTATTCTGGACATTTCATATAAATGGAATCCTACAATATGTGCTTTTATGACTAGCCTCTTTCACGCAGCATAATGTTCTCAAGGTTCATTGTATTGTATCATGTATTGCTACCAGTAGTTTCCCCTCTTTTGTACTTGCTAAGTATTTAATGTTTTCTGCTTTCATAAAATCTGTTACTAAGTTAATTTCCAAGAATAAATATGCCCCAAAAACGACTGAGGCAGTTTTAAAATGTGGAATCATTTGAACATTAACCAAGTAAAATTATCTAACGTTAGCTATATTATTTGACCTGAGCCAGTAGTTTCTTTTTAAAATTTTTTTGTTAAGGCCGGGCATGGTGGCTCACGCCTGTAATCCCAGCACTTTGGGAGGCCGAGGCAGGTAGATTGCTCAAGTCCAGCAGTTTGAGACTAGCCTGGGCAACATGGCGAAACCCTGTTTGTACAAAAAATACAAAAATTAGCTGGGCGTGGTGGCACACACCTGTAGTCCCAGCTACTCAGTAGGCTGTGGCGAGAGGATCACTTGAGCCCAAGAGGTTGAGGCTGCAGTGAGCCGAGATCATGCCACTGCACTTCAGCCTGGGCAACAGAGTGAGATCCTGTTTGAAAACAAATAAAAAATTTATTATTTATTTTCAAAATAATACATGTACATATGCACATAGTTTTTAAAGGTCAGATTATCTTCAACAACTGTAAATACTCTGGTACATTTCTTAGCCAAAAACAAATTTTTAAAGCTGCAGTTTTACAGTGATAATTCCAAATTATACATTAGATTGAGGGAGGGATGTCCACAGGTGTGTGTACGTGTGTGTGTGTGTGTGTGTGTATACCATTGGAGTAGGTAGGTAGTGTGGTGTTTGTTCTGTATAGCATCCTTTTGTGTGGATGGTATAGGAATTCACAATACATAAATGAGAAGAAATGACCTCATCTCTACCATTCTTCTGTTTTACAGAGGTCTCTTCATTATTGATGACAAAGGAATCCTAAGACAAATTACTCTGAATGATCTTCCTGTGGGTAGATCAGTGGATGAGACACTACGTTTGGTTCAAGCATTCCAGTACACTGACAAACACGGAGAAGGTACCTCTCCCTTCTAACCTTTTGATTTTTTAGTTTGAAAGATAGCATAATTAGTTAGGTTTCTTATCGTAAAAGTAATCGATATTTCCAAAGTTTTCTGATTATTTACAAATTATTAGCAGATCCTTTTAACAGACCAAATTATAATTTACAGTGCTTTAACAAAATATCAGGCCAGGCATGGTGGCTCATGCCTGAAATCCCAGCATTTTGGGAGGCCAAGGTAGGAGGATTGCTTGAGCTCAGGAATTCAAGACCAGCCTGGGCAACCCAGTGAAACCTCACCTCTACTAAAAATCAAAAAAAAAAAAAAAAAAAAAAAAAAAAATATATATATATATATATATATATAAACTAATATATTCTGCTTACTAAATGAGATGCAAAAATATTCACTATTTGCATAGTCCTTTTTGATAAACTCAAAGACAAAAGTTTCTGCTACTGCAATTTTTAAAATTATGTTTCTGCAAGCTTAGAATGTGTCAATCTGGCAACATTTAGTGATGTAGTTTTCATTTGCCTCTTTGCATTATTGAATTTAGCCTTTTAAATAATCCTTGATCACTTCTCTGCCTTTCAGCTAAGATGAAGTATAGTAATGTAATCTCTGGGCTTATTCAGTATCACATTTGTAATCTACAAGTTCATCATTTTGCTAAAATAGAACACATTATATATTCCTTTTAAAAATGTCACTGAGTCAGGATGCATTCTAATGTCTCTTTTGACAAACAGTGAATCATGTCATCAGTACAAAGTACTGAAGTATACATGGCAAACAAGCGTACTGGAAGTTTATGTAAATTTGGAGGAATTTTTGCCATGCCCAGGCCTTTCAGCTCACCAGATTCCCAAACTTTCCAACTGTATTAGAGGGGCAATCAATTTGATTTCTTATATTTTAAATGTAACTAAACATAATTGGTAAAAATGAAAATAGATTAGCTGCCTGCTTATGAGCTCCATGACTAAAATTCCTTGGTGTCAACAGGCAGCTAATAGAAGTCATGTGCTCGGTGGTCTGGAAATGTTCTTATTAGTATATTCTATTCAGTTTCATATAGAAACAGAAAAAGTCAGTTGCTGAAGGTAACTGAATTCTGTTTTTAAAATGTCTTCTGCCTCTTTTTGTTTCTTTTAGTCTGCCCTGCTGGCTGGAAACCTGGTAGTGAAACAGTAAGTATATATATATGTTTTTATGTTGAGTTGATGGTTAGAGTTGAAAAAAATGCTGGCCGGGCGCAGTGGCTCACGCCTGTAATCCCAGCACTTTGGGAGGCTGAGGCGGGCAGATCACGAGGTCAGGAGATGGAGACCATCCTGGCTAACATGGTGAAATCCGTCTCTACTAAAATACAAAAAAAAAAAATTAGCCGGGCATGGTGGTGGGTGCCTGTAGTCCCAGCTACTCGGGAGGCTGAGGCAGGAGAATGGCATGAACCCGGGAGGTGGAGGTTGCAGTGAGCCGAGATCATGCCACTGCACTCCATGCTGGGCGACAGAGCAAGACTCCTTCTCAAAAAAAAAAAAAAAAAAATGCTAACCTTAGAATAATCTTCCCTTGTTACTAGAACTGTCTTGATTTTGTAAATGAAGTAAACATTGCTAAGCAGAAATCAGAGTACAGACATTCTTTGGCCTGTAGGAAGAGTAGCTGAAACCGGAGAAAGCAGAATATGGGGCGTGATGCTGTGAATTTTAAAGCCAGGTATACAGATAAATACACCGTTCGAAAAAAAAAAGTAGGGCAGAGTGGAGACTTGGTAGAATAATTCAGAGGTCTTATAGGTCATGTATCGAATTTCTTCCTGTATTGGGACAAAGAAAACAGTCACAAGCAAAACCTTTCTATGCATAGTAAGAGGTTTTGAGAAAATCTAGCTCAATTAATACTGAAGATAATGATTCTCTCCTTGTCATGAAGAAAGAAAAGATTGAAACACGTATATTCTTTCATTTAGGAGGCTGTATAATTTTTTTTTCTTTTTTGAGACGGAGTCTTGCTCTGTCGCCCAGACTGGAGTGCAGTGGCATGATCTGGGCTCACTGCAACCTCCGCCTCCAGGGTTCATGCAATTCTCATGCCTCAGCCCCCTAAGTAGCTGGGACTACAAGCCTGCACCACCACACCCAGCTAATTTTTGTATTTTTTGGTAGAGACAGGGTTTCACCATGTTGGCCAGGCTGGTCTCAAACTCCTGACCTCAAGCGATCCACCCACCTCAGCCTCCCAAAGTGCTGGGATTACAGGCATGAGGCACCGCTCCTGGCCCAACCAACCTATTTATGAAAGCATTTATTACCACAACCTAAAATTAGAATTAGGATATAACTCCAAGGGCAGGGACTTTGGCTGTGTTGTTCACTAATAAATACTGCCTATCATAATACCTTGAATAGTTTCCATATAGTGAGTCTGTTGAAAGAACGTCCAAACACATAAATATATACAACTATTATTTGTCAATCAATCAAAAATTAAAAAGAATGACCACCACAGTATGTGATAACACGTATGCATTTTTCTGGAGGGAGAATCCATAGTTTTCACCAGATTCTCAGAGATTTGTGGCCCCCAAAAGTTAATCATGTAAATAGTCAACATGTTTTCCGAAATGTCCGGTACTCATCCTATAATACCTTTCAGAGTGAAATTGTACTTCTTGGGAGCTCTCACTGATCTCTGGGAACTTGGACACCTAGCACATGCCTGTGATTGGAGATGATGTTTTCATCAGTCACAGAGGGTTTTGCTGCACCTCCAGGGGGAAGTGCCCCCTACCTTGAAGATGTGTCTGAAATGCTTTTTAAGGCTTCTTAAGCTGCTGCTTAAGCCAGCAGCTTCTGATTCATATTTCTTTCTATAAGCCTCATAATCAACAAATGTAAACTAATGTGACTGATTTATACTTTAAGGTACCTAGTGGTCAAAGTACCTTTAATGTGTAATTTCAAATCCCCTTTGAGATCCATCAGATTAACATAGAGATGAGTAAGTTTGCTATTGTAACATTAACTTTGACCTCAAAGCAAAACTGTTTTGCAAACCCATCAGAAATTGATTCAGAATCAGTCAATTACAAAAGTTACAATAAGTTATTTTTATATATATAAAGATAGATGTACTTTACCTATAACTAGCAAATAACATAATGTGAGGCCAAATTATATTGGAAATTTTTTTTAAGTCTAACAGGATTCTAAGGCTGTGATGCTCTTAGAGGGAACACAACAGTATTCATTAACTATTGACAGTAGTGCTTGATGTATTTGAGTTTGGGTTTTTTTTTTGTTTTTTTTTTTTTACTTTGCAGCTTGAGATTTAAAAGGTGTATTCTGGACTTTAGTGAGCCCTTAGTGAACACCTGCCTCCTTTTCAGATAATTGTGACATACCATCATTTTAGCAGCATGATTTTAAAAGTACATTAACATCTGTAGCCATGCTCTCTAAATGTGTTTGACTTAATTAGATCAAACCTGAAGATACCATGAAAGCCTGGTGGCCAAGAGAGAGCTGTAAGTAAGTTTTGGGGTGCTTGAGTACAGATGTTAATTTATTCACACAAAATAAAAATATTTGTCTTTTGGAATAGCCGAAATTAGTAGGCAGGACAAATCTCATTTTTTTCTAAATATACAATCTGATATACAAAAATAATTTTTAGTCAAGGCATGGGCAACTAATGTCAGACTACTCATTATGTACTTTGGCTTTAAAATGAATAATTTCCTTTCTTCGTTTTGTTTTAACAGATAATCCCAGATCCAGCTGGAAAGCTGAAGTATTTCGATAAACTGAATTGAGAAATACTTCTTCAAGTTATGATGCTTGAAAGTTCTCAATAAAGTTCACGGTTTCATTACCACATTGTGTTGCAGTAGTAATTTCTTGGAGAATATAAAAATCCACATCAAAGTCCAAAGATATTTAGCGTTAGCGTTAGACACTGATGCCAAAAGACAAGCAGTTATTCTCTGTCTTTCCAAAGGAAGAAATGGGAGATTGAATCAAACTGAGTAATAGCAATAATGACATTTACGGGGTACATGCCATGTGCCAGGCCTTGTGTTAAGCAGGTTAGGGGCATTATTTAATCCTCACAGCAACTCATTGAGTTCTTTATTTTACAGATGAGGAAACTGAAGTGCAGGTAGATTACTTACTTACCCAAAGTCACATAGCTAGCTAGCAAAGGCAAAATCCGACCTTGCACCCAGACAGGCTAATTCTAGTTTCTGAGCTCTTAACACTCCACTGTGGCTCACCTCTCCATACCTTTGAGGGTAGCGGTAAAGAACGGGTTGTGAGCACACTCACCTTCCACAGTAATAGGAATAGCTGGCCCCATGGCCCACTGCTCTGTAATAACATAAAGCCTTTTGCCCCCGCCGCCATCTCTAAATTTACATCTTCAGCTTGTACCAAATTTATAAGTTAGATATTTAGTTTAACAAAATTTGAATCCTTAAATACATATAACTAGCTCTTAACAAATGACCATATACAAAGCTGAACTCCAGTGCTATTTCATCATCCCATTTGCCACCCCAATATGGCAATTACTTTATTGTCATTATCTGTAGACATGCCATGTAGTTAAGAGACCAGGTACCCAGGAGAATTAACTTCATCCTGTCTTCCATGCTAATCTGCTAATCTCTGTCCGTTTTGTTTCTGAGACAGGGTCTCACTCTGTCACCCAGGCTGGAGTGCAGTGGTATGGTCTTACTGCAGCCTCAACCTCACGGGCTCAGGCAATCCTCCCACCTCAGCCCCCCAGGTAGCTGGGACTATAGGCATGCACCACCATGCCCGGCTAATTTTTATGTTTTTTGCAGACATGGGGTTTCACCATGTGGCCCAGGCTGGTCTTGAACTCCTGAGCCTAAGCAATCCACCCGCCTTGGCCTCCCAAAGTGTGGGAAGATGCATGAGCCCCTGTGCCTAGCCATCCCCTCTCTTAATACAAAAAGCCCTTCTCCTGGGGAAAGGCCATCACTAGAAGTGGTGGGGGGATTACTGGGCTTCTGGCTGAAATTGAGGTCTGTCGCAAATGGCGGGTGATTTGTAGATACACAGGAATCCAGCTGCCATTTATAACCTTTTTCTATAGCAGAGTATGTTCTAATGCTAGTTTACAGTTGAAGTTTTATAAACCAATCTATTAGTAAAGTTGAAGACTGCTAGTACTTTGATATCTAAACAGGTTTGTGATAACCTTGTCAATAGGTCCAATACAATGGGAATTCTATATGCAGATTTCCTCCTTCCAATCTAAAAAGTACAAATGTTTTACTCATGAAATAAGCTGGTATCCCTTTTTTTAAGAGTCAGGGTCTCACTCTGACATCAATGTATTTATGTGTCTGTATATATTCATACACGTACACTCCAAGCTGGAGTGCAGTGGCATAATAATGGCTCACTGCAGCGTCAAACTCCTGGCCTCAAGCGATCCTCCTACCTCAGCCTCCCAAGTCTCTGGGACTACAAGCATGCACCAGCAGCATCTTCTTGATTAATAGTTTCCATTCTTTGGAGCTTTTCTAGCCTCCTGTTCATTTTAGTATGGTTTACAAGGAGAACTATTTGTAGGTCCACCCAGAAAAACCAGTCATTAATGTTTCATTCAACATTCAGCAACTATTGACCACCTAAACACTTGGCGTACATCAATGACCAAATAACAAATTTCTGCCCTCAAGGAGCTCAGTATTTGATTACTGAAGCGGGTGCTGATAGAATAGTAATTTCTTGGTACTCACAAGTAAGTGAAGATACATACCCTGACTTGCCACTTTTTTTTTTTTTTTGAGATGGCGTCTCGCTCTGTCACCCAAGCTGGAGTGCAGTGGCACGATTTCAGCTGACTGCAACCTCTACCTCCTGGGTTCCAGCGATTCTCCTGTCTCAGCCTCCCGAGTATCTAGGATTACATGCGTGTGCCTCCATGCCTGGCCAATTTTTGTATTTTTAGTAGAGACGGGGTTTCGCCATGTTGCTCAGGCTGGTGTCGAACTCCTGAACTCAAGTGATCTGCCTGCCTCGGCATCCCAAAGTGCTGGGATTACAGGTGTGGGCCACAGCGCCTGGCCTCTCACCACTTTTCGTATTAACTGAGTGATATACATAGCTTCCGAATAAAATAGCACTAAATGCACCCCTTTTGTCAGTGCCTTTTATAAACTATCCCTTCAAAGAGCTGACTTCTGAAAGTCCATAAATCCAAGCTTACATCTTAAAAGATGGTCTCGTGGCCATTTACAAGACTGGAAAAAGAGTTGAGAAAGGATAGTCCCCTGCCCTACTGGAGACGATGGACCCTGGGCCTAACCAGGATGCAGCTACTAGAGACCTATTCCCAGAAGATGCTGACCTACCATAATCTGGAGCAGTGCTTCTCAATGGGGAGGGATGGAGATTTTGCCCCCAGGAGACATGGCAATATCTGGGATGTTTTTATTGTCAAAACTGAAAATACAGCCGGGCGCGGTGGCTCACGCCTGTAATCCCAGCACTTTGGGAGGCTGAGGCGGGTGGATCACGAGGTCAGGAGATCGAGACCATCCTAGCTAACACGGTGAAACCCCGTCTCTACTAAAAAAAATACAAAAAAAATTAGCCAGGCGTGGTGGCAGGCGCCTGTAGTCCCAGCTACTCGGGAGTCTGAGGCAGGAGAAAGGCGTGAACCCAGGAGGCGGAGCTTGCAGTGAGCCGAGATCACGCCACTGCACTCCAACCTGGGCAACAGAGTGAGACTCCGCCTCAAAAAAAAAAAAAAAAACTGAAACTACTACTGGCATCTGGTGGGTAGAGGCCAAGGGTGCTGCTAAACATCCTACAATGCACAGGACAGTCCCACAGCAAAGACTTTTCTGCTTCAAGATGTTAACTGTGGCAATGTTGAGAAAACCCGCTCTAGAGACTAAGGAAAGGAGGAGACCAGTATCATTTAGTAGCTGCCTGTACAGCAGGAGGTCAGAACAATGCCACAACAGTAGGAGCTTACCCAAAATAATAGATCAAGAGATGACCTGCCCACAAACATTTAAAAAATAGTAAATAAGGCCGGACATGGTAGCTCACGCCTGTAATCCCAGCACTTTGGGAGGCTGAGGCGGGCAGATCACCTGAGGTCAGGAGTTTGTGACCATCCTGGCCAACATGGGGAAACCCCGTCTCTACTAAAAACACAAAAATTAGCCAGGCATGGTGGTGGATGCCTGTAATCCCAGCTACCGGGGAGGCTGAGGCAAGAGAATCGCTTGAACCCGGGAGGCGGAGGTTGCAGTGAGCCGAGATCACGCCACTGTACTCCAGCCTTGGCGACAGAGCGAGACTCTGTCTCAAAAAAAAAAAAAAATTAGTAAATAAATAGGAGGCCAGGAGCAGTGGCTCACGCCTATAATCCCAGCACTTTGGGAGGCCAAAGTGGGCAGATCACCTGAGGTCGGGAGTTCAAGACCAGCCTGACCAACATGGAGAAATCCTGTCTCTACTAAAAATACAAAAATTAGCCGGGCATGGTGGCAGACACCTGTAATCCCAGCTACTCAGGAGGCTAAGGCAGGAGAATCCATTGAACCTGGGAGGCGGAGGTTGTGGTGAGCCGAGATCAGGCCATTGCACTCCAGCCTGGGTAAAAAGAGCGAAACTCCATCTCAAAAAAAAAATGTAAATAAATAGGTGACTGACTGGCCGCGGTGGCACACACCTGTAATCCCAGCACTATGGGAGGCCTAGGCGGGTGGATCACCTCAGATCAGGAGTTCAAGACCAGCCTGACTAACATGATGAAACCCCATCTCTAGTAAGTACAAAAAATTAGCTTGGCTTCGTAGTGGACACCTGTAATCCCAGCTACTTGGGAGGCTGAGGCAGGAGAATGGCTTGAACCTGGGAGGCAGAGGTTGCAGTGAGCCGAGATCGTGCCACTGCACTCCAGCCTGGGCGACAGAATGAGACTCCATCTCAAATAAACGGAAGTGACCTGAAGTTTCTATGAAACACACCAGGCAATATCTTTCCAGTGCACTAATATATGAATGACATCTATTATTCCCTGCTTCTCCCTATAATTTCTAGTCTTCTGTTGAATATTTCACATTTAAGCCTGGCCAGTGTTCTGAGGTTTCCAGTGATCATGGTGGACAGCTCTTTCAGGGATTTCTTAGTCCCTAGAATCTCACACAAGAGATCATTCCTCACGCCCTCCCCACCACATCCCCATTGTCTCTTCTCTGTCCAAGAGCTCATCTAACCCTACATCCTAAACTTCCCATCTGTCACTAGGTTTCCAGGTTGTATATTTTGTTCTCAAACACATTAACTACTATTTTATTATTTAATGATATTTTGGTATCCTAACCCCCCTATGAACTTTGTGACAACACTATGTCACTGAGAAATCTTTGAATACAAGGTTATTAATATATAAGATGTAACAAAATATGTGTTTCAGGTAAATAATTTCATAGACCGGGCGTAGTGGTTCACACCTGTAATCCTAGCACTTTGGGAGGCCGAGGCGGGCGAATCACTTGAGGTCAGGAGCTCAAGACCAGCCTGGCCAACATGGTGAAACCTCGTCTCTACTAAAAATACAAAAATTAGCTGGACGTGCTCGCTTAAACCCAGGAGGCGGAGGTTGCAGTGAGCCAAGGTCGTGTCACTGCACTCCAACCTTGGTGACAGAACAAGACTCTCTCTCAAAAAAAAAAGTTTCATAAAAGTGTCTGCAGTGGAGGGGAATATATATACACATATCTATGTATTTGTGTGTCTATATATATTCATACATATATATAGGGTCAAAAAACTTTTACAGCTGGGTGCAGTGGCTCATGCCTATAATCCCAGCACTTTGGGAGGCCGAGGCAGGAAGGTCACTTGAGCCCAGGAATTTGAGACCCGCCTGGACGATATGGTGAGACCTCATCTCTACAAAAAGTATAAAAATTATCCAGGCGTGGTGTCTTGTACTTGTAGTCCCAGCTGTTCCTGAGCCTAAGGCAGGAGGATCATTTAAGCCCAAAAGGTCAAGCCCTCAGTGAGCTGTGATCACACCACTGCACTCCAGCCTGGGCAAGAGAGCAAGACCCTGTCTCAAAAAAAAAGAAAAAAAGAAAAGAAAAGAAAAAGAAAAACTGTTTTTCCTCTGTTCTCACATGACAACAATCAATACAGAAGACTTCTGTGACCAAATGTGTAGGGTGTAGGGATTTTCCCCACCAACAGGCAAGCAATTCTGCAGTGGACACCAGCCAGGAATCTTCTGATCCAATTCAATTCTGATGCTGTCCACCTGGATATAGCATCAGATACCACAGGTTGAGGGCTCAGACCCACAGGACTGCCCCCACTTCAGACACCAGCTCCCAAGTACAGGCCTCTGGAACTTCTGACTGACTGACTTCAAGTTGGGGTTCCCATGACCCCCTCTTTAGGCTCAATTGTTAGAGCAGCTTGCAAAACTCCGGGAAACGCCCACTTACACTTACCAGTTTCTTATGAAGGATATTTTGAAGGATACGAATAAACACCCAGATGAAGAGGCACATAGGGCGAGGTCTGGAAGGGTCCTGAGCACGGGAGCTTCTATTCCCGTGGAGTTGGGGTGCACCATCATCCCAACACATGGGTGAATTCTTGTTCACCTTCCTGCAAGCCTTCACCAGCTCAGCTGTCCAGAAGTTCTGCGTACCTGGTCCTCTTGGGCCTTTTATGGAGACTTCATTGGATAGGCATGACTGAAGCATGGACAACCGTGTCAAAATGTGATTGGATCGCTTCTCGGCCTTTTGGCTAAGATCAAGTGCAAAACGTGATTGGGCAAAAAGGGCATGATCTAATGCTAATAGACGGAGTGGGGAATCCTAGCAAGGCCTGTCCAGATTCCTGTTGGCCTCTCTGCACGGCACTCCTTCCTCCTGGGTTGAGGGCAGGACCCTTTCTAAAATGAGGATCTTATGACCTACAATCAGACAAGGTAGGTCAGAGAATTTCTTTATGACCGGCTCCAAATACAAAGGTGGGGGCAGATTATATTTTCAGTTTCTATGGCCTGCCTTGGAGAGACAAAGGAGCAGGTGAAAAAGGAGAGTATGAGAAGGTCAGCGGGAGAGGCTGTTTTCTGAGCCCTGCTTCTGAGGCCTACAGCACCCGCACATTAAAACCAAAGATGGTCTTTTCCTTTGATCGCTCTGAAGCACTTCCAAAGCTGCTTCAGGAACCAAGGACTAAAGGACGAACACTTTAACAAAAGATATGCTTATTGCTTAATCACTTGGGAAATAATAAGGGCTATGGGAGTTATGAGCCAGGAACCATGGACAAAAAGCTATATATATATAATGATATCACATATATATAATGATATCACATAGATATACATATGTATATATACACACACAGATGCTTCTATAAACTCATATTTTTTACCTAGCTTTTCAACAGAAAAGAAAATGTTTATCATAGTTACTATGTATTTAGTTTCATATAGCAAAGTAATTTTTACCAATCCTATTACTAAATAACAATTTTAGCATAATATTGTACATTTATGTAAAATGCTAAAAATATATTTTATTTATTTATTTTGAGAGGGGCTGGAGTGCAGCAGCACAATCTCGGCTCACTGCAGCCTCTGCTTCCCAGGTTCAAGTAATTCTGCCTCAGCCTCCCAAGTAGCTGGGATTACAGGCAAGCACTACCATGTCTGGCTAATTTTTGTATGTTTAGTAGAGGCAGGGTTTCACCATGTTGGCCAGGCTGACCTCAAGTGAATGGCCCGCCTCAGCCTCCCAAAGTGCTGGGATTACAGGCATGAGCCACCGTGCCCAGCCCAAAAATATATTTTAAAAGAGCCTCCTTCCTGAGTCTTAAACTTACAATTTTTTTTAATTAACAAATTCAAAAGCCAACTCGAACACCCAAATTCACCTAAATCGTATATTTGTTCACACAAAAAACATTTATTACCTAAATATGTGCAAGGGACTTTGCTAGACAATAGGAATAAAAAGATCTGATACAATTCCTTCCCTCAAGAAGCCCACAGTCTCATAAGTGAAATAAGCATGTAAGAAAAGGAATTATGGCCAAGCACAGAGGCTCACGCCTGTAATCCCAACACTTTGGGAGGCCAAGGCAGGCGGATCACTTGAGCCCAGGAGTTCAAGATCAGCCTGGGCAACATAGTGAAACTCTGTCTCCACAAAACATTTAAAAATTAGCCAGATGTGATGGTGCACGCCTGTAGTCCCAGATACTCGGGAGGCTGAGGCAGGAGGATCACTGGAGCCCTGGGGTAGTTGAGGCTGCAGTGAGCCATGATCATACCACTGCACTCCAGCCTGGGTGACAGAGTAAGACCCTGTCTCAAATAAATAAATAAATAAATATTTAAAAATGGAATTGCAATACCTTGGAATAAGTGCTAAAAACACCAGCTCCTGTGGAGGTTCCATGGTGAGCACAAACAACCACAAGAAAAATCAGGGATGGAATGAGGGAAGGTTTCACAGGGAAGAAGAGGTGTACACCCATTTCCCATTTCTCCACTGAAGGCCATATCATCTGCAAGTAGCCCTTACAGAAGAAGACAGTACTTATCACCCAACGTCAAGAGAACCAAGGACTGACTGGTTTTCCTCTTTGATGATTATCTACTGGGAAATGGCACATATTTTAGAGTTGATTGGCTAGGGTTAGGGGTCAAATGTGGGGCCAAGGCCAGATGGAAATTTTAAGAATTGAATCAAGGCTGGGGGCAGTGGCTCATGTCTGTAATCCCAGCACTTTGGGAGGCTGAGGCAGAAGGATCACTGGAGCTCAGGAGTTTGAGACCAGCCTGGGCAACAGAGTGAGACCCCAACTCTATAAAAAAATTGTTAAAAATAGCCAGGCCTGGTGGTGTGCGCCTGTGGTCCCAGCTATTTGGGAGGCTGAGGTGGGAGGATCACTTGAGCCCAGGAGGTCCAGGCTGCAGTGAGCCGTGATCAAGCCACTGCACTCCAGCCTGGGTGACAGAGCAAGACCCTGTCTCAAATAATAATAATAAAAAAAGAATGGAATCTGTAGTCTTGATTTCATTACTTCAAGCTCTGGCTATTTGTACAGTTCACTCTGGACATCAGAAACAGGATTTCCAAGTTGTGTTAAAGGGAATACACTGCACTGTAACACAAAGGCCACAAGATGGCACCCAGCCCACAGAAAGCAAACAGCCACTTGTGAAGCCGGGGCGGGTGGGGATGGGGGTGGGGGCGGGGGGGTGCGCCGGGGGTGGGGGGTAACGCGGGGGAGCGTTACCCTAAACTAAAAGAGCAACAATTAACTGTCAAACTAATGTTTTTACAAATTTAATTTATTAAAAAACAGGAAAATAACTTAGAAATTCAGAACAATTTAAAACTAAGCACAACTTAAATAGGTATGTGAACTTTACTAAGTATACTCCTTCCATCCATGATGGAAGGTCAAACTTTTTAACCATAATCCATGTAGAAGTACATTTTACATTGTGACCTAGTACTCACGTAGATGTGTGTACCATGTGCATACATAACGTGTCACACAACACTTAACATTACTATGCATGATGCATTCTGATGTTTTTTCTTTTTTTAAATATTCAAGCCCACTCATTTTTATGTCCTACTAATTTCAAGCCCATAGTTAGAAATATATATATATATTTTATATATATATAAACTGTCTAAAAATATATATTTTATATATATATATATATATATATATATATATATATATATATATATATATATATATATATATATTTAGACAAAGTCTCGCTCTGTTGCCCAGGCTAGAGTGCAGTGGCGCAATCTCAGCTCACTGCAACCTCCGCCTCCCAGGTTCAAGCGATTCTCCTGCCTCAGCCTCCTGAGTAGCTGGGACTACAGGCGCCCGCCATCACGCCTGGCTAATTTTTGTATTTTTAGTAGAGACGGGGTTTCACCATGTTGGTCAGGCTAGTCTCGAACTCCTAACCTCGTGATCCACCCGCCTCGGCCTCCCAAAGTGCTGGGATTACAGACGTGAGCCACCGTGCCTGGCGGATATATATATATATAATTTTTTTTGAGACAGAGTCTCGCTCTGTCGCCCAGGCTGGAGTGCAGTGGCGCGATCTGGGCTCACTGCAGCCTTCGCCTCGCGGGTTCAAGTGATTATCCTGCCTCAGCCTCCCAAGTAGCTGGGACTACATATGCGTGCCACCATGCCTGGATAGTTTTTTCATTTGTTTGTGGAGATGGGGCTTTGCCATGTTGGCCAGGAGGTCTTGAACTCCTGGGCTCCAGATATCCGCTCGCCTCAGCCTCCCAAAGTGCTAGGATTACAGGCATGAGCCACCACGTCTGGCCCTAATCCCTTCTTTTAACTCCTCTTTTCTGTTTCCTATTTTATAGTAAATTCATTACTTGCTGCCAACAGAAGGGAAAGAAAACACAACTCAGCTGGGCGCGGTAGCTCACACCTGTAATCTCAGCACTTTGGGAGGCGAGGCAGAGGAGGTCGGATTACCCGAGTTCAGGAGTTTGAGACCAGCCTGGCTGACATGGTGAAACCCCAGTCTCTACTAAAAATACAAAAATGAGTTGGGCGTGGTGGCGGGTGCCTGTACTCCCAGCTACCCGGGAGGCTGAGGTAGAAGAATTGTTTGAACCCGGGAGACAGAGGTTGCAGTGAGCTGAGATCGTGCCACTGCACTCCAGCCTGGGCGACAGAGTAAGACTCCATCTCAAAAGAAAAAAAAAACCACAAGTCAATTTAGAGAGTCAATCACAATTGTCGCAAAAGTTTTATTCTAAGAGGAAATAAACCAAATGCCCAGAACATTTCAGCCATAATTCATTCTTATGGTTGAGACTTGACTGCATTCTGATCCATATATAGATGGCATTAGTTAACCCTTTACTATAATAGCTGAGAAAATATGTCAGAAATGTGGCAAAGGACCAAAATTCTAGACCTAGTCTCGCCTCTCCCACTTATATAGTTACAAGTTAGGCTTCAGGAAGTTACCTTCCCTCTCTAAGCCTGTTTCCTCATCTGCAAAATGTGGGTAATAATAGTACTGATCTCAAAGAATTACTGTAAGGATTAAATGAGAGTATACATTTTAATGTCACTAGTACAGTGCCTGACACATATGTGTTAGCCACATATAAAAATTATATGATTACATCTTTTTTTTTTTTTTTTTTTTGAGACAGGGTCTCCTTCTGTTGCCCAGGCTGGAGTTCAGTGGCACGATCTTGGCTCACTACAGCCTCTGCCTCTGGGCCCAAGCAATTCTCCCACCTCAGCCTCCCAAGTAGCTGAGACTACAGGGACACACCACCAGGCCCAGCTGATTTTTCTATTTTTTGTAGATACAGGGTTTCACCATGTTGCCCAGGCTGGTTTCAAACTCCTGGACTCAAGCAATCCACCAACCTTGGCCTCTCCAAGTACTGAGACTATAGGCGTTTCACCATGCTGGCCAGGCTGGTCTCGAACTCCTGACCTAAAGTTATCCACCTGCCTTGGCCTCCCACAGTGCTGGGATTACAGGCGTGAGCCACTGCGCCCGGCACTTATTATTTTTTTAGAGACAGGGTCTCACTCTGTTGTCTCACTCTGGAGTGCAGTGGCACTATCACAGCTCATTGCAGCCTCAAACTCCTGGGCTCAAACAATCATCCCGCCTCAGCCTTCCAAGTAGCTGGGACTACAGGCACGTGCCACCACGACCGGCTAATTTTTTTATTTTCTGTAGAGATAGGGTCTCACTATGTTGCCAGGCTGGTTTTGAACTCCTGGCCTCAAGCAATCCTCCTGCCTCAGCTGGGATTTCAGGTATGAGCTACTGTGCCTGGCTGAAACTTTCTTTTTAATAGGGACCTCTTAATCATCCAATCAGTGGCCTTTTCCCAGTATTCATCCTTACCACCTTCAGTGACACCACTGATCCCTCCAAGAAAATGGCTTTGAGAGGAAGGAGGGTGCTGTGGTTAAGACCCGGGAATCTGGCTGCTCTTAGAGCCCTCAAGCCACCATTTAAGAAATCCAAGGCCGGGTGGGCACGGTGGCTCATGCCTGTAATCCTAGCACTTTGGGAGGCTGAGGCGGGCAGATCATTAGGTCAGGAGTTCTGGACCAGCCTGGCCAACATGGTGAAACCCTGTTTCTACTAAAAATACAAAAATTAGCTGGGCATGGTGGCACGTGCCTGTAATCCCAGCTACTCAGTAGACTGAGGCAGGAGAATCACTTTAACCTGGGAGGCGGAGGTTTCAGTGAGCTGAGATCTTGCCATTGCGCTCCAGCCTGGGTGACAGAGCGAGACTCCACCTCAAAAAGAAAAAAAAAAAAAAGAAAAAAAGAAAAAAAAAAAAAAGAAATCCAAGGCCGGGCACAGTGGCTCACGCCTGTAATCCCAGCACTTTGGGAGGCCGAGGCAGGCAGATCACTTGAGGTCAGGAGTTCGAGACCAGCCTGGCCAACATGGTGAAACCCCATCTCTACTAAAAAAATAAAAATTAGCTGGGCGCGGTGGTGGGCGCCTGTAATCCCAGCTACTCAGGAGGCTGAGGCAGGAGAATCGCTTGAACCCGGGAGCCGGAGGTTGCAGTGAGCCAAGATAGTGCCAATGCACTCCTGCCTGGGTGACAAAGCAAGACTCTGACTCAAAAAAAAAAAAAAAGAAAGAAATCCAACCAGGCTGGTAGCCAGCCACCTCAGCCACCCCAGCTGAGGCACCAGATGTCCCAGCCCCAGATGAACTCCCAGATGAACAGAGCTGACTGAGTGACCTTAGCCAATGCTACATGGAACAGAAGAACCTCCCAGGTGAGCCCAGCCATCCCACAGAATCAAGTATATCTTTAGAAAGATAAACTGCACAAACTAATTGAAAAGAAAAAGAAAAATGTTGAAACCCCAGGGGAGTTGGGTGCAACTTCAGTTCTCTAGGAGTCAAGTGCTTGGCTCTATTCAAAAAGGTGCAAGAAAGCAGATTGGATCAGAGCAAACACAGGTATCAGATGGAACACGTTGACAGAAGATTTGGGTTACCACAGAATCACATGGACATGCCCAACACAGTGCAAAGCATACTAGAATGAAGTAAACTCTCCTAAAGAAACCAGTGAAAAAGACAGCATCCTCAAAGACTACACATTGAAGAAGCATGGAGGCAAAAACTAAGAACTTGGTAATAAATGCCTGAAGTAAAACTGGGATCTCAGCACAGACTATTTAATATAAAACAATGTCCAACTCACATGAGGAAGATGTATGCTAGAACTTAGCAGTGCTGGTGCTGGGTAAAAATTCTCCTTTAACTTTTTTTTCAGACGCAGTCTCGCTCTGTCGCCCAGGCTGGAGTGCAATGGCGCCATGTCGGCTCACTGCAATCTCTGCCTCCCAGGTTCAAGCGATTTTCCTGCCTCAGCCACCTGAGTAGCTGGGATTACAGGCACCTGCCATCATGCCCAGCTAATTTTTGTATTTTTAGTAGAGACGGGGTTTCACCATGTTGGCCAGGCTGGTCTTGAACTCCTGACCTCAGGTGATCCGTCCGCCTCGGCCTCCCAAAGTGCTGGGATTACAGGCGTAAGCCACCGCTCCCGGTCAAAAATTCTCCTTTATTCTTTGAGAGGGACATAACACTAATAATCCAGAACCTAGTGTATATCCGTTAGTTTGCTTCACCTCATCTTCTTAAAAGTCCTGTATTAAAAACCAAAACCTCTAGCTTTTATATCTGTATTGGTAGAGGACAGATTTGGGGTGAAGATTCTGGTATCCAAAATTACGTGAGCAATTTAACAAAAAGACAACAAAAACAATAAGCAATTTAATTTCAATCTCAGTAGAATTCAGAGAAAGGCAATTAACAAATGTCAGTTTTCTTTTTTTGGGGGGGTGGGGGGGGACAGGGTTTCACTTGTTGCCCAGGCTGGAGTGCAGTGGCGTGATCTTGGCTTACTACAGCCTCAAACTCCTGGACTCAAGCAATGCTCCCAGTTCAGCCTCCTGGGTAGCTGGGACTACAGGTGTGCACCATCACTCTGAGAGGAGTTAGCTAGCTTTCCTTAGGTAGACAGCAAGGGAAGGGTCCCCAAAGAGCCCCCAACCCACGGGTCAGTGCCTCATCCCCACAGAACAGAGAAAGCAGCCTGGGGATAAAAATCAAGCTGCAGGCACCGATAAGGGAAGTAGCACAGGGTGGTGGTGTGCCTGGAGACAAGCCCGCGGCTGCACAGATCCGAGAACCTCCAGCCCACTTAGATAAAAACTTGCACAAACCTCCAGCTCACTCAGATAAGGGAACAAGACCTGACATAGAAATGTCTTTGTCTTTTGTATAATCAGCAGGTTCCCGGGAAAAAGTTTCTTCTCCTTTCGTGGGCATTAATACTGTGGGCTCCGACGACTCCGATGGGCACTTTCCTTTCCTCTTTCGACTGTGAGCCCGGCCTCTAAGAATTACTTCAGCACGATTGGTCCCCGGGCCAAGCTTTCACTTCAGCTCCTGATAGGTCCCGGGCCAAGCTGAGTGGTCTCAATGAATCATCAATTCAGCTCCTGATTGGTCCCGGGCCAAGCTGAATCTAGCTTTCTCCAAGACAGCTCACAGACTAAGCAAATTCCTTCCCCTTCCCAGTCCGCAAAAACCCCCGACCCCAACCTCATAGTGGGCAACCCGTTCAGGCCCCCACTCTCCGCTGCGGAGAGCTTTTTTTTTTTTTTTTGAGACGGAATTTTGCTCTTGTTGCCCAGGCTGAAGTGCAACGGCGCGATCCTCAACTCACCGCAACGTCTGCCTCCCGGCTTCAAGCGATTCTCCTGCCTCAGCCTCCCAAGTAGCTGGGACTACAGGCGTGTGCCACCACGCCCAGTTAATTTTGTATTTTTAGTAAAGACAGGGTTTCTCCATGTTGGTCAGGCTGGTCTTGAACTCCGGACCTCGGCCTCCCAAAGTGCTGGGATTACAGGTGTGAGCCACCGAATCCAGCCGAGAGCTTTCTTGTTTTGCTTACTAAACTTTTGCTCCAACCTCACCCTTGTGTTCGTGCTCTGTGACACAAAGAACTCCGGATACTATCTCAGACAACCAAAGACTGCTACATTTTGGCGCACTGGTGAGACTACAACACCTTGCTAATTTTTGTATTTTTGTAGAAACAGGTTTTCACCGTGTTGCCCAGGCTGGTCTTGAACTCCTGACCTCAAGCAATCTGCCTTGGCCTCCCAAAGTGCTGGGATTACAGGTGTGAGCCACCACATCCAGCAGAAGGTCATTCTTCACCTATCAAAATGGCAAAGATATTTTAAAAAGAAAAGATAAAAATTGGCAAAGTTCAGGGAAATTGCTGATGTGTAAGTGATTGTGTGAAACTGTTCTGAAGGGTTACATGAAATACATATTCAAAGCCTTCAACGTGTGCCTACTATTTGACCTAAATATCTCATTTAATATTTTTCCAAAGAAAATAATTTAAGGGTCAAATGTTTTAGAGTATTTAGGATATTTACTGCAACATTGTTTATAATAGCAAAAAAGAAATACTAGAAAAAGCTTCACTGTACAGCAACAAATGGTTAAATATATAATGTATAATCTATACAATAGCATGCAGTAGGTCTCTTAACTCCACTTAACACATTCACAAAACTCCCCAGGGCGCATCCCTCCCCATTAGCCACCTCCCATCATGTCATAGGTAGATATGCAAAATGCTATATTGAAGGGCCAGGTAAATCTCAGTCAGGATGGCATTACGGCATGGAGAGACAAGTTATTATAGTACAGCACATGCTTGATTCCATGAGTCAAACTGCATGCTTCCAAGAGATAGTTGTGTTCGCTCCTGTGACTATTTCATGCCAGAGGTGCTTGTTGACACTGTGATTTCAATAAACATTACATAAACTAATATAAAAAAATTGCTTGAGACAGGGTCTTGCTGTCACCCAGACTGGAGTGCAGTGGCATGATCATAGCTCACTGCAGACTCAAACTCCTGGACTCAAGCAATCCACTCACCTCAGCCTCCTAACTGGGACTACAGGTGCACACCACCATGCTCAGATAATTTTTTAACTTTTTGTAGAGAAAGGGTCTCACTATGTTTCCCAGGCTGGTCTCAAGCGATCCTCCCATCTCAGTCTCCCAAAGTGCTGGGATTACAGGCATGAGCCACCACTGTGCCTGGCCTAAAAATTTTTTGTTAAAAATGCTTTCCACCGGCCGGGTGCAGTGGCTCATGCCTATAATCCCAGCACTTTGGGAGGCCAAGGTAGGTGGATCACCTGAGGTCAGGAATTTGAGACCAGCTGGCCAACATGGTGAAACCGCCTTTCTACTAAAAATACAAAAACTAGCCAGGCATGGGGGCTGACACCTGTAATCCTAGCTACTCAGGAGGCTGAGGCAGGAGAATCGCTTGAACCCGGGAGGTAGAGGTTGCAGTGAGCCAAGATCATGCCACTGCACTCCAGCTGGAGCGACAGAGTGAAACTCTGTCTCACACACACACACACACACAAAAATACTTTCCACCTAATTCTGAGGCAGAGCCAAGTTTGTGAACACTAATGTAGAACCCACAATAAATATTGCTTCCTTCTTGGGAGGACTTTTTTCAGAGATTATTTTTTCTTCTAAGTTACCTTCCTGTCAAAAAAGGAACGGTCTTGGCTACAGATTTTTTTTTTTTTTTTTTTTTGAGATGGAGTCTCGTTCTGTCACCCAGGCTGGAGTGCAGTGGCATGATCACAGCTCACTGCAACCTCTGCCTCCCAGGTTCAAGCAGTTCTCTGCCTCAGCCTCCCGAGTAGCTGGGATTACAGGCGTCCGCCACCACGCCCGGCTAATTTTTGTATTTTTAGTAGAAACGGGGTTTCACCATCTCGGCCAGGCTGGTCTTGAACTCCTGACCTCATGATCCATCCGCCTTGGCCTCCCAAAGTGCTGGGATTACAGGCATGAGCTACCGCGCCCGGCCTTGGCTGCAGATTAACGGGAATACCTCCCTTGGGCTTCCTAGGTGACACTGTGATATTCGGTATGACCTCCCTTGCTCTATTCCTTGGAAGAAGTACAGGCACTGGTCAAGAGTGCCCGGGACCCACATTGCCTGGTTTTGAATCCCAGCACCTCCACATGTTACGCGTCGGACCTCCAGGAAGTTACTTAAACTCTCTGTGCTTCAGTTTCCCGAGTGGCCTAACCCTAAGGGGGGTTACAGAACCTGCCTCATAGTGTTGATTGGAAGAAATAAAGGAGCTCAGACCTGCCAAGGGCTGAGGATGGTGCCTATCTAGCACATGGCAATGCTCCATAAGCATAAGCAGCTATTATTATTGTGGTTCCTATTTTTTAAATCAGATATATCCTGCGGAGCCACTAGCAGAATGTGCTAAATAGCTGTCTGGTGAATGAAAGAATGACCAAATGGTCCTGTATTTCCTTATCTAGATCATCTCTAAACACCTTCTAATGGTATGGTTTCAGACCTAAATCTTCCCACAAATCTTTACGGATGCAGTAACTTTTGTTAAATCCCTTCGCCCCAACTTTTCATCTACCCTCTGACAACAAAAGCTGGGAAATAGAGGGAAGCAAAGGAATCATGTACGGCTGATGGGATTTAGACAGCACAGAGCAAGTGGTTAGGTTTAAAGAACGTCATCCAAATACCCTGGCAGGAAACCTTGTATACTGACAGTTGCAATATGTGTAAGAAAAGAATGCATCCAATGGTATCCTCAATTAATTAATTAATTAATTAATTTTTGAGACAGTCTCTCTCTGTCGCCCAGGCTGGAGTGCAATGGTGCAATCTCAGCTCACTGCAACCTCCACCTCCTGGGTTCAAGCAATTCTCCTGCCTCAGCCTCCCAAGTAGCTGGGACTACAGGCACATGCCACCACGGCTAATTTTCTGTATTTTTAGTAGAGACAGGGTTTCACCATGTTGGCCAGGATGGTCTTGATCTCCTGACTTCATGATCCGCCCGCCTCAGCCTCCCAAAGTGCTGGGATTATAGGCATGAGCCACCACGCCCAGCCTCTCAATTTTTTTGTTTTTTCAGAAGATGGGAGGCAACATGGTAGGTTCACAATTAAAATTGTCTTGAAAGTATTTATTGTTTAATAATTCTTTCTCCCCTCAGCCCCATCCGGCCACTCTCTCTTTCTGCTTTTCTGATCATCCTAAAGGCTGAATACATCCTCCTCCTGTGTGGAGGACACGAAGCAATACTAAAATCAATACACTCGATCAGGTCTTCATCAGATACCACGTCACTGTGGGTAGAGTGCTAGTTTTCAACAAATGTGGTGTTCTTAGGGCTCCACAAGGTAGTCCTTTCTCAAGGTCGCTGGGCCACTCATGGAGTTGAAATGCCGCTGCCCATCTAAGTACAACATGGACTCTGAAACACAAGAAAGAGAACCTTGGAGAAACTTGTAATACCGTAGAAAACCATCATATCATCATACAAACACAAGACTACTTGGGAACACTGGGACAGAACAAGATACACTGTTGGGCCGGGGTGTGCCACATTCCCAAAGGAGCAGGCCATGACTCCTGTCCCCTTCCTTTGGCTGGATCAGTTTTTTTTTTTTTTTTTTTTTTGAGACGGAGTCTCGCTCTGTTGCCCAGACTGGAGTGCAGTGGCACAATCTCAGCTCACTGCAAGCTCCGCCTCCCAGGTTCACGCCATTCTCCTGCCTCAGCCTCCCGAGTAGCTGGGACTACAGGTGCCCGCCACCGTGCCCGGCTAATTTTTTTTTTTTTTTTTTTTTTCTAGTAGAGACGGGGTTTCACCGTGTTAGCCAGGATGGTCTCGATCTCCTGAACTCGTGATCTGCCCGTCTCGGCCTCCCAAAGTGCTGGGATTACAGGCATGAGCCACCACGCCCAGCCTGGCTGGATCAGTTTTTGACTACCAGTGGTTGCTTGCCCGCCTGGGGGCCACAGGCATCTTTGGCCTTCAGGGCTGCCAAATCTCAAAAGCAAAATCTCCTGAAGACATGCTCTTGTGCTGACAGGCATCAATACACTTCCTCCAATTCAAAAGGAGAAAAATGTCCTTAGAAGTTCTTCCCTTTGTTAGGGACAAGCAATAATCACTACTTACCTCCATATGTTTTTGGGAAAACCAATGGCACTTCTTTTTCCGACATGAACGTGAAATGAAAGACATTGGTGGTTGTATGCTGCTTCTCCTGCAGGGAGGCCACTTCACTGTGTACTCTGACTTGAATATAATTATTCTGAGTAAAGCATACCTAACAGATTATAGACACTATAATCAGTCAACTGCATTAGGAAGGGGAAAAAGGCAGTCATAAGAGAAAACAGTGGCTTTTTGATATAGAAACTTCTAGGCTCAAATGAAAAAAAAAAGTTGTATGTCATCTCTCATCACACACCTACCTGTGAAGAAAGAAAGAGCAATGAGCCAACCTCAACAGGTTTCTGAAACATGATGTCATCTACTGCTACCACAAACGGTCGAGAACCACTGTTGGGGGAAAGGACAGAATTTGGGGTATATTGCAAAATTCAGATGATCTCAATTGTTTCCTCTAACAACTAGCTGAAGCAAAATAAAAATGAACGAAGAATAAAGTTAGAGAAGGGGGAAAAGATCCTACCAGTGAGAAATGGTAAGAGACGCCATCGTGAGCAGATTAGGGCCAAAATAACTATATCTTTTCCTTTCTACATATCATCACTGTATTTTCTCAGTAGTTTTTTTAATGTATGAACTTACAAAGTCAGAGAAACAACCTTCTAAAATGAAGATCAAATTCAGCTGGTATCAGTGTGGTATTCATTCAAAAACATAACATATTCCCACACACACCCAGACTGGTCCGAAATGTTTCATTTCAGTGGGGTGATATAAATTGCTTCTCAGAAGTTAAGGCTGCCTTACATGTAACTCACCCAAAGCTACAAGCAGTAGCCCACGCAAGTTCATATGCCTTCCTCATAAGGAAACCACCAAAGATCCGATTGAAAATGTTCCGCTCCTACAGGACATAAATAAATATCAATAAATACAAAACTTATGGCCACCTTTGTATACAGAACAGAGGAATTAACAATGCCACAGGACAAAGGCCAGTTTAAAGGTGTGTCAAATCTTGGACAAATATCATGAACGGAAGCTATCCTATTCGGATTTCTCACTAAATTATAATACCTGAGGGTGGCAAATTTCCAAACTCTTCAGTTTTGAATTCTCCATCCACACTGCATTAGAGGGTAAAACTCGACTCCGAAAACTTATAGTCCTGTACAAATGAATATTTATTAAACCCTGTTAATGCCATGGTTCTCTTGTTGAAAAGTAAAAACATTTGCAAGTCACTCCCAATACACTCAGACAACTGTGGCTCTGGAGAAGGCCAAGGTTTAGGCCAGGCGCGGTGGCTCACGCCTGTAATCCCAACACTTTGGGAGGCCGAGGCAGGCAGATCACATGAGGTCAGGAGCTTGAGACCAGCCTGGCCAACGTGGTGAAACCCCGTCTCTACTAAAAATACAAAATAATTAGCAGGCGTGGTGGCGGGCGCCTGTAATCCCAGCTACTTGGGAGGCTGAGACAGGAGAATTGCTTGAACCCGGGAGGCAGAGGTTGTAGTGAGCCAAGATCACGCCACTGCATTCCAGCCTGGGCAACAGGGTAAGACTCCATCTCAAAAACAAAAAAGGTCGGGTGTGGTGGCTCACGCCTGTAATCCCAGCACTTTGGGAGGTGGAGACAGGCAGATCACCTGAGGTCAGGAGTTCAAGACAAGCCTGACCAACATGGAGAAACCCCGTCTCTACTAAAAATACAAAATTAACCAGGCGTGGAGGTGCATGCCTATAATCCCAGCTACTCGGAGGCTGAGGCAGGAGAATCACTTGAACCCGGGAGGCAGAGGTTGCAGTGAGCCAAGATCGTGCCATTGCACTCCAGCCTGGGTAACAAGAGCGAAACTCCGTCTCAAAAAAAAAAAAAAAAAAAAAAGGCCAAGGTTTAAATGTTTTCCCAACGTGGAATCTCACCATCCTTACTTTGGATCCAGTGTGCTGAGAAACATCTCATGTATGGTGGTCCTCTCCTCAGCGCTGGGGGCCATTTTCAGTAACGACGTGGAGCTGAAGGCAATTCTTCTCCCCTTGTTCACTGGAACAAGGGAGAATAAGGAGCAATGATCAGGACGGTCGCACTACAGCACACGGTATTCTGACCTGGGATGCCTTTCAAAATCTCACTGAAAATTATACACGTATCCAAGAGAAAACTGCAGAGGCCACATAAAACTCCCAGTGAGTCTTTGGTTCCACATGGAAATTATATTGGTTCAGTGTGAGATCACTTGATATCATCCTGATCCAGAGCCCTGACCTGCAGTTATCCCATTGAGATGCATTTCTCACTTCATTAAAACGGAGAAAACAGGCCAGGTGCAGTGGCTCATGCCTGTAATCCCAACACTTTGGGAGGCGGAGGCAGGAGGATTGCTTGAGTCCAGGAGTTCAAGACCAGCCTGGGCAACATAGTGAGACCCCTGTCTCTACAAAGAAAAATTTTAATTAGCCAGGCATGGTGGCACGTGCCTATAGTCCTAGCTACTCAGGAGGCTGAGGTGGGTGGATAGCTTGGGCCCAGGAGATCGAGACTACAATATTGTTCATTGTAGCCTCAAACTCCTGGACCCAAGCCCAACTCCAGCCTGGGCAACAGAGCAAGAACTGTCTAAAAAAAAAAAACGGAGATAACAAATTACTTCACTTAATAAATATTGTCTGATCAATAAAATCATTCAAAGTATGGACTCCAAAGAAAAAAGAATAGCATATTTTTAATTTCAATAAATTATTGGTATGAATAAGACATTTGGGCCAGGCACAATGGCTCACGCCTGTAATCCCAGCACTTTGGGAGGCCAAGGCAGGCGGATCACGAGTTCAGGAGATCGAGACCATCCTGGCCAAAATGGTGAAACCCCATCTCTACTAAAAGTACAAAAATTAGCTGGGTGTGGTGGCGCGCACCTGTAGTCCCAGCTACTCAGGAGGCTGGGGCAGAAGAATCACTTGAACCCAGGAGGCAGAGGTTGCAGTGAGCCGAGATGGCACCACTGCACTCCAGCCTGGCAAGAGACAGAGAGACTCCATTTCAAAAAAAACAAACAAAAAAACAAACAAAAAAAAGACATTTGACTGGTATGAAGAGCCCATATAAAATCTTAAATAATCTCTTCTGCAGCGTAATTAATGTGCTTTTCAAATTTATTTTATTATAAACAAATTAATGTACATTCCCCTTGTCTAAAGAGCTCCTCTTCCTCTGGGCTTTCAGGGATGAGTGGATTTACAAATGCCGGCCTAAAAAGAAGAAAAAAAAGAATATAATTTAAGATATGCCATTATCTAATAAAACTTGAAGATGAACAATCACCTACTACTTTTAAAGAATCTGCTTTTCATTTTGGGTAGTGCTTACTGCTTGCCTTACATGTGAACGCTGGAACAATTAGGGAAGCCTTACAGTTACAGCCTTAATTGCACACTAGAAACTTAACATTATAAAAAGGATACTGGCATCTGCTAAATGTTTAACCTGATTCTAATCATGAGGAAACAGTCAAATATAGGTTGTAGAACACTCTACAAGAAAACTGGCTTTAGGCCGGGCGTGGTGGCTCACGCCTGTAATCCCAGCACTTTGAGAGGCCAAGCCGGGTGGGGATCACCTGAAGTTGGGAGTTTGAGACCAGCCTGACCAACAAGGAGAAACCTCGTTTCTACTAAAAATACAAAATTAGCCGGGCGTGGTGGCACATGCCTGTAATCCCAGCTACTCGGGAGGCTGAGGCAGGAGAATTGCTTGAACCCAGGAGGTGGAGGTTGCGGTGAGCCGAGATCGTGCCAGTGCACTCCAGCCTGGGCAACAAGAGCGAAACTCTGTCTCAAAAAAAGAAAAAAAAAAAAAAAAGAAAAAGAAAACTGGCTTGAACTCTTTAAAAATATCAATTTTTGAAAGACAGCAAATGGCAGAGAGACTATTCTAAAGAAACAGGATAACCAAATGCAATATACAATCCTTGATGGATTGGGTCCTGAATCAGGAAGATAGCTATAAAGGACATTTTAGGGACAACTGGTGAAATCTGAATACGGATCACATATTAAATAACTGTATCACTGTTGAATTTCTCAGATATAATAAAGGCATTGAGGTTATGGAGAAATACCTGGTTCTTAGGAAATACATGCTGAACTCCTGAATGGGTGAAGCAGTCTCAAACTTACTTTCCAATGATTCATGGGAAAAAATATGTAAATGTGTGTATTTGTAGAGAGAGGGTAAGAGAATTACGCAAATGTAATACAATTTACGTGAAAGGCATACGTTTGTTGCATTATTCTATCTACTTTTCTGTAAGCATCAAATTTTTTGAAATAAAAAATAAGGGAAAAGGGATAATATTTCACTGTGGTAGAATCAAAAGATTTGATGAAACAACAATGGAAACAAAAGAATTAAAACAGGCCGGGGGCAGTGGTTCACGCTCGTAATCCCAGCACTTCGGGAGGCCAAGGCAGGTGGATCACCTAAGGTCAGGAGTTCGAGACCAGCCTGGTCAACATGGTGAAACCCCGTCTCTACTAAAAATACAAAAGTCAGCCGGGTGTGGTGGTAGGTGCCTGTAATCCCAGCTACTCAGGAGGCTGAGGCAGGAGAATCACTTGAACCCAGGAGGTAGAGGTTGCAGTGAGCCGAGATAGCACCACTGCACTCCAGCCTGGGTGACAAGAGCCAACCTCTGTCTTGAAAACAAAAAACAAAAGAATTGAAACAACAGCTTGGGAAAGTGACATGCATCAGCTGGGAGTGAAACTTGCAGCAGTGGCCTCAGTGCTTGAATACAAGCCCCAGGCCAGTCACTGGCCACAGCAGGTCAGCTGGGGCTGGCAGGAAGGGCCAGAGTAGATGGGTGTTATTCTTCCCTCAGATCACTAAGGGACCAACATATTTTTCTATCTTAATTTGGCTTTCCAAGTCAGCTTTCCACGCAGCAGCAAAGATTTTTCACTGCAGACTCCTAAATCAAGTTTCTAATACAAATGAGATTTCCCACAGGCCACTGGACTCTGTCCTGTGCAAAGAGCAATCCCTCCCACCCCAGCTCTACCCCCACAATTAGTTTTTCTCAGTTTGGGTGTAACTGTTGTTAGAAACCAAGAATTCAATTTCAGAGAAAAAAGATGACGTAAAGTAAGTTGAAGTCTATATGGTTAAATGACTTGAAAATGACCATATAAACTCATGAGGCTCTTTTTTTGAGGTAGGGTCTTGCCCTGTCGCCCAGGCTGGCGTGCAGTGGTGCGACCTTGGCTCACTGCAACCTCTGCTTCCCGGGTTAAAGCAATCCTCCCACCTCAGCCTCCCACATCGTCTGGGACTACAGACACATGCTACCATACCTGGCTAATTTTTTTGTACTTTTAGTAGAGATGGGGATTCGCCATGTTGGCCAGGCTGGTCTCAAACTCCTGGGCTCAAGTGATCTGCCCACCTCGGCCTCCCAAAGTGCTGGGATTACAGGCGTGAGCCACCACACCCAGCTCTCATGAGGTTTTTTGTTTGTTTAAAATATATCCTAGCTCTGTCCACTAAAAAGGCCTGGAAACAATAACAAACTAGTAACAATGTACAGTTCTAGTGCCCAGATTTTGATGTCTAAATACCAGTTCCCACTAAAAGGAACCCCAGGACTACTTGGAGAAATGGCTGACTCCAGGCCTGGGGCAGGAAATACGTAAGATGAGCCCAAGACATCTTGTGTCAGACAGCAGGAAGCTATCAAACAGACAGGTGGAAAGGAGCCAGCTTAGAGGAACTCCCACCGCCCAAAGAAGGCACACTTGGAGCATCAAGAGAAACAATGGCTGCAATTTATTGAAATACATGTAATATATTACAACCATGAATTCATAATGATGCTTTTCTGGCAGGACAGTGGCTCACACCTGTAATCCTAGCACTTTGGGAGGCCGAGGTGAGAGGATCACTTGAGCCCAGGATTTTGAGATCAGTTTGGCCAACATGGCAAAACCCCATCTCTACAAAAAATTTAAAAATTAGCTGGGCAGCTACTCAGGAGGCTGAGGCCAGAGAATCACTTGAACCAGGAGGTGGAGGTTGCAGTGAGCCGAGATTGCGCCACTGCACCCCAGCCGGGGCAACAAGAGTAAAACTCCATCTCAAAAAGAAAGAAAGAAAAAAAATTAGCTCGGCATGGTGGTATGTGCCTGTGGTCCCAGCTACTCAGGAGGCTGAGGCGGAAGGATTGCTTGAGCACAGGAGGCCCAGGCTGCAGTGAGCCATGCTCATGACACATGACAATGCACTCCAACCTGGAGAGAAGAGCAAAACTTCATCTCAAAAAAAATAAAAAAACAAAAAAAAAACGGGCTGGGCGAAATGACTCACGCCTGTTATCTCAGCACTTTGGAATCCCTAGGTGGGCAGATCACTTGAGGTCAGGAGATCGAGGCCAGCCTGGCCAACATGGTGAAACCCCGTCTCTACTATAAATACAAAACAAATTAGCCAAGCATAATGGGGCATGCCTGTAGTCCCAGCTACTTGGGAGGCAGAGGCAGGAGAATCTCTTCAACCCAGGAGACAGAGGCTGCAGTGAGCCGAGATTGCGCCACTGCAGTCCAGTGTGGGTGACTGAGCGAGACTCCATCTCAAAAACACACACACACAGAAAAAAAAAAAGAAATTTAAAAACATGATACTTTTCTAAAAAGCTAAAAAACTGGGAAAAGCATGTCATCACTAGCTAGTGAACCAACTCCTTATTCTGAAAACATGTAAATAAAAGACAAGAATGAAGCATTGATCCTAACTCCATTTCAAACCCAATCGCCCTAGTTGTTAAGGGAACGCTCTTCTTTACAGAATTCCAGCTAACAAACATAGAAGGAATGACAAAATTTGAGAATTACTCTAAACTGCCTAATGATACTAATTAAAGCAATGATCAGCAGTGGACATTGAAAGCACTGGAAAAAGACTGATGGGAAACTCAGCTATTTGCAGGATGACAAAGTACACCCCTGTAGATTGTTGCTGATCAGAAGAGGAAAAACTGAACTTCACAAAGGAGAGATTAGGCTGTAACTGCTTGAACCCACACACTAATCTTAGCATCACTGTGAGTGGGACAACCTGTACCTCCTGATACGATGCAATATGAAATACGAGATATACAACATCATCTATGTAGTACTCTCACCAAATATGCTCAACCTAAATCTAATACAAGGCTTTAGATCTAACTTCAGTTTAGAGAAATTACTAGGGATAGAGAAACAAGATCAAAAAACAAACAAACAAACCACCATGAGAAAGCAATAGAACAAATCCAGAAAGTGGGACACTATTTAGAACAAATGATCCAGCCTCTCAACGAGTGAATAAGAAACAATAGGGGAAGACACAACTGTTCTGGATTAAAACAGATTTAAGAGATTGCACAACTCAGCTGGGCATGGTGGCTCACGCCTGTAATCTCAACACTTTGGGAGGCTGAGGTGGGTGGATCACTTGAGGTCAGGAGTTCGAGACCAGCCTGGGCAACATAGTGAAACACCCCCCCATCTCTACTAAAAATACAAAAATTAGCCAGGCATGGTGGCACATGCCTGTAATCCCAGTTACTCAGGAGGCTGAGGCAGGAGAATCGCTCAAACCCAGGAGGCGGAGGTTGCAGTGAACCGAGATCCCACCATTGCACTCCAGCCTGGGCAACAAGAGCAAAACTCCATCTTAAAAAAAAAAAAAAAAAAAGGATAATATTCTCTTAAGTAACTACATTACTATTGTCATGCCTAACAAAAAATTACATTTGATTTTTATGTCTGTAAGTCTGTTTTTTTTTGATAACAGCTTTATTAAGGTATAATTCGCATACCACACAATTCACCCATTGAAAGTGTACAATTTAACGGCTTTTAGTGTATTCACAGAATTGTGCAACATCTCTTTTTGTTGTTGTTGTTTTGAGATGGAGTCTCGCTCTGTCGCCCAGGCTGGAGTGCAATGGCGCAATCTCGGCACACTGCAACTTCCACCTCCCAGAGTCAAGTAATTCTCGTGCCTCAGCCTCCCCAGTAGCTGGGACCATAGGCGCGTGCCACCACGCCCAGCTAATTTTTGTGTTTTTAGTAGAGATGGGGTTTCACCATGCCGGCCAGGCTGGTCTTCAACTCCTGACCTTAAGTGATCCACCAGCCTTGGCCTCCCAAAGTGCTGGGATTACAGGCGTGAGCCACCTCTCCCGGCCTGAGAATATTCTCATTTTTTAAAAGATGCCCGAAGTATTTAAGAGTGAAATGTCATGTCTGGGATTTGCCTTAAAATAAAAATGGCCAAGAAATTGCAATTAAAACTGTTACGTCCAAGTGATAGGTATATGGACATTCATTATAGTTTTCTCTCCAGTCTTATGTATCTTTGAAATTCTTCAAAATAAAGAATTATGAAAAAATAGCAATTACCCTTTATTTTCAGAATCACGAGCCACCATTACAAATGTTGCATCCAAAACAGGACAAAATTCATCACCATGTAACTGAAGAACAAAGGAAAGAAAATGTACATATGAGAAATGGATTTATCGGGAAGACCTACCACGATTCTAACAGACGGTATGTATGCTGGCCAGGTGCAGTCGCTCACGCCTATAATCCCAGCACTTTGAGAGGCCAAGGTGGGAGGATCACTTGAGGCCAGGAGTTTGAGACCAGCCTGGCCAATATGGCAAAACCCTGTCTCTACTAAATAATACAAAAATTAGCAGGGTGTGGTGGCGCATGCCTCTAACCTCAGCTACTCAGTAGACTGAGGCATGAGAATTGCTTGAACCCAGGAGGCCAAGGTTGCAGTGAGCCGAGATTGCAGGCCCCTGTCTAAAAAAAAAAAAAGAAAAAAAAAAAAGAGAGAGAGAGAGAGAGAAAGCCTGCAACTGGAAAAAGAAGAGAAGCACTCTCATTAACCACCGTCTGCTAAGGGCCTACCCTGAGCCAGGCACAGCACTAGGCTCTCAGAATGGCAGGATGACAAAGGAGCCCGTGGCCTAGCAGAGGAGAAAAATACCTCAAAGTCCAATCGGGGGCTGGGCATGGTACCTCATGCCTATAATCCCAGCATTTTGAGAGGCCTAGATGAGAGGATTGCCTGAGACCAGGAAAGCGAGATCAGCCTAGGCAACATAGCGAGACCTGGTCTCTAACTACAAATAAAAATTAAAAAATTAGCCAGGCATGGTGGTGCATGCCTGTAGTACCAGCTAGTGGGAAGCTGAGGCAGGAGGATCCCTTGAGCCCAGGAGTTCAAGGATGCACTGAGCTATGATCACGACCCTGCACTGTAGCCTGGATGACAGAAAACATCCCATCTCCAAAACAAAACAAACAAAACGCAAATAGTATACTGCATGAGATGGGCTGCTGGCATGGAGTTTGGAACTGTGCAAGACTGGGACCCAAAGGCAAGGGTCACAGAGAGTATCATCAGCGTTTAATTTGCCTGCTTTCCTCAGAATCTGAGCTTCTTGCAGGGCGTGCCTGTCCTCCTGATGGCACACCTACCCAGACGGACCTCCCATCATGCTCACAAACACTAGTATGTTTCAGGGAACTGTAGTGTGCCAACCACTAGCACAGTTTATGCCTTCATAGCTGGGCACAGGAGCTCCCAAGAAGAGGTAAAATCAAAGATGATTATGTGGGTTAAGTTAAATACAGGTTGAGCATCTCTAATCCAAAAATAAAAAATACTCCAAAATCCAAAACTTTTCAAGCACTGACATGACACTCAAGGAAATGCTCATTGGAGCATTTCAAGATTTTGAACTCTGGGATTAGGAATGCTCAACCAGTAAATATAAATATTCTGAAATCAGAAACACTTCTGGTCCCAGGCATTTCAGGTAAGGAATACTCAACCTGTATTTACAATGCATAGGCCTCTGAGGTTTTAAGATGTTTCTTTTTTTCTCTCCCCAGGAAGAGGGTCTCACTCTATCACCCAGGTTGGAGTACAGTGGCATGATCATGTCTCACTGCAGTCTCGACCTCATGGGCTCAAGCAATCCTCCCACCTCAGCCTCCTGACTAGCTGACACCATAGGCATGCACCACCACACCCAGCTAATTTTTGTAGAGATGGGGTTTTCCATGTTACCCAGGCTGGTCTTGACCTCCTGAGCTCAAGGAATCTACCAGCCTCAGCCTCCCAAAATGCTGGGATTACAGGCATGAGCCACCATGCCTGGGCCTTAAGATGTTTCTTTATCCCCTAGAAGTCTGTACTTCCAGGAAAGTCATACCATAAAGTAATGACAGAAGTTATTTATAACCTGAGAGTATATTGGGTTCCCTCCTCAATAAATGATACAAGCCTCATCACTACTGCCCTCCCCCTCAATTGCAGGAACAGTCTCACCAATCTCATTATGCCTCTGCCCTATTCAAACCTTTCAATAGTTCCTCCTTTCTTCCACCAGCACCTGGGCTAATCCTGTTAGCGTGGCATATAAAGCCCTCCACAACAGAGCCCACGATTGCTCCCCAGTTGTTCACCAAATACTGTGCTCATACCTGCACCTTTTTCTCTAGCCATAGCTAACTAACAACTGAGAGGTCCTGGGATAGAACAGGCTGTTGACTGCCTCCTGTCTATATCTTTACCTGATGCCTTCCTCAGCAGCCTCATTCTTCACGACATTCCTCCCCTCCCCCATCCCTATTCCCCAGACCAAGTTTATCTTTGCCTCCTTCATTCAGCCCCCTTAATAGAAACAGTCCTCTCTTGACAGTGGTTCTCAATGTAAGAGAAGTAGATGTCACTCTAATAGGCGGGCATTTGAAAAATACAGAGTGGTTTTTGTTGTCACATAACTTGGGGGGCATTACTATGGAGGGGGGTAACCAAGGAGCTAAATCCCTCACAATGCAGGGGATAGACCTGCAGAACAATGAATGCTCCCACCAGAAATGCCAACAGTGTCCCTGTTGAAAAATACTGCATAACGATATACTATATCATAACCATTTGTTTATGTGACTGTCTCCCTACTGCACCGTGAGCTCCTGTAGGACAAAGACCATTTTCCCCCAGTTATATCCCTAGTATTTAGCACAAAGACCAGCAAATAGCAGATACCTGATCAATATTTGCCAATGAATGAAGGAGGCAGGTTCTAGGCACTACTAGAATGTCAACTCCAAGAGAATGGAACTTTATCTGTTTTGCTCACTGCTGTATGCCTGGCACAGGACAGGCACTCAATAAATGATTGCTAAATGAATGTTAAATGAATGGATGTCAGGAAGTGAGCTAGGTGACTCAAACCCAGGTCCTATCGTTGAGGAGTAGAGTCCGCAGTGGAAGAGAAAAGACATATTCATGCACAGCTCTGTAGGAGACTAGCAGGTGCCAGGAGAGCAAGTCAAAGAGACGGTATTGAGGGAGGAGGCCTGAGGAACAGGTGTTACATGCTGGGAGAATAAGGAAAGGATTGAGCATGAAGTTATCCTGGAGCACAGGGAGAAAGAATGTGGATACAGAGCCAGAGCACGAGAATTTCAGGCAAAAGAAAAAGCATCAGCAATTATACTCATTCACTCACTCCCAGTTGAATATCCCTTATCCAAAATGCTTGGGACCAGAAGTGTTCTGTATTCCAGACTATTTTGGATTTTCGATTTTTGGATTTGGAATGTTTGCATTCAATACTTACAGGTTGAACATTCCAAACCCAATGAGCATTTCCTTTGGGCATCATGTCAGTGCTCAAAGTCAGATTTTGGAGCATTTCAGATTTCAGAGTTGCAATGCTCAACCTATGTAAGTTATGGTTTACTATCATGAATACCCACTAGTGCCAAGCACTAGAACGCAAACATGAATAACTCCCTATTCTTACGATGCTTGAAGGCCAGTGGTGAGCATTAAGAAGGTATATAAATGACAAGTCAAAGGGAATATAGTTGGAAAGGTAGGCTGGGGCTAGTTTATGAAGCCCCTTGGGCCCTAATTAATCAAAGGAGTTTTGTTTTTTGTTTGAGATGGGGTCTCACTCTGTCACCCAGGTTGGAGTACAGTGGCGCAATCTCGGCTCACTGTAACCTCCACCCCCCTGCCTCAAGCGATCCTCCCACCTCAGCCTCCCGAGTGGCTGGGATCACAGGCGCACGCCACCACACCAGCTAATTTTTTGTACTTTTTTTTTTGAGACCGAGTCTCACTCTGTCGCCGAGGCTGGGGTGCAGTGGCGCTATCTCGGCTCACTGAAAACTCCATCTCCCAGGTTCAAGCGATTCTTCTGCCTCAGCCTCCGCAGTAGCTGGGACTACGGGCACGTGGCACCACCCCCAGCTAATTTTTGTATTTTTAGTAGAGATGGGATATTTCACCATATTGGCCAGGCTGGTCTCAAACTCCTGAACTCATGATTCGCCTGCCTCGGCCTCCCAAAGTGTTGGGATTACAGACATGGCCACCACGCCCAGCCAGTTTTTTGTACTTTTTGTAGAGACGGGGTTTCACCATGTTGCTCAGGCTGGTCTTGAACTCCTGAGCTCAGGAGATCCACCTGCCTCGGCCTCCCAAAGTCCTGAGATTGGAGCCGTGAGCCACTGCACCTGGGCTAGTCAAAGGAGTTTAGACTTTAATCCAGAGATAATGAATGGTCACTGAAGGTTTCTGAGAAGGGAAGTGACCTGATTCAAGATCAGCTTTGGAAGACTTATGTGGTAAAAATGCATAAAATTAAAAGAGAGAGGTCCGGCTAGAGAAAGTCAGGTTAATTAAAAGACGGTTAAGGCACTCACACAAGAGGCAGTGAGGACTTGAATAAAACACAGGGCCAAAAGGATATGGGGAGAAAGAATTCTGGTGAGTTGCTGTGGGTGATGAATTTGCAAGACCTGGCAAAAGGCTGCATGGGAAAGGAAGCAGGAGGCTGGCAAAGGGAAGACTGGAGGAGGATGAGAATTGGGGCCAATCAGTTTGGAACATACTGTTTATTGGAACTTGAGGTAGCAACAGCACGTCTAGGTGGAGAAATATAAGGAGCACTCAGGAAAGTGGGTATGAAGGTCAAGCCCAAAATAGAAATTTGAGGCCACCTCAACAGTATTTATAATAAATTAATATTATTGCCAGGCTGGGGGCGGCGGCCCACGCCTATAATTCCAGCACTTTGGGAGGCCGAGGCAGGCGGATCACTTGAGGTCAGGAGTTCGAGACCAGCCTGGCCAAGATGGTGAAACCCGGTCTGTATAAAAAATACAAAAACTAGCCACGCATGGTGGTGTGCACTTGTAATCTCAGCTACTAGGGAGGCTGAGACAGGAGAATTGCTTGAACCCAGGAGGCAGAGGCTGCAGTGAGCCGAGATCATGCCACTGCACTCCAGCCTGGGTGACAGAACAAGACCCTGTCTCAAAAAAAAAAAAAAATTTCCAACAGTGGTTACTGTGTGATAGGCACTGTACCAAAGTACTTCACATGAATGGGTTTTTTTCAAATTTCCCTTACCACAACCATATAACATGGTACTCTGTTACTATTTTCATGTTACATTTGAGAACACAGAGGCTCAGACAAGTGGTTTATCCACAGCCACATGACTAGGAAGCAGCAGTGCTGGGATTAGAACCTAAATCTATGCAAACCAGAGGCAGAGTGCTTATCCCCACACCACTTCTCTGGAATAAAAAGGATCACTCGAGTCATGAGTTATTAGTCAAATAGCCAGTGAAGAATGCAAATTTAAAACAAAAGTGTTTACTTGTCTGACACTGAGTTCCACTGGTTCTCTCTCAATAATTCCTGTATCTCTTTTTCAACCTATTTGTCCAAGAGGCAAATTGTCAAGATGCCCTAAAAGGCAGGTCCTGTGCCAGGAATCTGCTGTGCATGGCACTGAGCAGACTAGGAATTAACCAAGAATATTTTTTAAAAGACTGTAGGCAGAACAGGCCGGGCACGGTGGCTCACGCCTGTAATCCCAGCACTTTGGGAGGCCGAGGCAGGCGGATCATGAGGTCAGGAGATCGAGATCATCCTGGCTAACACGGTGAAACCCCGTCTGCACTAAAAATACAAAAAAATTAGCCGGGCATGGTGGTAGGCACCTGTAGTCCCAGCTACTTGGGAGGCTGAGGCAGGAGAATGGCATGAACCCAGGAGACGGAGCTTGCAGTGAGCCGAGATCGCACCACTGCACTCCAGCCTGGGTGACAGAGCAAGACTCCGTCTCAAAAAAAAAAAAAAAAAAAAAAAGACTGTAGGCAGATCATAGCAGCAACCCAGCAATGTTTTGTTTTTAAAACAGTATTACTGGCTGGGCACGGTGGCTCACGCCTGAAATCCCAGCACTTTGGGAGGCGAGGGCGGGTGGATGGCTTGAGTCCAAGAGTTCAAGACCAGCCTGGGCAACATGGTAAAACCCCGTCTCTACTAAAAATACAAAAATTAGCCAGGCATGGTGACACACATCTGTAGTCCCAGCTACTTGGGAGGCTGAGGCATGAGAATCACTGGAACCCGAGGGGCAGAGGTAGCAGAAAGCTGAGATCGCGCCACTACACTCCAGCCTGGGAGACAGAGTGACACTGTCTCAAACAAACAAAATAAAACAGTATTACTGTCAGTTACATCAAACATGGGAATTGAAAGATTCAATCACTTGCATATAGTACTGAATAAAAAAAATACTTATTTTGACAAATAACTACTACAGAGCTAGCTTCAGGCTTTTTCTGAAAGTGTGAAAGTTTATTTCACCAAAAGGTGAAATGCTTCATCATTCCATAGCAGGAAAAAATGCATCTGAATAATAGGTCTACTGCAGTGGCCCCCAACCTTTTTTGCACCAGGGACCAGTTTTGTGGTATACAATTTTTCCACGGAATGGGGTGGGCTGGGGGGGATGGTTTTGGGATGAAACTGCTCCGCCTCAGATCATCGGGCACTAGATTCTCCTAAGGAGTGTGCAACCTAGATCCCTCACATGCGCAGCTCACGATAGGGTTCGTGCTCCTATGAGAATCTAATGCCGCTGCTGATCTGACAGGAGGCGGAGCTCAGGTGGTAATTCTCTCTTGCCCACAGCTCACCTCCTGCTATGTAGCCCATGGCCCGGGGGTTGGGGACCCCTGGTCTACTCAATACCCTGGCATAAATGAATAAGTCATTTTTTTTTTTTTGAGACGGAGTCTCGCTCTGTCGCCCAGGCTGGAGAGCAGTGGTGTGATCTCGGCTCACTGCAAGCTCCGCCTCCTGGGTTCACGCCATTCTCCTGCCTCAGCCTCCCATAGCTGGGATTACAGGCACCCGCCACCACGCCCGGCTAATTTTTTTATTTTTAGTAGAGACAGGGTTTCACCGTGTTAGCCAGGATGGTCTCGATCTCCTGACCTGGTGATCTGCCCGCCTTGGCCTCCCAAAGTGCTGGGATTACAGGCGTGAGCCACCGCGCCCAGCCAGTCATTCTTAAATAAGTTTTCCACAATGAAATCTTGGACATACACTGAATCATTTTATTTCTGTGTTGTTATCCTCTTTGAGGTACTTTTTCTTGTCAAATTTCTTCAATTGTTTGTAATAGCTATTCTGAGTTTTACTCATCAGATTAGCTGTTCCTAACTACTGTAATAGCTCAAATGACTGTTAAGGGCCCAACTGTGTCCCCCAAAAAGACATGTGGAAATCCTAACCCCCATAACTGTGAACGTGACTGTATTTGGAAATAGAGTCGTTGCAGACATAATTAGTTAAGATGAGGTCATGCCGGAGTAGCGTGGGCCCTTAATCCAGTATGATTAGCAGCATCCTGACAAGAGACACCAGAGAGACAGAGACACATGAGAGAACACCATGTGATGACGGAGGCAGAGACTGAATGAAGTGCTACAGCTGGAAGCCAAGGAACGCTAGGGATTGCCAGCAAACCACCAGAAGCAAGAAACAGACAAGGAAGGCTTCTCTCTTACAGGTTTTAGAGGGAACATGCCTCTGCTGACACCTTGATTTTGGATTCGTAGCCTCCAAACTGTGAGTCAATACATTTTCTGTTTTTATGCCACCAGTTTATGGTACTTTGTGGTACCGCTGCCCCTTGGAATCCACGCAGGATTGGTTCCAGAACTCCCTACCACCACCCGCCAATACCAAAATCCACAGATGCTCAACTCCCCTATATAAAATGGGGTCATATTTACATAAAACCTATGCACCTCCTCCTGTGTACTTTAAATTATCTCTGGATTACTTATAATACCTAATACAATATAAATGCCATATAAATAGTTGTTTTAAGGCCAGCCATGCCTGTAATCCCAGCATTTGGGGAGGCTAAGGTGGGAGGACCACATGAGGCCAGAAGTTCAAGACCAGCCTGGGCAACATGGTGAAACTCCATATCCATTTCTCTATTTTTATTTATTTATTTATTTATTTTTTGAGACGAGTCTCACTCTGTTGCCCAGGCTGGAGTGCAGTGGCGCAATCTCAGCTCACTGCAACCTCCACCTCCTGGGTTCAAGCGGTTCCCAACCCTCAGCCTCCTAAGTAGCTGAGATTACAGGCGTGCACCACCAAGCCTGGCTAATTTTTGTATTTTTTAAATAGAGACAGGGTTTCACCATATTGGCCAGGCTGGTCTCAAACTCCTGGCCTCAAGTGATCTGCCCACCTCAGCCTCCCAACGTGGTGGGATTACAGGCGTGAGCCACTGCACCCAGCCCCATCTCTATTTTTTTAAAAAAATGGTTGTTATACTGTATTGTGTTTTATTTATATTATTTTTCACTGTTTTTTTCCAAACATTTTCAATCCATGGTTGGTTGAATCTGTGGATGTGAAATCTACAGACACAGAGGGCCAACTGTACAGCAGTCCTGGGAAATGAATACAGTAATCAATTCCATTCACTCCTACCATAACACAGACTTCTGTGAAATTCTCCTAGGCAGAACCAGAAACAAACACCTTAACATGGACTTGTATATGATTAGAAATAAATATTAAATATAAACACCAAATAGTACGTCAGGCTTTGTCCACAAGGAGGATATTAATAACCCACCATCCATATGACATGAGCTTTCAACTGTTTTTCTAGAAGCAGTGAGCAACATACCTGTCTACAGATACATAGGTAAATAAGCTTTTCTTGCATGGAGACTAGCTGGTTTTACTTAAACAGTGGACAATCTTCAGGCGCATATTTACCTGGAACATTTGCATCTTCACTTCCATGGATGTCTTCCCGACCCAGCTAACATGGCCACTGAACTTAATGTCCTGTTCTGGGCTCAAGCTCTTCTTACACATATCTGCAAAACAGAAGTCAATCAGGGTCCAAGTCATACCAAAAATTTTCTGTTCTGTAAATATGAACAATTAGAAATTATGGCAAATTCCACTACATTTCTTTTTTGTCTTCAAAACTAAAATAACTTTTTTGACACGCAGAAGAAATCTACATGTGTTTTTGAAAAATGTAGAAAAAGCAAAGAATATAAAAAATAAAACTGGAATCATGCAAAACCCACCTAATTATAATAAATATCTTGGTATACAGCATTCTAGACATTTTCATATGCATATATACATTAAAATTCCCCATAAAGGGCTAGGCACGGTGGCTCATGCCTGTAATCCCAGCACTTTGGGAGGCCGAGGCAGGTGGATCACCTGAGGTCAGGAGTTTGAGACCAGCCTGGCCGACATGGTGTAATCCCATCTCTACTAAAAATACAAAAATTAGCCGGGCGTGGTGGCACATGCCTGTAATCTCAGCTACTCGGGAGGCTGAGGCAGGAGAATTGCTTGAACCTGGGAGGCGAAGGTTGCAGTGAGCCAAGATCGTGCCATTACACTCCGGCCTGGGTGACAAGAGCAAAACTCCGTCTCAAAAAAAAAAAAAATTCCCATAAAAGGAGAGTACGTCCTGTAATCTCAATAATATCTTGAAATTACTAAGAATTCTAAGTATGCATAGAAAATGATATCACTTACCAATCTTATCCACCAGGGCTGTAACTATCGATAAAGGAGACATCTTGGCGGAGTGGATTTTGTTGTGCATGTAACAAATAAGAACTGCAGGGAAACAGGAGTGTACCAAATTTTAAAAAGGCAGAATTATTTCCCAACATTTAAAATTTCCTCCCTGAGATCCATGAAAAGCCTTGTCTCGCTTGGAAGATCCAGCCCCTAATATTCCATTGATCATCTTATCCTAGGATCAAACACTTTTATAAATTGAAGGATTTGGGAGATCCTCCAATCTGACTGCCCCCTCAATTTTAAGATTTGGTGAAGAAATCAAAGCCCGAAGCAAGCCCAGACCCACCAGACAGCTTGTTACCACTCCACAGAGACTCAGTGCCCAAATCAGAGTAAGAACTCAGCACATGAGTCTGACAGTATCAAACATCTTCAGGAAAGAGAAACAAAGCACAAGGACTTGGCTACCTGTTTTCCTCCTGGCTTTGTCCTAATTAATCATGAAACAATTATTTCACTCAGTTATCCCTCCTTCCCCATAACACCCTTGACTCCTATACCACCCTGTGGTTATCTGTATACTTTCCATATTTTAACAAGCATTTATATGTGCCATGCATGGTTCATGCACCTTACAGATATCAACTCATTTAAAGTCGTATAATTATACGTTGGGCCGGGCGCGGCGGCTCAGCCTGTAATCCCAGCACTTTGGGAGGCCAAGGCAGGCGGATCACGAGGTCGAGAGATCGAGACCATCCTGGCTGACATGGTGAAACCCCATGTCTACTAAAAATACAAAAATTAGCCGGGCGTGGTGGCGTCCCAGTTACTCAGGAGGCTGAGGCAGGAGAATCAATTGAACCCAGGAGGCAGAGGTTGCAGTGAGCCGAGATCGTACCACTGCACTCCAGCCTGGCAACAGAGCAAGACTGTCTCAAAAAAAAAAAAAAAAAAAAAAAAGTTGTATGATTATATGTTGATTGGCTCCCTGCTTCCCCCATGATCCATTCAAATTTGTATCACAAACTCTCAGACAAGATATGTGGCTCAATAAATACTTGTTGAGTAAGTGTAAATCCTTCCATCTATGCACCTGCTAAAGGACACACTGGGGGAATGATAGGCTAAAGGCAATAAACTCCATTTAAAAGTCTTTGTCCAGCAAAGAAATCAGATGGCTCCAACCTATGGCAACAGGAGTAGAAATGAAAAGACTATGAGTTAAGAAGAAGGTAAACCTGAGAAGACTTGAATAAATTCAGTTTTCTAGCTTGCATAGGTAAGCGTGGTGTACTAGTCACTGAAAAAGAGAAGAGAGACTGGGCACAGTGGCTCATGCCTGTAATCCCAACACTTTTAGAGGCGAAGGCAGGAAGATCACTTGAGCCTAGGAGTTCAAGACCAGCCCAGGCAACACAGCAGAGACTCCATCTCTACCAAAAACACAAAAGTTAGCCAGGTGTGGTGGCACATGCCTGTAGTCCCAGCTACTCGGGAGATAGGTAGGAGGATTGCTTGAACCCAGGAGGTCAAGACTGTAGTTAGCCATGATCATGCCGCTACACTCCAGCCTGAACAACAGAGTAAGACTCTGTCTCAAAATAAAAAGAGAATATAGGAAGAAAAGAATGGGCCATTTTCAATGCGTTGAATTTGAAGAGCCTATGGCACATCCAAATGAAGGTATTGGGGAGGGCACAGTTGTTCACACCTGTAATCCTAGGGCTTTGCAAGGCCATAGCAGGAGGATCACGTGAGCCCAGAGCTTGAGACTAGCCTGGGCAACAGAGTGAGACCCCTGTCTCTACAAAAAACTTTAAAAATTAGGCCAGGCATGGTGGATCAAGCCTGTAATCCCAGCACTTTGGAAGACAGAGGCAGATGGATCACTTGAGCCCAGGAGTTCCAGACCAGCCCAGGCAACATGGTGAGATCCCGTCTCTACAGTAAAATACAAAAATTAGCCAGGCATGGTGGCGTGTGCCTGTGGTCCCAGCTACTTGAGAGGCTAAGATGGGAGGATGCTTGAGCCCGAGATGTCGAGGATACAGTGAGTGGTGATCGCACCACTGGACTCCACCCTGGGTGACAGAGCAAGACCCTATTCCAAAAAAACAAAACAAATTAGCCAGGCATGGTGCAGTGTGCCTATAGTCCCAGCTACTCAGGAGGCTGAGGCAGAAGGAACACTTGAGCCCGCAAGTTTAAGGTTGCAGTAGGCTATGATTTTACCACTGCACTACAGCCCGGGCAACAGAGTGAGACTGTCTCTAAAAAAGAAAAATAAATCTAGTAGCTAAGAGGAAAAATTGATTGAAACTCAGAAAAGCAGGCCAGAAAATGTAGCTTTGTAAGTATTCAGCATACTGATAGCAACTGAAACACTGGGAGTAGATGAGTTTATAGAGAATCTGCAACGTCAACCCAAAAAAGGGCAGAAGGGAAGGGTAGAGAAGAGACGGAGGAAAATGTAATATAAATGTAGTTTTTACCACTGATCAGTACACTTAAAAATGATAAAGATGAGCCAGGCGCGGTGGCTCACACCTGTAATCCCAGCACTTTGGGAGGCCGAGGTGGGGGGATCACCTGAAGTCACGAGTTTGAGACCAGCCTGACCAACATGGCAAAACCCCATCTCTACTAAAGATACAAAAATTAGCTGGGCGTTGTGGTAGATGCCTGTAATCCCAGCTACGTCGAAAGCTGAGGCAGGAGAACTGCTCGAACTCGAGAGGCAGAGGTTACAGTGAGCCGAGATGGTGCCACTGCACTCCAGTCTAGGTGACAGAGTGAGACTCTGTCTCAAAAAAAAAAAAAAAAAAAGATAAAGATGGTAAATTTTATATTTTAACCTCAACTGAAAAAATAGGGCTGGGCGCAGTGGCTCACACCTGTAATCCCAACACTTTGGGAGGCCGAGGTGGGGGGATCCCTTGAGTCCAGCAGTTTGGGACCAGCCTGGGCAACATGGCAGACCTTGTCTCTACTAAAAATCAAAAAAATTAGCTGGGCATGGTGGTGTGCACCCGTAGTCCCAGCTACTCAGGAGGCTAAGGCAGGAGGACTGCTTGAGCCAGGAGGTCAAGGCTACAGTGAGCTGTGATCACGCCACTGCACTCCAGCCTGGGTGACAGAGTGAGACCCTGTCTCAAAAACTAAATAAATAATTTTAAAAGATTTAACAATTTTATTGTTAAATTTTAAAATGCCTTAAAATTTAATTAATATGAACAAATTATAAAATTCAAAAGGCCGGGCGCAGTGGCTCACGTCTGTAATCCCAGCACTTTGGGAGGCCGAGGCGAGTGGATCACCTGAGGTCAGAAGTTCGAGACCAGCCCGGCCAACATGGTGAAACCCCGTCTCTACTAAAGATACAAAAAATTAGCCGGGCGTGGTGGTGTGTGCCTGTTATCCCAGCTACATGGGAGGCTGAGGCAGGAGAATCCCTTGAACCCGGGAGATGGAGGATGCAGTGAGCTGAGATAGCGCCATTGCACTCCAGCCTGGGCAACAAGAGCGAAACTACAGCTCAAAAAAAATAAATAAACAAAATAAAATAAAATAAATTCAAAAAATAATCAGTTTTTGAAAGGGCAGAAGACAAAACCCTGGGGATAACCTACATTTAAGGGATCAACAGAAAAAGAGGAACCTACAAAGGGGACTACAAAAGAGCAGCCAGAGAAGCAGAAGGAAATGTCACCAAAGCCCAAGGATGGGCTGGACGATATAAGAAGCCACAAAGGGGTCAGGTCAGCCCTGAAAAGTATCCATTCAACTGTGCAGTAAAGGGGCCAATGGCGAGCTTGGCAAGAGCAGATTCAATGGCGTGGAGGAGCAGAAGCCGGAACACAGCCGACCGGGAAATGTTTAATTAACAGGAAGTTAGCATAAAGAGGCAATGAGAGCAGGTGATTTTCTAGGTTCTTTTCAGAAAGTGAGCTATGAAGTAAGGAAGAAAGTGTGAGGTGTTATAAGGAAAGAGGATTTTTTACTTATCTTTTTTTTTTTTTTTGACTCAGAGCCTCACTCTGTCACCCAGGCTGGAATGCAGTGGTGCGATCTCAGCTCACTGCAGCCTCCACCTCCCGGGTTCAAGCCATTCTCCTGCCTCAACCTCCTGAGTAGTTGGGACTACAGGCACATGCCACTACACCCGGCTAATTTTTGTGTTTTTGAGACAGAGTCTCGCTCTGTTGTCCAGGCTGGAGTCTATCTCAGCTCACTGCAACCTCTGCCTCCCAGGCTCAAGCGATTCTCGTGCCTCAGCCTCCCGAGTAGCTGGGATTACAGGCACGCACCACCACGCCCGGCTACTTTTTGTAGTTTTAGTAGAGACGGGGTTTCACCATATTGCCCAGGCTGGTCTCGAACTCCTGGCCTCAAGTGATCCACCCGCCTCGGCCTCCCAAACTACTGGGATTACAGGCGTAAGCCACCCTGCCCGGCCTATTTTTCATTTTAAGATGGAAGAACCTTGAATATGTTTATAACTTGAGGGAAAAGTGAAGTTGAGAAAAGGCTCAGGAAATGAGGGAGAAAGCCAAGTGATAAGGCAGTTCCTTGAAGAAATAGAAGGAATAGAATCAAGTGAACAGGTTAAAGGGACTGGCCATCAACAGAAGTTAATGAGCAAGAAAGAGGGTAGTGGCAGGGGAGTTTGTATATATAAGGACACCTAAGCAAACCAAAGTCAATCAGGCTGTAGTGCAGTGGTGTCACCACAGCTCACTGCAGCCTCGACTTCCTGGGCTGAAGCAATCCTCCCACCTCAGTCTTCTGAGTAGCTGGAACTACTAGTGCATGCCACCATGCCCAGCTAATTTTTTGGGTTTTGTAGAGATGGGGACTCACTATGTTTCCCAGGCTGGTCTCAAAGTCTTGGCCTCAAGCGATCCTCCTGCCTCGATCTCCCAAAGTGCAAGGATTACAGGTGTGAGCCACTGTGCCCAGCCAAGAATTTTTAACTGGGTTTATTTAATCTAGAGAAAAGTAGTTGCTAGGCGTAAGCTTAACAACAAGCTTGTATCTATATTTTAAAAGTTAGGGCCTGGCATGGTGGCTCACACCTGTAATCCCAGCACTTTGGGAGGCCGAGGCAGGCAGATCACCTGAGGTCAGGAGTTTGAGACCAGACTGGCCAACATGGTGAAACCCCGTCTCTACTAAAAATACAAAAATTAGCCAGATGTGATGGCGGGTGCCTGTAATCCCAGCTGTTCAGGAGGCTGAGGCAGGAGAATCGCCTGAACCCAGAGGCAGAAGATGCAATGAGCCAAGATCGGACCACTCTACTCCAGGCCGGGCAACAAGAGTGAGACTCTGTCTCAAAAAAAAAAAAAAAGGCCAGGCACGGCGGCTCACACCTGTAATCAGAACTTTAGGAGGCTGAGGCAGGAAGATCCTTTGAGCCCAGGAGTTCACGAAAAACCTGGGCAACACAGGGAGACCCCATCTCTATAAAAAAATAGTTTTTTAAACAATATATTAGAACCCTTTTTCAGACCCTTTCCCAACCATTCAGCCCAAATATCATTAGGTGGGAGCAAGTAAGGTAACCTAGAGTAGGGTGCTGGCATCCAAGCACGGTGAGGAGGACATCCTTGCAGAGAGGCTGCAAGAGTGATGGCAGAGCATGTCACAGCTTGAGCACAATGAAGAGGGTGAGCCTGCAGAGGGGGACCTGGTGTGGGGTACCAGAGCCCAGGTAAGGTGAGGGGAGCATCCATGATGCATGAGGGGTGGCAGCCATAGGAAATTGGTCACATACAGCGGAACTGATTAAATAAGTCAATATATTAAGGAGAATGGAGCCAGTTGGAGAAGGGAATTACAAATATGGAAAGGAAGGAAATGAGAATGAACCCCGTGGTGGCTGAACTGGAATTGGAGCTATCAGTGCGATCCCATGGTTTTCATACATACATCTGTACAAAGATTTAGAAATAACATATATGTACGTATATGCACATATATTTCCCAGCTCCTCCACTAAGAGGGTATGGGAGCAGTGATACCCAGGAATAATGACCACTCCCAACGCACATATCTCCATTTCAAAATATCATCCTCCACTTCAAAATATCATTCTCCATTTCAAAAAAGGGCTCCTTGGAGATGTGGGTGATTCTAGGACTGGGGCAGGGAAAAGCATAAGATGAGCCTAGAATATTTTATTGTGCCAGAAAGTGAGAAAGTGCTCAAAGAATAATGGGGACACATCAAAGAAAACCACACAGAAGCTAGCCTGAAGGGACTGGGACACTCCTGGGATCATGTGAACATCAAATAGATGATAGTAACATATTATAGTCCATTCAGTAACATAGGAATTCCTGAGTCCATACTGATTTAAAAATAATGAATTGAAAGTCTGATGAAGGTCTCAAAGTTACCTGCCACCCCCCCCCACATAAGGTACTTATTAATTACAAAGGGGAAAAGAGTAACTTTACAGTGAAGAACAGTGGCAGACATCATCGTCATCCAGTAAGCAAAGCTGATATCATCAGTAATGAGACAAATCAAAACCATGCACCACTTGATAGGATACAATAAGAACAGAGCATCCCTTCTGTGACATTCCTGCCAGAGATGCATAACCCAAAGCTAATCATGAGGAAGCACCACACAGACCCAAATTGAGGGACAATACACAAAAGAACCATGTCAAAGTCACGAAAGTCAAAGAAAGATTAAGGAACTAGTCCTGACATGACAATTAAATCAACATATGATTCAGAACTGGATCCTTCTGCTATGAAGGACCACTGGCAAAAGTTGAATGGGACCTGAGGATTAGACAGTATGACACATCAGTGTTAATTTCCTGATTTTTTATGGTTGTTTTGTAGTTATGTAGAAGAATGTCCTTGTTTGTAGGAAAGACATATTCAAATATTTGGGGGTGATGTGGCATCATGTCAGCCACTTATTCTCACATAATTCAGGGACAAAAAATTTTTTTCTTTTTTATTTTTGAGACGGAGTCTCACTCTGTCGCCCAGGCTGGAGTGCAGTGGCGCGATCTCGGCTCAATGCAACCTCCACCTCCCAGGTTCAAGTGATTCTCCTGCCTCAGCCTCCTGAATAGCTGGGACTACAGGCGTATGCCACCACGCCTGGCTAATTTTTTGTATTTTTAGTAGAGATGGGGTTTCACCATGTTAGCCAGGATGGTCTCGATCTCCTGACCTTGTGATCTGCCTGCCTCAGCCTCCCAAAGTGCTGGGATTATAGGCGTGAGCCACCGCGCCTGGCCACAGAAAAATTCTTTATACTGTATTTGCAACTTTTCTGTAAGTTTAAGACTTTCTTTTTTTAAAGTTACTAGTAAGAAAGATTATTCAGACTATACCTCCATTAAATAGGAATCTACATTTATAAGAAAAAAATTATGACAATTCAGAAGTAGTAGATGCCATTTTTTTTTTTTTTTTTTGGAGATGGAGTTTCACTCTTGTTACCCAGGCTGTAGTGCAATGGCACGATCTCAGCTCACCGCAACCTCTGCCTCCCAGGTTCAAGTGATTCTCTTGCCTCAGCCTCCCAAGTAGCTGGGATTACGGCGCCCACCAACACAACTGGCTAATTTTGTATTTTTAGTAGAGACGGGGTTTCTCCATGTTGGTCAGGCTGGTCTCAAACTCCCAACCTCAAGTGATCCGCCCGCCTCAGCCTCCCAAAGTGCTGGGATTACAGGCATGAGCCACCACGCCCGGCCGATGTCCTTCTTTTTTTGTGCACTTTAGAATATCATCATCTGTGCAGGTTAAAGAATAAAAGAGCCCTTTCCAGTCACAGAATTCAATGTATATCTGTAGGTATCTATTAGAAAGACTAAAATAATACCAGTACCTCCCAAGCTGTCAAGATCCTCAAGAATCCTGCCAAATCTGTGAAATAAAGCAAACAGTGAATTAAATGCAAATCATGTTGGTCTCCCTTTAAAAATAAATAACACACTTCAGGGTGATGAAAATGTTCTAAAATTGACTGTGGTGATGGATGCACAACTCTCTAAATATATCAAAACCATGGAACTGTACACTTTAAACAGGCGAATTGTATGGTGTGTGAATTATATTTCAAAATTGTTATAAAACAAGGAAATAAAAACAAATACATAAAAATAGCACTGTGTTACCTTACGGTGTTTTGAACAGTCAAATATTTCTCTCGTAATTCAGGCTCACTGCCCAAAGGCAAGAGAACTTCAATATAACTGTCCTTCATTCTCCTAGGAGGCAGTCCATCCTGTGATTTAGCCAAGAAACTATGAAGTAATTTCCTTTCTTCCATTGCCTTCACATGGTCTCTGAGAAGAAAGGATGCAGGATTCATAAAACAAGAGCAGTTCTAGCCCACAATTCCAGTGGTACACAGGCCAGTAAGATACCATCAAAGGAGGAAAAAGAAGGTCTGGGCCTACTTTCACCTTCTCTTCCTTCCCTCCCTTCCCACCTGCCACTTGGTGAAATTGATCATTTCCGGTATCATTTCTCAAGCTTAAAAACATTCTTAAGGCCAGGTGCAGTGTCTCACGCCTGTAATCCCAGCATTTTGGGAGGCCAAGGCGGGTGGATCACACGAGGTCAGGGGTTCAAGACCAGCCTGGCCAACATGGCAAAACTCCGTCTCTACTAAAAATACAAAAAATTAGCCAGGTGTGGTGGTGGGCACCTGTAATCCCAGCTACTTGGTAGGCTGAGGCAGGAGAATTGCTTGAACGTGGGAGGCGGAGGTTGCAATGAGCCAAGATCACACCACTGCACTCCAGCCTGGGCAACAGAGCAAGACTGTCTCAAAAAAAAAAAAAAAAAAGAAAACTTAAAACTGATATAGATATACCCAAATGAGCCATATATTCACCCTTATCAAAAAGTTTACTCAAAGACCAGAATATTTGAAATTAAATTAAAAATTTAGAGAGATGGACAAAATAGTATATATATATACATATAAATATATATGCTAAAGAATGGCTTGGCCACTCTACTTTATATTCCCATTTCTCACCTGACAGTTCTCGGATTCTTTGAGCCCCAGTTCTCTCTCTCTCTCTGCCTTCAATTTCAGGAAAGAGAGACAGAGGAGGGAAAATGGACTATATCCAAAGGAAGTATGGAAGGCAGAACAAAAGGTAAAGAAGAACATAACATGAAAAGGAGACAGAAAGGGAAGAAAAAGAAGAGAAGATTAAGGTGAAAGAGAAAAGAAAGACAAGGGGATACGGAACGACAATGTTGATAAGAACATTAGCTAAGATGTCTTTCTAAGCTTAACTTATAAAGTATTATTTCCAGAAATGTTTACCCTACAAAAACTACAGGAGATAGAGGAATGAGTTAAATGACACCAGTAAATCCAGAATGTGGAACATTCTCAAGACAAATGGCTTGGCCTCCTTAAAGTCAAGCTCATGGGGGAAGAATAGGGGAAGGACGACTGTCCATTACTCTAGATTAGGGAAGACTAAAGAGTCATAACCACCAGATGCAACATGCAATCCTTTATTGGATCTTGATGTTTTTTAAACAGCTATAAAAACATTTTTGTTAAAAGGAGTAATCTATTACACAAAATGGTAACAGTTGAGGAAATGTGACTATGGATGAGTAATATACTAGCAAGGAATTGCTGTCAATTTGATTACATGAGAGAATGTCTTATTTGTTGGAGATAAGCGAAGGCTGGTTTTATAAAATGTTTACTGAAGATGCACGCTGAAGTGTCATGGTGTCTATAATTTACTTAGAAATGGTTCAGGCAATATGTGTATATTGGAAAATTTGGCAAAATATTAATAAGTATGGAATCCAGGTGGTGGGTACACAGGTATTCATTCTTTCTACCTTTTAGTAAAGTGAAATTTTTCATATAAAGAATTTAAAAATAAGTCATTAGATAATTTCTATACCAACAATAGATTATTATATATCTAGTGATCACTCGTGTTTTTTCTATCTCATTTTAGCCTCAAAATTATGTACACCAAGAGGGATATGATCCTACTTTACAACAAGGAAATACTGCGAGAAAGAGAAAGACAATATGGGAGGCCTGACTAATTTTGAACTGACAAGAAGCAATAAAGGAGTCAAGTTGCATGAAACAGAGAAACTTAGCGACTTGGGTTCAAGTCCCAAACCCTGACATTTAATCATTCAATCTCTGAGTTTCAGTTTCATGTGTAAAAAAAGGAACAGGAACATATGTCGTAAGCACGTCACAAGTTTTGTTATGAGAATCAGTGAAGTAATATACACCTAAATGCACTTTGAAAATGCAGAATATACGTAAATCATCTTCTTTCATGACAATGAGGTGTCATCTGATGAGTATGTTGAAATGTTGACCTTCTCCCCCAAGCAAAATACTTCTCAACCTATCTCTGAACATAGGGCTCCCCATCCCCACTGTGAGACCATCAACTGAGCCTAAATACAGTGTAGTATAATACCTTGGGGATGAAAAGAATGAATGAAAACAAAGATGCATACCTCCAGTTTGTGGATGCTCCTACTATCTCCCGCAACTTATCTCGAACTGAAACAAAAATAAAGAGGTCATTCCATGAAACAAAGAAATATGAGAAACGGATTATGGCAATGAGCTCAAGAACTACAAAAAGCAATTCATGCACTCAAAAGATTTAAAGATCCATAGATTTCCATTTAATGCCACAACAAACAGCTCAGGGACAGGATCAAGCCTCTGCTCCCTAAAAACCTGAAAGAACTATACTGTCTCTTTAAAGGTGCACAAATGAATACCTTTGTGCCAATCACTAGGGTTTATATAAACAAACAAAAAAGGATAACTTCAATTATTCACTTAATGGGGCTGTATCAGTGTTAGCCAGTAAGAGCCATTATGATGGAGATATGAACAGGATTCCCACCTATCTTCTTTTTTGTTGTTTTTTTTGAGATGGTCTCACTCTGTCACCCAGGCTAGAGTTCGGTGGCACAATCTCGGCTCACTGCATCCTCCACCTCCCGGGTTCAGGCGATTCTCCTGCCTCAGTCTCCCAAGTAGCTGGGATTACAGGCGCTGTGCCACCACACCCGGCTAATTTTTGTAGTTTTGTTTTGTTTTGTTTTGTTTGAGACAGAGTTTCGCTCTTGTTGCCCAGCCTGGAGTGCAATAGCACGATCTCAGCTCACTGCAACCTCCGCCTCCCGGGTTCAAGTGATTCTCCTGCCTCAGCCTCCCGAGTAGCTGGGATTGCAGGCAGGCATCACCATGCCCTGCTAATTTTGTATTTTTAGTAGAGATGGGGTTTCACTATGTTGGTCAGGCTGGTCTTGAACTCCTGACCTCAGGTGATCCGCCTGCCTCGGCCTCCCAAAGTGCTGGGATTACAGGTGTGAGCCACTGCGCCTGGCCCCCACCTATCTTCTTATACGCAGTAATAGATCAAATTACTTAGTTCAGAGACTAATACTAATATCCAAATCTGAGTCTCATTATAATTAATTTCTCATATATTTATAGTCTCCTGGTTGTTAGAAAAGTTTAAGCCAGAAAAATGAAGCAAAGACTTACATCAAGCTAAGGCAAAGAATGCAATTTTAGTTAATGCCACTGCCCAAAAGTGCAAGCGTATATTAGTGCTTACAAAATTTAAGCTCTTAAAAGAAAAGCTGATACTAATTACCACACACACCATGATTCACATGTATAGATGAACATGCTATATGAATAAAGGGAAAATCAATTAGAGAACCAGCAATAATTCAAAACTAAAAGATAAATCTGTAGTATTTCAAATACTGTGTTGAGTTTATGTGTTTTTCCTAGCACTTCAAAATATACATTCCAGTTATAGGAAATTAACTATAGCAATCCTCAGTCCTTCAATAACTAACTGATCAAAACCAAATATAATTTATATGAACATGCATTTTAACTTTCATGAAAAATGGTTGATTTTTCTATCAAACAATTTTGGATACACCATAAATTTGATGTATAATTACAACTAAATGTTAGAGAACTGCAAACAACAACCATTAGTAACTTAGTCTTATTTCTGATTTTTTCCTCCTAAGTTCCTTGAATAAAAGAATGGATGGGGCCGAGGTGGGTGAATCATGAGGTCAGGAGTTCAAGACCAGCCTGGCCAAGATGGTGAAACCCCGTCTCTACTAAAAATACAAAGATTAGCCTGGCATGGTGGGCACCTGTAATCCCAGCTACTCAGGAGGCTGAGGCAGAGAATCACTTGAACCTGGGAGGCGGAGGTTGCAGTGAGCCAAGATCCCACCACTGCACTCCAGCCTATGCGACAGAGTGAGACTTCATCTCAAAAAAAAAAAAAAAAAAAAAAGGCTCACACCTGTAATCCCAGCACTTTGGGAGGCCAAGACAGGCAGATTACTTGAGGCCAGGAGTTCAAGACCAGCCTGGCCAACGTGGCGAAACTCCATCTCTCCTAAAAATACAAAAATTAGTTGGGCGTGGTGGAGCATGCCTGTAATCCTAGCTACTAGGGAGGCAGAGGTTGCAGTGAGCCGAGATCCTGCCACTGCACTCCAGCCTGGGTGACAGAGCAAGACTCCATCCCAAAAAAAAAAAAAAAAAAAAAAAAAAAAAAGAATGGACAGAAAGTACCTCAAATAGTACATGGACTACTGATGCTCACTGACATAAAATAATTACTACTAGCTTAATCAGTGTAAGAAGAGAGGCAAGTATTGAGGGCCAAGAAGGAAAAACTTTTTAATTTTACTTACATATATATTTATATACACACATAATATAAATTTATTTGGACCCTTTAAAGAAGCCGCAATTTTAATTATAACGAATACTCCTAGTTTAATAAAGACAATCCATAGTTTACGTATCATATTGGTAATTGAAATTAACTTTAATTAAGCATGGACTAACAGGATCCCTCGAACATAACTATGGACTAGGAGTGTTTACTTGATACAACTAATGGGCCCATCTCTTTTTTTCCATGCCTTCAGAACCTACACACAGGAAGTGGAAATCACCTAACTAAAAGAGCTCAGTCCTCAAGGCTCCCAGGAACAATAGTTCAAAATCTGAATGTGACTTCTATCTGAAGCTATTAATATTATGCAGCTATCCTGGTCATTTTGTCAATGAAATGTTTATGAAAGATCTACCTTTAATATGCCTCATTTGCTCTAAACTATCACTCTATATACCTTTCAAATAAAAGTAAAACAAGGTTTTTCACCACATAGGCATCAAACAGAGACACCATGCTTGCCTTCATGAATGTGGAAGATTCCCTGTTTCTTGGGGTTCTGGGGTCCTTGAGTCAGTCCTCTTCCAGGAGTAAGCTGCCCTTTGCCCAAGGCACAAAGCCTATAAAACAAGATAAAACACAGAGCAGATCCCACAGCTTCTTCCCTGGCAACCCTAAAGACCTACCCTCCTCCCAGAGTATCTGGCCATATCACCCTTAGTATATATTGTCTTGTAGGAGTCTGTAGCTGTTTCACAAGTATATGTATGTTTTCATGAGGCTATTCCATAAATCATCTCTCCCACTAGAGTAAACATTTCTTGAGAGCAGAGACCAATTAGGTAATTATCTACAAAATAAATAAAAGACGGCAACTAGGTTTAATGCATTTATTATTGGTCTTTCTATTTTATTAGTTTCAGAAGTCCATAATCGATTTAGTAAACAACTGAGCAAACTCATTATGAACAATTTATTCTGTTCTTTATTATCGCACCATATTTCCTCAATAAATAAGATAAACCCAATTATAAAGTAAACTTTGAAAATTGAATTAGCCCTTTCCAGATGCAAAGAAAGTATTTATTTAACTTACGCAGAAATTTTCTAGAGTCCCAACACAATAAAATAAAAGCTATCTACTGGCCACGGTGGCACAGGCCTGTAATCCCAGCACTTTGGGAGGCTGAGGCAGGTAGACAGGTTGAGCCCAGGAGTTCAAGACCAGCCTGGGCAACATGGCAAAACCCCATCTCTACAAAAAATACAAAAATTAGCCGGGCGTGGTGGCATGCACCTGTGGTCCCAGCTACTCAAGAGGCTCAGATGGGAGGATCACTTGAACCCAGGAGGTCGAGGCTGCAGTGAGCCAAGATTGTACCACTGCACTCCAGCCTAGGCAACAGAGTGAGACCCTGCTTCAAAAAAATAAAAAATAAAAGCTGTCTACCTAAATGTGCCTAACCTACTCTCCCAAAATAAGTTGATTTTGGTTCATTATTGCTTAAGCATTGACTCCTAATCACACAATATTATGTCAGGGGTAGCACACAGGCAATATCACAGATTAATAAACTGATCTGTGAGAGCACAGTTGAAGAAGGCAAGGCACTGAATAGGTTAAGAACCCCGCAGGCCAGGCGTGGTGGCTCATGCCTGTAATCCCAGCACTTTGAGAAGCCAAGGCAGGTGGATCACTTGAGGTCAGGAGTTCGAGACCAGCCTGGCCAACATGGTGAAACACTGTCTGTACTAAAAATCCAAAAATTAGCCGGGTGTGGTGGCAGGCACCTGTAATCCCAGCTACTTGTGAGGCTGAGGCAGGAGAATCGCTTGAACCCAGGAGATGGAGGTTGCAGTGAGCCGAGAACACACCACTATACTCCAGCCTGGGCAACAGAGCAAGACTCTGTCTCAAAACAAAAACAAAAATAAAACAAACAAACAAAAAAAACCCAGAACCCCAGATACTGTCACTCATTCCAGTTCAATTTACTAGTAAATTCTCACCACCTAATGTGGGAATAAGCAATGACTAACAACAAAAAAAAGAGATATTTTTAGTTTTCTTTACAGACCAAGCTACTATAGGTTTCTCTTCTGAATGACAGCATTCAGAGAAAGCCTCTCAGTATTTACAGTATTCTGTAAAATCTACATGCAGTTTTGACACTGTGCTGTTAGAACAAATCCTTATCCTTTCACCAAGTCAAATCATCTAATTGCACAGAACACAGAAATATGAGCACATACTCATTGGCTAATTGAACTTCTTAGTCACCAGTCATCTTATTTGGTTGCAATACAATCCCTGCTGGTCCACTAAGACCAAAATTCTTGCTGGAGGGTTTGGGGTTTTGGATCTGTTTATTCTTCAATCACACAGCTAACAAGCCTCTCTCTTAAATATTTTAGCTTCACTTTTTCACGATAAATATTCAATTCCTGTACTTTCGTATACAGATTAATATTTGTCTTTTTTTTTTTTTTTAGACAGAGTCTCGCTCTGTCGCCCAGGCTGGAGTGCAGTGGTGCGATCTCGGCTCACTGCAAGCTCTGCCTCCCGGGTTCACGCCATTCTCCTGCCTCAACCTCCCGAGTAGCTGGGACTACAGGCGCCGCCACCGCGCCCGGCTAATTTTTTGTATTTTTAGTAGAGACGGGGTTTCATCATGTTAGCCAGGATGGTCTCAAACTCCTGACCCTGTGATCTGCCCACCTTGGCCTCCCAAAGTGCTGGGATTACAGGCATGAGCCACCGCACCTGGCCGTCTTTTTGTTTTTGACCATCTAATCTGCATTTTCTCAGAACGTGATTTGAATTTTCCATTTTTTTCATTATTTTGTTTTATGTATCTTCTATAGGTTCATATGCCTTACTGAAGGAAACAGAGTAAGTATTCCTTCATTCTTCCATCTCAGAAACAAGCAGCCAGGCATGGTGGCTCATGCCTGTAATCCTAACACTTTGGGAGGCTGAGGTGGGTAGATCACCTGAGGTCAGGAGTCCGAGACCAGCCTGGCCAACATGGTGAAACCCTATCTCTATTAAAAACATAAAAATTAACCAGGCATGGTGGCGCACACCTGTAGTCCCAGCTACTCTGGAGGCTGAGGCAGAATCACTTGAACCCAGGAGGCAGAGGTTGCAGTGAGCTGAAATGGCCCCATTGCATTCCAGCCTGAGCAACAGAGCAAGACTCCATCTCAAAAAAGAAACTAGCATTCTACAACTGAATATATCTGGTTTTAAAGAACACACTGGAAAAAGCTAATCCTTTCTATTGCTACCATTAGCTGAAAGAGCAAAAAAATCATGACCCCCAACACATTAATAGGAACTATAATAGACACGTTAAATGTATCCAACATAAGAAATGGGATCTGATTCTGAATGGCTAAATACCCTGAATACGCATCACTAACAGGAGCTATATAACCAGTCTCACATACCTGAATAAATACACATATACACAGAAATTGTTTTGTTACACTAAGAAGCAGCATTTTCTGAAGAGGGATGAAAATCATTCCATCCTGTTTGTGTGAGAGGCAATACAGTATAGGGGTTAACCCAAAGGCTGGGCGCAGTGGCTCATGCCTGTAATGCCAACACTTTGGGAGGCCGAGGCAGGCGTATCACTTGAGGTTAGGAGTTTGAGACCAGCCTGGCCAATATGGTGAAACCCCGTCTCTACTAAAAATATGAAAATTAGCTGGGCATGCTGGCGGGCACCTGCAGTCCCAGCTACTCGGGAGTCTGAGGCAGGAGTATTGCTTCAACCCAGGAGGCGGAAGCTGCGGTGAGCCGAGATCGTGCCACTGCACAGCGAGACTCTGTCTCAAAAAAAAAAGAGCCCAATCATGCTGCTTGTTAGCTGAGTTACCTTAGACAAGTTACCTAACCTCCCTGATCCTCAGTTTCCTCATCTGTAAAATGGGGATAATAATACTACCTATCCCATAGGATTGTCAAAAGGATAAAGGAATTAACACATATTAAACCCTGAAGGGCACGTCTAGAAGAGCATGTCTAATATACTGACAAGTCCTCAAAAATCTCTAGCTATCATTATTCCAGAAAGTCATGCTTCTCCAAAGTCTCCCCTAAAGATCAAAAAGAACCAGGCTGGGCACAATGGCTCACGCCTGTAATCCCAGCACTTTGAGAGGCCAACGCGGGAGGATCACTTGAGACCAGTGTGGGCAACATAGGGAGATCCCGTTTCTACAAAAAAATTTTAAAATATTAGTCAGGCGTAGTGGTGCACACTTGTGGTCACAGCTACTCAGGAGGCTGAGGTGGGAGGATCACTTGAGCCCCGGGGAGGTCGAGGCTGCAGTGAGCCATGATCGCACCACTGCACTCCAGCCTGGGTAAAAGAGCAAGACTCTGTCTCCAAAAAAAAAGGAAAGATAGCCTAAGCCAGGCACTATCACGGACCACTGCCAAACATAGAATCAAATGAGGAGAGAAAAGAAGGGAGTTAATGAATACAGAGAAACACTTGGGCCAATTTATTTGGAAAATTGTAGTCCTAGAGCCCCATTGCTTTGCATGCTGCCTTAAAAAATTTGGAAATACATTCCTGTGGCACAACAAAGGCATAATTGGAACACTTTTTAAAAAAATGTTGCTTATACCAATAGCATATTGGTAATAATAAATCTATATCATACTGTCAACATAGCATTCAAGAGTATTCGGGTAATGGTAACTTTTTTTTTTTTTGAGACAGTCTCACTGTCACCCAGGCTGGAGTGCAGTGGCAACATCTTGGCTCACTGCAACCTCCACCTCCCGAGTTCAAGCGATTCTCCAGCCTCAGCCTCCCGAGCAGCTGGGATTACAGCTGTGCACCACCATGCCCAGCTAGTTTTTGTGTTTTTAGTACAGACAGGGCTTCACCATGTTGACCAGGCTGGTTTTGAACTCCTGACCTCAAGTGATCTGCCCGCCTCAGTATCCCAAAGTGCTGGGATTATAGGCGTGAGCCACCGCGCCTGGCATGTAATGGTAACTTTTCACTACATTTGGTATCCTATTTACTGATAATCTGATGGAAACTGTGGACCTCGAGCGGGCGTGGGAAGGGTTGGAATACATTTTTGCTCACACACACAATGGTATATACTATTTCAGGAGGTGCACAGACCCTTTTTGTACCCTCAGATCCCCCTATATTTGAAGATTCTGATTCAAACCAACCTCCTTAAGAAACTGAGGCCCCAGTTTCAGACGACTTTCCCCCAGTGCCAGTCAACAGGCACACCAGCAGAGTCCAGATAGAGCCCAGTTCTTCCGATCTCCCCCAATACATACACACACACACACACACACACACACACACACACACACACACACACCGCACTGAGGTGGAGGAGGTGGGAGAATGGTTTTAATCAATACTCAACACTTCAGTACCTCAGGGTTACTGGCTTATCTCCTGATAAGCCCTCAGGAGTCTTACTTATAGCAAAACCTCTAGGCCTTTACTGTGGAGAGGCCTTTGCAACACTCAAATCCCAGGACCTTGTAACTGAACCTTTCCAATCAAAGGAGATCAAGAAACTCAAGGCGGGGGGAGTGGGGAGGGACAGCATTAGGAGATATACCTAATGCTAAATGACGAGTTAATGGGTGCAGCACACCAGCATGGCACATGTATACATATGTAACTAACCTGCACATTGTGCACATGTACCCTAAACTTAAAGTATAATAATAATAATAATAAAAAGATGATTATTACAAAAAGACAAAAGATAACAAGTGTTGGTGAGGATGTAGAGAAAAGGGAACCCTCGTACACTATTGGTGAAAATGTAAACTGGTACAGCCATTTTGAAAAATAATGAGGCAGTTCCTCCAAAAATTAAAAATATAACTACCATATGATCCAGCAATTTCTCTTCTGGACATATATCCCAAAGAAATAAAAAAAGTATTTCAAAGAGAAAAAAAAAAAAGAAAACTCAAGGCCTCCATGGCCTACCTGGGGAGTCACATAACTCACCCTGGCTCAGCCCTGGGTCCCAAGCTTACAGCAGTTGGCAAGGAAGAGTGTTCAGTGCAATAACAGGCAATACCACTCATATGCCCTCCACTCTGAGGAAATAACCTCTATTTAGAGACTAAACAAAGGTGCCTCTTGCAAGTCTAAAAAAGAAAAGAAGCTACAAAGGTTGCCCACCAGTCAAAGAACCTAATCATCTCAGTCTATATTCATTTGTGAACTCCTCCTCTCACTAGACACTAAGAGATTATCCGCTTAAGGTTCAATAGTTTTTTGTTTGAGACAGAATCTCACTGTGTTGCCCAGGCTGGAGTGCAGGGGCGCGATCTCAGCTCACTGCAACCTCTGCCTTCCGGTTCAGGCGATTCTCCTGCCTCAGCCTCCAAAAGTAGCTGTGACTACAGACATGCACCACCACTCCCGGCTAATTTTTGTATTTTTAATAGAGACGGGGTTTCACCATGTTGGCCAGGCTGGTCTCGAACTCCTGGCCTCAAGTGATCCATCCACCTCAGCATCCCAAAACGCTGGGACTGCAGTCGTGCACCACCACACCCGGCCTCAATAGAATTTTCAAGAAAGGAACACAGGGTTATAAGAGAAAGCACCTGAACAAGACCATGGAGCTTTTGTAGAAGACCTTTCACATTGCAAGCTAAAGTCAACTGTGGCCCCTCTCATAATGACTTTCAGTCTGCCTTCAAATAGTTTAACAAAGGTTTTTTGTTTGTTTTTAAGTACTATAAACAAGACAGAACCCTTACAACTGATAACAAAGTCCCCAGGAACAGTGAGTGAGTGAGAGAGAGAGAGAGAGAGAGAGGGAGAGAGAGAGAGAGAGAGATATCCAGGACCCCCAAGAGAATTGATGGGGTTAATGTGAGTCAAAAGCACTATGAGTCACATCAGGGGGACAGGCCCACTGGCAGCGAGATAACTTCAGAAACTGGAGCAGGTGTGAGCCCCCTGGGATGCAGCCAGGCAGAAAACTTGGAAAGGGTGGCATGCTCGGGTGAAAGGGATTAGGGAGAGCTAGACACGCTCTGGAGTCTAAGGCCCTCAGGCCTTAACTGTGCCAGCTGGGAAGATTACATATACAAAAAGGCATCCTCCCTTACCCACGTGGCCCAATCAAAGCACCCAGCCTCTTATAAGGGCTTTGCGGCTCATTAAAGTTAAGTTCAAATTGGCACCAGGGTCCTAGACGCACAGTCCTAGGGTCCTGGGAGCCAAAAGGTACCCTGTAATCTCTGCCAATGTTACAACAAACTTAAGTAAGAGCCGAAGTAGGTCAAGCATTTAATCCTAAAAATGTTCTCCAAAGGAAGATGAAGGGCTAGAGGTAACATAGAACTCCAAATATTATCTTTCTGACAAGGGGCTACCCCGACGCGGCTACCAACCACACCCCGGATGAGCAAGGCCAAAGGAATTTTAGGGAACACCCAACTTCCTCCCTTAAAAGTGCTGCTTTGCTTTTAATATCAAACTCAGTGCTAGAAGTCGCCAAAGTGGGGGCGAGGTTCTCCCAACCAAAGGCCGGCGGGCTTATGTCCGGTCGGAGGTACAGTGGGCGAGCGCCCCTTATCATAGAGCCCAAATGCCCATGCGTGGCCCACTTCTTCCGCCGGGGCCAGCCCGAAGCTCTAGGGGAAGACGATGGCACCCCAGGCTACCGCCCTGCCAGCCCCTTCCACGCCCCGCCACCTACCGCAGTGCTGCCCGCCTCATTGCGCTAGGCTGCCGTGCGCGCGATGGAGAACCGGGCCCCGCGCGCTAGTCGGCGGAGGGAAACTGAGGCGATAAAAGACGCACGAGTACCAGACCGCGCCCTTGCTGAGGACAGCCCGGGAGCCGGACAGCGGTGTCCGGGGGCGGGACCGCGGCGTCCAGGGGGCGTGGCCGCGCTGTGCCGGGCGGACCCTACCCGTTCATTGGCGGGAGGCTGGAGTCCGCCTCTGCGGAGCTTCCCACTCAATCAGTTGTGCGGGTCGTGTTGCTACAGCGAGGACCGGCCTATTCTCGGTTGAGTAAACGAACCACGCAGCAACGCCAGGGCGTGACGTCGAGAAGAGGCCCGGCTCTGCCTAGTGGAGCTTGTCTCCTTTATCCTTGATCCCCGCGCCTTGGCTCCGTCTGTTCTTCCCCTTGGCTGCACATTGGAATCTCCTGGGCAACTTTCCAAAATACTGATACTTGGCCGGGCGCGGTGGCTCACGCCTGTAATTCCAGCACTTTGGAAGGCCTAGGCGGGCAGATCACCTGAGGTCAGGAGTTCAAGACCAGCCTGGCCAACATGGCGAAACCCTGTCTCTACTAAAAATTCAAAAATTAGCCAGGCGTGGTGGCAGACGCCTGTAATCCCAGCTACTCGGGGGACAGGCACGAGTATCGCTTGAACCTGGGAGGCGGAGGTTGCGGTGAGCCGAGATCGCACCACTACACTTCAGCTTGGGCGACAGAAGGAGACAATGTCTCAAAAAAAAAACAACAAAAAACTGATGCTTGAGACCCACTGGCTGGAGATTCTAGTTTAGTCCTGGGTGCGGTCTGGGCTTCGGGATGATGTCTAAAGATGCCCCCAGGTGATGCTAATGTAACCAAAGGCTAAAAACCACTGACCTAACAGGAAAAAATTGTTCCTCTCCTCTTCTCGGCCTGACCCCCAATGTTTGATATCTTGGGCGAGCTAGAGAGATTCAAGGCCAGAGAGTTTAAGATTATTTCACCCTACGATCTAATTCTCCATTTCTTTCAACGAATTATTATTGAGCTGTTTGCATTGTGCCAGGCACTATTGCAGAGGTTGGGGTTGCAAAAAGAAAAAAGGACAAAAATCCCCGCCCTTAAGGGGCTTGCCTCTTGATAAGGAAGGAAAACAAATCAACAAACAAGTTAGCAAATAACATGATCTCAAATATGGTAAAGCGGTTTAAAGGGGAAATAAGGTAACGAGTGGGGATCTTTTGAGAATATAAGCAAGTCTTGCTTTGCCTCTAAATACGGCAATTTCCTAAAAGGCAAGGGCCATATGCTTTTTCGCAATACCCCATACTTAGTAAAAATGTATTGATTTGAATTAAGCTAGCTTTCTGTTTTGAATCACTTCATGAGTTACACATGGAGCATGGTCTTCGGCTTTCTCTTTCTACTGAATTTTCCCTGCTTTTATCAATCTCACATCTGGAAGACTCCCCTTTTAGCCTACAAGGATCTCTCCTTCATTTTTGTTCACATTGTCTTTTCATTTTTGTCACATTGTTCACATTGTTCACAAGTCACTTTTCAGTGATTGTCTTGTTGGTTTTGGGTCAGCCATATTTCTTTATACTCTACCACACCTAACACAGAGGGCAATAAATATTGTATTGAATTATGCTATTTTTGTTCTTCTTTTTACTTGAACTTTTCTTTGAAGCAATAGGAGGCTCAGGGAGAAAAAATAAGTACAAGAGAGAATTTTTTGTAAATGGTATAATAGGTAGGTACAGTTTATAGTTTTTCCCGCAATCAAGTCGCCTTCCGTCAATTTCCAAATTATAAAGACACATTCTCATCAATATAATAAACACCATCGATTTTGGCTGGAACAGCTGAAACCAGGGACTTAATGCCATGCAGATGCCTTCTCTCTATTGCTTATCTTTGCTTTCCTTTGCATACTGGCTTCATTCTTTTTTCTCTCTATGTAATGACATTCTCCATATGGCAATAGAAGCTCCTGAACTTTACATCTTACAACCACAGCCACACACATACAGACTGACTGAAATTTCTACGGCCCAAATACAAAAAAGTTCTGAGAAGAGATTCATTGGTCCAATTTGGATCAGGTACACACTCCTGGACTAGCCAACTGTGGCATCAGGGTAAGGAACCCTTGCCCTGACTTACCAGGAACCCCCTCACCCAGACTCATGGCCAGGTACTGGGTCACAATCTACTAACATGGTTATTTCTGTAAGTAACTGTACAGATGGGGATACGGAGCACCTTCTTAGAAAAGGAGTACCGAGGCCGGGTGCGGTGGCTCACGTCTGTAATCCCAGAACTTTGGGAGGCTGAGGCGAGTGGATCAACTGATGTCAGGAATTCAATACTGGGCTGGCCAACATGGTGAGACCCCTGCCTCTACTAAAGATACAAAAATTAGCTGGCTGTGGTGGTGGGCGCCTGTAATCCCAGCTACTCGGGAGGCTGAGGCAGGAGAATCGCTTGAACCTGGGAGGCGAAGGTTGCACTGAGCTGAGATCGCGCCACTGCACTCCAGCCTGGGCAAGAGACTCCATCTCAAAAAAAAAAAAAAAAAAAAAGAAAGAAAGAAAAGAAGAGGAGTATGGAGCAGCCAACCACATAGATGTCCACTAGAAGGTTAAAGAGGGAAAAAAATGATCACATCACTTAGCCCACCTACCTTAGTTGTAACTTCAGGGAACCCCTGCTAGACCTAGCCTGCCCAGCATTCATCCACGAGTCTCTAACTACCTCAATTGGCAGCATGCATAAAATTCTTAAAACAGCTTAGCAACTCTGATTTCTGTGTGTGTTGTTGTTGTCGTCATTATTATCAAGCATATATGCTATACCACATTTTGGATAGCAGAGAAGGAAGGGGAAATGGTCACAAAATCAAAACAGGAAACATACAACAATTGTATAGTGGTGAGAATCACCGTCCTTAAGTAACAGGTTCTCTACCCAACCTTTTTGTTTCCTGTTATGTTCTATTAGTTCTATTTTAATATGGTCTCAGGATAACAGAGATGGTATCAATTGTGTAATTAAAAGTTACTTAATCATGCACTGACAGATACATAAGATATTAATGTCGTTATTACAAGTAAAACAATAAAATCAAATAACAAGGCTGGAAAGCAGTATCCCAGCACTTTGGGAGGCTGAGGTGGGTGGATTGCTTAAGAACAGGAGCTCAAGACCAGCCTGGTCAACAGAGCAAGACCCCATCTCTACAAAAAAAAAAAAAAATTGTTTAAATCAAACAACAAAACCTAACAAGGCATTGTCAGGTCTTCTTCTTTTTTTTTTTTTTTTTTTTTTTTTGAGACAGAGTCTCGCTCTGTTACCAGGCTGGAGTGCGGTGGTGCGGTCTCAGCTCACTGCAACCTCCGCCTCCTGGGTTCAAGCGATTCTCCTGCCTCAGCCTCCCAAGTAGCTGGGATTACAGGCACGTGCCACCACACCCGGCTAATTTTTGTATTTTTAGTAGATATGGGGTTTCACCATGTTAGCCAGGCTGGTCTTGAACTCCTGACCTCGTGATCCTCCCACCTTGGCCTTCCAAAGTGCTGGGATTACAGGCGTGAGCCACCGCGCCCGGCCAAAGGCATTGTTAGTTCAATCTAGTATTATGAGTGAAAAATATCCAGTTACCATCTTTCCTTGGGCTGCTGAATAATATATACTTTTGGATATCTGATTTAGGTAGAAAATGTTCCTGGAAAACTGTCATCAACTTTCAAACAAAGTGATTCGAACTACGATTTCATTAGGACACAGAAACTTTTTAAAAATATATCTTATTTCCTCAATTATTCAGATTATACAAAAGGATCCACAATAAAGTTAGGAGGGGAGGGCCAGGCACGGTGGCTCACGCCTGTAATCCTGGCACTTTGAAGCTCGAGGCAGGCAGATCACCTGAGGTCAGGAGTTCAAGACCAGCCTGGCCAACATGGCAAAACCCCCATCTCTACTAAAGGTAAAAAAAATGAGCAGGGCATGCTGTCGCGCGTCTGTACTCCCTGCTACTTGGGAGGCTGAGTCAGGAGAATTGCTTGAACCTGGGAGGCGGAGGTTGCAGTGAGCCGAGATGGTGCCACTGCACTCAAAGCCTGAGCGACAGAGGGAGACTCCATCTCAGAATATAAATAATAATAGTAATAATAAAGTCAGGAAGGGAGAAGGAAACAATGTAAAAGTATTTTCCAGCTGGGCACAGTGGCTTACGCCTGTAATCCCAGCACTTTGGGAGGCCGAGGCGGATGGATCACGAGGTCAGGAGTTCGAGACCAGCCTGGCCAATATGGTGAAACCCTGTCTCTATAAAAAATTCAAAATTAGCTGGCCGTGGTGGCGCACACATGCAGTACCAGCTGCTCAGGAGGCTGAGGCAGGAGAATCGCTCGAACCCAGGAAGCGGAGATTGCAGCGAGCCGAGATCGTGTCACTGCACTCCAGCCTGGGTGACAGAGTGAGACTCCGTCCCAAAAAAAAAATAATAAAAAAAAGTATTTTTCACCCTAACGTTAAAGAAAAAAACAGAAAGACTAGTGGGCTGTTACGTGAATGTGCTTAGTTTTTTGTTTGTTTTTGTTTTTTGTTTTTTTTTTGAGACAGAGTCTCGCTCTTGTTGCCCAGGCTGGAGTGCAGTGGCCCAATCTCGGCTCACTGCAACCTCCACCTCCTGAGTTCAAGCTATTCTACTGCCTCAGCCTCCTGAGTAGCGGGGACTACAGGTGCCTGCCACCATGCCTGGCTAATTTTTGTAATTTTGTGGCCCCCAGCTCCACTTTTATGACTGCTCTTCAAATCCAAGTGTTGAAAGGTTCTCGTCCACGAGGCTGAGGCGGGAGAATCACTTGAACCCAAGGAGGCAGAGGTTGCAGTGAGGTGAGATCGCGCCATTGCACTCCAGCCTGGGCAACAGAGACTTCATCTCAAAAAAAAAAAAAAAAAGAGAGAGCGAGAGAAAGGTTCGTGTCTTTAGAAATGCTTTTCCAGGCCGGGCACGGTGGCTCACACCTTTAATCCTAACACTTTGGGAGGCTGCAGCAGGTGGATCACTTGAGGTCAGGAGTTCAAGACCAGCCTGACCAACATGGTGAAACCCTGTCTCTACCAAAAATCCAAAAATTAGCCGGGCACGGTGGTGCACAACTGTAATCCCAGCTACTCAGGAGGCTGAGGCAGGAGAATTGCTTGAACCCGGGTGGCAGAGTTTGCAGTGAGCCGAGACCACGCCATTTGCACTCCAGCCCAGGCAACCAGAGCAAAACTCAGTCTCAAAAAACAAACAAACAAAAGAAATGCTTTTCCCTCTAACAATTTTCTCTTGCTTAAAAATGGCAAACATGGCCAGGCACGGTGGCTCACGCCTGTCATTCCAGCACTTTGGGAGGCCAAGGAGGGCAGATCACCTGAGGTCCGGAGTTCAAGACCAGCCTGGTCAACGTGGTGAAACCCCGTGTCTGCTAAAAATACAAAAATTAGCCGGGTGTGGTGGCTCATGCCTGTAGTCCCACCTGCTCGGGCGGCTGAGGCAGGAGAATTGGTTGAATCTGGGAGGCAGAGGTTGCAGTAAGCTGAGATCGCACCACTGCACTCCAACCTGGGGGATGAAGCAAAACTCCATCTCCAAAAAAAAGAAAGAAAGAAGAAGGCAAACATTTAAAACATATAATACTATTATTAACATAGGATCAGAGGGCATCTGTAAGAACAGGACATCTTCATTTCAGGGTATCACCTTCAATAAATCTGTCTCTTTCAATAATATAGGGGTACAGAGTCAGATATACAAAAGGTTTATTAGGGGCAACGCCTATAAAACATAAAAGGGAGAGGGAACAGGACCAGACAAGGAACACCTTTAGTTCGTGATGTAGGACTAAAACCTGAGAAAGGAGAGGGGCCAGGAAAGATATTTGGGTAGGAGGAGCCTTGGACTGCAGTGCAGCTCTGAGAAAGCCTAGGCCTGCAAAACAGGGAGTGCTGGTGCAAAGATTGCCCTCCCGAAGAGTCCCATACTGGCCAGAAATGGTGAGCCCTTGTACCATGGCAGTGCCTGGCCTTTGCTTAGAGGCTGTCTGGGAAGCATGTAGCCTCAGCTTGAAAGCTGAGGCAGATCTTGACAGCTGTCCGCTAACTCCACCCCTTGTGGCAGGTCTGCTGTAGGGAGATCTGAGTGGGACACCTCCATGGCTACCACGGGTCACCCCCTGCACTGCACAGATCGATTTCCCCATACACATTCAGGGAACTCCTCCATGGTTCCCATGGGTCTCTCTTCCTGAAGGGAAACTTAGAAGAGGTAGGTTAGTAGGACTAACTACAGTCCCTGTCACTACAGTTGGTATTGGAGTCACAGCTGGTTCTCATCCTGTCTTTCCTCTACCATGTATTCTAAATTCCCCTCACCTCTAGCTTTCCCAATGGTGTAACCCAAACCCTCATTCCTGTGAGATCTGAGCCCCTGGTAATCATATCCATTTCACACCAGAGTTGCTGCACTTGTCCATTCGCAGTCACAACCAGGCAAGGGAATACCAAGAAGTGCCCAACTAGATTGATCACCCAAGTTTCACACACATTCCTCTCTGCCACGTTGTACAACAGCAGCCTCTTCCTGCTGATTGAGAGCAAGTATCCCTGCCAAGGTGCTGACTCCTTGGCCACAAGAAGTCCAAAGGCCTGGCCATACCCACACTTGTGTCCACTGGCAAGAATGTGCCCCTTTGCAGAACAGAACCTTGAACTCTGCAGAGCCCACAGTTGCAAATTCAGGAAACATGAGTGCCCCTGTGGGCCATTAGAAATGATAGTAATTGGAGGCCGGGTGCGGTGGCTCAAGCCTGTAATCGCAGCACTTTGGGAGGCTGAGGCAGGCGGATCACTTGAGGCCAGGAGTTCAAGAGTAGCCAGGCCAAAGTGGCGAAACCCCGTCTCTACTAAAAATACAAAAATTAGCCAGGCATGGTGGCACCCGCCTGTAGTCCCAGCCACTCGGGAAGCTGAGGCATGAGAATCACTTGAACTCGGGAGGCAGAGGTTGCAGTGAGCCGAAATCATACCACTGCACTCCAGACTGGGCGACAGAGTGAGACTCTGTCTCAAAAAAAAAAAAAAAAAAAAAAAAGAATTCTCTTGCTGGCCTTGAAGAAAAAAGAAGTTATACAACTGCAAGAAAATGAATTCTGCCAACAACCAAGTGAACTTAGAAGAGAGACCCCAGCCCCAGCTGACACATCGATTCCAGCCTTGGAGACCCTGAACAGAGGACTCGGCTAAGCTATGCCCAGACTCTTGACCCACAGAAACTGTAAGGTAATAAACATGTGTTGTTTATGCCACTAAATTTGTGTTAATTTGTTACCTAGCAATAGAACATGAATACAGTGCCTATATTTCATCCTGGAAGATGGTACCCCATGCTTGCAGAGTCTTGTCTCCAAGTTGGCACTTCAATTACACCTTCAGCAGATCATTCAGATGCTCTGTTAGGATGGCTACTTGTGAATGCTGTGGTATATGATATGAACGATGAATCCTACTGGTCAGGACCTGCTCCCACACCTCCTTCATGATGAAGCAGGTCTCCTCAGATGCCATCTTGTGTGAGAATCCAGGCCTGTGGATCAGGCATTCCAAAAGCCCCAGGATAATGATGGTAAATGAAGCCCTACAGGTAGGAAAGGCAGTCATACTCAGAGAAAATACTGATTCCTGTGAGAGCAAATCTCTGGCCCTCCTCTGGTGCGGTGGCTCACGTCTGTAATCCCAGCAATTTGGGAGGCCAAGGCAGGCGGATCAGTTGAGGCCAGGAGTTCAAGACCAGTTTGGCCAACATGGTGAAACCCCATCTCTATAAAAATACAAAAATTAGCTGGGCGTGGTAGCGTGTGCCTGTAATCCCAGCTACTCAGGAGGCTAAGCCAGGAGAATTGCTTGAACCCAGGAGGTGGAGGTTGCAGTGAAGCAAGATCGGGCCGCTGTACTCCAGTCTGGGTGGTAGAGGAGATTCCATCTCAATAAATAAATAAATAAATAAATATTTTTTAAAAAATCGCTGACCCTTCTAAAGTAATAGGGGTCCAATGTCATCAACTTGCCAAGTAGCTTGTGAGTCTCCTTGAAGAAGAGTGCCATGTCAGGGGACTTGGCATTGGTCTCTGATGGCAGGTTGGACATTCAAAGGTGGCAGTAGCCAGGTGAAGCTCAGTAAGTGGGAGTCCATGCTGTTGAGCCCATGAGGCCTGAGAACCTGGGGAAAGCACTGGTGCAAGTCCCTGGAGCTGTGAGTGTCCCTAACATCTAATTGCAAACACAGCAGGCATTACTGCTCAACCAGATACACTGAAGCTCTGTGCTTGGGGGCCAATCACCAAGTCAACATGCAGACTGCCAGTTCAGAAAAAGGACAGCAAGTTAGCAATTAATGTAAATGTCTACTGGATTAAAAACCCAGTTAAAAACAATATTGCTGGCCAGGCACAGTGGCTCATGCCTGTAATCCCAACACTTTGGGAGGCCAAGGCGAGTGGATTACCTGAGGTCGGGAGTTCAAGACCAGCCTGACCAACATGGAGAAACCCCATCTCTACTAAAAATACCAAATTAGCCGGGTGTGGTGTCACATGCCTGTAATCCCAGCTACTAGAGAGGCTGAGGCAGGTGAATCACTTAAACCCAGGAGGCGGAGGTTGCAGTGAGCCAAGATCGCACCATTGCACTCCAGCCTGGGCAACAAGAGCAAAACTCAGTCTCAAAAAAATAAGAAATAAAAAAATATTGCTCCATAAACAGTTGCGCCTAGTAGCTCAGACTACCATCAAGTCCATTTTTAAAATGTGGTTTTCTCAGGCAGGCGCAGTAGCTGATGCTTATAATTCCAGAACTTTGAGAGGCTGAGGTGGGTGGATCACCTGAGGCCAGGAGGTCAAGACCAGCCTGACCAACATGGCGAAACCCCATCTCTACCAAAAATACAACAACAACAAAAAATTAGCCAGGCATGGTGGTGCACGCTGGTAATCCCAGCTACTCGGGAGGCTGAGGCATGAAAACTGCTTGAATCCAGGAGGCAGAGGTTGCAGTGAGCCTAGATTGTGCCACTGCACTCCAGCCTGGGCGACAGAGTGAGACTCCTTCTCAGAAAAAAAAAAAAAAAGTGGTTTTCTGAAATGTCATGTAACATTACCTGATTATCTGACCCCGCACCTTCTATTATCATTTGATTGGGGGTGGAGGTGAGGAAAGAAATGGGATCAAGACATGAAACAACTTCGCTAGACTCAGCTCAGAGATGATACAAACTTTACATTTCAGAGCTCTAAGAGACCTGGAAAACTATCCTATTCCTTCTCTCCTCTCCTCATATACAAATGTTTTTATCAATTTTTTTACAACTTTTTTAACAATGAGGCTGGGCATGGTGGCTCATACCTATAATCCCAATAATGTGGAAGGCCAAGGCGGGAGGATCACTTGAGCCCAGGAGTTCGAGACCAGCCTGGGCCACATAATGAGACCTCGTCTCTACAAAAAATACAAAAATTAGCCAGGCATGGTGGTGCACGCCTGTGGTCCCAGCTACTTCAGAGGCTGAGATAGGAGGATCACTTGAGCCCAGGAGGTCCAAGCTGCAGTGAACTGTGATAGCATTCCAGCCTGCATCTCAAAAGCCAAACAATGTTTTTAACAAGGAAAATATGACTTAGTGAACTTAAAAGACTTGCCTAAGGCCATAGCGGAAGAGCAGAACTATAATCCAAGGCTCCTAAAAGCCAGCCAAGACATTTTTCAACCCCCTACATCATCTCTCAAGGACTATGAGTGTACACAACAGCAATTTGCATGGCTAAGCACATGTTATGAGAAAAGAGGACATATTTTCCAATTGGTAAATCAAGCTGCAACTTTTAGAAAAGAAAGATACAGTACAAAAAGAAAGAAAAAGGAATCAAACTTTTTACAATAATCAGTTAAGCAAGTTTTTTTATGATTTGAGGCAGAGATGAATCAGAAAATTCCACACTGGTCTCCCCACTGACTCTGAGTGCTATTTTTATGGAAGTGACCTAAGATGCTTATAGTAATATAATAAGAGTCAAATGTTTCCTGGCAGCCAATCTAGAAAAAAGAATAGAATATAGGAATTGGCAACAACCCTATAAGAACAGGTTCAGGCTGGGCGTGGTGGCTCATGCCTATAATCCCAGCACTTTGGGAGGCCAAAGTGGGATGATCACTGGAGCCTAGGAGTTTGAGACCAGCCTGGGTAATATAGTGAGACCCTGTCTATACAAAATAAAATAAAATAGCTGGGTGTGGTGGCGCATACCTGGGGTCCCAACTACTTGAAAGGCTGAGGTGGGAGGATCACTTGAGCCCAGAAGGTTGAGGCTGCAGTGATCTGTGATCACACCACTGCACTCCAGCCTGGGCAACAGAGCGAGACTGTGTCAAAAAAAAAAAAAAAAAAAAGAACAGGTTCAGCAAACCTGCCCCATAAAGTAGAAATGCCCTTTTGTAACCCTTTTTCCAGAAGCTCCCCATTCTTTAGGGCAGTTCTCTAGGGGTATTCTTGTTATTAAACATTTTTCTTCACATGGAGCTAATATCTGCTTCCTGGAACTGCCCCTGATATGACACAGAATAAGTCTAAGTCTAGTCCCACTTTCTTTCTTTCTTTCTTTCTTTCTTTTAAATGGAGTCTTGCTCTGTTGCCCAGGCTGGAGTGCAGTGGTGCGATCTCGGCTCACTGCAACCTCCGCCTCCTGGGTTCAAGCGATTCTCCTGCCTCAGCCTCCCGAGTAGCTGGGACTACAAGTGCATGCCACCATGCCCAGCTAATTTTTTGTATTTCTCAGTAGAGATGGGGTTTCACTGTGCTAGCCAAGATGGTCTCCATCTCCTGACCTCGTGATCCACCCGCCTCGGCCTCCCAAAGTGCTGGGATTACAGGTGTGAGCCACCATGCCCGGCCTAGTCCCACTTTCTTGTGCAAGCCTTCAAGTTTAACTATTTGCCATTTTACTCCTTTCCTTCCATTTTCTTGAGTTCAGGTTAAATGTTGCTTGTTCATTCAATGACACAGTGTGGTTTGCAGCCCTAAACCAGAGTAGTAGTCCTCCAAGGCTGTTTCAGACATGTATTCTGCAAACACGAATGCAGGATGCTGCCATATGCCATTCCACGTGCCTGGGGGAGGATGTCCACCCCAACATTGTAATGAGAAAAAATAACTCCGCTTCTCAGTCCAGACATTGGGTAAATGTTAGCAGATGTGCAGAACAGGTGCATATTATTCCATACCCTCCCACCCCAATCCTCTATTCCACGGTCATCTCAACTCCTTGCCTCCCATGGCACTTGGGAGATTGAGGATTGATCAATCCCTGATTGTTACTGATGTCTGATGCCCAGCCTATAACTGACCTCACTACTTACTTCCCTTCACTTGTGACTAATTATAGAAGCAGTTATATCAAGCAGGGCCAGGGTCAGGACCAGGGTGTGGCAAGTGAGGCATTTGCCTTGAATGCAAATTTGATTTTTCTAATATTCCATTGAAATATTATTTATCTTGATTATTGGGGTTTTCACCCCTTTAAATTCTGCACAGGTGAGTGTCTCACTTGCCTATTCTTAATCTTGGCCCTGATTCATGGTTGGATTGACCAGTGAGATCAAGAGCCAAGAGCTTGGACTAACGAAGAGGTCAGAGTTCATTTTGAGTGATAGCCCTCCTATTCAGCTAGAAGACAGATTTATCTGATTTCCCTTACCCCTCCCACACACAAAGAAATTGTTGGATTTCATCAGAGCAGGGACCATAGGTCCATATATCACCTCCCACCAGAGTGCCAGCCCCTGATGTACCTTTCTGTCCTGTTCCAGGACTTAGATATCTAACTCGTGAACCACTAGGCAAGAAGAAGTCAGAATACAAGAAAAATACTGACAGTTGAAGGCACCAATGTTGGAATCCTCCATTGCTGATGAGTGGGTTAGTCCCAAGGCCTTTTGGTTAAAAGTAATGAATTTTTCAAGTGAAAGGTAATAGGGCTGGTTACATTTGGGTTCAGCAAAGTCATAAAAGAATATCACCAGAAGCAACCCTCACTAGTCGGTTTGTTTTGTTGTTGTTGTTGTTGTTGTTGTTTTGAGACGGAGTTGCGCTCTTGTTGCCCAGGCTGGAGTGGAATGGCACAATCTCGGCTCACTGCAACCTCCGGCTCCTGAGTTCAAGCGATTCTCCTGCTTCGGCCTCCCAAGTAGCTGGGAATTGCAGGCGCCTGCCACCAAGCCCAGCTAATTTTTGTATTTTTAGTAGAGATGGGGTTTTACCATATTGGTCAGGCTGGTCTCGAACTCCTGACCTCAAGTGATCCACACGCCTCAAACTCCCAAAGTGCTGGGATTACAGGTATCAGCCACCATGCGCGCCCAGGCACTAGTTGGTATTTTTAAAAGGGGTTCCTATTGAATTTCTGTATTGTTGTTTAACATAATTAGTAAAAATCTGCCAGGGTAAAAATTACAGGATTGGGCCAGGCACAGTATCTTATGCCTGTAATCCCAGCACTTTGGGGGGCCGAGGTGGGCAGATCACTTGAGGTCAGGAGTTCGAGACCAGCCTGGCCAACAGGATGAAACCCCATCTCTACTAAAAATACAAAACTTAGCTAAGTGTGGTGGCACACGCCTGTAGTCCCAGCTATTTGGGAGGCTGAGGCATGAGAATTGCTTGAACCTGAGAGGTAGAGGTTGCAGTGAGCCGAGATTGTGCCACTGCACTCCAGCCTAGGTGACAGAGCAAGATTCCGTCCAAAAAAAAAAAGTGACCAAATAATAGTATGGATAGTATGGTTTATTGAGCACTAATTCCTTAAATAAGCACTAATCTTATTTAATACTCACAACAACTGTATGAGGTCAGTATTACCATCTTATAGATAAGGAAATTGTGGTTTAGAGACATTAAGTAACTCTCCAAAAAGTCAAATGGCCAGCAATTGATGGCTAGCACACATTTACCAAACATTAGGTTGGTGCAAAAGTAATTGCAGTTTTTGCCACTGAAAGTAATGGCAAAAAAAAAAAAAAAAGGAAGTACTGGCTATTATCAGATGTGTAATTAGTTGTGTCCTTCTCCACCAGAGGGCGCAGTCCTGCACCCGAGACTTGTCACGAAAACCCGATAATGGGGTAGATCTGAAAGTAGGTTCATGACCCCAGTCATTGATAACAGCAGTCACTGGTGGAATCAGGGGACTCTGCAGTCACAGGACTCAAACTTGGAAATGAGACATCATCTAGAAACCTAGATGATCACAGGGCCTCAAATTGTAGTATTCAAGTTCCCCTTTCATGTACATATTCAGCATTTTCCAAGCCTTCAGACAAGATTTCTCCCTTTTGGTTTGTCTCCCCATGGGGACAAATGTATTCTAATTTATTTTTACTCTGGTAAATTATAAAGTAATGAATGACAGATAGTTCTAACTTAATTGACGGGCTCCCCACCATATTGCAAATAAAATGACTTGAAAATTGTCATCTCAGAAGCCTATGTCTGCATTTAATTTTTGTAATCTAGGACTCTTTTCCACCTAAAGCCAATAAATAAGGAAACTGTATTTCCACTTCTTTCCACTGTACTTTGGCAAAAATAGATTCTGGACTTCTTACTACTATTTCATTGTGCCCTTTCAGGTGGATGTGAGTCTGTGTCATTTATTGGTTACATCCTTACACATGTATCATTCTTACCCATCTCTTAGTCCCGTCTACCATGGAAACAGTAGGTGATGACAGGATGGTAATAAGCATGAAATTCAAAACCAGAAAGGTGAGCTGATGCTGGAGCTACAGGGTCTTTACTATCTGCAACTGGAGTGGACCATTTCTGCTGTCTTGTCCTTGATATGACACTGACATGAAGATACAGTAAGACTGAAAGTAAAGATTAGGAAAAACGCTTATCAGGTAAATACTTACAAAAATAAAGCTGTATTGGCTGGGCACGGTGGCTCACTCCTGTAATCCCAGCACTTTGGGAGGCCGAGGCAGGAAGATCACGAGGTCAGGAATTCAAGACCAGCCTGGCCAACATAGTGAAACCCCATCTCTACTAAAAATACAAAAACTTAGTCGGGCGTAGTGGCGGGCGCCTGTAATCCCAGCTACTCAAGAGGCTGAGGCAGGAGAATCGCTGGAACCCGGGAGGCGGAGGTTGCAGTGAGCGGAGATGGCAGCACTACACTCCAGTCTGGGCAACAGTGTGAGACTCCACCTCAATAAATAAATAAATAAATAAATAAATAAATAAATAAAGCTGTATTAATTAGCCAGGGTGATGGTATGCGCCTGTAGTCCCAGCTACTCGGGAGGCTAAGGCAGAGGATCACTTGTGCCCAGGAGATCAAGGCTGCAGTGAGCTGTGATCACACCACTGCACTCCAGCCTGGGTGACAGAGCAAGACCCTTTCTCAAAAAAATAAATAAATAAATAAACAATAACATATAAAATTTAAAAATATAAAACTGGCTGGGCGCGGTGGCTCACGCCTGTAATCCCAGCACTTTAGGAGGCCAAGATGAGATCACCTGAGGTCAGGAGTTCAAGACCAGCCTGGCCAACATGGTGAAACCCCATCTCTACTAAAAATACAAAATAAGCCAGGCATGGTGGCATGTGCCTGTAATCTCAGCTACTTGAGAGGCTGAGGCAGGAGAATCGCTTGAACCAGGGAGGTGGAGGTTGCAGTGAGCTGAGATCGTGCCATTGCACTCCAGCCAGGGCAAAAAGAGCAAAACTCCATCTCAAAAAAAAAAATACATAAATAAAATAGAACAAAATAAATAAAAAATAAATAATATAAAAAACCACTCTAAAGATAAAGAGGCACAAACATGATAAAAGGAAAAATTCACCATGAAAATATTAGTATAAAAACTTTGAACTTGCTTGTACCCAATAACATAGTCTCAGTTAAAAATGCATTGATAAATTTGACTTTTTTTTTTTGAGACAGGGTCTCACTCTATTGCCCAGGTTGGAGTGCAGTGGCACTATCACAGCTCACTGCATCCTCAACTTACTGGACTCAAGGAATCCTCCCACCTCAGCCTGCTGAGTAGCTGGGACCACATGTGTGCACCACCGTGCCCAACTAATTTTTTTAATTTTTAGTAGAGATAGGATCTGCCATGTTGCCCAGGCTGGTCTCAAACTCCTGGACTCAAGGGATCCTCCCACCTCGGCCTTCCAAGTGCTGCGATTACAGGCATGAGCCACTGCACCTGGCCAAACTTGACTACTTTAAATTGAAAGACTTCCATGTGACCAAAGACACTATTGACAAAAAAGTATCCTAGCCACAGATTCAGTACATGTCTGTAACAAAAATAGCAAAAGGGGAGGGATTAGAATAATGAATTATATAAAAGGGCTACTACAAATGCATAAGAAAAAGAAAAACAAGTCAATCAAAAATGGACAAAAGTCAGCCCAGCATGGTGGCTCACATCTGTAATCCCAGCACTTTGGGAGGCCAAAGCAGGCAGATCACCTGAGCTCAGGAGTTCAAGACGAGCCTGGTCAACTTGGTGAAACCCCATCTCTACTAAAAATACAAAAAAATTAGCCAGGCGTGGTGGCGGGTGCCTGTAATCCCAGCTACTGGGGAGGCTGAGGCAGGAGAATCACTTGAACCCGGGAGGCAGAGGTCGCAGGGAGCTGAGATCACGCCACTACACTCCAGCCTGGGCAACAGAGGAAGACTGTCTCAAAGAAAAAAAGGACAAAAGTTATAAGTTAGCATTTTACAGAAGAAGAAAAATATATGGCCAATAAACATATGAAAAGATCACTATCACATTAATCAAATTTAAACCATGATAAGATGCCATTTCATACCCATCAGATAAGCAAAACCAAAAGGTCTGAAAATATCAACTGTTGGTGATAACAAAGAGCACCAAGAATTCTCATTCACTGCTAGTACAGGTTGTAAATTGGTATGATCACTTTGGAGAGCAAGTTAGCACCATTTCACAAAGTTGAATACGTGTATACCCTGTGACCCAGCACTCCAGTCTTAGGTAAATACCCTATAAATTCTTGCCCCCATACACAAGGACATACACAAGAATGTTGTTTCAAACAACATTGTTTGAAATGGCCAAAGAAAAGAAAAACAAGGCCAGGCGCAGTGGCTCACGCCTGGAATCCCAGCCCTTTGGGAGGCCGAGGCAGGCAGATTGCCTGAGCTCAGGAGTTCGAAACCAGCCTGAGCAACATGGTGAAACCCCATCTCTACTAAAAATACAAAAATTTAGCCGGGCCTGGTGGCAGACGCCTGTAATCCCAGCTACTTGGGAGGCTGAGGCAGGAGAATCACTTGAACCCGGGAGGTGGAGGTTGCAGTGAGCTGAGATCATGCCACTGCATTCCAGCCTGGGCAACAGAGCGAGACTCCATCAAGAAAGAAAGAAGAAAGAAAGAGGGAAGGAAAGAAAGAAAGTAGAAAGAAAAAAAGAAAGAAAGAAAGAAAGAAAGAAAGAAAGAGAGAAAGAAAGAGAGAGAGAAAGAAAGAGGGAGGGAGGGAGGGAGGAGAAAGAAAGAGAAAACAAATCTAAATGTCCGTCAACAGGAATTTTTTTTAACTTTGAATGCTCCAAGGAATGATTTTTAATCCAATTAATTCATAATGCATTGCCAAATCAGTTTCAAGGTCAGTACTCCTTCCTTGGATAGATTTCAAATGCTTGTAATTTAATATTTGCATCTTGTATCCCTTTCACATATATGAATACGTGTAAACACTCTAAATAAGGGAAAGGCTACCCTGAGCAGTTGGTGTCATTAACTGGAAAAAGCTGTGTGGCTCTTTGTCTCCCACAGTGGCTCACAGGATTGAAATGCCTTGTTGAGTTTACCATGGTTCAGATACTGGCCCTCCGATATGCTAGTCTGAAACTTGATTTGTCACTTCACTAAAGGTAAATCTGTGTGTGTAGGAGGACTCACATTTGCCAAGAGACTGATACATGAAATTAGAATATCAATTTTTTTTTTTGAGACAGGGTCTCTCACTTGGTCACCCAGGCTCAAGTACAGTGGTGCAGTCATGGCTCACTGCAGCCTCAACCTCCCAAGCTCAAGCAATCCTCCCACTTTAGCCTCCCAAGTAGCTGGGACCACAGGTGCACACCACCATGCCCAGCTAACTTTTTAATTTTTTTTTTGTAGAGGCGAGGTCTCCCTATGTGGTCCAGGCTGGTCTCGAACTCCTGTGCTCAAGTGATCCTCACACCTCAGCCTCCTGGGATTACAGGCCTGAGCCACCACATCTGGCCTCATTTTTTTTTTTTTTTGAGACGGAGTCTCACTCTGTCACCCAGGCTGGAGTGCAATGGCGCAATCTCAGCTCACTGCAACCTCCACCTCCTGGGTTCAAGTGATTCTCCTGCCTCAGCTTCCGGAGTAGCTGGGATTATAGGTGCACACCACCATGCTCGGCTAATTTTTATATTTTTTAGTAGAGACGGGGTTTCACCATGTTGGTCAGGCTGGTCTCAAACTCCTATCCTTGTGATCCACCCGCCTCAGCCTCCCTAAGTGCTGGCATTACAGGCGTGAGCCACCACACCCAGCCTTTTTTTTTTTTTTTTTTTTTTTGAGACAGGGTCTCACTCTCTCGCCCAGACTGGAGTGCAGTGGTGCAATCTTGGCTCACCACAACCTCCACTTCCTAGGCTCAAGAGATTCTCCTGCCTCAGCCTCCCAAGTAGCTGGGATTACAGGCACATATCACCACTACCCGGCTAGTTTTTGTATTTTTAGTAGAGACGGGGTTTCACCATGTTGACCAGGCTGGTCTCGAACTTCTGACCTCAAATGATCCACCCGCCTCGGCCTCCCAAAGTGCTGGGATTACAGACATGAGCCACCACACCCGGCCTGGCCTCAATTTTTTAATTTATAATGAGATGTGGGTCTGCTTGAGGGTCATGAGAAGCCCAATTATAACTAGAAGATTTATTGATGAACATGAAATCAGTTGCATTCAGCTAAGATACATTCACAAGAATGTAAACACCATGATGGTAAAGATTTGTCTGATTTTTCTACTGTTATAATTCCAGAGATTTTAATAGTACCTGACACAGTAAAAAAAATCTGTTAAACAAATGAATGAATAAAGACAGACTGATGTATCTATCTCCACAATATACAGATACCTGACCGGGCGCATTGGCTCACACCTGTAATCCCAGCACTTTGAGAGGCCGAGGTGGGCGGATCATGAGGGCAAAAGATGGAGACCATCCTGGCCAACATGGTGAAACCCCATCTATAATCCCAGCTACTTGGGAGGCTGAGGCAGGAGAATTGCTTGAACCAGGGAGTCAGAGGTTGCAGTGAGCCAAGATCGCGCCACTGCACTCCAGCCTGGTGAAAGAGTGAGACTCTGTCTCAAAATAAATAAATAAATATAAATATATATATATATACAGATCCCTGTCTCAAGATTCAGCCACTAAAGTTCTTGCATCAGGGTATTCTTGTGCCCACTGCAGTACCAGCTTGAGTGGTGCCAATTTGCTAATTTTGGCCTTTGAGGTTCTTCTTTTTCTGTGTGTCCAGGACTGAACCTAATAAAACCTTTAGTTGCCTACCCTAAGCCATTCCCTTCTTTTTTTTTTTTTTTTTTTTTTTTTTTTTTTTTTTTTTTTTTGAGACTGAGTTTCACTCTGTTGCCCAGGCTGGAGTACAATGGCGCAATCTCGGCTCTCTGCAACCTCCGCTTCCCGGGTTCAAGTGATTCTCTTGCCTCAGCCTCTTGAGTAGCTAGGATTACAGGCATACACCACCATGCCTGGCTAAAATTTTTGTATTTTTAGTAGAGACGGGGTTTCACCATGTTGGCCAGGCTGGTCTCAAACTCCTGACCTCAGGTGATCCACCTGCCTCAGCCTCCCAAAGTCCTGGGATTACAGGCATGAGCCACCACGCCCGGCTGCCCCACTAATTTTTTGTATTTTTAGTATAGACGAGGTTTCACCATGTTGGCCAGGCTAATTTTGAACTCCTGACCTCAAGTGATCCACTCGCCTCAGCCTCCCAAAGTGCTAGGATTACAGGTGTGAGCCACTGTGCCCGGCCACTTCTACAAAAGTTATAAAGCCCATAATACATGTCCATTACTTTCACCCTAGATAGTTAAATATCTTTTATAGATGTTAAAAACAAGAAAAATATATTTTCTATTTACCCACACATTTGCCATTTCTGGTGCTCTTCATTCCTTTGGGCAAATTCAAGTGTCCATCTGGTATAATTTTCCATCAGTTTGAACAACTTCCTTTAGCATTTCTCGTAGTACAGTTTTAGTGATGAATTCTTTCATCTTTAGATTTCCTGAAATATAAATCCATTTTTGGGTTATGCCTTCATTTTTGGAGAACATTTTCACTGGATATAAAATTCTAGGCTGGCAGTTTTTTTCTTTTAGCTCATTAAAGATGTCATTCCACCATCTCTGGTTTGCATTGTTTTTAATGAGAAACCAGTCATCAGTCTCATCTTTAAAATTTTCTCTCAATCAGGCCAGGTGTGATGGCTCACGCCCGTAATCCCAACACTTTGGGAGGCTAGGGTGGGTGGATCACTTGAGGTCAGGAGTCCAAGACCAGCCTGGCCAACATGGTGAAACCCTGTCTCCACTAAAAATACAAAAATTAGCCGGTGATGGTGGCACATGCCTGTAGTCCCAGCTCCTCAGGAGGCCGAGGCAGGAGAATCGCTTGAGCCTGGGAGGCAGAGGTTGCAGTGAGCCAAGATTGCACCACTGCACTCCAGCCTGGGTGACAAAGCAAGACTCCATCTCAAAAAAAAGAAAAAGAAAAAGAAAAAGAATCACTGGTTTTCAGAAATTTGATTCTGAAATGCCTTGTAGTTTCCTTTGTGTTTATGCAGCTTGGGATTCACTGGAATTCTTAAATGTGTTAATTTATAGTCTTCAATAAATTTGGCACATTCCAAATGTAGAATAAGAATTACAAAATTGAGAATTGTGTTGCACTAATATATATTACAGAAGGTAAATAAAGAGTGCTTAACTACTATTCACAGGTCCTTAAATTTGTTTTTTGTTTTTTGGTTTTTGGTTTTTTTTTGAGATGGAATCTTGCTCTGTTGCCCAGGCTGGAGTGCAGTGGCATGATCTTGGCTCATTGCAAGCTCCACCTCCAGGGTTCATGCCATTCTCCTGTCTCAGCCTCCTGAGTAGCTAGGACTGCAGGTGCCCGCCACCACACCGGGCTAATTTTTTTTGTATTTTTTAGTAGAGACGGGGTTTCAACGTGTTAGCCAGGATGGTCTCGATCTCCTGACCTCATGATCCGACCGCCTCGGCCTCCCAAAGTGCTGGGATTACAGGCATGAGCCACCGCGCCCAGCCCTATTTTTGTTTTTAACCATGGCTTCAGAGACTAGGTACTGAAAGAAAGTTTGGGAAAATTTAGCAACAAATAGGTTTCTGACATTTTTTTTAAAAAAGGAAAAAAAATAGAAAGTCTGGGAAATGGTTATGTCTGCTGTCCTGTCCAGATTCTAAGTATTATAACTGCATAATCTCCTCCTATCCGGTATCTGTAAAATATCTATAAAAAGAACAAAGGGCCAGGTACAGTGGCTCACGCCTGTAATCTCAGCACTTTGGGAGGCCAAGGCAGGCGGATCACTTGAGGTCAGGAGTTCGAGACCAGCCTGGCCAACATGGTAAAACCCTGTCTCTACTAAAAATACAAAAATTAGGCAGGCGTGGTGGTGCACACCTGTAATCCCAGCTACCTGGGAGGCTGAGGCAGGAGAATTGCTTGAACCCGGGAGGTGGAGTTTATAGTGACACAAGATCGTGCCACTGTGCTCCAGCCTGGGTGACAGAGCAAGACTCTGTCTCAAAAAAAAAAAAAAAAAAGAACAAGGAAGAAAAGTTGTGTGAATTGATATATTCTGAATCATGGCCTTTTGAAAATTTTCTCCTACTTTCATCTTTTCTGTAAGTTTGCTTCTTTAAAAAAAAATCTCCAAGTGTAGATTATAGTTGAATGCTATTTAGGTCCTGAATAAGGTCCACTTCTAAAGTGAGACAGACTTGTAAATAATTTACCCAGATGATGTGTTCTGGATTGAACCCTGTTCACAAGGTGTCTGGCCAGGCAGATAAAATGCTCCAAGCAAAGTGCAGTGGGGTTTACAATACTGATTATCCATACTCTAATGATTCCTGATTCTATGACTATTGAGCCATACCTCATTGGTTGGCAAACAAGAATCATTACACATTTATTATTCGTGAGGAAGGTCAATGCTTCATGCCAAAGGTCAATGAATAAGAGAATGGTCCTGTGTAAGGGCAGGATAAAACAACTTTAGGGCACCATTAGGCCATTCGCAGCTGTTCTTCCTAACCCAAAAATAGTTGGGATCCTTATATCGCCAGGTAGCCAGAAAGGAACAAACATTTAGAGGGTGCCTGTTATATTCTAGGCACTCTACAAAGGGCTTTACAACATCATTTAGTATTTACAACCCTAGGAGGAGGAAGCTATTATTATTCACTTCATTTTACACATAATCACACTCAAATTCAAGTACCTTGTCTAAACTCACACAGCTGGTAACTGGGCAGCACGGACATTTGCATCTAAATGTGCCTGGCCAAAAAAACAAAAAAACCCTGCTTTTTCCACCACACAAGTACACTTAGCTCCACTTTCCTAAAAGGACTCACTGAGTCAACTACCCTTTGGCACCATGGCAAAAGGCTGGCATTCTCTAAGTCACTTGCATGGATGGGAAAATCCATAATCCCTGTCTGAGGATAAGTGTGTATTCTATCTATGAGGCAAGAACATAAATGAAGAGATGTGGACCATTTTTTTAAAATGAAGGCAAGTTTAGTTTGTTTGTTTTTGTTTTTGTTTTATTTTGTTTTTTAGACAGAGTCTCACTCTGTCACCCAGGCTGGGGTACAGTGGCACAATCTCGGTTCACTGCAACCTTCACCTCCCGGGTTCAAGCCATTCTCCTGCCTCAGCCTCCTGAGTAGCTGGGATTACAGGCATGTGCCACCACACCCGGCGAATTTTTGTATTTTTAGTAGAGATGGCATTTCACCATGTTGACCAGGCTGGTCTTGAACTCCTGACCTCAAGTGATCTGCCCACCTCCACCTCCCGAAGTGTTGGGATTACAGGCATGAGTCACCACACCCAGCCGTGAAAGCAAGTCTATTAGGAAAGTAAAGGAATAAAGAATGGCTACTCCACAGGTAGAGCAGCCAGTAGACCATTTTCAAAGCATTGGGACAGCTCTCACCTCAGAAAGAAATGATGGTATTGCGGTGCCTCAGCTCTACCAACTAGATTCACCAACCAGTGAGCTCTGCCTCAATCATCGTAGAATCAGGAATCATCATCTCGGAGTCATTCTGAGATGATTCATCATAGAATTGGGAATCATCTCAGAGTCATTATCAGAGTCTCAGATCATCAGTATTATAATCCCTATTGCACTTTTCTTGAAGCATTTTACCTTCCTGACCGGACACCATCTGTTCCTGTGAGTAGAAAAATCCTACGGTCTCTGCAATTCTCCTTCTGTGAAGAGGCCTGGATGGAGGCAGCTTCCTGCAGCCTCTCAGGGTGGCAGGGATCTCCTAGCAGGTTGATTGTGTCACGGGATCCTTCAGGTGTTGCTTTTCCAGCTAGAAAGCTCTGTGACCAGTGGTGCCTTTGCCTGAGTTTTGATCAGGCCCGCCAGACTTGTTCCACTGACGTGGCCTGGCAGGCTGTGCTCAGCTCATGCTACCAGCCAGGATTCCACGCCTGCCGAGGGTGAGCCAGGCACGGAACAGCGAGGGGTGTGCAGGCGAGCGAACGCAGGGTCTGGCCACTGCGCAGAGCCGGACACACCAGCTGCTGCAGCTGGGCAGGCAGCTCCAGGCGCCGGCAAAGGTGCCGGTTCTATGCAAGTCTGCAGCTGGATCTGATGAACCACAAGCGGCTTCTGCTGTGGGCACCTGTGTCTGGACAAGGGGAATGCAGTGGTGCCCGGAAGTTTGAAGATACCAGAAACCGCAGAGCCCCAAAGAGGGTGTCACAGCCCTGGCTCAGGGAGCCCCTAGGTCTGTGCTCCCTGAAGGGCCACAGCACTTCTCTCCTTCACATCACCCGCAACATGGCAAGTCGCGGGGGTGTGGGGACGGGAGGAGGGCGTGTTTCAGCCCTGTTTGTGTTACTGCTCTTTCAGTCCCGCCATTCAGTGGGTCCTGAGTTCTCGTCCCACATCCAGGAAGAATGAGGTACGCGGACAACTAGAGGGTGAGCAAGGCGGAGAGGAGCCTTATCGAGTGACAGAACAGCTCTCGGGAAACTTGAAGTGGGTAGCTCCTTTCCGCAGGCAGGTTGTCCCAGTAAGTGTCCAGCTCTCAGTGGAGAAGAGACCCAGAGTGGGTAGCTCCCTTCTTCAGGCAGGTTGTCTTGATGAGTCGAGGAGACCTGAATTGGGTAGCTCCTTCCCACAGCTGGTAGTCCCAGCGTCTGTGTGAGTCTGGCTAGGCTCAGAAGGGAGGAAGTGCATGCTGATTGGCCCATGGGTGGCCATGGGCTGACCCGGAAAAATCACCATAAGTTCTCACTCCGGGCCACAGACTTCACCCGGGACTGACAGCCTAGCCCCTGGGCTTCAGGCCTCCCTGGCTTGATGGTGGGGCTTTACCGGGGACCCACCTCTTTCCGCCCAGGAGCCTGTCTGCCTCCTGCCACCATCAATCATGTCATCCACAGCGCCCAGGCTGTTCCTGCAGAGGAGTACCGGCAGCCCGCACCGAGTGCCCTCAGCTCCCCCACCCCACGCCGCCAGCCTCTCTCCTGTGCTTCTCAGTGCCCAAAGCCTAGAGGGGGCCAGGGTGGCAGGGGGCTGGCATGTCAGCGGCGCCCCAGGCGCACGCACACCCAGCTGGGTCTAGACAGCGCTTGGCCTCAGCCACAACTTTGCTCCACCCCAGAGTGGGCTCCAGGAGCAAGGAGAGGCCAGGCAGCAGGAGCAGGCACTTCCAAGCCTGCGGGTCAGGGGGTCTTCCCAGCCCCCGAGAGCACAGGGATGTCCAGGTCTGCAGCTGTGGCTGGGTGGTTGCAGCTGTGCCGGAAAGCGTGGGGCTCCCACCCGGCCAACTCAGAAGAGGGTGGGGCTCCGGCCAGCTCCACGGAGCACGCAGCCCCCACCGTGCCTCCCACACTACAGCTGGCATCTTCACAGTAGCCGCTCCAGACAGGCCACTGCTGCCATCAATTGTTTACTTGTCTTAAACTGCAGGTGTTCATAACCCATATTGCAGAGCTCTACTTATCAGTCCTATTCTTGTGATTGGGGACAGGGATGCAAAGCAGAGGAGAAAGGCTTACGAAGAGGAAGAGGTTGAGGAGACTGGAACTGTCAAGAGCACTCCCTGTGGTAATTAAAACAAGACGTGTGCTAGTGAAACTTAATTTGTAAGAAGTGGACTCAAGTGTTTTGTTTACAGATTTTTGCCCAAGTTCCAGCCCTAGGAGAATATTTCATATGACATCTGTTTTTTTAGAGAGAACAAATTTTTTTTTTGAGACGGAGTCTCGCTTTGTCGCCCAAGCTGGAGTGCAGTGGCGCGATCTCGGCTCACTGCAACCTCCGCCTCCTGGGTTCAAGCGATTCTCCCGCCTCAGCCTCCCGAGTAGCTGGGACTACAGGAGCATGCTACGACACCCAGCTAATTTTTTTTGTATTTTTAGTAGAGATGGGGTTTCACCATGTTGGCCATGATGGTCTCGATCTCTTTTTGTTTTGTTTTGTTTTGTTTTGTTTTGTTTTGTTTTTTTGAGACGGAGTCTTGCTCTGTCGCCCAGGCTGGAGTGCAATGGCGCGATCTCAGCTCACTGCAACCTCTGCCTCCTGGGTTCAAGCCATTCTCCTGCCTCAGCCTCCCGAGTAGCTGGGATTACAGGCGCCGCCACCATGCCCGGCTAATTTTTTGTATTTTTAGTAGAGATGGGATTTCACTATGTTGGCACTATATTGGTCTTGAACTCCTGACCTCATGATCTGCCCACCTCGCCTCCCAAAGTGCTGGGACTACAGGCGTGAGCCACCGCACCCGGCCACGTCTGTTTTTTTTATTTACCATTTCTGCCAGAAAATCTATGAGGGTCATAATTGCACAGTAGTACAGTAAAAGATTTCTTGACTTCAAAGTCAGTAAACCAGCCAGGCATGGTGGCTCACGCCTGTAATCCCAGCACTTTGGCAGGCAGAGGCAGGCAGATCACTTGAGGTCAGGAGTTTGGGACCAGCCTGGCCAACATGGCGAAAACCCATCTCTACTAAACACACAAAAAATTACCTGGGGATGGTGGCACGTGCCTGTAATCCCAGCTACTAAGGAGGCTGAGGCAGGAGAATTGCTTGAACCCGGGAGACAGAGGTTGCAGTGAGCTGAGATCGCGCCACCACACTCCAGCCTGGCGGACAGAGCAAGACTCCATCTCAAAAAAAAAAAAAAGTCAGTAAATCTCAGCTGTATTTCTGACTCTCTTTCTTTTTTAATGAGGTTTCTTTTTTCTTTTCTTTTCTTTTCTTTTCTTTTCTTTTTTTTTTTTTGAGACGGAGTTCCGATCCTATTGCCCAGGCTGGAGTGCAATGGCGCGATCTCGGCTCACCGCAACCTCCACCTCCCGGGTTCAAGCGATTCTCCTACCTCAGCCTCCTAAGTAGCTGGGATTACAGGCATGTGCCACTATGTCCGGCTAATTTTTTGTATTTTTAGTAGAGACGGGGTTTTTCCATGTTGGTCAGCCTGGTCTCGAACTCCCGACCTCGGGTGATTCGTCCGCCTCGGTCTCCCACAGTGCTGGGATTATAGGCATGAGCCACTGCGCCTGGCCTTTTTAATGAGGTTTCTAGTCAACTATCTGCCACTTTCTAGCTGGGTGACCTGGGACAATTACTTTACCTTCTCTGGGCTTCAGTTTTCTTAGCTTTTAGATGAGGAATGTGGAATACAGAATTACTTTCTATGCTTCTAAGATGACAGAAATCTCAACAATAGAGGATGTAAGGCTTTGAAGAAAACCCTTATACTTCTAGATCATATTCATCCAGACCAGTTTTATTTAAACGGCTGGTTTTATTCCTAGTTTTCCCTGACGCTCTAGAATGGAAATGTACAATTAATCTCTCCTTTTTGGAGTACAACAAATATTTTCTAATTTAATAGACTCCAGATAAGAAAGCAGGACACACATAAAAAATAAGTAACAACACATGGTAATTAAGATTAAATGAGGCCAGGGCCGGGCGCGGTGGCTCACACCTGTAATCCCAGCACTTTGGGACACCGAGGCGGGAGGATCACTTGGGGTCAGCAGTTCGAGACCATACTGGCCAACTTGGTGAAACCCCGTCTCTACTAAAAATACAAAAATCAGCCAGCTGTGGTGGTGCGCGCCTGTAATCCCAGCTACTCAGGAAGCTGAAGCAGGAGAATCGCTTGAACCTGGGAGGCGGAGGTTGCAGTGAGCCGAGATCGTGCCACTGCACTCTAGCCTGGGCAACAGAGCGAGACTCCATCTCAAAAAAAAAAAAAAAAAAAAAAAAAAACTAAATGAAATCACATTTGTAAAATGCCAAACAAGGAATACCACTCACAATAGGCACAAAGAAATGGAAGAAATGCTGGTTGCATATTTTGTTTTCCCTCTGCTGTAGTACCCTCCTATAATTAATCTCATAAGGAGACCCTAAAATGTACTACACTTCTCTCAGTCCTATGGCTCTGGGTCCCCTTTTGATCTTCTTGCACCCTTCCCCTACCTCCATCATCCTCCCAAAAGGAATGACTCACCCCAACATCCTCCACCTTCAGAATGAGTTTTCAGGTAATAACTTCTGTTGTTGCCAGCAGACTATGCCAAACATTCACTTGCACCAGGGCCAGAACATTGGTCTGTTCCTTGTTCCTCAGGCCAGAGGCTGTTTGGGTGCAGGGTACTCTCGCGTTTCCTTCTTTGAAGCATCCTCTATTTTCCTGGATTCACTGTTAACATTTAGTTGCCAGTTGACAAATGGTACAAAGGTTGGTAAGCTGGATTTTGAACTTTAAAATCTACTGCATGTACCCAGAGGCCACAGAGAAAAGAGGGGGTGTCTTATGCTTTGTGCACTAACAGGCAATTATTTACTATGATCTTCTTACTGAGTAACCTCTATACCTAGATTCAAAGAGCTGATACTTGTTTGTTGTTGTTGTTGTTGTTTTGAGATGGAGTCTCCTAGGCTGGAGTGCAGTGGCAAGATCTCGGCTGACTGCAACCTCCACCTGCTGGGTTCAAGCAATTCTCCTGCCTCAGCCTCCCGAGTAGCTAGAATTACAGGTGCCTGCTACCATGCTCAGCTAAATTTTGGTGGGTTTTTTTTTTTTTTTTTTTTTTTGAGATGGAGTCTCGCTCTGTCACCCAGGCTGGAGAGCCATGGTCTCGGCTCACTGCAAGCTCCTCCTCCCAGGTTGAAGTGATTATCAGCCTCCCTAGTAGCTGGGATTACAGGTATGCACCACTACACCCAGCTAATTTTTGTGTTTATAGTGGTTACAGGGTTTCGCCATGTTGGCCAGGCTTGTCTCCAACTGACCTCAAGTGATCCACCAACCTGGGCCTCCCAAAGTGCTGGGATTAAAGGCGTGAGCCATGGCGCCCACTCAAAAGTTGATACTTTAGGAGGCCTAAGGATGGTTGACTGCACTTTTCAGATATCCTAAGTATTTATAAGGAGTTAAAGGTTTGATCTCTGAGCTGAGTGATAGGCAGTAGTCTTCCTTTTAGACACAGTCTCAGGAGGGGAGAGAGGAAGGGCTGCCCGGAGGAGGTAGGTCACACAGAATGGGTTACAAATCATGTATCTGCCCTCAGTTCTAATTGTACCTGTCCTTTTTCTCCAGAAGGCTGGATCCTTTCCTACCAGAACCAGTACCTTAAGGGCTTGTAATATTGAACTGTGAGTCCCCAGAGGGCAGGTACTATGCCATATTTATTTTGGCACTCCCCAAGCACAATGCTTGGTAGGAAACAGACCTTAATAAGTTTTGGCTGTGCCAGACGTGGTGGCTCAGGCCTGTAATCCCAGCATTTTTGGGGGCCAAGATGGGCGGATCACGTGAGGCCAGGAGTTTGAGAACATCCTGGCCAACACAGAGAAATCCTGTCTCAGCCGGGTACGGTGGCTCACGCCTGTAATCCCAGCACTCTGGGAGGCCAAAGCAGGTATATCACCTGAGGTCAGGAGTGTGCGACCAGCCTGGCCAACATGGTGAAACCCCACCTCTACTAAAAATACAAAAAATTAGCCGGGCGTGGTGGCAGGTGCCTGTAATCCCAGCTACTCAGGCAGCTGAGGCAGGAGAATCGCTGGAACCTGGGAGGTGGAGGTTGCAGTGAGCCAAGATCACGCCACTGCACTCCAGCCTGGGCAACAAGAGCGAAACTCCATCTCAAAAAAAAAAAAAAAAAAGAAATCCTGTCTCTACCAAAAAATACAAAAATTATCCAGGTGTGGTAGCGCATGCCTGTAGTCTCAGCCCAGGTACTCAGGAGGCTGAGGCAGGAGACTTGCTTGAACCCGGGAGGCAGAGGTTGCAGTGAGCTGAGATCCGCGTCACTGAACTCCAGCCTGGGCGACAGAGCGAGAGCCCTGTCTCAAAAAGAAAAGAAGTATTGGTTAAAGGTTGAATTAAAAGTAGGCTTTTACTGCCCTTTAAATGTTTGGCATCAGTTCTGGGAGCCAGGAAAAAATAAATAAATAAATAAATAAATAAATAAATAAATAAATAAATGTGTGGCTGACAGACTCCATGGTGGCCTTCATGATCCTGCCTCCTGGTGTTCATGCCTTTGTGTGATACCTTCCCCTCGAGTGGTGACAGGACCTGTGACTTGATTCTGACCGATATGGTATAAGTGATAGGATGTTACTCCCATGATTATGTCACATGATGTAAGATTCTCTCTTGGCAGGAAACAAAAGCAAAAAATAGACAAGTGGGTCTACATCAAACTTAAAAACTTTTGTGCAGCTGGGCGCGGTGGCTCACGCCTGTAATCCCAGCACTTTGGGAGGCCAAGGTAGGTGGATCACCTGAGGTCGGGAGTTGGAGACAAACCTGCCAACATGGTGAAACCCTGTCTGTACAAAAAATACAAAAAGTTAGCCAGGCATTGTGGCGGGCACCTGTAATCCCAGCTACTCGGGAGGCTGAGGCAGGAGAATCGCTTGAACCTGGGAGTTGGAGGTTGCAGTGAGCCGAGATCACGCCATTGCACTCCAGCCTGGGCAACAAGAGTGAAACTCTTGAAAATTCATGAAGGGAGGAAAATACTCAGTGAAGGGAGTACAGCATAACCAGCCCAGAGAAAGAAACCAGAAAGTTCAGTGCCTCAGTTTCCTCATCTGTGAAATGTATCAAGGAGCCAGACCTGAGCCCCTCTGGGGCAGAGACTATTATTTTCACTCTTATGGCCCCAGCATCTAGCAGAGTGTCTCTCACAGAGTCGCACTTGTTAAAGCACTTTTTTGTTGTTGGTTTTTATTGTTTGTTTTTGGCATAGGATCTCACTCTGTTGTCCAGGCTCGAGTGCAGTGGCATGATCTCAGCTCAGCAACCTCCGCCCCCTGGGTTCAAGCGATTCTCATGTCTTCAGCCTTCTGAGTACCTGGGACTACAGACACGTACCACCACGCCCGGCTAATTTTTGTATTTTTAGTAGAGACGGGGTTTCACCATGTTGGCCAGGCTGATCTCCAACTCCTGACCTCAAGTGATCCGCCCACCTCGGCCTCCCGAAGTGCTGGGATTACAAGCGTGAGCCACCGCACCCAGCTGATAATGTGTGTTTTGACCTGACCGTGGTGGCATATGGACAAGACGGTTTGGGACTTGTTTATCCAGGAATAAAGTTCATGTTAGCAAGCAGTGAATCTCCCTCAGTGATTTGGGCTCAGCTTGGAACCATCCTGAGAGGCACATTATTTCTTGCAGACTGCGCAATTGGGGTCCTCTGAAAATGAAACCAAAATGGAACTCTTGCTTATGCCACCTGCTTCTGCTGAGGGACACACAGCTCTAGTCGCCTCCAGCACAAGATTCATGTGGGGCGGTGGTAATAGTGACACTTCCAGGTCACTTAGGGAAATCTCTCGCCAGGAGATGGGCAACTGGGCCATTGATACAGTGGTACCCGGCCACCTTTCATGAGTGCCTGTAATTAAAATGACATTTTAATTTGGATTTAGATATATGATAAAGTGAGACAGAAAGACAAATAAACATGTTTTCCTTTAATTTTTTGGAAATTTTATTAGCCCCTTATAAAAGGTTTAGTATGAAACTAGAAAATTCAATTTGGATAACTTAGTTTCTTTTTCTCTAATTTAGTTTCATTTCTCTTTACACAAATGTCACTTCCTCTCTGTAGCTTTCCAGGCCACTATGCTGCCTCGTCACCAAGACTTCGCTAGCACTCCATCCTGGCAGAATTAATTGTTTACTGCTTCCTGTAGATCATGTGGCACATTATTCACTGAAGCAGTTATCACAATGTATTTGATTACATTTCTGTTTTTTTTTCTCTCTAGGTGGCAAATTCTCAGAAGTCAGAAACTCTCCCTGTTTGATCTTTGTAGTGTCAGGACCCAGCATAATACCTGACATATAGTAGATGCTCAATAAATGAATTAAATGGAATTGAATTAGTATATTGGCTTTACTTATTATTTTGTTTGTTTTAGTCCCCTCCCCCCTTTAATGATTCTTTCTTTCTTTTTTTTTTTTTTTTATTCTCAATTGTTCCATCACCCAGGCTGGAGTGCAGTGGCACGATCTCAGCTCACTGCAACCTCCACCTCCTGGCTTCAAGCAATTCTTGTGCCTCAGCCTCCCAAGTAGGTGAGATTACAGGGATGCGCCACCATGCCTGGCTAATTTTTGTATTTTTGGTGAAGACGAGTTTTCACCATGTTGGCCAGGCTGGTCTCAAACCCCTGGCCTTAAGTGATCTGCCCAACTTAGCCTCCCAAAGTGCTGGGATTACAGGCATGAGCCACTGCACCCGGCCTGATTATTTTCAAAGAATTGAAGATAGAGTGCATCAGAAAAAATTCTATATTCATTATCTTTACTTTCTGTTGCTCAGACTATATGAGCCTCTTGGCCAAATAAAAGCCATTTATGGAACTGGTTTGCAGATGATTCTGAAAAGAGGCTGAGAGGAGAGGGATTAGGGAGGAAAAAAAATCCTTGTGGGATAGGGTCAGAATTCAAAGAGAAAATGGAGAATTAAAGACAAATTCAACGGAATTCTAATAAGATCAGGTGTAGAATCATAAACCTGAGGACAATCTAGGTATATAAACGCAAGACGTGGACCAGGCATGGTGGCCCACACCTGTAATCCCAGCACTTTTGGAGGCCAAGGTGGGAGGAACGCTTGAGCCCAGGAATTTGAGACCAGCTTGGGCAACATAGTGAGACCCTATCTCTTCAAAAAGTAAAATATTAGCTGGGTATGGTGGCAGATACTTTTTCTTTTTTTTTGAGACGAACTCTCGCTCTGTCTCCAGGCTGGAGTGTAGTGGCATAGTCTTGGCTCACTACAACCTCCACCTCCCAGGTTCAAGCTCTTCTCCTGCCTCAGCCTCCCAAGTAGCTGGGACGACAGGTGTGCACCATCACGCCTGGCTAATTTTTGTGTTTTTAGTAGAGATGGGGTTTCACCATGTTGGCCAGGATGGTCTCCATCTCTTGACCTTGTGATCTGCCCGCCTCAGCCTCTTAAAGTGCTGGGATTACAGGTGTGAGCCACTGCGCCCAGCCAGGTGGCACATACTTACAGTCTCAGCTACATGGGAGGCTGAGTTGAGAAGATTGTTTGAGTCCAGGAGTTCAAGGCTGCAGCGAGCTATGATTGCACCTCTGCACTCCAGCCTTGGAGACAGAGTGAGACCCTGACTCAAAAAAAAAAAAAAAAAAAAAAAAAAGGAGTAAACCCAAACCCAAGATGTGCAGGAGTGGCATTTCAGAAGCTAAGTTCTAGGGGTCATGTGATCCTCCTACCTCAGCCTCCCAAGTAGCTGGGACTACAGATATGTACCACCATGTCCAGCTAATTTTTGTGTTTTTTGTAGAGGTGGGGTTTTGCCATGTTGACCAGGCTGGTCTCAAACTCCTGGGCTCAAGCAATCCACCCAACTCGACCTCCCAAAATGCTGGGATTACAGGTGTGAGCCATGGCGCCCACCAAGAGCTGACACTTTAGGAGGCCTAAGGATGGTTGACTGCACTTTTCAGATATCCCAAGTATTTATAAGGAGTTAAAGGCTTGATCTCTGAGCTGAGTGATAGGCAGTAGTCTTCCTTTTAGACACAGTCTCAGGAGGGGAGAGAGGAAGGGCTGCCCGGAGGAGGTAGGTCACACAGAATGGGTTACGAATCGTGTATCTGCCCTCAGTTCTAATTGTACCTGTCCTTTTTCTCCAGAAGGCTGGATCCTTTCTTACCAGAACCAGTACCTTAAGGGCTTGTAATATTGAACTGTGAGTCCCCAGAGGGCAGGTACTATGCCATATTTATTTTGGCACTCCCCAAGTACAATGCTTGGTAGGAAACAGGCCTTAATAAGTTTTGGCTATGCCAGAAGCGGTGGCTCACGCCTGTAATCCCAGCACTTTGGGAGGCCGAGGCAGGTGGATCACCTGAGGTCAGGAGTTCAAGACCAGGCTGGCCAACAAGGTGAAACCCCATCTCTACTAAAATACAAAAACTAGCCAGGCATGGTGGCATGCGCCTATAATCCTGGCTACTCAGGAGGCTGCGGCAGGAGAATTGCTTGAGCCTGAGAGGCAGAGGTTGCAGTGAGCTAAGATCGCACCACTGCACTCCAGCCTGGGCAACAGAGCTAGACTCCATCTCCAAAAAAAAAAAAAAAAAAAAGCACCCAAAACAACAAATAACACAATTTAAAAATGGATGAAGGAGGCTGGGCACAGTGGCTCACACCTATAATCCCAGCACTTTGGGAGGCCGAGGCAGGTGGATCACTTGAGGCCAGAAGTTTGAGACCAGCCTGGCCAACATAGCTAAACCCCCTTCTTTTTAAAAAATACAAAAAGTTAGCCAGGCATTGTGGCATGCACCTATAATCCTAGCTAATTGGGAGGCAGAGGTAGAAGAATTGCTTGTACCTGGGAGGCAGAGGCTGCAGTGAGCCAAGATCGCACCACTGCACTCCAGACAGAGCAAGACCCTGTCTCCAAAAAGAAAAAAAAAATGGATGAAAGACTTAAATAGACAGATCTCCAAAGAAAATGTATAAACGGACAACAAGCATATAAAAGACATTCAGCATCACTAATCATCAGAGAAATGCAAATTAAAACCACAATATCACCTCACATCTATTTTAACTGCCACTATTTTTTGAAAGGTGGCCAGGTGTGGTGGCTCACGCCTGTAATCTCAACACTTTGGGAGGCCTATGTAGGAGGATTACTTGAGCCTAGGAGTTCAAGACCAGCCTGGCCAAGATAGTGAGACCCCCATCTCTACATAAAAATACTTTTAAATTTTTTTAAATTAAAGAAAGGCCAGGCATGGTAGCTCACACCTGTAATTCCAGTGCTTTGGGAGGCTGAAGTGGGAGGATTGCCTGAGCCCTGGAGTTCAGGGTTCAATGAGCTAGGATCATGCCACTGCACTCCATCTAGCCTGGATGACAAACCAAGACCCTGTCACTTGAAAAAAAATAATAAAAAATAAAAATAACCAGAAAACAAAATGACAACTGCTGGTGTAGATGTAGAGAAATTGGAACCTTTATGCACTGTTGGGAATGTAAAACAGTGCGGCTGCTATGGAAAACAGCAGGGAGATTCCTCAAAAAGTTAAAAATTTAAGTAACATGATCCAGCAATCCCACTTCTGGGTATATATCCAAAAAAAAAAAAAAAATGAAAATAGGGCCAGGCGCGGTAGCTCACGCCTGTAATCCCAGCACTTTAGGAGGCCGAGGCAGGCAGATCACATGAGGTCAGGAGTTGGAGACCAGCCGGGCCAACATGGTGAAACCCCATCTCTACTAAAAATACAAAAATTAACCGGGCCTGGTGGCACATGCCTGTAATCCAGCTACTTGGGAGGCTGAGGCACGAGAATCGCTTGAACCTGGGAAGCGGAGGTTGCAGTGAGCCAAGATCGCACCACTGCACTCCAGCCTGGGTGACAGAATGAGACTATGTCAAAAAAAAAAAAAGTGTTCATGGTAGAATGGTAGAGAGCAGTGGCCCTTGGTCCAACAAAGCCAGTCTTAAATCATAAACATTCATAACTCTATCATGTCCCAGCTTTAACAATTTTGTAACCCCTGTTGAGCCTCAGGTTTTGCCAGCTGTAAAGACAGTGCTATTACTTACTTCACAAGACAGTTGTAACGGCCAGGCATGGCAGCTCACACCTGTCATCCCAGCACTTTGGGAGGCTGAGGCAGGAGGAGTGCTTGAAGCCAGGAGTTCGAGGCTAGCCTAGGCAACTTAGCAAGATCCCATCCCTACAAAAAAATTTTAAAGATTAGCCAGGCATGGCGGCATGTGCCTGTGGTCCTAGCCACTCGGGAGGTTGAGATGGGAGGATTGCTTGAGTCCAGGAGTTGTGGTTGCAGTGAGCCATGCTTGCATTATTGCCCTCCAGCTTGGGCAACAGAGCAAGACCCTGTTTAAAAAAAAAATAGGGCCTGGTGTGGTGGCTCACGCCTGTTATCCTAGCACTTTGGGAGGCCGAGGCAGGAGGATCCCCTGAGGTCAGGAGTTCGAGATCAGCCTGGCCAACAGGACGAAACCCCGTCTCTACTAAAATTTTAAAGAAAAAAAAATTGGCCGGGTGCGGTGGCTCACACCTGTAATCCCAGCACATTCAGAGGCCGAGGCAGGTGGATCACCTGAGGTCGGGAGTTTGAGACTAGCCTGACTGACATGGAGAATGCCCGTCTCTACTAAGAATGCAAAATTAGCCGGGCGTGGTGGCACATGCCTGTAATCCCAGTTACTTGGGAGGCTGAGGCAGGAGAATTGCCCGAACCTGGGAGGCGGAGGTTACGGTGAGCCGAGATTGCGCCATTACACTCCAGCCTGGGCAACAAGAGTGAAACTGTCTAAAAAATAAAAAATAAAAAAATAATTAGCTGGGTGTGGTGGCACATGCCTGTAATCCCAGCTACTCAGGAGGGTGAGGCAGGAGAATCACTTGAACCCAGAGGGCGGAGGTTGCAGTAAGCCAAGATCACACCACTGCACTTCAGCATGGGTGACAAAGCAACACTCCCTCTCAAAAAAAAAAAAAAAATTTAGGCTGGGCATGGTGGCTGACGCCTGTAATCCTAGCACTTTGGCAGGCCGAGGCTGGTGGATCACTTGAGGTCAGGAGTTCAATACCACCTTGGCCAATATGGTGAAACCCCATCTCTACTAAAAATACAAAAATTAGCTGGGTGTGGTGGCTCATTCCTGTAATCCCAGGTGCTTGGGAGGCTGAGGCAGGAGAATCACTTGAACCCAGGAGGCAGAGGTTGCAGTGAGCTGAGATCATGCCACTGCACTCCAGCCTGGGCAACAGAGCGAGACTCCGTCTCAAAAAAAAAAAAATAGTTGTAAGAATCAAATGAGACAATTAAAGCAAACCACCTAAGACAATGCCTTGGCTGATTCCCTTCCCAGTACTCTTCCCCTACTCAGTCCTCCTCAGTTACAGGGATTCTCTTTCTCACAAAGATTAAATTCTGCTGTAAAAACCACACACACACATCTCCAAAAGTAATGTGTATACCCTGAGGGCTGGTTTCAAAACTTGGTCATCCTTTAAAACCTCCAAGTACCTAGCACAAGACTCAGTAAGGACGTGTTCATCTGCCGACTCACTAACCAAATAAAAGTTTTCCAAATGCTAGACAGTTAATCCCTTTTCTCACGCCATTTTTTCCCCTGCTGTTCAGGAGCTGTATATGCCATTTTAAATATAAATTCCATGCTGGACATGAGATTTCTCATGCCTGTAATCCCAGCACTTTGGGAGGCTAAGGCGTGAGAATCCCTTGAAGCCAGGAGTTCAAAACCAGTCTGGGCAACACAGAAGGACTCGTATCTCATTAGCCAGGTATTGTGGCACACACCTATAATCCTAGCTACTTGGGAGGCTGAGGTGGGAGAGTCCCTTGACCCTGGGAGGTAGAGCTTGCCTGGGTGACAGAGAAAGACTGTCTCAAAAAAAGAAAGAAAGAAAGAAAAGAAAGACTCCCATCTCTACAAAAAATTTTAAAGATTAGCCGGGCATGGTGGCACATACCTGTGGTCCGAGTTACTCAGGAGGTTGAGGTGGGAGGATCGCTTAAACCCAGGAGTTCAAGGCTGCAGTGAGCTATAATCATGCCACTGCACTCCTGCCTGGGCGACAGAGCAAGACCCTGTCTCTTAAAAAAAAAAAAAAAAATAGGCCAGGCGCAGTGGTTCACATCTGTAATCCCAGCACTTTGGGAGACCGAGGCGGGCGGATCACCTGAGGTCAGGAGTTTGAGACCAGCCTGACCAACATGGAGAAACCCCACCTCTACTAAAAATACAAAATTAGCAGGGCGTGGTGGCACATGCCTGCAATCCCAGCTACTCAGGAAGCTGAGGCAGGAGAATTGCTTGAACCTAGGAGGTGGAGGCTACAGTGAGCTGAGATCACACCATTGCACTCCAGCCTGGGCAACAAGAGCAAAACTCCGTCTCAAAAAATAATAATTTTTGTGTTATATATATATACTTGTATATATACGTATATATACACACATATATATGTGTATATATATGTATATATATATACCTATATATGTGTATATATATGTATGTGTGTGTATATATATATGGCTGAACGTGGTGGCTCACACCTGCAATCCCAGCACTTTGGGAGGCCAAAGCGGGTGAATCACCTGAAGTCAGGAGTTCAAGACCAGCCTGGCCCACATGGTGAAACCCCGTCTCTACCAAAAGTATAAAATTAGCTGGGCGTGGTGGCAGGTGGGAGGCTGAGGCAGGAGAATCACTTGAACCCAGGAGGCGGAGGTTGCAGTGAGCCGAGATTGTGCCATTGCACTCCAGCCTGGGCAATAGAGTGAGACTCTGTTTAAAAAAAAAAAAAAATATATATATATATATATATATAATATATATATATATATGTAATGTTGGTTGCATCTATCCATTCATGACAATGGAAAAGCATAATGTGATTCACTGCCATGAAAAACATTCAAACTTCTTAGGGTTCTAGGCTTCTTCATGTCCACAATCACAGTCACAGTGGGCTTTTTTAGCCGTCTGTTTTGTTTCGGTTTTTTTGAGAGAGGGTCTCGCTCTGTCACCCAGGCTGGAGTGCAGTGGCGCAATCATGGCTCACTGCAGCCTCGACCTCCTGGGCTCAAGTGATCCTCCCACCTCAGCCTCCCAAGTATAATAGCTGGGATACAGGCACACGCCACCACACCCAGCTAATTCTTGTATTTTTTTTGTACAGACGGAGTTTCCCTATGTTACCCAGGATGGTCTCAAACTCCTGGGCTCAAGCGATTCATCCACCTCAGCCTCCCAAAGTGCTGGGTTTACAGGCATGAGACACCACACCTGGCCACCATCTGTTTTTCAGAATAGGTTCTTCTTGTCATAAGGACAAAGCAAAGCAAAAGATCATGAAACAATGTTTTTTCTTTTTTTTTTTTTTGAGACGGAGTCTTGCCCTGTTGCCCAGGCTGGAGTGCAATGGCGCCATCTCGGCTCACTGCAACCTCCGCCTCCTGGGTTCAAACGAATCTCCTGCCTCCGCCTCCTGAGTAGCTGGGATTACAGGCACTCGTCACCATGCCCAATTTTTTTTTAAATTATTTTTAGTAGACACGGCGTTTTACCATGTTGGCCAGGTTGGTCTCGAACTCCTGACCTCGTGATCCACCTGCCTCTGTAGAAGGAGGGATCAGACTATCCCCAAAAGACCACCCCTCACATTCAACAAGTGATTCTCTGCCTTTGCTAGCAATATCCTGTATGTAGAAAAGAAAGCAGAAGTAGATTCTCTGTTACCCTTCCTGCCCTAGGGGGATTCCACGGATCCTGAGTCACCCTGGGAGATTATGAAACTCAAAGGTCTTTCTCAAAGATCTTTAAAAACCACTGATTCTCAACTGCCAAATTACAGCTACTAGTCTTTCCTGATAGTGTTGGCTAGACCTCATGGATGACCAGAAGGCCTTTTCCTCCTCTGCTTCTGTCTAAAATGTCAGGACTTAGGAGAGCTTGTTATACATTTCCTGGTAACAGTAAATTAGACCGCTATGACTAAGCGCTAGTGACAGCTGCGTAGCTAAAGCAAAACCAAAGCCATCTTCTGTTTGGGTTGCTTAGTTTAATAGAATAGTGATTGTTTTGGCCGGGCACGGTGGCTCACGCCTGTAATCCCAGCACTTTGGGAGGCCGAGGTGGGAGGAGCACTTGAGCCCAGGAGTTCGAGACCAGCCTGGGCAAGATGGTGAGGCCCTATCTCTACCAAAAAAAAAAAAAAAAAAAAAAAAAAAAAAAAAAAAAAACTTATCAAAGAATCCAAAGACCTTACCTTCGAAAATTGTAAAAAACAGTAATACACAAGCACATATTCTTTTAGTCACCAGAGCAATGACATCATCACATATTCTGTAAATGTATAATTATTTCAAAAAAAAGTTAAAGGAAATGAAGCACAGAAGATGAATCAAGTAGGGATTACAACAACTTTCAACAGCAACCGAAGTCAGAAGACAGATACCATCAATGTGCTGAAAGAGGAAAACTTCTGAACCTCAAAATCTATAAACTATGAAATAAACCCTTCAAGAATTTTAAGATGGGCTGGTCCAAAGGTAGTGAGTTATCTCAGTTGATTGTTCACAATCAGTTACACATCAAACTCCTTATTTTACTCTGACTACTGCACTTGACTAGTCTAAAAAAAGAATTATAAGATGAATTAAAGACACGTTCAGATAAGCAAAACTGAGAACGTTTGGCAAAAGCAGATCTTTACTAAAGGAAATTATGAAGAATGTACCTCGGGCAGAAGGAAAAGTGTCAAGATCAAGTGTCAAGGAAGATTAGAGATTTAAGAAGGTATAAGAAGGTTAGAAAAGTAAGAAAAAAATATGCCGTCAACTCTAAAAACTACAAGTATAAAGAAAAAAGATTATTGGGAAATCCAAATAACCTACCTTAGGAAATTCTAAAAGAATATACGAGCTCACATTCCTTTGGTCATAAGAGCAGTGTCATCATTAGACATCAGGTCGCCTCTGGAAAATTCCATTGTGAGTTTAAAAGGCAAATGACGTCTATAATTCTAAAACTAGTTCTCCCACCGAAACTCTAGAAAGGATCTTGGGATCTGCAGGGTCTCCCGGATCACACTTTGAGAACTGCTGCTTTAGTCTTCCTCCCATCTCCTAAGGCCAGAGCTCCTGAGTTTGCTTCCCACTGGCCAAGGAGAAAAGAGCAAGGTCACTTGTCGGGGGGCTGCAGAGGGAATTACCTTCTTTCATTTGCAAATGTTACTGGGGGACACACCGGCTCCCAGTAGGGTTTCCGCCAAGGCTCCGCGAAACGCCACTAGAGGGCGCCGCTAGCGAATCCCACAGCGCGCCCCGCTGCCCCCACTTTTGTCCTCCGGGTTCACACGGGCGCCCGGAAGAGAGGGTGGTGCCTGGGAGAGGAAACGATGCGCCCCGGGGCCGCGGCCTCATTGGATGAGAGGTCCCACCTCACGGCCCGAGGCGGGGCTTCTTTGCGCTTAAAAGCCGAGCCGGGCCAATGTTCAAATGCGCAGCTCTTAGTCGCGGGCCGACTGGTGTTTATCCGTCACTCGCCGAGGTTCCTTGGGTCATGGTGCCAGCCTGACTGAGAAGAGGACGCTCCCGGGAGACGAATGAGGAACCACCTCCTCCTACTGTTCAAGTACAGGGGCCTGGTCCGCAAAGGGAAGAAAAGCAAAAGACGAAAATGGCTAAATTCGTGATCCGCCCAGCCACTGCCGCCGACTGCAGTGACATACTGCGGCTGATCAAGGTAGCGGAGAGCCAGAGCTCCTCCCGGGGCGTGGGGTGGAGGTGGCTCCGTTTCCCAGAGTGGGGTGATTCACGTCTTGAGGTCTCGGCCGGTGTGAGAGCCCAGCCTGTTCCCCTTTCTGCGCCCATCCCCGGCTCGGCCGCCACCCCGCCCGCCCGCCCCATTCCGTTCCCCTGAGCTGGCCGGGCCGGAGCCTCATTTTGTTTTCTACTTTTTTCTCTCCTATGTGCATCCCCCCAGGAGCTGGCTAAATATGAATACATGGAAGAACAAGTAATCTTAACTGAAAAAGGTAATTCAACAGTGGCGGGACGGGGGACAAGCGTTCGGTGCCTGTCACCTTCGCCAAGGCCATTACCGCCCCTGCTCCCCCTTCTTGCAGATCTGCTAGAAGATGGTTTTGGAGAGCACCCCTTTTACCACTGCCTGGTTGCAGAAGTGCCGAAAGAGCACTGGACTCCGGAAGGTAACCCCTCGCCCTTTCCAGAAGCCAGAGAGACCAAGTGTTATGTAAGAAGTAGTGTCGGCTGTGTAGAACCACTGACTACACAGGCCGAAGTTACTGAGAACTTGGACAGAAAAAATAGCCAGCAAGTGTTCAAACTACTGAGGAAAAAAAAAAATTAGATATGCTGCACTTAAGAATACTAGGGCAGGTTAAAAGAGCTGTTTAAGTAAGTATCAGAGTGCTGTGGAGACTCGGAAGTGTTTAAGCTGCTTAAGTAAGTATAAGTGCTGTGGAGACCCGGAAGAGTTAGATATAATGTCATTTGTTGTAATTCAGTTTCATAAAATGGTTCTTGTTTGACCCTAACGTAACAGTTTTTGTAATTGTGTTAAATCACATTTTTTTCTTTAATTTGTCCCAATCTTCAGGTTACAGTCTCTAGCTTCGCCATGTACATGGCCCTTCCGTGTACATGGATGGGCGGGGAGGTAACTAAAAGATCCTTTACACAATAAAGTAGATGATCATGATAAATGAGGTAAGGTCCTATTATCACACACTTCAAACACGGTAGATCAGAAACCCACTATGATACTCGCTTCCTGTCTGTTTGCTAAGGAATATAAAATGGCTAGAAAGTTTAATTTGAAACCTTTGCCTCCATTTGGAATAGTAGACACCAGTTAAGAGGGTGTCAGATGCCTTTTTTTTTTTTTTTTTTTTGGCTGGTCCCTGTTGATTGGTCAGAAGACAGCTCAGCTAAAAGGGGAAGTTGTCTGGGTGGTTGCTTTTTTTCTGACGTCTGTTCCTCAGGCTGGAAGAAATGAGCAGAAAACAAGGGATGAGTACTTTTTAGAGTATGTGCATGTTACGTAATACCTGTTTCTGGGCAATGCTGCTTCTTCTGACTCAACAAATGGGGAGAGCAAATTGAAAATGCGTAAATTGGAAGGCAAGTTCTGAAATTAAACGTTGTACTTTGGCCTGATGTTCTGACCTTTAAGGAAGCAAGAGTTTGTAAACTTCCAAATATTTACTATTCTGAACTGCCGTGTAAACCTGACGTATTCCCAAGTCAACATACCAGTATACCAATAGGATGTGAATAATGTGTGTGTTGAGTTTAAAACCATAGCAGTTTTGCTCTGGCAAGTAATGAAAGCGTTCTCGCTTCCTGAGTGTGAGCTCCAGCAGACTGCAGAGTGGCCAGTCCACAGTTGTAGCCTGACTTCAGTGAGTTCTGATGTGTGCTTTTTGCAAATACATGTTCTCAGAACAGTGAGATCATCCAGCAGTGGCCTGGACTGCACTCACATAAAAATCATGAGACAGCCATGGCTACTTGTTTCTGTAATACATGCATGTGTGTTTTTTAAAACCTATGATAGGCCTCTGATTCTGCAGCTGCAACTTTTATGGAATGTTTTCCTTCTCCACATCTCATGTGATGCTCTTATTACAGGACACAGCATTGTTGGTTTTGCCATGTACTATTTTACCTATGACCCGTGGATTGGCAAGTTATTGTATCTTGAGGACTTCTTCGTGATGAGTGATTATAGAGGTACGATTGAGTTCGGAGCAGAGGGTCTGAAGAGAGTTCAGAGTTATAAATGCTTACAATGACTTTTTAAATTGTACTCTTTCTTTTTAGGCTTTGGCATAGGATCAGAAATTCTGAAGAATCTAAGCCAGGTATGTCTTAGTTTTTGGTTTCCAAATTTGTAAGTTTACTGGATTATTTTAATGATGGAATAAAAATTGGGTCTTGAGAGCAGGCTGAAATGTCACTGAGTGTGTGTTTTACTCTCTCATAATAGGTTGCAATGAGGTGTCGCTGCAGCAGCATGCACTTCTTGGTAGCAGAATGGAATGAACCATCCATCAACTTCTATAAAAGAAGAGGTGCTTCTGATCTGTCCAGTGAAGAGGGTTGGAGACTGTTCAAGATCGACAAGGAGTACTTGCTAAAAATGGCAACAGAGGAGTGAGGAGTGCTGCTGTAGATGACAACCTCCATTCTATTTTAGAATAAATTCCCAACTTCTCTTGCTTTCTATGCTGTTTGTAGTGAAATAATAGAATGAGCACCCATTCCAAAGCTTTATTACCAGTGGCGTTGTTGCATGTTTGAAATGAGGTCTGTTTAAAGTGGCAATCTCAGATGCAGTTTGGAGAGTCAGATCTTTCTCCTTGAATATCTTTCGATAAACAACAAGGTGGTGTGATCTTAATATATTTGAAAAAAACTTCATTCTCGTGAGTCATTTAAATGTGTACAATGTACACACTGGTACTTAGAGTTTCTGTTTGATTCTTTTTTAATAAACTACTCTTTGATTTAATTGTTTGGTGTAAGCATTTTTACTAGTTCTTTATTTCTTACACATCTTTCTTGCTGTTGAAGACAAAAATGACCCGCAAACATCATTGGATGAACAGAATTGCTCAAAATAGTTTTTAACCCAATTTAAAGTTTTTATGGTCATGTGTTATGTTAGTATTAACAAAGTCTGGATAGAAGCCAGTTTACCAGTTGGCTATCAAGGTTTTATACATAGCAACATGTAAAACATGACTTTTTTTTTTTTTTGAGACACAGTCTCATTCTGTTGCTCAGGCTGGAGCGCAGTAGTACGATCTCAGCTCACTGCAACGTCTGCCTCCCGGGTTCAAGCAATTCTCATGCCTCAGCCTCCTGAATAGCTGGGACTATAGGCATGTGCCACCGTACCCAGCTGATTTTTGTATTTTTAGTAAAGACGGGGCTTTGCCATGTTGGCCACGCTGGTCTTGAACTCCTGACCTCAAGTGATCCACCCACCTCAGCCTACCGAAGTGCTGGGATGACAAGGGTCAGCCACAGCACCCGGCAAAACGGCTTTTTATGTTGATGACACTATACACTGCATCTGATGGATTTTTTTTTTTTTTTTTTTGAGACAGTCTCGCTTTGTCACCCAGCCTGGGCAGTGTGGAGTGCAGTGGCACGATCTCGGCTCACTGCAAGCTCCTCCTCCTGGGTTCACACCATTCTCCTGCCTCAGCCTCCTGAATAGCTGGGACTACAGGCGCCCGCCACCATGCCCGGCTAATTTTTTGTATTTTTTAGTAGAGACGGGGTTTCACTGTGTTAGCCAGGATGGTCTCGATCTCTTGACCTCATAATCCGCCTGCCTCGGCCTCCCAAAGTGCTGGGATTACAGGCATGAGCCACTGCGCCTGGCCTGACGGAATTTTCAAGAGCTGAAAACCAAGTTAGAAACTGAGGCCCACAATGAATAAACCCATCATTACACAAGTAAAATGTGGAGATGGGATTATGAAACATTGAAAATCAAGAAAAAACATCTTGTCCCTAAAAACCTCATGCCACATAAGATTTTTTTTTTTAACAGAGCCAAGGTCTCATTCAATGAATAAACTCATCATTACACAAGTAAAATGTGGAGGTGGGATTATGAAACACTGAAAATCAAGAAAGAACATCTTGTCCCCCAAAACCTCATGCCACACAAGACTTTTTTTTTTTTTTTTTTTTTGAGGAAGAGTCTTGCTCTGTCACCCAGGCTGGAGTGCGGTGGCACGATCTTGGCTCACTGCAAGCTCCGCCTCCCGGGTTCACGCCATTCCCCTGCCTCAGCCTCCCGAGTAGCTGGGACTACAGGCACCCGCCACCACGCCTGGCTAATTTTTTTTTTTTTTTTTTTTTTTTTAGAGGAGACGGGGTTTCACCGTGTTAGCCAGGATGGTCTTGATCTCCTGACCTCGTGATCCGCCTGCCTCGGCCTCCCAAAGTGCTGGGATTACAGGCGTGAGCCACCGTGCCCAGCCAAGACTTTTTTTTTTTTTAATAGAGCCAAGGTCTTACTCTTTCGCCCAGGCTGCAGTGCAGTGGTGTGATCACAGCTCACTGCAGCCTTATCCTCCCGGGTTCAAGCAATTTTCCCACCTCAGCCTCCCAAAAGTAACTGGGACTACAGCTGCATGCCACCATGCCCAGCTAATTTTTTTTATTTTTAGTAGAGACAGGGTCTTGCTAAGTTGCCCAGGCTGGTCTCAGGTCCTCCTGCCTTGGCCTCCCAAAGTGTTGGGATTACAGGTGTGAGCCATGGCACCTGACCAAGATAATTTTGAAGGTAAAGCGGATCACTGAAATTAGGGTCTCCTATGTGTACTGAAAAAGTACACATTTTTTTACAGGAAATTTGCAAACAGAAAAGCTCCAGTTGGACACAAGCATAAATCAGATAAATTAACATCTCATTTGGAGGGTGAATTTGTAGTCCTGTGTTAATACAACGGATTTTTAGAGCAGAGAAACAATAGCCCTTAAAACTGCCAGGGGGTAAAGAAGTAAACAAGTGCTTTCTTAAGGACTGAAATGAAAAAGAAAAAGACCATTTCCCCCTAGATATGTGAACTCCTTTCATTATTCATGACATTGGCCCAAATTCCTAAACCGACTAATTTCCACAATAATGAAAACAGTAGTTGATAAGAACCACTGTAGACTAATGTCCAAGATAAATGTTTTCCAAAAGAAGTCAGATACCTGAAAACAATGCTCTGTATCTCTCTGAGTTCTCCAGCAAATCAGTACTGAGCTCCTCAGTCAAAGGTAATGTTGTCCTGCAAGCCTTTGTATCAGTGTCTGTTATGGCTTCCTAGATTAGAAGGCAGCCACATATAAAAATGTAGCCCTGTATTATATTTAATACAGGAGGGCTTTGGGATTTATTGGTGGCTCAGAGAGCATGCCATGAAAATGGGCTTACAGAGTCAATGATCAACCAGGGGCCCTATTAGGCAGGCAAGTAACTACATAAGAGAAACTCTGGCAAAAATGAAAGGGTAACTAAACACAAAGAGCCTTGTGGAGAAGTAAGATATTTTGCAAATTGTGTTTTGGAAAGTGAGCCTCTTAGAGGAAAACAACTACATGCTGACTGTGGTTAAATATAGGAATAAATTAAATTAACCACCAAGTTACAATATAACTCTTTGTTTCCTCATCTTTCTTAGAACTTAGCCTTAAAGGCCCAGTGTTGTGAAGATGAAGGCTTTTATGAAGTTTTGTATCCACTTTAAAGAAGCCCCTTAAGTGTAAATTTTATTTATTTTAATTTTTATTTGTTTTTAGTTGTTTTCTTTTTTTTTTTTTTCTTGAGACAGGTTCTCACTCCATTGCCCAGGCTGGAGTGCAGTGGTGCAATCACAATTTACTGCAACCTCGACCTTCTGGGCTCCAGCAATCCTCCCACCTCAGCATCCCAAGTAGCTAGACCACAGGAACGCACCACCACGCCCAGCTTTTCTTTTTTTTTTTTTTAATTTTTTGTAGAGATGAGGTCTTGCTACATCACCCAGGCTGGTCTCCAACTCCTGGCCTCAAATGATCCTCCCCCCTCAGCCTCCCAAAGAGCTGGGATTACAGGCATGAGCCTGCGCCCAGCCAGCTGTAAAATTTAGAAGCTGAAACGCCAACTGGGAGCAGTGGCTCACGCCTGTAATCCCAACACTTTGGGAGGCCAAGGCGGGCAGATCACGAGGTCAGGAGTTCGAGACCAGCATGGCCAATATAGTGAAACCCTGTCTCTACTAAAAATACAAAAAATTAGCCCGGGGTGGTGGCAGGCCCCTGTAATCCCAGCTACTCAGGAGGCTGAGGCAGGAGAATCACTTGAACCCAGGAGGTGGAGGTTGCAGTTAGCAGAGATTGCACCATTGCACTCCAGCCTGGGCAACAGTGTGAGACTCTGTCTCAAAAAAAAAAAAAAAAAGAAGAAGCTGAAACACCACAGCATTAGCCCACTACTAGCTCAACTCAATTACAAAGAGACCTCTTTAAAAACTGAACTATAAAGCAAATCTATAAAGTTTGAAGTCACCAGGCAAGTAAGAAAACATGTTACGGGGAAATTATCTGAAAAGAAACAACAAACAATGATAAACATGGAAAACCAGAGTCCAAGATCATCAACCGCTTAGATTCCACACAGTAGTCTTTCTAGGGAAAGAAAGTAGAGTCTTTTTTACAGAAATGCTGAAGAAGCAATTCAGAAGAAACCTAATGATTTATTAATGCCTTCGACCCACTCTACCCCTTCCTGTGAGTCTCCTTTCCACTGGGGACCCAGCAGGGCCTAGAATGGATGATGCTCATCACGGTTCACTGAAGCAGGTGGCTGCTCACCAGCAACTGATGGAACTGCCAGGCCCTGGGAAACCAGCCACCTTCTCCTGCTAGGAGTGAAGCAACTTCCTCACTGACTGTGACAGCCATGGCCTTCCTCTGAGTCTGCAGGTGACCATGTCTGCTCCTAGAATTCTATTTCCTTGACTGGTGCCATGTTTGTTTGTTTGTTTGTTTGTTTTGAGACAGAGTTTCGCTTTTGTTGCTCAGGCTGGAGTGCAGTGGCGCGATCTCGGCTCACGTGAACCCGGGAGGTGGAGGTTGCAGTGAGCCGCGATCACGCCACTGCATTCCAGCCTGAGCGACAGGGCAAGATTACGTCTCAAAAAAAAAAAAAAAAAAGAAAAAGAAAAAAACTAGTGATAAGAGCTAACATTTATTAAGCACTAATCAGGAACCAGGCTTTCAGTTTAGCACTTTGTATACATTATTATCTCATCTAATTCTCACAACGACTGTATGAGATTGGTACAATTATAAGTTTCTTTTTACAATGAGAAACTAAACCTAAGAGAAGTTAAGTTGCCCAAGGCCACACAACTAGACCTGGGAATCAAGCTCCAAACCAATTTCTCAAACCCCTGGGGCTTCCTGCCATAGTCTCACAGGACCTCACAGTTTCTATAAGAATGATTGAATATGGTGTTTCTGTGTGATTCTACTGCAAAGAATAATCAGTATAAGCATTTTCTGGATAATCAAAAGCAGTGATTCTCAGTATGGGCTACACATTAGAATGGCCTAGAAAGCACTGTAAAAATACTAATGCCCCATCCTGAGAGAGATTTCTTTTTTTTTTTTTTTTGAGATGGAGTCTCACTCTGTCCCCCAGGCTGGAGTGTAGTGGCGTGATCTTGGCTCACTGCAAGCTCCGCCTCCCGGGTTCACGCCATTCTCCTGCCTCAGCCTCCCGAGTAGCTGGGACTACAGGCGCCCACCACCACACCTGGCTAATTTTTTGTATTTTTAGTAGAGACGAGGTTTCACCGTGTTAGCCAGGATGGTCTTGATCTCCTGACCTCGTGATCCGCCCGTCTCGGCCTCCCAAAGTGCTGAGATTACAGGCATGAGCCACCGCGCCCGGCCCAAGAGATTTCTAATTTACTTCTGTTTTTATGCATATACCAAAGTGATGCCAGGGGCCCAGTGCAGCAGCTCACGCCTGTCATCCCAGCACTTTGGGAGGCCGAGACAGATAGATCACTTGAGGTTGGGAGTTCAAGACCAGCCTGGCCAACATGGTGAAATCCTGCCTCTACAAAAAATACAAAAATTAGCCAGGCGTGGTGGCATGCACCTGTAAACCCAGCTACTTGGGAGGCTGAGACATGAGAATCGCTTGAACCTGGGAGGTGGAATTTGCAGTGAGCCGAGATCACACCACGCACTCCCAGCCTGGGCAACAGAGTGAGACTCTGTCTCCAAAAAAAAAAAAAAAAAAAAGTGATGTCAGGGTTGAGACCCACTGATATCTGGATAAGCAGCTTGCAGCTTATAACTGAATCTTAGTCACAATTGTTAGTACAACCATTTCAGTTTGTGTTTATGCTGTTCACCTTGGCTCTTGCCAAGCAAAACCAAGTGAAGTCATATCACAGTGCCTAAAGACGAACCTTCTCAAAAGTTTTTGGAAAACAAGGCAGAATTGTCATCTCACTCCATACAGTGCTGAAATCAAAGAATATCCACCCAAGCAGTCAGTACCATGTTCCTTTGCAAGCAGCAACTTCATTACAGAAAAACATCTTCCATCGCATTAAATCAGCATTGTTCATGTGAATGTTATTAGTTTGGTAATTTTGTTTGTATTATATTTATAAATGGATACTGGTTTTACAGTTATAGAGGAGCAGTAAACACAAAATATTCACATCTAGTGTATAATTATAGTAATAAAAATAATTTCAAACACCACTGAGGGTCTGTGAGAATTTTTTTTTTTTCTATTTTTTTGAGACAGAGTCTTGCTCTGTCGCCCAGGCTGGAGTGCAGTGGTGCGATCTCCGCTCACTGCAACCTCCAACTCCCTGGTTCAAGCGATTCCCCTGCCTCAGCCTCCCGAGTAGCTGGGATTACAGGCATACGCCACCACGCCTGGCTAATTTTTTTGTATTTTTAGTAGAGATGGGGTTTCACCATGTTGGCCAGACTAGTCTCAAACTCCTGACCTCAGGCAATCTGCCCGCCTCAGCCTCCCAAAGTGCTGGGATTACAGGCGTGAGCCACCGTGCCCGGCCGGATAATTCTTTTTCTTTTAAAAGGAGTCTGTGTTACTCAAGTTTGAAAAATCCTGCTATGACCAGTATACAATACTGCCTGCTTTTGTTAGGTTAAAAAAAAAGTGCCAAAGGCATTAGAGATAAGACTTGATCAGATTCAAGTTTGAGTTTTGGGCAAGAATATTTCATAGGTGATGTTTTTCCCCTCAAGAAGCAAATAATGCCTGGTCTTCTCTGTGCTGCTAGCCGTTGTTAATAGCAATACTCAGGTCTGCTGATTCATTAGGACTTGCAAAATGGTGACATTCTATCATTCCTTCTTTATTTATCACCTAGAATACTTCTATAAAGAGAACTTCCACCCAGGTGCTGTGGCTCACACCTGTAATCCTAGCACTTTGGGAGGCCGAGGTGGGAGGGTCATTTGAGCCCAGGAGTTCAAGACCGGCCTGAGCAACATAATGAGACCCCGTCTCTATAAAAAATAATTATTATTATTAAAATAAGATAACTTTCCCCCATCTTACATTTTGTTACCTTGAGGTACACAGTTCACCCAGAAGAGGCAGAATAAATGCTTAATTACTCCCTTTTATTTACTAGTTTTCAAAAGAATGAATTTAGTGCCCCCCAGCATCTTCCAATTAGGCTTTTTTCCTTTCAAGTAGCATTATTATGTTTTAAAATAATATACAGATGGGGTTTCACCAAGTTGCCTATGCTGGTCTTGGACTCCTGAGCTCAAGCAATTCTCTCGCCTCAGCCTCCCAAAGTGCTGGGATTCCAGGCATGAGCCACCGCGCCCAGCCTGAAGTATCATTATTAACTCAAGGACTCTTAGCATTTCCTGTGTCTTAATTACTTGCCATTTTTTTCTTATTGAAGCTCAGATTTCCCTAATTGTCCAGTGAAAGCTTCTTCAAGTTGGCTCCAGAATTGAGTCCTTTGGACTCGACCCCAGAAGCCTTTGTTAACTTCTTCCCTTTTAAGTTGTCCCAGGCTCATCTAGTACATTTCCTCCCCCAGACCTGACATCAATGGCTAGGTAATTCTGAGCTTCAGCGGTTCCCAGGGGAAACAACATTTATTGGGAGCAGGTGGTGTTCACAGTTCTCTGTTTTGATAATAACACAGGCACAGCAGGGAGATCCTTTTAAAAGTGGGGCTTGAGAGTGGCGGCATTCACTCCAGGCTTTCCTGAGGAAGTGTTCCACCAGCTGTGGGCCAACACTGTCTTCTTCCACCTCAGTGTTTGTTTATACTGCTTTCTTTTATCCAGTGAATCAATAACAACAGCAACAATAAAAATGGCTTCAAAACAGCTACATCCACAACAACAAATCTGTTTGCAGAGACGTGGTCCAGAGGCAGTTTGGGTCTGGTGAACACTTGACTTGGAGTCAGAGGAAATTGAATTAGATTCTGGCTTTTCTTCATTTATGAGAATAAAAACAAACTTCATCTTTTTTTTAATTTATTTTTTATTTTTTGAGACGGAGTCTCACTCTGTCGCCCAGGCTGGAGTGCAGTGGCGCGATCTCGGCTCACTGCAAGCTCCACCTCCCGGGTTCACGCCATTCTCCTGCCTCAGCCTCCCAAGTAGCTGGGACTACATGCGCCCGCCACCACACCCGGCTAATGTTTTGTAGTTTTAGTAGGGATGGGGTTTCACTGTGTTAGCCAGGATGGTCTCGATCTCCTGACCTCGTGATGTGCCCGCCTCAGCCTCCCAAAGTGCTGGGATTTTTTTTTTTTTTTTTTTTTTTGAGACAGAGTCTCACTCTGTCACCCAGGATGGAGTGCAATGGCGTGATCTCGGCTCACTGTAACCTCTGCCTCCTGGGTTCAAGCGATTCTCCTGTCTCAGCCTCCTGAGTAGCTGGGATTACAGACATGTGCCACCATGCCTAACTACTTTTTTTGTATTTTTAGTAAAGACAGGGTTTCGCCATGTTGGCCAGACTGGTCTCAAACTCCTGACCTCAGGTGATCCACCCACCTCGGCCTCCCAAAGTGCTGGGATTACAGGCGTGAGCCACTGTGCCTGGCAGATATACATTATTAATATATTCTATGTGACATATTTATAGTAACACTACACTGAGCATCTACTATGTGCCAGACATTGTGGTTTTATTTCATGAATGCCCATAACAATATTGTAGGGTATTCCAGTGGTATGCTAGTAAGTCAGCTGGAGGTGGGGTATCCTTGATTTGTAGAACTGGCTGATTTCCATGGTGTGAATACATCCGCTAAGGGTGTACCAAAGGTTTTAGCAACTGGCTGACAAAATTCCTGAATATTTAACAATAGGTTCTCCCAAGCCAGAAGGAGCAGGTTGCAGCACACCACTGGATCAGGCCCATCTTATTTTATTGCATTTTATTTTATTGAGACAGGGTCTTGTTCTCTCACCCAGGCTGCAATGCAGTGGTGTGATCGCAGCTCACTGCAGCCTCAACCTCCCAGGCTCAATTAATCTTCTCACCTTAGTCTCCTGAGTAGCTGAAACCACAAGTGCATGCCACCAAACTCCTGGCTAATTTTTGTATTTTTTTGGCAGAGACGGGTCTTGCCATGTTGCCCAGGCTGGTCTTAAACTCCTGGGCTCAAGTGATCCACTGGCCTCGGCCTCCCAAAGTGCTGGGATTAAGGGCGTGAGCCACCATGCCCAGCACAAATCAATTTATTTTATGTCATACAACCAGGAGGCAACAGGATTGAGATCTGAACTGGGTAGCCGGGTTGCACATATACCTCACGAACTACAACTCATGGTCTAGTCTCACTAACCATTCATGGTAGTGTTTCCTCATTAAACACTGGTGGTGCTTTAGGGCTAAGACTGTTTCTTTGAAACCTGGAAAAGGTCTTGCCTGTGCTTAGATTCGGTGTCGAGGAACAGGGAGAATGCAGTCTTCCTGTCCACTGTTCCCTGTCTCAACACGTCTCTGCCAGCTCTGCAAGAAAATTCGACACTTCCACAAAAGACCAGTGAAGGAAGCCAACATGTTTCACCCCAAAACATACTTCTTTGACGTATTTCAAGATGGCTATTCAGAAGGGCTGGAAATACGAGAATAGCTGCAAAGCTGCCTTTTGTGGAGCTTTGTATGTGTAGAGAAAATCCGCATTGATGCAGCCCTGCTTTCTCGGAGGCCCTCCCTTGTCCGGATCTAGGAAAGATTGACTGAGAGTCTGACGCCTTTGGAGGCCTTTGGAGGCCTGAAAAAGGGCTACCACTTGTGAGGTTTGATCTACATAACAAGACCCACTTTGCTAGCCAGGCCTCCTCTTCTCCCCCTAAACAGGTTAGAAGAGGACTTCTCCTCCAACCTGTTTTGCCAGGATCCAAGCCCCATTCTTTTATTTTTATTTATTAATTTTATTTTGAGACGGAGTCTAGCTCTGTCGCCAGGCTGGAGTGCAGTGGCGTGATCTCGGCTCACTGCAGCCTCCACCTCCCAGGTTCAAGCGATTCTCCTGCCTCAGTCTCCCGAGTAGCTGGGATTACAGGTGCCCGCCACCACACCCAGCTACCAAGCCCCATTCTTTCTGTAACCTCAAGATGGTATATAAACCTCTGTACCCCCTGGAGGATGGGTTGCAGTAATCACTCTGTGATTTCCCTCCGTGAACATTGATAAATTTGTATGCCATTTCTTCTACTAATCTGCCTTTTGTCAGTTGATATTCCAGTGAACCGTCAGAAGGCGAAGGGAAAGATTTCCCTTGGCCTCCACAGCAGATTTGAGGCAAGGCAAGTGTTTGAGACGGAGTTTCGCTCTTGTTGCCCAGGCTGGAGTGCAATGGCGCAATCTCGGCTCATGGCAACCTCCGCCTCCCGGGTTCAAGCCATTCTCCTGCCTCAGCCTCCGGAGTAGCTGGGATTACAGGCATGCACCACCTCGCCCGGCTAATTTTGTATTTTTAGTAGAGATGGGGTTTCTCCATGTTGGTCAGGCTGGTCTCGAACTCCTGGCCTCAAGTGACCCAACCTGCCTTGGCCTCCCAAAATGCTGGGATTACAGGCATGAGCCACCATGCCTGGCCAAATTACGTTTGAGTTCTGTTGCTAGAAACAAAAATGTGCTCTCCTGAATTTTCCACACAGGCCTCCAAGGAGTTAAAAGACAAAAATCATTTTCCAGTTTCTCTGGCTTCAAGCCTGATTCCCAGACGGGATCCAACACTAATCGCCATCCAAATGCCTGTCAGCAAGATAGTCATGATGTACTCTGGCATATAGTACTGAGGCAGTCTTGGGCAATGTTGTTATAGAATTATGTTATAATTATACTCGGCCTTGTTTCCTGCACATCTCACAGATGCTTATCCACCAACGGAGTGTTAGCTGACAATCATTCCAAACAAGCCCAGACAAAAGGAATAATAGCGGTAACCTGAGGAACTTCGGAAGAAATACACAGCTAAGGTCTGAGAATGTTTGGCCAGTTCAATAGCCTCTTACGGGCAAGTCCAATGTCAGGCGGCATTTCTACCTTCTCCTGTTCTGCCTTTGACCTCTTCACGCTCTCTTGTCCTGTCCAGAACACTGTCACTTAAACTCCTCTGTTTTTTTTTTCTTTTTTTTTGAGACAGGGTCTTGTTCTGTCGCCCAGGCTAGAGTGCAGTGGCACAATCACAGGTTACTGCAGCCTTGAGCTCCCAGGCTCAAGTGATCCTCCCACCTCAGCCTCTGGAGTAGCTGGGATTACAGGCACATGCTACCACACCTGACTAATTTTTGTAAAGATGAAGTCTAAGTCTCACCATGTTGGCCAGGATGGTCTCAAACTCCTGGCCTCAAGTGATCCACCTGCCTCAGCCTCCCAAGGTGCTGGGATTACAGGCATGAGCCACTGTGCCTGGCCAAAAACATGTAACACTGGGGGAAATTCTTTCAATCCTCCATTCGCCCTGACCCCCCCACTCCAATACCACCCCACTTTCCAAAAGGGCTCAAAGGCTTAAGGAGCTGAATGTCGGGGTACTGTTTGTTAGAACTGCGAAGGAGGGGCCTGTCTATCCACCGTCCTCTTGGTCCTCCCCTGAGATGGGAGAAAAAGGCTTGTGTTATGCTCAGGGGCACCATGGTCTCCGCCAGACCGGATGGAATTCTGGGGAAACGTTCCCACAGAAATCCAGGGAAGTGGAGAGGAGAAAGCTCCTGAGGGAAGAATCTAGGTGGTGCTGCGTGTGTGTGGTTTACATGCCAGTCTGTATTTTAAGAGGTTTCCAAGCCGATTTTAATTAACCTCCAGTTGAAACTTGCTAAACAAGTTTTGCAGCCCAGGTTATTGTGTTAGTATTTTTCCGGGTATATTGTCCTAGGTTTGAATTTCATGATGTTTATTATTCTTTCTAACTACAACTCAGTGGGGAAAAGCCCAAGGTACCTTTTAAGACCTAAGTATTTCCTGGTAATGACTTGTAGGAAAGAATGACATTTCCATAACATTTGGACCAAGAGAAGAAGTGAGAATTTAAAGTTGACATTTGCAAGTGATAAAAGCCAAAACCAAAAGTATTCTTTTAAAGAATATGCCTTTCTTCTAATGAAATATACACAAGTCTTGATTCAGATGATAACTTTTCTAGAATTACCTTTGAAAACAAACCCTTAGGTTTCTTATGCTCCAACCCCTAGGGGACAGATTCAGAACAGCTTGTTTCTTTCAAGTCTACTCAATCAAGGCCTGCCTTCTAGAGACTTTTCTTTTTTTTTTTTTTTTTTGAGATGGCATTTCGCTCTTGTTGCCCAGGCTGGAGTGCAGTGGCGCAATCTCAGCGCACCGCAACCTCCGCCTCCTGGGTTCAAGCGATTCTCCTGCCTCAGCCTCCCAAGTAGCTGGGATTACAGGCATGCGCCACCACACCTGGCTAATTTTCTATTTTTAGTAAAGACGGGGTTTCTCCATGTTGGCCAGGCTGGTCTCGAACTCCCGACCTGAGGTGATCCACGCCCCCACCCCTCGGCCTCCCAAAGTGCTGGGATTACAGGCATGAGCCACCGCGCCCAGTCTCTAAAGACTATTTTTAATGGGCACCATATGATCTCTCTGGAACTGAGAAGAGCGGACTTTGGGGAAATTAGAAAAGATGTAGAAGGATGCTGCTCCAAGGGCCTTCAGAATAATCACTTGACATCATCTCTGATAAGTTACTCTCTAGGTCATTTATATAAGCCTCTGCCCCAAGCATATAGGAGAGAGACATCTAGTTTAGGGCCATCAAACTGGGAAACATTTGTTGCTTGAGGTATACAAGAGGATTCCAAGGTACTGAGTTTTAAGGAACTTGGGTTCCAAACCTCAACTTCTATATATACTCTTTCCAGAAATGGTCTACCTGAAAATGCTCCTGAGGTTAAGAGGTCACACTTGGGCTGGGCGCAGTGGCTTATACCTGTAATCCCAGCACTTGGGGAGGCCAAGGCGGGAGGATCCCTTGAACCCAGGAGTTTGAGACCAGCCTGGGCAATAGAGTGAGAGCTTGTCTCTAAAAAAGAAAAAAAATTAAAATAATAATAATAGGAGGTCACACTTGGCTCCTCTTGCCTCTCTCCTCTTTCATAAATGCCCTTCCTGGCAAGATGGGGTGGTTCACAGCTGCACTCTTTTTATTTATTTATTTTTGAGACAGAGTCCCGCTCTGTTGCCCAGCCTGGAGTGCAGTGGTGCAATCTCGACTCACTACAACCTTCACTTCCCAGGTTCAAGTGATTCTCCTACCTCAGCCTCCTGAGTAGCTGGGATTACAGGTGCTTGCCACCACCACCTGCTGATTTTTGTATTTTTGGTAGAGATGAGGTTTCACCATGTTGGCCAGGCTGGTCTCGAACTCCTGACCTCAGGTGATCCACCTGCCTTGGCCTCCCAAACTGCTGGGATTATAGGGGTGAGCCACCGTGCCTGGCCTCGGCTGTACTCTTAACACTTTGGGAGGAGGAGGTGGGTGGATTGCTTGAGCCCAGGAGTTTGAGACCAGCCTGGGCAACACAGTGAAACCCCTGTCCCTAAAATAAATAAATGAATGCCCTTCTCCCACCTTACTAAAGAAAGGTGTACCCCTAACCTACCCTGAATCTTAGCAGAGGGTGCTACCCCCAAGGTGTAAAAACCTCTGGGCACCAAACCAAAGAATAATTCAGGAATGTACAGCTCTCAAGGGAAGAGTTCCCAGAGAGTTGAGACCCCTTCTCAGATTACTTAGGTAGGAGCATGTACTGGGGTTTTATTTCAAGTTTCACAAAGAAAGAAGCTCCTCAGCAAGTCAGTTTGAAGACTGCTTTCTTGGTAGAGATAAAAGTGATACAATGAACTATGGGTTACAGAGTCTCAGCAGCCAGGCAGCTGGGGGGAAACCATAACTTTCCAGAAAAAGATTACTCAAACATTACATCAGGATTGCTGATTACGTCCCGGAACAGACTGTAAACTACCTCAGCCCTAAAAGTTCTCTTCCAGATTAAGTTTGGGACAATTTGCTTTCTCAAGACCTGAAAAAAGAGAGCTTTGGTTAAAAAAAAAAAAAAGAAGAAAGAAAAAGAAAAGAAAAAAAAATGGCAGCTGTTTAATCCAGATGACAAATTGCTTTTTTTTTTTTTTTTGAGACAGGGTCTCACTCTGTCACTCAGGCTGGAGTGCAGTGGCGAGATCATGGCTCACTGCAGCCTCAACCTTCCAGGCTCAAGTGATCCTCCACTTTAGTCTCCCGAGTAGCTGGCACTACAGGTGCACGCCGCCATGCCTGGCTAATATTTTTATTCTAATTTTTTTTTTTTTTGTAGAGACGGGGTTTCGCCATCTTGCTCATGGCTGGTCTTGAACCCCTGGCCTCAAGCTATCTGCCCACCTAGGCTCCCAAAGTGCTAAGATTACAGGCATGACCCACCATGTCTGGTCTGCACAATCGTTTACAAGTTAGTCTGATTTGGCTGATTGGTTTGATAGTAAGGAATGGCTTTGTCATTAAGTTATAGAACAGGCACTTTCCATTAACCGAACAAGCTAAATGAGCTGTGCCAAGATTCTGAAGCAATAAAAATAGATTTAAATTACCAGGGCGTGGTGGGGGGGGGGGCACCTGTAATCCCAGCTACTCAGGAAGCTGAGGCAGCAGAATCGCTTGAACCCAGGAGGCAGAGGTTGCAGTGAGCCGAGATCATGCCACTGCACTCCAGCCTGGGCGACAGAGCAAGACTGTCTCAAAAAAAGAAAAAAATAGATGTAAGCCATGTGCATAATGTATAGTACACCAGAAATCACATTCTTTGCACCTTTTTTTTTTTTTTTTGAGACGGAGTTTCACTCTGTCACCCAGGCTGGAGTGCAGTGGTGTGATCTCGGCTCACTGCAACCTCCGCCTCCTGGGTTCAAGCGATTCTCCCGCCTCAGCCTCCCAAATAGCTGGGATTACAGGTGCCTGCCACCACACCCAGCTAATTTTTTGTATTTTTAGTAGAGACGGGGGTTTCACCATGTTGGCCAGGCTGGTCTCGAACTCCAGACCTCAGGTGATCCTCCCGCCTCCGCCTCCCAAAGCGCTGGGATTACAGGTGTGAACCACCGTGCCCGACCCCTCAGCTCTCAGCTCAATGTCGCTTCCTGCAATGTGTCCATTCTACACAGGGAAATGGCGGAAGGCAGCAGGTAAAAAAAATCACAGCCTTTCCTCATACTGCTTGGCCTTTTTTTGTTTTTTAAATTCTGAAGAAAGCCATCTCCAAGCACTTCCACCTACATTTCATTGGCTGCAATGTGTCACCTGGCAACCCTTAGCTGTAAGGGAGTCTGGGAATTCTAGTATTTTGCTTTCCAGTTTCTCTAGTAGAAAAGTGTGTTTCTCTAGTAAAAAGTGTTTCTCATGTGTGTAAAGTGAGCAAAGTGATAAAGCATATATTCTAAAAAGTAATTTGGGGCTGGGTGCAGCGGCTCTTCCCTGTAATCCTAGCACTTTGGGAGGTCAAGGTGAGAGGGCTGCTTGAGGCCAGGAATTTGAGACTAGTCTGGGCAACATAGTAAGACTCTGTCTCTACAAAAAATTAAGAAAATAGCTGGGCATGGTGGCACATGCCTGTAGTCCTAGCTACTTGGGAGGCTGAGGCAGGAAGATTCCTTGCACCCAGGAGTTTGAGGCTACTATTGTTGCCCCACTGCACTCCAACCTGGGTGACAGAGCAAGACCCTGTCTTTAAAAAAACTAAATAAATAAATGAAAATAAAAATAAAAAGTAGGCCAGGTGCAGCAGCGCATGCCTGTAATCCCAGCACTTTGGGTGGCCAAGGTGGGAGGATCGCTTGAGCCCAGGAGTTCGAGACCAGCTTTGGCAACATGGCAAGACCCCGTCTCAATTTAAAATTTTAAAAACCAATAAAACTAAAAAGTAATTTGGAAGACTGTGAGGTAAACCAAATAATCAACTAACAAAGTAGTTACTTAAAAAAACAAAACAAGCTGGGCGTGGTGGCTCATGCCTCTAATCCCAGCACTTTGGGAGGCTGAGGCAGGCGGATCACGAGGTCAAGAGTTCGAGACCAGCCTGGCCAATATGGTGAAGCCTCGTCTCTACTAAAAATACAAAAATTAGCTGGGCATGGTGGCGCACACGTGTAGTCCCAGCTACTCGGGAGGCTGAGGCAGAAGAATCGCTTGAACCCGAGAGGTGGAGGTTGCAGTGAGCCGAGATCGTGCCACTGTGCTCCAGCCTGGGCGACAGAGCGAGACACCATCTCAAAAATAAAAATAAAAATAAATAAAATTAAAAAACAAAACAAGGCTAGGCTCAGTGGCTCACGCCAGTAATCCCAGCACTTTGGGTGGTCAAAGCAGGAGGATTGCTTGAGGCCAGGAGTTCAAGACCAGCCTGCACAACACAGTGGGACCCTGTCTCTACAAAAATAAATAAATAAATAAATATAAATATAAATATAAATAAAAACAAGCCCTCCAAAAACCTTTGACAGTGTGTAAAGCTATGCAATTTTCTAATCGTGTTAAAGTAAAAGCAGTTCACAAACAATTCAGACTATACAGAAATAAAAAGTAGTATATATGGCCTAACATTACTTTGTTCTTAAAATTTTCCAGTGACTTTTCTTCCCACTTCCAACTCCAACTGCCCTATTCCAGAATGTCAAATGATTGTGACTTGCAGGTTTTCTAATCAGCACGTAAGTCGGAAATTCTAAAAATACATTTTAAATTGTGGATCACACCATTACATGACTGTCTATAGAGCCATTTAATTTTGAAGGCAAGTTAATTTTAAAAATAGTTACACACAAATGTTCAGTTGATTACGCTTAAGACAGTTTTATTCTGGTGATTCAGCATGATTTTTTTCAACAAATTAGGTACTTTGTCTGCTTTGTGGAACATTGGCAGTTTCATTTCCTGTTAAGGAAGCTATCATCAGAACTCAGATAAACCTTTGCCTTTACTATTTGAGTACTGAAAATAAACAAAGAATATAAAACTCACATATAGGCTGGGTGCGGTGGCTCACACGTGTAATCCCAGCACTTTGGGAGGCCAAGGCAGGCGGATCACTTGAGGCCAGGAGTTTGAGACCAGTCCGGCCAACATGGTAAAACCCCATCTCTACTAAAAATATAAAAATTAGCCAGGCATGGTGGCACATACTTGTAATCCCACTTACTTGGGAGGCTGAGGCAGGGGAATCACTTGAGCCCAGGAGGCAGAAGTAGCAGTGAGCCAAAATCATGCCACTGCACTCCAGCCTGGGTGACAGAGCGAGAGTCCGTCTCAAAAAATAAAATAAAATAAAAAATAAAACACACGTATATACTTGGGGACAGAAACATCAAATATGTTTTCTGGATGATTTAAAGGTTTAGAAGGGGATTATTTATTCTAACTGAAAAAAAAATCTTTTAATATGAATTATTTATATGGAAGACTTCTTTTTGAAGCTGTTGTGGCTGATGCTGTTGGATTCATGTCTAACTTCTTTCATTTTATAAAACAGAATCATATCATCATCACAATCTGTACACTCCCACCTATACTCTTAGGGGGCAGTCTGGGGTGGTTCCTAGGGTAACAGGCCCAATTATCCCAGTATACATTGCATACAGTACCCTAACAACTTTTAGGAAAGGTTTTCATTATTAGTGCTTTGTTTTAGAAAAAGTCCAAAACAAGCCCTAATGAAGAGTCCAAAGGATAAGGAAGATGAAGAGAAAGAGAAAGCACTGAAAAGTAGAATCACATGATTTGCAAGTAGGACAAGGAAAGCGAGCAGGAAAAAAAACAGAGTTGTCAGAACCTGTGGGGAAAATGTGCTGAACAGCAAGGGCTGAGAAATGAGCAACATATTAAACTTTTTTTTTTTTTTTTTTTTTTTGAGATGGAGTCTCACTGCTGTTGCCCAGGCTGGAGTGCAGTGCCGACATCTCAGCTTACTGCAACCTCCATCTCTTGGGTTCAAGTGAAGCTCCTGCCTCAGCCTTCTGAGTAGCTGAGATTACAGGCACCCGCCACCATGCCCGGCTAATTTTTTGTATTTTTAGTAGAGACGGTTTCACCATGTTGGCCAGGAACTCCTGACGTCAGGTGATCCACCCGCCTCGGCCTCCCAAAGTGCCCCCATTTCCTTTCATTCGTTTGGAGAACTCCTCTACTGCTTGCATGGTTACCTGGTACAATGATCAGTCATGATGCCCTGCCCCTCTCCAAGACCATCCCAAAGAGTTGGCTCAGGGCTGGGCAAACTGGGCCAAGCCAGGATTTCATGGCTAACACTATTTCGCAATAGTTCGCAAGCTGGAGGCTGTAGCCTGGGACTGTTGGCTGTCATCTTCCTTGCCTTGAGGGTGCGCCTGCTACAAAATGCAGCTGAAGGGTGGCAGAATACTCTATGCCAAAATATGCCACCATGACGTAAGGATTACTTCAAGCTAAAGGCACTTGAAAAACAGCAGATACAAGAAGGGCATTCTAATCTCCCCTTTGCTTCCTGCAAACAGGAGAGAGAAACTCCCATGTGAACATGCCCTCCCTGTACCAGGAAAAAAGTAACATTCTTCCCCGGGGAGTCACAGCTCTGAGAATCCTGTACAAACATACTTTGTGAAACTAATTCTTACCTTCCTTTAACAAACTCCCCACATAATTTAGTTACTTTTCCACAACTGCCTCTCTTTGTTCAACCTAATACAAAAGCCTGTTGGTTTTGTCACTTCTTTGGGTCTTCATTTCCTTCCCAGGGCTCCTGAGTCACATAAAACTTACATTAAATTAGTACGCTTTTCTCCTGTTAATATACTTTATGTCAATTTAATTCTCAGGCTCAGCCAGGACACTAAGAGAAGAGAGTTTTGACTCTCCTGCACATTCAAGACCTGTGGGAATCTGAGCCAAGCATTGACATAACAGCGCAGCAGCAGTTTATGATCTCTCTCTTCCTTTCCTTTCCTTTTTCCTTTCCCCTTTCCTTTTCTTTCTTTCTCTCTTTTTCTTTCTTTCTTTCCTTCTTTCTCTTTCTCTCTCTCTCTCCTTCCTTCCTTCCTTCTTTCCTTCCTTCCTCTTTCCTTTCTCCCTCCCTCCCTCCTTTCTTTTTTTTTTTGATACAGAGTTTCGCTCTTGTTGCCCAGGATGGAGTGCAGTTGGCAATCTTGGCTCACTGCAATCTTTGCCTCCTGGGTTCAAGCGATTCTCCTGCCTCAGCCTCCTGAGTAGCTGGGATTACAGGCACCCGCCACCATGCCCAGCCAATTTTCGTATTTTTAGTAGAGACAGGGTCTCACCATGTTGGCCAGGCTGGTCTTGAACTCCTGACCTCGTGTGATTCACCTGCCTTGGCCTCCCAAAGTGCTGGGATTACAGGCGTGAGCTACTGTGCTCGGCCCTTTCTTTCTTTTTTTTTGACAGGGTCTCGCTCTGTTGCCCAGGCTGGAGGGCAGTGGTGTGATATCGGCTTACTGCAACCTCGACCTCTTGGGCTCAAATGATCCTCCCACCTCAGCCTCCCAAGTAGCTGCAACTGCAGGTGCGCACCACTATGCCCGGCTAATTTTTTTTATTTTTTGTAGAGACAGGGTCTCCCTGTGTTGCCCAGGCTGGTCTTGAACTCCTGACTTCAAGTGATCTGCCCACCTAGGTCCCCCAAAGTGCTGGGACTATAGGTGTGAGCCACCAAGCCTGACCGATTTCTTTTTTCGGGAATTCCTATTCCGTTCTCAGTCCTTGAACTCCCAGCGCAAGACTCCACCCCAGGTCACAGGGCTCAGTCCCACTCAGAACTGTACCTCTTACTTATAGACTGACCCGTATTGCTTAATAGATCACATGGCGTAGCTTTCCTCCCTGCCTGAGTCCTAAACGGCTTGCCAGCATGTCATGTTATGCTTTTTTCTGCCTCCTACCTTTCACAGCACCCGCAGGCCTGGCATGTAGTAGAGTACCAGATAAGACTTGGTAAATTTGATCCTTTTTTTTTTGTCTTTTTTCTGAGACAGATTCTTGCTCTGTCGCCCAGGCTGGAGTGCAGTGGTGCAATCTCAGCTCAATGCAACCTCCACCTCCCGGGTTCAAGCAATTCTTCTGCCTCAGCCTCCTGAGTAGCTAGGATTACAGGTGTGCGCCACCACGCCTGGCTAATTTTTGTATTTTTAGTAGAGACGGGGGTTTCACCGTTTTGGCCAGGCTGGTCTTGAACTCCTGACTTCGTGATGCACCTGCCTCGGCCTCCCAAAGTGCTGGGGATTACAGGCTTGAGCCACCGTGCCCAGCCTAAATTTGATTTTTTTTTTTTTGAGACGGAGTCTCCCTCTGTCGCCCAGGCTGGAGTGCAGTGTCACGATCTCGGCTCACTGCAAGCTCCGCCTCCCGGGTTCACGCCATTTTCCTGCCTCAGCCTCCCGAGTAGCTGGGAATACAGGCGCCCGCCACCACACCCTGCTAATTTTTTGTATTTTTAGTAGAGACGGGGTTTCACCGTGTTAGCCAGATGGTCTCGATCTGCCTACCTTGGCTTCCCAAAGTGCTGGGATTACAGGCGTGAGCCACCACGCCTGGCCAATTTGATTCTTTTCTTATGACAGAAACTATAATACAGCGAGAATGTTTTTCTTTTTTTCTTTTTCTTTTTTTTTTTTCTTTTTTTGTTTTTTGAGATGGAGTCTTGCTCTGTCACCAGTCTGGAGTGCAGTGGCACGATCTCGGCTCACTGCAAGTTCCGCCTCCAGGGGTCAAGTGATTCTCCTGCCTCAGCCCCCCGAGTAGCTGGGATTACAAGCACCTGCCACCACGTTTTTAGTAGAGACGGGGTTTCACAATGTTGGCCAGGATGGTCTCCATCTCCTGACCTCGTGATCCACCCACCTCGGGCTCCCAAAGTGCTGGGATTACAGGCATGAGCCACCGCGCCTGGCTGAGAATGTTTTTCTAATACGTGATTAAATAGGCGGCTATCGAGGAACAACATTTATTGCACATAACTTACATTATCTTGTTTAATCTGTACAAGCAATTTATGAGGTAGATGTGTAAGTTTATGACCTTGGAATGTTGAACCGGTTGTAAACAGATGAAAACAAGTACCTCTGACTCCAAATTCTGTGTAAGAAAACGACTGCCCATGGCCAGGCACAGTGGCTCAAGCCTGTAATCCCAGCACTTTGGGAGGCCGAGGTGGGCGGATCACCTGAGCTCAGGAGTTCGAGACCAGCCTGGCCAACATGGCGAAACCCCGTCTCTACTGAAAATACAAACATTAGTCAAGCGTGGTGGCAGATGCCTGTAATCCCAGCTACTTGGGAGGCTGAGGCAGAAGAATTGCTTGAACCCGGGAGGGGGAGCTTGCAATGAGCCGAGATCGCGCCACTGCACTCCAGCCTGGACGGCAGAGCAAGACCGTCTCCTCCCAAAAAAAAGAAAAAGAAAAGAAAACGACTGCCCATAAAGACTCCTCTTCACCCCCTCCCACCAGCTAATAAGCAAACGTGTACCACCATATCATTATATCCAGAATCTAAGGGGTAAAGGGCATTCAAGGACAAGGCCTTACATGCTAAACAAACTGTGACAAATTCTCCACTTGAGTCTTGTCAAATAGATTTCCCTAGCAGCAAGATATGTGACTCAGTGTAGGAAAAACTAACCACTGGTGCAGAACACACATTTGCTTAGAAAGCCTTAGGCCAACCTTAATTACCCTGCCTAAGAAAGAGAGGCCTCCACAGGGGGCGGGGAGGAGGGAAAACAAGCTAGTTGTTGGACTGGAAGCTTCCAGAACCACAGCTGTAGCCCTTAACAGGATAGCTGACCTGCGCCTTTCATTTGCTTTGATTTCATGTATGAGTTTAATTCCAAAGTTGCAAATAACAGGAAATGAACCACAGTGTTAGCCAGTTAACATCAAAGGTAGAAGGAGACCGGCAGGCGGACTGTTAAAAGAATTAAAAGAGTAAACATTCCGGTGAGTCATTAGCTTTCAATACTCACTAGAACCACTAGAAGCAAAACTGCGTGGGAACCTACAAGTGGACACTCCAAGTAAGAGCCTACCTGGAGGCCGGGCACGGTGGCTCACTGCTGTAATCCCAGCACCTTGAGAAGCCGAGGCAGGCGGATCACGAGGTCAGGAGTTCAAGACCAGCCTGGCCAGGTGTGGTGGCTCGTGCCTGTAGTCCCAGCTACTCAGGAGGCTGAGGCAGGAGGATCGCTTGCACCTGGGTGGCAGAGGTTGCAGTGAGCCAAGATCGCACCACTTGCACTCCAGCCTGAGTGACAGAGCGAGACTCCATCTCAAAAAAAAAAAAAAAAAAAAAGCCTACCTGGAGTTCTTTGAAACATGCAAAGTTCTGGCCGGGCGCAGTGGCTTACGCCTGTCATCCTGTCATCCCAGCACTTTGGGAGGTCGAGTCACTGCTTGAGGCCAGGAGTTCGAGACCAGCCTGGCCAAAATGGTGAAACGTTGTCTCTACTAAAAATACAAAAATTAGCTGGGCCTGGTGGTGCATGCTTGCAATCCCAGGTACTGGGAGGCTGAGACAGGAGAATCGCTTGAACCCAGGAGGCAGGGGGTTGCAGTGAGCCGAGATCACACCACTGCACTCCAGCCTGGGTGACAGAGTGAGGCTGTGTCTCAAGAAACAAAACAAAAAAAGAGATTGGACCGTGTGCGTGTGTGTTTGTGTGTGTGTGTGTGTGTGTTTTGAGACAGAGTCTCGCTCTGTCACCAGGCTGGACTGCAGTGGCACGATCTCAGCTCACTGCAACCTCTGCCTCCCAGGTTCAAGCAAATCTCCTGCCTCAGCCTCCTGAGTAGCTGGGACTACAGGCGCCCGCCACCATGCCCAGCTAATTTTTGTATTTTTAGTAGAGACTGGGTTTCACCATGTTGGCCAGGATGGTCTCGATCTCCTGACCTCATGATCTGCCCACCTTGGCCTCCCAAAGTGCTGGGATTACAGGTGTGAGCCACCGCGCCCGGCCATGTGTGTGTATTTTAACAAACAATCAGAGTACTTTGGTGTAAAGGTATAGAACAGCAGAGCTCGATCAAGAAGTTTCCTTCTTTTTTTTTTTTTTTTTTTTTTGAGTTGGAGTCTCGCTCTGTCGCCCAGGCTGGAGTGCAATGGCGCGATCTCGGCTCACTGCAACCTCCACCTCCCGGGTTCAAGCAATTCTCCTGCCTCAGCCTCCCGAGTAGCTGGGATTACAGGCGCCCGCCACCACGCTTAGCTAATTTTTGTATTTTTAGTAGAGACGGGGTTTTGCCATATTGGCCAGGCTGGTCTCTTGGCCAGGCTGGTCTCGAACTCTTGACCTTGTTATCCGCCCGCCTCGGCCTCCCAAAGTGCTGTGATTACAGGCATGAGCCACTGTGCCCAGCTAGAAGTTTCCTTCTTAACAGCACCATCTGTCTGAACAAAAGTATACATAATATTAGCCATAAAAATATGTAATGGTGGGCATGCAGTAGCTTTGTTTTTTGTCTAGTTTTATTTCACCTAATAATTAAAGAGAGCTCCAAAGGAGAAAAAAGTAGATTTCTAACTCCTCTTTATCTCTGAGAATTCATTCTAGTAGAGGAAATGAAGTTTGATGAGACGAGACCAAAAACAGTACAAAGAAGTGAAAAATCATAGATTGAAAATGAAGCTAAATTTTGAAGAGTCTGATCTCAAAATGAAAGGCCCACTACTGGAAGGTTGCTATAATTTCATTTTGTAATTTCAATTTGATATAAATTCTGCTCCACCCATTTTTTTCTCATTGTGTGACAAAATATTGGTGTTTCCTTGACATACACTTCTTTTTCTTTTTTCTTTTTTTTAGACAGAGTCTCACTCTGTTGCCCAGGCTGGAGTGCAGTTGCATGATCTTTGCTCACTGAAACCTCAGCCTCCTGGGTTCAAGCGATTCTCCTGACTCAGCCTCCCAAGTAGCTGGGACTACAGGCACGCACCACCACGCCCGGCTAATTTTTGCATTTTTAGTAGAGACAGGGTTTCACCATGTTGGTCAGGCTGGTCTCAAACTCCTGACCTCAGGTGATCCGCATGCCTCGGCCTCCCAAAGTGCTGGGATTACAGGCATGACCCACGGTGCCTGGCCTGACGTACACTTCTTAATCAACAAACAGATTAAAACTTAGGTATCTGAGTTAAAAACCAAAAGATGAAAACGGTATAGTGGTTCCTCAAAAAATTAAAAATAGAACTACCTGCTGGGTGTGGTGGCTCACACCTGTAATTCCAACACCTTGGAAGGCCAAGGTGGGAGGATTGCTTGAGGTCAGGGATTCAAGACCAGCCTAGGCAACATAGTGGGACTCCATCTTCATAAAAAAAAAATTAAACAATTAGCCAGGTGTGGTGGTGCACAACTGTGGTCGCAGCTACTCAGGAGGCTAAGGTGGGAGGATCACTTGAGCCCAGGAGTTCAATGCTACAGTGATCCAAGATTGCATCACTGAACTCCAACCTGGGCAACAGAGTGAGACCCTGTGTCAAAATAATAAAATAGAATTACCATCTGATCCAGCAATCCCACTTCTGGGTATATAGCCAAAAGAACTGAAAGCAGGATCTCGAAGAGATATTTGCACACCTATGGTTTTCATGGCAGCATTATTCACAACAGCCAAGAGGTAGAACCAACCCAAATGTCCATTGATGGATGAATGGATAAACAAAATGTGGTATTGTCCATACAATGGAATATTATTCTGCCTTAAAAAGGAAATCCTAGCTAGGCATGGTGGCGGCTCACACCTGTAATCCCAACACTTTGGGAGGCCAAGGTAGGAGGATTGCTTTAGCCCAGGAGTTCGAGACTAGCCTGAGCAACATGGAGAGACCCCCATGTCTACAAAAAGTCAAAAAATAAAAAAGGAAATCCTGTCACATGCTAAATCATGGATGAACCTTGAGGACATTATGCTAAGTGAAATAAGTTCATCACAAAAACACAAATGCTGTCTGATTCCACTTATATGAGGTGTCTAGAGTAGACAAATTTGTAGAGACAGAGTTTAGAATAGTGGTCGCCAGGAGTTGGAGGGAGGGAGAAATGGGGAGTTATTTAATAGGTACGGAGTTTCAGTTTTGCGAGATGAAAAAGTTCTGGAGATCTGTCTCACAATTTGCATATAGTTAACCCTACTGAAATATATACCTTAAAATGGTTAAGATGGTACATTTTATGTGTTTTTTACCACACACAAAAAAAATCTTGGTTTCAAACATCAGAAACAGAATTTAGGTAACTCGAGGGAAGAAAATTTGGGAAGCCTATCTCACCACTCACAGAATCTCTGGGAAGACTAAAGATCCAAACTCAGCCCGTAGAACAAGAAAGGCTGAGAGTCAAAAACTGGGATGTTCCCTTGAAGTCTGAGAGATTTGCATGTTCCCTTGACTGGGAAGCAGCCAGTAATAAATCTCAGGTTTGCAAATATGGTGAGAAAAAAATTAGAAAAGAGGAAGCCTGAGTTGAAAGAAGTCAAAGGGTTTAAGCAGCAGGCGCACCCGCTCTAAATTAGGGACGGGAAGAGACGTGCAATCGCAGATTATGAAACAATGAAAGGCAGAGGACGCAATCGTACTCCTAAAAGATCTTCCATTGTGACATAAGTATTTTGATCTAAGGCTGAGTCTGTTCTCATTGTATTAAAAAAAAAAAGTCCCTCTTTGGCGGGGGCTAAAAACAAAATCTGATTCATATTGAATTTCTTCCCAAAGGTTACACAAAGGGAAGTAATAATGCCGACTGTGAGAATTGAAGTGAAAATCAGATCTCAGCCCAACCAGAACAACCAATGGGAACAATAGACAATAACTGTGACTCTAATGAAATTCATTTCTCAGCTGAAGGCACTGAGCCGATGTTTCTCTTGCTCTATTCTTAGTACTAAATCGAACTTTTTCCCCTTCAGGGAAACAGCTCCCTTCAGATTTAAACAATAGATATTCACCCTGCATTCCATATTTGATGGGTTCTCAGTGTTGGCTAAAATGTCATAACCTCCTCTCTTCCCCCAACAAGATATGACCCACATTTCCTCTCTTCGAGGGGTGTCACAGCTGTTTTAAGGACATGCGTGTGTAGAGTTGGAGTAAGCGGCCTCAAGAGCAGTACTGATAGCATGGGCAGGCCCAAATTTGGGAAATGGGTAAAACCTGTAAAAATAGTCTTGCAGGTTTTAACGCAATTGCAGGCTAAAATGAAAATTTATGACAACGGAAGGCAGAGATGACACCTATACCTATATTCCTTTGTATAGTACTTTATTTTCCTTTTTTTTTTGGAGACGGAGTCTCTATAGCGCAGGCTGGAGTGCAGTGGCACAATCTCTGCTCACTACAACCTCTGCCTCCTGGGTTCAAGCCATTCTCCTGCCTCAGCCTCTCGAGTAGCTGGGATTATAGGCACACACCACCATGCCCAGCTAATTTTTTTTTTTTTTGCATTTTTAGTAGAGATGGGGTTTCACCATGTTGGCCAGACTGGTCTTGAACTCCTGACCTCAAGTGATTTGCCCACCTCAGCCTCCCAAAGTGCTGGGATTACAGGCGTGAGCCACTGCGCCCGGCCAGTAATTTCTATCTTATGGAAAATAACTGATTAAACAGGACCTATGGTTGCAAGTGAGAGAAAGCAACTCAAACTAAGCAAAAATAAATAAATAAATAAATAAAGCCAGGCACAGTGGCTCAAGCCTGCAATCCCAGTGCTTTGGGAGGCCAAGGCAGACAGATCACGAGGTCAGGAGTTTGAGACCAGCCTGACCAACATGGTGAAACCCCATCTCTACTAAAAATACAAAAATTAGCTGGGCGTGGTGGTGCATGCCTGTAATCCCAGCTACTCAGGAGGCTGAGGCAGGAGAATCACTTGAACCTAGGAGGCGGAGGTTGCAGTGAGCCAACATCGCACCACGGCACTCCAGCCTGGGCAACAAGAACGAAACTCTGTCTCAGAAAAAAAAAAAGGAATGTGTTTGGTCCAAACAACTGGAAAGTCGTCGGATCTGACTTTAGTCATGACTAGATCCAAGAGTAAATAGTCACCAGGCTCTTGTCATTCCATCCCTTGATTATGGAGGAGGAATACAGTCAAACTCATCCAAAGCACATAGAATATATTTCTCAGTGGAAAGAGGGCTTATCAGATGAAGGGGAAATGAGTCCTGGGAAGACAAAAACAGCAAATATCCACCAGACTGTGAGATTTTGAAGATTAAAAACCATGTCAGGCTGGGCAAGGTGGCTCATGCCTATAATCCTAGCACTTTGGGAGGCCGAGGTGGGCGGATCACCTGAAGTTGGGAGTTTGAGACCAGCCTGGCCAACATGGAGAAACTTGTCTCTACTAAAAATACAAAATTAGCTGGGTGTGGTGGCACATGCTTGTAATCCCAGCTACTCTGAAGGCTGAGACAGGAGAATCGCTTGAACCCGGGAGGTGGAGTTTACCGTGAGCCAAGATCACACCATTGCACTCCAGCCTGGGCAACAATAGCGAAACTGTCTCAAAAAAAAAAAAAAAAAAGCTATGTCTTTTTTTTTTTTTTTTTTTTTTGAGATGGCGTCTTGCTCTGTTGCCCAGGCTGGAGTGCAATGGTGCGATCTCAGCTCACTACAACCTTCTCAGCTAATTTTTGCATTTTTTTGTAGAGACGGGGTTTCACCATGTTGGCCAGGCTGGTCTTGAACTCCTGACCTCTAGTGATCTGCCCACCTTGGCCTCCCAAAGTGCTGGGATTACAAGCATGAGCCACCGCACTCGGCTAAAAACCATGTCTTAACGTTTCATCTCCAGTTCTATGCCTGCAATTTACTGACATTCAGTACGTGTTTGCTGAATGAATAGGACAAGTATATCTGGTATCTTTATACTGAACACATCAAAACAAGCTCATTCCCTAAATGCAAAGGGAATGAGGGAATGAACTGGATTTCCTAGTGACCATGCCCACACTGGCTTTTAGGCTGTTGTGGTATAGACTTTAGCTGGCTACCATATCTCTACTCTCTAATTCTCTCTCAAACTAAAAGAATCCCAATTTTTCACTTAGCATATTGCCTCCCAGCTGAAAGACTACATTTTTCAGACTCCATTGCAGCCAGGTTAAGTTACAGTCAATGAGTAAGCTGAAGTATTGGGTGGAACTTTGGGGAAGTCTTGGAAGGGAGGTGGCACATACTCCTTCCTCTCTTCTTCTGTTCTGCTTCTTGGAACTATGATGTGATGGCTGGAGCTCCAGCAATCATTTTAGACCTTAAAGATGAAGACTATACCCCAGGAATGGCAATGTGAAAAGCTGAAACAAACCTGGGTCCCTTATGTCCCTGGAGCTGTCATACCAGTCCTGGACTGCTTACGTATAAACTTCTTTTATTTGAGAAATAAATTCTGTATTTTTGCCATGAATTTTAAGGTCTCTATTACTCACATCTGAACCCATTCCAAACGGATACAGCTGTGGTCTCCAAATATACAGAACTAAGGGAGAGGTCTCAGACCCCACAGTCCCTCTCCCCTTCCCCTCCTCAAGGCATGAAACCCAGTCTATGAAGAGTACTAGTCCTCTACCTCCCAAAGGCATCCCAGCTTGGACTGCTGTCATGATCTCTTCTTGTGTAACTGAAGGCATCCTCCCAGTTCCTGACTCCTCTTCCCTGCTTCTAGGAGCCAGTGCAGTGCCATGGTGCTTCCTAAAGACTCCCCTTGCCGGATGGGCGTGGTGGCTCACGCCCGTAATCCCAGCACTTTGGGAGGCCGAGGCGGGCGGATCACCTGAGCTCAGGGGTTCGAGACTAGACTGGCCAACATGGTGAAACCTCGTCTCTACTAAAAATACAAAAATTAGCCGGGCATAGTGGCACACACTTGTAATCCCAGCTATTTGGGAGGCTGAGGCAGGACAATCGCTCGAACCCTGGAGGCAGAGGTTGCAGTGAGCCAAGATCACGCCACTGCACTCCAGCCTGGGCAACAGTGCGAGTCTGTCTCAAAACAACAACAAAAAAAACAAAACTAAACTAAAAAAAAAAACAAAAAACAAGCACCTATTACGCTCAGATTCTGTGAGTCAGCAATTCCATCACGGCACAGCAGCAGGGACAGGTTCTCACTGCTTATAACATCTCAGCTGGAAGATTTGAAGGCTGGGGGCTGTCATCACTAGAAGGCTCACATCGTCACAGAGCTGCTGAGTGATGCTGCCTGTCAGTGGGTACCTGCACCATTCCTCTCCATGGGGCCTGCATTTCCTCACAGAATGGTGGTTGGGTTCTGAGGGTGACAATGACGAGAGACAACCGGGTGGAAGGTTATGACCTAACCTCAGAAGTCATGCAGTATCACTTTGGCTGCATCCAGGTCATTGTGGGGGAGGTCACTAAGGTCAGCCCATATTCTTTTTTTTTGTTTCTTGAGACAGAGTTTCACTCTGTCGCCCAGACTGGAGTGCAGTGGCGTGATCTTGGCTCACTGCAACCTCCACCTCCCGAGTTCAAGCGATTCTCATGCTTCAGCCTCCCGAGTAGCTGGGATTACAGGCGCATGCCACCACATCTGGCTAATTTTTGTATTTTTAGTAGAAACGGGTTTTTACCATGTTGGCCAGGCTGGTCTTGAACTCCTGACCTCAGGTGATCCACCCGTCTCAGTTTTCCAGAGTACTAGGATTACAGGCGTGAGCCACTGCGCCCGGCCAAGTCAGCCCATATTCAAAGGGAGGAAAATTAGACTCTACCTTTTGGTGGGAGGAATGGCAAGGTTTTACAAGAATATGTGGAACTAGAAATATTGCTGTGGCCAGCAGGTTTGGTGGTATATGCCTCAGGCTGAAACCACCTGGGCGTGTACTGGGACTCCCTCTGGGATAATGGCTTTGTCCATGGGTACAAATCACCTATAGGAGTATGAAAGACTGGCCGCCACTCCAGTCCTTGCGATTACTAATTTTCAGTAGATGATCAGGTGGTAATGACCACATGGCTGTCTTTCATTTAGGACTGACCCATTCAGACCTAGTAAACCCCTCGGGGGGAAGAGAGGGAGCCAGAGAGAGAGAGAGAGAATATGAAACCGGACTGCCTACTAATTTGGGTATGTGTGTTTTTGACCAATTAATTTCATTACAGCAAAGTGACACTGGTACCTTAAGCTGGTCAAGAGGTCATACCTACTACAATTTTAATATACTAACTTGTGTGTCTGCCTGTCTCACAACCCAGATTAGAAACTCTTTTGAGGACAGGACCCATCTTATCTGGCTTCCCCAAAGGATTTCACGACATGGCTCCTTGGAGCAAGGGATTTAAATTGCTCTGGCATGTGGCCTTAGATACGGTACTTAATTGTGCCAGACTTTAGTGTCTTCATCTCAGATTAACAGGATTCAATGAAATTATTATGTCCTGAATCTAGAAGGATGCTCAATACATGTTAGTTCCTTTCTTTCCCGTACACGGATTCTCCCCACCCCACCCTTCCCCATTTACCTTATTTATTTCCCATGAGCCCTTCCTCTTCCCAACTCCTCAGGATCGTAATGCTCCAGGACTTCCCTCAGCCCTGCAGGTCTGCTTCCCACAGGGAGTTTCACTGCTTCAACTGCAGGTAGGAGCTGGGAAGGCAGGAAGGAGCCAGAGTCCTCCTGACTGAAAGGAACGGGGAGCTGGGCTGCCCTGGGGTTAGGGGTGAGGTGAGTTGCTACAGCAAGTTAAATCCCTTTCATTTATTGATGAAACAAATATTGATTGCCTCTCACCAGGTCCCATGCACTGTGCAAAAAGCTGGGGACACAGCAGTGAGGAGGAACCAGGTCTCTTAATCCTTGTAGACTTTTGGAATTTATGTTGCTCATTAGCGTTTTTGTTTGTTTGTTTGTTTTTTTGAGACGGGGTCTCGCTCTGCCACCGAGGCTGGAGTGCAATGGCATGATCTTGGCTCACTACAACCTCTGCCTCCCAGGTTCAAGCGATTCTCCCGCCTTAGCCTCCTGAGTAGCTGGGATTACAGATGTGCGCCACCACACCCAGCTACTTTTTGTATTTTTAGTAGAGACGGGGTTTCACCTTGTTGGCCAGGCTGGTCTTGAACTCCTGACCTCATGTGATCCGCCCACCTCGGCCTCCCAAAATGCTAGGATTACAGGAGTGAGCCACCGTGCCCGGCCCTGCTCATTAGTGTATTGTATGTGTGGGCAGGTAGGGGGAAGATGGGGTAGATAAAAGACTAACAAATAAAATATAATAGAGTGATAGTGCAACAAGGAAAACAAAACTACCTTCTCCTGGTTGGTCAGGACACACCCAAACAAAGGTCAATTTAGGTCAGACCTGGATGACAAGGAGCTAGCCTCACAAAGTTGTGGGGGCAGTCCTGTGCACTGCGAGATGCTCAGCAGCATCTCTGGCCTCTACCCACAAGATGCCAGTAGCATGCCCCTCCTAAGGTGACACAACCCAAAATGCCTAGGGGACATGATGGCCTGACTGAGAACCACTGGGTTAAGGCAAGGGCATTCCCAGCAGGAGAAACCAGCAAGTGCAAGGAAGGAAGAAGGCCCCAGCCTGCCTGGCCTCACCAGCTCCCGCTGCCCTGCCTGCTAGGTGAATCTGTCAACTGTGGCAAAGTAGCAACTGATGCTCAGAGTGGAGAGGGGTAATAAACCAGGAAGTGAGACTGGCCAACTGGGGGTGAATACTTCCTGGTTCAACACTTCAGCTGTGGGCTGCTCATCTTCCCCACTCACAGTCTGAGACTGAGGCCAGACAGTCTCTGAATACATCAGGGCACACAGTCAAGTAGGTACCATGGGTGAGTCTGGGCTATGTATTGCTTCCCTGAAGAGGACTCCTTGCTGCCCAGGGAACTCAGAGAAGGGCCAGGCAGTCACTTTTCTATCATTTGAGACCAGATTTTTTCTTTTTTTTTGAGACACAATCTTGTTCTGTTGCCCAGGCTGCAGTGCAGTGGCATGATCTCTGCTCACTGCAACCATCTGCCTCCCAGGTTCAAGCGATTCTCCTGCCTCAGCCTCCCGAGTAGCTGGAACTACAGGCGTGCACCAGCATGCCTGGCTAATCTTTTTATAATTTTAGTAGAGATGGGGCTTCACCATGTTGGCCAGGCTGGTCTCCAACTCCTGACCTCAGATGATCCACCTGCCTTGACCTCCCAAAGTGCTGGGATTACAGGCGTGAGCCACTGCACCTGGCCGAGACCAGATTTTTAGTTGCTTTTAGCAGCTGCCTTAGTTACTGGAAAAAGTAAATCCAAACAACTCTAACTCAAATTTATATCCTGTCAATTCATTATCTCCATCATTGGTTTCCTAGAAATAGGTAATGAAATTAAATAAGCCATGAAGAGATAAACAATTGAGCCAGTACCACCTGAACTCTCTAAGTATATTTTGATTATACCTTGAGGATGTTCTCATTTAGAGACTATATGCAACACTATATGGTACAGAAAAGGGTGTTGGGGCAGAGTTCAGATAACAGGGGTGCTGCTCGGGCAACGCAGGACAGTCTTTTTTTCATTATTTTATTATTGTAAAAAACAAAATTTACCATCTTAGCTTTTTTTTTTTTTGAGATGGAGTTTTGCCACCACATCCCGCCCATAATTTGTCTTGTGACTGGCTTAATTTCACTTAGCAACAAGTCCTCCTTTTTCATCCATATTGTAGCATGTGACAAGATTTCCTTCCTTTTTAAGACCAAATAACATTCCACTGTATACACATATCACGTGTTTATCCATTTATCTGTCAATGGACATTTGGGTTGCTTCCACCTCATTGCTAATGTGAACAGTACTGCTATGAACAGGGGTGTGCAAATACGCAGTTTTAAAAAACATCTTTGGCTGGGCGCAGTGACTCATGCCTGTAATCCCAACACTTTGGGAGGCCGAGGCAGGCAGATCATGAGGTCGAGAGATTGAGACCATCCCGGCCAACGTGGTGAAAACCCGTCTCTACTAAAAATACAAAAATTAGCTGGGCATGGTGGCGCACACCTGTAGTCCCAGCTACTCGGGAGGCTGAGGCAGGAGAATCACTTGCACCCAGGAGGCGGAGGTTGCAGTGAGCTGAGATCGCACCACTGCACTCCAGCCTGGCGACAGAGCAAGACTCCGTCTCAAAAAACAACAAAAAACCATCTTTATTGAGATATAATTCACATATCATAATTCACCCATTTAAAGTGTACAATTCAATAATTTTCAACAGAATTGTGCAACCTCACTCCAAAAAGAAACACCATTAGAAGTCACTTCCCACCCCTCCATGCCAGTTTATGTGTCAACTTGACTACAGTCCCCAGGTGATCAAATACTAATCTAGGAGCTTTGGTGAAGGTTATCCTGTAGATGTGATAAAAATCCATAATGAGGCTGGGCGTTGTGGCTCACACCTGTATTCCCAGCACTTTGGGAGGCCGAGGCAGGTGGATCACTTGAGGTCAGGAGTTCAAGACCAGCCTGGCCAACATGGTGAAACCCCGTGTCTCCTAAAATACAAAAATTAGCCGGGCGTCGTGGCACATGCCTGTAATCCCAGCTACTCGGGAGGCTGAGGCAGGAGAATCGCTTGAACCTGGGAGGCGGAGGGTGCAGTGAGCCGAGATTGGGCCACTGCACCCCAGCCTGGGTGGCAGAGGGAGACTCCATCTCAAAAAAATAATTTAAAAAATACAAAAATTAGCCGGGTGTGGTGGCACGCACCTGTAGTTCCAGCTATAGGTGAGGTTACGTCTCAAAAAAAAAAAAAAAAGTCCATAATCAGTTGACTTCTATATAAGTGGGCCTGATTCAATCAGGTGAAAGACCTTACGAGCTGAACTGAGGTTTGCCTGAAGAAGAAATTCCATCTATGGACCACAGCTTCCACTCATGCCTGAAAACTCCAGCTGCCCTTTCTGCTTACCAGCCCTATGGATTTCAGACTAGCCTGGCCAGCCCCCACAGTCGGCTAAGCCAACTCCTTGCAATAAACCTCTCAAAATACATCTCCTACGTGTTCTGTTTCTCTAGTTGAACCCTGATTGATATGCTCCGCCCTCCCCCAATCATTGGAGTCTTAAGCAACTATGAATCTACTTTCTGTTTCTTTGTACTTGTCTATTCCAGACATTCCAGATAAATGGAATCATACACTATGTGCTCTTTTGTGATGGGCTTCTTTCACTTTAGCATAATGTTTTCAAGTGTCATTGACGTGGCATGGATCAGTACTTTTTTCTGAGACAGGGTTTTGCTCTGTCACCCAAGCTGGAGTGCAGTGGTGCAATCATAGCTCACTGTAACCTTGAACTCCTGGGTTCAAGTGCTCCTACTGTTTCAGCCTCCTGACTGGCTAGGACTACAGGCATGTGCCACCACACCCAGCTAATTGTAATTTTGTAGAGGTGAGGTCTCACTATGTTGCCCAGGCTAGTTTTGAACTCCTGGCCTCAAGTGATCCTCCTGTCTTAACTCCCAAAGTGTTGGGTACAGGCGTGAGACACCACACTTGACCAGTACTTCGTTCTTTTTTACGGCTGAATAATATTCCATTGTATGGAAATACATTTTGTTTATACATTTATCAGTTGATGGACATTTGATTGTTTCTGTTGTGACTATGATAAATAATGCTGCTATGGCTATCTATGTACAAGCTTTTGTGTGGACATGTGTTTTCATTTTTCTTGGGTATATACTGCAGTAGAGAAGAAATGCTGGGTCACATGTTTAGCATTTTGTGGAACTGCCAAACTGTTTTCTCCACATCCTTGTCAACACCTGTTCTTATCTTTTTTATCCTAGTGGGTATGAAATGACACCTTGTGGTTTTCATGCGCATTTTTCTGATGACTAATGATGCTGAACAGCTTTTCATGGGTTTATTGGCCATTTGTATATCTTCTTTTTAAAAATGTCTGTCAGGCTGGGCACGGTGGCTCATGTCTGTAATCCCAGCACTTTGGGAGGCCGAGGTGGGCAGACTGCCTGAGCTCAGGAGTTCGCAACCAGCCTGGGCAACACGGTGAAACCCCACCTCTGCTGAAATACAAAAAATTAGCCAGGCATGGCGGTGTGCGCTAGTAGTCCCAGCTACTCAAGAGGCTGAGGCAGAACTGCTTAAACCCAGGAGGCAGAGGTTGCAGTGAGCTGAGATCGTGCTACTGCACTCCAGCCTGGGTGACAGAGCAAGACTCCATCTCAAAAAAAAAAAAAAAGAGTCTGTTCAAATCCTTTGTTTTATTTTTTGAGAGGGAGTCTCACTCTGTCGCCCAGGCTGGAGTACAGTGGCGTAATCTCGACTCACTGCAACCTCCGCCTCCTGGGTTCAAGTGATTCTCCTGCCTCAGCCTCCCGAGTAGCTGAGAGTACAGGCGTATGCCACCACACCCGGCTAATTTTTTTTTTGAGACAGTGTTTCGCTCTGTTGCCCAGGCTGGAGTGCAGTGGCACGATCTCAGCTCACTGCAACCTTCACCTCCCAGGGATTCTACTGCCTCAGTCTCCCCAATAACTGGGATTACAGGCGTGTGCCACCACGTTTGGCTAATTTTTGCATTTTTTGTAGAACAGGGTTTCACCATGTTGGTCAGGCTGGTCTTGAACTCCTGACCTCAAATGATCCACCCGCCTTGGCCTCCCAAAGTGCTGGGATTACAGGCGTGAACCACCACGCCTGGCCAATTTTTGTATTTTTAGTAGAGACGGGGTTTCACCATGTTGGCCAGGCTGGTCTTGAACTCCTGACCTCAGATGATCCACCCGCCTTGGCCTCCCAAAGTGCTGGGATTACAGGCTTGTGCCACCGCGCCTGGCCCTCTGCTCAGTTTTAATTGGGTTGTTTTCTTATTGTTGAGTTGTAAAAGTTCTTTAAATATTCTGTATATGCGAGCCTCTTATCAGATCTATGTACAAATATTTTCCTGTACTCCATGGGTTTTTTTCTTTATTACTTTTTTAATAGAAATGAGGTCTTGCTATGTTTCCCAGGTGGGTCTCGAACTCCTGGGCTCAAGCAATCCTCCCACCTCGGCCTCCCAAAGTGCTGGGATTACAGGTGTGAGCCACTGCATTCAGCTTGTTTTTTTAAAGAAAGGGTTTTATTGTCACCCAGGCTCATGGCCCACTGCAGCCTCAACCTCCTGGGCTCAAGCAATCCTCCATCAGCCTCCTGAGTAGCTGAGACTACAGGTGTGTGCTACCACGCCTGGCTAATTTTGATATTTTTTTGGTAGAGACAGGGTCTTGCTAAGCTGCCCAGGGTGGTTTCAAACTCCTGGGCTCAAGTGATCCACCTGCCTTGGCCTCCCTAAGTGCTGGGATTACAGGCATGAGCTACCACACCCAACTGCCTTTTTATTTTCTTGATGGTATAATTTATAGCACAAAAGTTTCTACATTCTGAGGTAGTCCAATTTATCTGTTTTGTCACCCGTGCTTTTGGTGTTGTATCTAAAAAACCACTGCCTAACCCAAGATCACGATTTACTCCTTTTCCAAGATTTATTCCTATGCTGTCTTCTGAAAGTCTAACAGATTTAGTTACGACATTTAGGTGTATGATTCCACACAGACTTCTAAAAGTCTCACCTATTTGGTAGTGCTTTCCCAGGGAAATATTTATGGCACCACTAAGAAACAAACAATTAAACTATTGTGTTTAAAACAAAATGTGCAATGTGTGCTCTTTAGCATTCTGATCTAGGCTGAGAACAATATTTGAAATGAGCCAGTGCTCTCTCTGTAGGACAAATAAATGCTTTCATAAAGACGTCACTTTTGAATGGAGTGCAGTTTATGACCTATTTACTTATGAACCAGCCCAAACCGCTTGCCTCCATAGCGTGAGGGAAGGAAGAAAGACTCTACTGTGAGAATCAGGAAAAAAACCCAATCACTAATTTGGTCTAAACAAGGGAGCTTAGAGTTTTCTGTGGCTTTCAAAAACTACTTTCTCTTTGCTTGAAGAAGATGAATAAAAACAGTTTTTTTAATGTCTTGTGACCTGGAAATATTTAATGTAAATATAATGGTCCTTTTATTTATGTTCTTCTAAAGCTGATGGCAAGATGGCATGACATAAAACAAACACCATCTTAACATGCTGTTTTCGGTGGTGGGTCCTCAAGATTTGCTTAAAATGACTCAAAGGACTCAACATACATGTTCTCATGCCTTAGGTTTATCCTAACAAAGGATTCATGACAGGACCAGCAAAGGAAAAAGACACAGCAGAGTCTGGAGAAATCCACACACAGGCTTCCCATGCTTTCTCCCTCCCAACCCGGGAGGGCACACGTTGAGCATGCTCCCTTCTCCAGCAGCAAAACTGAAGCCACACGTGTGCAATGCTTCTGCCCAGAGAAGCCTATCAGAGATTCACCGCCAAAGCCTTTTTTTGTTTTGTTTTGAGACAGAATCTCGCTCTGTCACCCAGGCTGAAGTGCAGTGGCATGATCACGGCTCACTACAGCCTCAAACTCCTGGGCTCAAGTGATTCTCCTGCCTTGGCCTCCTGAGTAGCTGAGACTGCAGGCGCGTGCCACCACACCTGGCTAATTTTTGTGTTTTTAGTAGAGATGGGGTTTCACCATGTTGGTCAGGCTGGTCTCAAACTCCTGGCCTCAAGTGATCCACCTGCCTCGGAAAGTGCTGGGACTACAGGCATGAGCTACCTTGCCCAGCCGGCACCAAAGGGTTTTATTGGAGTCTGGTCATGTAGGCATCTTCTGCCTAGCAATGACCAAAATTCACCAGATTCACAGAAGGAAGCCAGGCATTTGCCATAACTCACAACGTTTGCACAGTCTCTGTGACCTGATACAACAGAGCTTGGTGCCCTAGACTTAATGAGCATAGGGAACTTTCGGGAAGCCCAGTTTCCGAAAGGCCAACCCTGCAAGCAGGTCTTTTTGAAGTCAGCAGACTCAGGCTTGCTATGGTAACTCTCTCCTGTGTAGAGGTCACGTCATTCATGCAAGCTTGAATTTTATGTTTACTTAAGGAAACACTCACCTTAATGTTTATTAATATTCTGAATTTGTAATTATTTCAGTGAGCTGAAGTTTATTCCTATCTATGAATTTTAAAAAGTAAGTATATTACTATAGTAAATACTGTCTAATGGCATGTTTAAGCTGCTAAGGAGCTAATTAAAGGACAGTGGCATAACTTATGAAAATGACATTATTAATTTTTTTTTGAGATGGAGTTTCACTCTTGTTGCCCGGGCTGGAGTGCAATGGCGCAATCTCAACTCACTGCAACCTCCACCTCCTGGGTTCAAGCAATTCTCCTGCCTCAGACTCCCAAGTAGCTGGGATTACAAGCATGTGCCACCACACCCGGCTAATTTTGTATTTTTAGTAGAGATGGGGTTTCACCATGTTGGTCAGGCTGGTCTCAAACTCCTGACCTCAGGTGACCCACCTGTCTCAGCCTCCCAAAATGCTGGGATTACAGGTGTGAACCACTGCGCCTGGCCAATGAAAATGATATTATTAATTCTACATTAAACATATCTATTAAAGCAGGACATGCAGGATCTCGACTGGCACTACTCTTAGCCAGATGTTCAAATTCCTATTCATGGCCAGGCATAGGGGCTCACGCCTATAATCCCAGCACTTTGGGAGGCTGAGACGGGCAGATCAACTGAGTTTGGGATTTCGAGACCAGCCTGGCCAACTTAGTGAAACCCTGTCTCTACTAAAAATACAAAAAATTAGCTGGGTGATGGTGCATGCCTGTAATCCCAGCTACTTGGGAGGCTGAGGCAGGAGAATTGCTTGAACCTGGGAGGCGGAGGTTGCAGTGAGCTGAGATTGCACCACTGCACTCCAGCCTAGGCAATAGGGCAAGACTCCATCCCAAAAAAAAAAAAAAAAAAAAAAAAAAAAAATTCCTGTTTACATGTGAAAGTAATAAGACATTAACTATTTTCCATATACAATAGCATTAATGAGCTAGAGGGATACATCAAGGGCTGCTCAAAAGCCCAATTCTGGGCTAATACTTGCTAGACTTGCTAGGGACAGAAGGTGTTCCAAGCGAAAAACAGTGATCACACAAAGAGAGCATGAGCTAAGTCCTAACAGTAAAACCATACATCTGAAGCCTGTATTCCCTGTTTTACCAGGCTTGTTTCCTCTGATTACTTTTCTTCCTTACCTAAAAGAGTTAGTGTACACAAAAATTTTAAACTACTGCCTAGGTACACTCATATTTTACTTTTTTTTTTTTTTTTTTTTTGAGACAGGGTCTTGCTCTGTCACCCAGGCTGGAATGCAGTGGCACAATCTTGGCTCACTGAAGCCTCAACTTCCCAGGCTGAAGTGATCCTTCCATCTCAGACTCCCAAGTAGCTGAGACTACAGGCGTGCACCACTACACCTAGTTAATTTTTTTTTTTTTGAGATGGAGTCTCACTGTGTTGCCCAGGCTGGAGTGCAGTGGTGCGATCTCAGCTCACCACAACCTCCGCCTCCCAGGTTCAAGCGATTCTTCTGCCTCAGCCTCCTGAGTGGCTTGGATCACAGGTGCGTGCCACCATGCCCGGCTAATTTTTGTATTTTTAGTAGAGACAGGGTTTCACCATGTTGGCCAGGCTGGTCTCGAACTCCTGACTTCAAGTGATTGGCCCACCTCGGCCTCCCAAAGTGCTGGGATTACAGGCATGAGCCACTGCGCCTGGACAATTGACTAATTTTGAAATTTGTTTTGTAGAGTTGGGGGTCTCACTATGTTGCCCAGGCTGGTCTCAAACTCCTAGGCTCAAGTGATCCTCCTGTCTTGGCCTCCCAAAGTATTAAGATTACAGGTATGAGCCACCTCTCCTGGCAACATTCATATTTTAGACAAACATCCTTGGGTGCTTCTTTGCACAAGACCAAAATACAAAATCAGTATCTACCACAGATTGTACATTATGATAATGCTGCCTGTAACTACTCTGATTGTTTCATGTACTTACTTTGTCTTTGAATCTGAATTGTAAAAGGTATTTCTCTACCTGCCCACCATAACAAAGTATCTACACCAGGCATTCAGTGAGTGCTTAATAAATCTAAGGGGGAGAAGCCATAGAGATTGAAGGCCTTTAGAGAGTTCCTCTTTTTTAGATTTGGAAGTTAGAAACAGAGACATGTACTCTGAGGTTGAGGACAAACAAATCAAATACCTATGCATATCCTATAGAGGTTTTGATTGAAACAGAATCAATGCAATTTTGAACTTTCAAGAATTCACACATTCACAATGTATATATCACTGCATTAGATCAGCACTATGGGAACACTAAGAAGAAGGACATTTGTCCTGGCCTCAGGAAGATTATAGCCTACTAGGGGAGATCAGGTATGAACAAACAAGGGTAGAACAGGCATGAAGCCATAAGAAATCTAGAATGTGATCTAGGAGTTCAGAGAGAAAAGGTTTTCATGTCTGGAAAGTCAGTTCTTCAGAAAGGTACCAGTGATGGTGAATTCAACAGAAGTACAAGTAAGTTTAAAAGGGTATCAAAGGGTACAGGCTTTTCCTACATCTCACATCCTGCACATAAATAACAAGAACAGAACGTGTCCCAACGGGAAAACAGCAATCACACAAAGAAGACTGTTAGTAGTAAGTTAAGCATCTTTAGGTCAGCAGGACCACAAAGAGCCAGTAACACAACATGAGGAATGGAAAACAATACCATGTTTGTTTGGTAAGATAGAGAGGAAGTATGGAAAGGAGAGGAGGTACAAACAGGAGACAAGTGGGGTGTATGAGGAAGGAAAGGCTCCCAGGAGCACGATGCTTCCAGTTCTGAAGAGCACCTGCAAGGGGAACAACACACTAAGTGGTCTCTGCTTTTCTTCATAAAATGACACAACTTCCAATCCAGGGAAACAGGTCCACCAACAGGTCACAGCTTCCCTCTTGAGCAATGGTGTAACTGAGGGTTGTATTCCTGACAAAAGATTCAGAAAATGAATCAGCTTTTTAAAATTTTGTTGAGACAGGGTCTCACTGTCACCCAGGCTGGAGTGCAGTGGTGCAATCACAGCTCACTACAGCCTTGACCTCTGGGGCTCAAGTGATCCTCCCACTTCTGCCTTCTGAGAAGCTGGGACTACAGGAACACATCAGCACAACTGGCTAATTTTTGTATTTGTTGTAGAGACAGAGTTTCACCATGTTGGCCAGGAGGTGTCTTGAACTCCTGGGCTCAAGTGATCCACTCATCTCAGCTTCCCAAAGTGCTAGAATTACAGGCATAAGCCACCACACCTGTTATTTTTTTTTTATTCCCCTTGGAGACGGGGTCTCACTGTCGCCCAGGCTGGAGTGCAGTGGCACAATCATGGCTCACTGCAGACTCGATCTCCTGAGTTCAAGTGACCCTGCTGAGTAGCTGGTACTATAGGCACATGTCACTAAGCCCAGCTAATTTTTAATTTTTTATAGAGATGGGGGTCTCTCTCTGTTGCCCAGGCTGGTCTCAAACTGCTGGGCTCAAGCGATCTTCCCATCTTGGCCTCCCAAAGTGCTAGGATTACAGGCATGAGCCACTGCACCTGGCTGAATCAGAGCTTTGACAAAGTGCCACAGACACAAAGACACCCATAACCTTCTAAATTTTTTTTTTAAATGGGGAGAAATCTATCATACGCCTTCACTACAGGAAGGGCCCCAGTGGACGCACAGAATCAAAGTTTACCAAATAAATACAATACTTTTTTTTTTTTTTTTTTTGAGACGGAGTCTCGCTCTGTGGCCCAGGCTGGAGTGCAGTGGCGCGATCTCAGCTCACTGCAACCTCCTCCTCCCAGGTTCAAGCAGTTCTCCTGCCTCAGCCTCCTGAGTAGCATTATAGGCACCTACCACCATGCCCAGCTAATTTTTCTATTTTTTAGTAGAGACGAGTTTTCGCCATGTTGAACTCCTGACTGCAAGTGATCCACCTGCCTAGGCCTCCCAAAGTGCTGAGATTACAGGCTTGAGCCACCACACCTGGCCAAATTCAAGAGTTTTAATACTAACTTCCTTGCCTTTTGTAGAATTCGCTTCTAAATATTTTCATTATTTTTATTCATGTCAATGTTACATGGGTACAGAGTTTCAAACAATTCCGCTGAGTCTGTTGTGAAAAACAAGTCCCATTGTCTCCCTCTCTCCATCCTTTTTTCTTTTGCTTTCTTTTAGTGATAGAGTCTCCCGCTACATTGCCCAGGCTGGTCTCAAACTCCTCCGCCATCCTTTTCTTACGTGCTAATGCTACATAAAAATCTCTTTCTTCCTGTCTTCCTGGGGTTTCAGGAGTTACAGTTATGTATGTATTCACACATACCATTATCTGGAAGCCATTCTCTCATAATTTAGAAGGGATATGGGAGATAAATTAAACAGCTGATATTAAAAAGCTGATGCTTTTTCTGTAGTAAACAACACATTTAAAATCACCCTCTGACCATACACAAATTTGGGGTTCCTCCTAACAAAATCCCAGTGTTATGTCATCTAAGCATTTGAAGGGCTCACTATGACTTTGAGTGTGGAGAGCAGTCTTTGAATCCTCTATTTTTCTCCTTCTTTGCCTTTCCCTTGTTCTTCTATGTGTTCTCTACACCTATCAACAAATCAGCATTGAACAGTGAGTCTCACCAGGCATACCTGAGAGGAGAGAATTTACAGACTGACTATAGGGATACTGAGTCTTAAGACTTTTTTTTTTTTTTTTGAGATGGAGTCTCACTCTGTCGCCCATGCTGGAGTGCAGTGGCACGATCTCGGCTCACTGCAACCTCCGCCTCCCAGGTTAAAGCGATTCTTCTGCCTCAGCCTCCTGAGTAGCTGGGACTACAGGCGCGCACCACCACGCCTGGCTAATTTTTGTATTTTTAGTAGAGATGGGGTTTCACCATATTGGCCAGGCTGGTCTGGAACTCTTGACCTCATGACCCGCTTGCTTCAGCCTCCCTAAGTGCTGGGATTACAGGCATGAGCCACTGCGCCTGGCCTGTCTTAAGATTATTTCACAGGTTGTAGGTGGGCAGGAAAAAGAGTTACTTCCTTGGCTGTCCTTCTGTCTTCCAGAGTCACAGCTAAAGACCAGCGACAAAACTCTCTAGTCAGTTAAGATAAAGGCCCCTACATGTGAAATACAGATGACTTATTCTGCACTGCTAAGTGAATGAAATGTGAAACACTTGCTTATAAAAACAAACTTTTCTTCCACCCGGGCATTTCCTTGGCTATCATTTCATAAACACAAATAAGCCTGAACTTTGGTCACATCTAGAGTTTGACCTAACTGTATACCCTTAGTGTTATGTGCTGGTTAATTACAGGTTGAGCAACCCTAGTACAAAAATCTGAAATCCAAAACACTCCAAAATCCAAAATTTTTTGAACACAGACATGATGCCACAAGTGGAAAATTCCGTATCTTACCTTGTGTGACAGGTTACAGTCAAAATATAGTGAAAACTGGCCAGGCGCAGGCTCACGCATGTAATCCCAGCACTTTGGGAGGCTGAGATGGGCGGATCACGAGGTCAGGAGCTCGAGACCATCCTAACACAGTGAAACCCCGTCTCTACTAAAAATACAAAAAATTAGCCGGGCGTGGTGGCGGGCGCCTGCAGTCCCAGCTACTCGGAAGGCTGAGGCAGGAGAATGGCATGAACCCAGGAGGCGGAGCTTGCAGTGAGCCGAGATCACGCCACTGCACTCCAGTCTGGGTGACAGAGTGATACTCTGTCTCAAAAAAAAAAAAAAAAAAAAAAAAAAAAAAAAAAAAAAATATATATATATATATATATATATATATATATGTATAGTGAAAACTGGCCAGGAGCGGTAGCTCACGCCTGTAATCCCAGCACTTTGGGTGGCCGAGGCGGGCCATCACTTGAGGCCAGGAGTTTGGGATCAGCCTGGTGAATATACTGAAACTTCGTCTCTACTAAAAACACAAAAAATTAGCTGGGTGTGGTGACACATGCCTTTAATCCCAGCTACTAGGGAGGCTGAGACGCAAGAATTGCTTGAACCCAGGAGGTGGAGGTTGCAGTGAGCAGAGAGCATGCCACTTTACTCCAGCCTGGGCAACAGAGTGAGACTGTCTCAAAAACAAAACAAAAACTCTCTCTCTACACACACACACACACACACACACACACACACACACACTCAAAATTTAATGCACAAAAGTATTAAAAATATTTTATAAAACTACCTTCACCCTAAGTGTATAAGGTGCAAGTGAAACAAATGAATTTCATGTTTTTAGACTTGGGTCCCATCCCCAAGATATCTCAGTATGTATATGCAAATATTCCGAAATCTAAAAAAATTCCAAAATCCAAAATATTTCTGGTCCTAAGCATTTTGGATAAGGGATACTCAATCTGTACTGACTTGAAAGTTGAATATATCAGAAGGGAAACAAAACATCAGACAAGAGAAGGTTTACAGGGTGAAAACCAAAACCTGAAGCAAGTTTCTTTCAACCTCTGGTGAATGAAACCATGATTTCAAATACTTACTTTAAATGAAAATCAAGCCATAAGGAGACTTTAGTCCCACAAATGTACTACTGGTCCCCTGACAGTGGTTTCTGCATTAGACTGGGTTGGTACATTGAATTAAAAAGTGAAAACTTGGGCTGAGCACGGTAGCTCACGCCTGTAATCCCAGAACTTTGGGAGGCTGAGATAGGTGGATCACCTGAGCTCAGGAATTTGAGACCAGCCTGGGCAACATGGCAAACCTTATCTCTACAAAAAATACAAAAACTAGCGGGGCATGGTGGCATGTGCCTGTGGTCCCAGCTATGCAGGAGGCTAAGGTGGGAGGAGCACCTGAACCCAGGGAGGTCAAGGCTGCAGTGAGCTGTGATCGCGCCACTGCACTCCAGCCTGGGCAAGAGAGTAAGACCTTGCCTCAAAGAAAAAACAAAACAAAACAAAAGACTGCCAAAATGATGAGTGCAAAGTGCATTCATTAAGATAAGACAAGGTGGAGGCCGGGTGCGGTGGCTCACGCCTGTAATCCCAGCACTTTGGGAGGCCGAGGCAGGAGTTCGGGACCAGCCTGGCCAACGTGGTGAAACCTCGTCTCTACTAAAAAATACAAAAATTAGCCGGGTGTGGTAGCAGGCACCTGTAATCCCAGCTACTTGGGAGGCTGAGGCAGGAGAACTGCTTGAACCCAGGAGGCGGAGGTTGCAGTGAGCTGAGATCGTGCCACTGCACTCCAGCCTGGGCAACAGAGCGAAACTCCGTCTCAAAAAAAAAAAAAAAAAAAAAAAAGACAAGGCCAACGGGCGTGGTGGCTCACGTCCGTAATCCCAGCACTTTGGGAGGCCAAGGTCGGTGGATCACTTGAGCTGGGGAGTTCGGGACCAGCCTGGACAACATAGCAAAACCTCGTCTCTACAAAAAAATAAAAAATTAGCTGGGTGTGGGGGTGCATGCCTGTAGTCCCAGCTACTCGGCAGACTGAGGCAGGAGAACTGCTTGAGCCTAGGAGGTCAAGGTTGCAGCAGCTGTGACCGTGCATGCCACTGCACTCCAGCCCGGGTGGGGAAAAAAAAAAAAAGAAAGAGATAAGATGAGGAAAATATAACCCCTATCTATTACTTTTTCTGAATTCAAGGATTCTGAATTATATCTTTAGACTAAGAAAAATAAGTAATATTCACTGCATGGCCTAATTTTACCTGTCATTGATTTGCTATTTAACCTCGAGCAAGTCACATTTTTCCATCTGTATATGTGAACACAGGCATTTTGCCTACATTTTGAACTTTTTCTTTTTCTTTTTTTTTTTTAGACAGGGTCTTGCTCTTTCGCCCAGGCTGGAGTGCAGCAGTGTGATCTTGGCTCAATGCAACCTCCTCCTCCTGGGTTCAAGCTATTCTCCTGCCTCAGCCTCCTGAGTAGCTGGGATTACAGGCACCCGCTATCATGCCCAGCAAATTTTTGTATTTTTAGTAGAGACAACAGTCACTATGTTGGCCAGGCTGGCCTTGAACTCCTGACTTCAAGCGATCTGCCCGTCTTGGCCTCCCAAAGTTACAGGCATGAGCCACTATGCCTGGCCTTCTTTCTCTTTTTGTTTTTTTTTTCGAGACAAAGTCTCACTCTGTTGCCTAGGCTGGAGTGCAGTGGATTGATCTTGGCTCACTGCAAACTCTGCCTCCTGGGTTCAGGCAATTTTTGTGCCACAGACACCCAAGTAGCTGGGACTACAGGTGTGCACCACCACGCCTGGCTAATTTTTGTATTTTTAGTAGAGACAGGGTTTCACCATGTTGTCCAGGCTGGTCTCAAACTCCTGGCCTTAAGTGATTCACCCACCTCGGCCTCCCAAAGTGTTAAGATTACAGGCGTGAGCCACCGCACCTGGCCTAAAATGTTTTAAAGCAATGTTTCAATACTGAGTAAAAAACTAAAAATGGGAGGTAATATCTTAGATAGGAGGCACTCAAATTATTGATTAATGACCTGAGCATGCTGACGTGTAGGCCATTTCTTCTTAATCTTCTCTAGATCAGGCAATTGCAAGGAAGAAACTCATGGAATCGCTACTTTCCAGAGGTGACATGGGAGGCCAAGCCAAATGGAGAAAGCCTGAAATAACAGCATATTTATAATGAGATATAGGCATGGCTTTCACATATTTGAGTGATTGGCATAGTAACACAAAAGTACTTTGGCATAAAAGGAAATAAAAGACTTCTGGGTGACTATGGAGAACATTCTAGGGACAAATTTGCTTCAGCTCATTAATCTGGTAACAATGCTCCCTCTGTTCCTGCCATTTTGGCTCTCTTAAATATATATAACATGAATATGTGCATATCCATCTGTGTATTGCTATCTTACTGACTGCTATCAGTTCTGGAAGGTCAATGATTAGGAATTCAATGATGATACAAGTATACAAGGAAGACTTAGAGTTCCCAAATCTAATTGAAATCTGGAAATTCTAAATTCTCTTTGACATTCTGTTCCCCTGTCATCCTCACTGGCTGGCTGGCTGACAAGTCAAAAGAGGCTCCTGCAGTGGGAATACAGAGTTCAATGAGCTGTGCATTCAGGGCCACAGAGGAGGAGAATACAAGCCATACACATACAGAGAACCCAAACACACACCACATCCCCATTCATCCACTGGCAGAGGACAGAGACTTCTTCATTCTGAATCTCCCACTGGCATTCAAGAATTGCAAGTTCTGTACAAACTAGGAGGTGACAGCCACAACAAGGGGTCACTGTTACTGTTTCCTTTTATATGTCTTCTAATCATCGTCAGGGAAACTGTATTACTTACAAGTTTTGTTCCTTGTGCTAGTTATTGAAGCATCTCTCGGACTCCAGAGCTACTCTTCTATACTATGTGTTGTGGGGCCCAGACTCAGCAGGCTGTGAGCTGATACTTCCCTAAGAGTTACCTGTTGTCTTTAACTCACATACACCATCCATACCACACACACACACAAACATGCACCACACACACAAACCATGCATACACACACACCATACACACTTAGACCATCACTCAGTGATATCGGATTTTTTTTTTTAACTTGGGTTTTAATTAGGTACATAAATAGCAACATGAGAATGAGGAGTTCTAAGGCTTGTACATTATCTCTAGGTGAAGGGATTCCAGGTTAGTTTGCTTGTAGGATGATTTCACAGAAGATAACAGAGGTCTGGTCTAGTTTTTCCTGAAGAAGAAAGCCAATTTAATACATTCAATACTGACTTCTATGCCATTTTTCTGTAGAAATACTGATTTATTCTATGGAGTTTCCAATGTTTACCTATAACTAAAAGAAAGAAAAGAAAAACATAAGTAACTGTGCCAGAAAAAATTTTGCATTATGAAAATTCTTCAGATTTAAATAGAGAAACCAGGCCAGGCGCGGTGGCCCATGCCTGTAATCCCAGCACTTTGGGAAGCCGAGGCGGGTGGATCACCTGAGGTCAGAAGTTCGAGACCAGCCTGCCCAACATGGTGAAACCCCGTCTCTACTAAAAATACAAAAAGATTGGCTGGGCATGGTGGCAAGTGCCTGTAATCCCAGCTACGCAGGAGGCTGAGGCAGGAGAATCACTTGAACCTAGGAGACAGAGGCTGCAGTGAGCTGAGATCATGCCATTGCACTCCAGCCTGGGCGACAAGAATGAAACTCCATCTCAAAATAAATAAATAAATAGAGAAACCATAGAAAATATTTACATCACCATTATATGACCATAAGAAACATGAGCCAGAGAAAACTGTAATTATTCCCATTTTAAAGACAGTTAAACTAAGAATCAGAAAGGTCGAGTGTGGTGGCTCATGCCTGTAATCCCAGCACTTTAGGAGGCCGAGGCAGGTGGATCATCTGTGGTCAGGAGTTCGAGACCAGCCTGGCTAACATGGTGAAATCCCATCTTTACTAAAAATACAAAAAATTAGCCGGGCATGGTGGCGGGCGCCTGTAATCCCAGCTAATCGGGAGGCTGAGGCAGTAGAATTGCTTGAACCCGGGAGGCAGAGGACGCAGTGAACCAAGACTGAGCCACTGCACTCCAGCCTGGGCAACAGAGCAAAACTCTGTCTCAAAAAAAAAAAAAAAAAAAAGATTTTGTGTTCCATCAACATTACATATACACTACATTCAGATCCTCAATTGGCTGTGTATCTGAGTGTAATTAACCAACTAGATGGATGAATAAATAAAAAACAAATGCCTAAATGGCACAGTACACATCACATCTGAAGATTAAACAACTACATTTCCATCTATCTGCTGGAAAGCATGATTACATCACCCTCAGTTTGATGTGTAATTTTCCTCGCATCACCCCCATCATACTTTTCTGGAATAAAATACACATATAGTCAAAGACATGTCAAAGACAAACTGAGTCTTCTCCAGATTGCTTTTTTCATATTTTTTTTTTTTTTGAGATGGAGTCTTGCTCTGTCACCCAAGCTGGAGTGCAGTGGCGTGATCTCGGCTCACTGTAACCTCTGCCTCCCAGGTTCAAGCAATTCTGCCTCAGCCTCCCAAGTAGCTGGGATTACAGGTGCCCGCCACCACACCCAGCTAATTTTTTATATTTTTGGTAGAGACAGGGTTTCACCATGTTGGCCAGGCTGGTCTCGAACTCCTGACCTAAAGTGATCTGCTTGCCTCAGCTTCCCAAAGTGCTGGGATTACAGCCGTGAGCCACCACGCCTGGCTTTTTTTCATAATTTGTAATGAATATACTCAGCAATTAGAGATTTTTTTTTTTTTTTGAGACGGAGTTTCACTCTTGTTGCCCAGGCTGGAGTACAGTGGCGTCCTCTCGGTTCACCGCAACCTCCATCTCCCGGGTTCAAGCAATTCTCCTGCCTCAGCCTCCTGAGTAGCTGGGATTACAGGCAGGCGCCACCACGCCCGGCTAATTTTTTGTATTTTTAGTAGAGATGTGGTTTCACCATGTTGGGCAGGCTGGTCTCGAACTCCTGACCTGAGGTGATTCACCCGCCTCAGCCTCCCAAAGTGCTGGGATTACAGGTATGAGCCACCGTGCCCGGCACAATTGGAGATTTCTAAATATTTTAGAGGCCAGTGACTATTCACTTGATCTTTTAATATACAACCAAAAATTCTTAAACATGTAAACTACTAGCTTATTTTTTCTATCTCAGTTTATTAATCTGCTTTTGTCTTCCCCAGGAATTTGATAGATTTATTGCATTGTTAAAAACTAAAAACTGGAAACAACCTATGTTGGTAAGGATTAAGTAGATCATGGTAGTCCATACTAGGAAATCATTAAGCAACTAGAGAAGGAATGCGTAGCTCTATTAAGTACTGACAGGGAAATACTTACACAATATGTTATGTAAAACAAGTTCATTCATTCATCAGCATAGATTAATATAGTACTGTCTATGGCAAAAAAAAAAAATGAACCTAAGTCTAATTAAGCCTTCGGATCCAACTATAAGTTTATGGGAAATATAGAGAAGAAAGAAACCAAGAGATAAACAGAATGATACTAAATGGATACATTCGGCCACAGCCAGAACATGAGAAATTCTTTTTTTCCCCTCCCAGCTCAATCCTTGTAGAAAACAGGAATTCTAAAGGACAAATAAGCCAGGTTTTTCAACAGATAAATAGCAAGGGACAATGAGGGAGCGGAAACTATTACAGTTCTAAGAGACCTATCAGTCAAACACAACAGGCAGATCTTGTTTGGATCCTGGTTCAAACGAACCAACTGTAAAAAGTTATTCATGAAACAACCAGGAAAATGTGTACATTGAACTGGATATTAGATGATGTTAAGGAATTAGTGCAATTTCTTTCTTTCTTTGAGACGGAGTCTCTCTCTGTTGCCCAGGCTGGGAGTGTGCAGTGGCACGATCTTGGCTCACTGCAACCTCTACCTCCCGGGTTCAAGCAATTCTCCTGCCTCAGCCTCCTGAGTAGTTTGAACTACAGGCATGAGCCACCATGCCCGGCCTTAATTTCCTTTTTTTCTTTTTTCTTTTTTTTTTGAGACAGAGTCTCACTCTGTCACCCAGGCTGGAGTGCAGTGGCGTGATCTCGGCTCACTGCAACCTCCGCCTTTCGGGTTCAAGCGATTCCCCTGCCTCGGCCTCCCGAGTAGCTGGGACTACAGGCGCACGCCACCATGTCTGGCTAATTTTTGTATTTTTAGTAGAGACAGGGTTTCACCATATTGGCCAGGCTAGTCTCAAACTCCTAACCTCATGATCCGCCCACCTCAGCTTCCCAAAGTGCTGGGACCACAGGCGTGAGCCACCACGCCCAGCCCCAGCCTAATTTCTTTTTTTTTTTTTTTTCCCCAAATCAATAGGTCTTTTATTGCATCATTTAAATATCACAAGTAGGTCTTAAGTGTCATCTGGCATCTTCTTTCTGTAGCCAGGTAACTCTTAGATCTTATTCATCAGCCTGCTGAACAGTTCCTTTTTCAGAGACATAGATACCATCCAAAAATTTCCTGATATCCTTGTTTTTAACTGTTGTGGCTTGCTGAATCAAAGCCGCTGAATTTGAAACAAGCTCAATGTCATTTCCTTCAAGGATTAATTCATCTTTCTGGGCTTGAGATACTGAACAAGCAACACCTGGTCTCATCCGAACCCTGCGGATGTATTTTTCACCCAAAAAATTTCGGATTTCAACAAGAGACCCATTCTCCTGGATAACAACGTTGATGGGGAAGTGAGCATACACAGACCTCATCTTGTAACGGAAGCCCAGTGTAACACCCTTGATCATGTTCTGTACATGACTACAAATAGTCCGAACGGTAGCCAGTTCCTTTCTGTTACCCCACCATTTGTCAACCCGGAGCCTCTTTTTTTTCTTTCCAAGAAGGCTGAGTTCTACATTGATGTGATTGAAGTCCCTCCGCAGGGTTCCTCTGGGGCCCTTCACGATAACTGTGCGTCCCTTCAGAGTAATGTCGACATTTTCTGGAATGTCGACAGTCTGATTGCTGAGAATAGTCTTCATTCTCGCAGTAGACGCAGCAAAGAAAGCCTAATTTCTTTATGTATGATAATATAATTACAATTATATGCCTTCAGTAAGTTTTCTGTGCAGCTACTCAGAAGGGTGAAGTGGGAGGATCACCTAAACCCAGGAGTTGAAGTCCAGCCTGGGTAACACAGCAAGATCCCATCCCCCCAGATAAATAACAGTAAAAAGAAAGTTTTCTGTGAACTTGTAAAACAATATGTGGAATATGATCCCATTTTGTCAAAAAACCAAAAACATGCATGTATGCATGAATATATTATAAATGTATAAATAAATTTATTTAATTTATAAATAAATTTTAAATATAAATAAATATATATATTTGTTTTTGAGACAGGGTATCACTCTGTTGCCCAGGTTGGAGTGCAGTGGAGTGATCATGGCTCACTGCAACCTCTTTCTCCCAGGCTCAGGAGATCCTCCCACCTCAGCCTCCAAGTAACTGGGACTACAGGTGTTCGTCATCACACTCAGCTAATTTTTTTAATTTTTTGTAGAGACAGGGTTTCGCCATATTGCCCAGGCTGTTCTCGAACTGCCAGACTCATATAATCCACCTACCTCAGCCTCCCAAAGTGCTAGGAGTACAGGTGTGAGCCACTGCACCCGGCCTATCTATCTATCTATCTATCTATCTATCTATCTATCTATCTATCTATATTTAAAAGTCTGGAATGATATACCAAACTATTAACAAAAATTACCTCTGGAAAAAAGAATAAAGGGGCCAGATGTGGTGGCTCACACCTGTAATCCCAGTACTTTGGGAGGCTGAGGCAGGTGGATCACCTGAGGTCAGGAGTTCGAGACCAGCCTGACCAATATGCTAAAACCCTGTCTCTACTAAAAAATACAAAATTAGCTGGGCATGGTGGTGCATGCCTGTAATCCCAGCTACTTGGGAGGCTGAGGCAGGAGAATGACTTGAACCCGGGAGGCCTCAGAGGCTGCAGTGAGCAAGATTGCTCCACTGCACTCCAGCCTGGGCAACAAGAGTGAAACTCTATCTCAAAAAAAAAAAAAAAAAAAAGAAAGAAAGAAAAAGAAAAGAATAAAGGATAAGACAAGCTTTTTTGTTTTGTTTTTGAGACAGAGTTTCACTCTTTTTGCCCAGGCTAGAGTGCAATGGCACGATCTCGGCTCACTGCAACCTCCGCCTCCTGGGTTCAAGCGATTCTCCTGCCTCAGCCTCCCAAGTAGCTGGGATTACAGGCAACTACCACCATGCCTGGCTTTTTTTTTTTGTATTTTTAGTAGAGACGGGCTTTCACCATGTTGGCCAGGGTGGTCTCGATCTCTCGACCTCGTGATCTGCCCACCTTGGCCTCCCAAAGTGCTGGGATTACAGGCGTGAGCCACCACACCCGGCCAAGACAAGCTTTTAAAACAGTTAGCTAAAAACATTTTTTACAACCAACACGAATCACTTTTATAATTAAAAGCTACACCTCCTCCAATAAAGATCTAAAAACAATAAAGAATGAAGTCAAGGTTGTGTATTTCAGCAAGCTGAACTCTGGTGCAGAGTATCTTTGAAAATTGAAATGGATATTTACCTAATTTCCCTTTATTCTATGTCTTTTTCATTGTCCCTGTACAGAAATATATCCATTCTGGCTGACAGGGATTTAAAAAAAGAGAGAAATATAACCATATTAAAAGTCAAGTCTCTAGAGGACATGTGTCACTCTGTGGCTGCTCACCCTCCAGTCATCCTTCTAATGGCACATCCCATGCATATCTGGCCCCATTCACCAGAGATACTGATTCTGGGGTGCCCTTTGCCTTTTACCAAGCTCCCCGGGTAATAGTTTGTATCTGAGAACATACTGATGTTGGGTTACTGTATGAACAGCTATGCTGTGAAAGAGGAACTGGATTTGTTTTCTGTGACCACTAAGGAGACATATTTTTGCTTAGCAGAGGAAACAGCTTCCAAAAACTCAGAATTGTCCCAGGATGGCTGCCCCATAGGGTGAGTTTCCCATCAGTGCTGGTGTAAAAGAAGGAACATACAGGGTTTCAGGGGAGTCTGCTTGAGGCTGGGGGTTGGGCCAGATAACCACTCTCAAATTCTCAGTTTATGTGACTCTTTGGGTCTCCAAAAATATAAAGAAAGCTTGAGGAAAAAAGACCCTTCAAACTCAGGGTTTTCATAAATTTTAAGTAAGGGCCATGATTTACAATAAATGTAACACCAATTTTCAAAAAATTTTCTGATTATAAAATGCATACTCATTGCAGAAAATTTTTTAAATACAGAAAGTTATAAAGAAGAAAAAAATATAAAAATCATCATGCCACTGAAAGATACACACTTTCTGTCGTATCTCCTGGCTTCATCCCCTCTATAAACATATCACACTACCTTTTTTTCATTTAACAATAATTGTGCACACGTTCCCATGCAATTAAATACTGTAGAAACAGAATAATAATATTCTTCTTTATAGATATACCATAATTAAGCCATTTTCCTGTAGTTGAATATCTAGGTTGCTTCCAAATTCAATTACAGTCTTCTAATTACCAGGAAATCACAAGTGCTATTATACAATTTTTCATATATACACAAACAATATAACTAGTGTTTTGAGCCTCTCTGTAACAGTCATGCATTCCAGTGTTCACTGAGTATTAGATAAATACAAGTGTACTTACTATAATAAAGTGTTGTTTGAAAAAAACCTAAGGAATAATGACACTTTTCAATTGTTTGAAATACATTTGTAGACAAATCCCAACTGTCTGGTTCTAGCTTGTCTAAAAAACCCAGGTAACATTAGTGGAACAAACACAAATAAGTAAGTCACAGCATTTAAGCCCAGAAACTAAAAGATGGAATAAAATATTTTCACATCAAATTGAAACTGTTATAATTAATTAAATTAAATTAATTAAAAACAAGTCATTTCAGCTGGCACTACAATGCTGAAAATAATCACAGAAATTTCTTGTTTTTTACCTGATTAAGATGGCAGAGCATGGAGTTTTCTACTTAGTTCCAGGTGAATTCTTCACATTTCCTGGCTTTTAAAACAAAAGAAAGAGCTTGAATGCAGTTTGAAAAGAAATAGTGCAACTCCTTAGTGTCCTGAGTATTTGGCTGAACATGAACATTAAAAATTATTATGGGGGACAGGGTCAAACCATTTTATTGAGGACTTGGGGGGTTGTTGAAGAAAGGCTGAGGAGGACAATGAGATCCCACATTCTCGCAGTTACCGACCATTAAATATTATTTTACTGCAAAGTGATCCATCTGTCAGTAAATTGAAGAAGTTACTAGGGCTCTCTGAGGGCCCTACTGTAGAGTGACTTGGGCAGAGAGAGCAGGAAATAAAGCTCCATTAATCCTCATTATGCAGATTCAGCCAAACAGTTGATTCTAATTAAAAAATCAATATATCTTCCTTTTATTTCCTGAAATAAAGGTTTTACACCTATGGGAAGGCTTCCTGTAGGTATTTACTCCATGCATTATTCACCATTATCCACCATAGGGGCCAATCCACAAAACATGTTTACTCTGAAAGAAGTTAGACCACACCCATTCTGCCCAGTGGCCCTCCGGGAACATATAATTAGGCCATGTAATCCATAAGAAGCAGTGTAGGAAAAGCTTCTAGTGGGAAAAGTTCACGTGCTAAACTTTTAAGGCCTTACTTTCTTTTCTATACGTTTTTTAGACTTTAATTCTGAAAACACATTAATAGTCAGAGATCAGATGGCAGTCTGAAAAACAGGAGGCTGCAGCTGGGCGGGCCATGGGGGCTAAGATTCTGTTGTATAGACTTGGAGCAGTTTCTCCTGGTGCCCCTCTTTCAGAGTTATTCATGGATGAAGGAAGAGGAAAAGGTGAGAAAGCAGGAGCACGTGACTAACCCTGTCATTTCAGAGCATGGTTTCTAGGCAACTTTGGGGCTCCCTGGAGTGGCTGAGAACTGGTCTATAAGTACTGTTTTATACCCGTTGTCCCAACATAATTAATAGTGTCCCCTTTCACTCTCAAGAGTATCCTGGTTTGCCGGGCATGTTGGTTCACGCCTGTAATCCCAGCACTTTGGGAGGCCGAGGCGGGAGGATCCATTGAGCCTGGGAATTCAAGACCAGCTTGGGCAACATAGAAAAAGAAGTTTAAAAAAAAAAAAAAAAAAAAAAAGAGTATCCTGGTTTTGATGATAAAGTATATGGTCACCACATCCACTTGATGATGGAGTTCTGGGAAACAAGGCCATACGAACTGCTTGGCGGACCAATGATCAACATACAATTCTCAGGTCTACTTGATGCTCTGAACAAGAGTGCTACAGGACTGAGAATCTGTGCCCTTCTCCTCCTCCAGAGCCACTCCCCACCCTGCCTCCTCACATGCATGCACACAAGCGAACACACATACCCATATGTGAACACACACCCACCTACAACCCAGAGGCCTTTTTGCTGTTGCTCGAAATTGACAAACTCCCTACTGGGACAAGACCTTTGCAAAATATACCCCACTGACCGAGACCAGACAATCCCAATTTTTGCCTAGCTAAATGTTATTCATCCTTTACATCAAGGCTTTCTTTGTACCCTGTCCTTCAATTTAGCAGAACCTTCTATTCCCTTTCATAGCACTCATGTACTTCCTGATTGTGTAATTATTTCTTTCATGTTTGAGTCTTTCATTAACCTGTAAGCTTCATGAGGGCACAATATCCCTAGGGCCTCCTAGCACACACTATTCAAATATTTGTTGCATAAACAAATGGAAAGCCAGGGGCAGTGGCTCACACCTGTAATCCCAGCACTTCAGGAGGCCGAGGCGGGTGGATCACTTGAGCCCAGGAGTTCAAGATCAGCCTGGGCAACATGCTGAAATCCTGTCTCTAAAAAAAATACAAAAATTAGCCAGGTGGGATGACACATGCCTGTGGTCCCACCTACTCAGGAGGCTGAGGTGGGAGGATCACTTAAGCCAGGGAGGTTGAGGCTGCAGTAAGCTGTGACTGCACAACTGCACTACAGTTTGGGCAACAGAGTGAGACCCTGTCTCAAAACAAACAAACAAATGGAATGGGGTAGAACTTAGAGATCTGATGAATGTAAAAAAGCTTGGGTTTCTATTTTCTTAACACATCCATGAACACGAATAACAATTTCTGTTAGCAAAATTAAAACTTAAAAAAAAATCAAAACATTGATTTCTAATTAGTATGACTGCCATGTGAAGGCTGATTGCCAGCCAAACCTTTGAGGTATAGCAGCCTACTGAAATGTCTGGGTCCCTCACCAGACTAATGAAGAACAAGAAGAGAGAAAAAAAGGCTTATAAGGGCCAGTGAGATAATCATGTCCAACAATCGGGTCTGGCATAAAAACAAGGTGGTTCTCGGCAGGGCGTGGTGGCTCACGCCTGTAATCCCAGCACTTTGGGAGGCCAAGGTGGGTGGATCACCTGAGGTCAGGAGTTCGAGACCAGCCTGAACAACAGGGAGAAACCCCGTCTCTACTAAAAATACAAAATTAGCAGGGCATGGTGGCGCATGCCTGTAATCCCAGCTGCTCGGGAGGCTGAAGCAGGAGAATCGCTTGAACCCAGGAGGCGGAGGTTGCAGTGAGCCAAGATCACGCCATTGCACTCCAGCCTGGGCAACAAGAGTGAAACTCCATCTCAAAAACAAACAAAAACAAACAAACAAAAAAACAAGTTAGTTCTCTACTTAAATACAGTTTAGGTCTGAATTAACATACTGCTTGCCAAATACTTCCAATGATATTCTTATATATTCTACTATCTATACTCGCCAGTACCTCAATCTCAAAAAAATAAGATGCTAAATTCACAAGCTTTTTTATCTTTTGGACAATAAGAAAATGAGCACACAAAAGCATTCTTCTGATTCAGGAAAACAACTTTGTTGCTAGGAAAATTTTCTTGTTTGGTTACATATCACTTATAGTATAACAAAACAGCACAGTCCAATATCTCATTAAAAAAATATTGAGCCCATCCACCACCCTGTCACAAATCAGATCTCTCTTGGCAGAGAACTCCAGGATCTCAGACAAAACAACATTCTGACTTCAAAAAACAGTTCGTGATTTAGCACAAGCCAGAAATCATTTTTTTTTGCATTTTCAGACAGAGAAAGTTTTATCTAGAATATTTTGTAACTCATTTTCATACATATCTGATTTCAGTTTTTATTTTCTTACCACGTCCATGAACACAAATGACAATTTCTTTTTTTTTTTTTTTTTTTTTTTGAGACGGAGTTTCCCTCTGTCACCCAGGCTGGAGTGCAGTGGCGCAATCTCAGCTCACGTAACCTCTGCCTCCTGGGTTCAAACGATTCTCCTGCCTCAGCCTCCTGAGTAGCTGGGATTACAGGCGCCCACTACTACACCCAGCTAATTATTGTATTTTTAGTGAAGACAGGGTTTCACCATGTTGGCCAGGCTGGTCTCAAGCTCCCGACCACAGGTGATTTGCCTGCCTCGGCCTACAAAGTGCTGGGATTACAAGCATGAGCCACCGTGCCTGGGCACAAATGACAATTTCTGCTAGCAAAACCAAAACTTTTTAAGAAAATCAAGACACTGATTTCTAATTAGTATGCCTGCCATGTGAAGGCTGATTGCCAGCCAGCCAAACCTTTGAGGTACAGCAGCCTACTGAAATGTCTGACTCCCTCACCAGTTGAATTATTTTCAACAATTACTTAACTTCTCCAAAATGCAGTTTCCTCACTTATAAATGGGGATAATAATAGAACCCACCTCAAAGACTCTTCCTGAGCAAAGAGTTTAGCGCCAAGGGCCAAGCTCACAGCAAGTAAGTGCTCAATAAACATTATCTATCCTATATGGCAGGCCACTTTATTTTTTGGATGAAGAAAATAAAAGGTAAGGATAAATGACCTGTTAAAGACCCCAACACAATTCTAGTTCACTTGATGAGGTAGGCAGAATAATGGCCCCTCAAAGATGTCTTCTATTTCTGGAACCTGTGACTGTTACCTCACACAGCAAAGGGAAATTAAGGTTGCATTGGAATTAAGTTTACTAATCAGTTGCCCTTAAAATAGGGAGATGATCTTGGATTATCTGGGTGGGCTTGATTCAAGCATAAGAGTGCCTGCAGTCTAAGAGGGAGGCAGAAGAAGAGGTCAGAAGGGGGATCTGCAAACGACTTGCTGCAGGCTTCGACAATAGAGGAAGGAAGCTGGAAACAGCCCTCAGCCAGCAAAACAGACCTTGGTCCTACAGCCTCGAGGAACTGAGTTCTGTCAACAATCTAAATGAGCAGGAAAGAAATTCCCCCCTAGGGCCTCTAGAAAGGAACGCAACCCTGCTGACACCTTGATTTAGAATTGGACTTCTGACCCACAGAACTAAGATAATCATTTGCACTACTTTCAACCTGTAAATTTGCAGTCATTTATTTTGGCAGCAATGGAAAACTAAAACAATGACATAAGGATTCCTGACTACAGGGTATGGTTCCATTTTCTATCAGTGGACATTATCTTCTCAGGCAGAAGCGAAAATGTGCAGTATCACATGAGTGGTGGTTGATGACTATCATGTGGCTAGAGTCCAGCCATTTCATATGTTCCTCACATGAGATAACCTTATTTAATCCTCAAAACAGCTCCAGGAGGTACTATGCCAGTTCCCACAGAGCTGGAGTAACTTCCCAAGGTTTCAGGGCTAGTAAGAGGCAGAGGTGGGGTAGGAGTCTGGTGCTCCCGCTCCTCTTAGTCCACTGGACAACGCTGTATCCTGCCCACTGATACCAAGAGTGCATTCCTTTCTAAAGAGGAGATGACATTATTCAGGATTTCTAACTTTTCATTTTGGTAAATAATGGTGTTTTTAAAAAGAAAGAAAAAATCATTTCAAAATCATTTCCTAATACCTGTAGTTCTTAGAATTTTAGACAGCAAAAAATTACAAAGCACAAACTCATAACTTTATGGAAAACCCATCAAGCTGTCATTTAAAAAAAATACAGTGGTAAGAATACTTAACATGACATCTGCCCTCTTGGCAGATTTTTAAGTGTACAATACGGTACTGTTATCTATAGGCACAGTGTTGTGCAAGGGGTCTGTAGAACTTATTCTCTTTGCTTGACTAAAACTTTGTTGATTACCAACTCCCTATCTCTCCCTCCCCCAATCCCTGGCAATCGCCATTCTATTCTCTGCCTCTATGAGTTTGACTATTTTAAATACCTCATACAAGTAGAATCATGCAGTAATTGTCCTTCTGTGATTAGCTTACTTCAAAGATGAACATTTTAAAACTACATGACTTACTTTCAGCCAAACTTTGCCATGTTTAGAGAGCCGAGGAACTTCTAATGGAGGAAGAAAAAGCAGGGCATGTTTACTCAGGGTGGTGGCTGCTGCTTCCCTTTCATTTTCCTGCTGAGCCAGCAAGGGCCTGAATAAAACTATTAACAGCTCAGCTTTAGAAGTTCTGCTCAGTTTTCACATTGGTAACAGGTTTATGCTTCTTTATTAATTTCCTGCCTTTTAAATAATTAGTGTTGGCCTTCAGCAGTCATTGTACAATTCTGTGATAGTAATTTGTTGCATTAAAAAAAAGCTAGTGAAAAACTAAAATATGATATTTACTGAGACATACTGCTGTGTTTAGCTAATTATAAGACAACTCTAAGCTGGGTGCGGTGGCTCACGCCTGTAATCCCAGCACTTTGGGAGGCCGAGGCAGGGGGATCACCTGAGGCCAGGAGTTCGAGACCAGCCTGGCCAACATGGCGAAACCCCGTCTCTACTAAAAATACAAAAAAAAAAATTAGCCAGGCATAGTAGTGAATGACTGTAATCCCAGCTACTTGGGAGGCTGAGGCGGAAGAATCGCTTGAACCCAGAAGGCGGAGGTTGTAATGAACCAAGATGGCACCATTACACTCCAGCCTGGGCGACAGAGCGAGACTCCATCTCAAAAAAAAAAAAAAAAAAAAGACAACTCTAGTCGGGTGCAGTGGCTCACGCCTGTAGTCCCAGCACTTTGGGAGGCTGAGGCGGGTGGATCACTTGAGGTCAGGAGTTCAGGACCAGCCTGGCCAAGATGGTGAAACCCTGTCTCTACTAAAAATACAAAAATTAGCCAGGCGTGGTGGCGCACGCCTGTAATCCCAGCTACTCAGGAGCCTGAGGTAGGAGAATTGCTTGAACCCAGGAGGTGGAGGTTGCAGTGAACGCGATCGCACCACTGCACCACTGCACTCCAGCCTGGGCTACAGAGCAAGACTCCATCTCAAAAAAAAAAAAAAAAAAAAGACAACTCTAAAAGAGCCATCTGTGACCCTGAGGACTGACACCCACAACTGACCTCCTGACACCCACAACTGGCCTTCATCTCTGATACTGAGACCTTGGGTTAGGACTATTCTGAAAGGGTTTCGGATTAGCAATGGACAATCAATAAATATTTCATGCTTTTATTAAGCTCCTAGAGTCAAAGAGTGAAAACCATAATGGAAAAGGTCAATAAATCAACTACATGAAGAACTTCTTCTGATCATCAAGACACCAAAACTGAAAAGACAAGCCATATTGAGAAAAGACATCTGCAAACATCTGGCCAAAACTATTAATATCTAGGAAAAAAATAAAGAACCCTTATAAATCAATAAGGGACAAATGACCCATATAAAAAGTGGCCAAAAGACATGAACAGGCATTTCAAGAAGAAGCCAATAAACCTGTGAAAAGATGCTCAATCAGGGCAATGTAAATGAAAACCACGATGGGAAATTCTGGGAACATCTTCACATGCTAGATAGTGAGGTAACTATCACAGACTACTTGGGTCATGTCAAGAGGACTCAGAGCCAACTTCCACTAGCAAAATGGGACAGTTTGAACTTTAATAAGACCAAGAATTACAAAGCATTCAAAACTATCAAATATGTTTAAATCTATAAACCCGTAATGATTTTTAATTTATTTATTATTTTAAGAAACAGGGTCTTGGCCAGGCGCAGCGGCTCACACCTGTAATCCCAGCACTTTGGGAGGCCGAGGCGGGCGGATCACGAGGTCAGGAGATCGAGATCATCCTGGCTAACACGGTGAAACCCCGACTCTATTAAAAATACAAAAAATTAGCTGGGCGTGGTGACGCGTGCCTGTAGTCCCAGCTACTCGGGAGGCTGAGGCAGGAGAATGGTGTGAACCCGGGAGGCAGAGCTAGCAGTGAGCCGAGATCATGCCACTGCACTCCAGCCTGGGCGACAGTGCGAGACTCCATCTCAAAAAAAAGAAAAGAAAAGAAAAGAAACAGGGTCTCGCTCTGTCACCCAGGCTGGAGTGGAGTGGTACGAACACAGCGCTCACTGCAGCCTCAAACTCCTAGACTCAAGTGATCCTCCTGTCTCAGCCTCCCAAAGTGCTGGGATTACAGGTGTGAGCCATTGTGCCCAGCCTATAATTATATATATATATATATACACACACACACACATATATATCCATCTCTATATAAATATATATATATATTTATTTATTTATATTATTTTTTTGAGATGGAGTTTCACTCTTGTTGCCCAGGCTGGAGTACAACGGCGGGATCTTGGCTCACTGCAACCTCCGCCTCCTGGGTTCAAGCGATTCTCCTGCCTCAGCTTCCCGAGTAGCTGGAACTACAGGCATGTGCCACCACGCCCAATTTTTTTGTATTTTTAGTAGAGACGGGGTTTCACCATGTTAGCTAGGATGGTCTCGATCTCCTGACCTCGTGATCCGCCCACTTCAGCCCCCCAAAGTGCTGAGATTACAGGCATGAGCCACCGCGTCTGGCCCTATTTTTTTGAGACAAAATCTCACTCTGTCGCCCAGGCTGGAGTGCAGTGACGCGATCATGGCTCACTGCAACCTCTACCGCCCAGGTTCAGGTGATTCTCCAGTCTCAGCCTCCTGAGTAGCTGGGACTACAGGCGCGTGCCACCACACCTGGCTAATTTTTTATTTTTAGTAGAGACGGGGTTTCACCCTGTTGGCCAGGCTGGTCTCGAACTCCTGACCTCAGGTGATCCACCCGCCTCGGCCTGCCAAAGTGCTGGGATTACAGGCGTGAGCCACCGTGCCTGGCCATTATTTTTAAAGAAAAACTAACAGGTGATCTTCTGAGGAAAGGGAATGAATTCATTATTTTGAAACTGGATAAATAAGAGAAAAAAATCAAGTAATTATCTTGTTTTTCCTATATAAACTATAACTGGGTAACTAGTAGATAAGAGAAGGGGTTCTTTATCAAAATATTTCAGCTAATTTGAGAAAATGAAACAATAGAAGCAAAATATCACCATTTTCTTTTCTTTTTTTTTTTTTTTGAGACAGAGTCTTGTTCTGTCAACCAGGCTGGAGTGAGGTGGCATGATCTTGGCTCACTGCAACCTCTGCCTTGCAGCTTCAAGCAATTCTCCTGACTGAGTCTCCTGAGTAGCTGGGACTACAGGCACGTGCCACCATGCGCGGCTGATTTTTTTTTTTTTTTTTTTTTTGAGATGGAGTCTCACTCTGTCGCCCAGGCTGGAGTGCAGTGGTAGGATCTCAGCTCACTGCAAGCTCCGCCTCCTGGGTTCACGCCATTCTCCTGCCTCAGCCTCCTGAGTAGCTGGGACTACAGGCGCCTGCCACCACGCCTGGCTAATTTTTTTGTATTTTTAGTAGAGACAGGGTTTCACCGTCTTAGCCAGGATGGTCTCAATCTCCTGACCATGTGTGGCTAATTTTTTTGTATTTTTAGTAGAGCTGGGGTTTCACCATGTTGGCCAGGCAGGTTTCGAACTCCTGATCTCAAGTGATCTACCCTCCTCGGCCTCCCAAAGTGTTGGGATTACAGGTGTGAGCCACTGCGCCCGGCCAATATCACCATTTCTATCCCCCAAAGATTCAATGGGTCTAGGCATTGAGCATCTACAGCTGCTAAAACCAATAAAAACAAAGCAAAAACCAGACTTATGTGCCTACGTGGATCTAGAGCATTGCCAAAAGGATCAAACAGGATCTGGTTCAAGTAGCCCGTGCATCCAGCTGCCAATGTGCAGGGAGTACAGAGAACACGTTAAACTATAGCATAAATGTGTAATCAGCAAAACCCAAACCGTTGGAAACTCTATAGGTGAAATGTGCCAGACTGTTTTAACAGATAAACTGTAAGGAAGTCAACTCCAAAAGATGGAAGGGGAGCCTGTAGATTAAGAGAGACTTAAAAAAAAAAAAAAAAAAAAAAAAAAGTTCGGGCATGGTGGCTCACACCTGTAATCTCAGCACTTTGGGAGGCCGAGGCAGGTGGACTGCCTGAGGTCAGGAGTTTGAGACCAGCTTGTCCAATATGGTGAAACCCCATCTCTACTAAAAATACAAAAATTAGGCGGGGGCGGTGGCGTGCGCCTGCAGTCCCAGCTACTCGCGAGGCTGAGGCAGGAAAATTGCTTGAACCCAGAAGGCAGAGGTTGCAGTGAGCCAACATCACGCCACTGCACTCCAGCCTGGGCGACAGAGTAACACTCCATCTCGAAAAAAAAAAAAAAAATCAAAAGTTGTTTAAGGCAAGTACATTATTGGGGCAACTAGGGAAATTTGAACATGGGCTATATATTAGATAACATTTGTGTAAATAATGAAATGCCAACTTTCCTGAGTACAATAACGGTATTGTGATCATATAAATGAATGTCCACGTTCTTTGGAAATACATGCTGAATTAGATACAGATGGAAAATGCAATGATATCTACAATTAATTCTCAAATGGTTCAGGAAAATAAAATATACTCGTGTGTATGAACACCATGCATAGGTGAAAAGATAGATTATGCAAATGCAGCAAATGTTAGTGAATCTAAGTGAAGGGTATATTCATTGTACTAGTCCTGCACCTGATCTGTAGTTTTGAAATTTTCTCAAAATGAAAATTGGGAAATAAAGTAAAGCCACATACACATATACTCCATGATGAAAAACTCTTTTAAAGCCATCACACTGGCAAAAATGGTAACAATTACTTGGCATCATCTAGTAAAACTGAAGATATGCAGACCCTATGAATCAGGAACCCTGGTCTAGAAAAATTCTTCACAAATTATGAAGCCATGCTGTGTTGTAATAGTAATATACTGAAACCCACCCAAGGAGCCACCAACATGGGTATTTTCCCATAAAGAAAATATGACCAGGCGCAGTGGCTCATGCCTGTAATCCCAACACTTTGGGAGGCTGAGGAGGGCGGATCACCTGAGGTCAGGAGTTTGAGACCAGCCTGACCAACATGGTGAAACCCTGTCTCTACTAAAAATACAAAAATTAGCCAGGGATGGTGGCGCATGCCTGTAGTCCTAGCTACTCTGGAGGCTGAGGCAGGAGAATTGCTTGAACCCAGCAGGCGGAAGTTGCAGTGAGTCATGACTGCACCACTACACTCCAGCCTGAGCAACAGAGTGAGACTCCGTCTATTAAAACAACAACAACAACACAAAGAAAATAGTCTACAGCAGTGAAGATGAATACACTACTGCCATACATAACCCATAAACAAAATGTTAAGGGAACAAAACAAGTTGCAAAATAATATGTAGTAAGACTCATCTAGATAAACTTATATATATATAATATGTATATTTAGACTTAAATTTGGTATATTTTTATAAAGGCAAAAACAGGCAGGCTCAACAATAGTATTTCAGAATACAGACATATATGGTTAAACTGGAAGAAAAGTTTAAAGAAAAACAAGGGAATGAAATAAAATTCCAGATAATGGTTCCCTCTGGGGAGACTTGGGGGTGAGGGGACCCATGGAAGACTTGAAAGGCATCGGTAATTTCCTTTTTTTTTTTTGAGATGGAGTCTTGTTCTGTCGCGCAGGCTGGAGTGCAGTGGCGCGATCTTGGCTCACTGTAACCTCCACCTCCCAGGTTCAAGCAATTCTCTGCCTCAGCCTCCCGAGTAGCTGGGATTACAGGCACCTGCCACCATGCCTGGCTAATTTTTTGGTATTTTTAGTAGAGACGGGTTTTCACCATCTTGGCCAGGCTGGTCTTGAACTCCTGACCTCGTCATCCACCTGCCTCGGCCTCCCACAGTGCTGGGATTACAGGCGTGAGCCACCGCGCCCCACGGTAATTTCCTAGTTTTAAAGGTAGATAATTGGTTGGTATGTACATGGTCATTATAGTGTTGGATTTTAAACTATACATATGTTATATATTCTTGTAACTTAAAAGAAAGCCCTAGACTGTACCAAGATGACAATATTTCTGGACACACCTATCTTTGCTTCATAGTTCTGACAAAAAGTTCATTTTAACTGAAGCAGATAAATTCCTCTTAAGTAACCAATGATGACAGACTGAAACACTACTTTATTGGTAGAAGACTCAGCACAAACATTTAGAATCATTTCGTAAGAGGGAAAAGGGATGTGGCAGAGCAGCAAAATGCCACAGACCTGTTTGGGATATTTCAGAGTAATATACCCCCATGGGAAATAATACCGTTAAGAATTGTGCCATCATTCCTAATTTAAAAATTTTCAGTGCCCTGTTTTATGTATGTATGTATGTATTTAGAGACCGAGTCTCGCTCTTTCGCCCAGGCTGGAGTGCAGTGGCACGATCTCAGCTCACTGTAACCTCCGCCTCTCAGGTTCAAGTGATTCTTGTGCCTCCGCCTCCCAAGTAGGTGGGATTACAGGTGTGTGCCACCATGCCTGGCTAATTTTTGTGTTTTCAGTAGAGACGGGGGTGCGCCATGTTGTCCAGGCTGGTCTCAAACTTCTGGGCTCAAGTGATCCACCCGTCTCCACATCCCAAAGTGCTGGGATTACAGGCGTGAGCCACCACACCTGGCCAGCACCCTGTTTTAAACATAGTGTCCACAGTTTCTCTGACTATGTACAACCAAAAGCCAGTACATCTGTTACATGATTAGAATACAAACAATTGGCCGGGCACGGTGGCTCAAGCCTGTAATCCCAGCACTTTGGGAGGCCGAGGCGGGCAGATCACGAGGTCAGGAGATCAAGACCACCCTGCACAACATGGTGAAACCCCATCTCTACTAAAAATACTAAACCCCGTCTCTATTAAAAATTAGCCAGGCGTGGTACTATGTACCTGTAATCCCAGCTACTCGTGAGGCTGAGGCAGGAGAATCGCTTGAACCCGGGAGGCGGAGGTTGCAGTGAGCCGAGATCGTGCCACTGCGCTCCAGCCTGGGCCACAGAGCGAGACTCTGTCTCAAAAAAAAAAAAAATATGAATTAGATGATACTTAATTGAGACTGGTAATTAAAGCTGGACTTGAAAACCAACTTCCTAACAAGCTAAGAAACAAAAAAGTCCCCTTCATGAAGCGTCCCTTAATTCCCTTCAATGAAGACAAGATATCTTCATCCAAAAATCATACATTTTTGTGTGTGCCTTTCTTCTGGCATTTATCACATTTTATCTTGTATTTTGGTCATATGCTTTCCTTATCTCCTTTACTAGATTTTGAATTATTTGATAGTCTATGAAGAGAATATACTCAGCTCCAAGGCCCCAGAAAGATTCATTTTCCAGGGTAGCTTAAATCTTAGCTCTCATTAAAAAAACAAAAACAAGGCCGGGCGTGGTGGCTCACGCCTGTAATCCCAGCACTTTGGGAGGCCGAGATGGGTGGAGCACCTGAGTTCAGGAGTTCGAGGCCAGCCTGACCAACATGGTGAAAACCCGTCTCTACTAAAAATACAAAAATTAGCTGGGTGTTGTGGTGTGCGCCTGTAGTCCCAGCTACTCAGGAGGTTGAGACAGGAGAATGGCTTGAACCCGGGAGGTGGAGGTTGCAGTAAGCCGAGATCGTGCCACTGCACTCCAGCCTGGGCAACAGAGCAAGATTCCATCTCAAAAATAAATAAATAAACCAAAAAATAAAAAACAAAAATCCCCCTGAAGCCCATGAAATCTAAAGTGGGGGGGGTGAAGCAAGATCAACAAAAAACAATGCCACTTCATTATATCAAGTAATTCCTGAAATTTAAGAATATTGAATTTTGAATTAATAGGGCCTTCTGCTATTTTTCCTTTAAAACTTGTAATAAATATTTAATGCAGTCAACATTAATTTTTTGTATTTTTAGTAGAGATGAGGTTTCACCGTGTTAGCTAGGATGGTCTCGATCTCCTGACCTCGTGATCCGCCCACCTCGGCCTCCCAAAATTCTAGGATTACAGGCATGAGCCACCGAGCCCGACCGTTTTTTTTTTTTGTTTGTTTGTTTGTTTGTTTTTGATACAGGGTTTCACTCCCATTCACCAGGCTGGAGTGCAGTGGGGTGAACATGGCTCACCACAAACTCTACCTCCTGGGCTCATGAGATTCTCCTGCCTCAGCCTCCCAAGTAGATGGGACTACAGGTGCATGCCACCACACCTGGTTATTATTTTTTTTTTGGTAGTTTTTGTAGAGACAGGGTTTTGCCATATTGCCCAAGCTGGTCTCGAACACCTAGGCTCAAAGCGATTTGCCTGCCTCAGCCTCCCAAAGTGCTGGGATTTCAGGCATGAGCCACTGTGCCTGGCCCTGATTTTATTACCTTCTATTGAGAACAGACAGCTGTCAATAAAATTATCCTTGGAGAGTAACAAACAGGAGAAAGCCTTAAGTTCTCAATGACTCTGAAGAAGGCAAGGGTATAAAGACAGAGAGAAATGCAAACCAATCATGAGCTAATTAAAAATCTTTACCACCTCACTCTAAAAAGATCTGCATATAAATTTGGGTAGCTTTAATATCTAATGTCTTCAAATGACCAGAAAATGTTGGCCTGCTTAACTGGTATCCTAACCACAGTCCAGCTGCTTCTGCACTGGGCTGAATTCTTAGCACAGTCAGAGAATGCTGTTTCCAAGCCAGAGGCTCCCGCAGCCCTCACTTTAGCTTTGGTGTGCGTGTGTGTCTGCACAGACACCACAGTGAGCACTCCGGGGAGCCTGGGGGACTCCCTCTGGCTTTGGTGTGCTTCAGTCTGCAGTCACACCACAATGAAGGCTCGCAGTTGAGGCTTTTAGTCTCACTTTCCACATTTCTGTCTAGGGCTGTTTAGAGATTTCTTGATATTTTACTTCCTTTCCCATATAAAATTTAGTGTGCATTTGTTTTTTTGCTTGTTTGTTTTTGTTTTTTTGAGATGAAGTCTCGCTCTGTTGCCCAGGCTAGAGTACAGTGGCGCAATCTTGGCTGACTGCAACCTCTGCCTCCTGGGTTCAAGCAATTCTCCTGCCTCAGCCTCCTGAGTAGCCGGGATTACAGACGTGCATCACCATGCCCAGCTAATTTTTGTATTTTTTTAGTAGAGACAGGGTTTCATCATGTTGGCCAGGCTGGTCTGGAACTCCCGACCTCAGGTGCTCCACCCGCCTCGGCCTCCCAAAGTGCTGGGATTACAGGCATGAGCCACCGCACCTGGCCGCATTTGTTAAGGAATTTTTTAAAAAGGAAAGGAAGCTTCCATAGAAAATATCAGAGAAATAAAACAAAAAACAATCAAAAAAACAGGGATTGCCAAAAGACTCTTGATATTGGTATAGAATTTCCTATTCAAGAGCTAGTTTAAATAGGCTCGAGAAGGACTAATTCCTTTAGAAACCACCAGTATAAAAATTAGTGGGGTTTTTTTTCTTTTTTTCTTTTTTTTTTTTTTTGAGACAGGGCCTCACTGTGTTGCTCAAGCTGGAGTGCAGTGGCGCAATCATGGCTCACTCTATTTAGCCCTTACCTTCTGGGCTCAAGCAATCCTCCCACCTCAGCCTCCCAAAGTATGCCACCATGCCCAGCTAAATTTTTTATTTTTTGGAGAGATAGGGTCTCACTATGTTGCCTAGGCTGGTCTCAAACTCCTGAGCTCAAGTGATCCTCCCACCTTGGACTCCCAATGTGCTGGGCGTGAGTCACTGCACCTGGCCAAAAAATGAGTCTTAAGATTTCACTAGAAGATTATTTATGTAAATAATAAAGAGGGCTTATAATTTATTCTGTTACTTCCAAATCCCAGTTCAAAATTCTGGATTTTAATTCTGAGATAGTTATTTATATGTATTTTTTTAACTTGTCAATGATTTGAAGCTCAGTTATTTATTTTTTTTTAAAAAGTATTTTCATTGAAAAATGAACTTCCTTCAATCTGTGATGTAGAAGGTATATTAATATAAGAAGTCTAATTCTTCCTTAGCTGGCTGTGCCTCTGAGTGCTTAGTAGAGACATGATACCTTATTCTCTACTCATTCTTCCTTATCAGTGGGAGGAAGGGAATGTTCCAAGCGAACATAGGCAACATTTAATCGGCTATGTGGCCACTAAAAGAGATGAAAGGTGACAAGTTCTTACAATTACACAACTTCTTCCCTCTGTTGCTCATGTACTAGACAGCACAGAGAACGTGGCCTTTAGCTGGTAGCTAGTCCCCAACATACGATGGCTCACACCCTCAGCTGAGCTGAGAAGCCTGGGGGATAAACAGAAACAGCAGTGCTAAGGAAAGAACAGAACTCATGATAAGTGAAAAACCAAGAGGAAGAGGCTCTCAATTATGTCTTTTTCCTGGGAGCATAGTACATTCCCTTTGAATTCAGTTTCAATAAGACTTTTAAATAATACGCTACACTTAGAGGAAACTAGGAATACAATATAATGGAAAATATGGTCTAAGACTACGGTGGAATGCATTGCATTTTATGGTCACCACTTATTTGGCCCTGCTGATAATAACCAAATACTCAGAAGTTCTACTGCTCTACCAAGAAAGGTCACCTGAAAAATCTGAGCTGGAGACAGAACTAGAAGCAAACAGAAAAAGCAATAAATCAACAGGGTTATCAAATATTTTACAAAACCCTAGAGAAACCACATATTTAAACCAAAAGGAAGATAATGAAAAAGATGCTCCTCACCTTTTGAAAGTTCTCCTTCCACAAATCTTCTATGACTATATATCCTCGTAAACCCCAGTCATATAATCTCTCCCCACTGACCTTAAAACAAAATAGAAAAGATCTTACCATCTGACCCAGCAATCCCTATTATTGGGAATAATAATGGAATATAAATCATTTTACTATAAAGATATATGCATGCATATGTTCATCATAGCACTATGCATAATAGCAAAACATGGAATCAACCTAAATGCCCATCAATGGTAGATTTTTTTTTTTTTTTTGAGATGGAGTTTTCGCTCTTGTTGCCCAGGCTGGAGTGGAATGGCGCAATCTTGGCTCACTGCAACCTCTGCCTCCTGGGTTCAAGCAATTTTCTTGCCTCAGCCTCCCAAGTAGTTGGGATTACAGGCATGTGCCACCACACCCAGCTAATTTTTTGTATTTAGTAGAGACAGGGTTTCACCACATTGGTCAGGCTGGTCTCGAACTCCTGGCCTCAGGTGATCCACCTACCTCGGCCTTCCAAAGTGCTGGGATTACAGGCGTGGGCCAACATGCCCAGCCAATGGTAGACTTGATAAAGAAAATGTGGTACTTATACACCACAGAATACTATGCAGCCAAAAAGAATGAGCTCATGTCCTTTGCAGGGACAGGGATGGAGCTGGGGGCCATTATCTTAAGTGAACTAACATAGGAACAGAAAACCAAATACCACATGTTCTTACTTGTAATTGGGAACTAAACCTTGACAACACATGGACACAAAGAAGGGAACAGAGACCGAGGCCTACTTGAGGGTGGAGGGTGAGAAGAGGGCGAGGATCAAAAAACTACCCATCAGGTACTAGGCTTATTACCCGGGTAACAAAATAATCTGTACACCAAACCCTCATGACACACGATTTACAATAACAAACCTGCACATGTACACCTAACGCTAAAAGTTAAAAAAGAAAGAAATTTAAAAAAAAAAAAAAAAGACTCCTACTCTGGGGACAGCCACATATGCTTCTCAACGAGCAACCAAGTTCACCCTCTCCACTCTAGCTATTTACTGCTTAAACCATAACAGGCTGAAATAATGTTTAATTATTTTTATATCTAGGGCTGGAAGATGTTACTCACTGTTCCTGACCTGGGGCTGGAGCAGGGACAGAAGCATTAACTATCTGCCTCCAGGACTGTTACAAACAATGTTGAGCAAATGCTGGAAAGTACTGGTATTTGTCATCAAAGCCATCAAGCTCCCCAAGCTGGGGCCACTGGACTCTCACATACAACTGTAGCCCAATCAAGGAATCTGGATTCAATACTGTCATGAACAACCAAGGAAGCTCAGTCTCAGGTCAGTCTGGCTCAGAGTCCAATTTGGGTGACTGCACTGCTGTCTGCTCCTGGAACTGAGTTTCCATGTGATGTGGTAGTTCCAGCAGCTAAAGTCCCTGTGTCCACAATCTGCCCAGGACCTCAAAACCTAGAGCCTGTCTTGTTCTTACCAGTTCCTGAGGGACACCATCTCTAGAGTCCCACTCACTCCAGATATCACCCTTTTCAGGCTACCTACTGGTCTCCATCAGTGGTTCTCAAACACCATAGGCATTAATAACAAACCACCGGAGGGCTTGCTAAAACACAGACTGCTGGCCCTTACTCCCAGAGCTTCTGATTCAGTCAGTCTGGGGTGGGGCCTGAGAGTTTGCATTTCTAACAAGTTCTCAGGTGATGCTGCTGCTTCTGGTCTGGTAACACATTTTAAGAATCGGTGGTACAGCTTTATCCATGTTGCCTGCCACCGTGATAGACCTGCTTGCCAGGGTACCATAAGACTGAGGCTTCAAGGATAAGAAAGGAGCAGCCAACTGAAAGCCCCGAAAAGGGCACTCCAAGCAGAGGGGATTACAGTCCCCAAAGTCCCCAGCAAGGAAAGCAAGGGCACCAGTACTAGGGAGGAGTGGAAGTCAGAGTAGTCTGGGTCTACAATACCAACGAGAGCAGGTTGTGACCGGACATGCATAAACTGAGTGACCCATAATTATCAGCTTTGGAATTTGAGTCTCTAGACTTCCATGTAAGTATACAAAAAATGTATATTAAATTTTTGCTGATGAACATTCAAACAATCACGCAAATTCGTGTTCAAATTCTGTGAACACTGGCATTACTGGAAGAAGGGCCAGAACTGAGGCATATAGTGGAGAAAATCATTTAAATTTTCTGTATTCATCTATATGTACAAACAAATTTTAGTCTGGTGTTATAAGAACTGCAAAATAAAATAAAATTAAGCATCAGATTCATACACACACAAACAAGAATGAGGGACATCATGGATTACAGAGTTTCTCTTACCTGGGCAAACACGATGGCTTGTTGTGGATAATAGAGGGAGGCAGCTAATCCCATGAAACCAGGCGGATACACTAGCTTCTTTATTTTTGAACCTGATAAATAAAAGGTTGTACACGCCATCAGATGATTCATTATCCTCACCATCACAATTTACCTTATCCATTTAATACGGAACAAGGCCAGGCACAGTGGCTCACGCCTATAATCCAAAAGCTCTGGGAGGCCGAGGCGGGAGGATCACTTGAGGCCAGGAGTTTGACACCAGCCTGGGCAACATAGTCAGATCCTGTCTCTACAAAGATTAAAATAAAAAAATTAGCCAGGCGTGGTAGTGTGTGCCTATAGTCCTAGCTACTTGGGAGGCTGAGGTGGGAGGATTCCTTGATCCCAGGAGTTCGAGGTTACAATGAGCTATGATCACACCTCTAAACTCCAGCCTGGGTGACAGAGCAAGACCGTGTCTCTTAAGAAACCCAAACAACAAAACCAAAATAACCCCACCACTGAATAAGATTTCTTTGGTCCTAAACTGAAAGAATGTGCCAAATAAAGTCATGTGCACCAAAACGCTTTTGCACTGCTTTATTGAGATAAAATTCATATTCACCCATTTAAAGTACAGTTCAATGGCTTTTAGTATATTGACAGAGGTGTGTAACCATCATTACAATTAACTTTAGAGCTTTTTCATAATCACTAAAAGAAACCCATTAGCAGTCATTCCTCAACTCCCCCGTACCGTCCAGCCCTAGGCAACCATTGATCTACTTTCTATCTCTATGTGTTTGCCTACTCTGGATATTTCTTTTTTTTTTTTTTGAGACAGAGTTTTGCTCTTGTCACCCAGGCTGGAGTGCAATGGCGCAATCTTGGCTCACTGCAACCTCTGCCTCTCGGGTTCAGGCAATTCTCTTGCCTCAGCCTCTCGAGTAGCTGGGGTTACAGGCACACGCCACCATGCCCGGCTAATTTTGTATTTTTAGTAGGCATGGGGTTTCGCCATGCTGGCCAGGCTGGTCTCGAACTCCTGACCTCAGGTGATCCACCCGCCACGGCCTCCCAAAGTGCTGGGATTACAGGTGTAAGCCGCTGCGCCCGGCCCTCTGGGTATTTCATATAAATGGAATCATGCAGTAAATATACGGTCCTTTGTGACTGGCTTCTTTCACTCAGCACCAAGTGTTTTCAAAAGAACACCTTTTTTTCCCTAAGAGAGCAGAAAAAAAGATTATTTTAAAAATAAACAAATGAGTATTTTGGTTTCTAGGGTTTATGTTCTTTTATAGCAATCTGGCTTCCTATATAAATACTAAACACAAGCGTTCTTCTTCTCCCCTTTCTGCAACCCCGTTAAAAAAACAGTAAGAAAAAACATTAATAAACCCACAATGAAGAGAAAATGTGTGGAAGGGCCACTGGCAGAAAGGAAGTGTCAATCAATTTTCAGAAAATGGAGAGTGAACGGAAATAAGAGGACACACTGCCTTGAAATCTTGAAATCTTGAGGAGGAGTGCAGCCTCAGAGGGAGCAGATCTGTCCCAGGCAGCCCCAGGGAGATTCCAGATCCAGAGATGGCAGGTACCATGGGGAGTGGAGATGGCAACCAGGGAGCAAGACAAGGGCACAGGACAAACGCAAGTCCGATGCATGGACCAGCATGGCCTTTCCTTCCCCTATGCCATCCCAGTACAAAACTACCCCTGGCCAGGAAGTCACACCAGTTCAAAATGTTAAAAAACCCAGTAAACCAGGGTTACTGGGTGTGGTGGCTCACACCTGTAATCCTAGCACTTGGGGAGGTCGAGGCATAAGGATTGCTTGAGGCCAGGAATTGAGACCAGCTGGAGTAACATAGCGAGACTCCATCTCCATTTCTTTTTTTTCTGTTGAGAGAGGGCCTCACTCGGTCTCCCAGGCTGGAGTGCAGTGGCACAATCATGGCTCACTGCAGCCTCGACCTCCCAGGTTCAAACTATCTTCCTGCCTCAGCCCCTCAAGTAGGTGGGACAAGAGGTGCAAGCCATCATGCCTGGCTAATTTTTTTTTTTTCTGTAGTTTTTGTAGACACGGGGTTTCCTCATGTTGCCCAGGTTGGTCTTGAACTCCTGAGCTCAAGCAATCCACCTGCCTCAGCCTCCCAAAGTGCTGGGATCACAGGCATGAGCCAGTACGCCCAGCCCCCCATCTCTATTCCTTTAAAAAAAAAAAAAAAATGAGCCTGATGCAGTGGCTCACACCTGTAATCCCAGCACTTTGGGAGGCTGAGGTGGGAGGACTGATTGAGCCCAGGAGTTTGAGACCAGCCTGGGCAACTTAGGGAGACCACATCTCTACAAAAAATTAAAAAATTAGTAAGGTGTGGTGGCATGTGCCTGTGGTCCTAGCTACTCAGGAGGCTGAGGCTGGAGGATTGCTTGAGCCCAGGAGTTCAAGGCTACTGTGAGCTGTGTCTATGCCACTGCACTCCAGCCTGGGTGATAATTTGGATGTTGTTCTCTCTGAATCTCATGTTAAATTGTAATCCCCAATGTTGGAGGTGGGGCCTGGTGGGACGTGACCTGATCATGAAGGTGGATTTCTCACAGATGGTTTAACACCATTCCCTTGGTGCTGTCCTTGTGCAACAGTGAGTTCTCTTGAGATCTGGTTGTTTAAAAATGTGTGACACCTCCCCCACCTCTTTCTCTTGCTCGCACTCTTGCCATGTGAGACACCAGCTCCCCCTTTGCCTTCCACCATGATTGCAAGCAGCCCAAGGCCTCACCAGAAGCCGAGGAGATGCTGGTGCCATGCTTCCTGTACAGCCTGCAGAACTGTGAGCCAACTAAACCTCTTTTCTTTATAAATTACCCAGTGTTAGGTTATAGCAATGCAAGAATGGCCTAACACATTGGGTGATAAAGCAAGATCCTGTCTCAAAAAAAAAAAAAAAAAAAAAAGAGTTAAAACAGTGGGGGCAGGGTATCACTAAAGAAACACCATGGATTTCCTGCTGAGAACCAAGAGAGCTGGAAGGGGTGAGTATGTCAGTGCCTGAGAGAAAAGCCCTCCTCACACTGGCCCTGGGTGCACCCTTGTATATGGTCACTTCCTGCCCAGCTCCCCTGAGGTAGAACCTGCCCGTCAGTGGGCCCCATGTACAGACAGGGAGTTCTTTTTTTTTTTTTTTTTTTTTTCCCGAGACGGAGTCTTGCTCTGTTGCTCAGGTTGGAGTGCAGTGGCGTGATCTCAGCTCACTGCAACCTCTGCCTCCTGGGTTCAAGTGATTCTCTAGCCTCAGCCTCCTGAGTAGCTAGGATTACAGACACCCTCCACCACACCCGGCTATTTTTTGTATTTTTAGTAGAGATGGGGTTTTCCCATGTTGGCCAGGCTGGTCTTGAACTCCTGACCTCAGGTGATCCGCCTGCCTCAGCCTCCCAAAGTGCTGGGATTACAGGTGAAAGAGTTCTTATTAGCATTTCAGCTGCCTCACTTTGAAACATGACTGGATAACCAAGAATCACCAGTCATTTGTGGAAAGCCTGAAACATAAAGGAGAAAGACCAAGACAAGCACAAAGGAAACAGAAGAACTTCAAAACAAAACTAAACCTATTACTAAGTATCATCAAATAAATTTTAAAAGCCACTACATTAAAAGAAAAAAATAATTCTATGAAAAAAAGAACATTCAAAGAACAGGAAGGAGCTCTTGGAAATGACCAAAGCAAAAAAAATTCAAAAGGAACAAAATAAAATAATCAAGAAAATATAAGAGACACATAGGGTCCTTTTAAATAACTCAATTGCTAATTAATGCGTTGAGGAAGGAAAAAGAATGAGAGTAAATTTTCAAAGATACACAAGATAGGCTGGGCGCAGTGGCTCATGCCTATAATCCTAGCGCTTTGGGAGGCTGAAGAAGGAAGACTGCTTGAGCTCGGGAGTTTGAGACCAGCCTGGGCAACATGGTGACACCCGGTCTCCACAAAAAAAAAAATTAGTCAGGTGTGGTGGTGCATGCCTATAGTCGCAGCTACTCAGGAGGCTGAGATGGGAGGATTGCTTGAGCCTGAGGAGGTCAAGACTGCAGTGAGCCCTGATCATGCCACTGCACTACAACCTGGGTGACAGAGTGAGATCATCTCTCAGAAAGAAAAGAGAAGAGAAGAGAAGAGAAAGGGACGGGACGAGAAGGGAAGGAAGAAGGAGGGAAGGGAAGGGAGAAGGAGGGAGGGGAGGGAGGGATGCAGGGGATGGAAGGGGAGGGAGGAGGGAAGGGGAGGGAGAAGGAGGGAAGGGGAGAGAGGGAGGGGAGGGCAGGGAAGGGAGAAGGAGGGAGGGAGGGAGGAAAAGAAGATATTTTCCTTCAGCTGGATGCTGCAAGCCGCCATATTGTTTGGGCAAGAATGAAAACACTATATCCAAGGCTGGGCATGGTGGCTCATGCCTGTAATCCCAGCACTTTGGGAGGCTGAGGCGGGTGGATCACTGGAGGTCAGGAGTTCAAGACCAGCCTGGCCAACATGGTGAAACCCCATCTCTACTAAAACCACAAAAATTAGCCAGGCGTGGTGGTGCACGCCTGTAATCCCAGCTAACTGGGAGGTTGAGGCGTGAGAATCACTTGAACCCAGAGGTGGAGGAGGTTGCAGTGAGCGGAGATTGTGACACTGCACTCCAGCCTGGGTGACAGAGTGAGACTCCGTCTCAAAAAAAAAGAAAAGACTTCTATCTAGTCACAGCACCAAAGAAATTCAGAACACTAAAGATTCACAGAAGATCTTCAAAGCTTCCAGGAAGAAAAAAAAAATGTATCACCTGTTCAGAAGCAGCAAATATCCAGAATGGCTACTGACTCTCACATCTACAACGCCAGATGCTAGAATACATGGCTTTGAAAGTTTTGATGGCAAACAAAATTCAGTGCCCAACCAAACTGTCACATGGTATGAGGGCAGAAAGTGATTTTCAGACATGGAAGGTCTTGGGAAGTTTACCTCCAACATACGCTTTTTTGAAAGTGACTTAAGCATGTAGTTCAACAGCACGGCAGAGTAAACCAAGGAGAAGATGACATGGAACCCAGGAAAAGGGGGCTTAAACCCAAGAAAGTGTGAAGAAGACCAGTCCCAAAACAAGAACTGTGTTGAAGTCTCAGGCCAGATTGTAGGAGGATATAGAGCTGTGGAGCAAGGGAAATGGACAGAAGAGACAGCAGGACACAGAGCCTGGAGAAACCTGAGAATGAGGTTAAAAAAACCAGTAGAGGATGAAACTAGAGAATACACATGGCCTTGACTCCACTGAGAGGCATAGTGTTTTTTGCTGTGGGACCCATATAGATGCTAGCAGAATGTGTGTGTTATTGATTTTTTTTTTTTTTTTTGAGATGGAGTTTTGCTCTTGCTGCCCAGGCTGGAGTGCAATGGTGCAATCTCGGCTCACTGCAATCTCCACCTCTTGGGTTCAAGTGATTCTCCTGCCTCAGCCTCCCAAGAATCTGGGATTACAGGTATGCGCCACCATGCCCAAATAATTTTGTATTTTTAGTAGAGACAGGGTTTCACTATGTTGGTCAGTCTGGTCTCGAACTCCTGACCTCAGGTGATCCACCCACCTCAGCCTCCCAAAGTGCTGGGATTACAGGTGTTAGCCACCATACCCGGCTGATTTGTTTGTTTGTTTGTTTGTTTTGAGATGGGGTCTCGCTCTGTTGCTCAGGCTGGAGTGCAGTGGTGCGATCTCGGCTTGCTGCAACCTCTGCCTCCCGGGTTCAAGTGATTCTCCTGCTTTCGCCTCCCAAGTAGCTGGGATTACAGGCACCCGCCACCACGCCTGGCTAATGTTTGTATTTTTAGTAGAGACGGGTTTCACCATGTTGGCTAGGCTAGTCTTGAACTCCTGACCTCAGGTGATACATCCGCCTTGAACTTCTGAAGTGCTGGGATTACAGGTGTGAGCCACTGTACCCCGACAGAATGTGTACATTAATCCTTAAACGGTTCTAATCACATAAGTACTGTTTATTGGCTTTAAAACTTTAAACAGAGAAATCCCCAACGATGGAACTGGGACTGCTGAAGAGAATACAAATGTTATCAACCTAGACTATTAATGATTTACTGTTTCTCTCCTGATCCTGTTGCATGAATTGAAAGGGTATAATTATCCTAGAAGAGAAAAGCCTGTGATATCCCTGCATATGGCCCCTCCCCTGCCCCCATCCACTTGAAGCAGCTCACCCAAGTGAGGACCAGGGAAAGAGCAGCCAACCTGCCACCCAGTCATTTCTCACTCCTCCAGGGAGAGCCGAGAAGTGGCAGCTCTCGGGCCTCCAGCTCCTGCTGGTTCACACAATGAGCCAGAGACCCAAGAACTTCAGGAAGGAGGTGTAATCATACTCCCCTGCCCCCACCTCCATGCCCTATCTCCCAAGAGGCCAGTGGTACAGGTTGTCACTATCAGCACTGCCAGGGGCGGGGGGAACCACTGGTGGCCAATGCTGGGGAGAGCCACCAGAAGGCAACAATAGTGTCAACAACCACGTGTCATCTTGGAGTGGTCTGGCTGGGCCCACTTCCTCTGAATGGACATCCATTCACCTCTCTGAGAGCCTCTTGTCACCACCACAGTTGTGGCAATCCTCAACAACTGAAGCAGACTACCTTAGCAGATACGCTCAAGAAACCCCACCAGGCCAGGCACAGTGGCTCACAACTATGATCCCAGCACTTTGGGAGGCTGAGGTGGGAGGATCACTTGAGGTCAGGAGTTCGAGACAAGCCTGGTCAACATGGTGAAACCTCGTGTCTACTAAAAATACAAAAATGAGCTGGGCATGGTGGTGCACGCCTGTAGTCCCAGCTACTCGGGAGGCTGAGGCAGGAGAATCACCCGAACCCAGGAGGCAGGGTTGCAGTGAGGCTGAGATGGCGCCACTGCACTCCAGTCTCGGCAACAGAGCAAGACTGTCTCAAAAAAAAAAAAAAGAAACTCCTATCAGGAGGGACCTTCTGCACCCACCCACCCTGCTGCTGCCCTCAAAGGGGCCCATTCACCTGGAGGGGCCTGCAAACCATTCTGGCTACCCACAGACATCCCTATCACCCCACTCATCTTGCTTGGTGAACCCCTCTGATGCTGCTCACCTCAGGTCTTTCTATACCCAACGCTCAGGAGAAAAGACCTGCTATTGCACATGTGTGTGTGCGTGCCTGTGTGAATATTTGTGAAAAAGAATTAAGGTGTCAAATTATTTTAATACTACCAAGCTCTCCCCAGGAAAAGGAAGAAAAGAGACAGAACGAACAAACAAAATCAGAGGACTAGGACCCACTGTAGCAGATGTCCTCATGCTGCTGCTCTGGCCAGGAGAGCACCATCTCCAATCCTCCTTAGGATGGTCATCCTAGTGGATGTTCCAGGGACAAGCTCTCGGCACTGTAGGAACGTACCCACAGCACAGAAAAAGTGCTTTCTTTGGACCTGGAAGATTTTCCCACATGCTCTAACCAGGAGAGGGAGGGGGAAGCTCCTCTCACTCACTTCTACATTCCTATCTCCCTAACGATAGCTGAAATCCCAACACCCTGGCCTTGGGATGTTCATCAATCTCAAACGCTATCTAAATAAGACCGAATGCTCTTCTGAACAGCTTTGCAAGAAATGAGGTGAAAGAAGTTTAGGGAAAAATGTTGGTTCATAAGTTGATTACAAAAATAAGCTGGAAATTTAATTCTGACATATTCTGCATGAGATGGGAGGAGGGCACAAAGACTGTGACATGAGTTGCTTCCACAGGTGAGCTGGTAGTGCCACCAGGGCAGTGTCTACCCTCCAGATTCAAAAATAACAGCCATTAGCTGGGTGCGGCAGCTCATGCCTATAATCCCAGCACTTTGGGGGACACCAAGGGAGGTGGATGGCTTGAGTTCAGGAGTTCAAGAGTTCAAGAGTTCAGGAGTTCAGCCTGAGCAACATAGCGAAACTCCGTCTCTACTAAAAATACAAAAATTACCTGGGCATGGTGGCAGGCGCCTGTAATCCCAGCTACTTGAAAGGCTAAGGTGAGAGGATCACTTGAGCCCAGGAGGTCCAGGCTGCAATGAGCTATGATCACACCACTTCACTCCAGCCTGGGTGACAGAGTGAGACCCTGTCTCAAAAAAGAAATCAATTAAAAAAAAAATAAGGCCAGGTGTAGTGGCTCACACCTGTAATCCCAGCACTTTGGGACACCGAGGCAGGCCGATCACTTGAGGTCAGGAGCTGGAGACCAGCCTGGCTAACATGGCGAAACCCCATCTCTACTAAAAATACAAAAATTAGTTGGGCGTGGTGGTGCACATCTATAATCCCAGCTATTTGGGAGGCTGAGGCAGGAGAATCACTTGAACCCAGGAGGCGGAGGGTGCAGTGAGCCGAGATTGTGCCACTGCACTCCAGCCTGGGCGACAGAGTGAGACTCTATCTCAAATTAAGCTAAACGAAACGAAACGAAACGAAACGAAACGAAACGAAACTAAACTAAACTAAAGTAAAAGCTATTGCATGTAGAGGGAAGATTTTTTAAATTGGAGGAATAGGACTGATACAGTTTGAATGATTGTCCCCTTTAAATCTCATGTTGAAATGTGAACCCCCACGCTGGGAGGTGTTTGGGTCATGGGGGTGGATCCCTCATGAATGGCTTGGTGCCCTCCCTGTGGGAATGAGTGATTTCTCACTCTATTAGTTAACATGAGGGCTGGTTGTTTAAAAGAGCCTGGCATCTCTCTAGCTCCCTCTCTCACCATGTGATGCGCCTGCTCCCCCTTTGCCTTCCACCACGATTGGAAGCTTTCTGAAACCCTCAACAGAAATAGATGCTGATGCCACGCTTCTTGTACAGCTTGCAGAACCATAAGCCAAATAAACCTCTTTTTTTTTTCTTTTGAGACGGAGTCTCGCACTGTCGCCCAGGCTGAAGTGCAGTGGCTCGAACTCAGCTCACTGCAAGCCCCGTCTCCCAGGTTCACACCGTTCTCCTGCCTCAGCCTCCCGAGTAGCTGGGACTACAGACACCTGCCACCACACCCGGCTAATTTTTTGCATTTTTAGTAGAGACGGGGTTTCACCGTGTTAGCCAGGATGGTCTCGATCTCCTGACCTTGTGATCCACCTGCCTCGGCCTCCCAAAGTGCTGGGATTACAGGCGTGAGCCACTGCGCCTGGCATCTCTTTTCTTTATAATTACCCAGCCTCAGATATTCCTTTATAGCAATGCAAAACAAACTAATACAGGGACCAGAGTAGTCTCTATGGTTCTCTTTTACAGGGGTCTGATTACAGGATTCATAAACTTTCTTCATTAGGAATGATGGTAATGTCAGAATTTTATATCATAAACATTTAGTTTCCAACTAGCAAAACTTCAAGTAGTTGATAACAAATTCATCTCATCATAGCAAAGTATTTTATTAGCCTTTATTTCCTATAGATATTTTATAATCTAGCAGTATAGTAATATTTTTAAGTTGGCATTTGTTAGTATTTAAAGCATTTTTAAAGTTTTTGTCATCACTGACTGAAGGCATGACAAATCAAGAAGGTAATAAAATCTCTATTAAATCACTGCTCTATCTACTGTGATTAATATAGCTTGATCTTAATAGTGAAACGTTTAGAAACAGTTGATTTCTCAGGTGTGAAAGACTTTAAAATTTTGCTCTTTCTGTACCAAAGAACAACAGAGATTTGATCAAGTAAATGTGCCTATAAAGGATAACTTCTTTTTTTTACCAAGAGTATACAATTTCTATTTATGTTTAAAATCAAATATGATAACCATATCCATTATACATTAAGAAAGCCGTATTTAGGAACCAACTCATTATTCTGAAACCTGGTAAATGAAGGGAAAGAATGAAACATATATTCTATCTCTGCTTTATGAGCTGACTGTTAAAGCCATAAAATTGCACCTACCTCTAGCCAAAAGGAGTCCAATAAGGCCAGCAAAACCAATAACACCAAGTCTCGGAAAAAATCCAGGAGGTGCATTTTGGAGATAGTCATAGCTGTCTACAATAGAATTAGACCAGGAAGCAGTTCCATAAATTTCTCATTAAAAAACAAAACAAAAGTCTTATACAGTATATAATATGTATATATAGTATCAAGTGCTTTTCAAACCACATATTCTCTGCATCCTGCTACTATACTTCTCTTCAACATACTCTTTTTATGTGACATATAAACAAGATTTACTATTCACATAGCAAGTGTCCAATTTTCTTTTCTTTCTTTTTTTTTTTTTTTGAGATGAAGTTTTGCTCTTGTCGCCCAGGCTGGTGTGCAATGGCGTGATCTCGGCTCACTGCAACCTCTGCCTCCCAGGTTCAAGCAATTCTCCTGCCTCAGCCTCCCAAGTAGCTGGGATTACAAGCGCCCGCCACCACGCCCAGCTAACTTTTGTATTTTTAGTAGAGATGGGGTTTCACCATGTTGGCCAGGCTGGTCTCGAACTCCTGACCTCAGGTGATCTACCCGCCTTAGCCTCCCAAAGTGCTGGGATTACAGGTGTGAGCCACTGCGCCCGGCTGCAAGTGTCCAATTTTCAAGTACCTTTGGTCCAACAACCTACTGACAATGAAGTAAATGTTAAATTACTTTCATATTCCTGAAAGCAACAGATCTGAATCAGCAATTTGCACAGGGAGGAATACAAATACAGGGATCCTTTGCTATTCAAACTCTTGTTATGGAAACACAAAAACAGAATAGATTTGGATAAATCTTTGGATAGATCTATTGCTATCTGAAGCTTTGCTGCTTGCTCTCTGAAACTCAGGAACCAAAAACAAGCTGTGAGTGGTGGCTCATTCCTATAAACTCAGCACTTTCCAAGGCTAAGGCAGAAGAATCATTTGAGCCCAGGAGTTCAAGGCTGCGGTGAGCTAGGATTGAGCCACTGCACTCCAGCCTGACAGCCTGACAGCCTGAGCCACAGAGCAAGACACAGCCTCTTAAAAAGAAAAAAAAAAAAAAAAAAAAAAAAAGGAAGGCCAGGTGCGGTGGCTCACTCCTGTAATCCCAGCACTTTGGGAGGCCGAGGAGGGCGGATCACGAGGTCAGGAGTTCGAGACCAGCCTGACCAACATGGTAAAACCCCATCTCTACTAAAAATACAAAAAAATTAGCTGGGCGTGGTGGCACGCTCCTGTAATCCCAGCTACTCAGGAGGCTGAGGCAGGAGAATCATTTGAACCCGAGAGGTGGAGGTTGCAGTGAGCCAAGATCGCGCCACTGCACTCCAGCATGGGTGACAGAGCGAGACTCCTTCTCAAAAAAAAAAAAAAGAAAGAAATCAAATACATTAGACTCAGAAAAATAAGCATCCTTTGCCATCTGAACTCATTACTCGAACAGAAGAACAGAATAAATTTGGATAATAAAGGAAACTTGTAATTTCACTCAGAAAATAGCCACTGTTGATCGCTGTTGATGGTGATAGAATAAAAATAAATACAACATGTGACCTATTCATCATGACTGAACATGCCTTCTGACTTCATTCACATAATGCCTCGTCTCCTCTCCACTGAGCCAATCCCACCTCATAAAAGCCAAGTTGAGTCCTACTTCCACACAAAAGCCTTTCCTAAGCTCATCAGTTCACACCTCTCTCCCTCCTCTAAAGTCCCATCATATTTATTCTCTGTACCATCACTTGGTACCTAATCCTATAGTACCCTGTGTTTAATTATTCAGGTGTATATCTGGTGTCTCCCCAAGGAGAATGTAAGCTCCTTAATGATAGATTGCTTACACTTCTGTGTTATCTTCCCTCAGTGGTAATAATGGATGTTCATTCAATAGATATTTATTAAGAATGATGGCTGGGTGTAGTGGTTCACGCCTGTAATCCCAGCACTTTGGGAGGCCAAGGTGGGAGGATTGCTTGAGTCCAGGAGTTCAAGAACAGCCTGGGCAACATGGCGAAACCCTGTCTCTACAAAAAATTAAAAAAAAAAATTAGCCAGGTGTGGTGATGCATGTCTGTGGTCCCAGCTACTTGGGAGGCTGAGGTGGGAGGATTGCTTGAGTCCAGGAAGTCAAGACTGCAATGAGCTATGATCATGCCACTACACTCCAGCCTAGGTGACTGAATGAGACCCTGTCTCCAAACAAAAACAAAAACAGGCCAGGCGCAGTGGTTCACGCCTGTAATCCCAGCACTTTGGGAGGCCGATGCAGGCAGATCACAAGGTCAGGAATTCGAGACCAGCTTGACCAACATGGTGAAACCCCGTCTCTACTAAAAATACAAAAATTAGCCAGGCGTGGTGGCGTGTGCCTGTAATCCCAGCTACTCAGGAGGCTGAGGCAGGAGAATCGCTTGAACCTGGGAGGCAGAGGTTGCAGTGAGCCGAGATCACACCATTGCACTCCAGCCTGGGCAACAGAGCGAGACTCTGTCTCAAAAAACAAAAAAACAAAAAAACAAAAATCACACTGCCAGGAGTTGATAAATACTGGATGTATTCCATCCTGGCTAACATGGTGAAACCCCAACTCTACTAAAAATACCAAAAAAAAAAAAAAAATTAGCCAGGTGTGGTGGCAGGCGCCTGTAGTCCCAGCTACTCGGGAGGCTGAGGCAGGAGAATGGCGTAAACCCAGGAGGCGGAGCTTGTAGTGAGCCGAGACCGCGCCACTGCACTCCAGCCTGTGCGACAGAGCAAGACTCCGTCTCAAAAAAAAAAAAAAAAAAATACTGGATGAATTAACAAATGAATTTTAGCTAGGTCATGACTTACACAAAGCCCTCATGTCTCCTTCTCAATCTCATCTTCAGCACTCCCTATCTACTTAGGGTTCCTCAAACATCCAATACCAAGTCACACCTCTAAGCCTGATCATGCTGGGCCCAGTGTGCAATGCCTGCTTCCAGCAGTCCCACCCCCACATTTTGGAGTGGCTAACACTGCTCCTTCAAGATTCACTTCAGAAGTCCTTCCCTGACTGCTCCCACCTCCTCGATTTCAATTAAACTAATCTCCTTCCTCTGTACCTTCAATAATGGTCTGTGATTATCTCTGTATTTGCACTAGTACTGAATAATATATTACACGCATCTCAGTGGTTGTGACCACTGTCTTAACCAATCTCAATTTTCGAGGCCTGGCAGAATGGTGACTTAAAAAATATATACAGAACTGAACTAATAAACTGGAAAACTCAGCAATTCTGTCCCCTAAGTAATACCAGATACACGCCAGTTTTCCTTTTCCTGGGTTCTTTGGGAAATGTGATCATTTTAAATACTACTATAGGACTTGTATTATGTTTGCATTAATTACTGTCTGGCCTGTTACTTATTTTGCCTTTAGCCTAGTTTTTACTTTCCATCCTCTAGTCTGGGTCATTTGAGGCAATTTTTTACTTCCCTTTATTTTTGCCTACTAGCCCAGTGTTGCTCAATTCTAGATGTGTACACAGAGCAGTTGACAGAGGGACACCCAGATGGCTCTGGTGAGCTGGGCCAAAGTGGGTAAATCACAAAGAAAGGGGAAAGAAGATATGTTTTAAGACTGTACGGAGTCTGGGCAAAAAAGTGAGACCCTGCCTCTACAAAAAGTGGAAAAAATGTGATGGCACATGCCTGTAATCCTAGCTACTCGGGAGGCTGAGCTGGAAGGATTGCTTGAGCCCAGGAGGTTGAGGCTGCAGTGAGCTATGATCACGCCACTGGATTCCAGCCTGGATGACAGAGAAAGATCCTGTCTCAGAAAAATTTAAACAAGAGACCTCTCAGCCACACATGGACAGATAAAAGACTATATCAGGAGTTCTCTAGTTTCCTCGGATAAAAATGAAGATAATAAGGTATCTGTCAGCTTGTTATGAGAATTTATATATATATATATATATATATAAAATTTTTGTGGGTACATAGTAGGTGTATATATTTACGGGGTAAATGAGGTATTTTGGTTCAGGCATACAATGCATAATAATCACATCAGGGTAAATGAAGTATCCTTTACCTCAAGCATTTATCATTTTTCTTTGTGTTACAAGCATCCCAATTATACTCTTTCAGTTTATTTACAATACCTAAAAGAGTATAGCTTTTTTAGTTATTTAAAATGTACAATAAGCTAGGCGCGGTGGCTCACACCTGTAATCCCAGCACTTTGGGGGGCTGAGGTGGGTGGATCGCCTGAGGTCAGGAGTTCTACACCAGCCTGACCAATATGGTGAAACCCGTCTCTACTAAAAATACAAAAAATAGGCTGGGTGTGGTGGCGTGTGCCTGCAGTCCTAGCTACTCGGGAGGCTGAGACAGGAGAATTGCTTGAACCTGGGAGGCAGAGGTTGCAGTGAGCCAAGATAGCACCACTGCACTCCAGCCTGGGCAACAGAGTGAGAATCTGTCTCAAAAAAATAAAAAATAAATAAAATAATAAAAAATAAAATGTATAATAAAGTATTATTGACTGCAGTCACCCTACTGTGCTATCAAATACTAGGTCTTATTCATTCTAACTATATTTTTGTACTCATTAACCATCCTCACTCCACCCCCAATAAATTGGTATTTGTAAAGCACTTAGAATAGTACCTGACATATAAGTCTTAAATAAGTGTTTATGAAATTAATAAAATTAAGATGTTACTTATTAACATGCCTTAATAATTTAAAGAACCAGTAGGGGGCCAGGTACGGTGGCTCACGCCTGTAATCCCAATATTTTGGGCCGAGGCGGGCAGATCACTTGAGGTCAGGAGTTTGAGACCAGCCCGGCTAACAAGGTGAAACCCTGTCTCTACTAAAAATACAAAAACTAGGTGGATGTGGTGGCACACGCTTGTAATCCTAGCTACTCGGGAAGCTAAGGTGGGAGAATCGCTTGAACCTGAGAGACAAAGGTATCAGTGAGCTGAGACTATGCCACTGCACTCTAGCCTGGGTGACAGAGTGATATTTTGTCTCAAAAAAAAAAAAACAAAAAACCAGTAGGCAGCTATTGTTATGTTTGTCTTCAAACGATAAATTTATCTGACAGTCTCAGAAATATCAGGACATCAATACACCATGGTGATCTTACCAAAGAAACTGTACTTATGTTTATTTTGTTCTATCATGGAAACAAACCCTTGTAAAAACAAGATTTTGTTTGCGAGATGCCTAATAAGGGGAATGAAATATGATCGGTATCTTTATTAATTTACCAGTTTCTGATTAAGATTAGTCAGAACATGGACTGTGAATCCAGTTTGTGAGTGTATGTGATAAGTGGCCCACAACTGAAAAATAATCAAGGAAAATAAAACCAAATGAAAAAAAAGTAAGAACACTATCAATTATGCAGTAAGACCTTTTATAGGAGTACCAACTCAGCTCCTTCCTGCTTCAAAACTTCTAGAGCATCTATTAATTGCAATGCAAATGAGCTATTCCGATTCAGAAAATCTATTGATGAATTAGTATGGTGTATTACGCTGCACCTAGAAATGAGATTTCTTTTTTTTAAAGCAGTGTATCTGTACTTGCTAGCCCAAGAATCCTAACGATCTTGAAGAGACTTACCTGACTATTTGGGGACACTAGTTGCCTGAAATCTGATGAAAACAACAGCTCCTCTTCCCAGAAAAATCCACATAGCTCTAAAATTCTGCATATAATTTTAAGGAATACACAGATTTCTTGGAGCTCATTCATGGAACTCCGATTAAAGAGTTCAATGTTAATGAAGTAGCTGATTATGCCTAATTTAAAATCAACTTACCTAACCCCCATTGAACCAAACTTTGCATCTTGGGCTTAGTTTGGGAGTACGTTTCCTAAAAAGGTAAAAAGAAACTGAATGAAACTATTCACAGGATCTGCTGATTAGAAAGTTAACAGAATAAATATACTTGTTTTTACTGAATAAATTATCATGTTATTAACGCTTTTTGAACAAAGGGATACACTGTCTGTCTGGGTCTTTTTGTTTGTTTTTCCTATTATAATCTTCCCTTCACTGCAAATTACTCAGCAGAATGGCTTACTACTGCCACAGGAAGCAGATTCCAAACAGAGTGGTTTCAACAATCCAGCCATTTCACTCTTCCATTAAAATGGAAAAAATAGACTAAAAATCAATCCCCTTGATATTTAAGTGGCAAGCTTTTCTCCATGAGATTAAACCTGTCTTTCATATTAACTACTTCCTGATCTGCCATTAATTAGAGCCTACATCTGGAAACTGCCCATTTGAAGCAAGAATGACCAGCTTTAATGAGACAAAGGCTATAGCCCAAAGCAAATGAGGTGTCAACATTCTCTTAAAAACAATAAAAAGGCTTTGTGGCCAGGCATGATGGCTCACTCCTGTAATCCCAGCACTTTGGGAGGCCGAGTGGGGCAGATCACCTGAGGTCAGGAGTTGGAGACCAGCCTGACCAACATGGTGAAACCCTGTCTCTACTAAAAATACAAAAATTAGCCGGGCGTGGTGGCACGCGCCTGTAGTCCCAGCTACTCGGGAGGCTGAGGCAGGAGAATCACTTCAATCCAGGAGGCGGAGGTTGCAGTGAGCCGAGATGGCGCCACTGCACTCCAGCCTGGGCGTGTCTCAAAAAAAAAAAAGGCTTTGTACATGAATATCACATGATCCTAAAGGAAACGAGGGACCCGCTAGAAGGTACCCACCTTCAAGAAGTCTACAGTGAAGACAAGAAGAGATACATGGGTATCAGAAGGTATCAAAACTAGTTGCCATTTGGGAAAGGATTTTTTTTTTATTTTTATTTTTATTAATTAATTTTTTTTTTTTTGAGATAGAGTTTCGCTTTTGTCGCCCAGGCTGGAGTGCAGTGGCGCGACCTCGGCTCACTGCAACCTCCGCCTCCTGGATTCAAGTGATTACTCCTGCCTCAGCCTCCCGAGTAGCTGGGATTACAGGTGCCCGCCACCACGCCCAACTAATTTTTGTATTTTTGGTAGGGACAGGGTTTCGCTATGTTGGCCAGGCTGGTCTCAAACTCCTGACCTCAGGTGATCCACCTGCCTTGGCCTCCCAAACTGCTGGGATTACAGGCGTGAGCTACTGCGCCCGGCCTGGAAAAGGATTTGTTTTGTGTAATTCAGTTCAAGTCAGAACAAGCTATCCTCATTCTTTTAAATGACCTGAAATAATAAATGCCGAATTAGCCAGAAGATCTAAAGAACTGAGTATCGCTTCATTAAAATCCATTATTTCACGCCTGTAATCCCAACACTTTGGGAGGCTAAGACAGGAGTATCTCGTGAGGTCAGGAATTTGAGAACCAGCTTGGGCAACACAGCAGAGACCCCATCTCTACAAAAAAATAAAAATATTAGGCTGGGCACGGTGGCTCACGGCTGTAATCCCAGCACTTTGGGAGGCCAAGGCAGGTGGATCACGAAGTCAGGAGATCGAGACCATCCTGGCTAACACAGTGAAACCTGGTCTCTACTAGAAATACAAAAAAATTAGCCGGGCGTGGTGGCAGGCACCTGTAGTCTCAGCTACTCGGGAGGCTGAGGCAGGAGAATGGCGTGAACCCAGAGGCGGTGCTTGCGGTGAGCCGAGATCGCGCCACTGCACTCCAGCCTGGGGGACAGAGCGAGACTCCGTCTCAAAAAAATAAAAAAAATAAAAATAAAAATAAAAATATTAGTTGGGCATGGTGGTATGTGTATGATGTCCGAGCTACTTGGGAGGCTGAGGTGGGCAGATCTCTTGAGCCCAGGAGTTCGAGATCAGCCCGGGCAACATGGTGAAACCTTGTCTCTACCAAAAAAAAAAAAAAAAAAGAAAAAACTTCAGATCAATATCTAGAATGATTGCCGACTTCTTTTGCTAGCTTAATATTTTTACTATTAAAAAAAATTAAGGCCGGGCACAGTGGGTCATGCCTGTAATCCCAGCACCTTGGGAGGCCGAGGTGGACGGATCACAAGGTCAAGAGATCAAGACCATCCTGGCCAACATGGTGAAACCCCGTCTCTACTAAAAATACAAAAATTATCTGGGCTTGGTAGCACACGCCTGTAGTCCCAGCCACTCAGGAAGCTGAGGCAGGAGAATCACCTGAACCCGGGAGGCGGAGGTTGCAGTGAGCTGAGACTGCACCACTGCACTCCAGCCTGGCAACAGAGCGAGACTCCGTCTCAAAAAAAGAAAAACAAAGAACAAAAAAACAAAATTAAATTGGTTCTTCAAGAAAAGGGCTAGAAATTGCTGGTCTGAAAAAGGAACCAGGAATTAGAAATATTTCTACTCATAAAGGCTTTGTTCTACCCAGGAAAACAAAACCATTATAATTACAAAAACTATTATAATTACAAGCAAGTTTTTATATTTAGTAGTAGTGGAAATAAACATATAGATAACTAATCCATCATCCAGAGAGGTATTTTGCTGCACTGAGTATCACGCATGGAAGAAAAGGTAAAAAACAAAAAGCAACCTTAGGCTAAAAGGTACAAAGTACTTTTATTGCCAAAAAAACCAAACAAACAAACAAAAAAAACAGACAGACTACAAGTAACAGTAGTCATGCCTACATGATACAAAAATATACACACAAATTTGCTGACTTTATCTTAACTACCAGAAGTTTAAAAATCTTCTAGAACAAGAGAATAAAGTCTAATCATTTTACAACATGTTATGTTTAAAGTCTTTAGGTATTACTTAACTCAATAATATGGTTATGATACTTAAGTATAATGGCCTAATTCTTATTGTTGATAGAGTCCATGCTTTACTATTTTCTTTCTAAATTGGTGAACAAAAGTTCAACAGCAGCATAGGCAACGGAAATTAAAAATTTTTAAACAAGCTCTGGATCAAAATTGAATTTAGGCCAGGCATGGTGGCTCACGCCTGTAATCCCAGCACTTTGGGAGGCCAAGGTGGACAGATCACTTGAGGTCAGGAGTTCGACATCAGCCTGGCCAACATGGCGAAACTCTGCCTCTACGATAAATACAAAAATGAGCCAGGCATGGTAGCTCGTGCCTGTAATCCCAGCTACTTGGGAGGCTGAGGCGGGAGAACTGCTTGAACCCGGGAGGTGGAGGTTGCAGTGAGCTGAGAGCACGCTACTGCACTCCAGCCTGGGCGACAGAGCAAGACTCCCTCTCAAAAAAAAAAAAAAACAAAAAGACTAAATTTATAAATCTCAAGCAAGGTAAATCTAGACAATTTCCCACATATCTACATCTATTAGTTTTTATTAATTTCAATTTTCAAAATCAAGATCAAGTACAACAAACATATGTATCAAAGCCTACAAAAGCATTCTATAGATTGTAAACGTTGGTTACTGATGTTAAAAATCACAGAAATACTTTTCATTTACGTAATGACAAATGCCTGACCTAAAACCCAGGCAGGGACAGAAACCAATCTGTATATGTAGTTCTTTGGTCACTAGAACAAATAGTTCAGTAATCCAGTATGGAATTCTACCCTATTTTAGTATAGCATTCAAAATGCCATATCCCCTCCTGGTTTAAGTGGCACTGATTTGTATAGTGGGGGGAGAAAAACTTCGCAATTTTTATGTAAGTGTTTACGTTGCATCTTTTTCCTTTGTTTAGAGTTCCAGCCCACAAGCCTCCCCTGGTAGACAACAATGTTTTCATAACTGCAAGCAACAAGGTAGTTCCTAGCCCCTCTGCTCTCTAGTTAAGGCGTTACGCACTGCCCAGGGAGAGGGAAATTCTCTCTGTAGCTGTGGCAACAGCTGTCACCAGGAAGCTAGGGCATCTCTGCAACCCCTCCTCAGATGGCACTGAAGAACATCTGTAAGTCAGGCACTTTTAACTTGGGGCCTTGTATTTCAACATTTTTTGTGGGTACGTAGTAGGTATATACATTTATGGGGCACATGAGATGTGTTGACACAGGCATGCAATGTGAAATAAGCACAATATGGAGAATGCGGAATCTATCCGCTCAAGCATTTATCCTTAGTGTTAAAAACAATCCAATTACACTCTTTAAGTTATTTTAAAATGTACAATTAAATTATTGTTGACTACAGTCATCCTGTTGTGCTATCAAATAGGTTTTATTCATTCTTGCTACTTGCTATTTTTTTTTTTTGCACCCATTAGCCATCCCCACCTTTCCCCCAGACCCCCACTACCCTTCCCAGCCTCTGTCAACCATCTCAGGGCCCTTTATCATGCCTTTTTCCAAAAACATGCAGCCAATACAGACTTTCCTCTATGGACTCTAAACAGAAATGCGTTCACTCCATTTTCAGAACAGTTGTACCTGACACCAGGTTGTGTATGGCTCGCAATAGTGTCGGAGCTGTGAGATGCTTTCTTCAAGCTGGCTCCTTGCCTCCTCCACATACTTCGATTGACCCTCAGGAACTGAGTAGAGTGAAAGCTGCGCACATTAAAACAAAACAAAGATTTAAAAGATGTACTGTCTACAGGATACATTTATCAAATTTGTAAGTATTTAATATAATATTTCTAGTAATTCATGAATTACAGTGACTCTGTGGTCGGGTGTGGTGGTTCACGCTTGTAATCCCAGCACTTTGAGAAGCCAGGGCAGGCGGATCACTTAAGGTCAGGAGTTCGAGACCAGCCTAGCCAACATGGCGAAACCCAGTCTCTACTAAAAATACAAAACTTAGCCAGGTGTCGCGGTAGGCGCCTGTAATCCCAGCTACTTGGGAGGCTGAGGCGGGAGAATCTCTTGAACCTGGGAGGTGGAGGTAGCAGTAAGCCAAGATTGTGCCAGTGCACTCAAGCCTAGGCAAGAGTGAGACTCCATCTCAAAAATAATAATAATAATACTTCATGAATTCCAGTGACTCTAAGGGTTACAAGCAACCTGAACTTTATCTCAAACTATCTCTGCACCTTATTTCCATAATCAACGAGGCCAAGGCCAAAAGGGCAGGGCTATGAGGTGTCCTACTTTCTCCCCACCCACTGACTACAAACAAAGCAGCTCCTCTTTATCCATTTTATATACTGGTATTTGGTATTCCACCTTAGATTGAGCTTGGAAAAAAGATTTTATTACTCTAAAGGGTGGGTGAAGGGGTTAAAAAAGCTTGAGAGTAACCAAAGGGCATGTCATTCAGTTCAAATGATTGGTCTGATGTTAATCAAAGCAGGACAGCAGGTTTATTCTCCACCCAGAGAACTTCTTACAGCCACTGCTGGCTGCCTTCTTTACCCTCAAAAATGCCACTGTGCCAAGGCCTGAGAAGCGAGTAAAGGGCAAAAGATAAGCTAATTAGCTTTATGTAAACACCAATCTAGTAACCCTACCCAGGACTGAAGGTAGATCCTTACCTCACTTTATTCAAAGGCAACAGAAACTGAATATCCAAAATAATTAGTGGGAAGTACAGACCAAAAAGGAATGTAAACAGTAGAGAGAAGATTTCTTGTTTTTTTTTTTTTTAAATTTAGTATTTATTAAGTACATACTTATGAGCGGCTCCTCTAGCCAAGAAACAGAAAGGATCCAGATCTCTAATTTCTTAGAGAGGAAAAAATGTGAATATATTCTTGGCTCGATAAGAATCAAGATAAGCCAAGAATCAGGCAGACCACTTAGAAAAGTGAGTTGTGCTTATAACCTGTTGGGACACAGTGGATTCCCCAGTAAACATTTATAAAGTATTCCTTAATTGTGCCCTTACCTAAGTATCATTAAAGTTTATCTGTTGAAAAAGCCATAGTTTAATATTTCCCACAAATTAAACAAACTATAAGGAAATATATTTTCTCTGTTTAAATGTCTTCTGGCTGGGCGTGGTGGCTCACGCTTGTAATCCCAGCACTTTGGGAGGCCGAGGCAGGTGGATCACCTGAGGTCGGGAGTTCGAGACTAGCCTGGCCAACATGGTGAAACCTTGTCTCTACTAAAAATACAAAATTAGCCAGGCGTGGTGGCACATGCCTATAATCCCAGCTACTTGGGAGGCTGAGGCAGGAGAATGGCTTGAACCAGGAGGAGGAGGTTGCAATGAGCCGAGATCGCACCATTGCACTCCAGCCTGGGCAACAAGAGCGAAACTCCGTCTCAAAATAAATAAATAAATAAATAAATAAATAAATAAATAAATGTATTTTAAACAGTCACATCTTCCTGATATACAATTTGTAAAAAATTATCCTACAGTAACTAAATCAGACACTCAAAATATATCGCAACATGAACAACATGTTACCTCATCAACCTTCACGGAATTTTTGGGAGGTGAGTCCTTTTTTGGTGCTGCATAGACTTTGAAGGTGAGCAAGCTCAGGCTGGCTGGCCCCACGGACCTCTGAATTACCTGAAATGCAGAAGCAATCTTAAACCTCTCTATGTTACAGACCGAATGTGCAGAACATGAGCATATTCATAACCTCAGCCACTCCCCACCCTGAAAGGCTTACTGTGCTTTATTTTATTTTTATTTATTTTTATGTTTTCAAGATGGAGTCTTGCTCTGTTACCCAGGCTGCGGTGTAGTGGCGTGATCTCAGCTCACTGCAACCTCCAACGCCCAGGTTCAAGCGATTCTTCTACCTCAGCCTCCCAAGTAGCTGGGATTACAGGCGTCTGCCACCACACCCGGCTAATTTTTGTATTTTTAGTAGAGATGGGGATTTGCCATGTTGGCCAGGCTGGTCTCGAACTCCCGACTTCAGGTAATTCGCCCGCCTCGGCCTCCCAAAGTGCTGAGATTACAGGTGTGAGCCAGTGCACCTGGCCTACAAAATATATTTTTTTAAAAAATCAGCCAGGCATGGTGGTGTGTGCCTGTAGTCCCAGCTACTCAGGAGACTGAGGTGGGAGAACTCTTGAGTTTGAGGCTTCAGTGAGCCATGATCATGCCACTACACTCCAGCCTGGGCAATAGAGTGAGACTCTGTTTCACACACACAAAATAATCGCTCCACTAAAAAAAAAAAAAAAAAAAAAAAAAAAAAAAGATGGGCTGAGAGGAGGAGAGTTATGGTTTATTAATTTAATTGTGAATATAAAAAATGTGCTGGACGCAGTGGCTCACGCCTGTAATCCCAGCACTTTGGAAGGCAGAGGCGGGTGGGTGGATCACCAGGTCAGGCATTCGAGACCAGCCTGGCCAACATAGTGAAATCCCGTCTCTACTAAAATTACAAAAAAAAAAAAAAAATTAGCTGGGCGTGGTGGCGGGCACCTGTAATCCCAGCTACACAGAAGGCTGAAGCAGGAGAATCACCTGCACCTGGGAGGTGGAGGTTGCAGTGAACCAAGATTGTGCCACCGCACTCCAGCCTGGGTGACAGTGCGAGACTCCACCTCAAAAAAAAAAAAAAAAAAAAAAAAAAAAATTCAGACCCCTCCTGCGAAGGCCGTGGCAGTTTTCTAGGAGGGACGTTGATCTCCTTAGGTTGTATCCTGGTGCTGCTGGTTCTGCCTAATAATTGTGATGGGCACAAACCACATGAACTAATGTCAGCACTAGCTGGCTAATCTGTATCGTGGAAGCAAAAGAAATCTGTAGCAAAACTGCATTGAAATTAAGACCTCAAGATGCACACTTAATACTTCAAGATGTATCAATTGTTTTTAAACCAGTTAAAGTAACAACCACCCTTTTTTTTCTTAATGGCTTTCAGCTCTTTATTTGCTTCTGAAATATGGGAATTTGCAGCCATACGTTTCAACAGATATTTTTGTTATATTTTAGCTGGCATTACGTTTTGTATTACAGAATAGCCTCATCTTTCACATTACAGGCACTGCAAATCTCAGTAATATGATTTCCAAGATGCTAAATCATGCCTAAATAGTTAGAGAGAAATCAATCACTCATTTATTTTCCACCTCTCCTCCATCCATTTCCTTTTGTCTCATTTGAGCAGGAAATAAACAATTATTGAGCATGCCTTGTGTGTTAGGCACAGCCATAGAAATAGGAATATGGAGTAAGACATATCCTCACCCTGAAAGGGCTTCCATTCTGGTAGGAAGAACTTGATAGATGTAAATAAATGGACAAACTTTTTTTTTTTTTTTTACACAGGGTCTCACACTGTTGCCTAGGTTGGAGTGCAGCAGCAGGATTTCTGCTGCACTGCAACCTTCCCATCCCAGGTTCAAGCACTCCTCCTGTCTTGTCTCCCAAATAGCTGGGACTACAGGCATGCACCACCATGTCCAGCTCATTTTTGTAATTTTTGTAGAGACAGGGTTTTGCCATGTTGCCCAGGCTGGTCTCAAACTCCTGGATTCAAACGATCCACCCACCGCGGCCTCCCAAAGTGCTGGGATTATAGGTGTGAACCACTGCACTTGGCCTGGGACAGATTAAAAAATAAAATAAGGGAGGCTGAGGCACAAGAATCGCTTGAACCCAGGAGGTGGAGATTGCAGTGAGCCAAGATACTGCCACTGCACTCCAGCCTGGGCAACAGAGCGAGACCCTGTCTCAAAAAGTAAATAAATAAAAGAAAAGTGATACGGGAGGGGCAGGCAGGGAAATGCTGGGTAGAGAAGGGCGTGGTCCCTGGCTAGGGCTCCACCCCTGGGCCTGTGCCCACCAACCTAGGTGAGGACAGGCATTTCTGTTTTTGTGCCCAAATATCGTATTTCCCAAGACCACCCTGGCCCACCACACTCCCATCTTGTGCCTATAAAAACCCCGAGACCCTAGCGGGCAGGCACACAAGCGGCTGGACGTCAAGAGAAGCAGAGGCAAGGAACAACATACCAGCAGAAGAACACAGTGACAGACTCCGGCAGGCCACCAACAGCAGAACGGCAGGACAACGCGGAGTTTGGCTGAGGGCGGTCAGAGGAGAGCCTGGCTGCTAAGCGGCCTGACTCCAGGGGAAAACCACCTTCCCACTCCATACCCCTTCTGGCTCCGTTTCCATCTGCTGAGTGCTACTTCCACCATTCAATAAAACCTTGCACTCATCCTCCAAGCCCACGTGTGATCCGGTTTTTCTGGTATACTCAGGCAAGAACCCTAGGATACAGAAAGCCCTCTGTCCTTGCAATAAGGCAGAGGGTCTAACTGAGCTGATGAACACAAGCTGCCTACTGACAGCAAAACTAAAAGAGCACACGTAACACACGCCCACTGGGGCTGCAGAAGCTGTAAACATCCACCCCTAGACGCTGCCATGGGGTTGGAGCCCACACTCCCCACGACCTGCCCATCTGCCTGCTTTCCCTAGGGGTTTTGAGCAGTGGGGCACCTAAGAAGTGGGCCACACTCCCATCACATGCCCTGTAAGAGGGACAAGGGAAATTCCCCTTGTTTCAAAAGCATGAATTCTCCCGGCTCTTAGGCAGTTCTACAGAAAGACAAAACAAGTATAGGACATTATAGACAGAGGAATCAGCATGTGTGAAGCCACGAAGCTGGGAAACAGCATGGGAGAAGTGTAGGGAGTTCGAGTTTTGTGGGAGGGAGCAGAGTGACAGAGAGATGAGTCAGAGAAGTTGGTTGTAGCCAGATCATAATGGGACTCGTGTGGCTCACATAAAAGTCCTAGGTAATAAATACCAAAAGATCTCAAATAAGGATGGAATATAGAATCGAGTTTGCCATTTAGAAAGACGATTATTTCTCAGTGTGGCGCTTTAAGTCATTAAAGGGCCAGCTGACCAGTTATGGTGCTGCTAAAACAATGAAGGAAAGAAATAAGGGCCCAAGGAAAGATTGCACAGGAGAGGAGAAAGAGGAGAAAGTAGAATTGAGATAGTTTAATAGGCAAAATTAGCAGGACTTAGTGACCAAAGGGAAAGGAAGAGTGACGATGACCTTGGTTTAATTTTTATTTTCATTTATTTTAATTTTTAAACTGACAAGAATCGTGTATATTTATTGTGTACAACATGCTGTTTTGAAATATGTGTACATTGTGGAATGGCTAAATTGAGCTAATTAACATATGCACTACCTCACAAATTAATTTTTGTGGAATCTAAAAAGGTTGAACTAATGGAAGTAGAGAGCACAATGGTGGCTACCAGGGCAAGGGCTGGGGGGAGTTGGGGAGATATTGGTCAAAAGTACAAAGTTTCAGTTAGGAGGAGTAGTTCAAGAGATCTGTTGTACAACATAATGACTAGAGTTAACAACAATGTATTGGATTTTCGAAAATCAGGAAAAGAGTAGATTTTAAGTGACCTTGGGGTTTCCGATGGGTTTTTCTAGTTGGGTGGTGACACAGCATTCCTGAGAGAGGAAGTAGAAAAAGAGGGGCAAGTCTGAGGGAAAAATGATGAGTTGGTTTTGGACATGTTCCAGAGACCGACAGACAGCTAGAGGTCTAGTCATCTATCTATGTATCTTTTATTTTACTTGAAAAGCTAAAGTAGGCAAACTTAGAAACTGTTGTCTTTTGGAAATTAAGAAAAAGTTGACCTGAAATTTTAAGTCCATAAGAACATGTTTTTTGGGTCTGGACTTCCTCAGCACTTCAGGGGTGTATTTATTTCTCATAAAGCACAGTAAGGCCGGGTGCGGTGGCTCACGTCTGTAATCCCAGCACTTTGGGAGGCCGAGGTGGGTGGATCACCTGAGGTCGGGAGTTCGACACCAGCCTGGCCAACATGATGAAATCCAGTCTCTACAAAAAACACAAAAATTAGCCAGGCGTGGTGGCAGACGCCTGTAATCCCAGCTACTCGGGAGGCTGAGGCAGGAGAATTGCTTGAAACTGGGAGGCAGGGGTTGCAGTGAGCCGAGATCGTGCCACTGCACTCCAGCCTCGGCAAATATATATATTATATATATATATAAATATATAACTATATCTATACATAACTATATATATATAGCAGAGACAGGGTCTCATCATGTTACTCAAGCTGGTCTCGAACTCCTGAGCTCAAGCAATCCTCCCGCCTTGGCCTCCCAAAGTGCTGGGATTACAGGTGTGAGCCAACACACTCAGCCTATCTTTGATTTTAAATCTCAACTCATTTCCTTTAACATTTTATTGGATTCTTAATTATTAATTTCTACTTTACCTTCCCCTCTTATCTTACTTGTTTTTCTAGTTTTAATATTATTCTAGGCCTGCCTCCCTTTACTGCCTAAACTGTTTTCTTCTTCTTCCTCTTCTCCTATTAGTTTTCCTCCCTAAGCCTACCCTGATACCCATTCCACAGCAAGAACTGTGGCCACAAGGGTGGTAGCACCAAAGAAAGCTGGCTCCTGCAGCGGCCTTTTCAGCTTCCAGCAGGCTCTCAACAGACAAGCAAACAAAACAAAGAAAAAGCAAACCTCACCCCAGGAGACCTGGGAGACCTACAAATGAACACTCCCCAGGACCATAATTCTTAGTTTGCAGAGAACACATGATTTACTCGAGGATTTCTCAAACTCAGCACTACTGACATTTGGGTTGGGTCCTTCTTTGTGGGGCTGTCCTGTGCACTGCAGGAAGTTTGGCAGCATCCCTAGCCTCTACCCACTAGATGCCAGTAGCACCTCCTCCCAGTCACGACAGTCAAAAACATCTCCAGACACTGCCAAATGTCTCCTGGGGAGCAACTCTCCCACTGAGAACCTCTGATTTACTTGAGTAAGTATTACTTTCTGACATCTCTCACCATCTAGACTTGAAGAAAATCTGTATGTTTTAAAACCCATGGCCTCAAACATAGTGAGAAACCAGAACAATCACTACTAGGCCGGGGAGGTGGGAGTTGGAAGGAAGTGGACTTACTGAGAAGTGGCACAAGTGAACTTTCTGGGGTGAAACAATCTTGATTGGGGTATGGGTTATTCAAGGTATATACATTTGTCAAAGCTCAAATTGTACAACTAAGACTGTACAACTTAAAAATCTATGTATTTCACTCTATGTAAATTAGACTTTTTAAAAAATCCATCAGCTCTAGCACACCTAATCCATGCCAAGCTCATTCCTAAGGAGCCAGCCACACACCTGACCATGGTAAGGAACTGGTATAGATCTGTGTGATGGAAACCCATGGGAGGAGCCTTGGTAAAAGGTCCCCAGGTAGACATGGCTGAAGCTGATGCACTCAACATCTTGGCTGATTCATCTTCCTTTTTAGCTTCAAAGGGGGCTCCTCCTGGTGCGAGATGACCCCACCCTGCCTCAGCATGCTCACCACCTTTCCCTCTTAACAGTAAAAAGGAAGCTGGCCAGACCAGATGTCATCACAAATGGCCATCTTCGACACTGTGTGCCTGCCAGGTGGTTATCATAATTTGTTAGGGCTCATATTGAGTATTCAGGCCAACCTATTCAAAATCAGGATTTAAGAAGGGAAAGGCTAAGATGGGTAGAATCACCCCAGGACAGTGTAAGGGCACAAAGAGGAGATGAACCTTCTTCAATCTTTTGTCTCCCCAAGGAAGAACAATCCAGTTCTTTGAAGAAACACAATCAACTTTCAGGGTCTGGGACATAATAAAAAAAAATCTCTAGCCTTATCAACTTTCCTCCTGTTCGCACTCTGGATGGGTTGCTTTGTGAGACATGAACACAAAGGTATTCTCTCTCCATGAGGAGTCCTGACCCATTATGATATAATCGGACTGAATATACCTCCCAAGAAGTGAAATCTCCCCCATACTTTTTCTTTTTCCCTTTTTTTTTTTTTTTTTTTTTTTGCGACAGAGTCTCCCTCTGTCGCCAGGCTGGAGTGCAGTGGCATGATCTTGGCTCACTGCAACCTCCGCCTCCTGGGTTCAAGCCATTCTCCTGCCTCAGCCTCCCAAGTAGCTGGGACTACAGGTGTGCGCCACCACATGCGGCTAATTTTTGTATTTTTAGCAGAGACGGGGTTTCACCATGTTGGCCAGGATGGTCTTGATCTCTTCACCTTGTGATCCGTCCGCCTCGGCCTCCTAAAGTGCTGGGATTACAGGCATGAGCCACTGTGCCCGGCCTCCCCCAAACTTTTTCTGATGCAGGGCTGTAATCTCTAGACTGCATGTACCCACGCCCTGAGCACTCCCTTTCCCAAGTGATAGTCCTTGAGAAGCCTTGTTGCCAGGTACACTCCCTGGTCAGGGCAGATGAGTTGGCTCAGAAAATGAGTACATATGCACCTGCCAAGAACTGATTAGATATGGTCTACTTTGCATTATATGAGTTAGGCTTGCTCAATCAAAGTCAAGCAAGCTCTGTTAAGAGCTGAATCTCCAATTAGTGCTAAGTTACAGGCTAGATCAAAGGTGGCATTTCTTTAGATCCAGCCCCTCGGGAGTATACCCTTCAGTTACTAAATGCCTTTCTTGGCATTCAGCTAGTTGGGGGTCTCAAAGTAAGGACTCTAATGTGTTGGCTTCTCTGAGGTTTTGAATACAGCTGTAAGACCCATAGTCACAGAGAAAACGAAAATTTGGCTTAAAGGTAAACTGGTGGCCCTTAGCTTTGCAAACCTCAGAGGGAGTGTCATTGAGTTTTCTCACTCTTGTGGCTAACTCTTCTTTCTTTCTGGTCTGATCCTACTCCCCAGCAAAGTATCAAGGTACACTCTATCTTGGACCTTAGACTCTCTATGTCTCAAAACTTTTGTTTCGCACAGCCCGCAAGGGGCTTGTCAATGGAAACAGAGCAACCAGTATTGGTGTTGGGTTAGATGAGGCCCTAACAAGAAGTGTAAAGGGGTAGGCTGTCATCATCTTAAAGACATTTGGTTCTTACTCTGTCTCCACTGAAGCTTGCGAAGGACTGATGTTGGCAAAACAAATCTGGTCAGGCAAGCAAGGTTATATATAACAATTAGAAGAGGTCAACCAGGGTTTTATTTCAAAAACAAATATTTACTGCACACCCACATCATGTCAGACATGGTACTAAACAGATAAAACACATAAGCAGACAAGGTCCCTGCTCTTATAGAGCTTCCAGGAAGCTTATGAATTTAATCAAAGACTCAGGCCACAATTTAAAAAATAAATTAACATTCAAAAAAAGATTCAGGGCCCAGCACAGTGGCTCACGCCTATAATCCCACCACTTTGGGAGGCCGAGGCAGGTGGATCACAAGGTCAGGAGTTCAAGACCAGCCTGGCCAACACACTGAAACTCCATCTCTACTAAAATACAAAAATTAGCCAGGCATGGTGGCATGTGCCTGTAGTCCCAGCTACTCGGGAGGCTGAGGCAAGAGAATCGTTTGAACCTGGAAGGTGGAGGTTGCAGTGAGCCAAAATTATACCTCTGCACTCCAGCTTGGGCAACAGAGTGAGATTTCATCTCAAAAAAAAAAAAAAAAAAAAAAGATTCAGGCATAAGATTGAGTTTATTAGGAGGCTGAAGTGGGAGGATCACTTGAGGCCAGAAGTTTAAGACCAGCCTGGGCAACATAACAAGACTCCATCTCTACAAAAAAAAAAAAAAAAATTAGCCAGGTGTTTGGGGCATGCCTATGGTCTCAGCTACTTGGGAGGCTGAGGTGGGAGGATTACTTGAGCCCAGGAGGTCAAGGATGCAGTGAGCTATAATCGCGTCACTGCATTCCAGCCTGAGTGACTGAGCAAGACTCTGCCTCAAAAAATAAAATAAAATAAAAAGATTGAGTTTATCAGTCAGCTCCCTCAGCTTTAAAGGTAGATTCTTAGACACAGTTTACCAAGACATGAATCTGGTAAGGTCGTAAACAAACAAATCATAATGGGTGTCCAGAAGGCTAAACTGTTCTTGCTTTGCAAATAAAAGTACACTGACTGCCCAGAATTCCATAGCTCTGGGATCATGTTGTGATTATGTTCCAGTAAAACTGCCTTAAAGACAAATAAAAACCTTAAGCTAAATAAGTCACCCTCAGAATTATTCAGACTCTCATGAATGGTGGGGCTCAAATACCTAACAACTTGCTTTCTTTTTCAACTTTATAGAGAATCTAGTGAATACTCTCTCCCATTTAAAAAAAGGGTGACTCTTTTCTCCCACAATTACAGAACTATTATCTTATTAGACTTCCATTTATAATATATGCCAGCTTCATGATAGAAGGCTTTTGCAGGCCTGTGTACACAAGAGGTTTCAGAATCACCTGGGGAGTTGTTTTTTTTTTTTTTTTTTTTTTTTAAGACAGAGCCTCGCTCTGTCGCCCAGGCTGGAGTGCAGTGGTGCGATCTTGGCTCACTGCAAGCTCCGCCTCCTGGGTTCATGCCATTCTCCTGCCTCAGCCTCCTGGTAGCTGGGACTACAGGCACCAGCCACCACGCCTGGCTAATTTTTTGTATTTTTAGTAGAGACGGGGTTTCACTGTGTTAGCCAGGATGGTCTCAATCTTCTGACCTCGTGATCCGCCCACCTCGGCCTCCCAAAGTGCTGGGATTACAGGCGTCAGCCACCGCGCCTGGCCCACCTGGGGAATTTTTTAAAAGCATAGATTCTAACAGCTTCCCCCAGAGTGTCTGACTCTGAATCTAAGAGGGGCCCAAGAATCTATTCCCAAGATAAGCAAAGTTTTGAAAACCACCATTCCACAAACATATGCTTAGAGAACAGTTATTCAACTTAAGTTTGTATAAGCACTCAAACATACTTTTAAAAACATTTGAAAGTATAAAATGAAAACTGTCCTAAATATAAAAAGAAACAGAGTGACTGGCCACCCACTAGAGAAATTATGACATTTATTTACATTCAAGAAAATCTCTCCCGTCTTAAACAAAACACAACAAATACCCTCCACCCCTAATTCCCTCTCTAACAACTACCTTACCCTTCTACCAACTTCCATTGACAAATTTATTTTAAAAGTAGACTATGGTTAGAAGGCAGAATAGTGGATACCCTTAGCAAGCTGGGTAGTGACTAGAAGGGCCACGAGAAGAGCTTCTAGAGTGCTAGTATGTTTAGTTTGTAAAAATTCACTTATGCCCCGTTTACTTTCCTATATGTATGTTATACAAATGGTCTCAGACTTACAAATGGTTCAACCTTACATGGTGCAGAAGCGATACGCATTCTGTAGAAACCGCACTTTGAGTACCCATATAACCATTCTGCTTTTCACTTTCAGTGCAGTATTCAATAATGTACATGAAACATTCAATAGTTTATTATAAAATAGGCTTTGTGTTAGATGATTCTGCCCAACTGTGGGCTACTGGAAGTGTTCTGAGTACATTTAAGGGAGGGTAGGCTAAATTATGATGTTTGGTAGGTTAGGTGTGTTAATTTTTGACTTAATGATATTTTCAACTTATGATAGGTTTATCAGAATGCAACCCCACCACAAGCTGAGGAGCATCCGCATTTAAGCACAAAGTCAAAAAGGCAGATTCTGTTTGCTTTCTCAATTTTATCTCCTCCTCCCTTTACTACTAAATGCACCTAAAACCTTTCTTCCCAAGACCACCAATAGCCTCCCAGTTGCTAAACCCCACTGGACATCTGGCATCTTGGTTGCACCCTGAAACTGGTGACTACTCTACATCTTCAACCCCTTTCTTTGGCTTACAGGATTCTACCCTATCCCCATTCTAGAGGCTTTCTAGGTACTCTCTCCTCCCCTTTTGGGCCTTCTCTTCCTCTGCATAGCTCTTCAAGGTTGATGAGTCATGGAGTAGTCTTTAACTCTCTCCTCTTCTCACTCCAGGGCAATTTCATTAAAATCTAATTCTTTCTTTTTTTTTTCTTTCAGACAGAGTCTCGCTCTGTCACCCAGACTGGAGTCCAGTGGCCTGATCTCGGCTCACTACAATCTCCGCCTCCCGGGTTCAAGGGATTCTCATGCTTTAGCCTCCCAAGTAGCTGGGATTACAGGCGCCCGCCACCACGCTCAGCTAATTTTTGTGTTTTTAGTAGAGACAGGGTTTCGCCATGTTGGCCAGGCTGGTCTCAAACTCCTGGGCTCAAGGGATCCACCTGCCTCAGCCTCCCAAAGTGCTGGGATTATAGGCGTGAGCCACCACACCTGGCCAAAATCTAAGTCTTTAACTCCCACTCATATGCTACTGATGCTCAAATCAGTATCCCTAGCCTGGGCCTCTCCCTAAGCCTCAGGCTTGTGTGTTTCCTGTGTTTCTAACTCCCTGAGGGACATGTTACCAGGCTTTTCAACTGCTACTTCAAACAGGCTATATCCAAAGGTGACCTTTTTTTTGGAGTGATGGAATATATTATTTCTATTTTCCATGTAAATAATTTAAACTCTCTCTATGTAAGTATATATACACTTACAGTATCTTACCCTTCTACCAAGTTTATATATATGTATATAAACTATATGTATATATATACTTATAGACTTATACATACTATATATACTTAAAAATATAGTTTATATAGTTTAAGTATATATAATACTTTATGTATTTCTATATATAGTTTACATTTATATATTTAAAATGTATGACATTATGCTTTCAACTATCTTTCTCCAAAACTGTTTTTATGAGATTCTCTACCTTATTTAATGATCCTACAAGCCACACAAAGGACAACATAAAAGCAACTCTTTAATGATAAAGAATGAAAATAAATTTTTTTTTTTTTGAGACAGAGTTTTGCTCTTTCACCCAGGCTGGAGTGAAGTGGCGCAATCTCGGCTCAAGACAACCTCCGTGCCCCTGGGGTTCAAACGATTCTCCTGCCTCAGCCTCTCAAGTAGCTGGGATTACAGGCAGCCACCACCACACCCAGCTAATTATTTTTTTTTTTTTTGAGACGGAGTCTCGCACTGTCGCCCAGCCTGGAGTGCAGTGGCGCGATCTCCACTCACTGCAACCTCCGCCGTCTCTCGGATTCAAGCGATTCTCCTGCCTCAGCCTCCCAAGTAGCTGGCATTACAGGCGCCCGCTACCATGCCCAGCTACTTTTTGGAATTTTAGTAGAGACAGGGTTTCACCATGTTGGCTAGGCTGGTGGTCTCAAACTCCTTACCTCAGGTGATCCACCTGCCTTGGCCTCTCATACTGCTGGAATTGGCCAAGGTGGGCAGTTCACGAGGTCAGGAAATCGAGACCATCCTAGAAACACAGTGAAACCCCATCTCTACTAAAAATACAAAAAATTAGCAGGGCATGGTGGCGGGCGCCTGTAGTCCCAGCTACTCAGGAGGCAGAGGCAGGAGAATGGCGTGAACCTGGGAGGTGGAGCTTGCAGTGAGCCAAGATCGCGCCACTGCACTCCAACCTGGGCGACAGAGCGGGACTCCGTCACAAAAAAAAAAAAAAAGTGCTGGGATTACAAGCGTGAGCCACCGCGCCTGGCCTCAGTCAACCTTTTCTGCAATAATTTCCATTCTGACAGCATTTTTCACTCGAAACAAAACTATTTTAATCTGATTCTAATTATTTAGGAGGTAAAAATCTGAAATGGGTTTTTTACAAAAAAAAAAAACAAACTATGAACACTGACAATACTTTTGAGATTATTCTTATTCTAAGTAACCAACACAAAAAAAAGAACTATGTGAAAGAACTCAGAATACAACAAAATGATGAAGACAATAAAAAAATTTTGTCAAAATCAGGCTACACTGTTGTCCTCAGTAACGTGTTGTAAATTGAATGAAAAATCAAGAGAAAGGCCGGGCGCGGTGGCTCACGCCTGTAATCCCAGCACTTTGGGAGGCCGAAGCGGGCAGATCACGAGGTCAGGAGATCGAGACCATCTTGGCTAACATGGTGAAACCCCATCTCTACTAAAAATACAAAAAAAAAAAAAACAAAACATTAGCCAGGCGTGGTGGTGGGAACCTGTAGTCCCAGATACTCAGGAGGCTGAGGCAGGAGAAAACCTGGGAGGCGGAGCTTGCAGTGAGCCGACATCACGCCACTGCACTCCAGTCTGGGCGACAGGGCAAGGCTCCGTCTGAAAAATAAATAAATAAATAAATAAAAATAAAAATCAAGAGAAATGAGTCCACAATTCTTGAAACGTCAAAAGAATACAGAATACTCTCCTCCATAAGGAGCATTCAGGACAGTATCTACATTTTATACAGCAATCTTTTATTTTTATATTTTTTATTTTTTGAGACAGAGTTTCACTCTTGCCACCCAGGCTGGAGTGCAGTGCCACAATCTCGGCTCACTGCAATCTCCGTCTCCTGGGTTCAAGTGATTCTCCAGCCTCAGCCTCCTGAGTAGCTGGAATAATAGGTGCCTGCCACCACGCCCAGCTAATTTTTTTTGTATTTTCAGTAGAGATGGGGTTTCTCCATGTTGGCCAGGCTGGTCTCGAACTCCTGATCTCAGGTGATCTGCCTGCCTCGGCCTTCCAAAGTGCTGGGATTATAGGCATGAGCCACCATGCCCGGCCAGCAATCCTTTCTAACATGTAGGGCCACACACCAAACAGAACAGAGGCTTTCTCTGGAAAGGGGGCTGGGGGGAGGTGGACAATAGCAACCTGACCAACTGTACTATTTTGACTTTTTACAAGGAAAAGTATTTCAGTATTACTTACAACATTTTTTTTAAATAGATGTTTTCTTTTCAAAGCAGTTACCTTGATAAATCATATATGGAGTCGGAATTTACTACAACTATTTATATAAATTTCATAAGTGAAATTTATTTTTTAAAATTTATTTTATTATTATTATTTTTTGAGACAGAGTCTCGCCCTGTCACCCAGGCTGGAGTGCAGTGGTGTGATCTCGGCTCACTGGAACCTCCGCCTCCCGGGTTTAAGCGATTCTCCTACCTCAGCCTCCCAAGTAGCTGGGATTACAGGCCCACACCACCACGCCTGGCTAATTTTTGTATTTTTAGTAGAGACGGGGTTTTGCCACGTTGGCCAGGCTGGTCTCAAACTCCTGACCTCAGGCCTCCCAAAGTGCTGGGATTACAGACATGAGCCACCACACCCAACCAAAATTTACTTTTAATATGTAATCATATGGCTTCCATTTCTAAATGCCTTCAGATCACATTTTAAGCCTAAAAGAAAATCAGTCTCGGCCAGGCGCCGTGGCTCACGCCTGTAATCCAGCACTTTGGAAAGCCAAGTTGGTTAGATCACCTGAGGTCAGGAGTTCAAGAGCAGCCTGGCTAACATGGTGAAACTCTGTTTCTACTAAAAATAGAAAAAATTAGCCAGGCATGGTGGAGTGCGCCTGTAATCCCAGCTACTCAGGAAGCTGAGGCAAGAGAATTGCTTGAACCCTGGAGGCGGAGGTTGCAGTGAGCCGAGATCATGCCACTGCACTCCAGCTTAGGCAACAAGAGTGAAACTCCGCTTAAAAAAAAAAAGTAAAGAAAATCAGTCTCGATATATTTTAAATAAGAGTGGTAAAGAATAGAGAATGGGCCGGATTCGGTGGCTCGAGCCTGTAATCCCAGCACTTTGGGAGGCCGAGGCGGGCAGATCACTTGAGGTCAGGGGTTCGAGACAAGCCTGGCCAACATAGTGTGAAACCCTGTCTCTACTAAAAATACAATAATTAGCTGGTGGGCACCTGTAGCCCCAGCTACTCAGGAGGCTGAGGCAGGAGAATCGCTCGAACCCAGGAGGCAAAAGGCTGCAGTGGGCCGAGATCGCACCACTGCATTCCAGCCTGGGTGACAGAGTGAGACTCCGCCTCAAAAAAAAAAAAAGATTCATTATCTCCACACACACACACACAAAGATGAGAAAATGGCATCTGTACGCCTATGTTTATTGCAGCACTATTTACAATAGCAAAGACTTGGAAGCAACCCAAATGCCCATCAGTGATAGACTGGATAAAGAAAATGTGGCACATATACACCATGGAATGCTATGCAGCCATAAAATAGAATGAGTTCTTTATAGGGACATGGATGAAGCTAGAAACCATCATTCTCAGCAAACTAACACAGGAATAGAAAACCAAACATCACATGTTCTCACTCATAAGTGGGATTGAACAATGATAACACATGGAAGGGAACATCACACACTGGGGCCTATCAGGGGATGGAGGGCAAGGGGAGGGAGACCATTAGGACAAACACCTAATGCATGCGGGGCTTAAAACCTAGATGACAGGTTGATAGGTGCAGCAAACCAACATGGCATGTGTACCTATGTAACAAACCTTCATGTTCCGCACATGTATCCCAGGACTTAGAGTAAAATAGAAAAAAAAATTACAATATTAGTCTTCATTAAAACAATCTCTACTGGAACCTTTTCTACATCTCCTAATTAAACGTAGTGTCCAACATAAACTTTTCTTTCTGTTGTGGTGGTGGTGGCGGTAAAGAATCAAGCTTTATGTAAACTTGGTCAATAATAAGATTATCTCATTCTACTAAAAAAAAAAGAAGAAGAAGAAAAGAAAATGGCATTTTTTTTAAAAAAAAAAAAGAGGAAGGGGACTTGTAGTATGATTCCACCGAGTTTTTTGAAAATGTCATACCAAGGGTATATTTGAATATGTCCAGAACGGAGTCTAAAAAGATGTTAGGGCCGGGCGCAGTGGCTCATGCCTGTAATCCCAGCACTTTGGGAGGCTGAGGTGGGCAGACCACGAGGTCAGTGGTTCGAGACCAGCATGACCAACACGGTGAAACCCTGTCTCTACTAAAAACACAAAAATTAGCCGGACGTGGTGGTGCACGCCTGTAATCCCAGCTACTCAGGAGGCTGAGGCAGGAGAATTGCTTGAACCCGGGAGATGGAGGTTGCGGTGAACGAAGATGGCGCCACTGCACTCCAGCCTGGGCAACAGAGTAAGACTCCGTCTCAAAAAAAAAAAATATGATGTTAACAGTGGTTGTCTATAGGTGGTGATATTAAAGGTAATTCTTATCTCTATTTCCTGAAGTTTTTACAAAAAAACCATTGATTTGTTTTGTAACATGCAAAGAACAAAAATGGCTAGCTCCTGAGGATATTATAAAGGTTTGCCACAAAGTTTGAAGATAATTCCAAATGAGGAAGAGTAAAAATGTTTTGATCAGTGATAGAATTTTTGGAATAAATATAATGACAGTATAATTAAATCTATCCTCTCAAAACGACTGTTTTGATGCATTCATTTGAATGTAAAATTTGGGAGCACTCATACTTTAACAATAACAATAAAACCCACAATCATTTCGATCTGTTTCACAGCAAAGGAGGATATAAAGCCAAGAATTTATCTCCCTTTGTCACTCAGGCTGGAGTGCAGTGGTACAATCATAGCTCACTGTGGCCTTGAACTCCTGGGCTCACCTAATCCTTCTGCTTCAGCCTCCCAAGTACCTAGGACTATGGGTGTGACGGAGCACACTCAGCTATTTTTTTTTTTTTTTTTGGTAGAGATGGAGTCTCACTATGTTTCCCAGGCTGGTCTCAAACTCCTGGTCTCAAGCAATCCTCCTGCCTTGGCCTCCCAAAGCGCTGGGATTACAGGTGTGAACCACCATGCCCAGTAAAGTTTAGACTTCAAACAACATTAAAAAAACTCTTCCTAATACAACAAACATAGAACTATTTTATGAGAAATTTTTAATTCTTTAGTTCTGTACTACAGTAATTGGTATTTCCTAGCTCTTTCTCATCCACTGTAAACAGACTACAATCTAAAGAGATAAGCAGAGAAAAAAATGAGGCTGTTTTCAAGACTAATATTATCTTTTTCTCACAGAAAACCAAGTTCTGTTTCATCTTTGGAGGGTAGAATTCACCACAAAATTAGGTCAGCAAAGCAAACAAAATGTCTCATCTGCAATTGTTTCATTTTCTACTCTTTAAAGATAGCGATTAGATTTTATAAAATTCATGTAGAAAAATAATAAACTTGTGCGATAAACAGGAAGAAAACCTTAGGGCCAAAGAGTGAGATAATTGTTCATTTAGGCAGGTTTTGAGTCATCCAGTTGGGCTATACTGGTTTTAAAGACTTGGAACACAGATAATATGTAATTTATCAAGTCCAGAATTTATTTTGAACTTCCTCATCCAGACAGAAATTTACTGCTACTTAAGACTCCTATATATATGTGTTTTTTTCTCTATTAGAATGGCATCCTGGGACCCACTCAATCTTTTCTGAATTAAGGAAATATAGGGAGGAAAAAATCGTTGGGAAACATTTACTTCAAGTTTAGCTTTTCAAATGCATCTGTGTTTCCAAGCAACTAATAAAATGTACATCATTTAATAGGAGAGCTAGTCTGTCAAAGTAAAATCTATCTGGGCAGGGCATGCTGGCTCATGCCTGTAATCCCAGCACTTTGGGAGGCCGAGGTGGGCGGATCCTTTGAGCCCAGGAGTTCAAGACCAGCCTGGGCAACAGGCTAAAGGTGAAACCCCCTCTCTACAAAAAATACAAAAAATTATCTGGGAATGGTGGCACGTGCCCATAGTCCCAGCTACCCAGGAGGGTGAGGCAGGAGGATCGCTTGAGCCTGGGAGGTGGAGGTTGCAGTGAGCTAAGATTGTGCCACTGCACTCCAGCCTGGGAGACAGAGCATGATTCTGTCTCAAAAAAAAAAAAAAAAATCTATCTAGACACAGGTTTCTATCTAGACACATGGCTCTGTCTCAAAAAAAAAAAATCTACCTAGACATGGGTTTCATATCTCTTTTTTTGTTGTTGTTTTTTTTGACATAGGGTCTCATTCTGTCACTCAGGCTGGAATGCAGTGGCACAATCACAGCTCAATGCAGCCTCAACCTCCTGGGCTCAAGTGATCCTCCCATCTCAGCCTCTCAAGTAGCTGGGACTACAGGCAGGCACCACCATACCTGGCTAATTTTTGCATTTTTTGTAGAGACGGGCGGGGTTTCGCCATGTTGCCCAGGTTGGTCTCAAACTCCTGGACTCAAGGAATTCTCCTGCCTCAGCCTCCCAAAGTGCTGGGATTACAGGTGTGAGCCACCACGTCGGGCCTAGACCCGGGTTTCATATCTTAACAGACCACCATGTGCACAGAGAACTCTAAACTCACTAATGAAAACTGCCTTTGACTTCATCTCAGTTATTCATGTGCGTTTTTCTTCTTTAAGGAAAACTGTAAGCCTTTTTTGGAAAAAAAAAATCATGTACAAGACTCAATTCGGTTGATAACCATCTGACCTCATAATGAAAATCTGTGCAAAAATAAGGAACAAAAACAAGTAAAGTAAATGTTTGGACTATACCCAGCAACTTTAACAGGACTCCCAAATGGTGTGACTCCACAAACAGGCTCAGTTCTATCTGCCAAGTGAGGTAAACCATCAACAGACAATGTAGGAAACTTCTTGGAGCCCGTATAATCACTTTTTGCTTACTTACTCACTCACCAGTCTAACCCATGTCACATGAATCAGCATCTCTAATAGGAGAGGAGACTCATTTTCAGCAAGCACAAACAAAAACAGGCTAGTTCACAAGGACTGAAGTTTGTGGAATGGGGGAAAAGAAAAAAAGAACCTTTATTAGTTAGTTTCATATATTCCATTTTAAAAGACTGTTCAGAAGAAGGAATAGACTTCTTTTCAGGAATATCTGAAAAAAGAAACTACTGGGAATTCCTCCACACTAAGGCAATGAACATGCACTTGTGGATCTATCTCTAGCTCCCACAGAGGGGGCTCCTCATCCTCATGGAACCAAACAAAGAAGTCCTTAAGCGGGAGCCAGTGTGGGCTTTGAATAAAACACGCTGCATTGCTTCAAACAGCCAGAAATAGGAAGACAAAGGATAACTGCACTTAAAGTGCCTTTAAAACAATATTCACTTAAAATTCAACTATACTATCCATAATGCATAAAGCTGTATCAGGAAAATATAGCTTAACAATCAAAGTCATAGGCTTTCAGCATACTGAAAACTCTACGACCCTTGCCCTACATTCCTGCTTCTCCAAGTTTTAGTGAACACTGAAAATAAGTTTAAAAACCTACCACATTAAGAAATTGGCACTGATTAAATTTTCTAACAAAACTGGCATGAGGCTATGCAAAAATTAGGAAAAACTCAGCAAAAGTGAAAAATAAATAACTTCCAAATTCTAAAATATAACTTTAGACTAGGATTTTTTTGTCCCTGAAAATATATAAAGTTTCATGCTGTATGAACTAACTGTAAAATTCCACTTAAGCATTATTGGGGAAAATCAACTGATACACTCTTTCAATTCCTTTATTTTAAAGATCTCTTAGTACTTTCTTGTCATATTAAAAATAAGTCTAAACTTTTTGAAACAGATATCTTTGCTATTGAGATTTATTACACACCTAATAACATGCATTTATATATCTAATTTTAAATGTACAATACAAACAAATATGCAAGTTCGTTTCCTAGCCTCTAAGAAGTTCCAGTCTAGCCTAGAAAGGACATGGGTGTGGAACACATATACATATAGATTATAAATTAAACCTTTACGTCATAAAAGTCTACAAATATCAACAGGCCTCATGGGGTAATCAATTCATTTATCATAAATGTCTGGTACATCATCTACTTTTCTCCTCCACTGTGCCTCTAATCTCTCCGTTCTTTTAATGTATCGTTTTACTTCTTCTTTCTCCTCTTCCAGTGTTAGTTACAACTGTGAGGCTATCTGCATTTCAGAAGTAGATAGAAGAATGCTACAGTGTCCTGAGCAGAATTCATTTCCAAATGAGAAGTGAAATAACCCAAGTTAATTCACGTTTTACAGTTGTTAAGTCCAGAGTGCTAACCTGCAAGCATAGATTACTTCAGTGGACAAATGTGATACAAGAGGAACAGAAAACACCTTACATTGATATAGTGCTTTGTAGTTCACGGTTCTTTTCGCATATTATCTCAATTGAATCTCCCAACAATCCTGTGAGATACAGAGGGACATACTACTATCCCCACAGGATCATGATCAGAGGACGCTGAGAGATTAAGAAATCTCAACTGGCCCGGCATGGTGACTCATGCCTGTAATCCCAGCACTTTGGGAGGCCAAGGAGGGCAGATCACTTAAGGTCAGGAGCTCAAGACCAGTCTGGCCAACATGGTGAAACCCCATCTCTAATAAAAATACAAAAACTAGGCCAGGCGTGCTGGTGCATGCCTGTAGTCCCAGCTACTTGGGAGGCTAAGGGAGGAGACCGGCTTGAACCCAGGAGGCGGAGGGTGCGGAGAGCCAAGACTGCGCCAGTGCACTCCAGCCTGGGTGACAGGGCAAGACTCCGGCTCAAAAAAAAAAAAAAAAAAAAAGAAATCTCAACAAGGTCGCTCAGCCAGAAACACAACTAGAACCTGAGGCTGAAAAGATTGCATCCAGAGCTACAGAGCAGTTTTTTCTTCGTCTCTGTGATCCACTGTCTAACTTCTTCGAAAGGTAAGAAAGGAAAAAGAAACAACCAATTGATTCTGCACATAAAAAATGTATTTATGTGAGTAAAAATGTAGTTACTATAATTCCTCAAGAAGAATTCCCTTGAAGATGCTTAAACTGTTAGGGAAAAAAAACCTTCATTATCTTTCCAAATATGTGGCTTTTAAAATAATGCTCAAGTATAAAAGTTACATTACTCTTCCAATTTACAGATGATTTTCCTTTTCCATTTAGCATTGTAATTCTCCGCGCAGTTCTAGTAACATACTAGTAACATGGTAAGAAAATTAATTTCAGGAAGACAGGCAATGTAAGTATTACACTAAGCCACAAAGAATGTGTGAGGTAATAACACCTCATAGTCATGGACATGTTCACTCAGGCTCCTTGGTGTGGTGAGCTCTGAGTACAGGTCATGTTATTTGCCCTTGAGGAAGGAAGTGACACAGACCAGTTTTCACTAGGCCACCTTCTTGCCCTGGAGGCTTCAGTTAGCAGCTGATGATTTCCCAATTTCCAGCCCACGTCTGTGGCAGGAAAAGTCCATACCCTGGGGTTCTACATCAACTGATTTCCCCCTTCCAATGCCCAGATATTTCAGCAAGCCCAACCTGTTCAAAACCAAACCATCACCTCCCCCTCAAACCAAATTCAACCTTCTTCCACTTTCCCACCTCAATGAATAGTTCCCACCTCAATGAATAGATCCCACAGTCAAAAGTCAAAAGCCTGGGCAGAAACCTTAATTTATCCTTCTCCCTCATCTACCACATCCAACTGACTACCAAGTTTTGAAATAAAAAATACTTTTGGAGAGCCCCAAGACCGTGCACCACCGTAACACAGGTAGTTACAAGATGCCATCTTACAAGATGCCAACTAAAAGTAACAGCTCACATTTCTTCAGCCCTTACTTTGGGCCAAGCACTGTTCTAAGCTTTGCGTAGGAATGAATTTAATCCACACAATAATTTGAGGTTGGTAAGCATCTCATCCTTGTTTTACAAATGAGGAAGCAGCTACAGAAAACTTTAGTATCTCTCACAAGGAACACAGTGAAGCCCAAGGTCTTAACACTGTTCTGAACACTCTCACACTTCTGTGTCCTTGCATGTGCTTTTCTTCTCTGTTTGGAAGGCCCTTTCAACCTTGTCTGCCTAGCTCCAAAGATCAGCATAGGCATGTTCTTCTCTATAAAGCCTTCTGATGCCCCCTGCTGTTGCTCTTCCCTCTAAGTCAGTAGATCTCAAGGCTGGCTGCTTGCTCCAAAAACTAGATGCCTAATCCTACCCCTAGAGATTCTTGATGTCATTGGTATAGGTTCTAGACTGGGCATCGGGACTTTTAAAAGCTCCCCAGGTGGCTCTAACATGCAGTCAAGGTTGAGACCCACTGCATCGTTAACGGACCTTTAATGTCTGTGCTGGTAAGTGCATTGTGAGCTTCTGAAATGAAAGTTTCATAATCACCTTGGGGGGCTTTTTCAAAACTAGCAGTTCCTGGACGCCAACTAAAAAGTCAGTCAGAACCATGCGCAGGGGCTTGGAAACTGTCTCCTTGAATAATTCTGATTTGTGGCCAGATTTGGGACCTCTCTCCTAGATAAGAACTGGGTCTTTTCACTTGTACCCACCAGGGTCCAGCATGATGCCCAGCCCATAGTTGGACTAGGATAAAATCTGTGTAATGAAGGAAATCTAATAACGTGAATCTGGGTATATGTATCCAATATTCAAACTTCCTGCAGCAGCACAAGGAAAAGCTGCTTCCTACAATGGAATGCAAATACTGGGCAGCTTTTCAAATGTGTTTTTTAATCCACCAATGCCCCCTAGTGACCTGAAGATGAATAACTATATCAAAACATCGCAGTATATATTTTAAGTACAATGTGTACTTAATATGCACATAACTAGTCAGACACACTGCACTTTTACTACCATTGTACTTTTACTACCAACACCTATACTATTAACTCCTTTGCCCTCCAGTTCTAGTTAACCCAAGCTGTTAACTCCCAAACCCCGATCAATCCTACCGTTTACTCCATCCCCACTCTGCACAAACATACAGGAGTGCTCTCAGCAGAGCCCTCAAAGGGTCTGGCCTATCTTTTTGTTCCTTGGTCAGTGCCTCTCCCAAATCCCACCATGTTCATAAGACCATCCATCTCGAAAACACAAGAACCATTCATCTACCGATTGGCTTCAATTCTTGCTAGTCAAAGGGGACCAACGAAAACTATAGAACTAGTTAAAAAATGGAGAATCTGGCCGGGTGCGGCGGCTCACGTCTGTAATCCCAGCACTTTGGGAGGCTGAGGCGGGTGGATCACAAGGTCAGGAGTTTGAGACCAGCCTGGCCAGCATGGTGAAGCCCCGTCTCTACTAAAGATACAAAAAATTAGCTGGGCATGGTGGCGCGCACCTGTCAATCCCAGCTACTCAGGAGGCTGAGGCAGAGGAATTGCTTGAGCCCGGGAGGCGGAGGTTGCAGTGAGCAGAAACTGCGCCACTGTACTCAAGCCTGCGTGATAGAGCGAGACTCCATCTAGAAAAAAAAAAAAAAATGGAGCATTTGAGGCCGCATCCCAGACCTACTGAATTGGAATCCATTTTAACAAGAGTCACATGCCCATTAAAGTTTGACAAGCACTGGTTCTCAACTACTAGACCTAACATCACCATTTTATGACAAATATTTTCTGACACTCTTCTGGTATCCTGAAATAAAATTCATCACTAAGTTACATGCATAAGTCCAAAAAGTAAATCAGTATACTCTGATGGTAGCATAAAGGTGAATAAAAAGGAAAGATTTATGTGAATTATATTTCAGTATGTAAATGTTCAACACAACTAAAGACATAAAGAACAACCCCATTTTCAGTTATAATTTTTGCAAAGTTAAAAACGAAAAAAGAAAAAAAGAACAACCCCACAAGTTTCCAAAACATACCATTCTGTTGAGTCGTACCATTCTATGGAGAACCACTGGTCTACAATCTCTCGCACCTTTCTTTTCCTTCCATCTCTCGGGTGGGAATATCTCTCCCTTGCACAGCTGAGGTATTCTCTCTAGAATCTTGACTGAACATATCCTTCTAGTTACCAAATTCTCTCTCCTTCCCTTGATAGTCAAGCTTATCAACCATCATAGTGTCCACTTACTTGGCCCTCAGTCACCAACCCAGGTTAATCTACCCTTCACTTCCATCAGTAAACCTAAAGTATAAGGATCATGAAAGCTTTCCAAAGTGCCCAAATCAGTGAACACGACTCATGATATGTAACTAACTCATATCTCATCTAGCTTATATCTCCGTCATGGACATTGTTGGTTGCATATCCAGTCTCTATTCTCCCTCTTCCTTCCTAAAAGAACTCCATTGTGTTCATGAATGCATTCCTCTCCCCTGTGATTAAGTGACGCCACCCTGGGTTGATCCTGTTTAGTCTAAGCCAATCAGATCATGGCATTCCTCTGACAACTGTTACAGGGTCAGACAACTGACCTAAGTTGGTCCAATCAGACTGAAGGACCAAGTGTGGGAGTTTTTTCTCTCTCCTCCTCCTCTTGCTCTAGAGAATGAGAAAGTGTGTATGTTACTAGTAGTCATCTTGCAACCCTAAAGGAAACCAACCTGACTGTGGAAACCCAAGAAGAGATGGGTCCTTGATGACACTGGTTTTTTTTTTTTTTTTTTTTTTGGGACGGAGTCTCGCTGTCTCCCAGGCTGGAGTTCAGTGGTGCGATCTCAGCTCACTGCAACCTCCGCCTCCCGGGTTCTTGCCATTCTCCTGCCTCAGCCTCCCGAGTAGCTGAGACTACAGGCACCCGCCAACACACCCGGCTAATTTTTTGTATTTTTAGTAGAGACAGGGTTTCACCATGTTAGCCAGGATGGTCTCGATCTCCTGACCTCGTGATCCGCCCGCCTCGGCCTCCCGAAGTGCTGGGATTACAGGCGTGAGCCACCGTGCCTGGCCTGACACTGTTGACCAACTGAATCAGAGCCTGGAATCCATTCTTCCTCTGGACTTTGTGAGAGAATTTTCCTTACTATTTAAGCAGTTGGGTTTTCCCAGCTGAAAGCATCCTAACATAGCCATTTCTCCTTGAAACTTTTCTCCCTCGATTTTCTAAACATCACTCTTTTCTGCTCCTACTTCTGCTTCTCAAGTCTGGCCTCCCCCTTTCCTCTGCCTACTCCTACATTTTGGTGTCCTCCAAGGTTTGTTGTGATCTTTTCTACCCAAAGTACATGTTCACCTGAAATAATCTCAGTTCAGTCGGGCGCGGTGGGTCACACCTGTAATCCCAGCACTTTGGGAGGCCAAGGCGGGCGAATCACGAGGTCAGGAGTTCGAGACCAGCCTGGCCAACACATGGTGAAACTCCGTCTTTATTAAAAATACAAAAAAATTAGCCAGGCGTGGTGGCGGGCGCCTGTAATCCTAGCTACTCAGAGGCTGAGGCAGGAGAATCACTTGAACCCAGGAGGCGGAGGCTGCAGTGAGCCAAGATCGCACCACTGCACTCCAGCCCGGACAACAGGGCCAGACTCTGTCTGAAAAAAATAATAATGATAACAATAATAATAATAATAATAATCTCAGCTCACTATGTCTTTCCCTTGACACATCAAAACTGAGCTTCCAGCACTTCCCCCAATGGAATACCACTGATGTTCCCCACCCCTTTTACCTGAAGAACTCCTACCTGTCTCAAAACTAAATTTAAGTGTCCCGTCTGTGAAGCCTTCTCTGAAGTCCCCAGGGGTTCCTTACCTTTTTTTCTGCCGTGGACCTCTTTGGCCGTCAGTGAGTCCTATAGACTCCTTCTCAAAATAATGCTTCTAATTGCATACAAAAAAGTCCCAACTATATTGAAATAATCTTATTTTTTAAACTCAAATATCTGATATAAGCAGTATGTGCTTCTTTACTAGCCCACTAAACAAAAAGATCTAGCAGTGAGTCTTATAACTACCATAGTTCTGAAGTAGTAATGAGCATAAGTGATATTTTGACATCTGCAACAACTGTAATGTAATATGAAAATGTCTGTGACTTGTGCTGGTACTGTGACTTCTACTGGTAACAGGTACTGCTAATACTACTGTGATTTGTTACAGTAGGAACTTGTAAAATGAATGGCCCCCAGCGAAGTGCACCAACTCATATCTATGACCTTGTGTGGTTCCCCACCATATCAACTCTGGACTTGGCTACGTGACTTGTTTTGACATCAGCAAACATGATGCTGTGTTTGTGCCTTGGGACTTGCCCTCTTGGAAGTCAGTAACCAAGTGAGGAAGTCCAACCTAGGCACATGGAGGGGCACCAAGCCCCCAGACATGGGAGTGAAGCCAACTTTCAGTCAAGTCACCAGCAGAACTGCCCAGCCAACCCAGATTTTGAGAAACAATTCTTGTTTTAAGGCACTGGTTTGCAGTGATTTGTTACCCAACAATAGATAACTGAGACATTACCCATATGCGTAACTAAAGGAAGTGCTCAATTCCAATTGGAGATTGCTAAAAATAGTTATGTTTTTTCCCCATCAAAGTTCAGGGATCCTCTGAAATCTATGTGCAGATCCTTTGAGGAGCTGAGGGCCCCAGGTTAGGAACCCCTGGTTAAGCCAAGTGGATCCTGCTCTCCTTTTTACTACTTTACTACACTGTTGGTACACATATAGTTAAACTGGCCACAGCATATCTTTCCTTGTTGTAACCCTGAAATGGAGCTGAGCTCCTAGCACATAACAGGTGTTTAACACACAAATTTATCAAATGAATGTTGATTATAGGATCTGTCTTCCTGACTAAACTGTGAGCTGCCTGAAAACAGAGTAAGAGCAAATACTAGGCCTTTTCCAAGTGCTTTACACATACCAACTTACTCCTTATAACAACCCTATGAGGTAGATGTTATTACCCCAACTTCACCAAAGGAAGATAGGCACAGTGACTTGCCCAAGGTCACACAGCTAGAAAGTGGCAATGCCAGGACTAGAAGGCAGAATGCATGTTCTGATTTTACAGCCTTTATTAACGTACCCAAAGCACATTGCAGAGCTCAATAAAACTTTTAAATGAATAGTACAATTCTGAGATTTCATTAGCACTATTTTATGGGTACTATGCTTCTTGAAGACTCAATTTTGTAGATTAATTTCTGGTAGCCTGTGATTTTTTATGACAAAATACATATAATTTACTTTTTAAAAAGTAGAATAATGGCTTTATGCTAAAGTGCAGATTTTCGAAATTAAGTCTTCATCGTAAAAGTCGATTTTTTTCCAAAGGACACGAGTTCACAAAACGCAGGGAAGGGGGTCCACTGGCCCGTATTAAATAATGTTCCCTGAGGAGTGGAGCAAAGCTCCAGCTTCCCTCGTCACCCAGCCATCCCACCCCAGCCTCCCCCATACCCTGCACAGCTTCTCCTAAAATGACCCTCCCCCATCCACACATCAGGTTCTGAAACCTGACCCTGCCAGGCAACTAAAGCCGCGAACCCCACAGTGCCCTGAGCTGGCCTCACCCTACCCACGATCCCAAGAGGGTACTAGCCGAGGGGATGGGTACTTTGGGGGAAGGCACTTTAAATTTTCAAAGTGTTTAATTCACGAAAGCACAACCCAAAGGGCCGCCCCCACCCACCCGGGGGTCTCCCGCCTCCGCCCGGCAGCCGCTCATCCCCAGTAGACCAGTGAATGAACCGCGGGGCCGGGACGCAGCCGGCCCAGTGGCGGGAAAAGCCTCGGGGTGAGCCAGGCCTGGCTGCAGAGAGGCCCCAAGAGAGCGCGGGGAGGGCTCGGGCGGCCGGGAGGGGGCGGTGACAGCTGTGACTCGACTCCACGCTCTCACCTTGAACATGTCGCTGGCAGCGGAGGCTCCGGCAGGGTCACCCCGGCCTCGGCCACGCCCACTATAGAGAGGTGACTACGGAGGCCCGGTAGGGCCTTGATTTCTCCAACCGCAAGCAGGCAGCGGTGCGGGTGACGGCCGTACTGCAAACTCGGTGCGGCGAAGGTTTAGTTCAATCACCCGGTTCTAGAAGCCGCGTCGCTGAGCCGCAGCGCGTCGCGCCCGGGCAGCGGGTGAACGCAAACCCCGCCCTCCAGGAGGCTCCGCCCCTGCGCCGGCGGTTGCTAGGCGGCAAGAAAGCGCCGGCTCTGTGTGGACGGTACGCGGAGGCGCGAGGAGGGAGGCGCCTGGCGTTGCCGCGGCGCTGGGAAACTGTCTTTGCAGCGGCGACTGGGCGCCCAGCGGCGTGTACTGGGATTTCTGTGAGCAGAGGCTGCCGAGAGGGGGCGCTTGGAGGGCCACCGGCGGCTTCGAAAGCTTCGCAGCCGGAAGCCGCCGGTTGGCGGCCTGGATTTACCTTACGAAAGGTTTTAACCAAGGACTTGAGGTTTCTCAGGTTTTAAATTTAAACTAATATGCTGTGTCCTTTAATCGGAAAAGGCTCTGACCTTATTTTTTCCCGTTAAGAAACAAGCGGTAAGCCTCCTCTCTGGAAATCAAATGTTTGTCCCTTAATACTTGTAGAAGTAACTGATAATGGCAATAATTATCTTATTAACAAGAGTAAACAAGCACTGATACAGCACTTTGATATGCGCAGCCCTGATCTAAGTTCTTTATTCACATTCATCTAATCTTTCCAACAACGGAAGTAGGTGGGCATGATTATTATTCCCAATACATAGATGAAGAAACTGAGGCACGTAGAAGTAATTTGTACAAGACCACATAGGAAGTGGGAAGCTAGGATCCAAACCCATTAGTCTGCCTTTGAAACCTGTGTTCTAGCCAAAACAATTGTTGCACTGTCTCATAATGAGGATGTATTTCCTATTTCATTCTGTATTTCTGCCCTAATCCTATAAAAAGTGTAAGCCCCATCCAGGCGAGCATCTGGAAAAATTTAGAATTTGTACAGTGACGTGCCACTGCCCTCCAGCCAAAGACCACTAGGGGCACACCTGTAGTTGAAGAAATTGGGTTTCTCATTGCTGCAAGGAGAACGCACACGTAGGAACACAGTGACATATTTCAGTAAAAGAGTTAGATTTATTATAGGATTTGGGCTTTGGTTCGGTGATTTTGGGGCGAGTTCAAGGAAGCAGGAGCTTTGCTCTGGATCGGGTGTTGTTAGGAAGCAGTGGTAACACCAAGGCCCAGCTGTGACTGCCAGCCTTGGTGTTAGTTAAGCCCAGCTTAGCTCCCAGATGTTAAGGGCTGCTTTTCTCTTTCTTAAGAGGATTGTATATTCCAAGGCATCCCCAAGGAGAAATACTGAATAGACTCAGAAGGCTCTCTGCATCAGCAGTGTAACGTCACACATACATAAAAATGTGAAACATATTGATAAATTAGGGCAGAAGTTCTTAATTCAGGGGGTATGTGAACTTGTATGGGGGAAAAAATGACAACTTCATTTTCACTAACCTCTAACTGAACTTTGTTTCTTTCAATTATAGTGTAGATAACAAGCCACAGTAGTATTAACATTGATGACTTTGTCATCAATGGAAAGCACAGATATTTTCATGTTACATTGCAGTCATGTCAGGGATCTTGAAATATTTATGCTCGTTACTACAAAAATACAGTAGTTATTAGAGCTCATTTAATGCATTAAGAAGACACATTTACTATAATTTTGTTTTAAAAAATATTTTGATGATTTCAATATAATTGGAGCACCTTGTAATCCTATGTATTTTATGTTATGCGTTTTAAAACCAATTCTTAGAAGAGATCTGTCCATAGGGGTCCATGGCACCAAAAGAAATGATAAAGAGCCCCTGGTTTAGTAACAGAGACCAAGCAGTGAGTAAGAATTTGGGAGCTGCATCCAAATTGGAGCATTACTGCATCCAAACTCGTTGCTTTAAAGAATAGAAAGTTGGAGGTGGAATCAGAAATTTAGTGTATACCCTCTCACTTTACCAAGGAGGGAACTGAACCACTGAGAGGTTAAGTGACTTGCCCAAAGTCTCACTGCTATTTGGTGATAAAACTGGGACAAAACGTTTTTAGACAAACATGTAAAAACTCTCCACTGTGCTAGGCACTGAGGACTCTGTAGTTAACAAGATGCCTCCTGCCCTCAATGAGCTTGTTGGTAGACAGCTGGAGAGTGAGGAGATTGAATTATTGAGTTAAAAAGTTAACTCCAGGTGTAGTGTGGAAGATGAATAAGAGGAGAAAAAGACTGGAGACAGACCAGTTAGAAGGCTATGGATAGATTTACTTGTCTTTTCCATATACCATATAATATTTTTAGTACACAAAGAATGTAAACTGTAAGCAACTTTAAGAGATCCACAATGCCTTCCTTTTTAAAGGATTCAGAATTAGTACAACAATCATATGGCACTTGAGTCTTGTCCAAACAGTGTAATAGTATAAATTATGACCTCAAAGGGTTAATTTATGTACTTTCAGATTACTTCATTGGAGGGAAAATGAATCGTTCCTCAAATGTACCACGTAAAGGTATTCTGAAATCAGGTACAAGATCCTTACAAAAAGTTCGCAGAGTACATTTCGCAAATGCACGAAATGCAAGATCATTACTATCGTAAGTACCTGTGTTTTGCCTTGTGTTATCTTCCACAACTGTACAGTTTCCAAACAGTACTTATTCAGATAACTTCAAATGCTTCTTGTTTTGTAAATCAAAGTTTTTGTGTTTTAAAATTACTTTCAAATTGAGTAATTATAATTGCATTTTCTAATTTACAAAGCATATTAACACACATCTACTTGATCCTGATACAACCTTGTGAAACAATTTTTACATTTTATAAATGAAGTAGTAGCAACCGGGAGAAGGTAAGTGGCTTGCAGAAAGTTATCAGCTAATAAATGGCATCAGATAGGATTCAAAGGTTTGTTTCCACACTTCAGGCTTTTTCCTTTCTTTTTTTTTTTTTTTTTTTTTTTCAGACAGAGTCTCACTCTGCCACCCAGGCTGGAGTGCAGTGGTGCGATCTCGGCTCACTGCAACCTCTGTCTCCTGGGTTCAAGCGATTCTCCTGCCTCAGCCTTCCGAGTAGCTGGGATTACAGGCATGCACCACCACGCCTGGCTAATTTTTATATTTTCAGTAGAGACGGGGTTTCACCATATTGGCCAGGCTGGTCTCGATCTCCTGGCCTCAGGTGATCCCACCCGCCTCGGCCTCCCAAACTGCTGGAATTACAGGCGTGAGTCACTGTGTCTGGCCTAGCCTTTTCTTCTTTATATCTTGTAGCCTGCATTTTGCCAGCCAATGGGTAGCATTATGCAGGAGTACCTGTCTTTGTACATAGCGCTGTAAGGGGTAATGATGGGGTGAGAAGGTATGAAGGAGGAGACCCCTACAATCTGCCAGTGCTGGGATATGATCAAAAGTAGAATAATTCCGACTTGACCTGGATGAGCCTGGTTCAAGCAAAGATCAGAGAAGGAAGTTTCTTTTTCTAGGGCATAGTCATCCACCCCCAGAAGAGAACTGGGCCTCCTGTAACTTTGACTATTCCCCATTCCATTTTCATAGCACTTGAACTAGTTGGACGTTTCATTTTAGGTCGTGAATGTTTTTGGGAAGTAAGCTTGTCTCCTCATACTTTTTATTTATAATATACATGCCTCTTAATGATATATTTATATTTTATATGCCTTTTGATGACAAAGTTTTGGCCAGGACTTTTTTTTTTAATCTCAAGGGAAATCTCCTCAAGTATTTCATATCCTCATTCTGAGTAGATTCTGCAAATGACCACTTCCAATTACCACATCCAAATGTTCCTCATTAGGTCAGTCTTAGAGTGGGGGATGGGGAGGTACAGGAGGAGGAAGCATAAATTGATAGTTCTCTAAGGTTTTAGGAAAATGAAAACTACTTTATAAATATTAACCTCTTTTTTTCTCTCAGAATGCTTAAAGACATTTCAGCTCAAATAATACAGAGGGCTTGGTTATCTCATACAAACAAAATGATATTTCGACTCCTAAAACACGCAATTTGTGCAGCGGTATGTATTTTGCTTATTTTTTTCTCTGAGGGATTTAATTATCAAGCTAAAAGATCTATTAATTAAAGATCGAATAGATAACCTTCTTTATCTCCTCTTTTTTTTTTTTTTTTGAGAGGGAGTCTGGCTCTTTCACCCAGGCTGGAGTGCAGTGGCACAATCTTGGCTCACTGCAACCTCTGCCTCCCAGGTTCAAGCGATTCTTCTGCTTCAGCCTCCCAAGTAGCTGGGACTACAGGCACCTGTCACCATGCCTGGCTAATGTTTTGTATTTTTAGTAGCGATGGGGTTTCACCATGTTAGCCAGGATGATCTCGATCTCCTGACCTCGTGATCTGCCTGCCTTGGCCTCCCAAAGTGCTGGGATTACAGGCGTGAGCCACCACGCCCGGCCCTTTCTTTATCTCTTCTATTTGGATCTAATAATATCACGTGGAGTTCTGGAATTGTTTCTTCTGTTAGCCCTAGATGAGTATTTCTGGATTTTTTAAAATGTGGATGACTATTACTTTTTTCTGAAATTAATATACTGCTTGCCTTGTTTTGTTTTTAAATTTGATTCCTTATTTGAAAATGTGAGACAGTTCTCTTCCAACAATAAAAAGCTCCGAATCTGCAAGGTGCAGCATCTCACGCCTGTAATCCCAGCACTTTGGGAGGCCAAGGCAGGGAGGGCCAGGAGTTCGAGACCAGTTTGGCCAACATTGAGAAACCCTGTCTCTACTAAAATACAAAAAAATAGCCAGGCGTGGTGGCATGAGCCTGTAGTCACAGCTACTTGGGAGGCTGAGGCAGGAGAATTGCTTGAACCCAGGAGGTGGAGGTTATGGTGAGCGGAGATTGCGCCACTACATTCCAGCCTGGGCGACAGTGAGACTCTGTCCCCCTTCAAAAAGCTCTGAATTAAAAGTTCCCTTACCTTTTATCCAGCAATTTTACTTCTAAGAATCTGTTCTACAATACATACACAATTTGATTGCACCGTTGTTTGTAACAGCAAAGGGAGTAAACTGTATAATATCTATTGATATGATGCTGGTTAAATAAGTGTTGCTGCTTTTATAGTGTTAAACTTTGCAGCTTTAACATGATTCTGCAATAGAAAGGAAATGAAGATAGCTCATCAGTTAAAAAAGCAAGCACCAGACAGTATGAAGAGCATGATCCTACTTGAGTGAAAACCAAAACCAAAAAAAAAAGGTGCATATCCCCCCTCCTCCAGAAAGCAACTCTGGCAACCCTAGCAGAGCCTTCCTTGGCATAGTACCAAATATTCTAATAAAACAACCTATAAATCCAGTAGTCTATTATTAGTGATACTCTTTTTTTTCTTTTCTTTTTTGAGATGAAGTCTCACTCTGTTGCCCAGGCTGGAGTGCAGTGGCATGATCTTGGCTCACTGCAACCTCCACCACCCAGGTTCAAGTGATTATCCTGCCTCCGCCTCCCTAGTAGCTGGGACTACAGGTGCGTGCCGCCATGCCCAGCTAATTTTTTTTTTTTTGTACTTTTAGTAGAGACAGGGTTTCACCATGTTAGCCAGGCTGGTCTCAAACTCCTGACCTCAGGTGATCCACCCTCCTTGGCCTCCCAAAGTGCTGGGATTACAGGCGTGAGCCACCACACCCGGCCAATTAGTGATACTCTTAAGGGAATTTTAGCAGCTCTGAAAAAAATAATAAAGTCTGAGCAATGTATACACCGTTCACCATCTGACCCACAGACCTATTTCTGATGTCAGTAAAAGCAGAATACGGCTGGGCACAGTGGCTCACACCTGTAATCCCAGCGTGAGCTGGGATCTTTAGGAGGCCGAGGCGGGTGGATTGCCTGAGGTCAGGAGTTCGAGACCAGTCCGGTCAACATGGTGAAACCCCGTCTCTACTAAAAATACAAAAAAATTAGCCGGGCATGGTGGTGTGCGCCTGTAATCCCAGCTACCTTGAACCGGGGAGGTGGAGGTTATAGTGAGCCGAGTTTGAGCCACTGCACTCCAGCCTGGGCGACAGAGCAAGACTCCGTCTGAATACTTCAGAGAAAACCCACCCAGGTAAACTCCTGGCATTTCAGGTCTATTATCCATTGTCTTTGAATATGGAACTTGTATTTAATTTTATAATGCTGGTTTCATAGTATTTTTAGACTTTTGTAACAGAAGGAAATTCTTTTTTATCTGTTATAGTAATACTTTAATACCTTAAATTAATAATGCTTTGTCCTTTTAAAAGCTATTTATTTATTTATTTTGAGACAGAGTCTTGCTCTGTCACCCAGGCTGGAGTGCAGTGGCACGATCTCGGCTCACTGCAACCTCTGCCTCCCGGGTTCAAGCGATTCTCCTGCTTCAGCCTCCCAAATAGCTTGGACTACAGGCGCCTGCCATCACGCCTGGCTAATTTTTGTATTTTTAGTAGAGATGGGGTTTCACCATGTTGACCAGGTTGGTCTCGAACTCTTGACCTCAGGTGATCCTCCCGCTTTGGCCTCCCAAAGTGCCAGGATTATAGGCGTGAGCCGCAGTGCCCAGCCTAAAAGCTCTTTAGTGTACATTTTTATGTGATTATCATAGGCATAACGGGGTTGGTTGGGGTTGTTTGGGGGAAAGAGTTGGGACTTTAGAGTCAAACAGAACTAAATGAATCCTGGCTTCCCCATTCACTACCTGTATGCCTTTTTATAAATTACAAAAATTCCCTGAGCCTCAGCCTTCTCATCTGTAAAATAGGCGTGATAATATTCTCATAATGGGCCAGGTGCAGTGGCTCACGCCTGTAATCCCAGCACTTTGGGAGGCTGAGGCGGGTGGATCACCTGAAGTCGGGAGCTCGAGACCAGCCTGACCAACATGAAGAAACCCCATCTCTATTAAAAATACAAAATTAGCCAGGCATGGTGGCGCATGCCTGTAATTCCAGCTACTCAGGAGGCTGAGCAGGAGAATCACTTGAACCTGGGAGGTGGAGGTTGCGGTGAGCCGAGATCATGCCATTGCACTGCAGCCTGAGTGGTGGCTCACACCTGTAATCCCAGCACTTTGGGAGGCTGAGGCGTGCGGCTCACAAGGTCAGGAGTTCCAGGCCAGCCTGGCCAATATGGTGAAACCCCGTCTCTACTGAAAAAATACAAAATTAGCCGGGCGTGGTGGCAGGTGCCTGTAGTCCCAGCTACTCGGGAGGCTGAGGCAGGAGAATCGCTTGAACCTGGGAGGCGGAGGTTGCAGTGAGCCGAGATCATGCCACCGCACTCGAGCCTGGGCGACGGAGCGAGACTCTGTCTCAAAACAAACAAAAAATTCTCATAGTGTTGCTGATGTAAGGATTAAATGAGCTAATGTATATAAGGCACCTAACATAGTAGTATATGGTACATAAAAGGTGCTTAAAAGCTAGTAACTTATTACTATTATCATCCTCATCTTACAGTGATTCATTCAACAAATACTTCTTAAGCATCTGCTGTGTTCCAGGCACTGTATTAGATGCTAGGAATATAGTGGTAAAGAGAAAAGCCACCATCCCTACCTTCATGAAGCTTACAGTCTAGTAGGAGGCACAGACAAGTTGATAAGTAATTATAATATATTGTGAAAAGTGCTGTCATAGGGAAATAATAGTGCCTTTGATCTCTAAAAGGGACAGATAACCAAAGTTGGAGGCCAAAATGATTAAGTAACTGGCTCAAGGCTACACAGATAGTAAGTGGAGGTGCCAAAACAAAAACCCACCCCTTCAGAACTCCAAGTCCAGCATAATGTTCACTTTACCACGTTGCCTCTGTTATAGTCCATAAATTGTGTCTGGGTGGGATACTGCTTTCCTTTTACAGCACTGTCCTTTATTTCAGGAATTCTATGTAACACATGAAATACTGAAGAAAGTGGCCCCCTTAGAGGCTAAGCTTATTAAGGATCCTACTATGCAGTGTAAAATTAGATTCAGGTAATGTATCTATGCTGATTTATTTCAAGAAGTACTTAGTTAATATGAGGAAATCTTAGATATGGATTTTTTAAATTCTTGTAACTTCTCAGAACTTAATTACAAAGTAAATGTGTTATTCTTATTTACATTTGTTATGTGAAGAAACCGAGGCATGACTCTGTGGCTAAAAGTTGCCATGAGAGTAGCTCTCATCTCCCATTCTGTATTCAGTCTTACACAGGTATGAGAATAGTTGTGAGTACACCAAAGTGTGGGTCTTACATCCTATGTGATCCATTTCATTACCAATTCTTTACATGCTCTGACATAGCCTTTACCCTGTATGCAAGAAACTATATGAACTATCTTAAGTATAAGGGGGAAAAGCAACTGAGCCCAAAACCTGATGCCAAATAACTAAATTTTTATCTTTATTTCAGATTTAGAGGTGAAACGTTTCCACCTTTCATCGTGTTTAAAATTTTTCTTCATACTGATGGCCATGGTTACAAGTATTTTAGTGGAAAAAATGTATTAATGCCGTCAAGTAAGGTGACGTTTCATGATGTACATTTTATGTTAACTTAGCTTTTTAACATCTACATAGTATCTGAATTGCATTCAAATTATACAGAATAAGTTATTTCACCATGAAACAGCCCACCAGGTAGGTAGTGTGTTTTTTTTTAAGCACCATGTTTCAAAGTGTCTCCACTTACTAGCTAAAAAAAAAAAAAAAAAAGACATTTGGAGTGAATTACTTAATTAAGGCTCTAGAAAATATCCATCCATTTTTATGTATTAAAATTTTTATTTGTTAATAATAGACTAGGCCAGGCGCAGTGACTCATGCCTGTAATGCCAGCACTTTGGGAGGCCGAGGCGGGCAGATCACCTGAGGTCAAGAGTTTGAGACCAGCCTGGCCAACATGGTGAAACCCCATCTCTACTAAAGATATAAAAATTAGCCAGGTATGGTGGCACATGCCTGTAATCCCAGCTGCTCGGGAGGTTGAGGCAGGAGAATCACTTGAACCCAGGAGGTGGAGGCTGCAGTGAGCCAAGATCGTACCACTGCACTCCAGCCTGGGCGACACAGTGAGACTCTGTCTCAAAAAAAAAAAAAAGACTAAAATTGGTCAGGGCTCTTAAATTATGCAGAACATTTAATTTAATGCCATTTTATTTGTTTTAATGGAATGTTATTATTTCTTTGATTCTGGTAGCACATTTAGAAAAAAAATGGTCTGGACTATGCTATTGAAAATGAACTTTCAGCCAGGCACGGTGGCTCATGCCTGTAATCCCAGCACTTTGGGAGGCCAAGGCGGGCGAATCACCTGAGGTCAGGAGTTCAAGACCAGCCTGGCCAACATGGTGAAACCCCGTCTCTACTAAAAATACAAAAATTAGCCAAGCGTAGTGGTGCATGCCTGTAATCCCAGATACTCAGGAGGCTGAGGCAGGAGAATTGCTTGAACCCTGGAGGCAGAGGTTGTGGGGAGCTGAGATCGCACCACTGCACCCCAGCCTGGGCAACAGAGTGAGATTCTATCTCAAAAAAAAAAAAAAAAAGAAAGAAAGAAAATGAACTTTCAAATATTTATCCTTTTTTCACATGAATTCTCATCATACTTATTTATTTCTTTATTTATTTTGAGACAGAGTTTTGCTCTTGTTGCCCAGGCTGGAGTGCAATGGTGCGATCTCAGCTCACCACAACCTCCACCTGCCAGGCTCAAGTGATTCTCCTGCCTCAGCCTCCCAGGTAGCTGGGATTACAGGCATGCACCACCACACCTGGCCAATTTTTGTATTTTTAGTAGAGACGGGGTTTCAACATGTTGGCCAGGCTGGTCTCGAACTCCTGACCTCAGGTGATTCGCCCGCCTCGGCATCCCAAAGTGCTGGGATTACAGGCGTGAGCCACCACACCTGGCACTCTCATCATACTTTTAAGTTTCATGAATATTCACCACAAATTGTGTCTACAGTATAGGAATCACCTGGGAATCTTGTTAAAATGCTGCCGCTGCTGCTGGTCCATAAACCACACTTTATTTTATTTTATTTTATTTTTTTGAGACGGAGTCTCGCTCTGTCGCCCAGGCTGGAGTGCAGTGGCATGATCTTGGCTCACTACAAGCTCCGCCTCCCAGGTTCACGCCATTCTCCTGCCTCAACCTCCCGAGTAGCTGGGACTACAGGCTCCCGCCACCACGCCCGGCTAATTTTTTTTGTATTTTTAGTAGAGATGGGGTTTCACCATGTTAGCCAGGATGGTCTCAATCTCCTGACCTCGAAACCACACTTTTTTTAAAATTCATTCAGCCACTCTATATCTTTTGATTGGAGAGTTTAGTCCATTTACATGAATGTTATTACTGAGAAGTACAGACTTAGTTTTGCCATTTTCATATTTGTTCTGGTTGTTTTGTGGTCTTCTCTTCCTTCTTTCCTTCCTTCCTGCCTTCCTTTTAGTGAAGGTGATTTTCTCTGGTGGTATGTTTTAATTTCTTGCTTTTTATTTTTTGTGTATCTGTTGTATGTTTTGGGATTTGAGGTTACCATGAGGCTTGCAAACAATATCTTATAACCCATTATTTTAAACTGGTGACAGATTAACACAGATTGCTTCAACAAACAAAAAAATAACAAACAAGCAAAGAGAAACCAAATAAAAACTCTGCACTTTAACTTCATCTCCCCACTTTTTAACTTTTTGTTTTTTCTATTAATATCTTATTGTATTGTCTATGTCTTGAAAAGTTATTGTAGTTATTATTTTTGATCAGTTCATCTTCTAGTCTTTCTATTCAACATATGAGTAGTTTACACACCACAATTGCAATGTTATAATACTGTTTTTCTGTGTACTTACTATTACCAGTGAATTTTGTACTCTCAGATTTCTTATTGTTTATTAATGACCTTTTCTTTCAGATTGAAGAATTCCCTTTAGCATTTCTTGTAGGACAAGTCTGTTATTGACAAAATTCCTAAGCTTTTGTCTGAGAAAGTCTTTATTTCTCCTTCATGTTTGAAGGATATTTCCACTGCATATACTATTCTAGGATAAAAGTTTTTATTTTTCCTTCAGCACTTTAAATATGTTACATCACTCTCTCAGCCTGTAAGGCTTCCAATGAGAAGTCTGCTGCCAGACGTATTGGAACTCCTTTGTATGTTGTTTGTTTCTTTTCTCTTGCTGATTTTAGGATTCTTTCTTTATCCTTGACCTTTGGGAGTTTGATTATTAAATGCCTTGAGGTAGTCTTTGGGTTAAATCTGCTTGGTGTTCTGTAACCTTCTTTACTTGGATATTGATATCTTTCTCTGAATTTGGGAAGTTCTCTGCTGTTATCCCTTTGAATAAACTTTCTACCCTGATCTATCTCTCTACCTCCTTTTTAGGGCCAATAATTCTTAGATTCACCCTTTTGAGGCTATTTTCTAGATCTTGTAGGCATGAGTCATTCTTTTTTATTTGTTTTCTTTTGTCTGCTCTAATTGTGTATTTTCAAATAGCCTATCTTCAAGTTCACTAATTCTTCTGCATGATCAGTTCCTCTGTTAGGAGACTCTGATGCATTCTTCAGTGTGTCCATTGCATTTTTCAGCTCCAGAATTTCTTTCTGCTCGATTATTTTTAATTATTTCATTCTCTTTGTTAAATTTATCTGATAGGTTTCTGAATTCCTTCTCTGTGTTATCTTGAATTTTGTTGAGCTTTCTCAAAACAGCTATTTTGTTTGTTTTTTGTTTTTTTACGTCAGAACATGAACACAAAAACAGCTATTTTGAATTCTCTATCTGAAAGGTTACATACCTCTGTCTCTCTAGGATTGATCACTGGTGCCTTATTTAGTTTCTTTGGTGAGGTCATGTTTTCCTGAATGGTCCTGATGCTTATGGATGTTTGCCAATGTCTGGGCATCGAAGAGTTAGGTATCGTAGTATTTACTGTAGTCTTTACAGTCTGCGCTTGTTTGTAACCTGTCCTTCGTGAAAAGGCTTTCCAAGTATTCAAAGGGACTCAGGTGTCGTGATCTAAATCTTTGGTCACTGCAGCCATATCTGCATTAGGGGGCACCCCAAGCCCAGTAACACTGTGGCTCTTGCAGACTTGTAGAAGTACTGCCTTGTTGTTCTTGGCTAAGATCCGGAAGAATTCCCTGGATTACCAGGCAGAGACTTTTGTTCTCTTTCCCTACTTTTCCCCCAATAAATGGAATCTCTCTCTTTCTGTACTGAGCAGCCTGGAGCTGGGGGACGGGTAAAACAAGCACCCTTGTGGCCACCACCACCACTGGGACTGCACTGGGTCGGACCTGAAGCAAGCATAGCACTGGGTCTCTCCCAAGGCCCACAGTGACCACTGCCTGGCTACCATTTACTCAAGGCCCAAGGGCTCTACAGTCAGCAGGTGGCAAATCCGGATAGGCTTGTGATGTAAACCACACTTTTAATAGCAAGGCTCTACAGTACAGGTTTTACTCCTTGGACCCTTATACATGACTATATTTAAGTTTTAAAAAGATGGACATTCTCATATTTGGCCATTTATAAACCACATATCAAAGGTTATTTTTCTGTAACCCTGGCAAGATCCCCCTTCTGGAAATGTACACAAAAACTGTGGCCCATCTTAAATCATGAGTTCTAGCATGTATGCAGGAGAGAAGACCACACAGCCTGGCAGTTTCTGATCAGATCCTGCATGTGCGGCATTGACTCTGAAGAGTTTTAGAAAAGGAAAAGGGACCACTTTTCTCCATGTTCTCAGGTAGTATCAGAGAAAATTTAACTTTATTTCAGAAAATTATCAAATGAAGCCAGGCTCGGTGGCTCATGCCTGTAATCCCAGCACTTTGGGAGGCCGAGGCGGGAGGATAACCTGAGGTCAGGAGTTCGAGACCAGCCTGGCCAACATGGTGAAACCCCGTTTCTACCTAAAATACAAAATTAGCCGGGTGTGGTGGTGGGCGCCTGTAATCCCAGTTACTTGGGAGGCTGAGGCAAGAGAATCGCTTGAACCCAGGAGGCAGAGGTTGCAGTGAGCTGAGATTGCACCATTGCACTCCAGCCTGGGCAACAAGAGCAAAACTCCGTCCAAAAAAAAAAAAAAAACACCTAGAAAATGAGCTACATGTTTTCATTATGGAATATGGTGTTTCAAGAACATTAATATTTATATAGATCAACTTCAAATGTGGAAGTATATGTTTATCCTACTTGAAGGATAAATTTATGCCACATTTATGTATAGAATAAGCTTGTAGTTACCCCTATAAAATATCATCAATTGTTTCTTTCCTAGGATTATATAATGAGGCTTTTTCAAGAACTGAAATCCTCCTGGGTCTACTCCTGCCACCCCCTTGCTGTACACAGGCTTGAGCAAATGAGAACCTTAGAGGCAGTGATTGGAAATCACTGCTTATGCATTAAAACCCATCATAATGCTGTATAATAACTTAAATTTTTGTTTAAATTAGCCCACAGATAGAAAAATATGCCTCCGTGCCTTTATCTTCTGTGCTACAACTTTCACTCTCCTGGGGTAGTCATTGTTAATGGTTTGCTGTGTATCCTTCATGTTTCCCATGAAAATACACACATAGAGATTTTTAAATTTTGTTCTTATTATAAAAGTGTGGTCATATTATTGACCTTGAATTTTTCACTAAACATCATAACGGGTTTTAAATGATCAGAACATACCCAACTTGAACAGTTTAAGGTTCCTTTTTCCCTTTAGTTCAGCTTCAAACTCTGGTAACACTTGGATTCATGGTTGATAGAAAACTTGTAAATATGGAATATTTCTCACTCTAAGCTTACTCAACTCTGTTGCTCTTTGTCTCTTTGTGTTTTTTGTTTGTTTTTGTTTTTTGTGTTTTTGTTTTTTGTTGTTGTTGTTGTTGTTTTTTAGACAAGGTCTTAATCTGTTGCCAAAGCTGGAGTGCAGTGGCACCATCTCGCAATCTTGGCTCACTGCAACCTCCCCCTCCCAGGCTCAAGCAATTCTCATGTCTTAGCCAGCTGAGTAGCTGGGATTACAGACATGTGCCACCATGCCTGGCTAATTTTTGCATTTTTTTTTAGTAGAAAGGAGGTTTTGCTATGTTGGCCAGGCTGATCTCGAACTCCTGGCCTCAAGCGATCTGCCCACTTCCGCCTCCCAAAGTGCTGAGCCTACTGAGCACTTTCTATCAAATATGATCTTAAACATTTTATGCACATTACTCTATTTAATTATCATAAACACTACAGTGTATTTTCTGTTATTATCCTCATTTTAAAAAAGACTGAGGGCCGGGTGCTGTGGCTCACGCTTGTAATCCTAACACTTTGGGAGGCCGAGGCAGGCGGATCACTTGAGGTCAGGAGTTTGAGACCAGCCTGGCCAACATGGTGAAACCCATCTCTACTAAAAATACAAATATTAGCCAAGCGCGGTGGCACGTGCCTGTAATCCCAGCTACTCGGGAGGCTAAGGCAGGAGGATCGCTTGAACCCAGGAGGCGGAGGTTGCAGTGAGCCGAGATTGCACCACTGCACTCCAGCCTGAGTGACAGAGTGAGAGTCTGTCTCAAAAAAACAAAAACAAAAACAAACAAACAAAAAAGACTAACTTGCCTAAGGTCTCACACCTGGAAAATGAAGGAACCGAGATCAAGACCTAGTAGCCTGCCTCCAAAGTCCCAGTTCTTAACCACTCCTGAGAGTTAGGAACTATGCTAAACAGCAGCATACACATTCTCTTAGATGGCCCTGCAATAACTCTGGTTAGGGACACATTATTCCCATTTTCCCTATTAGGAAGCTAGAAGTTGGAAAGACTTGCCAGGAGCATAACTGAGACTTGAACACTTCTCTGTGTTTCCACTGTACTATGTACATTTTGAGGTTAAAACAACCATGCAGTTATGGTGGTTTTGTTTATTCTGAACCTGTATGTAATTGGACTGTTCCAAACCAAGAAACTGTTCCAATGCATGGATACCAGTTATTACCTCTTCCATGAGTGACAGTTCCCAGTAGAAACAGGAAAGTGTCTTGAGATACTAGAGTAGCTTTACAAGCCCAAGTGTGGATCTAGGCCAGCAAATAGCCACAGAGCTGTGGGGGCTTCTGGCCACAGAGATGCTGAGTATCAGGATAAGTGCCAGATTTAGAGATGGCCCGCTTTGACGCTTTGAGTCACCCACTAAGAACAGAACCTGCCTCTTGAATCCTACCCTGATTGGCTGGTATCCTGGAATCTTTGCCTAGTTTTTGCCCTTGCTTTTCTCCTGGCTCTAGGCTCTTCTTTCCCATTGCTTCCTATGGAGAAGGACTTTCTTGACTTTGGCCATACACTGCAGATGTCTGAGAAAGAACATCTTGGCCATTGGACAGCAAACATTTCTCAAACCCCTCTCACAGGTGGGCAGAGAGCTTGCCCTATGCTGCCAGGCATGTTTTTCTTTGGCTGAGGGACCAGAATGGGCCAGACACAGATGAGGCACACAACTGAGGCACTGCACACATAAGGAAACTGGGTCTTGGAGAGATTGGTGGTGGTGGCTGAGTGGGGCAGTGTAGGGAGGACCTGTCAATAAATACCTTTTTGGGGAGGCTAAGGTGGGCGGATCACTTGAGGTCATTTCAGGACCAGTGTGGCCAAAATGGCGAAATTGTCTCTACTAAAAATACAAAAAAAAAAAATTAGCCAGGCATGGTGGCACGCACCTGTAGTCCCAGCTACTCAGGAGGCTGAGGCAGGAGAATTGCTTGAACCCGGGAGGCAGAGGTTACAGTGAGTCAAGATGGCACCACTGCACTCCAGCCTGGGCGATAGAGGGAGACTCTGTCTCAGAAAAAAAAAAAAAAACCCTAAATAAATACCTTTTGTACTGTGGCTCACGCCTGTAATCCCAGCACTTTGGGAGGCCAAGGCAGGCAGATCACCTGAGGTCAGGAGTTTGAGACCAGCCTGGCCAACATGGTGAAACCCCATCTCTACTGAAAATACAGAAATTAGCTGGGCGTAACCCCAACACTTTGGGAGGCCGAGGCAGGTGGAACAGAAGATCAGGAGTTCGAGACCAGCCTGGCCAACATAGTGAAACCCCGTCTCTATTGAAAACAAAAATTAGCTGGGCATGGTGGTGCACGCCTGTAGTCCCAGCTACTCAGGAGGCTGAGGCAGGAGAATCGCTCGAATCCAGAAGGCGGAGGTTGCCGTCTGCCGAAATGGCACCTCTGCACTCCAGCCTGGGTGACAGAGCAAGACTCCGTCTCAAAAAATAAAAATAAAAATTTTAAAAACCCTTTTTTAGTAACTTCAGCTAAAGTAAATTATAGTTATGCCTACAGAAATTCCTAAAGCAGAAATTATATGGTCTTCATACCTGTTCAGTGTACAATTACTTGTTTTTACCTTTAGTGTCACTGTGGGGCTGGTTAATTAGAACCATAAAATGTTGGAAATTAATTGCAAGAAAACATAATGGAGAGATTTGCCAATACTATCTTTATTTTATTTATTTATTTATTTATTTATTTATTTATTTATGAGGTGGAGTCTCACTCTGTCGCCCAGGCTGGAGTGCAGTGGCACAATCTCGGCTCAGTGCAACCTCCACCTCCTGGGTTCAAGCGATTCTCCTGCCTCAGCCTCCCAAGTAGCTGGGATTACAGGTGCTCACCACCCTGCCTAGCTAATTTTTGTGTTTTTTAGTAGAGACGGGGTTTCACCATGTTGGCCAGGCTGGAATCGAACCCCTGACCTCAGGTGATCCACCTGCTTTGGCCTCCCAGAGTGCTGGGATTACAGGTGTGAGCTACTACACCCGGCCTATCTTTTCTTTAGTTGTGTAATGTATAAAGAAATTTGTTGTGGGGATGAGGGAGGGGGGAGGGATAGCATTAGGAGATATACCTAATGTTAAATGACGAGTTGATGGGTGCAGCACACCAACATGGCACATGTATACATATGTAACTAACCTGCACATTATGCACATGTACCCTAAAACTTAAAGTGTAATAATAAAAAAAGGGAAATATTTATGGTTATGGAAATGCTTGCCCTGATAAAAATCCTACATATTGTTTTTTTAAATTCACATTTTATGCTTATACAATCTCTAGAGCTCTTACTATGTTGCTATAAGACAGTAATATAGTGATAATTTACCAACTTTATTGAAAATGTTGTTACATCAATAAAATAGCATGCTGGAAAAAAAAGAAGAAATTAATGAAATATAAAGCAAAAATGATCTACCTAAAGGAAAGCTCCATATCACATTTTCACTAAACTGTTTGTCTCTTCAGTTCTATACGTTAGGAATAAAACTTCAACCATTCAACCATTTGAATGTTTTCTTCCTTTTTCATTTTCTACATGTGTCTGTGATATTCTAAGCTTTGGAATTTAAAAAAATAAATAAAGGAATAGTCTGAATAACAAAAGTGAGAATTGGAATAGAAAATGCATTATAGCTTGCTGTTGTGTGTTAAGAAAAAAGAACAGTGATTCTCAGTTTTGATCCTGTCTCAACCACTCTTTCTTTTCTCTTTTTTTTTTTTTTTTTTTGAGACAGCATCTCACTCTGTCACCCAGACTGGAGTGCAGTGGCATGATCTCAGCTCACTGCAACCTCCACCTCTCAGGTTCAAGCATTTCTCCTGCCTCAGCCTCCCGAGTAGCTGGGTTTACAGGCACATGCCACCATGCTAGGCAAATTTTTGTATTTTTAGTAGAAAAAGGGTTTTGCCATGTTTGCCAGGCTGATCTCGAACTCCTGACCTCAGGCGATCCGCCTGCCTCGGCCTTCCAAAGTGCTGAGATTACAGGTGTGAACCACCGTGCCTGGCCTCAACCACTCTTTTAGGCCTTGTATCAACATTATAACAGAGTTCCCATACTTTCACAAATACCGCATTCTGACATACAAAGGAAGAAAGAAACTTAACTGGAATCAAAAGATGTTTGAATTTTCTTTTCTTTTCTTTTCTTTTTTTTTTTTTTTTTTTTGAGACAGAGTCTTGCTGTGTCCCCTAGGCTGGAGTACAGTGGCATGATCTCGGCTCACTGCAACCTCCGCCTCCTGGGTTCAAGCGATTCTCCTGCCTCAGCCTCCCGAGCAGCTGACATTACAGGCACCTGCCACCACGCCTGGCTAATTTTTGTATTTTTAGTAGAGACGGGGTTTCACCATGTTGGCCAGGCTGGTCTCGAACTCCTGACCTCAGGTGATCCACCTGCATCGGCCTCCCAAAGTGCTGGAATTACAGGAGTGAGCCACCACGCCCGCCCTGAATTTTCTTTTGTGCTATCCTTCCCTTCATATAAACATACCCTTTGTGGCCAGAAGTACAGATCTGTAATATAAATATGTGTTAGAAGAGTCAGCACATACTTATGGCGGGGGTGCAGAGTACTTAAGTCTCTACTCACAGTCTATGTATAGCTCTTAGCACAGGATACTTATATGTGGAAGGGTATGGTATAAGTAGGGCCCAACAGGATTTGAGCTTCCATATATTCTGTGATTCTTCTGTCTCTGACCTCTCAGGTGCTTTCCTTGAGCATAAAATGTTGACATTTGGGAGAGAAAAGAAAACCCCTCTATTTGCCACTTTTTAGCTGCTGAGAATGAAGTCTGAAGGGAGGGAGGCTTAAACAGTCTGAAACATACATGTTTCCACTTACCAGCAGTGTATTAACACATAAAAGAGAGGTGGTACTAGTGACACCTTTCATTGCAGTTCCTACGGTAACTCGTTGAATCACCAGATAAGTTTTCTCTGCATTGACTGCACGAATGATATTACAGGTTTGTTTTGCTTTTCAAAATAAAAGAATTAAAAGTCTTTTAAGGGGAAAAACCAGTTGTTTTAAAACTATGTTCTCTGAGGATTCTGGACTCAGCAATTCCTCTAGCTGCATTTAAAAACTATGTAGATGGCCTGGCGCGGTGGCTCACGCCTATAATCCCGCACTTTGGGAGGCCGAGGTGAGCGGATCACGAGGCCAGGAGATCGAGACCATCCTGGCTAACACGGCGAAAGCTGGTCTCTACTAAAAATACAAAAAATTAGCCAGGTGTGGTGGCATGCGCCTGTAGTCCCAGCTACTCAGGAGGCTGAGGCAGGAGAATCGCTTGAACCCAGGAGGTGGAGGTTGCAGTGAGCTGAGATGGCGCCACTGTTCTCCAGCCTAGGTGACAGAGCAAGACTCCGTTTCAAAAAAAAAAACCTATGTAGATAAGGCTATGGAAACAATTTTAAGTGGTTTAATAATCCCTATATAATCTCTTTGCAAATGCAGCCTTTCTATTGAATAGCAAGCTGCTAGAAGAAAGGAACAATATTTGATGTATTTGTCAGAAGAAATATGTAAAGGGCGTGCTGATCATTAATGCTATTCTACTATTTTTAAAGTCTATTTTCTATTCTTTTTACAGGCAGTGGATGATGCTTGCAAACTAATGGGGGAAAGGAAATTTCACCGTATAATTATGGAAGATGAACGTATTTTCCCGAAGTCCAAAGTAACTGATATAATGGATGTTGTCACCATGCAAGATTATGTACAAGTAAGGAATTTAGATTTAGAAAAACAAACAAACCCAGCAAGTCTTCCTAACTCTGTCATCCAAGAAGATAGAATCATACTTTTTTATTATGGTAAAATATAACACAATATAAAATTTATTATTGTATTATATTTTATTTTATTTTTCAAATATATTCTATAGAATGAAACTTATTTTCGGATGCCCAAGCACTAGAACTTTCTTTTAAAATTTTTTTTTAATTTAACTTTTATTTTAAGTTCAGGGGTACATGTAGAGGTTTGTTATTGTATATAGGTAAACTCGTGTCAAGGGGGTTTGTTGTTCAGATTATTTTGTCACCCAAGTATTAGGCCTAGTATCCATTAGTTATGTTTCCTGATCCTCTCCCTCCTCCCACCTTCCACCCTCTGGTAAGTCCCAGTGTGTGTTGTTCCCCTCTATGTGTCCATGTGTTCTCATCATAAAATTGACCATTTTAAAGTGTACAATTCAGGGGCATTAAGTACATTCACAGGGTTGTGCAAGCATCACCACCATCTAGTTCCAGAACCTTTTCATTACCCCGAAAGGAAACCCTGCATCCAGTAAGCAGTCACTCTCCATTCCTGCATCATTCCAGCCCCATAAACCACCAGTCTGCATTGTCTCTATGGATTTGCCTAATCCGGATATTTCATATAAAGGAAATCATGTGATATATGGCTTTTTATATGTAGGGAGCTAAGGAATTTGGGGGTTCTTTTGGGGTGATGGAAATATTCTGAAATATTCATAGGCAGTGGTGATAGTTGCACAACATTGTGAATATACTAAAAACCATTGAGTTACATACTTTTTTTTTTTTTGAGACAGAGTTTCGTTCTTGTCGCCCAGGCTGGAGTGCAATGGCGCAATCTCAGCTCACTGCAACCTCTGCCTCTTGGGTTCAAGCGATTCTCCTGCCTCAGCCTCCCGAGTAGCTGGGATTACAGGCATGTGCCACCACTCCCAGCTAATTTTTTTGTATTTTTAGTAGAGACGGGGTTTCACCATATTGGCCAGGCTGGTCTCAAACTCCTGACCTCAGGTGATCTGCCCGTCTCGGCCTCCCAAAGTACTGGGATTACAAGCGTGAGCCACCACGCCTGGCCGATGTTGTGTTTTCACAAATGGAAGGTTTGTGGCAAACCTGCATCAAGCAAATCTATCAGTGCCATTTTTCCAATAGCATGTGCTTGCTTTGTGTCTCTGTGTCACGTTTTGGTCATTCTTGCAATATTTCAAATCTTTTCATTATTATTATATCTGTTATGGTGAACTGTGATCAGTGATCTTTGATGTTACTATTGTAATTGTTTTGGAGCACCACAAACTGAGCCCATATAAGATGGCAAACTTAACCAATAAATGTATGTGTTCTGACTGCTCCACCAACCAGCCATTCCATTATCTCTCTCTTTCCCCTCTGGTCTCTCTATTTTCTGAGACACAACAATATTGAAATTAGGCCAATTAATAATCCTACAGTGGCTTCTAAGTGTTCGAGTGAAAGAGTCATGCGCCTCTCACTTTAAATCAAAAGCTAGAAATGACGAAGCTTAGTGAGGAAGTCATGTCAAAAGCTGAGATAGGCCAAAAGCTAGACCTTTGCACCAAAGAGTTAAACGTGTTGTGAATGCAAAGGAAAAATTTATGAAGGAAATTAAAAGTGCTACTCCAGCGAACACACAAATGATAAGAAAGCAAAATAGCCTCATTGCTGATATGGAGAAAGTGTTAGTGGTCTGGATAGAAAATTAAACCAGCCACTCACGCCTGTAATCCCAGCACTTTGGGAGGCCGAGGTGGGCGGATCACGAGGTCAGGAGATCGAGACCATCCTGGCTAACATGGTGAAACCCCGTCTCTACTAAAAATACAAAAAATTAGCCGGGCATGGTGGCGGGCACCTATAGTCCCAGCTACTAGGGAGGCTGAGGCGGGAGAATGGCGTGAACCCAGGAGGCGGAGCTTGCAGTGAGCCGAAATTGCGCCACTGCACTCCAGTCTGGGCAATAGAGTGAGACTGTGTCTCAAAAAAAAAAAAAAAAAGAAAAAGAAAAAAAAAGAAAAACCAGCCACAATATTCCCTTAAACCAAAGCCTAATCCAGAGCAAGGCCTTAACTCTCTTCAATTCTATGAAGGATCAGAGAGGTGAGAAAGCTGCAGAAGAAACTTTGGAAGCTAGCAGAGGTTGGTTCGTGAAGTTTAGGGAAAGAAGCCGTCTTTATAACATAAAAGTGCAAGGTGAAGCAGCAAGTGCTGATGGAGAAGCTGCAGCAAGTTATCCAGAAGATCTCACTAAGATAATTGTTGAAGGTGGCTGCACTAAACAACAGATTTTCAATGTAGACAAAATGGCCTTATACTGTTAGAAGATGCCCTCTAGGGCTTTCACAGCTAGAGAGGAGAAGTCAATGCCTGGCTTCAAAGGACAGGCTGAGTCTCTTGTTAGGGGCTAATGCAGCTGGTAACTTTAACTTAAAGCCAGTTCTCATTTACCATTCTGAAAATTTTAGGGCCCTTAAAAATTATGCTAAATCTATCCGGGCGGAGTGGCTCAGGCCTGTAATCCCAGCACTTTGGGAGACCAAGGCAGGTGGATCACAAGGTCAGGAGATCGAGACCATCCTGGCTAACACCGTGAAACCCCGTCTCTACTAAAAAATACAAAAATTAGCCGGGCGTGGTGGTGGGCGCCTGTAGTCCCAGCTACTTGGGAGGCTGAGCCAGGAGAATGGCGTGAACCCAGGAGGCGGAGCTTGCAGTGAGCCGAGATTGCACCACTGCACTCCAGCCTGGGTGACAGGGCAAGACTCTGTCTCAAAAAAAAAAAAAAAAAAAAAGAAAAAAGAAATATGTTTCATAAGGCTATAGCTGCCATAGACAATGATTCCCCTGATGGATCTGGGTAAAGTAAAATTTAAAAATCCAGAAACGATTCACCATTCTAGATGCTATTGAGAACATTCATGAGCTGGGCACAGTGGCTCATGGCTGTAATCCCAGTACTTTGGGAGGCTGAGATTGGAGGATCTCTTGAAGATGGAGTTTGAGACCAGCCTGGGCAATATAGGGAGACCCTGTCTCTACAAAAATTACCCCCCACCCCAAAATTAGCCAGGTGTGATGGTATGCCCCTATGGTCCCAGCTACTCAGGAGACTGAGGTGGGAGGATTGCTTTAGCCATGATTGCACTCCAGCCTGGGCAACAGAGTGAGACCCTGTCTCAAAAAAAAAAAAAAAAGCCACAGCCACCCCAGTCTTCAGCAACCAGTACCCTGATCAGTCAGCAGTCATCCACATCAAGGTAAGACTCTCTACCAGCAAAAAGAATAGGACTCACTGAAGGCTCAGATGATCATTAGCATTTTTTAGCAATAAAGTATTTTTTTTCTTTTTGTGGAGATGGGATCTTGCTATGTTTCCTAGGCTGGTCTCGAACTTCTGGGCACAAGTGATCCTGTCAGCTCTTCCTCCGTAAGTTCTGGCATTGCAGGCATGAGCCATTATGCCCAGCCATAACAAAGTATTTTTAAATTAAAGTATGTACATTTTTTTTTAAATAATGCTGTTGCACACTTAAACTACAGTATAATGTAAACATAACTTTTATATGCACTGGGAAACCAAAAATTAGCATGACTCTATTTGTGATATCCACTTTATTACCATGGTCTGCAACTAGACCCACAATATCTCTGAGATATGTCTGTATACAGCCTTAACTATTCACTCATTTGCTTCAGTGTGAAACATGAAATTAATGCAGTGCCTTAGAGACTCCCAATTATGTTTTCTTTCTTTTAGAGTCTTAGACTGTGAGTTTAGGGAAGTGAACCAGGAAATGCCAACTATCTTTGCTAAGGACAAAGACCACATACTTTCAGATTGTGAACATGTCAAGGATTAATGTCATAGAGAGGAGTCCCCAGATAGACATACTGGAAGAGAGAGATAAGATCATTGTTGACGTTTGAGTCCTTATACGGGTGTGGCACTGTCTTTAGCACTTTACATGTGTGTTATCTTCTTTCATCTTCAAGTTTGTAAATTCTGTGACCTTTTTTACAAATGAGAAAAATGAAGTTTAACAAGCCTCAAAAAAACTTGCCTGAGGTCACAGACAGATCTGATAAGTGGCAGAGCAGATGATTGACAGATCTATGATATTTACCCATTTTACTACTTCACTCAGGAAAAAAAATACCCAGCCTTACTTTGCATGGCAGTGCAGGACCATAAAAATGACCAGCAAATTGAAACCATGCAAAGCAAACTTAATAATTTGTGGGGAAAATTGTGATTGTCCTGTGACTTTTCAAACTTTTTGTCTGTAGTCCCAGCTACTTGGGAGGCTGAGGCAAGAGGATCACTTAAGCCCAGGAGTTTGAGGGTAGCCCAGGCAACATAGTGAGACCCCATCTCTGAAAACAAAACAAAACAAGCTTCTTTGTCAAAACATTAAAAACTCTTTTGCTGTCTGTTATAAATACATAGGAAAATGAAAGAAAAAAACCCAACACATTTAGAACACTTTTAGTACACTATAATTTAAAACATTAGAAACATAGACAAAGTGTTTAGTTTCTTCATAAAATATCTTACCAACTGTGAATATACTGGAAACTATTGAATTGTACACTTTAAATGGTGAATTGTATGGTATGTGAACCTCAATAAAGCTGTGAAAAAATAACTTACCAAGAGTACTTTAAACAGTGCTTGCCTTCTTGTTCTTCTAGTATAACTTATAAGCATCTTTTCTATGTCTTGATGTATTGTCATATTCCTTTTAAAATTTGGATCAGCTGCCAACATTTTATTCTTTGCACTTTAAATGTTGCAAAATATCTCAGAGTTCCTTCAGTATGAAGTTTTTTTTGGCCAGCATCACTTCCACTGGGAAAGCTTCATCTTTTTATCATAGCCACTTTCCTCATTTATGTTGATAAGTTCATCCTCACCAAGTTCCTCTAGCTGTAGATCTGCAACGTCTTGAATGATGGCAGTGTTAGCATTCCCACAGTCACCTGTTTCTTCTAGAACTCCATGTATGATTGATTCCAATTTCACTTCAAGGGGTACCACTTTTTGTTTCTTTGACGGGGAATTCCCTCTTTTGATTTTCCATTTTTGTAAAATGTCACATGGGTTTATCATTGGGAGACAAAAATGCAACACAACTATATACGTTGCTGTTTGTGTGTGAAATGAATAACAGATTCACAGTGACCAGTCACTGATTGACTTTGGAAGGTATGACATGATTTGTCACTAATCATGATGATCATCTGTCATTTATATTGTGATCTTTGAGCTGAAGAGCTAGCAACAGGAGGCCGGGCGTGGTGGCTCATGCCTGTAATCCCAGCACTTTGGGAGGCCAAGGTGGGTGGATCACTTGAGGTCAGGAGTTCGAGACCAGCCTGGCCAACATGATGAAACCCTGTCTCTACTAAAAATACAAAAATTAGCCGGGCCTGGTGGCACACGCCTATAATCCCAGCTACTTGGGAGGCTGAGGCAGGAGAATCGCTTGAACCCAGGAGGTGGAGGTTGCAGTGAGCCGAGATTGCGCCGCTGCACTCCAGCCTGGGCGATAAAGCAAGACTCCATCTCAAAAAAAAAAGTTTGAAAAGGCCGGGTGCAGTGGCTCATGTCTGTAATCCTAACACTTGGTGAGGCAGAGGCCGGAGGATTGCTTGAGCCCAGGAGTTTGAGACCTGCCTGGGCAACACAGCGAGACCCCATTCTCCAGAAAAGGAAAAAAAAAAAGATGAAATGGTGCAAAGGTAGGATTGCCTGTGTGTGTGTATGTGTGTGAGTGTGTATGTGTATATGTGAGTGTGAAGGTGTGTGTTGAGAGTGTGTATGTGCATCTGTGTGTGTGTGTTTGAAAGCATGAATGTGACTGTGTAATATACCCTAAAGGCCTTCTTGTTATTCTGTTTCCTAGCACTGTAGCTCCTCCTGCCCTATCCCTGGCTCTTAAATGCACGACTATAATGTTAAAGTGATGATATATATTTGTATTTTTAATTCCTAATTTGATATCATTTTAAATTGGAAAAAAAGAAAAGTGGGATTTCTACAAATACTCCAAAGGAAAATAGTGAAAATCTCCACTTCATACTAGAGATGAACTCATATTTCTAAAAAGGTTTGTGCAAAAGTCCTCTCAACAGCCTGGGCAACATAGTGAGACCCTATCTCTACAAAGATTAAAAAATTGGCCAGGCGTGATGGCTCACGCCTGTAATCTCAGCACTTTGGGAGGCCGAGGTAAGTGGATTACCTGAGGTCAGGAGTTCAAGACCAGCTTGGCCAACATGGTGAAACCCCATCTCTACTAAAAATACAAAAAAAATTAACCAGGCATGGTGGCATGCACCTGTAATCCCAGCTGAGGCAGGAGAATCGCTTGAACCCAGGAGGCGGAGGTTGCAGTGAGCCGAGATCGTGTCACTGAACTGCAGCCTGGGCAACAGGAGTGAAACTCCGTCCCCCCCAAAAAAAAAAAAAATAGCCAGACGTGGTGGCATGTACCTGTAGTCCCAGCTACTCAGGAGGATCACTGGAGCCCAGGAGGTTGAGGCCGCTAGCCATGATCATGTCACTGCCCTCCAGCCTGGGTGACAGGATGAGACCCTGTCTCAAAAAAAAAAAAGTCCTCTCAACCCAAGCATGTCATGAACAAGCTCTACTAGGTATGCAGAACACATAGCTATTATCATTAATTTTTAGGCCCATCTGAGTTTAACTTATCTGAGTTATATTTGCCATAAAAATGTTGATGCATTAAATAAATATTTAGTGAGTATGATACTGTGTGCATGATAATGTGTAGCATAGCTCCTGCCTTCCAATAAGGGAGCTAAGTCATACACAGATAACTAAAACATTGAGTAGTCAGAGAGAGATCCCAATAAAATTCAGAGATGGGATCAAAGAATGCCTTTTGGATGAAGTGACATTTGAGTGGAACCATGAGAAATGTGTCTAAAAACATTTTAGAGCACCCACAACCAATCAATTTTTTTTTTGAGACAGAGTCCCACTCTGTTGCCCCGGCTGGAGTGCAGTGGTGCAGTCTTGGCTCACTGCAACTGCTGCCTCTTGGGCTCAGGTGATCCTCCTGCCTCAGCCTCCCAAGTAGCTGGGACTACAGGTGTGCGCCACCACGCCCAGCTAATTTTTGTATTTTTTTATTATTATACTTTAAGTTCTAGGGTACATGTGCACAACGTGCAGGTTTGTTACATATGTATACATGTGCCGTGTTGGTGTGCTGCACCCATTAACTCGTCATTTACATTAGGTATGTCTCCTAATGCTATCAGGTTTCACCATGTTGGCCAGGCTGGTCTCGAACTCCCGACCTCAAGTGACCCACCTGCCTCAGGCTCCCAAAGTGCTGGGCTTACAGGTGTGAGCCACCGCACCTGGCCAACTAATCAGTCTTAATTGTTTTTTTTCTCTTTTTCTTTTCTTTTCTTTTTTTTTCTCTTTGAGATGGAGTCACTCTGTCACCCAGGCTGGAGTGCAGTGGCGCGATCTTGGCTCACCGCAACCTCCGCCTCCCGAGTTCAAGCAATTCTCCTGCCTGAGCCTCCCGAGTAGCTGGAACCACAGGCACAAGCCACCACGCCTGGCTAATTTTTGTATTTTTAGTAGAGATGGGTTTTCACCATGTTGGCCAGGCTGGTCTACGAACTCCTGACCTCAGGTGATCCACCCGCATCAGCCTCCCAAAGTTCTGGGATTATAGGTATGAGCCACCGCACCTGGCCAACTTAATCGTTCTTGTTTTTTCCCTACAGTATCGCAGTTTTTTCGATGAGGCCCCTGCATTTTCTGGCGGCAGAAATAACAGCTGGCGCAAATTAAATCTTGAAAATATTCCCAGGACAATGCTAATGTATGACATAGTTCATTATTCAGAGTCTGGAGTGATCTCAAACCGTCTACGAAATGAAATGAAGTTTCTGTTACAGAGACCAGTAACGCAAGAGATCCATAAGCACCAGCTACGGATTGTTTCTGAAATTAGGTAAAACAGATTCTTCACTGGGGTTACAATACTAGGGGCATATCTGAAAATGTTCACATTCTGCCAGATAGCTCACTAAAGATAAGAGGATATATGGGGAAAATAGGGTTGGGGCAGATTGCTCAAAACGTATGCAATTTTGTAAACAGAGCACTAACAAAAAGGACAATTGGTACTTGGGGAGTTAACTTGTACCACCAGACAGGCAGCTCAGTGTAGCTGGAGGCTGCCACAGAAAATATAAAAAAATGAACAACCATAGAGTGGAGATGCTGGCAACTCTTTCATTAGAGCAGTTAGTGGGCATGGAGACAGTGCACATGGAAGTGGGACCCCAGGCCAGCGTAGTTGCCTTTTTTTTTTTTGAGACGGAGTCTCACTCTGTTGCCCAGGCTGGAGTGCAATGGCGCAATCTAGGCTCACTGCAACCTCTGCCTCCCGGGTTCAAGCGATTCTCCTGCCTCAGCCTCCTGAGTAGCTGGGATTACAGGTGCCCACCACCATGCCCGGCTAATTTTTGTATTTTTAGTAGAGAATGAGTTTCACCATATTGGCCAGGCTGGTCTCAAACTCCTGACCTTGTGATCCGGCCACCTCAGCCTCCCAAAGTGCTGGGATTACAAGTGTGAGCCACCATGCCCGGCCGCATGGTTGCCTTTTAAGTGGACATGAGAGGCAGTGCGATCTGCCGAGAACCAGGAGCCATCCAAGGCTGGAGTGGGGGTAGGGGAGGAGTAGGGTGGAGGGCAGTGAGGGTGAGTTGGGGGTGGGGTGTGCCTCTCTGGGAAGACAGCACTTGATGCAGGTGCTCATTTTTGTTTTCATGAATACAGTCAAAAGGGCTCCCCTTGCCCATGCAGCACAGAACTGAGGGCTTTTTCCTTTTTTGCTGAAGGTTATAATTCTATTCTTGCTACTCTGGCTCCCCTTGCCTGAGATAAATTGCATATAAATTAGAGTGACGTCATTCCCCTTTTTACCAATAGTATGTGAGCCAGTTCACATTGTAGAAATGGATGTTGTAGCAAAATAGATGTATTATGATCTGAAACAACATGGACAGAATATAACAACTCCAATTATATTCCTTTTCTCTTTCCATTACTAAGCCTCACTTAGCCCATCTTATTTACAAATTAAGCTGCTTTCTTAAAAGAAGAAAGAGATAATAATATGTAAGAGGACCTACTGGTAATCTATTTTCACACTCTTATAATTGAAATGAAAAATACTCCCTTTGTACATGAAGAAGACACTGATGACCCACTGTCAAGCAAACATGCTGGGGATTTTTTTTCAGGAGTAGAGATGAGTGATTCTGACCCAATAACATAATTTAACCCATATATTTTATGATCAAGGCTATACATTTGCCAGACAGATGGCCTGGTTTAGGGCACAGTCTGTCATGAAATAGATTTTCTCTAACTCATCCATATGAGCACTGAATATAGAATTTAACCCTATTACCACCAAGGTCAAATAAATGATGTAATTTTCTCTGCCACCATATATAATCCTGATCTCCCTGCTATTTGGATTTATCCTACTGAGTATCCAAGAATAAGTAATTTAAGAGCCAAATAATTAGCCAAATTATTAATCAATTGAAGAGAAAAAATACTTTCATAAAGCCATCTTTGAATGCAGTTGTAGTTTAGCATCTCCCAGAAGCAAACCCTGAGACAGAGATTTAGGAGGTGATCCCAGGAACAACTGAAGGGAGAGGGTAAAAAAGTGGAAGGCAGCCAAAACAGTGTGTGTTAGCAAGCAAGTTACCACTGTGGGTAACTGGAGCTTAATCTCCCCCGGGAATGTCAGAGTCAATGTAGAACATGCAACTCAGAATTATCCCACAGGGGGCAGGGGAATTACAGTATTGATACATCAACACCCATCAGTCATTGGTTAAGGGTTGCTTAGGAAGGGACATATTAATTCTCGGGCACTTTTGACCTCCCCTGCACATGGGCTTGCTTTTCTTTTCTTTTTTTTCTTTTCTTTTTTTTTTTTTTTGAGACCGAGTTTCACTCTTGTCACCCAGGCTGGAGTACAATGGCACAATCTCGGCTCCCCACAACCTCCACCTTCCTGGTTCAAGCGATTCTCCTGCCTCAGCCTTCCTGAGTAGCTGGGATTACAGGCATGTGCCACCACGCCTGGCTAATTTTGTATTTTTAATAGAGACAGGGTTTCTCCATGCTGGTCAGGCTGGTCTCGAACTCCAGACCTCAGGTGATCCACCCGCCTTGGCCTCCCAAAGTGCTGGGATTACAGGTGTAAGCCACCGTGCTGGCAGGCTTTTCTTTTCAAAGAAAATTTTCAAACTGAGTGATGCAGATGCTGGCATTGAAAGTTGAGTCTATGTTCCTTATAATGGTAAGGACAAGGGGATTATGGACATAGCATCTGATCCCAGCACTGATTAAAAACAGCTTGTTTTTCCAACCATTATGAAATGTAATTTTTTTTTTTTTTGAGCTGGAGTCTCGCTCTGTTGCCCAGGCTGGAGTGCAGTGGCACAATCTTGGCTCACTGCAAAGTCCGCCTCCTGGGTTCAAGCAATTCTCCTGCCTCAGCCTCCCGAGTAGCTGGGATTACAGGCACCCGCCACCACACCCAGCTAATTTTTGTATTTTTTTTTAGTAGAGACGGTTTCACCATGTTGGCCAGGCTGGTCTGGAACTCCTGACCTCAGGTGATCCGCTTGCCTCGGCCTCCCAAAGTGCTGAGATTACGGGCATGAGCCACTGCGCCTGGACGAAATGTAATACTTTTTTGTGTTAGTATATGGTGTAAAAAAATAAGATTCAAATGGCTACTACACAGTATTTTCTAGGAAAGCTAATTTTAAATTGATAACAGGTTTTATAATTTTTATCATCTTTGCTGTCAATATCATCACCTGTACACCTTCATAAGTGCCAGATAAAGAACTGTGCTATGTAAACTCAAGCAGAAATGATAACTTTAACCTAAAAGCTTACATGAAATGCTGCTCCAATGTTGCTAAGGTCTGTGATATATTTGCTAGAGAAAGCTTTAATGAAATTTGGAACTTGCTTTGCATTTATATTTTATTCTGTGTGATTTTTCTGTTTTTAATACAAACATTTTCTAGGGGTCCATACTTAACTGTCCAACCTCTATATCGGCCCTACAAACAGCAAAATCAAGTTAAATTTCTGGGTCGTCGATCCAAGCAAGCTCAAATGAAAGTTGAAAAAATGAGAAAAGTTTATTTGGCTAAAGAAAAAAATACTTCTGAGGTGACTGTAAGTTTAACTTGTACTGAATTCATTGTTTTGGACAATATTCAAACTGTCTGTAAAGTAGCTGTACTTACGTAAATGAAATTTTCCTAATCTAAAGTTCAAGGCTGAAACACATTTGACACATTTATCATAGGTAGTATAAAGTGAATTTCATCTTGGTAACATTTTTTAAAAAATTCTTAATATTGGTGGCAATTCTGATAAAAACCAGCTGTTTTGGCTCCATATCAGCATGAGTTGGCAAAAAAATTATTTTCTCTGTATGTTGACACTGTTGATTCAGCACATCTCTGATGGTGGTTTTTTCAAAATGGAAGTCATTTCTATCTAAACTTATTAAGAACTATGCTTTATAAAGTCTGCCTCAGTATACTTTTACATCATAGGAATTTACAACAGACATGTATTCATGTTATTACTTTGTAATTTAAAAAATCGCTGTGAATATTTTGAGATGAGGATAAATATAGTCAAACATTAAAATATAAAGTAGTAAAAACCAAATATATAACACTTCCTACTTTTATTGATAATTCTGCCTAGGAACCAAAAACGGGCCCATCAGGTACAAAGGATAACTATCATCTCCACTCCATCTTTTGACATTGTGAAAACTAAGGAATCTATGTCAGAGTGTCAGCTGGAAAAAGAAAAAAGGACTCATTTTCCTGGTATCAAAACTTGGCAGCTGGTGATTCTCCATCATGATAATGAACAGTTAATTGACAGAAAACCAAAGTTGTTTAACAATCTGCTTGTCTGTCTATAAATAATGAGTATGTGTAATAAAGGAAAATAACATAGAATAAGTCCTGAGTATGCTCTCTTAACTAAATGTGTGACATATTTTAAGCCTTTTTGAATTGCCATAGGAACAAATTCTTTTACTGACAGAATTTTAATCTAAACAAATTTTTTCTATTAGATGCCCTTGAACTAGCAGTATACAGTTTTGTTTAAGAGATTAGTCCCTGGGACTTTTATTCGATTTTGATTTTCCTTCATTTAAACAAATATCTGAACAGGCCATACTTAGCATAAATATTAGAATTCACAGAATGAAAGGCTCCTTTTGAGTCAGCTTCTAGTGTCTTTTTTAAAGTTGAAATTCATTTTTACAGAACAGCTTGTGAATGACCTATTCTGAATGATAATAAAAGTAATAATGGATTTATTGCTACAGGAGGCATGACATGGCATAACTAATCACTATTGAGCATTGGAAGCACCTGAGACAGAATGTTGCGTCTGCTTTAATCTATTTTGGATATTTTTCAAGTATGAAGTCTATTTGGAGTAATATTTATCAATTTCATTTTCAATTGATAAATTGTCATTCCTAATATGGTATAAATTATTGATTTCTTTTGTGATCCAGGCTGTTGGATTATATCAAACTTTACACAGAGGCTATGATAATTAAACTGCAATAATTTATTGAACTTTAAAGATCCAATTTTTAATTTTACTTAACATTTAAAACGTGTAGGTTGATTGCTGATCTAATTCAGGCATGGCAACCTATAAAAGGATCTCATTCTCTGCTAAAATATTCTCTTACATGATGAAGAATATTGGAGTAAATGTGTATGATTCTCACTGGAATATATTTAACATAAATGTTCACTCTTTGATATTAATGCATTGTCATTTGATATTCAAAAATGGAATGATAAGCCCCTTGTTTTCAGAGCTTGTACTGGACACTGGTTGAATGGAAAAACAGCTATTTGTCCTCATGAGTCACACATGTTTTCATGCATTAATTTGGGATGTAGTCTCTCATCTGATCAAATGCATATCAGACTCTATCTATAGTGTGTGTAATAACAAAGGAAGATTTTAGGTAGCAAGATGGAGGGAAAAGACAAAGGAAGGACATACTCTTTATGTTTCAGGATTCCCATTTCTCATATTTCATTAGCTATAACTTTGTCTCATCGTAACACCTAGCTCCAAGAGAGGCTGGGAAATGTATTTTTGTTTGGGGCATTTATGTACCCAACTAAAATTCTGTTGTCATAAAAGAAATGGTAGTGGATATTAAGGCACAACTAGCTTCTGCTCCCAGAGATCATGTCTTCTATCAATTCTTTTAACTCACATTAAATAATATAACCACATCACCGAAAATCCTTTTAAAAGTAAAATTACACATAATCCCATCACCATAATATAACAACTGTTTTCATTTGCTTATACCTTTCTAATCTGTCTAAATGCACACATATTTTTCACATAGTTGTAATAATAGCTAACATATAGATTTAAACTTTTCACATATGTTTTTTTTGTTTGTTTTTTTTTTTTTGAGACGGAGCTATGCTCTTGTTGCCCAGGCTGGAGTGCAATGGTGCGATCACAGCTCACTGCAACCTCCGCCTACTGAGTTCAAGCGATTCTCCTGCCTCAGCCTCCTGAGCAGCTGGGATTACAGGCATGCGCCACCCGCCTGGCTAATTTTGTATTTTTAGTAGAGACAGGGTTTCTCCATGTTGGTCAGGCTGGTCTCGAACTCCCGACCTCAGGTGATCACCCGCCTTGGCCTCCCAAAGTGCTTGGATTACAGGGGTGAGACACCATGCCCGGTCACTTTTCGCTTATATCTTAAACATGATCCACTTAAAAATAATTTAATGGGTATACAATAGCCCATTGAATTGATAAAGCATAATTTATCTAGCCATACTCATATCATTGGATATTTCAGTTGTTTCTAATTTTTTACTACTATAGGTAATTAACATTAGAATGAACATTTTCATACATAGTCTTCTTTTGGTTATTTTTCTGTTATTTATTTTTAGCCTAATTGCACTATAATCGGAGAGTATGATTTGTATGATACTGATTCTGGGAAACTTGTTGATACTTGCTTTATAGCCAAGTACATTGTCCATTTTCATAAATGTTTCTTGTACTCTTAAGAAAAAATGTGCATCCGGCTAGACGAGGTGGCTCAAGTGATCCTCCCACCTCAGCTTCCCAAAGTGCTGGAATTATAGGCATGAGCCACCACTCCTGGTCCCTTTATTCCTAATAATGCATTTTGCTTGGAAGACTGTTTTTTTTTTTTTTTTTTTTTTTTTTTTTTTGAGATGGAGTCTTGCTCTGTCACCCAGGCTGGAGAGCAGTGGCTCAATCTCAGCTCACTGCAACCTCCGCCTCCTGGGTTCGAGCGATTCTCCTTGCTAGCCTCCCGAGTAGCCGGGATCACAGGCATGCGCCACCATACCCAGCTAATTTTTCAAAATATTTTTAGTAGAGGCAGGGTTTCACCATTTTGGCCAGGCTGGTCTCGAACTCCTGACCTCAGGTGATCCACCTGCCTCAGCCTCCCAGAGTGCTGGGATTACAGGCGTGAGCCACCACGCCCGGCTGGAAGACTATTTTGTCTCATGTGAACAGAGCTACTCTAGCGTTCTTCTGGTTAGTGTCTGCCTGGCATATCCCTTTCCATCTTTTAAAATGTTCAACCTTTTCATGTATCAGAGACTGGCTAGATGCTCACTGACTTCATTTTCTCTTCCTGAGAACACATTTCCCAACATTTTTTGCAGCTATGTTGGGACCCTGTGAACTGACTTCTGGCTAGAGGAATGTGAGCAGAAGTGATGTATACCACTTCTAGCCTTGGCCCCTAAAATAAACGTGGTCTTCTATTCTCCCTCTCCCCTCCCTCTCGTTCCTGTGGCTGGAGGCAAAGAACTCCATGGTGGTAGAAGCAGGATTGAAGGATTCCGGATTCCTGTCACTGAAGGAGAGACAGCCAGAGCAGCAGCCTGACTTGCTGAACTGTAATGTGAGTGAGAAATAAACTTTGTGTGTTAAGTCCCAATAATCCTAGGAGTTATTTGCTACAACAGATAACATTAATCATTCTGATATAATGTCAAATACACTGTCTTTGTGTTTTAGGTTTTCTCTAGGATACTGCAAATATCTAGATTGTTTTTGTTTTAATTCAATCCCAGGACATCTTTAACTGGTGAGTTTAATTCATTTACACTTTATTGCAATTTTAATTAATTGCTAACATATTTGGAATTATTTTTACCATTTTATTTTGTGCTATCTCTCCTGCATTTTCTTTGTCTTTCCCCTGCCATTCCTGTTTTCTTTCAGATTTCAATTCTACATTTTTCCCCCTACTATTTTGGAAGTTATACACTCTGGGTTTGTTGTTGTTGTTTTTGAGATGGAGTCTCTCTTTGTCACCCAGGCTGGAGTGTAGTGGCTCGATCTCAGCTCACTGCAACCTCCGCCTCCCAGGTTCGAGCAATTCTCCTTCCTAGCCTCCGGAGTAGCTGGGATCACAGGCATGTGCCACCATGCACAGCTAATTTTTAAAAATATTTTTAGTGGAGGCAGGGTTTCACCATGTTGGCCAGGCTGGTCTCGATCTCCTGGCCTCAAGCGATCCTCCTGCCTCAACCTCCCAAAGTGCCAGGATTACAGGCATGAGCCATCGCGCCTGGCCGACTCTGTTTTTATTCTTACTGATTATGTGTAAATTATGGCACGCGTACTTAAAATCTAAAGTTAATCAATAGCTCCACTCTCCTCCCAAACTAAGAATGCTAATCACCATCCTTTTGTCTTACAGGTTATTGCTATATCTAATATTTTAGCACTATCTTGTTTTTAACTTCCAACTTAGATATTATTATTGTTAATCTCAGACTTTCCTTCTGAGATCATTTTTCTTTATCCTGATGTATATTCTTAAAAGCTCCTTTAAGGAGCATCTTTTGGTAATAATTACTCTTTCAGTTTTTGATTTTCTGAAAATGTCCTCATTTTGCCCCTATTCTTAAATATGTAATTTAGGTAGGTATCAAATTCTACATTGGCTATGGTTTTCTCTTAGCAACGCAAAGTCTTGTTCCACTGTCTTCTGGCTGCTGCCTCCAGTCTAATTGTTATTCCTTTTAAATGATCTCTTTTTTTTCTCTGACAACTTTGAAGATGTTCTCTTTGTATTTTGTGTTTCTCAGTTATAGTGAAGAAGATTTACCCTCCCATGTGCTTTCTCTATTTCCATTGCTTTTTACCTTACTGTCCTTTGAGTGTCTGACTTTACGTAGAGGTCTCATTTTCAACCCCCTACCTTCCCTGAGCACAAGAGCTTGTCTTCTACACACCTGAGGTCATTAAAATCCAAAACTCGGCCGGGCGCAGTGGTGGCTCATGCCTGTAATCCCAGCACTTTGGGAGGCTGAGGCGGGTGGATCACCTGAGGTCAGGAGTTTGAGACCAGCCTAACCAACATGGTGAAACCCCGTCTCTACTAAAATACAAAAATTAGCCAGGCGTGGTGGCGAGCACCTGTAATCCCACCTACTCAGGAGGCTGAGGCGGGAGAATCGCTTGAACCCAGGAGGCAGAGTTTGCAGTGAGCCGAGATTGTGCCATTGCACAGCCTGGGCAACAGGAGAGAAACTGCATTAAAAAAAAAAAAACCCGAAACTTCAGGTCCCTGGTGTTGACACACATGCTCAGGGCTTCAGTCATTTACCATGCTAGTGTGTAGCTTTCTCTTTATTTTTCACTCCTGAGGATTTTTCCTTCTTACAAGCTCAGTTATGCCTTTTAAAAGATGTTTTTGCATTTTATCTAGAATTTCTATGGTTTTTACAATGGGTTAGTTTTTTTCAGGATATTTGGTCTACTGATTTCTCATAAGCCAGAGTCCATGTTGTCACTTCATTATGTTGAATTATAGCCTTAGGCTAAAATCTTGAGAGTGGCACTACTTACATCAGAGACTTTAAACATTTTTATAGCTGTTTATATGCATTGTCATATTGCTTTTCAGCCGTTTGCTCTTTGAGTGGTATGATACTGATGTTTGTTTATACTTCATGGAGGCAGAGTGCTATGATAGAGTATGGGCTTTGAATCTGCCAAATTTGGTTCTCTTTCTCCCTATCGTCATCTCTCCCTCAACCCCTCCATTATTTACATATTTAGAGATTAGAGAAAATTTTTTCCTTAAACGTTTTGTTGTGGTTTGAAATGTGAGAGAATTAAGAAAGAAGGTGCCATTTGAGAGGGAGAGAAGGAAGATACATGTAGGAGAACTTCTGGCTAAAAATGCTGGCTTGAGCATCGAAGTCTCTTTCCCCCTTCAAACCCCACTGCAATAACAGTAAGGAGATTTTTTTTTAGAGCCTAAACCTTGATGATAAAGAGAAATCAGAGAAAACAGTAGCAACATTTTGTCAGTTAGAAAGCTTACAAATGAGTGCTGGTTGAATAGCAGATCTGAGAAAACTGAGTTTTAAACTGGTGTTGAAAAAAAGCTAAGAAACAAATCAGTTTACACTGGGGGAACCCCCTAGAAGACTCAGGAATTGGCAACAGCAGGTAACCTTTGGAAGTGAGGGGTGAAGTAGAAGGAGTTGGTTGAAAATCTGTTTAAGAAGCAGTTACAGCACCAAATCCCTTCCCCACTGTTATGGGTTGAATTGTGACTACCCCGCCACCTCTCATCCCCCCAACCCTCTTCTGAAAAAATATGTTGAAGTCCTAACCCCCAGTACTTTAGAATGTGACCTTATTTGGAGATAGGGTTGTTGCAGATGTAATTCATTAAGATGAGGTCATACTAGAATACGCTGGGCCCCTAATCCAATATGACTGTTGTCCTTATAAGAAGACAGCCATGTAAAAACAAAGACCCACAGGGAGAACACCATGTAATGATGAAGAGACTGAAGTCATGCAGCTGCAAGCCAAGGGATGTCAAAGATTGCCAGCAAACCACCACAAACTACACAGAGGCAGGGAAAGAGTCTCCTTTGCAGGTTTCAGGGGGAGCATGGCCCTGCAGACACCTTGATCTTGGACTTCTAGCCTCCAGAACTGTGAGACAATGAATTTCTATTGTGTTAAGTCATCCACTTTGGAGTATTTTGTTACTGCAAATACCTAGGAGACTAATATAACCACCTTGCAGTCAGGCAACTGCTTCTCCTTCACTCGGGCCAAAACCGGAGACTTTTTTTTTGTCTAGAGAGAGCAAAACAAAAGTTCTCTGAACTGGAAAACATAAGGGACAGCTAGGGGCCAAGGTACTGTCCTGAGAACAGGGGTTAAGCAAAAGTTGACATATTGAATGTTGAGACTCCTGCCTTCTTCTCCCACCAGGCACTCAAAATGCTGGCCGTTAGGGTTACACCCTCCATGAAATTTAGAAGAGACTTCTCTGGAGAGTCTGGCCAACAAGGGAAAAGACTTCAAAATACTGGTATGAAGGGAGTCTTACAACTAATGGCCCAACTAGGCAGGGAAGCTTATAGCCCCCTAGTTCCACCCAACTACACAGAGCCTCCAATCTTGTTTTTTTGGCGCCCCACTCATAAATAAGCACAGATGGCCGGGCATGGTGGCTCACACCAGTAATCCCAGCACTTTGGGAGGCCGAGGTGGGTGGATCACCTGAGGTCAGGAGTTCAAGACCAACCTGGCCAACATGGTAAAACCCCGTCTCTACTAAAAATTCAAAAAATTAGCCAGATGTGGTGGCACGTGCCTGTAGTCCCAGCTACTCGGGAGGCTGAGGCACAAGAATCACTTGAACCTGGGAGATGGAGGTTGCAGTGAGCTGAGATCATGCCACTGCACTCCAGCCTGGGTGACAGAGTGAGACTCCATCTCAAAAAAATAAATAAAATAATAAGAAATAAGCACAGACAACCACCCATCACTGGACATCTGAAGAAAGCTTGTAGCATGAAAGACAGAGGAGCAAACAGAGGAGAAAACTTGAAGGAAATAAATGATCCAAATATAGAAACCTCAAAAAAAAAAAAAAAAACAGACCACTAATAAGATATAAGAAAATATACTGCATTCATGAAATAAGAACAGCATGGTTGGCCAGGCGCGGTGGCTCACACTTGTAATCCCAGCACTTTGGGAGGCCAAGGCGGGTGGATCACCTGAGGTTGGGAGTTCGAGACCAGCCTGACGAACACGGAGAAACCCCGTCTCTACTAGAAACACAAAATTAGCTGGGCATGGTGGTGCATGCCTGTAATCCCAGCTACTCGGGAGGCTGAGGCAGGAGAATCACTTGAACCCGGGAGGTGGTGGTTGCGGTGAGCTGAGATCACTCCATTGCACTCCAGCCTGGTCAACCAGCAAAACTCCATCTCAAAAAAGAAAAGAAAAGAAAAGAAAAAAGAACAGCATGGTTATATGTATGTGTGTGTATGAAGATTCTAATCGTTTTGCATTTTAAAGCCTCAAAGGTTTGAATTTAAAGTTAAGGAAGTCAAGGCCGGGCACGGTGGCTCATACTTGTCATCCCAGCACTTTGGGAGGCCGAGGCAGGTGGATCACTTCAGCCCGGGTTCGAGACCAGCCTAGGCAACATGGCAAAACTGTGTTTAATTTAATTTTATATTTAATTTTTAATTATGAAAATTAGCCAGATGTGGTGGCACACACCTGTGGTCCCAGCAACTCAGGAGGCTGAGGTGGGAGGATTGCTTAAGCTCAGGAGGCGGAGGTTGCAGTGAGCTGAGATTGCACCACTGCACTCCAGCCTGGGCAACAGAGCAAGACCCTATCTCAAAAAAATATATAAAATAAAGTTAACAAACTCTTCCAGGAGTAAATCAAAACCACAAGGTTTCATTGTAATATTTTTAAATACTGGGGACAAAGACAAATAAATGGTCCCATAAATTTCCAGAGAGGAGAAACTGATTTTACATATAGAATCAAGATCAGACTTCTCAACAGCAACACTGAAGCAATCAATGTTTTTATAATTCTGAGGAAAATAATTTCCTACCCAGAATTCTAAAACCAGGCAAACTCTCAATTGAGTTTGAGGGCAGAATAAGGACATTTTCAGATATTCAAGATTACAGGAATTTTTACCTCCCATATGCATTTCTCAAGAAACTTTAAGGCCGGGCGCGGTGGCTCACGCCTGTAATCCCAGCACTTTGGGAGGCCGAGGCAGGTGGATCACGAGGTCAGGAGATCGAGACCATCCTGGCTAACACGGTGAAACCCCGTCTCCACTAAAAATACAAAAAATTCTCTGGGCGTGGTAGCGGGCGCCTGTAGTCCCAGCTACTCCGGAGGCTGAGGCAGGAGAATGGCGTGAGCCTGGGAGGCAGAGCATGCAGCGAGCCGAGATCGAGCCACTGCACTCCAGCCTGGGCAACAGAGCAAGACTCCGTCTCAAAAAAAAAAAAAAAAAGAAACTTTAGAGGATGTTATTTCACCAATACAAAAGTATAAGCAAGGAAAGAAGGTGAATATGGGATCCAAGAAACAGGGGATGCAACGTAAGAGAGGTAAAGGGAATCCCTGATGAGAAAGTCTCCAAACAGCAGCCATTGAGCAGACTTAGAGAAACAAATCCAGATTGGAGCAGACCAGATGGTTCCAGAAGAGACTTTTTAGGTAGATGAACTCATAAACCTAGTATGTTTGAATATGAAAGATTTACCCGAGTGAGAGAAAGTCTGAGGATATGGACTTAGGAAACCAAACAAATGGGAAAAAATGAGAAAAAAAAAAAACCCAGAACAGTTATTAGCTTCAGAAAAAAACCAAAAAGTTGGAAAGGAAGAATAATCATAGTATATTACACATTTGAACAGTAAATAGCATTTTCCTTTACTGATCTAACTAAAATTAGAATATAACCATATGTGAAACCTGGAGGGATAGGAAATGTGTATGTGTGTAGCTGGGTAGGGAATGAGAGAGAATTTAATCCTTACGTCTCATAATGTAAAGTCAGTAAATGATGTCTGTCTTAGTCTGTTTAGGCTGCTATAACAGACTACCATAAACGGGGCAGTTTATAAACAACAGAAACTTCTCACAATTCTGGAGGCTGAGAAGTCCAAAATCAAGGCACTGGCAGATTCAGAGTCTGGTGAGGGCTTGCTTCCTGGCTCATAGGTGGCTGTCTTTTCCCATGACAGAAAAGGGCAAGTGGGGTCTCTTATGAGGGCACTAATCCCATTCATGAGAGTGCTACCCTAGTGACCTAAATCACTTTCCAAAGGCCCCATCTCTACCATCACACTGGAGGTTAGAATTTCAACATATGAATTGGGGTGGGGGTGGGAACACAATCATTCAGTCTATAGCCATGTCCAAAACTGAAAAATCAAGAAGTATCTAATTTTGAGAGATGGAGGTCAATACCAAAAGAATCAGATAAAATATTTGAAACTGTTGCCTCTGAGGATCAGAAAATGGAGAACTATTTGATTTTTAAAACTGCAAGTATGCATTTGATTTTAAAAACTAAATTTAAAAAACACAAGAAAGTCGGGGAATTGTTAGGATGAATACAAGAGCGTGCTAAAGTGGCTCATACTTAGCTTGCTGTTGTTAAATTTTTAACATTCATTGTTAAATTTTCAGGAATTTTGTGAGCTGGTTGGTAAGTATAGCCATTATTAAAAATTAAACTGTAGTCAGGCACAGTGGCTCATGCCTGTAATCCCAGTGCTTTGGGAGGCCGAGACAGGTGGATCACTTGAGCACAGGAGTTTGAGACCAGCCTGGGCAACATGGCAAAACTCCATCTCTACAAAAATTTTTTTTTAAATTAGCTGGGCATGGTGGCACATGCCTGTAGTCCCAGCTGCGTGGGAGGCTGAAGTCGGAGGATCGCTTGAGCCTGGGAGGCAGAGGCTGCAGTAAGCTGAGATCGTGCCACTGCACTCCAGCTTGAGTGACAGAGCCAGACACTGTCTCAAAAAGAAAAAAAAATGAATTGTATAAACTCGTAATTGTATAGTTTACTTAGGTAACCTGTATTAAAATCACAGGTAAAACTTCTCAAAAAGTATCGCTTCTAATTATTTTAATTATTATTTAAGGAGAATCATTCTAATGATTCTACATTTTACATTCTATGATATGAGTTCTTGATTCTATTTTTTTTTTGAGATGGAGTTTCGCTCTTGTTGCCCAGGCTGGAGTGCAATGGTGTGATCTCGCCTCACTGCAACCTCCCCCTCTCGGGTTCAAGCGATTCTCCTGCCTCAGCCTCCTGAAAAGCTAGGACTACAGGCACCCACCACCACGCCCGGCTAATTTTTGTATTTTTAGCAGAGACGGAGTTTCACTATATCGGCCAGGCTGGTCTCGAACTCCTGACCTTGTGATGTGCCTGCCTCGGCCTCCCAAAGTGCTGGAATTACAGGTGTGAGCCACTGTGCCCGGCCGATTCTATTTATATCTATTGTATCTGTATGGTGGAAATGCTGTAGAGTGATGTGCTACTAGACATCTCTTGCCAACTGTTGTGACGTCATGTTGGTAATTTGAAAACATATATATGTATATATTTCTTGTTGTGTATTAAACTTTTAAAAGTATAACACATCTATAGAAAATCATATAAAATGATTTTACAGTTGAATGCATTATTGTAAGGCAAGACACCTTAGTAACTACCATCCACGTCAGAAGAAAGAGTCATACCTGACCACCCCAGAAACCCTCTACCTGGCCCTGCACCTCGTCTCTTAAGAGTAACTATTCTCCTGGCTTTTATGGTAATCACCTCATTCTTTTATAGTTTCCTCACCTAAGCATGCACCCATACACAATGTAGTTTAATTTTGCCTCTTTTTTTATATGGTTTTTATTTCTTTTTAATCTGTAGGTTCCCTATCCACCTCTTTTTTTCTCCCCCATTACAATTTGTTAATTAAACTGGATCATTCATTCTGTAACATTTCCCATGATCTAGACTTTGCTGATTGAATTCCTTGGTGTAGCTAACACGTAACTCTGTCCTCTGTATTTCCTGTAAATTGGATCTAGAGAATCATTCTTTTCTTCTTCTTCCTTTTTTTTTTTTTTTTTTGAGACAAGTTCTCACTCTGTCGCCCAGGCTGGAGTGCAGTGGCATGATCTCGGCTCACTGCAACCTCCACCTCTCAGGCTCAAGCAATCCTCCCACCTCAGCCTCCCGAGTAGCTGGAACTACAGGCTGTGCCACCATGCCCGGCTGATGTTTGTATTTTTCGTAGAGGCAGGGTTTCACCATGTTGCCCAGGCTGGTCTTGAACTCCTGAGCTCAAGCGATCGGGCCACCTCAGCCTCCCAAGGTATTGGGATTATAGGTGTGAGCCACTGTGTCTGGCCTTAAGAGACTAATTCTTTATTATTAAAAACAGTGACAACAACAAAAATACCAATTCAGTAAATATATGTTGAATATCTACTACATGCCTGAATAGGATAAAAATATGAAGTAATTATTAAGGACATTTATCATTTTAGGCAACTTGACAGGATCTTCTCGGGGGACAAATTGTTACGGTTTACTCTATGCCATTAGCTTGGTCATCAACTCAGGAGATAGCTCAAAAAATGTGTGGGTGAAATACATATTAACTGACAAAGAGACTCCTCATAATAGCACAGAAATAGTGTAGCAGTGCCTTTCTGAAGAAATTATTAACTGCATAACCACTTGTATACAAAAGGTTGTCTATTTTTCAAGGCTGGTTTTAACAATGGTGCATTGACCAAGCACCACTGACAATGATTACAAATTTTGTAGGAACAATTTGCAGGAATTCAGCAATCAAGGATTTTTAAAAAGAAGAGGAATAAATTTTACTACATATTTCTAAATTATCAGAACCTTAAGTTTAAAAAGGACACCGAAGGCTGGGTGCAGTGTCTCAAGCCTGTAATCCCAACACTTTGGGAGGCCGAGGCGGACGGATCACCTGAGGTCAGCGGATCGAGACCAGCCTCGCGAACATGGTGAAACCTTGTCTCTACTAAAAATACAAAAAAAAAAAAAAAAAAAAAAATTAGCCAGGCATGGTGGCGGGTGCTTGTAATCCCAGCTGCTTGGGAGGCTGAGGCAGGAAAATTGGTTGAACCCAGGAAGCAGAAGTTGCAGTGAGCCAAGATCGTGCCACAGCACTCCAGCCTGGGTGACAAGAGTGAGACTCTCTCAAAAAAAATAAAAATAAAATAAAATGAAAAGGACACAGAATAATAAGATTCTATAACCTGATACTCTCTATCACTTTTTCCTATGGTGGACCAATAACACAGTCTCCCTAACCAATGCTAATTATTTGTAGAATAATATTGACAACTTGAAGAAATGTTGATTTGCTTGAAAGCAAACATCAAGGCTTCCTTTTCATAAACAGTATTTGGCTAAAGTATTTTAAGTGTGGCTTAAGTTACAATTGTTTTGTAGCTTATTTTCATAATGTACTGGTGAATGTATATACTGTTTATACAATTAATGAAGTTTTAGAAACATGAAAACTTACTTCACCTCTATTAAGTCTTTGTTTGTAAGTAAGGTGAGTTGCTCAGATTTCTGGACCAGGAAGATGTGAAAGAGTGAAGATCGTCCAAAGTCCAAAAATTTTCAACCCTGATCTATAAATTTACAGTATTATATTGGCTATGATTCATAGAAATCACATTAAGTTTAAAATATTCATGCATATTATTTTTTAAAGTTCTCCAAGAGTAAGTCATTTCCTTCTATATTTTTGGAAAAGTGAATATTCATTTCTCCCTGGTAATATTAAATTATGACAATCTTTAGCATTCAAATTAACCTGTCAAATTATATTCTTCAAAATTCTCCAACATTTGCAGAGCTATGAGAAACTTCTAAAAGGGAAAAATATCAAGATATGGTGGTTATGGACCAGAGTGAAAAAAATAAATACCAAAAATTATACAGTTCCATCATAGGCTATTAAGAAAGAATCAAATACAACCTAAGCATATTTTGGATCAATAATTATTACAGATTTCTATGAATAAAACACCTCCAGTGTTAAAAGACGTTGGATTAGCATTTCCGGAAATCTATGACTAATGCCATTATACTATCTGTCCCAGGGATTTTATTATTACATCATCTCTTGAGAAACTTTAAATATTAATCCATAGGTTATTCTCAGCATGCAACCCATTACCTTTTTTTCTCATTGAGGGTACCTTCTCATTTAGCACAAATAAATTAATGTAATTCTTTTAACATGCTAAAATAAATAGAATAAAATGACGATATTTAAGTTTGCATGAATTTAAAGTGGATAGAAATACTCTATGCAAAGACTGTACCTTGCCACTCTCCTTTTGTCTTCACAGATTATTTCTGAAGGCACAACCTCAAAGGAATATTTTTGAGAAACACACCCCCAGAAATATTCTATAATTTAAGTAATCTTGAAATAAATCACAACATTCACATTTTCCTGCTAAAATCATAGAAATCCTCCTTCGGAAGATAATTTCTCTCATGTGTTAAGGTAATTCTCCTACCCTGCTGTGACACATACTGTGTGTAAGTGGGCTGCCTTTATCCTCTCACCTTTACCACTTCCGAGCACACAGCTTGACTTCTAACTTACCAGCTCATGGACTTCTTTGTTTAGGGCATTCTCCTGTTGCTGGAGCCCACTGCCACTGGTGCTTATGCAAGCAGGCCGGAAGTGCCAGGGAATGAATGCCCCTCTGGTTGCTCTCACTCAATGCCTGAGAGAAGTTGATGTATAAATATCTCAGCTCTTTCTGCCCTGGGTGGAATAACCGAGGTGTATGTGTGTGTTTTGTACTGGTTCTCAGAATGTCCCCAGCACCAGTAAGTTCCAGGAACCCACAGCGGTAACTGACTTAGTAATACATCCTTTATTGGCTGCCTTGCCTTTCTTACTTCCCCGGTAACTTCCCCATTCTACTGTGGCGGTTTCTTTTTGGTTTGTTTTGGTTTTGCACCTTCTAAATAATTATTGTACTTAGAGTGGAATGCTTGCCTCAGGATAGGCTTCTGGGGAAAACCAGAAGACCCTGTTTCTGGTTCATTCTTTCCTCAACATTTGAATTCATTTGTCGTTTCTTGTTTTTATAGTGCAGTGAAGACAGAGAATGTCAACTTTGTTAGGAAATGGCTTTTCAGCTATTTCTGAACAGACTGCCTTCTTTGTACACTGTGTTAAGAATAGTCATTTTATTCCTTTTTTAATCCTCCAACGTATAGAAATCTACCATTGATTTTGGCTACCTGGAGAGAAAAAATGGGGTCTCTGTTGTCTTTATAGTCAAATCAAGGTTCCAGTCAGTACTGGGTGATTTCGAGGGTGTCTTTCAGTTTTAAAATTCTATGAGTTTTAGCACCAATTTTACAGAAACTATTCCAGAAAATTGAAGAGGAGGGAATATTTCCCAACTTGTATTATGAGAAGGTTAAGAATGGTGAAGACTGAATGTCTATAGTATAATTAACAGTAATTTACCAATATCAGTTTCCTGGTTTTGATATACTATGGCTATATAAGATCTCACCACTGGGGGAAACTGCGGGAAGGGCACATGGGGCACTTTGGACTATTTTTGCAACTTCGTATAAGTCTATAGTTATTTCAAAGTAAAATTTTTTTTTTTCGGAGACGGAGTCTCGCCCAGGCTGGAGCGCAGTGGCACGATCTCGGCTCACTGCAACCTCCACCTCCCAGGTTCAAGCACTTCTGCCTCAGCCTCCTGAGTAGCTGGGATGTGCCGCCACGCCCGGCTAATTTTTTGTATTTTAGTAGAGATGGGGTTTCACGGTGTTGCCCAGGCTGGTCTCAAACTCCTGAGCTCAGGCAATCCGCCTGCCTCAGCCTCCCAAAGTACTAGGATTACAGGCATGAGCCACCGCACCGGGCCTCAAAGTAAATTTTTTTTAAAATTCTGAGTTTATGTGATCATAACAGGAGAGGGAAAAGGCACGATAGGTATTGGTTTTAGATTCTTGGCTGCTGTCACTTTACAGGTGATAAAAGTATATAGACTGATAAGAGGTGCCCAAGGGCGATAAAACTATTAAGGCCTGCCTGGGGCTAGAATAGTTACTTCTAGTCTACTGGTTTTTTTCACCACATCACAGTGCCTCATTATCATTCCTGCAAAGGAATGGGAGTGGGATGGGGAGGAAAAGAGGCCTGGCCCACGTACTTTGCTATCCTTTTTGATCTCGCCTCACTTGGCACACTAATAAGACTGAAGCAGGTATACTTACAGGACAAACTGTATTCTTGCCCAGTGAGCCTTTCCCCAACTCACTAACGTGGGCAAAGCTCTCTAATTAGAGAAAAATATATTTAACTCAAAATTAGAAATGGTGTTCTTTAAAATATAATGTCCTAGGACAGTAAGCACGTTAGTGTGAGTTAAAATGTGAATTACACATCATTATAAAACAGTATTCTTGAAGCTTAAAGGAGAATATTTTGTTCTTCCTATTGGGGTGGAAATACTCTCACAGGGCACAACCTTTTCTGCCTTTTCTACTGTTCTTTGTGTTTCTACCTGCTTTTCTGTCTGTATTTTGCCACTATTGGGGGTACATAAAGGTTCATCAACTATGTATTATATAATTATAAAATATCCATCTTTGTCTTATCAAATGTTTGCTGCCATGAATTCTGCTTTGCCTATTATTAAAATTTGCACAACTCTTTCTTTTTCATCAGAATTTGTTTGGTATAGCTTTGCCCAATTTTTTTTATTTTTAGACGGAGTCTTGCTCCGTCGCCCAGGCTGGAGTGCAATGGTGCGATCTCGGCTCACTGCAACCTCTGCCTCCCAGGTTCAAGCAATTCTCCTGCCTCAGCCTCCCAAGTAGCTAGGATTACAGGCTCCTGCCACGATGCCCGGCTAATTTTTGTATTTTTAGTAGAGACGGAGTTTCACCATGTTGGCCAGCCTGGTCTCAAACTCCTGACCTCAGGTGATCCACCTGCCTCGGCCTTCCAAAGTGCTGGGATTACAGGCGTGAGCCACCGTGCCCAGCCCCAAATTTTATTTTTAACATGTGCTTGTCATTTGTGTCTTTGATAAACAGCATATAGCTGTGTTTTTATTTCCTCAATATGAAAGTCTTTTGTCTTTTAAAGAAGAAATTTAACCTATTATGTTTACTGTGACAACTTACTTTTGGTCTTATTTATATTATTTTGTGCTTGCTGCTTCCTGTGTGTTCTTTTTTTTTTGCGGGTGATGGGCGGGGGTTGTTTTTTGAGACAGGGTCTTGTTCTGTTGCCCAGGCTGGAGTGCAGTGGCGCAATCACAGCTCACTGAAGCCCTGATCTCCCAGGCTCCAGTGATCCTCCCACCTCAGCCTCCAAAGTAACACCACCATGCCCAGCTAATTTTTTTGATATTTTGTAAAGCCAAGGTCTTGCTATGTTGCCCAGGCTGGTCTTGAACTCCTGAGCTCAAGCTATCCTTCTGCCTCGGCCTCCCAAAGTGCTGGGATTACAGGCATGAGCCATTGCACCTGGCCCCTATGTGTTCTTGGTGTTTCACTTTTTTCCTTTTCTGACTTTTGCTAGGATTATTCAGTTTCCATTGATCTCTATTTTTCCTCTAGGATTTGTAAGACTTGTATATTATTTGTATTCTGCTGTTATTTTCCTTAATTTCTAATTTTAATTCCATATTTGAAACTATTTACTATTTAAATTAATCACGAGAAGTAAAAATTATCTACATCCACCCCCCCAATGCCCATCAAGAAATTTAACACACTTTAACCCTACCCATATATCAAATATGTTGTTGAAATATCTGTGTTTTAATTTTTTTTTTTTTTTTTTTTTGAGACGGAGTCTCGCTCTTTCGCCCAGGCTGGAGTGCAGTGGCGCGATCTCGGCTCACTGCAAGCTCCGCCTCCCGGGTTCACACCATTCTTCTGCCTCAGCCTCCCAAGTAGCTGGGACTACAGGCGCCCGCCACCACGCCCAGCTAATTTTTCATATATTTTAGTAGAGACGGGGTTTCACCATGTTAGCAAGGATGGTCTCGGTCTCCTGACCTCGTGATACGCCCGCCTCGGCCTCCCAAAGTCCTAGGATTCCAGGCTTGAGCCACCGTGCCCAGCGAGTTTTAATTTTTATATCTTACTTTTTTTCCAAAATTGCTTTTTATCACAATCATATTAAACGGTATGTATATTTATTGCTTTTGTTGGATTCATTGCTTACCAATGTTTCTCATATCTAGAGCTTCATTCTGATTATTTCTTATGGCATTATGTTATTGCTTCCAATTATCTTTTTAGAAAGGGACATGACTCCTGAAATGTCTGAAAATGTTTGCCTTTACACATGAAAAATAGCTGGATCAGGGCGGGGCGTGGTGACTCACGCCTGTAATCCCAGCACTTTGGGAGGCCGAGGTGGGCGGATCACTTGAGCTCAGGAGTTCGAGACCAGCCTGGCCAATATGATGAAACCCCGTCTCTACTAAAAATACAAAAATTAGCCGGCTGTGATGGCAGGAGCCTGTAACCCCAGCTACTCTGGAGGCTGAAACAGGAGAATCGCTTGAACCCGGGAGGCAGAGGTTGCAGTGAGCCGAGATTGTGCCACTGCATTCCAGCCTAGGGCAACAGAGTGAGCCTTGGTCTCAAAAAAAAAAAAAAAAAAAAAAAAAAAAAGGCCAGGCGCAGTGGCTCACGCCTGAAATCCCAGCACTTTGGGAGGCCGAGGTGGGCAGATCACGAGTTCAGGAGATCAAGACCATCCTGGCTAACACAGTGAAACCCTGTCTCTACTAAAACTGCAAAAAATTAGGCGGGCATGGGTGGCACGCGCCTGTAGTCCCAGCTACTCGGGAGGGTGAGGCAGAAGAATTGCTTGAACACAGGGGCGGAGGTTGCAGTGAGCCAAGATCACACCACTGCACTCCAGCCTGGGCAACAGAGCAAGACTCCGTCTTAAAAAAAAAAAAAAAGCTGGATCAGGGGCTAAACTACAGTCACATTTCTTTTCTGACAGAACTCCATTTTTTCTACCATTTGGCTCCAGACTTGAAGTTCCACACTAGCGAAATTAATAATATTTAATAGTATTTTGGTCAGACTGAGATAAGAGATCAACAATGATAATGAACAAAGCAGTATGGTAGTTATTTTAAATGTAATGTTTTCTTATCTTTCATTTATTTCCTTCCTGCCTTTACTAAAACACTCCACATTTCAGCCAAATGTTGAAGTGTATTGATTGAAGAAGCTGAATTATGCAAGTAAAAATAATAATAATTTTCAAAAAGGAAAAAATAATTTAATCCTTTAATCCCTGTTTTTCTGTTTCTGATAATTGATAAATGGTGAGTGCCTAGTCAAGTGCGACTATGGATATCATCTTCCCTTGGAAAATTGGGCCAGGGAAAAATATTCTCAATGCAATGTGAAAATTATAAAATAATTTTTCAAAGTTAACTGCTTTGTTAAGGTAGAATTGACATACAGTATATTATGCATATTGCATGAGGACAATTTGATAAGTTTTGACATATGAAACCATCACCACAGTCAAGATGATGATCCCCATACGTTTTCTCATGCCTCTTTAGTCCCTCTCTTCTGTCTTTCCCAGCCCCCATCTCCAAGTGACCACTCATCTTTCTGTCAGTATAGTTTGCATTTTTGAGAGTTCTATGTAAGTGGAATCAACTAGCATATGCTTTTTTGGCAGGGGGGCCTGGCTTCTTTCATTCAATATAATTATTTTGAGACCCATCTATATCGTTGCATGTATCAAAAGTTCATCTAGGTTGCATTCCATTGTTTCAATATACCACAATTTGTTTATCCATTCACCTGTCAATGGACATTTGGGTTATTTCCAGTTTTTGACTATTGCAAATAAAACTATTTTGAGCATTTATGAGCAGTCTTTGTGTGGATGTAGACTTTCATTTCTCTTGATATTGTCAATCTTTTATATTTTAGCCATTCTAGTAGGTATGAAGTAGTATCTCACTGTGGTTTAATATTCATTTCCTTAATGACTAAGGATGATAAGCATCTTTTCATACGCTTATTTCCCATTTGTATATTTTATTTGGTGAAGTGTCTTTAAATATTTTGCACGTTTTTTTGGCTGAGTTGTTTGTGTTATTAATGACTTTTGAGAATTCTATATGTATTCTGCTTACAATTCCTTTATCAGAGATACGTTTTGCAAATATTTTTCTCCCAATGTGTTTTTTTTTCTTCCTTTTCTCAATAATGTTTTTTCAAAAAGCAGCAGTTCTTAGTTTTGGTGAAGTCCAACTTATCAGTTTTTTACAAATTGTCCTTTCAGTGTCAGAAATAAGAAGTCTTTGTCTAACCAGATCAAAAAGATTTTCCTCTGTGTCTTCTTCTAAAAGTTTTATTGTTTTAAATTTTATATTTAGGTTCATAATCCATTTTTAGTTCTGTTTTGTACATAATGTGAGGTATGCAAGAAGGTCCTTTGGCTTGCCTGTGATGTTCAGTGGCTCCAGCAACATTTGTTGAAGAGATTATCTTTTTAAAAATTGCCTTCTTGGGCCTGGCACGGTGGCTCATGCCTGTAATCCCAGCACTTTGGGAGGCAGAGGCAGGCGGATCACCTGAGGTTGGGGGTTCGAGACCAGCCTGACCAACATAGAGAAACCCCATCTCTACTAAAAATACAAAATTAGCCGAGCATGGTAGCACATGCCTGTAATCCCAGCTACTCAGGAAGCTGAGGCAGGAGAATCACTTGAACCCAGGAGGCAGAGGTTGCGGTGAGCCAAGATTGCGCCACTGCACTCCAGCCTGGGCAGCAAGAAACTCCGTCTCAAAAAAAAAAAAAAATTGCCTTTGCATTCTTGCCAAAAAATCAATTGACCATGTATGTGTGGGTCTATGTCTGGACTCTGTTCCAGATCTATGGGTCTGTCCTTTTGCCAGTACCACACTGTCTTAATTACTCTAGTTTTATAGTACATCTTGAAATCACGTACTGTGAGTTCTCTAACTTTGCTCTTCTTTTTCAAAATTGTTTTGACTATTCTAGTTCCTTTGCTTTATCATGTAAATTTTAAAGCCACCTTGACAATTTCTACAAAAAAATCTCTCTGGGATTTTGGTTAGGGTTGCATTGAATCTATTAATCAATTTGGGATGAATCAACATTGTATTATCTATCACTGCATTACCAATTAGCCCAAAATTTAGCAGCCTACAACATCAAATATTTATTATCTCACAGATCCTGTGCGTCAGGAATCTGGGTGCAGCTTAGCTCAGTGCCTCTGTCTCAAGGTTTCTCACAAGGTTGCAAGCAATCAAGTTGTCAGCCAGGGCTGAGATGAAGGCTCAACTGGGGGAGGTTCTGCTTCCAAACTCACTCATGTGGTTGTTGGCAAGATTCAGTTCCTTGCTGACTATTGGCTGAAGGCCTCCCTCAGTTCCTTGACTTGTGGGCCTCTCTGTAAAGCACCTCACTACATGGCAGCTAGCTTTCCTCAGAACAAGAGTGTGAAAGAGTGCTCAAGGCAAAAGCCATAGACTCTTTGCAACCTAATCGAGGAAGTGACATTTCATCATTTTTGCCTATTCCGTTCGTTACAAGTGCATGACTAGGTCCAGGCCACCCTTATGGGGAGAGGATTACACAAGGGCATGAATATCAGAAGGCAGGGATCACTGGGGACCATTTTAAAGGCTGCCTGCCGCAGACATCTTAACAGTGAGTCTTCCACTTTAGGAGCACAATATATCATTTATTTAGGTCTTCTTTGATTTTTTCATTGATGTTTTGTAGTTTTCCGTGCACACACCTTGCACATATTTTATAGGAATTATGCCTAAAGATTTCATATTTCTGGTGCTACTGTAAATGGCACTGCTTTAAAATTTCAATTTCGAATTGTTTATTGCGAGTATACAAAAATACAATTGATTTGTATATTGGCTTTATATCCTGTGACCTTGATTAGCCCACTTACTGGTTTGAGTAGCTTTTTTTGTAGACTCTTTGGGTTTTTCTACATAGACTGGTTGTTAATAGAAATGGTTTTGTTTCTTCTTTTCTGATTTGTATGCCCTTTGTTTCATTTTCTTGCCTATTTTACTGGCTAGGACTTCCAATACAATGTTGAATATTGATCACTTGTTTTTTTTTTTTTTTGAGATGGAGTCTCACTGTCACCCAGGCTGGAGTGCGGTGCCGCGATCTCAGCTCACTGCAACCTCTGCCTCCCAGGTTCAAGTGATTCTCCTGCCTCAGCCTCTTGAGTAGCTAGGATTACAAGCACCCGCCACCACAGCTGGCTAATTTTTGTATTTTTAGTAGAGACGGGGTTTTGCCATGTTGGCCAGGCTGGTCTTGAACTCCTTACCTCAGGTGATCTGCCTGCCTTGGCCTCACAAAGTCTTGGGATTACGGGCATGAGCCACCATGCCTGGCAATGATCACTATTCTTTCATCCCAGAGGTTCCAGCTAGAATCATGTTTATCCTTTTGGGATATATTATTTCTTTCTTTCTTTTTTTTTTTTTTTTGAGTCAGAGTTTTGCTGTTGTTGCCCAGGCTGGAGTGCAATGGCATGATCTCAGCTCACCGCAACCTCTGCCTCCCAGTTTCAAGCGATTCTCCTGCCTCAGCCTCCCGAGTAGCTGGGATTACAGGCATGCACCACCACGCCTGGCTAATTTTATATTTTTAGTAGAGATGGGGTTTCTCCATGTTGGTCAGGCTGGTCTCGAACTCCCAACCTCAGGTGAGCTGCCCATCTCGGCCTCCCAAAGTGCTGGGATTACAGGCTTGAGCCACCAGGCCTGGCGTTTTTTTTGTTTGTTTGTTTGTTTGTTTGTTTGTTTCGATACAGAGTTTTGCTCTTGTTGCCCAGGTTAGAGTGCAATGGTGTGATCTCAGCTCACTGCAACCTCTGCCTCCCAGGTCCAGGCGATTCTCCTGTCTCAGCCTCCCAAGTAGCTGGGATTACAGGTGCGTGCCACCATGCCTGGCTAATTTTTTGTAGTTTTAGTAGAGACGGGGTTTCACCATGTTGGCCAGGCTGGTCTCGAACTCCTGACCTCAGGTGATCCACCTGCCTTGGCCTCCCAAAGTTCTGGGATTACAGGCGTGAGCCACCACGCCTGGCCTGGATATATTCTTTAAAAGTTATTTTAATGATGTCTGTTTATGGTTGAAAATATCTTTATTATACCCTCATTCATAAAAGTTTATTTGCCGGGTGTAAAATTCCAGGTTGACAGTTATTTCTCTTGCCACTTCAAAGGACCTATTTCATTGTGTTACAGCTACCATTATTGGAATGTCTTCTTGTCTTTGATATTCTGACATTTTATTACTATGTGTCTAAGTGTAAATTTATTTTTAATTATCCTGCTTGGAATTTCTTGGGTTTCTGCATCTGAAAATGGGTGTCTTTCACAATTTCTTTTTTCTGTTTTTTTTTTTTTTTGAGACAGGGTCTCAGTCTGTCACCCAGGTTGGAGTGCGGTAGCACAATCATAGCTCACTGCAGCCTCAACCTCCCTGGGTTCAGGTGATCCTCCCACCTCAGCCTCTGGAGTAGCTGGGACTACAGGCAGGTGCCACCATGCCCTGCTAATTTTTCTATTTTTGTAGAGACAGGGTTTTGCCATGTTGCCCAGCTGGTCTTGAGCTCCTGGACTCTTCCTGCCTTGGCCTCCCAAAGTGCTGGGATTACAGGTGTGAGCCACCGTGCCTGGCCCATAATTTCTGAAACATTATCTTTTTAATATTACCTTGTCCTCTATTATCTTTCTTCCTTCCTTCTGAAACTCTAGTTGTTACATATATTGGACCTTCTCACACTATGCTCCATTTCTCTTAACCCCTAATTAATATTTTTTATAATTCTGTCTTTTTTGTCCTATATTGATAATTTATTTACATCTATCTTCTAATTCTCTTATTTTCTCTTCAGTTCTATCTGCTGTTTATATCATCTTTTGAATTTCTAATTTAAATTTTTTTTTTTAGGGACAGAGTCTTGCTGTGTCACCCAGTCTGCAGTGCAGTGATGCACTCTCGTCTCACTGCAACCTCTGCCTCCCAGGCTCAAGCGATTCTCCTGCCTCAGCCTCCTAAGTAGCTGGGATTACAGGCATGTGCCACCACGCCCAGCTAAATTTTTGGACTTTTTAATAGAGACAGGGTTTTACCATGTTGGCCAAGCTGGTCTCAAACTCCTGGCCTCCTGTGATCCACCCACCTTGGACTCCCAAAGTTCTGAGATTACAGGCGTGAGTTACTGCACCTGGCCCCTTTAATTCTTTATACACTATAAATATTATTTTATACTCTATATCTGAAAGTCTCACTATAGGTTTTTGTGTGTGCTTTTTTCTGAAATTGATATTTCGGCTTATTCTTACTAATGATGGCTTGTTTCCCCATGGGTTTAGTGATTTTTTTTTAATCCTGAATTTGTAACTTTACAGCAGTTCTTTTAAGTCTGTAAAGTGCATTCCTCCAAAGAATTTGTTTGTTTTCTTCTGGTGGTTTTCTCTACCAAGGACCACTTTGAACCCTATGTTTGGCATAGTGTTTATTTGGGGCCACAGAAATTCAGGTTGAGGTCTGTCCGATGCTGGTGTGAGTTTGCTTGTGCTTGGCTATTCTCGGGGAGTTTATTTCCACCACTTCCATCAGCAGGATGGGCTCTTTCCAGTTGAACTTCTTTTTTTTTTTTTTTTTTTGAGACAGAGTCGCAATCTGTCGCCCAGGCTGGAGTGCAGTGGCGTGAGCTCGGCTGACTGCAACCTCTGCCTCCCAGCTTCAAGCCATTCTCTTGCCTCAGCCTGCCAAGTAGCTGGCCTAATTTTTGTATTTTTAGTAGAGACAGGATTTCCTCACGTTAGCCAGGCTGGTCTTGGACTCCAGATCTCAAGTGATCCGCCCGCCTTGCCCTCCCAAAGTGCTGGGATTACAGGCGTGAGCCACCGTGCCCGGCCCCAGTTGAACTTCTTGAGGGTGTTGCTCTTTGGCTCTCCTGCCTTCCTGCAGGGATCTCCAGTCTGACCTCGTACAGTGCTTGGACTCTAGGCTTTATCTCCTGTCCCCCATAGGAATGACTCATTAAAACCTGGGGCTAGAACCATAGGAATCAGCAGATAGCTCCCGAGTAAATATGGTCTGCATCTCTCATGGATTTGTGCTTTCCTATCATTTCTGGCCTCCCAGGAATGTCCATAGTTTCTTGCCACTACCCTACATATTAAAATATTAAAACTTTTTCTGTCTGGGCGCAGTGGCTCATGCCTGTAATCCCAGCACTTTGGTTGGCCGAAGCAGATGGATCACTTGAGGTCAGGAGTTTGAGACCAGCCTGGCCAACATGGTGAAACCTCGTCTCTACTAAAAATATAAAAATTAGCCAGGTGTGATGGTGCGTGCCTGTAATCCCAGCTACTCAGGAGGGTAAGGCTGGAGAATCACTAGAACCCCAGAACTGGAGGTTGCAGTGAGCCAAGATTGTGCCACTGTGCTCCAGCCTAGGCAACAGAGTGAGACTCTGTCTCAAAAACAAAACAAAACAAAACAGAAAAACTTTTTTTTTTTGGTATTTAATGTTCTGAACCAGAAGGAGTTTCTCTGAACATCTAGTCCAACAATTTGTTGGAAACAGAAGTCCTGCTGTTAAGGTATTAGTGCATTCTTTTTCAGAAATTTTTTCTGTGCAGATATACAATCTGTATACTAAGAAAACACCATGCATACTACTTTGTAACCTATTGTTGTGTCCTTTAGCAATATATTTTGAACATCTTTTTACATTAATAAACATGTCACTGCTGTTGTGGGTGGGGTTGCCCAGGAAACAGACTCTGAGACAGAGATTTGTGTACACAAAATTTATTAGGGTGTGCTCTTGAGGTCAACACCTACCGAGGAAGGGAATAAAGTAGGATTAGGCAGAGGGGAAGTTAGACAATCGGTGCAGTAGCCACAAGGGCTCCAGCTCTGGAGCTGGGAGGGCCCTGCAGAGTTGTCTGGAATTGAAGAAAGAAGGCCGGGCCTTTATACTCCTGCTGGGATGCTCCCGGGAAGGGATTCGGGGTTACATTGGGCAAGGCAGCGGACTACAGCTGAGTGCAATTCCTAGAGGTAGCTCACGGAGGAAAACAGCCCACAGCACTCCAAGTGTCTGGCAGCCTTGAAGGGAGACCTGGGCAGCACGTCACAGAATCCACCACGGTTAGGGACACTTTTGGCTCCAAACAACAGAAAATACGACTGACCCCCTTTCCTAACAAATACTTAACTTTTCTCATTTAACATAAAGTGTGCGGTAGATGATTGCTGGCATCAACAACATCTGTCCCTTTTATTAGGAAAGTAAAAATCCTTCTCAAAAGCCCCCAGTAGACTTCTCTATACATCTCAATAACTAGAACTGGACCACATGGCCACTCCTAGCTGTAAGAGAAGCTGGGAAAGTGGGATCAGGATTGTCCTAATTTTGTGCCTGGAGCAGTGAACTTTGCTGCCCTGAGCAATATCTGGGTGCTATTAGCATAGAAGAAGAGAGGAAAGGGGCCGGGCGCGGTGGCTCACGCCTGTAATCCCAGCACTTTGGGAGGCTGAGGCAGGCAGATCACCTGAGGTCGGGAGTTCGAGACCAGCCTGACCAACATGGAGAAACCCCGTCTCTACTAAAAATACAAAATTAGCCAGGCATGGTGGTGCATGCCTGTAATCCCAGCTACTTGGGAGGCTGAGGCAGGAGAAGCTCTTGAACCCGGGAGGTAGAAGTTGCGGTGAGCTGAGATGGTGCCATTGCACTCTAGCCTGGGCAACAAGAGTGAACTCCGTCTCAAAAAAAAAAAAAAAAAAAAAAGAGGAAAGGATAATAGACCTGCAATGAACAGAGTCTGCCATAAGACAGACCTCTACCAAATGTTTTTGAATAATTGAATACGGATATAAGTTACTAAAACAGTCCCTATATTGCTGGATGTATTAGTCTGTTCTCATGCTGCTGATAGAGACACATCGAAGACTGGGTAATTTATAAAGAAAAAGAGGTTTAATGGACTCACAGTTCTACATGGCTGGGGAGGCCTCACAATCATGGTGGAAGGCGAAAGGCATGTCTTACGAGACGAGAGAGAATGAGAACCAAGCGAAAGGGGAAACCTCTTATAAAATAATCAGATCTACAGGAGGCTGAAGCAGGAGAATCACTTGAACCTGAGAGGCGGAGGTTGCAGTGAGCCGAGATTGCACCACTGCACTCCAGGCTGGCGACAGAGCGAGACTCCGTCTCAAAAACAAACAAACAAATTATCAGATTTGTGAGACTTACTCACTACCACGAGAACAGTATGAGGGAAACTGCCCCCATGATTCAATTATCTCCCACCAGGTCCCTCCCACAACATGTGGGAATTATGGGAGCTACAATTCAAGATGAGATTTGAGTGGGGAAATAGTCAAACCATAAAATTCCACCCCTGGCCCCTCCCAAATCTCATGTCCTCACATTTCAAAACCAATCATGCCTTTCCAACAGTCCCCCAAAGTCTTAACTCATTTCAGCATTAACTCAAAAGTCCACAGTTCCAAAGTTTCATCTGAGACAAGGCAAGTCCCTCCCGCCTATGAGCCTTTAAAATCAAAAGCAAGTTAATTACTTCCTGGATACAATGGGGGTACAGGCATTGGGTAAACACAGCCATTCCAAATGGGAGAAATTGGCCAAAACAAAGGGGCGACGGGCTCCATACAAGTCCAAAATCTAGCACAGCAGTCAAATCTTTTTTTTTTTTTTTTTGAGACGGAGTCTTGCTCTGTCGCCAGGCTGGAGTGCAGTGGCGCGATCTCAGCTTACCGCAACCTTCGCCTGCTGGGTTCAAGCAATTCCCCCTGCCTCAGCCTCCCAAGTAGCTGGGATTACAGGCACATGCCACCACGTCCGGCTAATTTTTTGTATTTTAGTAGAGACTGGGTTTCACCATGTTGGCCAAGATGGTCTCCATCTCCTGACCTTGTGATCCACCTGCCTCGGCCTCCCAAAGTGCTGGGGTTACAGGCGTGAGCCACTGCTCCTGGCCTACAGTCAAATCTTAAAGCTCCAAAATGATCTCCTTTGACTCCATGTCTCACATCCAAGTCACACTGATGCAAGAGGTAAGTTCCCATGGTCTTGGGCAGCTCCCGCCCCTGTGACTTTGCAGGGTACAGCCCCCGCTCCTGGCTGCCTTCATGGGCTGCTGTTGAGTGTCTGTGGCTTTTCCAGGTGCATGGTGCAAGCTGACAGTGGATCTGCCATTCTGGGGTCTGGAGGAGGGTGGCCCTCTTCTCACAGCTCCACTGGGCAGTGCCCCACTGGGGACTCTGTGTGGGGGCTTCAACCCCTCATTTTCCTTCCACACTGCCTTAGCAGAGGTTCTCCATGAGGTCCCTGCCCCTGCAGCAAACTTCTGCCTGAACAGCCAGGCATTTCCATACATCCTCTGAAGTCTAGGCAGAGGTTCCCAAACCTCAGTTCTTGACTTCTGTGCACCTGCCGGCTCAACACTACGTGGAAGCTGCCAAGGCTTGGGGCTTGCACCCTGAAGTCATGGCCCGAGCTGTACCTTGGCCCCTTTTAGCCAAAGCTGGAGCAGCTAGGATGCAGGACACCAAGTCCCTAGGCTGCACACGGCAGGGGACCCTGGTCTCACGAAACCATTTTTTTCCTCCTAAGCCTCTGGGCCTGTGATGGGAGGGGCTGCCACAAAGGTCTCTGACATGTCCTGGAGACATTTTACCCATCGTTTTTTCGGGATTTTTTGGCTCCTTGTTAATTATGCACATTTCTGCAGCCAGCTTCAATTTCTCCTCAGAAAATGAGTTTTTCTTTTCTATCGCATCTTCAGGCTGCAAATTTTTCAAACTTTTATGCTTTGTTTCCCTTTAAAACTGAATGCTTTTAACACCACCCAAGTCACCTCTTGAATGCTTTGCTGCTTAGAAATTTCCTCTGCCAGATACACTAAATCATCTCCCTCAAGTTCAAAGTTCCACAGATCTCTAGGGCAGGGGCAAAATGCTGCCATTCTCTTTGCTAAAACATAGCAAGAGTTACCTTTACTCCAGTTCCCAACAAGTTTCTCATCTCCATCTGAGACCACTTCAGCCTGAATTTCATTGTCAGCATTTTGGTCAAAGCCATTCAACAAGTCTCTAGAAAGGTCCAAACTTTCCCACATTTTCCTGTGTTTTTCTGAGCCCTTCAAACTGCTCCAACCTCTGCCTGTTACCCAGTTCCAAAGTCGCTTCCACATTTACAAGTATCTTTACAGCAGCGCCCCACTCTACTGGTACCAATTTACTGTATTAGTCTGTTCTCATGCTGCTGCTAAAGACATTCGAAGACTATGTAATTTATAAAGAAAAAGAGGTTTAATGGACTCACAAATTCCATGTGGCTGGGGAGGCCGCACAATCATAGTGGAAGGTGAAAGGCACATCTTCCATGGTGGCAGACGAGAAAGAATGAGAACCAAGCGAAAGAACTGTCATATCTCATAAGACTTATTTACTACCAGGAGAACAGTATGAAGGAAACCACCCTCATGATTCAGTTATCTCCCACCTGGTCCTTCCCACAACACGTGGGAATTATGGGAGCTACAATTCAAGATGAGATTTGGATGGGGAGACAGCTAAAACCATGTAACTGGACATTTTTGTTTCCAACATTTGCTATTATCCACTATGCTGCAATAAACATCCTTGTCAGCCTATATCTGCAATTATTTCCTCAGGATAAAATGCCACATATGTAATTTCTGTGCAGAGAGAATGTACCTTTTTAAGGATTTTGATACTAATTACTGAGATGTACTTGAGAAGTCTACAAATTTGTTTCCAAGAGCAGTAAATAAAGGGGCCTATTTTCCCTTAGATCCTTGCTGACACTGGATATTAACATTTATTTTAATCAGACTTAGATTCTAAAAAAAGTACCTTGTTTTAATTTGCAATTTTGATTACTTTTTATTCGTCATACTCATTCAATTTTGAATTATAGTCCAAAAATGGAGTTTATACAGTTTGAGCTTTTTGGAAATTATTGAGAGTCTTAGTGTCTTGCTCTTGTGCTGTAAGGGTTAATCACAGCAGGTCTGTAATTAGCGTGAGCTATTTGGATAAAGCTCCTGCTTGACACTGACTCCTGGTCAAAGCATGAAACATACTGATTTTTTTTTTTTTCAGCCTGTCGCCCAGGCTGGAGTGCAGTGGCGTGATATCAGCTCACTGCAACCTCTGCCTCCCAAGTTCAAGTGATTCTCCTGCCTTAGCCTCCCAAGTAGTTGGGACTACAGGCGCCTGGCACCATACCCAGCTAACTTTTGTATTTTTAGTAGAAACGAGGTTTCACCATATTGGCCAGGCTGGTCTTGAACTCCTGACCTTGTGATCCACCCTCCTCGGCCTCCCAAAGTGCTGGAATTACAGGCATGAGCTTCCATGTCTGGTCGAAACATATTAATATTGTCTCTATGTAGCCATGAGCCCGAAGAGTTTTCAGGGCAGTTTGATCGAGCTTGTCAGCATTGTTTATTGATAACAATGAGATGGAAGAGTAGCACCTGGTCTTGATGTGATACCTCTCCCCCGCAACCTCCTTCTCCTCCCCAGGGTTCTGTTGGTTATACGGCAGACCTGCAAAATACAAACCACCTCCGCAAAGACATCATTTTAGTCTCCCTGGTTCTGAAATGTTCTGTGCACACATTAGTGGCCCCGGATCCAGGAGACATCTGGCCTGGCCCTATGGAGAGGACAATGGGAGCCTGCACCTGGCTTCTCCAGGCCCCTTTTGGAGTCGTCTGCTTGGTGTATAGCTTGACTTTCATGCTCTTGCTATAGTGGGTCCTTTCCTTGTAACAAAGCGTAGACTTGTAAGCTTTATCATTTCGGGTCCTATGAGTCTTCTTTAGCAATCGAACCCTGTTTTTAAGTGCCACTATTAGTGCAGCTATATAGTCTATTTTTATAATTGTTGCAAGGGCACTAGACAAAAAAAGGTTATATTGTCTGCTGTACATGCTTCTGTCCAGGAAGCTATTAAGTAAGCCTTTTTAATCGTACTGCTAAGTGAGTCTCTATCCTTCATATTTTGGCTTTATAAATTTCAATGCCATTTTATTCAGGGTTTTTTTGATCTCAGATTGTACCAATTTAAGTGTTTTAGTCTTTCGTTTCTCTTAATTTGGATCTGTTTTGTATATAACGTTTTTCCTATTCTCTAAGATTGATCTTTTTTTGCCACTGTTCAATTCTTTTAAATAACATATAATTGATTTTTAAAAATGCGATCTAGAAATGTTTATTTTTAAATACAGGAGTAGGTTCCATTTGTATTTATCATTATAACTACTACATTTAGTTTATTATGTTTCATCTTTTGAATAGTATTTTTAATGCTTCTTTGCCATTTCTTTTGTTTTATACTTTTTTTCTCTTATGAGTATTTTCGTTGCTTTTATCTTCTTCATTACTACGGAGAACATATATATTCCTTTTAGGACTAGTAAGAATGATTTTTTTTTTCTTTTTGAGACAGAGTCTCCCTGTCTCCCAGGCTGGAGTGCAGTGGTGCGATCTCGGCTCACTGCAAGCTCTGCCTTCCAGGTTCATGCCATTCTCCTGCCTCAGCCTCCCGAGTAGCTGGGACTACAGGTGCCCACCACCACGCCCGGCTAATTTTTTTGTATTTTTAGTAGAGACGGGGTTTCACCATGTTAGCCAGGATGGTCTTGATCTCCTGACCTCATGATCCACTCGCCTCGGCCTCCCAAAGTGCTGGGATTACAGGCGTGAGCCACCGCGCCCAGCCGTAAGTGTGATTTTAAGTGTTCTATGAGTCTGGGGAAGAACACGTACGAGACGTTTTGAGAGCAAGAAAGTTATCAAAGACTACTAGGTCATGGCAAAATGACTCAAGAGCCAACTTAAACAAGTTCCCACTAACCACACTTGGGATAATTTGAGCATCAATAGAGATAATTGCAGTGGGAGCCAGGCGCAGTGGCTCACACCTGTAATCCCAGCACTTTGAGAGGCCAAGGAGGACGGATCACCTGAGGTCAGGAGTTTGAGACCAGCTGGGCCAACATGGTGAAACCCCGTCTCTACTAAAAAAACAAAATTTAGCTGGGCTTGGTGGCGCCATGCCTGTAGTCCCAGCTACTACAGAGGCTGAGGCGGGAGGATCGCTTGAACCCAGGAGGTGGAGGTTGCAGTTAGCCAAGATTGCACCATTGCACTCCAGCCTGGGCAACAGAGTGAGACTCTGGCTCAAAAAAAATAAATAAATAAACAAAAAAAGAGATAATTGCAGTCAATTGAATCACATCAAGTAAGTGTGAGTCTGTGAGTTCATAATATTACCAGAAAAGAAACACTTATTGTTTACCTTTTGTAAAACAACATATTGTTTCCTTTAGATAAGTTTATGTCACTAACTCTATTTGGAAAACTGCTGAAAAAAATATTCAAGCAGAAAAACAATAATTTGTATTGTGACATATTTGTACATATTTATGGGGTAGATGTGATCTTTTGTTACAGGCATAGAATATGTAATAATCAACTCAGGGTATTTGGGGTATTCATCACCTGAAGTATTTATCATTCTGTGTGTTGGGAACATTCCAAGTCCCCTCCTGTAGCTATTTTGAAATATACAATATACTGTTTAACTATAGTCAGCCTACTCTGCTATCAAACAGTAGAACTTATTCCTCCTATCTAATTGTATGTTTGTGCCCAATAACCAACCTCTCTTCATCCCCCGACAACTACCCCTCCCATCCTCTAGTGTCTACCATTCTACTCTCAACCTCCATGAGATTCACTTTCTTAGTTCCCACATATGAGTGAGAACATGCAACATTTGTCTTTCTGTGCCTGGCTTATTTCACTTAACATAATAACCTCCAGTTCCACAAGAACAACAATAATTTTTAAAAAGCATTCTGTGGCCTATATTTCTTAAATTGTCAGAATTTAAAAAATGAAATGGTAACCTTTTAGTTCCTTCTCATTTGGCTGTGTTGAGCTCACTTTTTACTTTCCTCATTCTTTGTTAATAAAATCTTAGATTTAGACACAGATTATTTTTAGACTTTTAAATTTGCCTTTGAAGTTTGCACGTTTCTCTCCTTTTTTTTTTTTTTTCTTGAGACAAGGTCTCATTCTATTGCCCAGACTGCCATCTCAGCCTCCAGAGTAGCTAGGACTATAGGCGTGCACCACTACGCCCAGCTAATTTTTGTATTTTTTGTAGAGACGCGGTCTTGCCATGTTGCCCAGGCTGGTCTCGAACTGCTGGGCTCAAGTGATTCTGCAGCCCACAGCCCTTCGAGTAGCTGGGATTACAGGAGCACGCCACCACACCCGGCTTAGTTTTCTTGATTTCTTGTTATTGTGGTGTATGTTTTTACTAGATTTTTTCACGAAGTGGGCATTGATTTTATATATATGTATATATACACGTGTATATATATGTGTGTGTATGTGTATATATATATATATATATATATATACACGTGTGTGTGTATATATATATATATATATATATTTTTTTTTTTTTTTTTTTTTTTTGAGGCAGAGTCTCGCTCTATCGCCCAGGCTGGAGTGCAGTGGTGCGATCTCGGCTCACTGCAAGCTCCGCCTTCTGGGTTCACGCCATTCTCCTGCCTCAGCCTCCTGAGTAGTCGGGACTACAGGTGCCCGCCTCCACACCCGGCTAATTTTGTTTTTGTATTTTTAGTAGAGACGGGGTTTCACCGTGTTAGCCAGAATGGTCTCGATCTCCTCACCTCGTGATGCGCCCGCTTCGACCTCCCAAAGTGCTGGGATTACAGGCGTGAGACACCGCCCCTGGCCGATTATATGTTTTTAAATTCTAGCATCATAGCAATTCACAGGAAGGCTCAGAAGATTAGACTGCCTGGGCTCAATCCTGACTCTTAGGTAAGTTATCTCCTTCCCTGGGTTTTGGTTTTCTCATCTATAAAATGAGGATAATTCCTGTCTTATAGAGTTGTTCAAGGAGTGAATGGCTCAATATACATATAAAGCACTTAGAGGCCGGGCGCGGTGGCTCACGCCTGTAATTCTAGCACTTTGGGAGGCCGAGGCGGGCGGATCACAAGGTCAGGAGATCGAGACCATCCTGGCTAACACGGTGAAACCCCGTCTCTACTTAAAATACAAAAAATAAAAAAATAAATAAATTAGCAGGGCGCGGTGGCGGGCGCCTGTAGTCCCAGCTACTCGGGAGGCTGAGGCAGGAGAATGGCGTGAACCTGGGAGGCGGAGCTTGCAGTGAGCCAAGATCGCGCCACTGCAGTCCGGCCTGGGCGAAAGAGCGAGACTCCGTCTCAAAAATAATAATAATAAATAAATAAATAAAGCACTTAGAACAGTGCCTGTCACATGGTGTGTGTTTAAATGCTTTTTAGCTATCCTGAAATTGTGAAAGACAATTTGGCAGAGTGTATGAATCTTCAGTTACAATCTTTTTCTCCAGAAAGTCCAGCTGTTGCTCCATTTTCTTCTGAAAGCTAATGTTGCAGAGAATTCTGAAACCAAAGAGGCTTTGTTTCCTTAGAGCAGGGTGGTTAAGAGTCTGGGGTTGGACTGCCTTGGTATGAGTCCTGGCTCTCCCATTTACTGGATGTGTGACCTTGGACAAGTTGATCTCTCCTGTAATGTGGGGCAACTCATAGACCCTCCCTTTCGTGGACCCTTTGCATTTGTTGGCCAAACCATCCTTCCTCCCTTTTAGTTGTTTGGGTTTTTTTCACTCCAACCTTTTGATTCAGGTGGGACTTGCATTCATAGCAGCTTCACCCCCTTGCCAATATCTCACTGAATTCTGTTGGCCACTGTGCTGGATCTAAGTGTTGAGCATGTACCCTGAAGACAACAGGAGTCCTTCTATGGGCAAACCAGGAGGGAGACTCTTTCTTCCTTCTGGGGTTCCTGAGCTAGGATTACGTGAACCTGGAGCTGCCTGGGCCTCACCTGGAAGCCTGTCTGCAGTAGGAGAGGCTCAGGCTACCACAAGAACCAACCGGAGCTGAGCAGCTGGAGAGCAGAGGCACCCCGACAACATGGGTTGAGTTCCTGCATCCAGCCAACGTCCAGGCTGGCGCCGCCACTTTATTGGGATGCTGTGTGGTTTAAATAAGAGAATTCGTGTAAAGCGCCAAGTATGTGTCAGACACAAGGCAAGTCCTCAAGAAAAGATGATCTGTCTCCTCCTGTCATAATGAGTGTAGGAGTTTTTTTCCTTGTAGTTAAAAATTGTTGGGCCTGGAGCAGTGGCTCATGCCTGTAATCCCAGCACTTTGGGAGGCCAAGGTGGGAGGATCACTTGAGGCCAGGAGTACGAACCCAGACTGGCCAATATGGTGAAACCCCGTCTCTTACTAAAAGTATAAAAATTAGCCAGCCGTGGTGGCACGTGCCTGTAGTCCCAGCTACTTGGGAGGCTGAGGCAGGAGAATTGCTTGAACCCGGGAGGCGGAGGTTGCAGGGAGCCGAGGTGGCGCCAATGCACTCCAGCCTGGGCCACAGAGCAAGACTCTGCTCAAAAATAAAAAAAGAAAAAATAAAATTGTTGCCAAATGTGTGTACGTGTAGGTAGCTGATTCTCCTGAAATGTGGTAAATTCCTTCAGTCTGCAGATACTGATCTTTCTTAAGCTTAGGAAAATTGTTTCCAAAGCTCTTTCATGATTGCATCTCTTGGCCAGGAACGGTAACTATCTGTGTGTTGGTGCCGCATTCTCTGTTCTCCGTATCTGTCATCTCTCTCATAATTTTCTCTCTCCTCCACCTCCGAATGTGGGAATTCCTCAGGGCTTGGCCTTGGTGAAAGTATTAATTATGAGAGCAGTTGACTCCTTGTTCCACCCCAACCTTCCATCCAAGGGCCGTCCAAGGGACAGAGGAGGAATCTTAAGCCACCTCCTGCCTCGAGCCCAGCTCCTTCCCACAGGCCACCAGGGGAAATGAGTTTCTGCCTCGTCTGGGTCCCCCATTGTCTTTCTAGCAGTGGTGCTGGCAGGTGTGGGTGATATAGGACTTGGTGACACAGACTTTCTGCAAAGCCAGTGGGAAATGCAACAGCTCTGCAGGATCCCAGAGACCCCTGCTGTGCAGCCCAGCAGCTCCAAAGGCCGCACCTGAGAGCCTGTTGGAAACGCAGACTCTCGTGCCTTATCCTGGACCCCTGAATCAGAACGAGTATTTCCACAACATCCGTGGGTGATTCGTGTGCACATTAAAGTTTGCGAAGCTCTGCTCCAGGATGCAGGCTCAGTTTAACCTTTTTCATAAACCATTTTTTGTCTACCTACGAAGTTTTTTTTTTTGAGACGGAGTCTCGCTCTGTCACCCAGACTGGAGTGCAGTGGTGCGATCTCAGCTCACTGCAACCTCCGCCTCCCAGGTTCAAGCGATTGTTCTGCCTCAGCCTCCTGAGTAGCTGGGATTACAGGCCCCCGCCACCATGCCCGGCTAGTTTTTGTATTTTTAGTAGAGACAGGGTTTTACCATGTTGGCCAGGCTGGTCTTCAACTCCTTACCTCAGGTGATCTGCCTGCCTTGGCCTCCCAAAGTGCTGAGATTACATGCGTGAGCCACTGCACCCAGCCTCTCAAAGTCATTCTTCACAGTGAAAACCCCCAACTCCTCACCAGACCAGATCACATAATACTGTCTTTACTATTAATACCTATTTTATTTTCATGTGATATTTTCCCTCAATATAATGTTTTTATTTTTATTTTTTTTGAAACAGTCTCGCTCTGTTGCCGAGGCTGGAGTGCAGTGGCGCGATCTTGGCTCACTGCAAGCTCTGCCTCCCAGGTTCACCCAATTCTCCTGCCTCAGCCTCCCGAGTAGCTGGGACTACAGGTGCCCACCACCACGCCTGGCTAAATTTTTTTGTTTTTAGTAGAGACGGGGTTTCACTGTGTTAGCCAGGATGGTCTCGATCTCCTGACCTCGTGATCCCCCCACCTTGGCCTCCCAAAGTGCTGGGATTACAGGCGTGAGCCACCGCGCCCGGCCAAAACTCAGAAATTCTTAAGAACAATATAATGTTATCACCAAAAAGTGAGAGCTCTGTTGCCAGGGCACTTTGACATTTACTTCATTTTCATGTGATATTTTCCCTTACTCTAATGTTATTACCATGAAGCGGGGGCTTCGTTGCCAGGGCACCTAGTAGTCATGTATGCACAATTCAGACTTCACTGAAACCTTAATTCTACTTGGTCTCTGTTACTGGGTCCTTTGGCTTGCCTCTCCCTTGCGAGAATGCCAAGACATGACATAGTTGTGTTAACAGCTTCTGTTTTGTTGTTCTATCTTTAAGAGTCACTGATTCGAATACTTTCCTCCAAGTTTAAAAAGTTAACTCATTTTGTTTGTACCCACAAACCTTGATATATTTTCTTTCTCCCATATTGGATCAATATTGCCCCCCCACAACAATAACAAAATATTACCGGCTAACATTGGTTACTGTACATCATTGACATGGTTAATCTCACTTCATCCTCACCAGAACTCCACGAGGTAGATGGGAATATTCCTTTTGCAGATGAGGAAACTCAGGCTGGAATAGTAAGTGGGAGTTGGCTCCTTCTCTTTAGGAGACTTTATCATTCTCATGGGAAAATATTGCTTGTACCATGATGGGTGTATGGAGAATCATTATATTATTTTACTTTTGTGTTTGACTATTTCCATAAGGAAAAAGTACATAAAACCAAAATAAAGAAGCACTATCTGTAATAGTGGGCGACTGTCCAATGTGTCTCTCCTGTTCTGACCTATCTTCTGAGCTTCATCCAGATTTATAGATCTAGGACTTTTTCGACCTCCTCACTCTTGTACACCTCACAAGCATTGGAGGCCTAATGCACCTTGTATTAGTCCGTTTTCACACTGCTGATGAAGACCTACCTGAGACTGGGCAATTTACAAAAGAAAGAGGTTTAATTGGACTTACAGTTCCACGTGGCTGGGGAAGCCTCACAATCGTGGCAGAAGGCAAGGAAGACCAAGTCACGTCTTACATGGATGGCAGCAGGCAGAGAGAGAGAGAGCTTGTGCAGAAAAACTCCCCCTTATAATAACCATCAGATCTCGTGAGACTTACTATCACAAGAACAGCATGGGAAAGATATTTCCCATGGGAAACACCTGTCCCCATGATTCAATTACCTCCCACCAGATCCTTGCCTCAACGCATGGGAATTCAAGATGAGATTTGGGTGGGGACACAGCCAAACCATATCACACCTAAACCCATACTCTTGCTATTTTCTCCCCAAATTGCTCTTCTCCCCATCTTTCCCATTTTAATTAACAGCATCATCACATGCCCTGGGCTCAAGTTGGAAATCCAGGAGTTGTTTTGGGTCTCTCATCTCTAGCACCTCCAATATCCACTCTATCACCACGTTCTGCCAGTCTTAACCTCCAGAACATGTCCTAACTCCATTCACTTCTTTTTGCGGTGTCAGCCCAAGACATCATCACTCTTCACATTGCCCTGACCCCCTCATTGAGCTTCCCAATTCTATCCTTACCTCCCTTCAGGGACCAGATGACCTTTTAAAATATAAATTGCAGCTGGGCTTAGTGGCTCACACCTGTAATCTCAGCACTTAGAGAGGCAGGAGGGGGGTGGATCGATTGAGCCCAGCAGTTCGAGACCAGGCTGGGCAACATGGTAAAACCCATCTCTACAGAAAAATTAAAAAATTATCCAGGCATGGTGGTATAAACCTGTAGTACCAGCTACTCAGGATGGTGAGGTGGGAAGATCACCTGAGCCCAAGGAGGTCGAGGCTATAGTGAGGCAGGATCGTACCATTGCACTCCAGCCTGGGTGACAGAGTGAGACCCTGTCTAAAATAATAATAATAAGCTGGGCATGGTGGCTCACGCCTGTAATCCCAGCACTTTGGGAGGCCGAGGCGGGTGGATCACCTGAGATCAGGAGTTCGAGACCAGCCTGGCCAACATGGCGAAACCCCGTCTCTACTAAAAATACAAAAAATTAGCTGGGCGTGGTGGTGGGCACCTGTAATCCCAGTTACTTGGGAGGTTGAGGCAGAGAGAATCGCTTGAACCCGGGAGGCGGAGGTTGCAGTGGAGCGCCATTGCACTCCAGTCTGGGCAACAGAGCAAGACTCCGTCTCAAAAAAATAAATAAAATAAATAATAAATAAATAAAATTAAAGTATAAATTGCATCAGTCACCTATTAGTTAGAACCCTTCAATGCCTTCCCACTTGCCTTAGAATAAAATACACACTCCTCATGGCCCCTTATGTGACCCTGGGTGTTCTGGCCTTAGTTCCTCTCCCATCTCATCTTCCATCACATTCTCTGCATTCCTTACCTCAACCAGATGCCCTGGTTCTCTTTCAGTCTCTTGGCTGCCCCAAGATTTTTTGAGACAGGGTCTTGCTCTGTCACCCAGGCTGGAGTGCCGAGGTGCCATCTCAGCTTACTGCAGCCTCGATCTCCTGGGCTCAAGGGATTTTCCCCACCTCAACTCCTGAGTAGCTGGGACTACAAGCACGCCACCACGCCCAGCTAATTTTTTGTATTTTTAGTAGAGATGGGGGTTTCACCATGTTGGCCAGGCTGGTCTCGAACTCCTGACCTCGTGATCCACCCGCCCCCACCTCCCAAAGTGCTGGGATTACAGGCGTGAGCCACTGCACCTGGCCAAAAAAAAAGTATTTCTCCAGTTACTCTCATGAAGAGAAGCCTGGGTGTTCCATAAGGTGAACTGTGGATCTGCTTCTCTCAGTCTAACCCCGCTGGCCTTAAAATTATTTTCAAGGCAGCTCACCATTTTATATGATGTTTCGGTCAATCTCTATTTTAATCGGTTTTTATTCTTTTCCTATAAGGTCACGGGATATTTTAGTGAAAAGTTGTGAGGCATTTCAATGGGGGGCTGTAAAATCCTATTTTTTCTTATCCTCTTTTAACAAAGTAATCTGCAGATCCACAGAATATTCATGAATATGATTTTGTTTTTGCTTGACATCTGCTCTCATAGCTCTGTCAGTGAGGAATTCATCATTCCCAAAGCATTCCATATGCTTTTCCACTCTGCATTTACCCATGCAATTTCCCCTGGCACAAATCCTCTTCATTTTTGGCTGCTAGCAACTCAAGAACAGGATGTTTCGACCTTCCCCTTGTTTGGAGCCTGAGGACACTACACTGTGACTCCATGTTTCTAAGTGCAAACACTTAAATCCGAATTCTACCAACTCTGGCCGGGCACGGTGGCTCACACCTGTAATCCCAGCACTTTGGGAGGCGGAGGCAGGCAGATCACTCAAGCTCAGGAGTTCGAGAGCAACCCAGCCAACATAGCGAAACCCTGTCTCTACCAAAAATACAAAAATTAGCTGGGTGTGGTGGCACACGCCTGTAATCCCAGCTACTCGGGAGGCTGAGACAGGAGGATCGCTTGAGTCCAGGAGGTGGAGGTTACACTGAGCCAAGATTGTGCCACTGCACTTCAGCCTGGGCAACAGAGAGAGAGTGAGCCCATCTCAAAAAAAAAAAAAAGAAAAAAAGAAAGAAAGAAAGAAAAGAAAAAAAAAGTATTTCTCACAATAGGGGCATGGTTAGATAAATGATGGTATAACCATATTATGGAACACTAAGTAATCACTAAAAATATTATTTTCAGGTTAAGCATGGTGGCTCACGCCTGTAATCCCAGCACTCTGGGAGGCCGAGGTGGGTGGATCACCTTAGGTCAGGAGTTCGAGACCAGCCTGGCCAACATGGAGAAACCCTGTCTCTACTAAAAATACAAAAATTAGCCAGGCGTTGTGACACATGCCTGTAGTCCTAGCTACTCTGGAGGCTGAGGCAGGAGAATCGCTTGAACCCAGGAGGTGGAGGTTGCAGTGAGCCGAGATCACACCACTGCATTCCAGCCTGGGCAACAGAGCAAGACTGTCTCCAAAAAAAAAAAAAAAAAAAAAAAAAAAAAAAAAAAAAATATATATATATATATATATATATATATATATATATATATATATATAAAATATATATACATATATATAATATATATATGTAATTTTCATAGAAATTTTAATGACTTATGAAATTGTTTCCAATATAATGTGAAAATACAGAATAAAGAACTATAATTGCACTGATCGCAATAACACTGACCCCCTGAGAGGCAGTTTTCTGGTGACTCCTAATTTTCCTGAGTATGGGTCACACTTTGCTGTTTCTTTGTACATCCTGTTTCTTTTAGGTAATATGTTATAGCAACTCTGGACTCTGTATTAACCCACTCCCAATCCAGATGGTGGTGGGGTTTGCTATTTTTAGATTTGTTGTTTGTTTAGTGATCTGCCTGGACTAATTCTGTGGCGTCTATTCCCCACTCACTCTCCCCCCTCTCCAGTGTACAGCCACTGATGTCTCTGCTGTTTTCAAAATTCTTGTTTTTAAGACTGGATTCCTAGGGATCACTTCTGAGTCGGCATAGGTCAGCCAATGATTGGTCAGAAGTTGTTTAAACACCTTGAGCCAGTAAAGCTCTCACCCTCTGCTGATGAATGCGTGTGACCTGGGGAATGCATTCCAGTCAGAGCAGTTTCCAAGTCTATTTATTCCAGTTTTGATTTTCTGTTTGCAAGGCTTCACATGCAGGCAGGGACAAGTAGCTTGTTAGGGCCCTTTTAGGTCTCTTCTTGGGTGCACACGGCCCTGCACATGAAGAGCACAGCCTTATGGACCACTAGGGATAAGTGGGATCTTATCATGCGTATTTTGCTGTTACATTCCCAAGACCTCCCTGTTAAACTGCTCGCTGCTCTGTCTGCCTCTCTATTGCTAGCCCAAATCACTATTGAGACCTCAGGCTAGCTGCAATGTTGGCCACACTGAAATATGGGATTCTCCACACTCTATTCCAAATGAAGTCAGCCCCCTCCCACAGCCCTAGAACTTCTGTGACACAGAGCCTGGGGAGAAGGGAGTTGGGATGGGAGCAGCCCCAGGTTAAAACATCACAGACTCCTACTTTTCTTAGAGAGGGGTTCAGTAGATTTTCTTGAATAAACACCCCTCAATTTTTTGTATGCCTTTGGTCAACTTCCAGTCTTAATTTTTTTTTTTGTGACAAGTTTGTTCAGTTTTGTCATTGCTTTTTAGGGAGAGGATTTGCTGAGCTCCTTACTTGGCCTTCTTGGAAGCACTGCTCCTTAAACCATACCAGTTGTAAAAATTAATTATACTGGCCGGGCGTGGTGGCTCATGCCTGTAATCCCAGCACTTTGGGAGGCTGAGGCAGGAGAATCACTTGAGGTAAGTTCAAGACCAGCCTGGCCAACGTGGTGAAATCCTCTCTACTAAAAATACAAAAATTAGCCAGGCGTGGTGGTGGGTGCCTGTAATTCCAGCTACTTGGGAGGCTGAGGCACAAGAATTGCTTGAACCCAGGAGGTGGAGGTTGCAGTGAGCTGAGATTGCACCACTGCACTCCAGCCTGGGTGACTCTCTCTCAAAAAAAAAAAATTAAAACAAATTCATCCTAATCTTAGGATAAAGTGGGACCTTCCTTGCTAAGTAAAATCCCTAAGGTAATGTCATCTTTGCAAAATGTTAACTTCACCTAGAAACTAACTGCAACTGCAGGAGGAAGTCCTGTTTTGTAGACCAGAGTACCTGAATTAGTAGTCTTGAGATTTTTTTTTTTTTTTCTTCTTTTCAGAGACGGGATCTCACTGTCACCTGGGCTGGAGTGCGTGATCATAGCTTACTGCAGCCTCAAACTATCCTCCTGCCTCAGGCTCCCAAGTACCTGCATTGTTTTCTTTCAGTTAATCCTTAGCGAGGCTTTTTCCAGAGCATTCACGGATCACATATACTCCATGAAAAAGAGTTCAGCTCTTTGACTGGTTTACAAACAGTGAAATGTTTGGTTTATACTGAGCTAAACAAAATCAAAATGAGTTAACAGCAGGACTTCTGGGAGCCTTTAATAGGCTAATGTTGGTTGAGATTCTCCAAGAAGAGAAGTGTAGTGTTTCCCAAGATTACTGTGACCACTGAACACCTCCCCCAACAGAGCATTTCATGGGATTAATGTTCTGCAAAAACACCCTTTGGTCTGTCTTGATATTTTCAATCTGGATCACAAATAGTGAGATGTTCAAGGAAGAAGTATTTGTTGACAGTTGTGAGAGCTGTATGCATTACCCTTCTAGACACAGGAGTGGTGGTTGTGGAAATGGAGGGAAATTCCTCTGGGAGGTCAACTTTGGCAGACAATCAAGCTCTCTCATACAGGTACCCCCTCACCCAGAGCATTTCATTGGCAACATTCCAAGTTTCTGAGTTCTCTTTTAAGGAGGACTTACCATGTACCAGACATTAAGTCAGACTCTTGGAAAATAAAAACACAGTATTTGCCCTCAAGGAGTACGATTAAGGGTGGGATGGAGAAGACAGTTCTAATCACGTGTTAAGGGAGATGGGGTCTAGGTATCCACAAGTGTTATGGTAAGACCAAGGGGACAATGTTAACATGTCCCAAGGGGTTAAAAAAAAACCAAAAACTGACAGAGGGCATGATGCCCAGGCTGGTTCTTGAAGGCCAAGAAAGGGTTAGGCAGGAATGGAAGAGGGGAAGCATGTGTGCAAAGGCAGACAGGCTTAAGAAAACACAGTCTATTCAGGAACTCCAATTAGCTTGCATAGCTAGAGGATAGAACGTAAAACAGACTGAACAGGTACAAAGAGAGCAACGCATGAAGGGCCTTGTGTGGCACGCACGCTAGGGAATTTGGATCTTAGTCTCAGGGTGAAGGGAGATCAGTAAAAGGCTGCGGAGGCGGGTGGATCACTTGAGGTCAGGAGTTTGAGACCAGCCTGGCCAACATGGTGAAACCCTGTCTCTACTAAAAACACAAAAACTAGCTGGGAGTGTCATCCCAGCTACTCGGGAGGCTGAGGCAAGAGAATTGCTTGAACCTGGGAGGCAGAGGTTTCAGTGAGCTGAGATTGCACCACTGCACTCCAGCCTGAGGGACAGAGTGAGACTCTTGTCTCAAAAAAAAAAAAAAAAAAAAAAAAAAAGAGTAACAGTTGTAGATGAAGCCATAGGTATAGGTATGGATGAGATAGTACAGAGTATGTAGACTGAGATGCAAGCAGAGACAAAACCCCAGGGCATTGTAATCTCTCTCTCATCTGAATACCTATACCATTTGTCTGTTACATATTGAATTTGTCATATGCTGCAATAAACATTTAGCTCAGTGCGTACTGTGTACAAATGCTAGATATGAGGGTACAAAGAATGAAAGATCTTTTCACCCAAGGAGACTATGATCTAGTTGTGGAGAAAGAATCATGCCCAATTATTATGCAAAATGAAGTTAAATAGAAACTATAAGTGTGTTGAGTGTAGAAGAGGCAATTAATTCAACGGAAGAGCTAATGCAGCTTTCAGGAGGGGAGGGAAACATTTGAGTTGGACTTTGCAAAAATAAGTGGATTTTAACAAGCAGGGCAGGGGAAAGAAAGGCAAGTAATTTTAGGCTGGAAAGGAACACATGTAAAGATCACAACAGAATGGAGTGTAGGAAGTGGTGGGGAGAAAGAGGCTGGAAAGGTTGCCTGAGGCCAGGATCTAGGTGCTTGGGAATGCTGTTGAGGTTTCTTAGGTGTCATTTGAAAGATGGCACACATGTGCTGATGTACCCAAGGCCTCCACCTAGTTCTGAATTTCAGAAATGCCTGGAAGACCAATGAATCAAAAATGCTTAAGGAAATCTAAACATCACCAAACTAAGGCTTGAGGCTTGTAAATGCTTTTTCTCAGTTCTATATTTTCATTTTGCAAGACTGCAAAACTCTGTGTTAGTAGAACTTTAATTACTTGGCTTCATTATAAAATTTCCATTGCATATAAGAGTATAAATAATTTCACTCTAATGCTCTCATTTGAATCTGCGGCTGAAAGCACTGGCAGAAATCACATTTTCATGGCACTTCCTTGGCATGTTGAAGGAAAACAAAATGTATTCTGCTAATCAAGTCATTAGTGACTTTGAAAGTGATGGATTATATCAAAAAACAGCAAATAATCAGAGATAAAGAAGTATATTTTAAAGATTAAAAATATTTTATTTAAACTTTTCTTCATAAACACTTTTAACATTTTTTTCAATTTAAAAACAGAATGGATAGCATAAACATGTTTGAATAGATTATATCCACGGCTTGGGAAAAATTACCTGACAAAAATGTAAAGGCTTTCAAAACAGGTATAAAAGGCAAACCTTAAATTATTCTAAGATTTTTATATCGGCCCTAGGATTATTTGACTACTGGCCCAAAATGTACCTAAAGGTCAAAATATTTTTCTATAGACAAAGTATGCCCAAGAGGTATAGGGCATATACAAGTTAGGTAGAAAATAACCTCTCCCAATCACCTCACTGGACCATTCCTTCAGAAAGCAAACACCTAATCCTTACTATATACTGACTAATAACATTTTAAATGCAGTTGTTCCCAAAATGTAAAAAGAAAACCAAAGAATTTAAGGGAGAACAAAGCTGATGGCATTCTCCTCAATGTTACTTGTGTAATATTGAAGTTATACGGTGTACTGAAAGGATATGATTTCCATGAATTTATCTATTCCAGTCTATGCCTACTGAATATTTGACTTTATAAACTCTGGATAAACTAATTTTTAGGACTTCCATTTTTAAGATAAATCTCTTTTTAGAAGATATTTATTCCCAAACCAACTCTAAATGTAATTGAACAAACATATGATCTCTCAAAATGTTCAGAATACAAAAACAAAAATCAAAAATGTATAACAGGCAAACAAGAAAACTGGCACTAGCAGTTTTACTGCCATATAGCCCTCAATTATATCTGATTTACACTATTATCTATGTTGCATTTTACTTCAGTCTAAAACTTTAAATTATGAATTCTCAAAAGAGCTAGTCTCCTCTGAGAGATAGCTTATAAACTGAAATAACAATTTATATTATAAACTGAAATGTTATGACCTACACCCACATATACATATATAAAAATAGTCCCACTGAACGTTTGACATGTTTAGATTATGCAGCTCAAATAATCTGTTATAAAATATTTTAAAGCTTAGTTTCATGTAATTAAGACAAAACTCCATTTTTACCACTTCTCCCCACATAAAGCGTGTGTCCTTTACTATGACTCGAGCAGGCTTCCCAGAATGAGGTGTCCAAAGGTGCTGCTTTAGAAAAGATAAGTGAAGGGCTCAGTCAGTATTTCACAAATTCTAGTAACACTCACACAGAGCAGAGTAATGAGGACACAGAAAGCTGTCTCAAGAAAAGCTAATAATTCTATTAGTTAAGCTTTGCTTTTTAAAAACCAGTAGCATTTCTTCCAACACAAAACCTTCAAAGTGAGAATCTTGCATTTTAAGAAAAGGCTGTAGTGCAAGGAATTTCTTTAAAATCAAAACTTAGAAGGTCAAAGACACGGAAGAGAACAAATGGTTCTAATTAAGATGTAATTAATGAAGATCAGCTATTTTTGTGAACTCTGGCATTTGAGATATAAAGTGAAAACAACACGCATAAAGGTCATAACAGTTAAACTGTATAGATTCAAATCTTACTGAATTTTTCAAAAAACTACTTTTTTGAGCGCAATGTATATAAACAAAAACTCCAAATGAAGCACACAAAAAATAAACTTGAAAAAAATGCTATGAAAAACTTTTCCATAGTTTAGTATAACAAAAATAAATCTCTTGCAGCAATAAAACCATAATTTTAAAAGGGAATGTAAGTTAATCATGGATTTAAAATAACCTAAATTAGAACTACATATAAACAGGGAGTTTTCTCATACATTCAGAACCCAAGCAACAGCAACTATCCTTAAAGCTCAAAACTGATTACAGCTAACATCAGGTCCGACGTGACTTACGTAAAGCTGAACCCAGAGTTAGTTCAAGTTAAGATTTTACGAATTTTACAAAACATGAACTTTGATCTTGGCCTCTGTCTTTAAAATGGAAGACCAAGAATACTCAAATGTTTGCCCAGATGTCACCCTGACTAGGGTCATGAAGTCATATCTAAGCAATTAAAGAGAACCACCACTATAGTGTAAAGGCTTTGATGTGGATACCTGGCCTGATGGCTCTTTCTTGGTCTTTTCTAGCAAAAGACATCAATGAGGAAAATAATGAAGACGTTATTTTCTTTAAAGCAAAATAGCACACATACAAAGCCACTAAACTAATGTAGAAAAAAATTAAATGGCTAACTTATTCCTAACTTTCAAAAATAAAATAATGTATTTTTTAAATGTAGAAAAAGACTTTTACCCATATTACCATGGGAAACAAGATACCAAATTTCATGTTTGGAAACTGTAAGTAAATGACAGGACTAGTTAATGAAAATATAAGTCTCATATATAAAATAAGATTATTATTGATTTTTGAAATCAATGCCAATGGTTTTTTCAAAAGCTACTTATGTACCTGGTTTCTTAAACCCAAATGCCTCCAATTCTGGAGTTTGAAGATCAGGTTTAATCTCATAGTATGTCTAATAACTGCCCAAAAAACCCCCAAAAACCAAAGTCTTCACATTTCCATGACTTCACACTTCCATTTTATGTTCAATGGTGGCAGCAGCAAAAAAACAAACAAACAAACAAAAAAACAAAAAACACCAAACAAAGTGAAACTAGAAAATTTATACATCAGCAGCCATATAGAAGGCATTGCAATATTGCACCAATATTCTAAGATCTGGCAAGTTTTGCCAGTATAGATCTAGTCTGTATCAGATATAGACTACTCATGCGCAAATGGCATCAATTTCAATGATCCACTCCCAGGTTATTCTTGCTTAACTTTGTCAACTATGTTTTTTCCTCTGCATTTAAAGAGTTGAAAGGTGCAGCTAATCCTAAAACACTTATTATAAATGCTTTTAAACAGCTATTCTTGATCCATTCTGAACTTTGTGGTTACTATCCTTCATGCTAATAGCTTTCAGTAAATAAAACAAAAACTGAGGGCTTACATCCCTAGTGTCGCTGGGTATTTTGTACAAAATAAACAAGTAGATAAAACCAGTAACATTATAATTCTATTTCTTACCTCTAAGTCAAAACTGAGGTCAAATTTTCTAAGAGTTTCTACCTTCCATTCAATAACAAATGCAGCAGCCTTACTGAATGTAAAAAATGGGAGTTGCACTTACTTTTAAGGGGCCTTGATTTAGGAGTCTGGTATTACCTAAATGCTCTTTAAAAGTGCTTGCATGCTGCAGGGCCAGAACTTGTCATATACCACTCCGATTCTCACTAAAAACAGGGTAACGTTAAACAGACTGCAAAGAAAAACATTTTCAAAAAGAAAAGACATACATCGACAAAGAACACTAACATTTACTTTTGAAAATAAAATATAAAGTGTTAGTTTTCATAACCATACATGTTTCAGAAATATAAGGAGTTCAAATATTACTGAATCAGTATGGACTGAAGATAGGCTACTTTGATAGCAAATGAGGACTCCAGTTATTTCAACTTTCTAAAAATGTTAATATGTGAAAAGACGTTACATCTAAAATTCAACAAGTATGGCGAACTGTGTGTGCAAGTAAGTGCACTAGCTTAAAAATATAGAATCCTAACCACGCATAAAAGGGATGTGCCTTGTGTATTTATAGGTTGTATGCGAGTATGAATATGCTTTCACTAACACAATGCGGATAAGAGAAGGCAGCTTAGAAATAGTGTTTTGAATATAAAAAGTTAATTTTGTAGAAAATTTATATTTTTGCATTTTCAGCAAAAAGCCATGCAAAAAGGTCAAGAGTTTTAAACTTTTAAATAATAAAACTAAAAAGTATAACAGACTGAAATACACTGAAATAAATCTTCAAAAAGGTTTCAGATAGAGACAGAGACTGAAATCACATCCAGTGACACTTATCGGGTCTTCTCTTAGAAGACACATGACTCCTACGCTAACATCTGAAAGAAATGTTTAAAGCAGAAAATCAATATCCCAGATAAGTGGAGCATTCTATTCAACTGCTTCTGGAAGTAGTTTCAAGAGCTAGCACTTAGAATTAACTTATTGCATGAGTTTGAGGCCACTGAAAAGAAAAAAAGGATGCTAGCACAGAATGAAAAATTCTTACAATGTTAGACCAATGGCTTTGATAGTAAAACTGGTGAGGTTTTTCTTTATATGTTTTAATTAATTACTCTGTGCAAACAAATACTTTGTTTGCCTCTTTTTTTAGGGAGGAGGATGTCATTAGTTGCAACGCCTGACCTCATCCAGTACATAGTCCGGAAAATGCAGGTTGCATACTTGTAAACCATCCAGCTTGCAGGGCATCCGAGGGTACTCATCTTCCTTCCACTTGTTTTCATCCGGATCAAAAGTGAGGATGGAATCGCTGTAATGACCATTATAACAAAGGCCTCCAAGAACCATTATTTGTTTGTCCAGCACAGTCACACCATGGCCACTTCTACCAATCGGCATGGATGCCAAGATGGTCCACTGATCAGTCTCTGGGTTGTATACTTCTGTAGAAGGGCATCCCTGAGATTCGAAAGAGGCCCTCAAGATCACACAGACACCACCGAAGACATAAAGCTTGCCATTGTAAGAAATCATCTTGTGAAAGCATCTCGCGTAATTCATCTTGCTCTTATTCTCCCAACAGTTGGTAACCACTTGAGTTCTCCTGGTCCGTTGTTCTATGGTCCCTTCTTTGCTGGGGTCAAACACGCACACTTGCTTGGAGGTGGAAGATGAGGTGATTCCACCGGTGATAAACAATTTGTTATTGAGCACTGTCCCCTCATGTCCATATTTGTTAACTGGATAAGGATCCACAAATTCCCATTTATCGTTGGTGATGTCATATCTCTCAGTTGAATAGAAAGTCTCATCTCTGGTTCTGCCTGCTACGGCGTAAATAAACTTCCCAATAACACCTACAGCAAATTCAGAGCGTGGTACAGACATATCTGCCATCTGCAGCCAGGAGTTCTGTCTCGGGTCATACCTGAATACTTTGGAAGAAGCATGGAATTCACCATCCGGGCCCAGCTCTTCCCCGCCTAACAGGAACACAAAATTATTGACGATAGCAAGGCAGTCAGGTCGCAGAGGTACTTGTGGGCCTTCTAGCTCCCACCAGACTCTTGGTTTCTTTAAGAGAAGTATTTTACTGTTAACCATGCTATGTCCAATCATTCCTCGAAATACTGTAGTTTGCGGTTTTGCAGAACGGATGCGGCTTGACTTCATATCCAACAAAGGCTGCTGGTGAACATTCTGAAAGTAATTCAATGCTTGGTCAACTTCGTAACGGAGCTGTCGGGAGTATCTATAAAATTCTGATGTCTTAACCTAAGAACACAAGAAAAAGAATTTAACCAAAGGAAAAAGCATCAGCTGCAAACAAATTATCAAAGCTGACTAATACGATCATCTTAGGCTCACTTTACTAAAACTGCTTTTCCTGCTAAGATCACCTACTTTCTTTTGTTTTCTACAAAGCTTTTAAAAAATCTTTTTTTTTTTTTTGGAGATGGAGTCTCACTCTGTTGCCCAGGCTGGAGTGCAGTTGCATGGACTCAGCTCACCGCAAGCTCCGCCTCCCAGGTTCAAGCACTTCTCTGCCTCAGCCTCCTGAGGCGCCTGCCACCACGCGCCCAGCTAATTTTTTTATTTTTAGTAGAGATGAGGTTTCATCATCTTGACCAGGCTGGTCTTGAACTCCTGACCTTGTGATCCACCCGCCTCAGCCTCCCAAAGTGCTGGGATTACAGGCGTGAGCCACTGCACTGGGCCTCCTATGTTTTCTTAATTTATAATGATCTATGTACATTCCCAAGCTTTTAAGAGTAAACAAATAATTAGGCACCTATTATGTGAAGCCCTGGGCTACAAGTAGCGGGTATGAGGACAAGTACAGGGCTTCACAGTAGAGGAAACCATATCCACAGTTTTCTTAACCACAAGTAACATCATAAAGCTGTGACTGAATCATTTGGGGAGTTAAGTTAGTGAAAATTTAAATACATGTAAAATTTCGGGGTTTTGACATAAAGACTTGGTCTGATAACTCCTGTAAGAATTCAGTAGATATCAGGTCAAACTTTTTCCTTTAATTTTTAAAATTTTATTTTAAAATTATTATTACTATATATTTTTAGAGATGGGGTCTTGCTCTGTTGCCCAGGCTGGTCTTGAACTCCTGGCCTCAAGCGATCCTCCTGCCTCAGCCTCCTGAGCTGCTGGGATGACAGGTGTGAGTCACTGCGCCTGGCAAACATTTTCCTTTTTGCTTCTGGAGCTGGAGCTACCTAATTATGATGACTACCAAGATTTATATAAAGCATTTTTGGCCAGGTGCAGTGGCTCATGCCTGTTGTCCAAGCACTTAGGGAGGCCAAGGTGGGAGGATCACTTGAGACCAGCCTGGGCAAACAAAGCAAGACCTCATCTCTACAAAATTAATAAAATAAAATAAAAATAAAGCACTTTTAAGTATTGTCCTAAGTGCTATAGGGAGAAACAAAAATAAGCGTAAGATGTGATCCGTTTCCTTAAAGAACCTAGAATGTATTTGGGAAAGTGGAAACAAATACAAATTTACCAATAGGTAAATGAGTCAGGTGACAATTAGGTATGAAGCCAAACAGCACATCTGTGAGTGTGGCAGAATTAGAGATAAAGATTATACTAAACTGGCCCAAGACATTCAAGAGATACTTTGTGGAAGATATAAGAAGTAGGGGACCAAGCAGAAAAATCCTTTGTCATAATAAGACAAGGATAAGAGGGTCTTAAATTTGGGTAACAGGAATTAGATAGCGTAGAGATAACATCTACAGACAACCATGACTGATTTGAAATAGGGTGAAAGAATGAGGACTCAAATGTGATTTGAGCATTTAGACTTGAGGTGATGGAAAGAGTGTTGATATCAATAGGGAAAGCAGGGAAGATGAGCTGGTTTGGGAGAGGTATTCAACTTCCTTGATAGGGTTCTGAGGCGGAAATGTCTAAGAGCCTGTTGGAAATCTGGGATGACAGTTTGGGAGGGAAGTCAAAACCAGGTGTATATATTTATGAGCTTCCTCCCCCCCCTTCCTTCTCCTCTCTTTCCTTTCCTCCTTCCTATCTTTCTTTCTTTAGCCCATTCACTAATTCCTTGCCTTAGTCCAAAACAGTGGTCAAAACAAAAAACGTCACAAATTTAAGTATTTTGAAAACTGTATTCAGTATAACTGGTTTCCTTTGTAATGTCAGGCATTTTATCATTAAAATCATTATTTTGAGAAGGGGTCCTTCCATGGGCTTCACAACATCAGCAAAGGGGTAAATAGCACAAAAAAGGCTGAGAACCCCTCGTCCAACTACATAAGAGAGAAAACTAACATTGGCCAGGCACGGTGGCTCATGCCTGTAATCTCAGCACTTTGGGAGGCTGAGGCGGGCAGATTACCTGAGCTCAGGAGTTCAAGACCAGCCTAGCCAACATGGTGAAACCCCGTCTCTACTAAAAATACAAAATTTAGCTGGACATGGTGGCAGGTACATGTAACTCCAGCTACTCAAGAGGCTGAGGCAGGAAAATCACTTGAACCTGGGAGGCAGAGGTTGTAGTGAGCTGAGATTGCGCCATTGCACTCCAGCCTGGGTAATAAGAACAAAACTCTGTCTCAAAAAAAAAAAAAAAAAAGCCCAGGTGTGGTGGTGCATGCCTGTAACCCCAGCTACTTGGGAGGCTGAAGTAGAAGAATCGCTTGAACCCGGGAGGTGGAGGTTACAGTGAGCCAAGATCATGCCATTGCACTGCAGCCTGGGCAACAACAGCGAAACTCTTATCTCCAAAAACAAACAAACAAACAAACAAACAAACCAAAACCAGGCTGGGCGCGGTGGCTCATGCCTGTGATCCCAGCACTTTGACAGGCCGAGGCAGGCGGATCACAAGGTCAGGAGTTCGAGACCAGCCTGGCCAACATGGTGAAACCCCATCTCTACTAAAAATACAAAAATTAGCCAGGCGTGGCAGTGCCTGCCTGTAATCCCGGCTACTGGGAGGCTGAGGTAGTAGAATCACTTGAACCTGGGAGGCGGAGGTTGCAGTGAACTGAGATCATGCCACTGCATTCCAACCTGGGTGACAGAGCAAGACTCCATCTCGAAAAAACAACAACAAAAACCTGAAAAAAACAAACAAAAAACAAAACTGAGTATTTTCCATTCATTTCTTCTATAAATTGCCTAATAGTGTGCCTTACCGATTTTTCTCATCTTTTTCTTATTGAGTTGTAGGAGCTGAAGGGCAATACTCTGAAAATCAGCAAGAATCATAAACCTCAAATTAAATATTTAAGTGCCTACTGTGCACAGCCAGTGGTCTGAGAGCTACACAGGTTTTCAAGTAACAGAATCCTGTCCAGCATGGTAATTAAGCACCATGTCTGGTGATTAAGGATCCAATTTAGGAAATTTCTGACTTTGGCACTCATGAGCTGTGGCAATCTTGGGCACATAGCTCAATATCTTTAAGCCCATATCCTCAACTGTATTATTGGGATAACACATTCATAACCCTATGATAGAAGTGAGAGTACGTGAAAAGGATTTAGTATGGTGCCTGTCGTGTGGCAGTGTGCAAAAAGTATCAGCTATTATTAGCTATTATTAATGACCAGGGCACATTTGCAAAAGTGTCACTCAGCTTAAATCAGTGCATCTCATGACATGCTTTTGTCTCTGTAAAAATTTAGTCTTTCAGAAGACTGAGGAGAAATGAGAGAAACTGTTATTTTGGACCTAATCCTCACTGGTGAAACATGATTGGTAATGTGCAAATGGGAGGAAGCTTTAGAGAAAGAAGCCATGTTGTTTGGAGATCAAAAAACAAAGGAAGGAGAATGCTGCACATATTGGATAGGCAGATTTCAAGTTTTTCAAAGGAAAATTAGGATCAATTCCAAGATCAGAAACTGTGTAAGGAAGCTCAAGAAGGCTTGGAAGCTCTCAAAAGCATAACGCTGACTGCATAATTGCAAAATACACTGATAAGAAGAAGAAAAGGGGAACGTATCTAAATCTGATGCGCTGCACAGAGAGCTTTCTGGAATTCAGATGTTAAAAAACCACTTACAACAGATGGTAAAAATTGGGCACATAAAACAAGTATTATAACGAGTGAAATAGAGCTACAAGAATATAGTGAATAAGGCTAAAGCCTCAGGATGAACTGTGACTTGACGAAGTAAGAGATGTGGAATAAATGGCATTTTATAGGTTAAAGGAAGAGTGAAGCCCACCCCCATCCCATAGGGTGGTTAATGTAATATTAACAAATAACAAAGAGAAACAACCCTACTCCTGTTTGATTTCCATTCTTAGCTAATGTCTTATGCCTTCTAATCTGAGGATTAAATACAATTACTAAGAAGAAACTTAAATCCAAGATGGTTGAGAACAAAAAGAAAAACTAGCTAGTTATTCTCAGCAAGTTCAAGTCATTCGATCTCAAAACTAATTTCCTGGGATCCTTGAGGCTTCATAGATAAGGCTGCTTAATTGCTTTCTGCAATCTGTGTGGAATTGCGATGAATGGGACAGGACTAGAAGCCAGACAGATTCCTGAACTACAGACTGGTTAGCCTGAGGTAGATCCTGTATTGTTGAAAAATAGCCCACCAAAACAAAAAAGCGCCCCACACTTGGAGGCAGCATGAACTCACAGGGTAATGCCAAGGCTGACTCAGTTTCCTGTTGAATTTTTGATGATGTAACAGCACTGATAGAGAATGAGAGAACCTATGACTTCAGCAAAGTAATCAACAAGGTCTAATCATAAAGAAAAGAGAAACACCAGGGACCCATGAACCACCTGAAATTGCAGCAATAATTGTGTGTTAATGCATTTGGGGGGTAGGGTGAGGTGACTGGAAGTTCAGTTTTTATCAGGTGCTCCAGGGACCCACGAATTCCAAATGTAAAGCTTCGACTGACTATCCTCAATATGAACTAAAGTGATATGGCAGCTGTAGGAACAAAACTGTAAACTAAATTAAAAGGACAGACAATCCTGGTCGGGCACGGTGGCTCACACCTGTAATCTCAGCACTTTGGGAGGTCGAGGCGGGCAAATCACTTGAGCTCAGGAGTTTGAGACCAGCCTGGGCAACATGGCGAAATCCCGTCACTACAAAAATAATAATAATTAAAAAAATACAAAAAATAGCTAGGCGTGGTGGCATGCACCTGTGGTCCCAGCTACTCGGGAGGATGAAGTGGGAGAATCGAATAGCTTGAGCCCAGGTTGAGGTTGCGTGAGCCATGATAGTGCCACTGCACTCCAGCCTGGGCAACAGAGTGAGACCTTGTCTCAAAAAAAAAAAAAAAAGAAAAAAAGAAAATAGGCAAGTCCACCCTCTCTATTCAGGTAAAACCACAACCAAGACAGTGTGAAGTTATTATCACTATACTATTAAACACTGACAAAGTGGACCACATCTGGAAGACAGTGAAGGGATCCAAAGGGAGAATGGTCAAATGGGTGAGGAATGTTTCAACACAAGAGAAGACTCAGAAAGATGGCAACTCTTTTCAGGACCAGTAAGTGGAAGTTAAGAGGGAGATTTTATGCCAGTGTAAGAAAAAGTTCTGTAGTAAGAACTGTCAAGAGAATGGATGCTCATTGCATTATTGTTTGTAAGAGCACAAAACCTGGGATAACTCCAATCACCTATCAATAAGACATTGGTTGGATACACTCTGGTATATACCATATGCAGCTGTGAAAAAGAGTGAGGTTGATCCATATGCACTAACACAGATATTCAAAATGTTAAATAAGAAAACTGCAGAACAGTATGTGGCTCATCTTTTCATAGAGAAGGCACTTCTCCCATCCTTCATTTCTCACATAACAGTTTATCTGTGTATCAGGTACTCTCAAAGAGGTATGGAAAGAACGACATTTCTTTCATGTTCTGAATTACTTTCCTTTGCCTTTCACAGGATTAAACAGCTGTCATGTTTTAAAGCTTGGAAAGAATGTTACTACTTTTCTTGCTTTGATACTTTAAAAAACTGTATAATGAAAAGCATTTTGTCTTATTCTGAATATATCATATAATTATATATAATTTCAGTGGTCTGAAAAAAAATTTTTTTAATTTACTGATTATTTAATAAAATAGAGATTGGGTCTCACTATATTACCCAGTCTGGCCTTAAAATCCTGAGCTGAAGTGATCTTCCCACCTCGGCCTCCCAAAGTGCTGGGATTACCAGCATGAGCCACCTTGCCCAGCCTGAAAATGTAAATTGTCCATTTCCTCTAAACATCTTTTACTTTAATTGTGTGTGCATGTATGATATAGCTGACAATGAAGTATGAGAAATGATTAACTTTGAATACAGTTCCTGTAAATATGTATACACATACACACACACACGCATATATACACACACACAAATATATAAAGTTGGAGAAATAACTAGCCATTACAGCTGGGCAAATATTTCATGTTTCTCCATTCACTGTCAAAATGTTATATCATAGTGAAACCCAGTCTCTAATAAAAATACAAAAATTATCCGGGCATGTTGGTGTGCGCCTGTAGTCCCAGTTACTCGGGAGGCTGAGGCAGGAGAATTGCTTGAACCCGGAAGGTGGAGGTTGTGGTGAGCCAAGATCACGCCACTGCACTCCAGCCTGGGCAACAGAGCGAGACTCTGTCTCAAAAAAAAAAAAAAAAAAAAGGCTGGCTAAAAGCCTAAAATAATTCTAGACTGTAGCCAGTTAGAGTACATTTTTTTTTAATTCCAGATTTTTTAATCAAATAAAGGTAGTAAACTCTGTGGAAATCCCTATTTTAATTATATTGCAAGTTACATTTTAATTCTCTCAAAATTAAAGACGGTATATACAAATTACCTTTAAAACTTAAGAATCTGAATACCATGTGGCCAGGCTGGTCTTGAACTCGTGACATCATGATCTGCCTGCCTCAGCCTTCCGAAGTACTGGGATTACAGGCATGAGCCACCGTGCCCAGCCTAGCCAGCCAATTTAAGATACACTTTTTGAAAGAAAAAAAAAATTGAGACGGATTTCACTTGTTGCCCAAGCTGGAGTACAATGGTGCGATCTTGGCTCACTGCAACCTCCACCTCCTGGGTTCAAGTGATTCTCCTGCCTGTCTCCCGAGTAGCTGGGATTACAGGCACATGCCACCATGCCCGGCTAATTTTTTGTATTTTTAGTAGAAATGGGGTTTCACCATGTTAGCAAGGCTGGTCTCGAACTCCTAACCTCAGGTGATCTGCCTGCCTTGGCCTCCCAAAGTGCTGGGATTACAGGCATGAGCCACCACACCCAGCCACGAAATAATTTTTAAAATATCCAATATGCTTATATTAAATCAAAGAAACAAAATACCTTTTATTAGTTTATCTATCAGAAGGGGTGGAAGTGGGGGAGCAATTCCTGAACTTAAGATGGTGCCTGGCCCTATTAAAGAGGTTACCTGTGTGAACAGGCACCTCTCTGGCCCTTTCTACATCCAAAAAATGCTAACCTAATCGCTCGAATGACAAGTACAAGGAGGTATCAAGACTGAGTCTTGGTTGTCAGTTTTATCATCTCTTCTCCACCATGATGCAATCTTCCCAAGTAGTTACTATCGTGGTGCTTTAATGCTGAAACAAACCATATCAGGCCGGGCGTGGTGGCTCACGCCTGTAATCCCAACACTTTGGGAGGCCAGGCGAGCGGATCATGAGGTCAGGAGTTCGAGACTAGCCTGGCAAACATGGCGAAACCCTGTCTCTACTAAAAATACAAAAATTAGCTGGGCGTGGTGGGGGGCACCTGTAATTCCAGCTACTCAGGAGGCTGAGGTAGGAGAATCGCTTGATCCCGGGAGGCAGAGGTTGCAGTGAGCCGAGATCGCACCGCTGCACTCCAGCTTGGATGACAGAGCGAGACTCCATCTCAAAAAACAAAACAAAACAAAAAAACCCTGTATCAGCTACATTTGATATAATTTTGATTCTCAGTAAAACATGGAGCAGTCTTTAGATGCTATATTGCAAAACTATGTACCCTGGTATGAGAAGTCTTTATTTGTAAAATCTTGCTCAGAACTAAAGCTTATATTGATTTACGTAAAACAAAATCATCACAAAAAAAGCTAGGTGCAATATGCCTTTAATCAATCCCTTTGTCCTGAAAAACTGAGTTAATGACCAAGGATAAAGCTATGAAAAATCAGTTCATGCTAAGCATAAATCCTTTCAGTCATACTGTATTTATAGTCAATACCAAATGGTAAATAAAGATAAATCGTAGTAAGAATTTACTCACCCTCTTCTCTCCAAGCAGGCAAAGTCAAAAATGAACTGAACTTCAGAAGTGAACTTCAGAAGTAAAGTGACCAGGGTAAATAGGGGTGAGGGAGAGGTGCCCTCAGGGCAAGAGAGTTTTAGCACAATTTGGTAAAGTTCTCTATCCCTTCAACCCTTTTAGAGAGTAAAAAATACTTAAAGAATAAATGTGCTTACAAAGTCTAATTTCCTTCAAATTTCAGTGCAATAGTAATAGAACACTATTAGAAATGTAAAAGGCTGGGCATAGTGGTGTGCCCCTGTAGTCCCAGCTACTCAGGAGGCCAAGGTGGGAGGATCACTTGAGCCCAGGGATTCAAGGCAGCAGTGAGCTATGATGGTGCCACTGCACTGCAGCCTGGGCAACAAGGCAAAACCTCGTCTCTAAAAAAATAAAATTTTTGGCCAGGCGGGGTGGCTCACGCCTGTAGACTTAGCACTTAGGGAGGCAGGTGAACACCTGAGCTCAGGAGTTCAAGACCAGCCTGGCCAACATGGTAAAACCACATCTCTACTAAAAATACAAAAATTATCTGGGCGTGGTGGTGTGCACCCGTAGTCCCAGCTACTCGGGAGGCTGAGGCAGGAGAATCACTTGAACCCGGGAGGTGGAGGTTGCAGGGAGCTGAGATTGTGCCATTCCACTTCAGCCTGGTCAACAGAGTGAGACTCTGTCTCAAAAAAAAAAAAAAAAAAAAAAAATTTTTTTTTTTTAAATTTTAGAAAAAGAAACTAACAAGCCTCAGCTAAGTGCCATGGCTCATGCCTGTAATCCCAGCACTTTGGGAGGCTGAGGCGGGAGGACGGCTTGATGCCAGGAGACCAGCCAGGAGTTGAGACCAGCCAAGACAACACAGCAAAACCCCATCCCTACCAAAAAAACAAACAAAAAACCCTAATAAGCCTCCGAGGTAGAAAATAATGTTTGAGACGGAGTCTCACTCTGTCACCCAGGCTGGAGTGCAGTGGCACAATCTCAGCGCACTGCAACCTCCGCCTCCCAGGTTCAAGTGATTCTCCTGCCTCAGCCTCCTCAGTAGCTGGGATTACAGGCACGCACCACCATGGCCTGGCTAATTTTTGTATTTTTAGTAGAGATGAGGTTTCGCCATGTTGGTCAGGCTGGTCTCGAACTCCTGACCTTGTGATCCGCCCGCCTTGGCTTCCCAAAGTGCTGCGATTACAGGCGTGTGCCACCGTGCCCAGCAATTTTTGTGTGTGTGTGAGACGGAGTCTTGCTGTTGCCCAGGCTGGAGTGCAGTGGCGCGATCTTGGCTCACTGCATGCTCCACCTCCTGGGTTCATGCCATTCTCCTGCCTCAGCCTCCCGAGTAGCTGGGACTACAGGTGCCCACCACCATGCCCGGCTAATTTTTTGTATTTTTTAGTAGAGACGGGGTTTCACTGTGTTAGCCAGGATGGTCTCGATCTCCTGAACTCGTGATCTGCCCGCCTCGGCGTCCCAAAGTGCTGGGATTACAGGTGTGACTTAGGACCATCTTTTTATTTTCTGGTTATATTAATATTTAGATAGTACAACTAAGTTCTAGAATTCACAACTTATGAGGGATTTTATTTTCCTATTTATGATAGAACAGGAAAGCCAAATAAAAGGTTTCATCCTAAAACTAACTTTTGAATGAACAATGCTTACCTATTACACAAGTGGCATTTTCTGAATAATAAATTTGGAACTAAAACTTAAAAGCCTTAACTCATAGTACTTCCCCTTCTTCCTTTCCTGCTCCAAACCTTTTCTCCAGTCATTTCCAGACTCTCTGATCCTTTTCAATTTCTGCTTATCATTTGTTTTTTTCTTCCAATTTCTTAAGAGTTTCCTCATTTTTTTAAATGTATTTATTTATTGATTGAGACGGAGTTTCGCTCTTGCTGCCCAGGCTGGAGTGCAGTGGTGCAGTCTCGGCTCACTGCAACCTCCGCCTCCTGGGTTCAAGCGGATTCTCCTGCCTCAGCCTCCCGTGTAGCTGGGATTACAGGCGCCTGCCACCAAGCCCAGCAAATTTATTTGTATTTTTAGTAGAGACGGAGTTTCACCATGTTGGCCAGGCTGGTCTCAAACGCCTGACCTCAGGTGATCTGCCCACCTTGGCCTCCCAAAGTGCTGGGATTACAGGCGTGAGCCACTGCGCTTGGCCACGGTTTTCTCCTTTTAAATGTCAAGAAAGCTGTCCCTGTTCCACGTCTTCCTTTTTAATTTCCAATTGTCCTATGCTTGTTTTCATCTTTAATTTAAAAAGAGAGGCCTGGCGCGGTGGCTCATGCCTGTAATCCCAGCACTTTGGGAGGCCGAGGCAGACGGATCACGAGGTCAGGAGATCGATACCATCTTGGCTAACACGGTGAAACCCCGTCTCTACTAAAAATACAAGAAATTAGCCGGGCGCGGTGGCGGGCGCCTGTAATCCCAGCTACTCGGGAGGCTGACACAGGAGAATGGCATGAACCTGGGAGGCGGAGCTTGCAGTGAGCCGAGATAGCGCCACTGCAGTCCTGCCTGGGCGAAAGAGCGAGACTCCGTCTCAAAAAAAAAAAAAAAAAGAGAGAATCAGCAAGTAAGATTGAACTTTTACACTCCAATTTTCAATAGGTTCCTGTCTGTCTAATACACTCCCCAAGATACTATCTTTCCTTCCTAAGGCCCTAATAGTAGTCAACACCTAGATTACAGGCACTCTTCAGGAATCTGTGAACCTGGAGTGAATGCGAGTCAAAGGTAGAAAATAAGAACACTCTACATCTATACATAAAAGGCAGAAAACTTTAGAGGAGAAAAACACCTTGCGTGATTTCGAAAGAACTGCACATGCGTTAATTACAATCTTCCAAAGTCCATGGGGTTGGGGAGGAAGGGTTGGCAAAAAGGAGTCCGATGCAGAAAAAGACATTAAGTTAACTGAGAAAGTACACTTAACCCACTGACCTAGTTTCTAACAGAAAACCTGCTCATCTCTATGCTTTCACTCCAAGAGGTGAGTTCATTGTTAATTTAAGCAATTTCAAGTTCTAGCTGCATATTATCTGGTATCTGAAGGAGATTTAGAACTTTTTCAAAAACAACTCAAGCTTATTAGAAATTCTAATCAAATTTCACATTTGAAATAAAGGTTACTATCTTTTAAAAAGTTGGCCCGGCCGGGTATGGTGGCTCACACCTGTAATCCCAGCACTTTGGGAGGCTGAGGCAGGCAGATCATGAGGTCAGGAGATCGAGAAACATGGTGAAACCCCGTCTCTACTAAAAATACAAAAATTAGCTGGGCGTGGTGGTGCGTGCCTGTAACCCCAGCTACTTGGGAGGCTGAGGCAGGAGAATCACTTGAACCAGGGAGTTGGAGGTTGCGGTGAGCAGAAATTGTGCCACTGCACTCCAGCCTGTGAGACTCCATCTCAAAATAAATAAATAAATAAATAATAAAAAAAGTTTGTTAGTGTCAAACACAGCACTGCTTATATTTCTCACATATTTCTAAAACTGAGGGCTTATATTTCTCATGTACTTCCAAAACTGAGGGTTAGAGGGAAATTTCTACTTCTCTAGATTTATCTGGCTCTAGCTGAAGTCATTAGATATAAATGAACTGTTTTTTTCCAAAGAGTTTTTGGCTAAATTATGGTAACACTGCAGTTGATGGTTTCCTGGACAGAAATTTTGCATTGGTCAAGTGCTGGATTAGTTAAAACATGTTCCAATGCCTAAGTGAAGGAATTCTGGAGGGGCATACAGCACCTACAGTTTACATAGATGTGGCTTTGCCCAGGCAATTTCATTTACCAAATGGGTTGTGCCTCAATTAACCAGAACAGCATTACCACCTAAGCATGAGATTATATTAAGGACAATAAATGTCCCCCATTTTAAAATGTAGCTTTTAAATACACATTTAAAAATGTACCTCAATTTCACCCGGCCCAAAGTTGTGAATATTCTTATAATAAATTCTCTGTAAGTTACAGAAATCCAATTTTGGGGGGATATACTGAATTACATTTAACAGACTGGGGAAAAAAGTACATTAGGGGGTCTATCATGAGCCAGTTTATAAAATAAAATATTTGGAATAAGCATGATGGCTGTATTTAAAGCAGAATACTTCTATATAATCTACTTCCTTAATAGCCAATGAAAAATGAACTATAAAATCCTAAATACAAAGCTGAACTAATGTGTTTTTTCTCTTTATCGGATTTAAAATAGATTTCTTTCCCTCTGAGAAAGTGAAAAGATTTTATGATTATGTAAGATACTGTATTTTACATATTAATACAATTTCTAAGGGGATCATTGGGATGCTGAATCTTACCTTATGCATATTTATAATACTGAAGATACCCTGGGTTCAAAAATATTAAAATGTCACTGTACTAGAGAATCAACATATGGGTATTTTAATGAATAATTTAACAATTTTGCTTTAAAAATCTTTTATGTACAAAAAAAGTCAAGCATAGGCTGGGCGTGGTGGCTCAAGCCTGTAATCCCAGCACTTTGGGGGGCCGAGGTGGGCAGATCACTTGAGGTCAGGAGTTTGAGACCAGCCTGGCCAACATGGCAAAACCCCATCTCTACTAAAAACACAAAAATTAGCAGGGCGTGATGGCACACACCTGTAATTCCAGCTACTCGGGAGGCTGAGGCAGGAGAATCGCTTGAACCCGGGGGGCGGAGGTTGCAGTGAGCCAAGATCACCCCACTGCACTCCAGCCTAGGAGACAGAGCGAGACTTGACTCAAAAAAAAAAAAAAAAAAAAAAAAAGAAGAAGAAAAAAATATATATATAGGTCGGGCGCGGTGGCTCACGCCTGTAATCCCAGCACTTTGGGAGGCCAAGGCGGGTGGATCACAAGGTCAGGAGATCGAGACCATCCTGGCTAACACAGTGAAACCCCGTCTCTACTAAAAATACAAAAACTTAGCCGGGCGTGGTGGCGGGCGCCTGTAGTCCCAGCTACTCGGGAGGCTGAGGCAGGAGAATGGCGTGAACCCGGCAGGTGGAGCTTGCAGTGAGCTGAGATCGCGCCACTGTACTGCAGCCTGGGCAACAGAGCGAGACTCTGTCTCAAAAGAAAATGAATAAATAAATAAATAAATAAAGAAAGTATAATATGCATTTTGCCAAATATACGTTTACTTCATAAAATGTTTTCAATAAAACAATCATTGTTTTTTAAAAATCAAAGACCAAAGAAAGCAGTTGAAACTATTTAAATCTTCACATCACTGAAATTCAGAATGACAAATGTCAGGCCTTATCTGTTAACATGTGCAAAGACCATCAGAGCTAGTAAAAATACATGCCACAGACATTTGCATAAGTAAAAACTGAAACTGTAGTCTAGTTTTAAAACTAGGAATCCACTATAGATCAAATGAGTCATAAAAATCCTTAAATAACTATGTCAGAAGGACAAGATCCTTAAAATTTCAATTTCTTTGATTATTTCAGTGAAAACCCAAGATTTGTGCTTTCATATCAAAGTTTTCCCACACTTTATATGTATTTTTCAGTGCCATTAAATTTCCTAGGCTATGTTTTTTTTTTTTTTTTGGATGGGGTGGGGTAGGGGATTGGGGGGAACAGGTTCTCACTTTTATCGCCCAGCTGGAAGGCAGTGGCACGACCGTGGCTCACTGCAACCTCGACCTCCTGGGCTCAAGCAATCCCTCCCACCTCAAACTCCCCAGTAGCTGGGACTCCAGGCATGTGCCCCCACACCCAAATAATTTTTACATTTTTTGTAGAGATAGGTTTGCCTACTTTGCCTAGGCTGTTCCCCAACTCCTGGGCTCAAATAATCCTCCTGCCTAGGATTCCCAAAGTGCTGGGATTATAGGCGTAAACCACCCTTCCTAGCCCTTCGGCTATGTTTTGCTCATGTAAACACCTTAGAATTTTTACAACTCTGTAACATACACTTGCCCTTAGGCTATGTTTTGTTAATGCAAACAGCTTAGAATTTTCATAGCTCTTTAACAACTTCAGAATGACCCAAGCTAGGCCACAGGTTAACAGCATGCTTCCTGCACTTTAGGGTCTTCTCCCTATTCTATTAGCTGTAACAGGAAGTCCCAGATTGGGAAGCAGCTGCCCTGGCTTTCAGTCTGGACAGTGCCACTTGGTCTGGAATAAGATCCTTAACCTTTCTGTGCCTGTTTCCTTATCTATAAAATGGGGATAACATGTAGATGCATGGCCAGGCGCGGTGGCTCACCCCTGTAATCCCAGCATTTTGGGAGGCCGAGGCAGGCGGATCACGAGGTCAGGAGATCAAGACCATCCTGGCTAACACAGTGAAACCCCGTCTCTACTAAAAAAAAAAAATGCAAAAAAATTAGCCGGGCGTGGTGGCGGGTGCCTGTAGTCCCAGCTACTCAGGAGGCTGAGGCAGGAGAATGGCGTGAACCTGAGAGGCAGAGCTTGCAGTGAGCCTAGATCGTGCCACCGCACTCCAGCCTGGGCAACAGAGTGAGACTCCGTCTCAAAAAAAACCAAAAAAAAAAAAACAAAAAAAAACCATGTAGATGCTACCTATATGTACGGTAAGAGCACTTAGTACATGACCTAGCATAAATATATGTGTGTGTGTGTGTGTGTGTGTGTGTGTGTGCTCGTGTGCACATGCAGTGTTCAGATAAACAGTATTGCTGCCTCTAAGGAACTCAGGAAATTTGGAAGCCTTGGCCTCTTCGATGATGGTCCCACAGAATACTTAGTACAAAAATTAAGACAATCTGGCCAGGCACGGTGGCTCACATCTATAATCCCAGCACTCTGGGAGGCCGAGGCACGAGGATCACTTCAGGCCAGCTCAAGACCAGCCTGGACAACAGTGAGACCCTATCTCTACAAAAAAAAGTTAAATATTAAAAAAGAAAAAAGTATACTAAAAAAAAAAAAAAAGTTAAGACAATCTTATCTTCACCTAAGGAGAAAATCCAGTAGAGGACTACATAGATACTGCAGAAGGATAAACCCAAAGATTTCAGCACAGCTAGAGGACATGACTTGTGTCCCTAGAACGAATGGGGGCTTTTCCTTGGGTTGAGGCAGAATGCCCCCTTCCCTACACTATTAAGTCACTGTTCAAATCTGTTACTACCAAAGGAAGAATTAAGAATCTCCACACACAAAAAATTAGCCAGGCATGGTGGTGGGTAACTGTAATCCCAGCTACTCGGGAGGCTGAGGCATGAGAATTGCTGGAACCCAGGAGGTGGAGGCTGCAGTGAGCTGAGATCGCAGCACTGCACTCCAGGGCCAGAGTGAGACTCCTCTCAAAACAAAACAAAACAAACAAAAACAAAACAAAACAGGATTCCCCAGGGAAAAAGAGCAATAAAAACAATAGGAAAAAAATCAAAACATCAGAGACAAATGATTTACATAATTGATGTGGGGCTGATTATCACTAAACAAAAAATAAAAGAAATACATTATTGGCTGGGTGGGGTGGCTCACGCCTGTAATCCCAGCACTTTGGGAGGCCAAGGCGGGTGGATCATGAGGTCAGGAGTTCGAGACCAGCCTGGCCAAGATGATGAAACCCTGTCTCTACTAAAACACAAAAATTAGCCAGGCACAGTGGCTGACGCCTGTAATCCCAGCTACTCGGGAGGCTGAGGCAAGAGAATCGCTTGAACCTGGGAGGCAGAGTTTGCAGCGAGCCAAGATCACGCCACTGTACTCTAGCCTGGGCGACAGAGCGAGACTCTGTCTCAAAAAAAAAAAAAAAAATACATACATACATATATATAATTTAGTTTCAATTATTTCTGCCACATCAATACATTGAGAATAAAAGACAAAAATCCACAAAACTGAATTCTCAGTTTCACAGCATTTTGGAGGAAAAAAAAATATGTCAGGCTGCTGTTATTCAAAGGCGCAAATGGGTTTATTTTTCAAATGGCGTAGACAACCCTCCTTTGCAGATACTGTATTTTTATAACCAGGTCTAATAACTAAAGCTGAGGAACTATTTAACATGAAAAGTGACCGACCAAGTTTTCAGTGTGCTTTCTAGAAAAAAGAGAAGATGCAAGAAGTAAACAGAGCCCCAGAGGTAACCATGTGATTAGAAACCAATTAAGTTAAGCAATTACTAAAAGTGCTCTATGACCTTTGGGCAAGAAAGGATCACAAGTGAAACTCTGATATAAAAATGAAAATGCTTACATGCAAAAAAAGGCCAAGGCTGTTTCAGAGAAAGACTATTTTTAAGAGAACTATTTGCATGGTAAAATGTGCCCAGGGATGGTTGATCAATGTAGATAGAAGAGTTATAGTCTACTTGTTTAGAAATGCCAAAATGATGTTTTTAGACATATAACATGTTTTCATTGTCAAATTTAGTTAGTATTCACAGTAAAACGGGGAAAACCAGAAGGTAAGAGCAGGGAAGAAAATCACCATTAGGGCCTATTGGTTTTCAAGAGCTATTTTGTACGTCCTTGCTATATTTTAGAGGAATAAGAAACTCTATTAATGTATACCATGCAGAACTCTTCTCAATGCCAATTTCTGCATGTATTACTTAAATTTATTTTTAAAAAGAGATCTAGCCTGACTCGGTTCCGATTTAATTGATGAAATGAAAAGAAAAGCTACAGCAAACATGTAATATTTTGCATAAAGTAATTATGCTTCAACTTTAAAAGTACTTTTAAAATAAAACTGTTTTACTACCTACGTGGTTTATCTTTCACCCACAAAATGTATTTTACAAAACCTAAATGCACAACAAATCAGGCTTCTTATACATAAAGTACTCTTATGTTATTCATTCTTGAATAACATAAGAAATAACAAAATGAAGTTATTCATTCTTGGCTCTTAAGTCTGTGAATCTTATCTATAAAGACATACACTGCCTTAACTAAATGATGAGTACTGTCTATTGCTTTCAAATGCACTAACCTTCTCAAAAACGCTGGTTGGGGTCATCAAGCAAAACCGGATATTCTGAATGATGGTATCGGTATGTCTCCAGCGTCTTCTATCATGCCGCAGCCAAGACTGCACAGCCTCGTACAGCTCTATCTCTGGGAACCTGCTCAGATGATCATTATCCAAGTAAGACATGAGCTTCTCAAAGCTCAGATAGGACAGAAAGTCAGGCCTAGACATGAGTGGCACAAAGTTGTCTAGCAGAAAGGTGTCTAACTTCTCCCTGACTCCCTCGATGTTTACGCCGAAATCATCTAAGAGTCTCATAATTTCTGCACAATTTTCTAGGCAGATCTTCGCTAAGAGAAAAGAGCAGCAGAACTTCACCACTTCTATAAGTTGAACATACATGGCAGCCTGAAGAATCTCATGAACGGTATTCATACTCAGCTCTATAGTTCCATAGTACATAAATTGCAGGACATGGCTGAAACCGGTAGCTGTTAGACCTTTTAAATGAATTTTGTCCTGATCTCGTTCCCTCATGTCTGCAGTAAACATAATTCTGAAGTAATCACTCTGGGTGGCCAAGAGTGCTTTATGGGCCTGGAACTGATGATCTTCAATAACCAGAGTGACATCAAGAAGCAATCCCTCCTCATACAGTGCTCTGAACCCAGCAGAGACACTGGTGTCGTGGATGGAGGAACAGAATCCTTCCACGTCCCCTGCCATGAATCACCTGGAAAAAAATCAAAGACAACAATGTTAAACACTTCCATGCATTCAGAAGAAAATATTAACTTAGAGTTTTAACAATTTTTGCTATTATCTCAATTCTACTGACTAAGTCCAAAATGTACAAGTCCTTTGGGAGAAGACAATCTAAAGGTTTGCAGACTAATATTTCTGGCTTCCCTATCTAAGGAAAAGAATCTATTAAAGATACATCAATAGTTCATGCCTATAACCCCAGCACTTTGGGAGGCCAAGGCAGGAAGATCGCTTGAGCCCAGGAGTTGGAGACCAGCCTAGGCAAGATGGCAAATCCCTGTCTCTACAAAATAATAACAATAAAAAAAAAAGTAGCTGGGCATGGTGGCACATTGCCAGCAGCCCCAGCTTCTTCAGAGGCTGAGGTGGGAGATTCCCTTCAGCCCACGAGTTTGAGGCTACAGTGAGCTATGATAGCACCACTGCACTCCAGCCTGGGCAACAGAGCACGACCCTATCTCTTAAAAATATATATGTCGGCTGGGCGCGGTGGCTCACACCTGTAATCCCAGCACTTTGGGAGGCCGAAGTGGGTGGATCACCTGAGGTCAGGAGTTCAAGACCAGCCTGATCAATACGATGAAACTCCAACTCTACTAAAAATACAAAAAGTAGCCAGGTGTGGTGGCATGCACCTATAGTCCCAGCTACTCAGGAGGCCAAGACAGGAGAATCGCTTGAACTCGGGAGACGGAGGTTGCAGTGAGCCAAGATCATGCCACTACATGCCAGCCTGGGAGACAGCAAGACCCCATTTCCAAAAAAAAAAAAAAAAAATATATATATATATATATATATATATATCAAACAATGGTAAATTGTTATCTTACAAATAATATATGCCTATTCCATTGATTTCATATTGTTCATCAAATATACTTTGAACAGGTTCCAAAATTAGCAACATAAAAATGATTTCACAGCCAAATACTAAATAATGAGAAAAGGGACAAAAATGAAACTAAAAAGTATACCTGAAAACTCCTAGAAATTTACCTAAAGGAAATATTCAAATAAATAGGCAAGTTGTACATATAAGGTTTTTCTATCTAGGCTTATTATTTAAAAATCAGAAACTATTCAAAAGTCCAATAACAAATTATTAAAACATGATACAGTCCTACAATAAATTATCAATTTAAAATGATGTCAACAGTTTATTTTTACAAAGAATATTTATCAGATATTGTATGAAAAAAAAAACAAGTGACTGCAGTATACTGAGTACGTCTTCGAAAACTAAATACGCATATATTTGTTAGATGAGAAAAAGTCTGGAGAAATATATACCAAAATAATGTCCCTGGGTAGTAGGTTTTCAGGAGAGGCTTTCTTTTCATTTACCTCATTACCCTTACTTTGAAAAACAATAATGATGTAATGCTTATATATTTAAAAATACAAATATATAATTTTAAAGGAAATTAAACCAAATCTTTCCATATCAGAGAAATGAAGGTAAAATAGAGAACTATAATTAGATATCTTAAATACAGCGGAATAAACTAATTCAGTCTATTTTTTTGTTTTCGGAGTCTTGCTCTGTCATCCAGGCTGGAGTGCAGTGGCACAATCTCGGCTCACTACAACCTCCGCCTCCCGGGTTCAAGCGATTCTTGTGCCTCAGCCTCCCGAGTAGCTGGGACTACAGGCACCTGCTACACGCCCAGCTAATTTTTGTATTTTTAGTGAAGACAGGTTTCGCCATGTTGGCTAGGCTGGTCTAAAACTCCTGACCTCAGATGATCCGTCTGACTCGGCCTTCCAAAGTGGTGGGGTTACAGGCGTGAGCCACTGCGCCTGGCCACTAATTCAGTCTACTGGGTTATTTATGAAGCAAATTAATTTTCTCCTTTTCACATACCCCCACCCCAGACCATCTATCTTCTTAATTCTCATCCTTACACAGCTCCCGGCTTCCTCCCCAATGACCCATCCTCCATCCCTGAATTCTCTCCCAAACCTTTCCACTGTGCCCTGTGGAACCTTACTTCAATGTAAACAAAATCCCCTACATGCTCAGGTTGGTCACAGAAAGTTCCCTCCTCGACCTGATTTAAATGAGACATAGTTTTCCTAAAAGTCACAGCTTCCAGGCCTCCTGCCTCCAACCTCTAGCTCTACTCCCACGCGTGTTAGAAAAAAAAAAAACAAAACAAAAAAAAAACTTTTAGAGCTTACAGCCCTACTTTCCAAGTCTTCTTTCTCTTAGCTTTCTATTGTTCTTTTTCTATAACTTGGCCTTTTGCTCAGATAAAAATCCATCTTCTGTCACCCCTTGTCACTTCCATACACATCTTCTGATCAATCACTCTCAAACATTTGATGAAGACTTCAACACCTGGGCCAGGCATGGTGGCTCACACCTGTAATCCCAGCACTTTGGGAGGCTGAGGCAGGCGGATCACTTGAGATCAGGAGTTCAAGACCAGCCTGGGCAACATGGTAAAACCCTGTCTCTACTAAAAATACAAAAATTAAAGGCCGGGCGTGGTGGCTCATGCCTGTAATCCCAACACTTTGGGAGGCCGAGATGGGTGGATCACCTGAAGGTCAGGAGTTTGAGACCAGCCTGGCCAACATGGTGAAACCCCATCTCTACTAAAAATATAAAAATTAACCAGGCATGGTGGCGGGCATCTGTAATCCCAGCTACTCGGGAGGCTGAGGCAGGAGAATCACTTGAACCCGGGAGGCGGAGGTTGCAGTGAGCTGAGATTGCACCACTGCACTCCAGCCTGGGCGACAAGAGTGAAACTCCGTCTCAAAATAAATAAAATAAAATACAAAACAAATACAAAAATTAGCCGCACATGGTAGCGGGCGCCTGTAGTCCTAGCTACTCCGGAGGCTGAGACAGGAGAAATCTCCTGAACCCAGCAGGTGGAGGTCACAGTGAGCCAAGACTGCACCACTGCACTCCAGCCTGGGCGACAGAGCGAGGTTCCATTTTCAAAAAAAAAAAAAAAAAAAAAAGCCGGGCTCAGTGGCTCACGCCCGTAATTCCAACACTTTGGGAGGCTGAGGAGGGTGTATCACCTGAGGTCAGGAGTTCAAGACCAGCCTGGCCAACATGGAGAAACCTCCTCTCTACTAAAAATACCAAAATTAGCTGGGTGTGGTGGCTGGCACATGTAATCCCAGCTACTTGGGAGGCTGAGGCAGGAGAATCGCTGGAACCTGGGAGACGGAGGCTGCAGTGAGCCAAGATCGCACCACTGCACTCCAGCCTGGGCAACAGAGCAAGACTCCATCTCAAAAAAAAAAAAAAAAAAAGACTTCAACACCTGGCTAAGTCATCTTTCACACCTCTTCAATGTTCACATAAGATCAGCCATCCAAAAACTGTAAGTCAAAACTCCCTGACCATCTCAACTCCTACAACCTCCCCACTTATTCCATTGCAAACCCTACTCCCACCCCACTTGGACCTGTTCCTGATCCAAAACTGGTCTACATCTGAAATCTTAACTGTCAACTTCCTACTTAACCTTCCTACTCTCTTTTCACTTGGTCTATCATCTCCTAACTTAACCTCTGTCCTTCTCCAGCTTAGACCTTACCATATCAGAGCAACCACTTTCTTACCAGGGCCTTCATTTCCCTTAACTCTCTGCCTGTCCTCCATCCCTGCCCTGCTAAACAAAAACTATGCCAACTGGTCCTTTAATCTTGGGCCAATCTTCAGTGCCTCTTGGCAGTTTCGTCCACCGAACAGTTGTGAGGCATTCCCTGCTGGTATAACACTGAAGCACTATCAAAGATGTTCCCAAACTAAGGACAGCAGATATGGACAAATCTCTGGGATACTACAGCCATTTTTAAGCACTTTCTAGAATATCTCATGACTTGGAATCATATGTTGCAGCTATTTTCTAGAACATGACCTACAAACCACACTAGCCTAAAAGAGCACTAAGGATGTGGCAGCCAACATCTACGGCTCTGAATTTCCACCAGTGACACTGCTGGGACCCAATCTCCCAAGTTCTGTCCTTCCCCTGGTTAGGTATTTATATGGACCCCGAGCCCTCCAGAGAAGCAGCGGACACTACAGTCAACTGCTGTCACTTGCTCTACACCTCCTTCTTTAGGGAGGCTGTCACTGCCAGTGTCACCACTCTGTCAATGCCTTCCCATTTCATTTACTAAAAGGAAGAGCCCTTGTGTGTGCCAGGTACTGTGTTAGGTATGGAGATGAGTGCCATTTGGGAATCCCTCTGTACTCTGGGTTTGGCTGAGCCCTCAGTTGCCAAGAAGGAAAAGGTGGCATCTATGTACACACTAAAAAGACGCCACTTCTCCACTCTCATGAATAAACTATCACTAGATTTACTACTTTGTTTCATCAATATGTTGTCCATGATACCCTTTATTCAACTTCCTGACAGATTAACCCATTTATTCAATAGTTATCCCAGCCCAAAGTCATCTCAAAAAAAAAAAAAAAGAAAAAAGAAAAAAGAAAAACCCTTGTTAATAAATAAGAAAAGGCAGGCATGGTGGCTCATGCCTATAATCCCAGCACTTCGGGAGGCTGAGGTAGGAGGACTGCTTGAGGCCAGAAGCTTGGGACCAGCCTCGGCAACATAGTGAGACACTGTCTCTTAAAAAAAAAAAAAAAAAAGGGCCAGGCGCCGTGGCTCACGCCTGTGAGCCTCCCAGCACTTTGGGACACCAAGGTAGGCGGATCACGAAGTCAGGAGTTCCAGGCCAGCGTGGCCAACATGGTGAAACCCCATCTCTACCAAAAATACAAAAATTAGCCAAGCATGGTGGCGCATGCCTGTAACCCTAACTACTTGGGAGGCTGAGGCACGAGAATTGCTTGAACCTGGGAGCTGGAGGTTGCAGTGAGCCAAGATTGTGCCACTGCACTCCAGCCTGGGCAACAGGGCAAGACTCTGTCTCAAAAAAAAAATCAGCTGGGCATGGTGGCTCACATCTGTAGTCCTGGCTACTCGGGAGGCTGAGGTGAGAGAATCACCTGAGCCCAGGAAGTTGAGGCTGCAGTGAGCCATGATTATGCCACTGCATTCCAGCCTGGATGACACAGTGAGACCCTGTCTCAAAAAAAGAAAAAAAGAAAAAGTCTAAAAGGATAGAATGCCAAAAACATTAAAAACGGTAGAGTAGGCCAGGTGCGGTGGCTCACGCCTGTAATCCCAGCATTTTGGGAGACCAAGGTAGGCGGATTGCTTGAGGTCAGAGTTCAAGACCAGCCTGGCCAACATGGCAAAACCTTGTCTCTACTAAAAATACAAAAATTAGCTGGGTGTGATGGCGGGTACCTGTAATCCCAGCTACTCAGGTCGGGGGAGGCTGAAGCAGGGAACTGCTTGAACCTGGGAGGTGGAGGTTGCAGTGAGCTGAGATCGTGCCACTGCACTCCAGCCTGGATGACAGAGGAAGACCCTGTCTCAAAAAAATAAAAAATAAAAAATGGTAGAGTATCAGGTAGTTTTACTTTTATCCCTTCCTATTTGCTAATCTGTGTTTTCTAATCTATTTCCAATGAAAGTGTATTACTGCTTTTAAAAAAGTTTATAAAAATCTCTTTAAAAGGCCCTAATTGGTCCAATTCAGAGGTTACATCCTAGTCCCCATTTCCCTGGATCCTTCTGTAGCATAAATTATGCTCAGCTCATCACACTCTCAGCTCTATGACACTGTGCTCCTGATTCTCTTCCTAGTCCTGGGCTGCTCATTTCTCAATCTCCTTCATGGGCTCACTTTTCTTGAGCTACCCTTTCAACATCGGTATTCCCTAGGATTCTGTTCTTGCCTCTTTTCTCATCTAAACACTGTTGTCTCCCTAAATGAGCTCACCTAATCCATGGTTTCTACTTATATGTACTTTCACCAATACCTGGATAATCTCTGTCAAGATCTCCATCCTTACTCCAGTCCATATATATGTGTAATCAACTGCCTAGGAGACAATTCTGGGTGCTCCATTTTGGTATGATCCCATTTTGACATCTCAAAATCAACATGTCTAAACAACCAGTTCTGCCCCCACATCAGCTTTTTCAGCATTCTCTATCTTCTCAAGAGGCATCTGAGGTGCCTCTTTCTTCCCTTCTGTCCCCTAACCTACCTTTAAGTCCTATTGATTCTACCACATTAAAGGTTCACTTATCTAAGACAGCAAAGTATGTAAAAGATGAAATTAATAACAAATTTTTATTAGTACTCCATTAATCGAAAGCTATATCATTTCATTTGGAAAGGGAGAACACAAGAGGTCTATCTATAATTTGGAAAAAAAATATATTCTGGAAACTAATCAATGCTTGGCAAAACAACTTTACTAATACATTTAAGATAAAAGTAAGCTACAAGTTTGGTCTTGTTCATCTGAATTATTGGTTTAGTTTTTAGAGACAGGGTCTTGCTATGTTCCCCAGGCTGGAGTGCAGTAGCTATTCATAGGCATGATCATAGTACACAACAGTCTTGAACTGCTGGGCTCAAGCAATCCTCCTACCTCAATCTCCTGAGTAGGCACACCACTGCACCCAGCTTAAAAAAAAATTTTTTTTTTTGAGACAGAGTCTCACTCTGTTGCCCAGGCTGGAATGCAGTGGTGCGATCTCCACTCACTGCAACCTCCACCTTCTGGGTTCAAGTGATTCTCCTACCTCAGCCTGCCAAGTAGCTGGGATTAGAGATACACGCCACCAGACTCGGCTAATTTTTTTTTATTTTTAGTAGAGAAGGAGTTTCGTCATGTTGGCCAGCTGGTCTTGAACTCCTGACCTCGAGAGATCTGCCTGCCTCGGCCTCCCAAAGTGCTGGGATTACAGGCGTAAGCCACCACACCCAGGCTTGAATTATTTTTAAAGGTAAAATTAATGAGCTTAGAATTTTCCTACATACACAAATGCATACTGGGAACAAAAGGAATCTCGTACAGTGTAGTGTTTGAATAACCATTCTAAGAAGGCTATCAACATCACACTAATTATCAGTTTTCAAAATATTTAGAATAGGGCTGGGTGTGGGGCTCACACCTGTAATCCCACACTTTGGGAGGCCAAGGCGGGAGGATTGCTTGAGCCCAGGAGTTTGAGACAAGCCTAAGCAACATAGCGAGTCCCCATCTCTAAAAAAAAGTAGTAATAATAGAAAAAAACAATTAGAATTAAAAACAACAAATTAAACTGGATGAAAATTTTGATACTATATATTTTTTTTCAGGATCATTATGGTCACCAACGATCATTCTGCCTTGTCAAGCTGTATTGGTCTGCAGGGAGCAGTGGCTTGTGCCTGTAATCCAAGCAACTCAGGAGGCTGAGGCAGAAGGAGCACTTGAAAGACCAGCCTGAGAAACATAGACCCCATCTCTAACAAAATTAAAAAAAAAAAAAAAATCAGCTGGGCATGGTAGCATGCACCTACAGTCTCAGCTACTCAGGAGGCTGAGGCAGGAATTTCAGGCTACAGTAAGCCATGATCATGCCACTGCTCTCCAGCCTGGGCAGTAGAACAAGACCCCAACTCTGAAAGAAAAGATTTATTGGTCACATTTAATGAAGATTTAATAATAGAAGGCTGGAAATTAGTGTTCATATACTTGAGAGTAAACTGCTTTGTGTTTCATTAATCTGTTATTTTGACAATGCCTAAAAATACCACACTTCACTTCATGTCAAAGTCACCCTCTCTATTCAACAGTTAATCATTACCTGAAAAGGTCTAAAACAGCTAATATTCACGTTTCTGAAAAATACTCCATCTAAAGGAAATTTATAAAAGGAGAAACTATGCTTTCTCAAAAAAACAAAAAAACAAAAAAAAACACAACAATTAAGGTTCCAGATACTTACTATGATGGAAATATTATAAGGCAGAGAAGCAGTGGGGGAAAAAAGAGGAGGAGGAGGAGGAGAATTGGTAAACTGTGAGTCAGAAGACCCCAAAGACATATGTAAAGACAGCTCCTGTCTGAGTACACAGCACTCTCCTCTGGGCACCCAGCCTGCTGAGAGGGATTCCTAGCAGGCAGCCTCCCACTCTGTGATCCTGGCCACAGTCACTCGTGGTCATACAGGAGTGGGAAATATGAATCAAGATGAACAGAAACTTAGCAAAGGCGAGGGAAAGAGAAACAAAGATAAAAAGAGAGAGACGTGTATTGACTGTGTATGACGGGAACTGGAACATGTCAAAGAGCAACTGTGGGCACCCACTTCTGTCTGCCATGTGGGCTGAAGATCAGAGAAAGGCAGTCAACTGAGAAAGAATAAAGCCAAAAGGAGGACAGGCAGTGCTCCTGAACGCCTCGTTCTCCCAGTTGCTAAGCCCAGTTCGATGTCTGCCCTTGGGTTCTGAGAGAACCTTACATTCTTAGAATAAATTCTTCCTCTTTACTACCTTAGGTTGATTTTTCCTACTTATAACCAAGGGTCCTAACTAATAATTTTAGAACAGAAATATCTGTAAGTTACTCAAATTTTCTTGGCCTTCTCTCTGCATCTGTAAAAACAAGAGCACTAGACATGATCTCTAAAATATTTTTAGTCCTAAAATTCTCATTCTTTTTATATGATTTTGTAAATATGCAACACACTAAATACACATGCCAGTTAAATAAACTATAGCTACTTTTAAAGTCTCAGCAACGCATTTGTGAAGTTTACCTGATCTAAACACTTTTAAAACTCATCTGCGATAGCCGAGACATATGCAGTAACTTATTTTCTACCTAAAAAGCTTAGTGCATTTATCAATAAGACTACAACTTTAGAGGAGCAGCAGTACTTTACACTTTTATGGTAAGCGTGTATTAAGTAGAAAACAGTGAAACACTCAGTGATTAAGTGACCAACATGATAGAGTCTCTAGATGGTAGTAGTAAGTAAGGGTATAGGTCTGGCGTCAGATGCCTGGGTTTGAAGCGTGGTTCTACCTCTTATTAGCTCTGTGATATTGGGGCAAGCTACTCAGCCTCTCTGTGCTCTAAAATGTAAAATCTGGACCGGACACGGTGGCTCACGCCCATAATCCCAACAGTCTGGGAGGCCGAGGTGGGCAGATCACCTGAGGTCAGGAGTTCCAGACCAGCCTGGCCAATGTGGTGGAACCCCGTCTCTACTACAAATACAAAAATTAGCCGGGCATGGTAGCTGGCACCTGTAATCCCAGCTACTTGGGAGGCTGAGGCAGGAGAATCGCTTGAACCTGGGAGGCGGAGGTTGCAGTAAGCCGAGATCGGGCCGCTGCACTCCAGCCTGGGCAACAAGAGTGAAACTCCATCTCAAATTAATTAATTAGTTAATTAATTTAAAAAGTGTAAAATCTAAAACTTTTAAATTGGGGTACTTCAGGCCAGGCACGGTGACTCACGCTTGTAATCTCAGCACTTTGGGAGGCCAAGGCGGGCAGATCATGAGGTCAGGAGATCGAGACCATCCTGGCTAACATGGTGAAACCCCGTCTCTACTAAAAAATTAGCTGGGCATGGTGGCAGGAGCCTGTAGTCCCAGCTACTTGGGAGGCTGAGGCAGGAGAATGGCGTGAACCTGGAAGGCAGAGCTTGCAGTGAGCCGAGATGGTGCCACTGCACTCCAGCCTGGGCGACAGAGCAAGACTCTGTCTCAAAAAAAAAAAAAAAAAAAAAAAAAAAAAGGGGGGGTATACTTGGCCAGGTGCAGTGGCTCATGCCTGTAATCCCAGCATATTGGGAGGCCGAGGCAAGTGGATCACTTGAGGTCAGGAGTTCGAGACCAGCTGGCCAACATGGCAAAACCCCATCTCTACTACAAATAAAAAAAAAATTGGCTAGGTGTTGTGGCTCACGCCTGTAATCCCAGCTAGTCGGGAGGTTGAGGTGGGAGAATCGCTTGAACCCAGGAGGCGGAGATTGCAGTGAGCAGAGATGGCACCACTGCACTCCAGCCTGGGCAAAAGAGTGAGATCATGTCTCAAAAAAAAAATTGGGGTACTAATATTAATAGAACCTACCTTACAGGTTGCTGCGATAATAAAGTAAGTTAATGGATGTAAAGCACTTAGTACAGTGCATGGACCTTAAGTACACTGTAACATTAAGGCTTATTATCATGCCCCTTCGTGTGGTACTACTACAGCCAAAATAGTAAGCCTGATCTAGTTAACTTTGAAGAAACCCCCCAGCCCACCTTCTGAGTATAGTTTCTCAAGACTCAGGACCCAGGTCAACTCTAACTCCACAGATGAAGACAGTAATAATGTCCACGGGTGAACTGACTTTTTATTCAAGGTCATAGAACTAGTAGCTAGAAATAAAGTTAAGACTAGATTCTAGCCTGCGCAACATATCAAAACCCCGTCTCTACAAAAATTAGCTGGGCGTGGTAGTGTGTGCCTGTAGTCTCAGCTACTTGGGAGACTGAGGCAGGAAGATTGCTTGAGCCCAGGAGGCAGAGGTTGCAGTGAGCTGAGATGGCGCCATTGTACTCCAGCCTGGGCAACAAACTAAGAGCCTGTCTCAAAAAAAAAAAAAAAAAAATTAGATTCTATTTGCAAAAAATACAAAATAGTGTGGTCGGAAAGAGCAAAACCTCTGAAATCAGAGTGCTTACTGTGTGACCTACAGAAATTTTGTTAACTTCCTATCTTGGTTTCCATCCATACATTACTAATAATCATCATCATCTTATTATCAAGTTAGGGTGGTGAATAAATGAATTAACCTAAGTGAGAACCCTCAGTCTCCCCTCTCTACCAACCCCATGCCTCCCTAGGGTTTATCATAATGCAGATTTATAACAGATCAGAGTCAGGCGCAGTGGCTCACGTCTATAATCCCACCACTTTGGGAGGCCGAGATGGGCATATCGCTTGAGCTCGGGAGTTCGAGGCCAGCATGGGCAACGTGGCAAAACCCCATCTCTACTAAAAACATAAAAATTAGTCAGACGTGGTGGTGTGTGACTGTAGTCCCAGCTACTCAGGAGGCTGAGGTCAGAGGATAAACTGAGCCCGGGAGGCCGAGGCTGCAATGAGCTATAATCCACCACTGAACTTCAGCCTGGGCAACAGAGTGAGACCATGTCCCAAAAAAAAAAAAAAAAAAAAAAAAAAATTGTGTACATAATTCTTTAACTGGTTACAGCGGCCTCATGCCTGTAATCCCAACATTTTGGGAGGCAAGGCACGAGGATCACTTGATCCAGTTCAAGACCAGCCTGGGCAATGTGGCCAGACCTCTTCCCTACAAAAAAATTTTTTTAAATAGCAGAGCTTGGTGGCGTGCTCCTGTGGCCCCAGCTACTTGGGAGGCTGAGGCAGGAAAATCGCTTGCGGTGAGGATGTCGAGGCTGCAGTGAACCACGATGAAGCCACTGCATTCCAGTCTGGGCAACAGAACAAGGCCCTGTCTCTAAAAAGAAATCTAAGTACAGAATTATATCAATTTAAGGAAGAAAACTATTATAAGAACTACTTTGCAATGGCAGAGACAGCCGCGGCAGCAGTAGCGTGCTCAACAAGAAGTGCGTAGCCCCACTCTCCCAAAAGAAAAAAACGAATCATTGTAAAACACAAAAACCTTAAATAAGAACTCTTTAAATGAGTGCTGGAGGAAAAATTTAAGAGGCTTTGAGGAAAAACATTTACTGACAAAATGTTCAATGTACAAAAATTCTGTATCCTTACTTTTCATATATAGGTTTATCAACACTTTATACATGGCCTTCAGAATTTCAAATAGTAGGTTTTTTTTTTTTCAAGAGGGAAACCAATTAGACCAAATGACAAGGCATACTTATACTACCAGGAAAGAAATACTGAAGAACGTGTCTTGTTTCATAAACTTGGTACTGACTAAATAAAAGAAAGCCTCACATTTTTGTGCCTAAGAATGATTAGTATAGGGATTCTCAAAGCATGATCTGGGGACAAGTGAATCCAGTTGTCCTAAAAGATCCCAGTCCCCACTAAAGGGGCTTCCCAATGTCAAAATTATTATCCAAATAATTTTTTTAAAGTTATTGGTCAGCCGGGCACAGTGGCTCACATCCGTGATCCTAGCACCTTGGGAGGTAGAGGTGGGCTGATCACTTGAGCTCAGGAGTTCAAAACCAGCCTGGTCAATATGGTGAAACCCTATCTCTACTAAAAAATACAAAACTTAGCCAGGGGTGATGGCATGTGCGTCTGATTCCAGCTACTCAGGAGGGTGAGGCACGAGAATTGCTTGAACCCAGGAGGCAGAGGTTGCAGTGAGCCAAGATTGCGCCACCTCCAGCCAGGGCGACAGAGCAAGACTCCTTCTCAAAATAAATACATAAATAAAGAATAGTTATTTGTCTTTTTCACTTTCATTCTGTTTTCTAGAGGTTTACACATGGTATGTGATATTGCAACAGACTGAATGCAGAAGCTGATGAGAAGCCCATTGGCTTTTATTAAGCCAGATATTAAAGAGATATGCAAAAATTTAAAACAATGCCACTCTTTTCACCAAGTTCTTAACTGTTTTAGAAAAGTTATTTTTCATAAAAAAATGTTATTTAGGTTACCATGTAATAGAATTAATTTTTATTTGTTTATTTATTTTTTGAGACAGTCTCACTCTGCACCCAGGCTGGAGTACAGTGGCATGATCTCTGCAACCTCTGCTCCGGGGTTCAAGCGATTCTCCTGCCTCAGCCTCCTGAGTAGCTGGGATTACAGGAGCCCACCACCACGCCCAGCTCATTTTTTTATTTTTAGTAGAGACGGAGTTTCACCATGTTGCCCAGGCTGGTCTCGAACTCCTGGCCTCAAGCGATCCACCCGCCTCGGCCTCTCAAAGTGCTGGGATTACAGGTGTGAGCCACCAAGCCCGGCCCCCACTAATTTTTAAGAGTACAAATAAGTACAAAGAAGTCCTGAGACCACAGGCTTGAGAACAACTGAAAGTGTAAGAGATAAGTGACAACACACACACACACACACACACGTGCACGCACAAACCTCAACCTCTTCCTACCTCTGCCCTGGAAGACTATTACTGCTATTTATATCACAGAATTTTTGAACACTTCAAACTCTCTAGTGACCAGTAAAAAAAGAAGTTTGGTGGGGGTAAAACTGGACAGGAAATTAAAGGCAAAGAAATTAAATGCTTCCTTTTCAGTTATAAGGCTGCCATTCTGATGTGAAGGCAAAATTATAGGCAATTAAAAGACATTTCAAAATTAACCTCTATGTTTGTGCCATAAGCAATAATTTATTGCTTTCACATTCCTTCCACAGCTGCTTGAAAATTCATACAAAAGCTTAAGGTATTCAATGCAAAAGCTAGATTCTCAGAGGTTGATATAATATACTTACCCTCAATGAAAAATTTAAATGATTTCATACTATCTTCATCCCCAAACTGTTCTCCTACCAAAATTGATGCCTATGCAGAAAATGCCACAGTTGCATATCGAAAAGAGAATGCAAAGGCTTACTACGGATAAAAACAGAATTAATTTCTGAGTCATAACATTTCTCACTTCTGTAACCCATAAAGTAAAAAAATGTAAATTTGACAATCTCAAAGCAGCCAACTTCTCAACATACCAATATAAAAGAAAAGACAAATTTAAAGACAGACTTTTAAGCTCTATTAGCGGTCACTTTACTCTCAATACACTACTCAAATTGAAAACTCACTTTAATATGGGAGGAGACGTTGTGTAAGTTAACTTTAATTTGTTTAATACTGGAAATTCTTTCTTGTCATCAAAATATTTTTATAACTCAGGACCAAATTGCAAATGACCATTTAACTAAGCTATTAGGAGGGCCCTGGGTCCTCCAGCCTCCAGACTGGCACCAAATTACTTCACTTTTCAGGTATGTTTAGCATTTCGTCATCCTATAATACAAGAAGCCTTATAAGAAAAAAAAAACCCTGCTTGAATGCTATTTTTCATCAGAAGACTTTAATTTAATGCTTCTCTGCTTATTCCACACTATGACTAGAAGTAGTCCAAGAGTGATGTCATGGAAAACAGCTTCCCTAGCCTTTAGAGATTGGATCCAGTGAGAATTCTAGGAAAAGCCTCTATTGGGGAATAAAACCCCAAATCTTCTAAGTTCTATTCTAACATGAAATCACAAATACTGTAATGTTAGCCTTTCAGTTCCTCATAAGAATTATACAACCAAACTAAATATTTTGGAAAGTCTTGCTGTTATGATACAGATTTCCTGCAAATCATTAGTCTATAATATATATCATTAACTAAATTCAAAGATCTTATCAGAGACAAAGGGTATTTTTTTCTATCCATTCTTACATGTTTCAGTGATTGAGCCTGATGAGCTTTAAGGGTCTTACGTTAAAAACAGAAAACCTGACAACATATTTTGTCTTTCCTAATTTCTTACTTGCAAAGTTAAAATTTCAAATTCTGAAAAGGTCTTCCACTTTTGGACCAGCAGCAATACAACATATACCCTTGGCAGAGATGAACTATGAGAGCCTTTCCAATGATTCTTAAAATGGCAATAATAATAATCTTATATTACTATCTCCCTTGGTGCCGCTGTTCCTTGAAAACCAGCTACACTCCCAACTTAAGGCCTCTCTACACCCTGTTCCCTCTGCCTGGATCACACTATCCCCAGATATATATGGTTCCCTTAGGGTCTTTGGTGTCATTTCAGTGAGGCCTTCCTCAAACACCCTCTTTTAAAGTTGCAAAACCCCATCTGCCCCATCAACCTGACAATCCCCATGCCCCTCCACTTTATTATTCTCTGCAGTATATTAAATGGCAATACAGGCTATCCATTTTACTTAGTTTCCTTTCTGCTTCAATTTGTCGGTTTTGCTTCACTGACTGTTGCATCTCCAGCACCTAAAACAGTGCTTGGCACATAATAAGTGCTTAATAAATATTTGTTGGAAAGACAGATAAATTTAATTCTCGCAACCTTCCATGTTTTGTATCCATCCCCGACTTAAAGATGAGAACATCAAAGCTCACAGAGGTTAAGTAACTTGCCCAAGGCTATAATTATTAGTAAGTTGTGAAGTTGGGGTCTGCCTGACTTCATAGCCTCCCCTATTAAACACTGTTCTACAATGCCTCACCCATGGCTCCATCTTTCATTTCTCTTCAATAAAAAAAAAAAAGCACCACATGAGCTATAGCACTCCAATTCAGAGAAAATAGATGCTAATAAAGTAATCCACCTCCTCTAAGCTAAAGATTCATTCTCCTCACAGTTAACATTATTCACTCTCAAAACATTTGCACTGGGAAAGGCCAGGCTTGACAACAGGCCACCTACATCATTTGCGGGGACTCTTGTTCAAAATCAGGGAAAAATGTTGTTAAAAGGCTGGGCGATGGCCGGGCGCGGTGGCTCATGTCTGTAATCCCAGCACTTTGGGAGACCGAGGCGGGCGGATCACTTGAAGTCAGTCGAGACCAGCCTGGCTAACATGGTGAAACCCCGTGTCTACTAAAAATACAAAAATTAGTCAAGCATGCTGACGCGCATCTGTAATCCCAGTTACTCGGGAGGCTGAGGCAGGAGAATCACTTGAACCCGGGAGGCGGAGGTTGCAGTGAGCCGAGATCGCGCCACTGCACTCCGGCCTGGGAGACAGAGCAAGACTGTGTCTCAAAAGATAAAAAAAAAAAAAAAAAAAGGCTGGGCACGGTGGCTCCCGCCTGCGCTTTGGGAAGCCAAGGCGGGTAGATCACTTGAGTCCAGGAGTTCGAGACCAGCCTGGCCAACATGGTGAAACCCCGTCTCTACTAAAAATACAAAAATTAGCCGGGCGTGGTGGCGAGCGCCTATAATCCCAGCTACTTAGTAGGCTGAGGCCCAAGAATCGCTTGAGGCCGGGAGGTGGAGGTTCCAATGAGCGGGGATCGGATCGCACCACTCCACTCCAGCCTGGGCGACAGAACAAGACTCTTGTCTTAAAAAAAAAAAAAAAGTCGTTAAAGGTAATAAAATGTAAAGCTCTTTCAAAACTTTCTTCTGTATCTCTCAACTGTTTCGCGGTTTTTTTTTTTTTTGAGACGGAGTTTTGCTCTCGTCGCCCAGGCTGGAGTGCAGTGCCGCCATCTTGGATTACCGCAACTTCTGCCTACCGGGTTCAAGCGATTCTCCCGCCTCAGCCTCCCGAGTAGCTGGGAATAGAGTAGCTGGGATTACAGGCGCCCGCCACCACGCCAGGCTAACTTTGTGTTTTTAGTAGAGACGGGGTTTCTCCACGTTGGTTAGGCTGGTCTCAAACTCCCGACCCTCAGGTGATCCGCCCGCCTCGGCCTCCCAAAGTGCTGGGATTACAGGCCTGAGCCACCGCTCCCGGCTCTCAGTGTTTTTTAAATTTGATGTTTAATGTCGTTCTGAGTAAAGGAAAATTAAAAATTTAAATTAGCATGAATTTTACCATTCACCCTTATACTGTACAATCCCAGTTTTACATGCAGATTATTAAACCAAGTGTGGGGCCCTTCTGAACATCCATGAAGCCAAGCCTGCCCTGATCAAGGTTAGGTTTCTGAGATAACCCGACTCGAGGTAGAGAGAAGGTCAAACCTTGAAATCCCCAATAAAGCAATGATTTGTCAAAATTTTATCAAGATTAGTGATAAATCCAATCTATAAAACCAGCCACTTTGAAGTAGGCTCTTCCTTTTACTATGTAAATCCTGCCCAACTTCTATTATTTTGCCTTTTTACAAAACACAAAAGCATACTCTGAAAGACAACTGGTATTGGACTAGAGGATTATAAATTTAATAAAACATCTAACTACTCAAAACCATTTGTTAGCTAAAAATAACAATATACCCAAAAATGCTTCTCTTTTCACTTTTTGTGGACCATTTAAGCCAAACCATACTATATTTTTGATATGCCAAGTAAAAATGATCAATACTAATCTGTTACACATATAAATCCTGGCAAAATAAATTCAATTTTCAAACCACAAATATTTACTATCCTATTCTTTCCCCAAATTAATCAGCAATGAAGAGTGCAAGTTAACATCCTCTACCACTGATAAACTGTGACTCTAAGCACCTACTACGTGTTGTGATTAAAAATGAGAATAAAATTATATAATTACATTAAGTGCTAAAAAGTTGAAATGTTCTATACATTTCTAGATCTATTAAGGATTACTGAAACATGAATGCATTGATAAGCTCTTCAAAACCAATTTTCAAATTAGTAGAAGTATTCAAGCATCCTGCTCCCTAGATATGAAAAACAGGCATTAAAATTAGGGCATATATGTCTGCAAAGCATTTTCTAAATTACCACTTAATCAGATTAACAAAGGCAAACAAATTCGGAAAACAGAAAAGACTAACAAATGTAAGGTGTTAAATATTTGGAGTAAGAAAAGGGGCCTAAAGCGGCCTAGAACGATGAAAAGCAAAGCCCCTACGGTAACGTTACATTTGAATTAAAGAATACCGTTATTTAAATAAGCAGTTAGCACTTCGTAGGAGGAAGGCCAAGCAACGTGACTATTACAGATCTATGGATTCACAGCACTGCTTTACTATTATTCCGTACTTATTTGCTTATATTTATAATATAGAAATAAAGAGGCAGCAACAGTTAGCCACTACATTAACCACTCTACCAAAGGTTACTTAAAAAACGGCCTTGCATTCTTACAACACTCTACAGTTAAGGATTATTTTCACATATATGACCTCATATAGTCCTCTCAACCCTGCGATGTTGGTAGTACCGACTATATTTCATAGATAAGAAACCAAGGCTCGGTACGCGATTTTTTCTCAGAGTCACCCAAGTCGAACCCAGACCTTCCGATTCCTAGTTTTATGCCTCGCATTTTGCATAGTTCTATTTCAGGCATAAATTGAATTGTTAAAGGGAAGGAACGGGTTAGGCAAAAAATAATCATGGTACCTGCAGCTGTGTGCTGCAAAAAATGGCTGAATTATGCTTCTTCCTTTTTCTTTCTCGCTCTCTCTGGAAAAAAAAATTACATTTCAAACAATTTAAGTAAACTCGAAGACAAACGAGGTCCCGGCGTCTACCAAATGTTTGACTCGGGTCCGTGCAGAGAGGGCCGGCGAATTCGTGCCTAGCTCGGGGCCGCGGGCGAAGCCCGGGCTCCGCAGGCCGGCGGCCAGGGGCGGCTACGTACCTCGGGGGGTCCTGTCCAGCCTCTAGTGGACGGCAGTCTGCATCAGGAAGAACCGGGCCAGCGGGCCGATGGGTGGGCGGTCGGGCGCCGGGACGGCACTCGGCAGGCTCCTCGGACGTCTACGAGCAGCCGCTCCCGGCACGAGCCGGGTCGCTCCGGCGGGGCACGAGAGTGCTCGCCTGCAGCCCCCTCTGGATAAGTCCTGGGAAAGAAGACAGCGCTGAGTCGAGAAACCAGACAGTCGGGCTCCGCACGAGGCGGCGCGGCGTCGGGGCCCGGACCGACCTTGCCAACGCCGGGGGCCTCGCAGCACCCGACGGGGCTCGGCGGGAGGGCCGACTGGGGCCGCGGGCGGGGAAAAGGGCTGGGGGGCAGCAGGCAGAGACAGAAGCACCAGCCGAGGAAGCGTCGAGGACGGCGTCTCTGGGCTTCTGCCCCGAAGCGCGCCGAGCCTCGGGATCACCCACGCCGGGGGTGGAGGAAGGCGGGAAAGGGGCGGGGAAGGGGCGGGGCGTGCGGGGCCACGAGCCGGGGGCCGCTCCGGGCCGCGCGCCCCCTGCGGGCCGCGGGAGCCGCCCGGGGCCCGCCCAGGGAGGCGGGGCTGGCCGGCAGGGGGCCCAGTGCGCTGTCGTCTTGACGCGGAAGGCCGCCACGCTGGGAGAGAGGGCGGAGGGTGGGAAGCCGTTGGGGGCGGGGAGCTGGCCCGGGAGGCCCCCCCCTCGGCCCCTGCTGGCGCCCCGAGGGGGCCAGCCCGTGGCCTGGCGGGTGTTTACCTTCCCCCTGGTCGAGCGCCAATGCCGCCATCTTTCAGCCCAAAACGCGTCACTTCCGGCGCCACGGGAGCGGGAGCGGGTGTGGGAACGGGGGGGAAGGGGGGGCGGGGAAGGCTGTCCCGCGCCCGCGGCGCCCCGCGTCCCGGCTGCCGGCCCGCCACGCCAGCGGTTTCCCACCGAGGAAAACAGGCGGCCGGGCGTCGCGGCCCTGGACTGGGCCCGACGCAGCTTCCCCCGCGGCGCCGCCGTCGGGGCTGAGGACACTCAGCTGTCCTCGTCCCCTTGCAGCGGTCTCTCTCCGCCTGCACGAGCGATGGGCCCTGAGCCACTGCGGTGCGCCCACCCTCGACAAGTTGAGGGCTAGGAAGCCAGGAAAGTGTCTTTTTGCATCTTGGCCACGGTGGGGGTGGGGGAATCGGGGACAACGTGGAGGGAGCTTTTCCATAGCTACCTGTTATAAAAGTGACTAGATCTGCGCCAAATGACATCATTTTTTGTAAGGCAACTTGCAGTGGACTATTGCGTCACTGTCCACTTGGCTTACTGCACAACAATTACACGTTTCAGAAATCGATTTCCCAAGGGTGGGAAAATTCATAAAAAATTGCATGTCTGCACCACCCGGAGATAATGCCGGATTTAAAAAAGCTGTCTCTACTTGCGTCAAAATAATCAAGAACGAACATTCAGAGGGCAGTGATTTTTGTTGTTCGTTTTTTATAGAATTCTAGCTAGTACTTTTTAAATATTACCTTTTCTTGACAAGAATATAAAACTAGACTATAGGACTGTTTTGTAAATTTATTATGGCATCTCTTTCTGGGAAAAGTGTAGATGACGGAAATACACAGTTGGAAGCCCGTGGATCTACAATTAACCTTAAATTAGGGCATCCATTGCCCATAGCAGATCCTAAACTGAGGTATTTCGGCTTCCCCCACCCCCACCCCCCGCCGCCATTTTCTCTCTAGACCAATATCCCGATGAACTTTCCGTGAGAGGTGTCGCTAAAAGCGATAATTATCTCTTTCTAGCAAACTTGAACATACCATCTTTCCCAAGAGGCCAAAATAGCACACGGTGTACTGTTTTGCTGAAGTAGACTACTTCGTGGGAGAGATAACACAATCACTTCAATCTTTTGGAAATACGCTTCCTTATTCCGATTTAAACTATAACAAGCTTTAAAAAAACTGTAAGACACTGAAATTCCCAAGTTGTTCACACTTTCTTTCCATCTTTTCCAATAGCTCCTTTAAGATATTTCTGTTCATTATTTAAAAATCCCTGCTTGCCATATTTGTATCTATTACTACATGACAAATTACCCCAGAATTTCACATTAAAACAAATTTTTAAAATTAAATCATAAAATAAACTTTAAAAATGCATACATTCCACTTCTGAATATTTAAATGTTCATGCATTATTCCCGAACATCTAAACGCTGAGTTTGGATTTTTGTACATTAACTAACATTTTAAGCTATACATTACTATGTGGCACTGACCTGTCTAAAGAGAGGCTTCTGTTCTTGATTCAAGCAAGAGTTGAAACGTTTCTGCGCTCTTTGTACCAGGTATAAATGTAGTGAGTGTATGTCATAAGCCATTGTGTGATCACCGTGCTTCCCGTCCCTCCTTATTTTGACATTGCAAGGTCTCGTGGAATTTCAAATGTGCTTTTTTGGATATTTATGTAGTTTTAAAACTGGGCTGTGTCTTTCAATCAATCTATACGTTTACTATATGAACCCCTCCCCAAGTTATCTTCAATCAATGATGCCTCTTTCACTCTTATTTCTTATTTTTATGTTATTATTATTATTTTTTTTTTGAGACAGTCTCACTCTCGGCCAGGCTGGAGGGCAGAGGCATGATCTCAGCTCACTGCAGCCTTGACCTCCCGGGCTCAAGCAATCCTTCCACCTCAGCCTCCCGAATAGCTAGGACCACAGACGTGCCCCACCATGCTCGGCTAACTTTTCTTTTCTTGTTTTTGTTTGTTTGTTTGTTTTGTTTTTGTTTGCTTGTTTTTTTCTGAGATGGAGTCTGTCGCTCAGGCTGGGGTGCAGTGGATCTCGGCTGACTGCAACCTCCGCCTCCCGGGTTCAAGCGATTATCCTGCCTCAGCCTCCCGAGTAGCTGGGATTACAGGCGCTCGCCACCGTGCCCAGCTAACTTTTGTATTTTTAGTAGAGACGGGGTTTCACTGTGTTGGCTAGGCTGGTCTCAAACCCCCGACCTCATGATCGCCCGCCTTGGCCTCCCAAAGTGCTGGGATTACAAGCGTGAGCCACTGCACTCCAGCTCAGGCAACAGAGCAAAAACACCGTCTCAAAAAAAAAAAAGAAAAGAAAATATATTTTAACTTTCCCCACCAATTTCTGGACTGTAATGGGAGTTGTTAAATACCTTGAGAGTATCCTTTCACACTGGTAGAGTCCCACAGAGGTAGATGGAAGCTGTCTTTTCTTAGCCCTCTAGCCTAAGTATTTGAGAATACACATTCCTCAATAGCTATTTATTTAGCAGCTAGCGAGGTCGGAAGCATGCTAGAAGCCTGGGCCTGGGAGTGCTGGTGGAGTTGGAATGAGGTTCTTCCCCAGGGGTTCTGAGGATTTAGGATACTGCATACCCTCCTCCTCCCTCCTGTTTTTGCTTTTTAAGAAATTGAGGCCAGGCGTGGTGGCTCACGCCTGTAATTCCAGCACTTTGGGAGGCCGAGGCGGAAGGATCATTAGAGGTCAGGAGTTGGAAACCAGCCTGACGAACATAGTGAAACCCCGTCTCTATTAAAAATACAAAAAATTAGCTGGCATGGTGGTGCGGGCCTGCGGTCCCAGCTACTCAGGAGGCTGAGGTAGGAGTATGGCTTGAGCCCAGGAGGCAGAGGTTGCAGTGAGTCGAGATTGCACCACTGCACTCCAGCCTGGACAACGGAACTAGACGCTGTCTCAAAAAAAAAAAAAAGAAAAGAAAAGTTGAGGCTTTTCAGAAATTCCCAGTCTGTGGTAGTTGTCTTGGTAATCACTTTTCTTTTTACTTTTTTTTTTTTTCTTTTTTTTGAGACAGAGTCTCCCTCTATCATCCAGGCTGGAGTGCAGTGGCGTGATTGGCTCACTGCAACCTCTGCCTCCCAGGTTCAAGTGATTCTCCTGCCTCAGCCTCCCAAGTAGCTGGGACTACAGGCACACACCACCACGCCCAGCTAAATTTTGTAACTTTAGTAGAGATGGGTTTTCCCATGTTGGCCAGGCTGGTCTCGAACTCCTGACCTCTAGTAATCCATCCACCTCAGCCTCCCAAAGTGTTGGGATTACAGGCGTGATCAACCGCACCCAGCCACCCCATGATCTTTCCACTGTACCATGTAATTATATTAACATAGTAAATGATCTTCACATAGTTGTATTTTTATTCCTACTTAATTCCACAAATTGTTGGTTTGCAATCTACTATACTATTTATTTATTCATTCCATAAGTATGTGTAAGTGCCTAGTACATGCCAAGTCTTGTTCTACCCACTGGGGATCCATCAGTGAATAAAACATATGAAAACTCTAGCCCTTGTACGGATTACATGTGTCAGGTAATAAAATAAATAAGCAAATTATGTGGCCTGTTAGAATGTGGTAAATGTGGCCGGGTGCGGTGGCTCACGCCTGTAATCCCAGCACTTTGAGAGGCTGAGGTGGGTGGATTACTTGAGGTCAGGAGTTCGAGACCAGCCTGGCCAACACGGGAAACCCCATCTCTACTAAAAATACGAAGAAATTAGCCAGGCGTGGTGGCACATGCCTGTAATCCCAGCTATTTGGGAGGTTGAAGCAGGAGAAGTGCTTGAACCCGGGAGACTGGGCGAAAGAGGGAGACTCTGCCTCAAAAAAAATATATATTATTTTCATAGAAGTTTTAATGACTTATGAAATTGTTTCTAATATAATCTTATGTGAAAATGCAGGACAAAAAAAAACTATAATTGCACTGATCACAGTAACACTGAACCCTCAGAGGTAGTTTTCTGTTGACTCCTTATTTTCCTGAGTATGGGTCACACTTTGCTGTTTCTTTGTACATCCTGTTTCTTTTAGATAATATGTTGTAGCAACTCTGGACTCTGTATTAACCCACTCCCAATCCAGGTGGTGGTAGAGTTTGCTATTTTTAGATTTGTTGTTTGTGTGGTGGTCAGCCTGGACTAATTCTGTGGCGTCTATTCCCCAAATCGGGATGTGATAAATGCTATGGAAAATAACAGAGCTGGGGAAGGGTGTTCCAGTTTTAACTGGGATGATCAAAGTAGGAGGTATCATTTGAGCCTTGCCTTCAATGAAATTAGGGACCAGAGTGTATAAAACCTGGTAGGCAATTGTAAGGTCTTTGGCCTGTGAGAAATTGGGAACCACTGGAAGCTTTGGTGAAGAGGACCAATATGATTTGACACTCAGGCTGCTATGTAAGTAACAGAATTTAGGTGGACTAGGGCAGAAGCAGGGAGATGGGTTAGGAGACTATTCCGATAATGGAATGGAATGGAATGGAATGGAATGGAGGCTACAGTGGAGATGGTGAGAAGTGCTTAGACTTTGCAAATATTCTGGAGGAAGAGCCAACAGGATTTCCTGGAGGTAGGGATAAAGGAAAAGAGAGGAGTCATGGATAACATCAAGGTTTTCTGTCCTGAGCAACTGGAAGGATGGAATTGTCATTTCCTGACATCGCAAAGACCTCAGGAGGATCAGTTTTGAAGGGAGTGGGGAGGAAGGAAAAGCTGCAAGGACTGGGCCCAGAGGTGTGCCTGGGCCAGGGAGCCATCCTGGAGAACAGAGGGAACTGGTTCCAGGAGATCAGACAAGAGTGTGGAATGCTACAAGCTAGAGAGAAAGTTACTGGAAGTTGCTAAACATTCACTATCAATAAAAGATGCAATGAATATTGCCATTTTAATGGAATATATTTACCTTGAAACATGGTGTAGACAATGCCCCCTTGTAGATGAAAACCTTAAAAAGAAAGTTATCATCTTTGTGCTCCTTATGAACCAATGAAAAATAACATTATGCTTCAGCTTCAGTTATGAGATTATCAAGGGGCTGAGTGTACAGCGAGGACTGGGCTTTGTGGCGCAGCAATGTGAGGGAGTCATCCGGGAGAAGATACAGGACTGTCAAGGAGACAGAGAAGGAGTAGCCAGTGAGATAAGAGTAAGACAAAGAGTGTGCTATGCTAAGCCAGATAGAAAAGTACTGTAATTGCTAAACATCCACTATCAATGAAAGATGAAACGAATGTCACCATTTTAACTAAATCTATTTACTGTGAAATGCAACGTAGACAGTGCCTCTTAGTAAATGAAAATGTTAAAAGGAGTAACATACCCCCTTTCCCAAAATTAATCATTAAAAAAAAGTTTTTTTAAGAGATGAGGTATCCCTCTGTAGCCCAGGTTGGAGTGCAATGGTGCGATCATAGTGATCATAGCTTACTGCAGCTTCGAACTCCTGAGCTCGAGGGATCCTCCTGTCTCAGTCTCCTGAGTAGCTCAAAATACAGGCTTGAGCCACTGTGCCCAGCAAAATTAATCACTTTTAAGTTCTTTATGAACCAATGAAAAATAACACTATACTTAGAAGCCTCAAGATACGAGCCACATATTTGTTTTTTTTTTTTTTTTGAGATGGAGTGTCGCTCTTGTTGCCCAGGCTGGAGTGCAATGGTGTAGTCTTGGCTCACTGCAACCTCCGCCTCCTGGGTTCAAGCGATTCTCTTGCCTCAGCCTCCCAAGTAGCTGGGATTACAGGCACCCACCACCACGCCCGGCTTATTTTTTGCATTTTTAGTAGAGACAGGGTTTCACCAGGTTGGCCAAGCTGGTCTCGAACTCCTGACCTCAGGTGATCCGCCCGCCTTGGCTTCCCAAACTGCTGGGATTACAGGCGTGAGCCACCGCACCCAGCCCAAGCTACATATTCTTAAGTACTGCATTTCAGTAGATGTGTACCCAAACATGCACACATTCTAAGTGTGAGTGCCAGAGTTGAGGTGAGTAGCAGGAATAAAGAGCTGCTACATGGTGTTGTATGACTAAAGAAGTGGAAAAAGAAAGAAAAAAAAACCTCCAGTAACTACTGTTGCCAGCAGCACAACTTCAGGGTTTGGGGACTGTGGTTAAGGATAGAGACAAGATTGAATGTAGGCTCTGAGGTTATTTATTGATTCTAAAACTAAGTTCTTAAAAAATGCAGTGATGGCCGGGTGCGGTGGCTGACGCCTGTAATCCCAGCAGTTTGGGAGGCCGAAGCAGGCGGATCATGAGGTCAGCAGTTCAAGACCAGCCTGGTCAACATGGTGAAACCCCGTCTCTATTAAAAATACAAAAATTAGCCAGGTGTGGTGGCGGGCACCAGTAAACCCAGCTACTCAGGAGGCTGAGGCAGGAGAATCGCTTGAACACGCAAGGCAGAGGTTGCAGTGAGCTGAGATCATGCCATTGCACTTCACCCTGGGCGACAGAGCGACACTCCATCTAAAAAAAAAAACAAAAAACAAAAAACGCGGTGGCTGACGCTTGTAATCCCAGCACTTTGGGAGGCAGAGGCGGGCGGATCACTTGAGGTCAGGAGTTCAAGACTAGCCTGGCGAACATGGTGAAACCCCGTTTCTACTAAAATTACAAAAAAATTGGCCAGGCGTGGTGGCAGGCACCTGTAATCCCAGCTACTCGGGAGGCTGAGGCAGGAGAATTGCTTGAACCCAGGAAGCGGAGGTTGCGGTGAATCGAGATCACACCATTGCACTCCAGCCTGGGCGACAGAGCAAGACTCCGTCTCAAAAAAAATTTAAATTAAAATTAAAAAAACTAAAAAACAGGCTGGGTGCAGTGGCTCACACTTGTAATCCTAGCACTTTGGGAGGCCGAGGGGGGCGAATGGCTTGAGCCTAGGAGTTTGAGACAAGCCTGGCAACATGGGGAGACCCCATCTCTACAAGAAATACAAAAATTAGCCGAGCGTGGTGCTGTGAACTTGTGGTTCCAGCTACCCAGGAGGCTGAAGTGGGAGGATTGCTTGAGCCCGGGAGGTCAAGGCTGCAGTGAGCCGTGATTGCACCACTGTACTCCAGCCTAGGTGACAGAGTGAGACTCGGTCTCAAAAAACAAAACAAAACAAAACAAATAAATAACCTAGTGATCACAAAACTATCTCTAAGACAGAATTTCTTTCTAGATACAGGGCAGAGAGGGACTTTAGGTAAGTCAATTCTGGCCTCCTCAGCTTTGTGTGTGGGTAGTGGAAGAGAAAGCAGGGGTATAGTTTCACACATAGATGTCTGGGCATAGGCCTGGACAAAAGGAGGGGTGAATTTCATGCTGTCTTAGGGACTTGGAAGAAGAGGCAGCACTGTCTTGGTGAGGGAGGTGAGAATGTTAAGCGTAGGTGAGGCAGGATAGTCCTCTGGGATTGGAGGTTTTTTTTTTTTTTTGAGACCGAGTCTCTGTTTCCCAGGCTGGAGTGCAATGGCGCGATCTCAGCTCACTGCAAGCTCCGCCTCCCGGGTTCACACCATTCTCCTGCCTCAGCCTCCCGAGTAGCTGGCTGGGACTACAGGTGCCCGCCACCGCGCCCGACTAATTTTTTTTTTTTTTTGTATTTTTAGTAGAGACGGGGTTTCACCGTGTTAGCCAGGATGGTCTCTATCTCCTGACCTCGTGATCCACCCGCCTCGGGCCTCCCAAAGTGCTAGGATTACAGAAGTGAGCCACCGCGCCCGGCCAGAGATGTCAATATTGTCAAGATGATGGTTCTTCCCAATTGATCTACAGACTCAAAACAATTCCTATTAAAAATCCAGCAGGATGGCCGGGCAGGATGGCCGGGCACGGTGGCTCACGCCTGTAATCCCAACACTTTGGGAGGCCGAGGCGGGCGGATCACGAGGTCAGGAGATCAGGAACATCTGGCTAACACGGTGAAACTCCGTCTCTACTAAAAATACAAAAAATTAGCCGGGCGTGGTGGCTGGTGCCTGTAGTCCCAGCTACTAGGGAGGCTGAGGCAGGAGAATGGCGTGAACCCGGGAGGCGGAGCTTGCAGTGAGCCGAGATCGCACCACTGCACTCCAGCCTGGGCGACAGAGCGAGACTCCGTCTCAAAAAAAAAAAAAAAAAACCAGCAGGAGAGCAGGGTAAAACTTAATTTGGTGTGATGGCACATGCCTGTAGTCCCAGCTACTCAGAAGGCTAAGGCGGGAGGATCCCTTAAACCCTGGAGTTCAAGGCCAGCCTCGGGGGAACATAGCGTGACCCTGTCTTAAAAATTAAATGGGTACAGGGTTTCAGTTTTGCAAGATGAAAAGGTTCTAGAGATCGGTTGCACAACAATGCACGTATAACTAACACTACTGGCCGGGCGCCATGGCTCACGCTTGTAATCCCAGCACTTTGGGAGGCTGAGGCAGGCGGATCACGAGGTCAGGAGTTTGACACCAGCCTGGTCAACACAGTGAAACCCTATCTCTACTAAAAATACAAAAATTAGCTGGGCATGGTGCCAGATGCCTGTAATCCCAGCTACTCGGGAGGCTGAGGCAGGAGAATCACTTGAACCTGGGAAGCAGAGGTTGCAGTGAGATCATGCCACTGCACTCCAGCCTGGATGACAGAGCCAGACTCCGTCAAAAAAAAAAAAAAAACAAAAAAACAAACAAAAAAAAAAAACCTAACACTACATACAATTAAAAATGGTTATGATGGTAAATTTTTACCACAATAAAAGAAAATCCAGCAGGCTTTTTTCTCTTTTTTTTTGGAATAACAAATGTTTATTCAGAAATGGATAAGTAATACATAATCACCCTTCATCCCTTAATGCCTCTTCCTCTCCTTTTGCAGAGGAGACACAGATGGGTAACGTAGGGGCATGGGAAGTGGAGGAGGACACAGGACTGGCCCACCACCTTCTCTTCCCTGTCTCCCAAGATGACAGCTTATAGAGTGGAGGAGGCAAACCGGTCCCCTCAATGTACCAGATGGTCACCTACAGCACCAGCTCCAGATGGCCACGTGGCTGCAGCTGGGCTCAATGAAACTCTGTGACAACCAGAACATACCTGCTTTGGGATTAGAGGGAGGGTAAAGCCATGCAGGCAGGATATTTACCGTCCCTACTCTAAGCGGAGTCCAAGCAGTGAGCCCCTTGTTCCCAGTACCTGAAAAACCAGGTCCTACTGCCTTCTGGATGCTCTCTTGGGCCAGGAAGGGTAAAGTGTGGGAGGAATGTCTTCCAGCTGCTAATGAGAAGTCTGCACACACTTGAAGGGGTTAAGAGAATAAAAAGCAGCATTCTTTAAAGAACTGGAAGTGGAGCACCACCAGGCCCCTTCCTTGGACTTTCCCGGCCTGGGCAGCCTCAGAGCCTGCAGACTGAAGCTGGGTTCAAACCCTGGGTCCTTCCTGCCTGACAGACTGACCTCTGGAAACATGAGTCTCTGGGTTTTTCTTCACTGGGCTAGCCTCAAGCAAGTCTTGGGAGCTCTGAAACATGAATCTCTGGGTTTTTCTTCACTGGGCTAGCCTCAAGCAAGTCTTCAGAGCTCTGAGTGTCTCCAGCATGCGCCTTTCCCAGCACTTGCTACTGATGTTGCAGAGCTCCCAGAACCCTGCTCCCCAACTGGCTCCAGCTCTGCCAGCCTGGATTCCCTTCACTCCCAACAAACCAGCAGGGGACCACTCAGTGACACCAGGGGCAACACTGGCCTGGTCATTCAAGGACTGCCGCTGGGCTCTATAGTTTTGTCCCAACTGCCTCCAGCAGGCTTTTTTATAGAAATTCACAAGCTGATCCTAAAATAGATATGGAAATGCAAAGGCCCCAAAAACAGCCAAATAATTTTGAAAAAGAACATGGTTAAAGGACTACTTCCCAATTTCAAAATGTGGTATAAAATTACAAAAATCAAAACAGTGTGATACTGGTATAAGGATAGACTTATGGATCAATGGAACAGAATTGACAGTCCAGAAATAAACGAAGTCTCGCTCTGTCACCCAGGCTGGAGTGCAGTGGCGCGATCTCAGTTCACTGCAAGCTCCGCCTCCCGGGTTCACACGATTCTCCTGCCTCAGCCTCCCGAGTACCTGGGACTACAGGCGCCCGCCACCACGCCCGGCTAATTTTTTGTATTTTTAGTAGAGATGGGGTTTCACCGTGTTAGCCAGGATGCTCTCGATCTCCTGACTTCATGATCCACCCACCTCAGCCTCCCAAAGTGTTGGGATTACAGGCGTGAGCCACCGTGCCCGGAGAAGTAAACTCTTTTTTTATTATTATTTTATTTTAATTTATTTTTTTGAGACAGAGTCTCGCTCTGTCGCCAGGCCGGAGTGCAGCGGCGCGATCTCGGCTCACTGCAAGCTCCGCCTCCCGGGTTCACGCCATTCTGCCTCAGCCTCCCGAGTAGCTGGGACTACAGGCGCCCGCCACCACGCCTGGCTAATTTTTTTGTATTTTTAGTACAGACAGGGTTTCACCGTGTTAGCCAGGCTGGTCTCGATCTCCTGACCTCGTGATCCGCCCGCCTCGGCCTCCCAAAGTGCTGGGATTACAGGCGTGAGCCACCGCGCCCGGCCACTAAACTCTTTTTTTAATGGTCCATTTATTTTTGACAAAGGTGCTAAAACAGTTCAATAGGGAAAGGGTAGTCTTTTCAACAAATAGTGCTGGGACAACTGGATATCCACAGGCAAAAAGAAAGATGGACTTAAACCTTCACCTCGGCCGGGTACAGTGGCTCACACCTGTAATCCCGGCACTTTGGAAGGCCAAAGTGGGCGGATCACCTGAGGTCGGGAGTTCCAGACCAGCCTGGCCAACATGGTGAAACCCTGTCTCTACTAAAAAAAATACAAAAATTAGCTGGGCGTGATGATGCACGTCTGTAATCCCAGCTACTCAGGAGGCTGAGGTAGGAGAATCGCTTGAACCCGGGAGGTGGAGGTTGCAGTGAGCTGAGGTCGCGCCACTGCACTGCAGCCTGGGCAACAGAGCCAGGCTCCATCTCAAAAAAAAAAAAAACCAAAAAAACAAAACTCACCCCAAACCATACACAAAAATTAAATCAAAATGGATCACATACCTAAATGTAAGAGCTAAAACTACAAACCTTTAAGAAGAAAATATAAAAGTAAATCTTTGTGACCTTGGGTTAGGCAAAGTGTTTTTTTTTGTTTTTTTTTTTTGAGATGGAGTCTGGCACTGTTGTCCAGGCTGGAGTGCAGTGGCGCAATCTCAGCTCACTGCAACCTCCGCCTCCCGGGTTCAAGAGGTTCTCCTGCCTCAGCCTCTCGAGTAGCTGGCATTACAGGCGCCTGCCACCATGCCTGGCTAATTTTTTGTATTTTTAATAGAGACTGGGTTTCACTATGTTGGCCAGGCTGGTCTCAAACTCCTGACGTCGTGATCTGCCCGCCTCAGCCTCCCGAAGTGCTGGGATTACAGGTGTGAACCACTGCGCCTGGCCGAAAGTGTTTTTATATATGACACGAAAAGCATGATCCATAAAAAAGAAAATAAATATATAAATTGACTTCATGAAAGTTAAAAACTTTTACTCTTCAAAGACACCAGTAAGAAAATGAAAAGACAAACTACAGACTGAGAGAAAACATTTACAAATCAAATATCTGATAAAGGACTTGTATCCAGAATATTTAAAAAAATCCAGAATATTAAAAAAAAAAAACCTCTTGCAACCCAATATTAAGGAGATAAATAACCCAATTTAAAAATGGGCTTGGTGCGGTGGTTCATGCCTGTAATCCCAACACTTTCGGAGGCCGACGTGGGAGGACTGCTTGAGCTCCAGAGTTCAGGATCAGCCCGGGCAACAGAGTGAGACCCTGTTTCTATTTCAAAAAAATATTTAAATTTTTCAAAAAAAAAAATGGGCACCCAGCTGGGTAAAGTAGCTCACACCTGTAATCCCAGCACTTTGGGAGGCTGAGGTGGGTGGATCACTTGAGCCCAGGAGTTTGAGACCAGCCTGGGCAACATACTGAGACCTTGTCTCTACAAAAAATTTAAAAATTAGCCAGGCATGGCGGCACACGACTGTGATCCCAGTTGAGATCCCTACTTGAGAGGCTGAGGTAGGAGGATCACTTAAGCCTAGGAGGTTGAGGCTGCAGTGAGCCATGATTATGCCACTGCACTCCAGCCTGGGTGACAGAGCGAAACTCTGTCTCCAAAAAACGAAAAAAAAAGAAAGAAAGAAAGAAAAAAAAGGGCACTAGCTTGGGCAATACAGCAAGATCCCATCTCTAAAAAAAAAATCCAAAATTGCCTGGGCATGGTGGCATGCCTCTGTACTCCCAGCTACTTGTGAGGCTGAAGTAGGAGGATCATTTGAGCCCAAGGGTTCAAGGCTGCAGTGAACTATGATTGCTGCATTCCAGCCTGGATGACAGAGCAAGGCCCTTTCTCTAAAAAGAAAATAAATAAAAATAAAAGTAGGCAAAATATTTGAATAGCCATTTTACCAAAGAAGAGATATGAATGGCTTAATGAGTATATGAAAAGATGCTGAACATCCATTAGTCATTAAAGAAATGCAAATTGAAACCACACCGAACTGGCATGGTGGCTCATGCCTATAATATCAGCACTGTGGGAGGCCAAGGCAGGAGGATTGCTTGAGGCCAGGATTTTGAGACCAGCCAGGGCAACACCGCAAGACCCCATCTTTCCTTTAAAAAAGAAAAAAAGCCGGGCGCGGTGGCTCACGCCTGTAATCCCAGCACTTTGGGAGTCCAAGGCGGGTGGATCACAAGGTCAGGAGATCGAGACCATCCTGGCTAACATGGTGAAACCCCGTCTCCACTAAAAAATACAAAAGATTAGCTGGGCATGGTGGCGGGCGCCTGCCTGTATTCCCAGGTACTCGGGAGGCTGAGGCAGGAGAATGGTGTGAACCCGGGAGGCAGAGCTTGCAGTGAGCTGAGATCGTGCCACTGCACTCCAGCGTGGGCGAAAGAACGAAGACTCCATCTCAAAAAATAATAATAATAATAATAATAAAGAAAAAAAACCATAGCCACTAGAACGACTATAGTAAACAAAGAGACAATTACAAATGTTGGTGAGGGGCCAGGCGCAGTGACTCACGCCTGTAATCCCAACACTTTGGGAGGCCGAAGCAGGCAGATCAACTGAAGTCAGGAGTTCGAGACCAACCCGGCCCACATAGTGAAACCAAGTCTGTACTAAAAATACAAAAAAAAAAAATTAGCCGGGAATGGTGGTGCACACCTGTAATCCCAGCTACTCGGGAGGCAGGAGAATCACTTGAACCCGGGAGATGGAGGTTGGAGTATGCTGAGATTGCACCATTGCACTCCAGCCTGGGCAACAGAGCAAGACTCTGTCTGAAAAACAAAACGAAACAAAAAACAAGGGTGGATGAGGATGTGGAGAAACTGGAGCCTTCTTCATATACTGCTGGTGGGAATGTAAAACGATACAGCCATTTTGGGAAACAACTGAAATGTTTCTCAAACTTTTTTTTTTTTTTTTTTGAGAGGGAGTCTCACTCTGTCTCCTAGGCAGGAGTGCAATGGTGCAATCTTGTCTCACTGCAACCTCCACCTCCAGGGTTCAAGCAATTCTTCCGCCTCAGCCTCCCGAGTAGCTGGGACTACAGACGCCCACCACCACACCTGGCTAATTTTTGCATTTTTAGTAGAGACAGGGTTTCACCATGTTGGCCAGGCTGGTCTTGAACTCCTGACCTCCGGTGATCCACCTGCCTCGGCCTCCCAAAGTGCTGGGATTACACGGGTGAGCCATCGCTCCCGGCCTGTTTCTCAAACTATTAAACCTAGATTTACCATAGGACTCAGCAATTGTACAACTAGGTATTTACCAAGAGAAATGACAATATGTTGTCATAAAAACTTGTACACAAATTTTCATTCGCAGAATTATTCACAATAGCCAAAAAGTGAAAACAATCCAAATATCTATTCAACTCGTGATGGATCAATAAAATGTGATATGAAATTTTATTCAACATCATGTTCATACATGCTATAACATGGATGAACCTCGAAATCATTATGCTAAATGAAATAAGTCAGACACAAAAGACCACATATTATATGATTCCATTTAAACGAAATGTCTAGAAAAGGCAAATCTTTAGAGAAAGAAAGTCCATTAGTAATTGCCTGGGACTGGAGATGGGAACAGGGATTGAATGAACATAGATGCAAAGGATTTATTTGGGGTGATGGAAGTGTTCCAAATCTGGATTGTTGCGATGGTTGCACAACTCTGTAAACTCACTAAAAATCATGGAATTGTGTATTCAAAATTGGTGAATTTTATTTTATTTATGTTTTGAGACTCAGTCTCACTCTGTTGCCCAGGCTGGAGTGCAGTGGCGCGATCTCAGCTCACGACAACCTCCACTTCCCAGGTTCAAGCGATTCTCCTGCCTCAGCCTCCCAAGTAGCTGGGATTACACTCCCGCGCCACTTTGCCTGGATAATTTTTGTATTTTTAATAGAGACAAGGTTTCACCATGTTGGCCAGGCTAGTCTCCAACTCCTGACCTTAAGTGATCCACTCACCTCGGCCTCCCAGAGTGCTGGGATTACAGGCGTGAGCCACTCCGCCTGGCCTAAAATTGGTGCATTTTATAGTATGTAAATTTAATATAAATAAAGCTTTTAAAAAAAAAGTATACTCATACTTGACTATGAATCCCACCTCTGCTACTTACTAGCTGTAGAATCTTGGGCATGTTATTCAACCTTTCTAGGACTGCTTTCTCACCTGTAAAATGGGAATAACAGGATCTACCTCATTGGATTTTGTGAGAATTAAATAAAGTTAATACTTGTTCGGGTGGTGCCAATAATTGTTAACCATTTTTTAAATTAATAAACATTTTATTTCCTATGACTTTTCTACTTCCAATAAATGTTTCTGACAATGAAGCATATTATTATTCTGCCTATTGACAATGGATTTTATTATTATTATTATTATTATTATTTTTGTAGAGACGGAGTCTCGCTCTCTCCCCCAGGCTGGAGTGCAGTGGCGCGATCTCGGCTCACTGCAACCTCTGCCTCCCGGGTTCAAGCAATTCTCCTGCCTTATCCTCCCGAGTAGCTGGGACTACAGGCGCACACCGCCACGCCCGGCTGATTTCTTTTGTATTTTAGTAGAGATGGGGTTTCACCGTGTTGCCCAGGCTCGTCTCGAACTCCTGAGCTCAGGCAATCCGCCTGCCTCAGCCTCCCAAAGTGCTAGGATTACAGGCGTGAGCCACCGCACCCGGCTGGATTTTATGATTTATTATTCATTTTTATTTTTGAGACAGGGTCTCCTCTGTTGCCCAGGCTGGAGTGCAGTGGCTTGATTATGGCTCACTGCAGCCTCAACCACCTGGGCTCAAGCGATCCTTCCACCTCAGTCTCCCTAGTAGCTGGAACTACAGGCGTGAGCCACTGTGCCCAGCTGATCTTTGTATTTTTTGTAGAGATGGCGGTCTCCCTATGTTGCACAGGCTGGTCTGGAACACCTGGGCTCAAGCGATCTTCCAGCTTTGGCTTCCCAAATTGCTAGGATTACAGTCATGAGCCACCACGCCTGGCCTAGATTTTTTTTTTTCTCTCTGAGACAGGGTCTCACTCTGTCACCCAGCCTGGAGTGCACTGGCGTGGTGTTGCCAGATTTTTTTATATATAGATAAAATTCACATGTCCTAAGATTCACCCGGTTAAACTGTACAATTCGCTGGTTTTTAGCATATTTACAAAGATGTGCAATCATTGCCACTATATAATTCCCCAGCATTTTAATCACCTCAATAGGTTTTTGTAATTGGCTGGTATATTTAGAATGGGGCCGGGCGCGGTAGCTCATGCCTGTAATCCCAGCACTTTGGGAGGCCGAGGCAGGCAGATCACGAGGTCAGGAGATCGAGACCATCCTGGCTAATACAGTGAAACCCCATCTCTACTAAAAATACAAAAATTTACCCGGGCGTGGTGGCACGCGCCTGTAGTCCCAGCTACCTGGGAGGCTGAGATAGGAGAATCGCTTGAACCCTGGAGGCGGAGGTTGCAGTGAGCCGAGATGGCACCATTGCACTCCAGCCTGGGGGACAAAGCAAGACTCCCTTTCAAGAAAAAAAAAAAAAAAAAAAAAAAAAAGAATGTAAGATTAAGGCCAGGCACGGTGGTACACGCCTATAATCTCAGCATTTTGCGAGGCTGAGGCAGGCAGATCACTTGAGGTCAGGAGTTCGAGACCAGCCTGGCCAACAAGGTGAAACCTTGTCTCTACTAAAAATAAAAAAAAAAAATTAGCTGGGCCTGGTGGCACACATCTGTAATCCCAGCTACTTGGGAGGCTGAGGCAAGTGAATTGCTTGAACCAAGGAGGCAGAGGTTGCAGTGAGCTGAGATTGTGCCACTGCACTCCAGCCTGGGCAACACAGCAGGACTCTGTCTCAAAAAAAAAAAAAAAAAAAAAAAGAATGTAAGATTCCAGGGAATACCTCCAATTTTCACCATCACTTAACTAATGCATGCATTTACTGAAACATAACTTCCTATTTTAGGTAAATTGTTGTACCTAAAATTTACGTGATATAAAGCACATGTTCATTTAAATTTTACTTAAGTATTCAATGAACACACAGATAACCTAAATTCTTTTTTTTTTTTTTTGAGACGGAGTCTCACTCTGTTCCCCAGGCTGGAGTGCAGTGGTACAATCTCAGCTCACTGCAACCTCTGCCTCCCAGGTTCAAGTGATTCTCCTGCTTCAGCCTCCCGAGTAGCTGGGATTACAGGCACGTGCCACCACGCCCAGGTAATTTTTGTATTTTTTAGTAGAGACGGGATTTTGCCATGTTGGCCAGCCTGGTCTCAAACTCCTGACCTCAAGTGATCAGCCAGCCTCGGCCTCCCAAACTGCTGGGATTACAGCGTGAGCCACTGTACCCGGCCCAGACAACATAAATTCTTATTTATTCACCTCTCCTTATATTTTTTTTCTGGTGTGAAATAGCTGTTTATAAAAAACAAACAACCCCATTAAAAAGTGGGCACAGAACATGAACAGACACTTCTCAAAAGAAGACATACATGCGGCCAACAAACATATGGAAAAAAGCTGAACATCACTGATCATTTGAGAAATGCAAATCAAAACCACAGTGAGATACCACCTCACACCAGTCGGAATGGTGATTATTAAAAAGTCAAAAAACAGCTGAGAGTGGTGGCTTATGCCTATAATCGCAGCACTTTGGGAGGCCAAGGCGGGCGGATCACGAGGTCAAGAGATGGAGACCATCCTGGCCAACATGGTGAAACCCTGTCTCTACTAAAAATACAAAAATTAGCTGGGCGTGGTGGCCCGTGCCTGTTGTCCCAGCTACTTGGGAGGCTGAGGCAGGAGAATCACTTGAACCCGGGAGGTGGAGGTTGCAGTGAGCTGAGATGGCGCCACCGCACTCCAGCCTGGTGACAGAGCGAGACTCAGTCACAAAAAAAAAAAAGAAAAGAAAAAGTCAAAAAACAACAGATGCTGGCGAGGTTGTGGAGAAAAAGGAACGCTCTTACACCATTCGTGGGGGTGTAAATTAGTTCAACCATTGTGGAAGACAGAGTGGCAATTCCTCAAAGCCCTAGAGGCCGAAATACCATTAGATCAAGCAATCTCATTACTGGGTATATAGCCTCTAAAATATAAACCATTCTGTTATAAAGATACATGCACACATATGCTCACTGCAGCACTATTCACAATAGCAAAGACGTGGAATCAACCCAAATGCTCATCAATGATAGACTGGATAAACAAAATGTGGTACATACACACCATGGAATACCATGCAGCCATAAAAAGGAACAACATCATATCCTTTGCAGGGACATGGATGGAGCCGAAAGCCATTATTCTCAGCAAAGTAACGCAGGAGCAGAAAACCAAATACCGCATGTTACCACTTATAAGTGGGAGCTGAGTGGTGAGAACACATGGACACATGCGGGGGAACAACACACACTGGGGGCTGTCTGACGGCTGGGGGTGGGAGGAGAGAGAGCATCAGGAAGAACAGCTAATGGATGCTGGGCTTAATACCTAGGTGATGGGATGATCTGCGCAGCAAACCACCATGGCACACAGTTTACCTATGTAACAAACCTGCATATCCTGCGCATGCACCCCTGAACTTAAAAGTCGGGGGAAAAAAAAGAGAGGTAGCAATTATCACCTTAATGAATTCCTTTCTTCACTTCTCATATTGTGCCTCACTTTCCCTAATTTTCCTCGTTTTTTCATTTATAATATTTATTTCCTAAATAATCAACCTTGATGAGTACTTATGAGTGAGTGAGCTTGGCTTCTCAGTATTTGTCATTGTGGCTTTCATATTATCCTTTCACTTCTTACTATACTTTTGCATAATAGTTGTCTAATAAGTGTTTATGGAAATAAATTTATCGCAAACAAAAGAAATAGCACTTTATGATAAAATTTGTACAGAAGTGCATGGCGACAAACAAACAAACAAAAATCACTCAACTGCTTTTTTTTTTTTTGAGACGGAGTCTCACTCTGTCGCCCAGGCTGGAGTGCAGTGGTGCGATCTCGGCTCACTGCAACCGCCGCCTCCCGGGTTCAAGCAATTCTCCTGCTTCAGCCTCCCGAGTAGCTGGGATTATAGGCGCTCGCCACCACGCCTGGCTAATTTTTGTATTTTTAGTAGAGACGGGATTTCACCGTCTTGGCCAGGCTGGTCTTTAACTCCTGACCTCGTGATCCACCCGCCTCAGCCTCCCAAAGTGCTGCGATTACAGGCGTGAGTCACCAAGCCCGGTCTCAACTGCTTTTTAACACAATGAAAAGTGGTTTAAGAATGTCTCAAAAATCTTTAAATTTGAAAATACCAATTGATCAGTAATCGGGGTTTTCTTGGGTCTGCGTCTTTAAAAAAAAAATACAGGGAAATTCGGACCCTTTTTTTTTTTTTGAGATGGAGGTTTGCTCTTGTTGCCCAGGCTGGAGTGCAATAGTGGGATCTCGGCTCACAGCAACCTCCGCCTCCCTGGTTCAAGTGATTCTCCTGCCTCAGCCTCTGGAGTAGCTGGGATTGCAGGTATGTGCCACCACGCCCAGCTAATTTTGAATTTTTAGTAGAGATGGGGTTTCTCCATGTTGGTCAGGCTGGTCTCAAACTCCCAACCTTAGGTGATCCACCCGCCTGGGCCTCCCAAAGTGTTGTGATTACAGGCGTGAGCCACCGCGTCCGGCCTAAAATTGGTGAATTTTATAGTATGTAAATTTAATATCAATAAAGCTGTTTTTATTTTACTTAATTATATTTTTTATTTTTTTATTTTTTTGATACGGAGTCTTGCTCTCTCGCCCAGGCTGGAGTGCAGTGGCGTAATCTTGGTTCAGTGCAAGCTCCGCCTCCCGGGTTCAAGGAATTCTCTGCCCCAGCCTCCCAAGTAGCTGGGATTACAGGTGCCCGCCACCACGCCTGGCTAATTTTTGTATTTTTAGTAGAGACAGGGTTTCACCATTTTGGCCAGGCTGGTCTTTAACTCCTGACCTCGTGATCCACCCGCCTTGGCCTCCCAAAGTGCTGCGATTACAAGCGTGAGTCACCGAGCCCAGCCTCAACTTCTTAACACGACGAAAAGTAGTTTAAGAATGTCTCAAAAATCTTTAAATTTGAAAATACCGATTGATCAGTAATCGGGGTTTTCTTGGATCTGCTTTTTTTAAAAAAAATACAGCGAACTTCGGACGCTTTTTTTTTTTTTGAGACGGAATTTCGCTCTTGTTGCCCAGGCTGGAGTGCAATGGCGGGATCTCGGCTCGCGGCAACCTCCGCCTCCTGGGTTCAAGTGATTCTCCTGCCTCAGCCTCTGGAGTAGCTGGGATTGCAGGTATGTGCCACCACGCCCAGCTAATTTTGTATTTTAAGTAGAGATGGGGTTTCTCGAAGTTGGTCAGGCTGGTCTCAAACTCCCAACCATAGGTGATCCGCCCGCCTGGGCCTCCTAAAGTGTTGGGATTACAGGCGTAAGCCACTGCGTCCAGCCTAAAATTGGTGAATTTTATAGTATGTAAATTTAATCTCAATAAAGCTGGCTTTTATATATATATATATACACACACACACATATACATATATGTATATACACACATATACATATATATGTATATACACACATATACACATAAATATGGAAATGCACACATATACACATATATGTATATACACACATATACACATATATGTATATACACACATACACATATATGTATATACACACATATACACATATATGTATATACACACATACACATATATGTATATACACACATATACACATATATGTATATACACACATATACACATATATGTATATACACACATATACACATATGTATATACACACATATACATATATGTATATACACACACATACATATATATGTATATACACACACATACACACATATGTATATACACACATATACACACATATGTATATACACACATATACACACATATGTATACACACACATATACACACATATGTATACACACATATACACACATATGTATACACACACATATACACACATATGTATACACACACATATACATACATATGTATACACACACATACATACATATGTACACACACACATATACACACATATGTATACACACACATATATACACATATATGTATATACACACATATATACACATATATGTATATACACACATATATACACATATATGTATATACACACATATATATATTCATACAGAGTCTAGCTCTGTCGCCCAGGCTGGAGTGCAGTGGCGCGATCTTGGCTCACTGCAACCTCCCCCTCCCGGGTTCAAACAGTCCTCTGCCTCAGCCTCCCGAGTAGCTGGGATTACAGGCGCTGGCCACCAAGCCCAGCTAATTTGTGTATTTTTAGCAGAGACTGGGTTTCACCATCTTGGCCATGCTGGTCTTTAACTCCTGACCTCGTGATCTACCCGCCTCGGCCTCCCAAAATGCTGCGATTACATGCGTGAGTCACCTAGCCTGGCCTCAACTGCTTCTTAACATAACGAAAAGTGGTTTAAGAATGTCTCAAAAATTTGAAAATACCGATTGATCAGTAATTTTGTTTTGTTTTATTTTGGTTTGGTTTGGTTTGGTTTTTGTTGTTTTTTTTTTTTTTGAGACGGAGTCTCACTCTGTTGCCCAGGCTGGAGTGCAGTGGTGCGATCTCGGCTCACTCCAAGCTCCGCCGCCCAGGTTCACGCCATTCTCCTGCCTCAGCCTCCTGAGTAGCTGGGACTACAGGCACCCGCCATCACGCTCGGCTAATTTTTGGTATTTTTTAGTAGCGACGGGGTTTCACCGTGTTAGCCACGACGGTCTCGATCTCCTGACCTCGTGATCCGCCCGCCTCCGCCTCCCAAAGTGCTGGGATTACAGGCGTGAACCACCACGCCTGCCCATCGGGGTTTTCTTGGATCTGCTTCTTTAAAAAAAATACAGCGAACTTTGGATGCTTTTTTTTTTCTTTGAGTTTCGCTCTTGTTGCCCAGGCTAGAGTGCAATGGCGGGATCTTTGCTCATGGCAACCTCCGCCTCCCGGGTTCAAGTGATTCTCCTGCCTCAGCTTCCCAAGTAGCTGGGATTACAGGCATGTGCCACCACACCTGGCTAATTTTGTATTTTTAGTAGAGAGGGGATTTCTCCATGTCGGTCAGGCTGGCCTGGAACTCCCAACCTCAGGTGATCCGCCCGCCTGGGCCTCCCAAAGTGTTGGGATTACAGGCCTGAGCCACCCCACTGGTTTTTTTTTTTTTTTTGAGACGGAGTCTCGCTCTGTTGCCCAGGCTGGAGTGCAACAGCTCGATCTCGGCTCACTGCAACCTCAGCCTCCTGGGTTCAAGCAATTCTCCTGCCTCAACCTCCCGAGTAGCTGGGATTACAGGCGGGCGCCTCACGCCCGGATAATTTCTTTAGTGTTTTAGTAGAAAAGGGGTCTCAACATGTTGGTCAGGCTGGTCTCAAACTCTTGACCTCAGATGATCCACCCTCCTCAGCCTCCCAAAGTGCTGGGATTACATGAGTGAGCCACCGCGCCCAGCCTAAAATTGGTGAATTTTGTAATATGTAAATTTAATCTCAAAAAGCTTTATTTTTTATTTATTTATTTATTTATTTTTGAGATGGAGTCTCGCTCTGCTGCCCAGGCTGGAGTGTAGTTGTGCGATCTCGGCTCACTGCAAGCTCCACCTCCCAGGTTCACGCCATTCTCCTGCCTCAGCCTCCCGAGTAGCTGGGACTACAGGCGTGTGTCACCACGCCTGGCTAATTTTTTGTATTTTTAGTAGAGATGGGGTTTCATTGCGTTAGCCAGGATGGTCTCGATCTCCTGACCTCGTGATCCACCCGCCTTGGCCTCCCAAAGTGCTGGGATTACAGGCGTGAGCCACCGTGCCCGGCTATTTTTTTTTTAAGAGTATACTCATACTTGATTATGAATCCCAGGTCTGCTGCTTACTAGCTGTAGAATCTTGGGCATGTTATTCAATCTTTCTTTTATTTTTATTTTTTTCCTTTGAGACAGAGTCTCACTTTGTCACCCAGGTCAGAGTGCAGTGGTGGGATCCTGGCTCACTGCAACCTCTGCCTGCTTCCTGGGTTCAAGCGATTCTCCGCCTCAGCCTCCTGAGTAGCTGGGATTACGGGCACCTACCACCATGCCTGGCTAATTTTTTTTTTTTTTTTGGTATTTTTTAGTAGAAACGGGGTTTCACCATCTTGGCCAGGCTGTTATCGAACTCCTGATCTCAGGTGATCCGCCCTCCTCGGCCTCCCAAAGTGCTGGGAATACAGGCATGAGCCACTGTGCCTAGCCGTTATTCAATCTTTCTAGGACTGTTTTCTCACCTGTAAAATGGGAATAACAGTATCTACCTCAATGGATTTTGTGAGAATTAATGTTAATACTTGCTCGGCTGGCGCCAGTAATTGTTAACTATATTATTTTTATTAATGTTTTATTTCCTGTGACGTTTCTACTTCCAATAAATGTTTCTGATCTTGAATTCCTAGGCTCAATGGATCCTCCCGCCTCGGCCTCCCAAAGTGCTGGGATGACAGGCGTGAACCACCGCGCCCGCCCATCGGGGTTTTCTTGGATCTGCTTCTTTAAAAAAAATACAGCGAACTTTGGATGCTTTTTTTTTCTTTGAGTTTCGCTCTTGTTGCCCAGGCTAGAGTGCAATGGCGGGATCTTTGCTCATGGCAACCTCCGCCTCCCGGGTTCAAGTGATTCTCCTGCCTCAGCTTCCCAAGTAGCTGGGATTACAGGCATGTGCCACCACACCTGGCTAATTTTGTATTTTTAGTAGAGAGGGGATTTCTCCATGTCGGTCAGGCTGGCCTGGAACTCCCAACCTCAGGTGATCCGCCCGCCTGGGCCTCCCAAAGTGTTGGGATTACAGGCCTGAGCCACCACGCCCGGCCTTTAATTAACAATGGATTTTATGATTTATTATTCATTTTTATTTTTGAGACAGGGTCTCCTCTGTTGCCCAGGCTGGAGTGCAGTGGCTCAATCACAGCTTACTGCAGCCTCAACCACCTGGGCTCAAGCGATCCTTCCACCTCAGTCTCCCTAGTAGCTGGGACTACAGGTGTTAGCCACTGGGTTCAGCTAATTTTTGTAGAGATGGGGGTCTTCCTATGTTGAGCAGGCTGGTCTGGAACTCCTGGGCTCAAGAGATCCTCCAGCTTTGGTTTCCCAAATTGCTAGTGAGAGGTGACAGCGTGCTGGCAGTCCTCACAGCCCTCGCTTGCTCTCGGTGCCTCCTCTGCCTGGGCTCCCACTTTGGCGGCACTTGAGGAGCCCTTCAGCCCACCACTGCACTGTGGGAGCCCCTTTCTGGGCTGGCCAAGGCTGGAGCCCACTCCCTCAGCTTGCAAGGAGGTGTGGAGGGAGAGGCCCGAGCGGGAACCGGGGCTGCATGCGGCGCTTGCGGGCCAGCTGGAGTTCCGGGTGGGCGTGGGCTTGGCGGGCCCTGCACTCGGAGCAGTCAGCCAGCCCTGCTGGCCCCGGGCAATGAGGGACTTAGCACCCGGGCCAGCAGCTGCGGAGGGTGTACTGGGTCCCCCAGCAGTGCCAGCCCGCCGGCGCTGCTCTCGATTTCTCACGGAGCCTTAGCTGCCTTCCCGCAGGACAGGGCTCGGGACCTGCAGCCCGCCATGCCTGAGCCTCCCACCCACTCCATGGGCTCCTGTGCGGCCCCAGCCTCCCCGAGGAGCACCACCCCCTGCTCCACAGCGCCCAGTCCCATCGACCACCCAAGGGCTGAGGAATGCGAGCGCACGGCGCAGGACTGGCAGGCAGCTCCACCTGCAGCCCCGGTGCCGGATCCACTGGGTGGAGCCAGCTGGGCTCCTGAGTCTGGTGGGGACGTGGAGAGTCTTTATGTCTAGCTCAGGGATTGTAAATACACCAATCAGCACCCTGTGTTTACCTCAAGGTTTGTGAGTGCACCAATCAACACTCTGTATCTAGCTGCTCTGGTGGGGCCTTGGAGAACCTTTATGTCTAGCTCAGGGATTGTAAATACACCAATCAGCACCCTGTGTTTAGCTCAAGGTTTGTGAGTGCACCAGTCGACACTCTGTATCTAGCTGCTCTGGTGGGGCCTTGGAGAACCTTTATGTCTAGCTCAGGGATTGTAAATACACCAATCGGCACTCTGTATCTAGCTCAAGGTTTGTAAACATACCAATCAGCACCCTCTCTTTAGCTCAAGGTTTGTGAGTGCACCAATCGACACTCTGTATCTAGCTGCTCTGGTGGGGCCTTGGAGAACCTGTGTGTCAAAATTCTGTATCTAACTAATCTGATGGGGACATGGAGAACCTTTGTATCTAGCTCAGGGATTGTAAATGCACTCGGCTCTACCAATCAGCAGGATGTGGGTGGGGCCAGATAAGAGAATAAAAGCAGGCTGCCCGAGCCAGCATTGGCAACCTGCTTGGGTCTGCTTCCACACTGTGGAAGCTTTGTTCTTTCACTCTTTGCAATAAATGTTGCTACTGCTCACTCTGGGTCCACGCTGCTTTTATGAGCTGTAACACTCACCGCGAAGATCTGCAGCTTCACTCCTGAAGCCAGCGAGACCATGAGCCCACCGGGAGGAACGAACAACTCCAGACGTGCTGCCTTAAGAGCTGTAACACTCACCGCGAGGGTCTGCAGCTTCACTCCTGAGCCAGCGAGACCACGAACCCACCAGAAGGAAGAAACTCCAGACACATCCGAAACATCAGAAGGAACAAACTCCAGATGCGCCACCTTAAGAGCTGTAGCACTCACCGCGAGGGTCCACGGCCTCATTCTTGAAGTCAGTGAGACCAAGAACCCACCAATTCCGGACACACTAGGATTATAGGCACGAGGCCACCATGCCTGGCCTGTATTTTTTTTTTTTCCTCTGAGACAGGGTCTCACTCTGTCAGCCAGGCTGGAGTGCAGTGGCGCTATCTCGCTGGAGTTGTTTTTTTTTGTTTGTTTTTGTTTTTGAGACGGAGTCTCGCACTGTATCCCGGGCTGGAGTGCCATGGCACGATCTGGGTTTACTGCATCCTCCACCTTCCGGGTTCATGAGATTCTCCTGCCTCAACCTCCCGAGAAGCTGGGATTACTGGCGCACAGTACCACGCCCGGGAAATTTTTTTGTATTTTTAGTAGACAGGTTTCACTATGTTGGCCAGGCGGGTCTCAAACTCCTAACCTCATGATCCACCTGCCTTGGCTTCCCAGAGTGCTGGGATTACAGGCGTGAGCCACCAAGCCCGGCCGGATTTTTTTATTTAGATAAAGTTCACATGTCCTAAGATTCACCACATTAAACTGTACAATTCACTGGTTTTTAGCATATTTACAAAGATGTGCAATCATCACCACTGTATAATACCCCGGCATTTTAATCACCTCAGTGTGTTTTTGTAATTGGCTGGTATAAATATTTAGAATCTAAGATTAAGGCGGGGCGTGGTGGCTCAGGCCTGTAATCCCAGCACTTTGGAAGGCAGATCACTTTGAAGTCAGGAGTTTGAGACCAACCTGGCCAACAAGGTGAAACCTTGTCTCTAGTAAAAATACCAAAAAATTAGCTGGGCGTGGTGGCGTACACCTGTAATCCCAGTTACTTGGCAGGCTGAAGCACGGGAATTGCTTGAATCCAGGAGGCAGAGGTTGCAGTGAGCTGAGATTGTACCACTGCACTCCAGCCTGAGCGAGAGAGCACGACTCTGTCTCAAAAAAAAGAAAAAAAAAAAAGAATGTAAGATTAAAGTGATTACCTCCAGTTTTCACCATCACTTAACTAATGCATGCATTTATTGAAACATAACTTCCTATTTTAGCTAAATTGTTGTACCAAAAATTTATGTGATATAAAACACGTATTCATATAAATTTTACTTAAGTATTCAATGAACACACAGATAACCTAAATTCTATTTTTTTTTTTTTGAGACAGTCTGGCTCTGTTGTCCAGGCTAGAGTGCAATGTCTCAATCTCAGCTCACTGCAACCTCCCCCTCCCAGTTTCAAGCAATTCTGCCTCAGCCTCCCGAGTAGCTGGGATTACAGGTAGTGCCACCACGCCCAGGTAATTTTTCTATTTTTTAGGAGGGTTTTTGCCAGCTCAGGATTTTGGTCAGGCTGGTCTCGAACTCCTGATCTCAAGTGATCAGCCCACCTTGGCCTCCCAAAGTGCTGGGATTACAGACGTGAGCCACCGCACCCGGCCCAGAAAACCTAAATTCTTATTCACCTCTCCTTACATTTTTTTTCTGGTTTAAAATAGCTGTTTATAAAAAACAACTCCATTAAAAAGTGGGGAAAGGACATGAACAGACACTTCTCAAAAGAAGGCATACATGCGGCCAACAAACACGGAAAAAAGCTCAATATCACTGATAATTCGAGAAATGCAAATCAAAACCACATGAGATACCACCTCACACTAGTCAGAATGGTGATTGTTAAAAAGTCAAAAAACAAAAGATGCTGGCGAGGTTGTGGAGAAAAAGGAACGCTCTTACACTATTTGTGGGGGTGTAAATTAGTTCAACCATTGTGGAAGACAGAGTGGCAATTCCTCAAAGCCCTAGAGGCCGAAATACCATTAGACCAAGCAATCTCATTACTGGGTATATAGCCTCTAAAATATAAACCATTCTGTTATAAAGATACATGCACACATATGCTCACTGCAGCACTATTCACAATAGCAAAGACGTGGAATCAACCCAAATGCTCATCAATGATAGACTGGATAAACAAAATGTGGTACATACACACCATGGAATACCATGCAGCCATAAAAAGGAACAACATCATATCCTTTGCAGGGACATGGATGGAGCCGAAAGCCATTATTCTCAGCAAAGTAACGCAGGAGCAGAAAACCAAATACCGCATGTTACCACTTATAAGTGGGAGCTGAGTGGTGAGAACACATGGACACATGCGGGGGAACAACACACACTGGGGGCTGTCTGACGGCTGGGGGTGGGAGGAGAGAGAGCATCAGGAAGAACAGCTAATGGATGCTGGGCTTAATACCTAGGTGATGGGATGATCTGCGCAGCAAACCACCATGGCACACAGTTTACCTATGTAACAAACCTGCATATCCTGCGCATGCACCCCTGAACTTAAAAGTCGGGGGGAAAAAAAAGAGAGGTAGCAATTATCACCTTAATGAATTCCTTTCTTCACTTCTCATATTGCCCCTCATTTTCCCTAATTTCCCTCATTTTTTTCATTTATAATATATATATATTTTGAGACGGAGTCTCGCTCTGTCACCCAGGCTGGAGTGCGGTTGGCGCGATCTCAGCTCACGGCAAGCTCCGCCTTCCGGGTTCACGCCATTCTCCTGCCTCAGCCTCCGGAGTAGCTGGGACTACAGGCGCCCGCCACCACGGGCGGCTAATTTTTTTTTTTTTTTGTATTTTTAGTAGAGACGGAGTTTCACCATATTGGCCAGGCTGGTCTCGAATTCCTGACCTCGTGATCCACCCGCCTCAGCCTCCCAAAGTGCTGGGATTACAGGCGTGAGCCACCGCGCCCGGCCTCATAATATTTATTTCCTAAATAAGCTAACTTGATGACTACTTACAAGTATTCTAAAGTGAGCTTGGCTTCTCAGTATTCGTCATTGTGGCTTTCATATTATCTTTTCACTTCTCTTTACTATACTTTTGCATAATAGCTGTCTAACAAGTTTTTATGGAAATAAATTTATTGCAAACAAAAAAGGAAATAGCTGTTTATGATAAAATTTGTATAGAAATGCAAGGAGAAAAACAAATCACTCAACTGCTTTTCAACACGACGAAAAGTGGGTTAAGGTCTCAAAATTCTTTAAATTTTAAAATACCGATTTATCGGTAATCGAGGTTTTTTTGGATCTGCTTCTTTAAGAAAAAAAAAAACAAAACACACACACACAAACCAGCGAACTTCAGACGCTCTTACGACACCTAGCTATATTCACTGGGAACGCAATCTAACGTCACCAAGGCCCACCTCCCGGGCCCTAGAAATCGCTCTCTGGGAACAAGCTGGGGACTTTGATTTTGCTAGCCCTGCCCCTCTGAGCCCTTCACCAAACTTCCGCGCGGGGGCGCCCGCCCCACCTCCCGCCGGGGCTCAGCACGCGGCCTTCTCCCAGCCAAGAGCCCCGTCATAGGTGGGCGCCGACCCCGAGCCGATCTCGCTTTATTAAATTACAGAAATCGGTATTCAAAAAAAAAAAAAAAAAAGGGCGGGGAGGACACTCCCTCTTCTCTGTTCCCACACCCTAGCTGATTCCCAGGTTTCGGGAAACTCCACAGGAAACGGAAATGGTCTCTCCCAGGCCAGCGCGCGCGCCGGGTTGCATCACCCGCCTCGCACGGGCCGGCGGGGCGGGGGTTTGGTGGCTGCCCTCAGTATTGCCTGCACAAATATCTACCAGGTCTGCGACGAATAGCTCCAGCAACTTCGCACCGTGTTTTCCACTCAGCCTACCGACAGGCACTGTGCAGATTCAAGCGGAGAGATGTCCAAGCAGTGAGGCCGCTGCTGCACCGGCCATCCTGAGCCCCTACTCGGCCTTCCCGTCTCCGCTTCCCCGCCCCGCACTAGGACCCCTGCAGATGATCAGGCGGCAGCCGGGGTGATTTCCTTCCTCTTTTGGCAACATGGCGGGCGGAGAAGCTGGAGTGACTCTAGGGCAGCCGCATCTTTCGCGTCAGGATCTCACCACCTTGGTGAGGTTTTGCTTGGGGAGGATGCAGAGTGAGCTCAGGAGTGGAGGTGACCGAGCCTCCCGGTGGTATTGGGACTAGTCAGTGTCGGGAGCATGGGTCAGGAGCCTGGGTCAGGAGGGAGACCTGGAACTGGGCGCCCTAAGCCATGCTCGCGCCGCCTGTACCCAGGCCAGTCCACGATCTGGGCGCAGGCGTGTACGGTCGTGGGACTTCTAGCTTCTGGAGGGTTCGGCTGGAAAGTCTTGATGTTGATTGTCATGGTTTCAGCCTCTGAACGTCTGGGAAGGGGGTGTCCTGTCTGCATTACTTTTAGTGCTAATGTTCCCAAGATTGGGGGGATCTCTGACTTCCAGATATCCCCTAATAGTTGAGTGGAGGTGTAGTCTGTTGTGTAATGATGAAGGGCTCTTAACAGCTTCCCAGCCATAGGAGTACAAAGTTACTGATAGGGAAAAGGAGCTTTAGAAGTAGTGGAAAGCTGTGCAGATGGTGGCAAGATGTAGATAGCAAACGTAAAGTCAAAGGAAAAGTTCTCATTTGTTTTACGTGCAGTGTTTTAAAATATATTTCATTGCAGGATGTTACCAAGTTGACGCCACTTTCACACGAAGTTATCAGCAGACAAGCCACAATTAACATAGGTAAGAGTAACTTAAGAGACCTAACCTTGGTCTCCAACAATTAATTTTAACCTCACTTTTTGTGTGATTACTTGAATAGTATGAGGATTCAGATATTCAAGAAATAGATACTGAGTCCTTGTGAATAAAGCATCTGCTACATTTGCGGTGCAGGGGGAGCACAAAGAATGCTGCCCACATGTAGCTTACAGACTCGGTAAGAAGAAAAAATGGAGACATAAGAAAAGTTTAATAGCATAAGGCAGTATGTAGTCATATGTAGCAGAAGTTTAAGGAAGAGGTGAAAAATGTGGCTGTACTTGACACACAGGATTATTTCAAGGGCAGAATTTATGAAAGTTTTATTTGATGTACAAGCTGTGATTAAATAGAAGGTTTTTTTTCTTAATTGGCACCTAGAACTTTAGAGGAGAAGTTACGTTGACTGAGTGTAAATTTTGGACATTTTGAGTTTGTACAAACAGCACAGTTTGTACGAAAGTAAGTTAAAAAGTACAGAAGTAAGTTAAAAAGTAAGACTAGTTTTTAACCTAGTTAAAAAGTAAGACTCCACCATGAGGCTATTAAAGTTACAGTATTACAGTCTGGAGCTTTAATTTATTAATGCAAACAAAGCCCAAATAAGCCTACAGGCCTTGAACTACTGCCCCTGCATTAAAAATTTTGGTTGAGGTGACCTTGGAGCATAACCTAACCTCCGAACAACCTATGCTAAGACTATACCAGTTAAAGCAAATTACTGTGCATATATTGACCCAATAATTTGATCAACGGAACAAGTTGCAATTAAACTTAGGTTGTTTCCTTGTTTGTTCACAGATCCCTTTTTGTTGTGTCAGGGCCCATCATACCTGTTTAATCTGGAAATGCTGGAAGGTTCCTTAATATATAAAGTTCTGGCCGGGTGCAGTGGCTTATGCTTGTAATCCCAGCCCTTTGGGAGGCCAAGGCAGGTGGATTGCTTGAGCCCAGGAGTTGGAGACCACCTGGGCAACGTGGCCAAACCCCATCTCTACAAAAAATACAAAAAATTAGCTGTGCGTGGTGGTGCATGCCTGCAGTCCCAGCTACTAAGGAGGCCGAGGTCGGAGGATTGCTCAAGCCCAGGTGGTTGAGGTTGCAGTGAGCTGTGATCAGGGCATTGCATTCCAGCCTGGGCAGCAGCAGGAGACCCTGTCTGTCCCAGAGTATATTTTTTAAGTAAAGCTGTTAGTTACATGGAAGTTTCTCTTAAGTCCTATATGAGAACACGTTTCTAGTAGGAAGGGGTATGGAGGAGGAAAAATTGAAGTCACTGTTGGTTTTATGTTGATATTTACAGCAAGTTATGGCTTTGGCTTTAATTGTATTTATTTATTTATTTATTTATTTGCGACGGAGTCTCGCTCTGTTGCCAGGCTGGAGTGCAGTGGCACGATCTCGGCTCACTGCAGCCTCCACCTCCTGGGTTCAAGTGATTCTTTTGCCTCAGCCTCCCCAGTAGCTGGGACTACAGGCATGCGCCACCACGCCCAGCTAATTTTTGTATTTTTAGTAGAGATGGGGTTTCACCATGTTGGCCAGGATGGTCTTGCTCTCTTGACCTTGTGATCCACCCACCTCGGCCTCCCAAAGTGCTGGGATTACTGGCGTGAGCCACCGTGTCCAGCTGGCTTTGGGTTTTCTACTCTTAACACTATTTGAAAAAATATTTGGTATGTAATTAAATACACATGAATTAATTTTTTGAACTTTGTCCATAGGTACAATTGGTCATGTAGCTCATGGGAAATCCACAGTCGTCAAAGCTATTTCTGGAGTTCATACTGTCAGGTTCAAAAATGAACTAGAAAGAAATATTACAATCAAGCTTGGATATGCTAATGCTAAGGTAAGCTGTGTACTGTGGAACGAGAAACTAACTTTAATTGTTGTGCAGATAACAAATCAAAATCTTTTTTTATTGAAATTTTAGATTTATAAGCTTGATGACCCAAGTTGCCCTCGGCCAGAATGTTATAGATCTTGTGGGAGCAGTACACCTGACGAGTTTCCTACGGACATTCCAGGGACCAAAGGGAACTTCAAATTAGTCAGGTGACCTCTCTTTTGCTACAAACACTACACTTTATATTTTATTGTCTTCTGTTTTGTGCTTTTTGAAATATCGAGGTGTTAAACGGTGAACCTAATGGCTAAATGGTTTTGTTGTTTTTCCATTGTTTATGTTTTTATGGGAAATCTGAAAAGTCAAGCATCTAAACCTAAGTTAAAATACTTACATGCAATTTCTCCAAACTAAAAGTATCACTTAAACAAAACAGAAAAACAACTCATTGGATTGAAGGGATTCTTTTTCTAGGCTTCCTGAATTTCTTTTAAACAGCGCTGTTTCTGTATGTTAAATAGGAGAGAAACAGAGCCATTTCTAATTACTTCTCTAAAACACTTGAACTTGTTCCCCATCTGTTTTCTGAATATGATTGCATACCTGTTTTTTTATCAGGATACTGACACCTGTCTAGTGATGTTTATGGGGATTGGAGATGCCCTACAAGGAATGTTTAGATTGGGGCAGGGCTGGGACCAGGGAGGGACAAGTGAGGCCTTCACCTCAAGCCCAAAATGTAAGTGGGCCTGGCGGTGGCAGGTATGCCAGAAAACTCAGTAATTAGGATAAATATTTTAATGCAGTGTTTTTTTTAAATTAATGCAAAAAATGTGATAAATCAGAATTTTAAATAAGGGCAGACTCTATTACTAAATTTTTTTCCCCTTTTGCTTTGGCTCAGCATGGCATTGTATTTTGTTTATGATTGATTTTTTGCATTAATTTCGACTTTTTAAAAATACTGAATGCATATATTTTTTTTTCTTTCTTTTTTTTTTTTTTTTTTTTGAGACAGTCTCTGTTGCCCAGGTTGGAGTGCAGTGGTGCGATCTTGGCTCACTGCAGCTTCCACTTCTGGGTTCAAGCAATTCTCCTGCCTCAGCCTCCCGAGTAGCTGGGATTACAGGCGTGAGCCCCCATGCCCAGCTAGTTTTTATTTTTATTTATTTATTTATTTATTTTTGAGACGGAGTCTTTCTGTGTCGCCAGACTGGAGTGCAGTGGTAGAGACGGGGTTTTACCATGTTGGCCAGGATGGTCTCGATCTCTTGACCTTGTGATCCGTCCGCCTCGGCCTCCCAAAGTGCTGGGATTACAGGCGTGAGCCACTGTGCCCGGCCTAGTTTTTATATTTTTAGTAGAGGTGGGCTTTTGCCATGTTGTATAGGCTGGTCTCGAACTCCTGGCCTCAAGTGATCTGCCCGCCTCAGCCTCCCAAAGTGCTGGGATTACAGGCATGAGCCTCCATGCCCGGCCATTTTCCTTGATTACTGAGTTTTTTGGCAGTCTCTTAAATTTTGCACTTGTCTCACTGTAGTCCTGGCCTTTAATAGGGGATCAGCAAACTTTTTCCACAAAGGGCTAGGTAGTAAATATTTTCAGCTTTGCAAGCCATAGAGTTTCTGTTGATTCTGTTCTTCTATTACAGAAGCAAACGTAGACAATACGTGTGTAAATAGGTATGGTGGTGGGCCAGATTTGGCCTAAGGGCTGACCTCTGTTTTAGATCATGACAATGTGAGCATGCGATTAAAAAAACAATTGTGACTCTGAATGAATACCATAGTTTTGTTAAAAGTGCTGCCATCTCTGCTTCAAATGGGCAATTCTAGTTTTTCAAGGTGTTAGAGGTATTTTTGGAAAATTGTTTTTTTTTTTCTCTTTTTTTTTTGAGACGGAGTTTCACTCTTGTTGCCCAGGCTGGAATGCCATGGTGCTATCTTGGCGCATTGCAACCTCCACCTCCTGGGTTCAAGCGATTCTCCTGCCTCAGCCTCCCAAGTAGCTGGGATTACAGGCATGCACCAGCTACATGTGGCTAATTTTGTATTTTTATTAGAGACCGGGTTTCACCACGTTGGTCAGGCTGGTCTCAAACTCCTGACCTCAGGTGATCCACCTGCCTTGGCCTCCCAAAGTGCTGGGATTACAGGTGTGAGCCATTGCGCCCAGCCAGAAAATTGTTTTTTCAAATTCTCATTCTGTTAACGTGGTTTTTATAAGTCATTATAAGTTTTAGCTTTCAAATCAATGACATTCTCAGTATATACTCTCCACCATTATTCTATACCATATTCATTTTCATTGGATTTTGGAGTTTATCTTCCATTCTGCACATAACTAATTTAATTTGCTTTGTAATCTGCAGTGGTTTTCATCAGCTGGTGAACTTATTTCCAAGTTCTAGAAACGACAAGCCCTGTAACCATTTTATAGCAATAAGATTATTTCCTAAGTTGATTTAACTTTAAAAAATCTAAAACTAGCATGTGTAAGTAGTGATTTATGTTAAGGCTGATTGTTATTTCTCAATCATTAGACATGTTTCCTTTGTTGACTGTCCTGGCCACGATATTTTGATGGCTACTATGCTGAACGGTGCAGCAGTGATGGATGCAGCTCTTCTGTTGATAGGTAAATACCTCACAATTGGTTTGGACAAATCAATGTGGAACAAATCCAAGATGAAATATTTAAAGGGGAACTAAGGCCTTTAAGGATCATATCTATTACCTAAGGGTGACATGAATGGGAACTAACATGTCATCCAGGATGACTTTCCTACCTATCAGCTATCACAAAATACTCAAAAAGATAGACTTGGGGCTGATAGCTTGCGAGAATTCTTGTGGTAGCATTTGAGAAAAAGAAAAAAAGTCAATAGTTCATTTTTCTCATTTAAATCACATGAGGTGATTTATTTAGTTTTAAATGTATGTGTAAAACTATTTGTGTTATGGTTTGTGTGTGTGTATGTCTGAACTGTCTACTGTGGAAGTATTTAAGATACAAATATTCATAATACGTGCTGAAGTGTAGGAATAAGTGGAGTTTTGAAGGGTAGCGTATGCTTTGTTTCTTATGTTAGCTGTTGAGAGATTTCATTACTAGGGGGTAAAATTTTTTAAAAGCTGCTGGTGCGGTGGCTCACGCCTGTAATCCTAGCACTTTGGGAGGCTGAGGTCGGCGGATCACCTGAGGTCAGGAGTTTGAGACCAGCCTGACCAACATGGAGAAACCCCCTCTCTACTAAAAATACAAAATTAGCCGGGTGTGGTGGCGCATGCTTGTAATCCCATCTACTCAGGAGAATCTCTTGAACCCGGGAGGCAGAGGTTGCAGTGAGCCAAGATTGCGCCATTGCACTCCAGTCTGGGTAACAAGAGTAAAACTACATCTCAAAAAAAAAAAAAAAAAAAAAAAGCGACTGGGCATGGTGGCTCATGGCTGTAATCCCAGCACTTTGGGAGGCCGAGGCAGGCGGATCACTTGAGGTCAGGAGTTCAAGACCAGCCTGGCCAACAGGGCGAAACCCTGTCTCTGCTAAAACTACAAAAAATTAGCCAGGCTTGGTGGTGCGTGCCTGTAATCCCAGCTACTTGGGAGGCTGAGGCACGAGAATCGCTTGAACCCAGGAGACAGAGGTTGCAGTGAGCAGAGATCGAGCCATTGCACTCCAGCCTGGGCGACAGAAGGAGACTCAGTCTTAAAAAAAAAAAAAAAAAAAGCTGGGTGCGGTGGCTCACACCTGTAATCCCTGCACTTTGGGAGGCCAAGGCAGGTGGATCACTTGAGGTGTCAGGAGTTTGAGACCAGTCTGGCCAACATGGTGAAACCCTGCCTCTATTAAAAATACGAAAATTAGCCGGGTGTGGTGGGGCACACCTGTAATCACAGCTACTCAGGAGGCTGAGGCAGGAGAATCGCTTGAACTTGGGAGGCGGAGGTTGCAGTGAGCCGAGGTGACGCCACTGCACTCCAGCCTGGGTGACAGAGACAGAGTGAGACTCAGTCTCAAAAAAAAAATTTTTTTTTTAAAGCATGCCATGTTGGTATAGTCAGGACACTTGAATATCACGACTTGAGGAGGTTGATCATTAGAGTGCTCAACAAAACATGCCTATTTCTTTATAATACACTGTTGGTTATCTTCACAATAGCATTCTTCCCTCCCTCAGTTGAAGAGTAGCCTCTGATATTAGTAAAAATTCATAGACAGTATTAAGTGCTTTTCCCTTTTAATTACTCTCTACTTCTCAGGAGCTTGCCTGGGCCAGAACATTTCTAAAACTGGAGAGAGTTAGAGGGCTATACCTCATACCTGAGCAAAAGCTGAGTGCAGACCCTGAGAAAAGCCAAACTTGCTGATTTTAAGCTTCTTGCTTAGGACCAGGATTGGGAGCCACACAATTGGGAGGTTCCAGTGAATGCAGGCAACAGAGGATGAAGCAGGGCCAAAAGGTGGATACCTGGCAATAATATCTTCCTTATTAGGGTTAGAACATTCAGAAGTCTCCTTTATTAGATGCCAACTTTTTTTGGGGCGGGGAGTGGGTGGCAAAAGAGACTCATAAAATGTACCATTTTATGTATTTACAGGGTAGAATTTAGTGGCATTAAGCACATTGACAATTTTCTACAACATAGTGGTTGTCATTTCACCACTATCTAGTTCCAGAACTTTTGTATCAGAACTTTTGTATCACCGCAAAAGGAAACCCCATGCCCATGAAGCGTCAGTCCACATGTTTTCCTCCCCCAGCCCCTTGCAACCCATAATTTGCTTTGTCTCTTTATGGATTTGCCCGCCTATTCTGGATATTTCCAGCTATTCTTATATGCATCTTTTTTATTCTTCATCAACTAGCTGGTAATGAATCTTGCCCTCAGCCTCAGACATCGGAACACCTGGCTGCTATAGAGATCATGAAACTGAAGCATATTTTGATTCTACAAAATAAAATTGATTTGGTAAAAGAAAGTCAGGCTAAAGAACAATACGAGCAGATCCTTGCATTTGTCCAAGGTAAGAAGCCATAATATGAAATAAATCTATGAATCACTTTGAGAGGCATTTACTCTGGATACCAGATGTTAAATTAACTTTTAATATATTATCTAAAACAAGGTAAACTTACAAGTCTTAAGCCTTATCGCCCTACCTTTTGCTTGTTAGTAACCTGATATAACTAATGAAACCTGTGATTCTGAATTTAATATACTAAAGTATATTTTTGCTGGCAGCAAGTTAGAACTGAGGTTGTTTTCTGGAAACTTTATCAATCAGATTAAAAAAAATCTCAGTGACAGTAAAATGAATAAAATAATTTTAAAAAACCTTGTCTTACAGTATTTGTTACTGAACAGCTTTCAGATTTGGAAGTGACAGTGATTATTTAATCTCTAGAGTGTCGGCCGGGCATGGTGGCTCACACCTGTAATCCCAGCACTTTGGGAGGCTGAGGCAGGTGGATCATCTGAGGTCGGAAGTTCGAGACCAGCCTGACCAACACGGAGAAACCCCATCTCTACTAAAAATACAAAATTAGCAGGGTGTGGTGGCACATGCCTGTAATCCCAGCTACTTGGGAGGCTGAGGCAGGAGAATCGCTTGAACTTGGGGGGCGGAGGTTGCGGTGAGCCGAGATCACGCCATTGCACTCCAGCCTGGGCAACAAGAGCGAAACTCCATCTCAAATAAATAAATAATAAATCTCTAGAGTGTCCCTTCTCTAATAGCATAATGTTTTTCATTTCAGAGGAGATGTGATTTATTGTTGACATTTTCTCTCTCAGTCTTGTTTTTCTTTTTAGAAAGGTTAATTTCTTATGAACTCAGTTCTGTCATCACGAGAAGTAATAAGTGAATTTGATTAAAGTCTAATTGTGTTTGGTCTATTTCTTTGACTAGCTTGTTTGACGTATAATCAATACGTAGCAAATATATATGGTTGGGCGTGGTAGCTCACACTTGTAATACCAAGACTTTAGGAGGCTGAGGCGGGTGGGTCACTTGAGTCCAGGGGTTCAAGACCAACCTGGGCCACGTGGTAAAACTCTGTCAATACAAAAAATTAGCTGGGCTTGGTGGCACACACCTGTGTTCCCAGCTATTATGTAGGAGGCTGAAGTGGGAGGATCGCTTGGGCCTGGGAAGTGGAGGTTGCAACAAGCCGTGATTATGCCACTGCAGTCTAGCCTGGGTGACAAAGCGAGACCCTATCTCCAAAAAAAAAAAGTATATATGCCAGCAGTCTTTGATTAGCAGAGTCTGTAATTTTATCTTGACATTTATTGGGAGATTAATTACATGTTGTTAGAAATTTTTTCAACTAGTAGAGTGCTCTTTCACAGGAATGTTAGTATTTTCTTTATTTAAATAAGTTTATCATTGTACTAATATTAAGTATGTCTACTAATATAATGTAACAAATTTTCTCTTACAGGGATTTGTATTCATTTTCAGGAGTAAAAACAAACAATATTGCCATCTTTCTAAACAGAATTATCCACTTTCCACTTGTTGCTGACATTTATATGGGGTTTAGGCATCTATTTTATTATAGTAATCTTAATTGTTTTATGTAACAGATACATAGAATAAATTTTATAAAACTGTATAATTTTGATCTTTCTAAATTTTGTCATATAGGTACAGTAGCAGAGGGAGCTCCCATTATTCCAATTTCAGCTCAGCTGAAATACAATATTGAAGTTGTTTGTGAGTACATAGTAAAGAAAATTCCAGTACCCCCAAGAGACTTTACTTCAGAGCCCCGGCTTATTGGTAAGTGATAGGATTTGCCTTTAACTCTTAATCTGATCTTTTCCACATTGGTGATTCCTCTTCAAGGATGTTTATTAATATTTCCTCTTTCTGCAGAGGTGATAATTCATACAATTTTTTTGAAATCAATTCTGAGATTGTATTGGCAGTGCTAGATTGTATTACTGAATGAGGGACAGAGTCCTGAACACAGTAAGAACTGTTAACCTAAGCCGGGCGCAGTGGCTCACGCCTATAATCCCAATACTTTGGGGGGCCGAGGTGGGTGGATCACCTGAGTTCAGGAGTTTGAGACCAGCCTGATCAGCATGGTGAAACCCTGTCTCTACTAAACATATAAAAAATTAACTGGGCATGGTGGCGGGTGCCTGTAATCCCAGCTACTCGGGAGGCTGAGGCAGGAGAATGGCGCGAACCCGGGAAGCGGAGGTTGCAATGAGCTGAGATCGCGCCATTGTACTCCAGCCTGGGCAACAAGAGTGAAACTGCGTCTCAAAAAAACCCAAAAACAACTGCTAACCTTTCTGTGCTTAATATATGGTACATGATCAAGATGGAGTAATACAGTATTCTCCATGGAATCATAATGTTTTAGGGTGTTAGAACTTCCTGACTAAAACATTTACAGATGATTTTGTTGTTCAATTAACGAAGAACTGATACTGGTATAATTTGATCACCTAGGCTTGTGGTTCCTACACGGGGATGTAGTAGCCTTCTCGAAACAGACATTTGAGCTCCTCTGGCTTTCATCCGAGCTTCTGGTGTTTAGTAGGAAATAGTCTCCGAAGTGCAGGTCATGTAGTCCTAGTGTTTTATAGTTATAAAGCTGAATTGTTCTTACAGGAGTTACAGAGGTCTATAAAGAAAATGTCCATAATCTCTCTGTCTTCAAGTTCTAGTTCCTTAGCCCTAAAGTCAGCAAAGTTAACATTTGGTGTCCATTATTCCCACACTTTTCTCTTTGTTCATATCATCGTGTATAAACATATACACAGGCTGGGCATGGTGGCTTTCACCTGTAATCCCAGCACTTTGGGAGGCTGACGCTGAGGTGAGAGGATTGCTTGAGGCTAGGAGTTCAGGACCATCCTGGGCATTAAGGGAAGACCCCATTTCTACAAAAAATAAAATATTACAGCTGGGTGCAGTGGTGTGTACCTGTAGTCCGAGCTACTCGGTAGGCTGAGGCAGGAAGATTGAGCCCAGGAATTTGAGGCTGCAGTGAGCTATGATTGTGCCACTGCACTCCAGCCTCTATGATAGAGGGAAAAAAAAATCCATATACAGACATTGATTATTTTATTTTTCTTTATGGAAGTGGGATTATATTATGCGTGTAATTTTTATAACTTTTCTTAACAGTATGTGAGGGTCATCCTTCCAGATCATTACATATAGCTCTAACATTGTTAATAGCTGCGTGATGCTCTATAATACTGGTATACCCTATATGCCACTTATTAATAAACTTAAGTTACTTTCATTTTTTCCATCATAAGTAAGACTGCTTAATCATTGGAATAATAATAGATTTTGTTAAAAAGGCACCCCTTTGGTATAAATCTCAAATGGCCACTATTTTAGAAACATTAACATGGAAAATAATATTTCTTCTAAAGTTAAGATTAACAGAACTGACTTTAATTTGTTTTATTTTAGTTATTAGATCTTTTGATGTCAACAAACCTGGCTGTGAAGTTGATGACCTTAAGGGAGGTGTAGCTGGTGGTAGTATCCTAAAAGGAGTATTAAAGGTAAAATGGGTTTTGGTTGTTGTGATTTTGGGTTTTTTTTTTTTGTTGTTTGTTTGTTTGTTTTATCCTTGTCTTAATCAGGAAAAAAAGTATGGACAATCCAAATTGAAAAATAAAATTTTTTCCATGGTTTCTGGTATTTGATGTAGAGTTCTCTTTTTTAATATTCTTTTTTTCTCTCTTCAAACTTCACTCCTCCCACCCTTCTAGACCTCTGAATCCACAATCTACCTTCATGAGATCCACCTTTTTAGCTTCCACATATACAGATGAGTGAGAATGTGTGATATTTGTCTTTTTGTGCCTGGCTTATTTTACTTAACAAAATGGCCTCCAATTCTAGATGTGCTGCTGCAAATGGCAGAATTTTTTTTTATGGCTGCATAATACTTCATTGCATATATATATATGCTGCCATTGCTTTTCTTTTCTTTTTTTTTTTTTTCTTGAGGCGGAGTCTTGCTGTTTCGCCCAAGCTGGAGCGATCTCAGCTCACTGCAACCTTCACCTCCTGGGTTCAAGCGATTCTCCCTGCCCCAGCCTCCCAAGTAGCTGGGATTACAAGCACCCCCCACCATGCCCAGCTAATTTTTGTATTTGTAGTAAAGACAGGGTTTCACCATGTTGGCCAGGCTGGTCTTGAACTCCTTACCTCAAGTGATCCACCCGCCTCGGCCTCCCAAAGTGTTGGGATTATAGGCGTGAGCCACTTTGCCCGGCCTATATACTGCATTTTCTTTATCCATTCATCTGTTCATGGGCACTTAGGTTGATTCCATGTTTGGCTATTGTGAACTGTGCTACAATAAACATGGGAGTGCAGATACCTCTTTGATAATATTGCTTCCCTTTCTGGTGAATGTATACCCACTAGTGAAACTGATGGATCATATGGTAGCTGTATTTTCAGGTTTTCAAGGAACCTCCATACTGTTCTCCATGGTAGCTATACTAATTTACATGCTCTGATAATAGTTTTTTTTTTGTTTTGTTTTTTGAGCACAGTGGCATGATCTTGACTCACTGCAACCTCCACCTCCTGGGTTCAGGTGATGATTCTCCTGCCACAGCCTCCCGACTTGCTGGGGCTACAGGCACTCGCAACCTCGCCCAGCTAATTTTTTTGGTAGAGATGGGGTTTTGCCATATTGGCCAGGCTGGTCTCTTAACTCCTGACCTCAGGTGATCTGCCTGCCTCAGCCTCCCAAAGTGCTGGGATTACAGGCATAAGCCACCACGCCCAGCTATATTTCTTTGTTTTCTGTTATGTCTTTTGAATGTGTCTGACTTGAAAATTTATAGACTTGTAAGTATGGAGCACATTTGATGTGGTAATAGACTTGTGTGGTGGGTAGTTAACAACAGTTGGATGGTTCTGGTTTTGACAGTCTCGTTCACATCTTTTTTTTTTTTTTTTTTTAAGAATAATGATCTTTGAAATACAGGAATGATTGCCTTTTCAGTTTTATGGTCTTCCGGTTGGACCTTTATTATTATTTTATTTTATTTTATTTTTGAGACAGAGTCTCTCTTTGTCACCCAGGCTGGAGTGCAGTGGTGCGATCTCGGTTCACTGCAACCTCTGCCTCCCAGGTTCTAGCAATTCTGCCGCAGCCTCCTGAGTAGCAGGGATTACAGGTGCGTGCCACCACACCTGGCTAATTTTTGTGTTTTTAGTAGAGACGGGGTTTCACTATGTTGGCTGGGCTGGTCTCGAACTCCTGACCTCAGGTGATCCACCCGCCTCGGCCTCCCAAAATGCTAGGATTACACATGTGAGCCACCGCACCCAGTCCCTGTTGGAACTTTTGATAGGTAAATGATAATTTTGCGTAACACAGTAATTCTAATTACTAATTATATGTTTACAGGTGGGCCAGGAGATAGAAGTAAGACCTGGTATTGTTTCCAAAGATAGTGAAGGAAAACTCATGTGTAAACCAATCTTTTCCAAAATTGTATCACTTTTTGCGGAGCATAATGATCTGCAATATGCTGCTCCAGGCGGTCTTATTGGTAAGGATTTTTTTCTCATCTCTTTTAATTTGTGGCTATTTGTGGTACTTTTCATGGGGGATGGATTACCAAAAGGGACATATTACAGATTTTTAATTGGGTATTTTAATAATAGAGTAGGGTGGGGAACAATCATGTGGTTAAGCTCTTGTTTTAGGTTATAAGATGGTTTCATGGGTTTGTAAAAATTATTTTTAAACACAAAGGATACATTTTGATCAAATATAGAGTAACTCCTTTTTAGCAATATAAAAAAATAAATTTGATGACTTATCATGTAAGATATTTACCTACACTTATGTTTTTGTTAACATGATTTTTGTGCTAGATAATGGTTGCCTTTTTTTTTTTTGGGAGATGGAGTCTCGCTGTGTCCTCCAGGCTGGAGTGCAGTGGTGCAATCTTGGCTCACTGCAGCCTCTGCCTCCCAGGTTCAAGCAATTCTTATGCCTCAGCCTCCCGAGTAGCTGGGACTACAGGCACATGCTGCCAGGCCCAGCTAAGATTTTTGTATTTTAGTAGAGACGGGGTTTCACCGTGTTGCCCAGGCTGGTCTTGAACTCCTGAGCTCAGGCAGTCCCCCTGCCTCGGCCTTTCAAAGTGCTAGGATTACAGGCGTGAACCACCATGCCCGGCCATGGTTGCTTTTATGTATATTTTGCAAATGGAAAATTACCTACAAATGTCAGTTGAATGATATCAGGTCGTATTTCCAATGAGGTAGAAATAAAAGAAAGTAAATTTCTTTGTGTAGCAATTACTGAAGTGATTTAAAAACTTTTCTAGTCCCTTACAACTTAGTGTATTACTCAATACCCAGAAAAATGAAAGATTCAGTGAGAATTAGAAGGGGTGTTGTACCTTTAGATTAAAGAAGAAAATGTTTGGTAAAGAAACAGTTAATTCTTCACCCAATAAGTTGTGTCTCTGGTTGAAAATTTTAAAAAGGAAATAAAAGAAAACAAAAAAATGAAAAAGAGTTTACCAGGTTGGCTGGGCGCAGTGTCTCATGCCTGTGATCCCAGCAATTTGGGAGGCTGAGGTGGGTGGATCGCTTGAGCTCAGGAGTTTGAGACCAGCCTGGGCAACATGGTAAAACCTTGTCTCTACTAAAAATACAAAAGTTAGCTGGGTGTGGTGGCCCACGCCTGTAATCCCGGCTACTCGGGAGGCTGAGGCATGAGAATCGCTTGAACCCAGAAGGCGGAGGGTGAGCCGAGATCACACCAGTGCACTCCAGCCTGGGTGACAGAGTGACACTCTGTCTCAAAAAAAAAAAAAAAACAAGAAGAAAAGAAAAGAAAAAATGAATTTACCAGGTTGGGTATGGTGGCTCATGCTCATAATTCCAGTGCTTTGGGAAGCTGAGGTGGGAAGATTGCTTGAGACCAGGAGTTTGAGACCAGCCTAGGAAACCATGAGATGCCATTTCTCCAATAAAATAGTAAGATTAGCTGGGTTTGGTGGTGTGTGCCTGTAGTTCCATCTATCATTTTATCTTTTGTGTGCATGTGTGTGGTAAACAAGGGAAATCTGGAAACTTTTTAAAAATTTAACTTAAGGAACTTTTTTAATTTCTTTTTTTTTTTTTTTTTTTTTTGAGGCAGAGTCTCATTCTGCCACCCAGGCTGGAGTGCAGTAGTATTATCTCGGCTCGCTGCAACCTTTGCCTCCTGGGTTCAGTTAATTCTCCTGCCTCAGCCTCCCGAGTAGCTGGAACTATAGGCACATACCACCACAGCCAGCTAATTTTTGTATTTTTAGTAGAGATGGGGTTTCGCCATGTTGGCCAGGCTGGTCTCGAACTTCTGGTCTTAAGTGATCTGCCCTCCTTGGCCTCCCAAAATACTGGGATTACAGGCGTGAGCCACCACACTTGGCCTAAGGAACTCTTTAAACATAGGATAGAATACTGTAATGATAACCCCCATAGAGCCATCACTCAGCTTCAGCAATTATTAATGTTTTACCAGTCTTGGCTGGGCGTGGTGGCTCATGTCTGTATTCCCAGCACTTCGGGAGGCCGAGGTGGACGGATCACCTGAGGTCAGGAGTTCGAAAAACCCTGTCTCTACTAAAAATACAAAAAAAAAAAAAAATTTAGTCAGGTGTGGTGGCACATGCCTGTAATCCCAGCCTGTAATCCCAGGTCACAGTGAGCCGAGATCACACCACTGCACTCCAGCCTGGGCGACAGAGACTGTGTCTCAACAACAGCAGCAAAAAAAAGTTTTCCCAATCAATCTTGCTCCATCTATATATCTTCTTTCCCCTACTCCCCTCAAGACACAGCTAGAATATTTTGAAGTAGATCCCAGGAATCATATGTAGTTTTTTTTTTTTTTTTTTTTTTTGAGAGTCTCACTCTGTCGCCCAGGCTGGAGTGCAGTGGCACGATCTCGGCTCACTGCAACCTCTGCCTCCCAGGTTCAAGTGATTCTCCTGCGTTAGCCTCTCGAGTAGCTGGGATTATAGGTGTCTGCCACCATGCCCAGCTATTGTATTTTTAGTAGAGATTGGGTTTTGCCATGTTGGCTAGACTTGTCTTGAACTCCTGACCTTAGGTAATCCTCCAACTTGGGCCTCCCCAAGTGCTGGGATTATAAGTGTGAGCCACTGCGCCTGGCCCATATGTAGTCTTTAACTATCTTTTCAATCAGTCTTTCAGGGGAGAAATGGCATGCAGGTATTCTGCAAACTACTCATTTTGAATTTTGTATTCTTTCGGTCTTTGTTAAGGATATTCGGACTCATTTTGAGTTCACTTATTATCTCTATTTGCCCTTTGTTTAGAATTTATTGTTTTCAAGACCAGGTCAGTAATACTTACCATCTCCTGCATTAAGTTCTCAGCCAAGCCATCATTCCTAGAAAATCAGATTTCTAAACCCTTTGTTTAGAATTTAAATCAAGAGAATCGTTCTGTTCTCATTTGCCCAGTCATCTCATGAGTGTATATTTCTATTTGTCTAGATAAAACAGGTATTTTCTTGTACCTATATAGCTATTATATGAGTATAAAAATAAAAGTATGAAAGTGTGTAGGTATATGCTGTGCTTATATGGCTTTGGGGTATCTAATTCACTTTTTTTTTTTTTGGAGACAGAGTCTCACTCTGTCACCCAGGTTGGAGTGCAGTGGTGCGATCTCGGCTCACTACAACCTCTGCCTCCTGGGTTCAAGTGATTCTCCTGCCTCAGCCTCCCAAGTAGCTGAGACTACAGGTGCACGCCGCCACGCCTGGCTAATTTTTTGTATTTTAATAGAGACAGGGTTTCACCGTGTTGCCCAGGCTGGTCTTTAACTCCTGAGCTCAGGCATCCACCTGCCTCGGCCTCCCAAAGTGCTGGGATTACAGGTGTGAGCCACTGCACCTGGCCAACTAATTCACTTTATAGGTGTTTTAGGAAATAAAAAATTGAGCTATATACATCTTATTTTTATATAGGAGTTGGAACAAAAATTGACCCCACTTTGTGCCGGGCTGACAGAATGGTGGGGCAAGTACTTGGTGCAGTCGGAGCTTTACCTGAGATATTCACAGAATTGGAAATTTCCTATTTCCTGCTTAGACGGCTTCTAGGTGTACGCACTGAAGGAGACAAGAAAGCAGCAAAGGTAAATGCTTTTTTAAAAATTCCTGTTTCTAAAAAAGTGACAAATGGGAGTGTTAAACCAGTGTTGAGTTTTATTGTTTTACAGTTAACATGAAATTAAGAAAAAAAGAAAAGGTAAATAAATTTGACCTCCCCAAAATTGAGGGTTTTTTTTTTTTTAATTTAGAGATGGAGTCTCTCGCTCTGTTGCCCAGGCTGGAGTGCAGTGGCGCGATCTCGGCTCACGGCAACCTCCACCTCCTGGGTTCAAGCAATTCTCTTGCCTCGGTTTCCCAAGTATATGGGACTACAGGCACGCACCAGCACGCCCAGCTAATTTTTGTATATTTTAGTAGAGATGGGGTTTCACTATATGTTAGCCAGGCTGGACTTGACCTCCTGACCTCAAGTGATCCGCCCGCCTTGGCCTCCCAAAGTGCTGAGATTACAGGCATGAGCCACTGCGTCCGGCCAAAATTGAGAACTATATGGCAGTTAGTTTAAGAAAGAAACTTAATAAACAGGGAAAAGTATTAGCCATTTATGACAAAGACATGATATTCCTAAAATCCATATTTTTGTTTTGTTGTTTATTTTGAGACAGAGTCTTGCTCTGTTGCCCAGGCTGGAGTGCAGTGGTGCGATCTCGACTCACAGCAGCCTCGATCTCCCAGCTCAAGCCATCCTCCCACCTTAACCTCCTGAGTTGCTGGGACTACAGGTGTGGGTCACCACGCCTGGCTAATTTTGTATTTTTTGTAGAGACGGAGTTTTGCCGCATTACCCAGGCTGATCTCCAACTCCTGGGCTTGAGCAATCTGCCCACCCCAGCCTCCGAAAATGCTGGGATTAACAGGTGTGATCCACTGCGCCCAGCTTCATGATTTTTAAAAAATGTCCCAGATTAGGTTGGCAGAGATGGGAAATTGCTGACACCTAGTGTTGGCAAAGATTGAGGAAAATAAGCTATCATGCTTTTTTTTCCCCCCACTCAGGTGATCTGCCTTCCTCGGCCTCCCAATGTGCTGGGATTACAGGCGTGTGCCACTGCGCCTGGCCCATATTAACTCTTATATAGCCATAGTCCTTCATGCTCCCCTCTTTGGGAAATTTTGTACCTCATTTGTACTAGGTAACTGCTTCAGAATTTTAAGAGGTACTCTGGTACGGTTACTACCCTATTTTTTAAAGGTAGATCTTGTGTAAATTCAGTGGGTGCCAAATAAACTATACTATATATAGTTCAAATTCCTTTACAATGAAATTTCTATAGAATTTTTTTTATGATTGACATATTTCCCAATAGTATTTGGTAAATTCTTACTTACATTTGGAAAGCATTTTCTTGATTTTGGGGTTTATTTTTCCCTAATTTATTTTTCTAGGTTCAAAAGCTGTCTAAGAATGAAGTGCTCATGGTGAACATAGGATCCCTGTCAACAGGAGGGAGAGTTAGTGCTGTCAAGGCCGATTTGGGTAAAATTGTTTTGACCAATCCAGTGTGCACAGAGGTAGGAGAAAAAATTGCCCTTAGCCGAAGAGTTGAAAAACACTGGCGGTAAGTTTGTTAGTCTTTGCCACTGTCTAATTAAAAAAAGACACAGTCTTGTACAGAAAAAAAAGCACACAATCTTCCTTGAGGACAACAGTTACTGTGGCTTTCAGTCTCAACTATTTATTTGGATGACTTTGAAAACTATACTTCGGCCGGGTGCGGTGGCTCACGCCTGTAATCCCAGCACTTTGGGAGGCCTAGGCGGGTGGATCATGAGGTCAGGAGATCAAGACCATCCTGGCTAACATGGTGAAACCCCGTCTCTACTAAAAAATACAAAAAATTAGCCGGGCGTGGTGGCGGGCGCCTGTAGTCCCAGCTACTCGGGAGGCTGAGGCAGGAGAATGGCGTGAACCTGGGAGTCGGAGCTTGCAGTGAGCCGAGATGGCGCCACTGCACTCCAGCCTGGGCGACAGAGCGAGACTCCGTCTCAGAAAAAACTACAACCTTGACTATAGTCCCATATTTTAGTCCAAATACTGTGATTGGCTTCTCTTCCTGTTAGACACAACCTATGCAAAACCAAATGAATTTGGGTTCGGTATTTCTATCGTCATTGGCTTTGGAAATCATTTCACACTTAATAGAAAAATTGTAAGAGTTTTACAGAAAACTCCTCTATAGCTTTTTCCTAGATTGACAAACACACATACAGATTTATTTACATATATAAGTTTTTTTCTGAACCATTTGAGTGTAGGCTATATATGTTATGCTTCTTGATCTCTTAATACTTCAGTGTATATTTCCCATCAAAAAAGGATATTCTTATGTAACCACTTAGAAATTTAACATTGGCAAAATACTGAAATCTACAGTGCATGTTTCAGTTTTATTACTTGTCCCAATAATGTACTTTATGTTCCTCCTGTTTAGAATCTTGAATTGCATTTAATTTCATGTCTCTTTGATCTTTAATCTGGAGCTTTTTCAGCCTTTGTCTTAATTGACATTAACAGTTCTGAAGAATACAAACTAGTTACTTTATAGAATATTCCTCAATTTGGGTTTTTCTTATCATTCGGAAGCCTAACATTAGATTCAGTTATATATTCTTAACTTAAATACACCGTGAAGTCTCCTTTTCAGGAATCACAGCTAGAGGCACATGATATCTGACTGCTCCTCTTTGTTAAGGTTAGTTTTGACTATGTAGTCAAGATGTTGTCCAGCTTCTCTGCTGTGTAGTTACTCTCTACCCTTGCAACTAATAAGCAATCTGTAGGGAGATCTTTCTAGCCAGTACAAATAGCCTGCTGATCATTGAATCCCACACCCCTGGATGTAGCATCCACTGATGATTCTTGCCTGAATCGAACTTGACTATAATGATTACAAAATCATAGCACCTCTACGGGTTGCAGTATCCTCCCTCAACTCTACCACCCCACATTTATCATTTGGCATTCTTTCTTTGCCATTATTTATTTCCCTATCTAGTTATAATATGGACTCATGGAGTCCTATTTTATTCAACATGTTATGATCCATCACTGTCTTCCTTTATTTTGATGTGCATTGTTCGACGTTTGGCCAGTGGAGGTCCTTCAGGCTGGCTCTTGTGTCCTTTTGACATGTACTCATCATTTTTTTTTCTTCTTCTTTTTTTTTTTTTTTTTTTTTGAGATGGAGTCTTGCTTTGTCGCCGGGGTAGAATGCAGTGGCATGATCTCAGCTCACTGCAACCTCTGCCTCCCAGGTTCAAGCAATTCTCCTGCCTCAGCCTCCCGAGTAGCTGGGACTACAGGCACACGCCACCACACCCGGCTAATTTTTGTATTTTCAGTAGAGACGGGGTTTCACCACGTTGGCCAGCCTGGTCTTTAACCCCCGACCTCAGGTGATCCGCCCTCCTTGGCCTCCCAAAGTGCTGGGATTACAGGCATGAGCCACCACGCCTGACCTCTTTCTTCTTTTTTTTGGAACATTTCCTTATTTTCTGGCACAAAATCTTCCAGACTCATCTTGTACCTTCTCTGTTCCAGTTTTAGAACTGGCCATTTCTCTTATAAATGAAAAGCTGAGTGTTCAGGTGTGCTCATGGCTCTTAGGGTGCTGTTGCTTCTAGGTCTTTTGAGAGCATAGAGCCAGGAAGCATACACACATTTTTGGCTCCTGACTTTTTGCTCTTTCCCAGGTTATTGAGTTTGCCCCTTGCTTTCCATTCCTCGTCACCTCATCACAGTCCATACCACCATCACTTTACACTTCACAGTTAGTGCGAAAGACTCCTAGTTTGCCTCTTAACTTGGTCAAAATTAGTCTTCTTAAAACATTTTCATCATGCTGTGTTTAATAATTTCTAGAGTCTTCTCACTACTTTTTGATATTTGGGACTTTTCTAGAAACCTGCTTCAACCCATTTAAGCTTTCCTTCTGCATTGTCTTATATAAACCCTCTAAATTAGACTGTTTTGTGCCCTAACTGTCCCCATAATTATTCACATCACCCCTACCCACTATCTACTTCCTTAATTATTTATTTTATATTTTTTAGAGGCAGGGTCTCTCTGTTGACCAGGCTGGAGTTTAGTGGCATGATCATAGCTCACTGCAGCCTCAGTGTCTAAGTAGCTAGGACTATTGGCTCACACCACCGTGATCAGCTAATTTTTTTGTTTTTTGTAGACACTTGGTCTCACTGTGTTGCCCAGCATGATCTCAAACTCCTGGCCTCAAGCCATCCTCCCACCTCAGCCTCTCAAAGTGTTGGGATTACAGACATGAGCCACCCCGCCCAGCCCTGTTTCCTTTATTAAGGCTTCCATGCTACTGTGCCCACGATGGTCTCATCACTTGTCCAGGAGATTTATCTGAATTATTGCCCTGTAATTTAGAAAGTTAAATTTTTGTTGTCTCTTAAGTAAATAATTATTTGTGGTGACTTATGCCCTTTTGATTTTACTGTCTTTTGTGATTATATTTTTTTGCTATTACAGACACACGACTTCCAGTGTATTTTGAAATAGATTTAAGCAATAAACTTTCAGTCCAGGCACGGTGGCTCATGCCTGTAAGCCCAGCACTTTGTGAGGCCGAGGTGGGCGGATCACTTGAGGCCAGGAGTTCGCAACCAGCCTGGCCGACATAGTGAAACCCCATCTCTACTAAAAATACCAAAAAATCAGCCGGGCATGGTGGCGCATGCCTGTAGTCCCAGCTACTCGGGAGGCTGAGGCATGAGAATTGTTTGAACCCAGGAGCCAGAGGTTGCAGTGAGCCGAGATCGTACCACCGCACTCCAGACTGGGTGACAGAGTGAGACTGTCTCAGAAAAAACACACAAAAGCAAGAATAAAAAAGAATCTAAGAATATAGTGTGGGCTTTCTTTATGGAGGAGCAGGCTTTGGGAACAAATTTGAATTCAGAAGATAAGCAGGTAAAATTTATCACAAGATTGTGTGGTAATGAGAGTGAAGTGGATGTAAGATTTATGATTTCTTTTATTTTCATTTTGCAGTTTAATTGGTTGGGGTCAGATAAGAAGAGGAGTGACAATCAAGCCAACAGTAGATGATGACTGAAGAATACCAGTTAAATAATACATTCGGATGGATTTGGAAGTTGGAATTCCTCTTAACAACCAAGGGGTTTATTTTCAAAGCAATATTGGGGAATTGATTTCACAGTTCGTTACCTTAGTAGGTAACGGTAAGGTTATTCTCTTTTTTTTTTTTTTTTTTTTTGGTTATGAAAACTTAGGGACTAAAATTAATATAAAAATTGGCATAATGTTGGATTGAATCTACATTTTGGCAGAAGTTAAACATTCCCACATAATGTCAAAATTATACATCATGCAGTTCTGTTTTTTTGTTTGTTTTATTTTGTTTTGTTTTTGAGTCTGGCTCTGTCACCCAGGCTGGAGTGCAGTGGCGTGATCTGCAACCTCTGCCCCCCGGGTTCAAGCGATTCTCCTGCCTCAGCCTCCCGAGTAGCTGAGATTACAGGTGCGCGCCACCACACTTGGCTAATTTTTGTATTATTAGTAGAGACGGGGTTTCAGCATGTTGGCTAGGCCGGTCTCTCCTGACCTCAGGGTGATCAGCCCACCTCGGCCTCACAAAGTGCTGGGATTACAGGCGTGAGCCACCTTGCCCAGCCCACATCATACAGTTTGAAATGAAACTTTGCCACAACCAGCCTTTGCTGTAGCACACACATATATCACTGAACCTGTTTGAAATAAAGTTTTTTTTCTTTTTCATGATTCGTCTTTGAGTACCTCCAGGCTGAAAGACTGTTGTACCAGTAAAAACTTAAAGGCACAAATTCTCCTTGAAGACCTTCTCCCTTTTATGTGGCCCCATATTTTATGTTGCTTTATCTTTGAAATTTTGCATGAAAAGGAAATGAATGGATTCGAATGAAATTGTCCTTTAGAGCATGATTACTTGTTCCCATGGACAAATATTTTTCTCCCCTTGCTCTTCCTGGCCTGAAACACGGGAAACCAGAGTCAAAAGTTATCTCCCTCTCCCTGTGATGCCTTGAGATTTTTTTCTGCGTTGTTTAATGCCTGAAATCCAAGTCTTCCTCCATGGGAAAATACTGTTATACCAAATAATTCTAGATGAGTAACAAAGATCTTTTTAGGCCTTCATTTTATGTTTTTTCTTAACTGTTATATTATGATTGTGACATAGATTATACTACTACTAATTTTTGGATGTTTCAAAAGGTCAAGAAGTAAAAGATGTTAGAAAGCAATGAGTGAGTCCTTTTGATTTTTAACTTATTCCCCATGTCCCTATACTTCGTGTGCTTTTCCTTTTTTTTTTTGAGACGGAGGCTCACTCCGTCACCTAGGCTAGAGTACAGTGGCACGATCTTGGCTCGCTGCAACCTCTGCCTCCCTGATTCAAGTGATTCTCGTGCTTCAGCCTCCCATGTAGCTGATATTACAGGCACTTGCCACCATACCCGGCTAATTTTTGTATTTTTAGTAGAGATGGGGTTTCACCATGTTGCCCAGGCTGGTCTTGAACTCCTAACCTCAGGTGATCCGCCCGCCTCTGCCTTCCAAAGTGCTGGGATTACAGGCGTGAGCCACTCTGCCCGGCTTATTTTTCTTTATGTTTTTGCTTCGTAAGAGGTTCTGTTGAGCAGTGATTTGCAACTCTTGCTGACGTTGCTGGGGAAGCTTTAAAAAAAAAAAAGATGCCCCACAGAGATTCTGATTTTAATTGTTCTGATTTAATTGGCTTGGAGTAGAATTCAGGCATTGATATCTTTAAAAACTCCCCAGTGTTGAGAAACAAATTTAGAGAGTTGAGAAGTAGGTATATTAAATTACAGAATCTTACTGAGTTTTGGTAGACTGATAATACAATTTGCTTTGCTTTTCTTAAATTTGCATTGAGATGGGATTTGAAGCATATTGTGCTCTTGTGAATGTTGAAGTTGCATTGTAGAAGTTTAGAAGCTCTGGCTATGGGTTGCCTAAATTGATGTTTTGAGGAAGCATATTAATGTTATAAACTTCGCTGACTTTGAAGGTTGTGTTGTAGCATGAGGAACACAAATAAAACAATTCTAAATCAAACTAATTTTATATCTAACATGTCCCCATGTGTTTTGTAGGTACCTTCTACCAGAAATTTTGGAATAAGACTTAAAATATAGACATTGTAATTAATCTCATGTAAGATTTGAAACCAGAATTCTATTATAATTAATTTCAGACATCCACATGAATTAGCAAATTTGTAAAGCACTGTACTGAGTGTAATGGGCATATACAGATAGGAAGTAAATGGACCTTATTTTAATAGAACTTGAAGCCAGAGCAGTGATTCTTAGCAAGAGATGTACCTAGTTGAGAATGTGCCTGTAATGTTTCTCATGAAAGTACATTACAGCCAGGTGTGGTGGCTCACGCCTGTAATCCCAGCACTTTGGGAGGCTGAGGTGGGCGGATCATGAGGTCAGGAGTTCGAGACCAGCCTGGCCAACATGGCGAAACCCTGTCTCTACTAAAAATACAAAAGTTAGCCGGGTGTGGTGGCAGGTGCCTGTAATCCCAGCTACTCTGGAGGCTGAGGCAGGGGAATCGCTTGAACCCAGGAGGTGGAGGTTGCAGTGAGCTGAGGTCACACCATTGCACTCCAGCCTGGGTGACAAGAACAAGACTCCATCTCAAAAAAAAAAAAAAAAGTATATTGCATATGTAAATCCTCTTGGCTCTACTGTCAAGATATTTTCAAAATCTTTTTAGTTCTGATCACTTCCACTGCTACCACCTTAGTCAAAGCCATCAGTGACTCTCACCTGGACTAGCCTTCTAACTGTCCTGCTTCTGCACTTGCCCTGCTGCAGTCTGTTCTCAACACGATAGCCAGAGTCCCTGTTTTTTAGAGAATACTACATACAACTCTGTGATAGTAAGGTGTAAAAGTTAGCCTCACAGAAACGGGGGGCATGAAGACAGACTAGCTGTGACATCTTCCAGGTGGTTTTGAAGCCGACCTGGAAAGCTCTCGGTCTCATATCTGACTTCCAAAGAGGATGCCTGTGTGTGCTTGTTTTTGCAGAGGCAACGTGACTTTTATTCTAATAAGGATATGCAAATAACTGCACTCATAAAACAAATCCCATTTCTAGAAAAACTTGATAGGGTGATGATTCCAGTGAAATGGGTACTTTTTGGAAATAGTATTTTAAAAATTTTAATTACCTAAAATGAAGCAGATACCCTTAAAAGATTAATAACCATGAAACAGGTGATTCAGAAAGTACCTCTGCTGGGCCGGGCACGGTGGCTCACACGTGCAATCCCAGCACTTTGAGAGGCCGAGGCGGGTGGATTACCTGAGGTCAGGAGTTTGAGACCAGCCTGGCCAACATGGCGAAATGCCGTCTTTACTAAAAATACAAAAATTAGCTGGGTGTGGTGGCATGCGCCTGTAGTCCCAGCTACTCAGGAGGCTGAGGCAGGAGAATCGCTTGAACCTGGGAGTTGGAAGTTGCAGTGAGCTGAGATTGTGCCACTGCACTCCAGCCTGAGTGACAGAGTGAGACTCCATCTCAAAAAAATAATAAATTACCTCTGCTGGCCGGGCGTGGAGGCTCACGCCTGTAATCCCAGTACTTTGGGAGGCCAAGGTGGGTGGATCACTTGAGATCAGGAGTTTTGAGACCAGCCTGGCCAATATGGTAAAACCCCGTCTCTACTAAAAATAGAAAACTCAGCCGGTTGTGGTGACACATGCCTGTAGTCTCAGCTATTTAGGAAGCTGAGGCAGGAGAATTGCTTGAACCTGGGAAGTGGAGGTTGCAGTGAGCCGAGATTGTGCCACTGCACTCCAGCCTGGGCGTTGCAGCGAGACTCAAAAAAAAAAAAAGTATTCTGTTCTCACTACTCAAACTTGGGAGAGAATACTACACAAAAACAACAACAAAACACCAGAAAAACCAGAGACCATTCTCACAAAAAGATACAAAGTCCATACTAAAATGTAATAAATCCAGCAGTGTATTAAAAATAATGTGTATACAGGGATGTATTATAGGTTGAAAGAAAAAGTACCTTGGAGATGTGTTTGATACAGTTCAAAGTGATTTTTAAAAGCGAGATGGTGTAAAGGAAACAATGAGTACTAAGCAAAGAACTTTCAGAATCATTTTCAGTAATGAGACATTGGAGCACGGTAACATCTTGCCATAATGTGATAGGTGAGGTAAATATTTCATTTGGGTAAAATGGGTTATTGTGAGGTTGATGAAATAACTAGGATGCAGTTCAGAGCGTGAGAAGCAATAATTTGCATTATATCAGAATTCATCACCTCTGTTCTCATTAAGGCCTGAAGAATGTCAGCTACTACTACAATTCTACAACATTGTTCTCTGGGGCTTAGCAAATGATACAAGTACTGGGAATGGAAGAGACTGAATGTAAGATAGTTTACCTCATGGAGAGATTGAATGTTATTCACAAAGTGTAAGATAGTCCACCTAGAAAATACATCCCAGAAACTGAAAAACTGCTAGGAGAGTTCAGTAAGGTGACAAAGTTCAAGATAAATATGCAAAATTATTTAATATTAGTTTCCTTATTCACCACACACACACACAAATCAAAATGTGATAGATGTAAACTACCCAGGTATACATTTAACAGAAATACTCAAGATATGTATGAATAAAACACATTTTGCTAAAGAAGAGATGAATTATAAGGAAAATATAATTGGATGGGATCAATGTACAGATGACCATGCCATTTTTTTCTACAAATTAAATCTAATCCAGAAAGGCTTAAAAAAAATTTCTTTTTATTGAGACAGGGTCTCACTGTAGTACAAGACGAGGTAGAGCCCAGGAGTTTGAAACTAGCCTGGGCAACATAGGGAAACCCGGTCTCAAAAAAAAAAAAAAAAAAAAAAAAATTGGCTGGGTGTTGTGGCGTGTGCCTGTAATCCCAGCAACTCAGAAGACTGAGGTGGGAGGATCGCTTGAACCCAGGAGACAGAGGTTGCAGTGAGCCCAGGTGGCGCCACTGCACTTCAGCCTGGGTGACAGAGCAAGACTCCCGTGTCTCAAAAAAAAAAAAAAAAAAAAGATGGGAGTGGTGCCTCGTGCCTGTAATCGCAGCACTTTGGGAGGCTGAGGAGGGTGGATGGCTTCAGGCCATGACTTCCAGACCAGCAGTGGCAACATGGCAAAACCCCATTTCAAAAAAAAAAAAAAAGCCAGGCATGGTGACCCTGCCTGTAGTCCCAGCTACTCGGGAGGCTGAGGTGGGAGGATGGCTTGAGCCCGGGAGTGGCGCTTGCAGCGAGCCTAGATGGCGCCATTGCACTCCAGCCCAGCCTGAGTGACAGCAAGAACCTATCTCGAAAAATATAAAAAATATTTATAATCAATGTAGGCGAGGATATATTACCGTTATATCTATCAAGTTTTAAAATGTCTCACCTTTTGACCGAGAATTCATATCTGAGAATTAATCATAAATATTTGCTCGTGTTAATAAAGATATATGTAGAAGGATGTTCATTCCAGCATTGTTTACTTATTTTATTTTATTCCTATGTTGCCCAGGCTGGTCTGGAACTCTTGGCTTCAAGTGATCGTCCCACCTCAGCCTCCCAAAGCATTGGGATTACAGGTGCGAGCCACCAGGGCTGGGCCCCAGCATTGTTTATTATAGCAACTATTGCAAGGCACCTAAATGTTAGTCAAAGGGAATGATTTAAAATATTTTGTGGTGAATTCATTCTATTATGAAGTAAAGCTATGAGCTACCTTTGATTCAGCCTGGTTAAAATTAAAAAGTGAAAATACTGGTCCCAAAAATATTTCATGGGAATCCCTGAGAGGAAATAATTTTTGACTTAAGGTGATTTGAGAATTCAAAATGCAGTATTGATTATTGCTGACTCAACAAGAAGGAAGAGGAATGTAAAAGGAACATGCCCCACATCAGTATTAGCACTGAATCTGTTCGAATCACAACTTTATTTTCTCATACAGCCTCATAGGGAGAAATCTAACACTAACAAGTGATTTATGCCACTTCTATAGTAGTGAAATTATACGTTACAGTTAATCACTTTTGAGCTGGTGTGTCCATTACAGTTTATTTTCTTACAACACATGCTTTCTATCAAATATAAATTCCTTTTACTTTTTTTTTTTTTTTTTTTTTGAGACGGAATCTCGGTCACCCAGGCTGGAGTGCAGTAGCGCGATCTTGGCTCACTGCAACCTCTGCCTCCTGGGTTCAAGTGATTCTTGTGCCTCAGTCTCCCGAGTAGCTGGGACTACAGGCAGGCACCACCACGCCCAGCTAATTTTTGTATTTTTAGTAGATATGGGATTTCACCATGTTGGCCAGGCTGGTCTCAAACACCTGACCTCAGGTGATCTGCCTGCCTCTGCCCCCCAAAGTGCTGGGATTACAGGCGCGAGCCACTGTTCCTGGCCTAAATATAATTTCCTATTACAAGTGAATGTTGAATAATATATTCTCCACAAGAAACATATAAAAAGACTTAGCAGGGCCGGGCGCGGTGGCTCACGCCTGTAATCCCAGCACTTTGGGAGGCCGAGGCGGGCGGATCACGAGGTCAGGAGATCGAGACCATTCTGGCTAACACGGTGAAACCCCGTCTCTACTAAAAATACAAAAAATTAGCCGGGCGTGGTAGCGGGCGCCTGTAGTCCCAGCTACTCGGGAGGCTGAGGCAGGAGAATGGCGTGAACCCGGGAGGCGGAGCTTGCAGTGAGCCGAGATCGCGCCACTGCACTCCAGCCTGGGCGACAGAGCGAGACTCCGTCTCAAAAACAAAAAAAAAAAAAAAAAAGACTTAGCAGGAGGCCAGGCGCGGTGGCTCACGCCTGTAATCCCAACGCTTTGGGAGGCTGAGGCAGGTGGATCACCTGAGGTCAGGAGTTCGAGACCAGCAGGCCAACATGGTGAAACCCCGTCTCTACTAAAAATACAAAAATTAGCCTGGTGTGGTGGTGGGCGCCTGTGATCCCAGCTACTCAGGAGGTTGAGGCAGGAGAATCGCTTGAACCTGGGAGGCGGAGGTTGCAGTGAGCCGAGATTGCGCCATTGCACTCCAGCCTGGGTGACAAGAGGGAAATTCCGTCCCAAAAAAAAAACAAAAAACAAAACAAAACTTAGCAGGAATCATAACTTTGAGTATTATACTCCAAAAGAGATAACAATAAATCCTTTAAAAATAATACGTATACTGGGATAGGGCCGGGTGCGGTGGCTCACGCCTGTAATCCCAGCACTTTGGGAGGCCGAGGCGGGCAGATCATGAGGTCGGGAGTTCGAGACAAGCCTTACCAACATAGTGAAACCCCATCTCTACTAAAAATACAAAAATTAGCCGGGTGTGGTGGTGCGCACCTGTAATTCCAGCTACTCAGGAGGCTGAGGCAGGAGAATCACTTGAATCTGGGAGGTGGAAGTTGCAGTGAGCAGAGATTGTGCCACTGCACTCTAGCCTGGGCAACAGAGAGAGACTCCCATTTCAAGAAAAATAAATATAATAATAATAATATGTATACCGGGCTGGGCATGGTGGCTCATGCCTGTAAACCCAGCACTTTGGGAGGCCGAAGTGGGTGGATCATTTGAGGTCAGGAGTTCGAGATCAGCCTGGCCAACATGATGAAACCCCATCTCTGCTAAATACAAAAATTAGCCGGGCATGGTGGCGCATGCCTGTAGTCCCAGCTTGGGAGGCTGAGGCAGGAGAATTGCTTGAACCTGGGAGGTGGAGGTTGCAGTGAGCCAAGATCGCATCACTGCACTCCAGACTGGGTGACAGAGCGAGACTCCGTCTCAAAAAAAAAAAAAAAAAAAAAAGTATACCAAGAATGTCACAGTAGGAGCTTCAACAAGCCAAGAACACACTAGTGATAGTAAGATGCAGAATATGTATAGCTCAAACTTAAACAAGACCTTTGTCCATTGCAGAATCTCCTAAGTCATGATTTGTAATCATCTTCAACTTTCTCCAAAGGGTTGCACAATTACAACAAAACCCATTAGTCCAGTGGTTTGCATTCTCAAAAGCATAACCCAACAGTCTTTTGCTTGTCTCAAAGTTTCTCATCAAATATGACTCATGGCCTATTTTTCTTTTTTTCTTTTGAGACGGTGTCTCGCTCTTTCGCCCAGGCTGGAGTGCAGTGGCGCGATCTGAGCTCACTGCAAGCTCCGCCTCCCGGGTTCATGCCATTCTCCTGCTTCAGCCTCCCAAGTAGCTGGGACTACAGGCGCCTACAACCACGCCCGGCTAATTTTTTGTATTTTTAGTAGAGACGGGGTTTCACTGTGTTAGCCAGGATGATCTCGATCTCCTGACCTCTCCTGATCTGCCTGCCTCAGCCTCCCAGAGTGCTGGGATTACAGGCGCTCATGGCTTATTTTTCAAAAATTTTATTAGTCTTTTCAAAAGATCAATGCTGTGGCTTGAATGTTCCTTCCAAAACTCATGTTGAAATTTCATCATTGTAACAGTGTTGAGAGGTGGGACCTTTAAGAGGTGATTAGGTCATGAGGGTTCTGCCCTCATAAATGGATTAATGCCTTCATCTCGAGCGTGGGTTGGTTATCACGAGAGTGGGTTCCTGTTACCATGAGGCAAGAAGACCCTCACTAGATGTTGACACCATGCTTTTGGACTTTCTAGCCTCCAGAACCGTGAGCCAAATAAGTCTCTTTTCTTTATAAATTACCCAGACCGTGGTATTCTGTTGCAGCAACAGAAAGCAAAGACAACCAGTTTTTGAATTTGTTAAAGCCTCTCCATTGTACTTTTAACTTCACTGATTTCTTAACTTTCTCATTTCCTTTCTTCTACTTTACTTGGGTTTATCATGCTATTTTTTTTGTAAGTACTTAACTCACTAATTTTATTTTATTTCCACCCCCCCCCCACGACACAGGTCTCCCTCTTTTGCCCAGGCTGGAGTGCAGTGGCACAACCAAGGCTCACTGCAGCCTCAACCTTTCCAGACCCAGGTGATCCTCCCACCTCAGCCTCCCAAGTAGCTGGGACTACGGGTGCATGCCACCATGCCCGGCTAAGTTTTGTATTTCTTGTAGAGACGGGGTTTTGCCATGTTACCCAGGCTGGTCTCGAACTCTTGGGCTCAAGTGATCCACCCACCTTGGCTTCCCAAAGTGTTGGGATTACAGGCGGGAGCTGCTGCACCCAGCCCATTAATTTTCTTTTAGCCCTTTTTCTAGTATAAACATTTAAGGCTAAACATTTCCCACTCGGTACTTCCTTAGTTGAGCAAATAAGATGTTATTTATTTAGGTATAATTTATATTCAGTAAAATGCACAAATCTTGAATATTCATTTTGATGAGTTTTTTTTTGTTTTTTGTTTTTTGTTTTTTTTTTGAGATGGAGTCTTATTCTGTAACCCAGGCTGGAGTGCAGTGGCACGATATCGGCTCACCGCAACCTCCACCTCCCAGGTTCAATCAATTCTCCTGCCTCAGCCTCCCGAGTAGCTGGGATTACAGCGCCTGCCACCACACCCGGCTATTTTTTTGTATATATTTAGTAGAGACAGGGTTTCACCATTTGGGCCAAGCTGGTCTTGAACTCCTGACCTTGTGATCCACCCGCCTCGGCCTCCCAAAGTGCTGGGATTACAGGCGTGAGCCACTGTGCCCAGCCGATGAGTTTTGATAATTGTATACACCCTTGTATCCTGCAGCCTAAACAAGATACAGAACATTTCCATCACCCCAGAGAATTCCCTTATCCTTCTACAATATGTCGTCTTTTGGCATCTGGCTTCTTCCACTTAAAAAAAAATTTTTTTTTTTTGAGACAGTCTGACTCTGTCACCTGGGCTGGAGTGCAGTGGTGCGATATTGGCTCACTGCAACCTCCGCCTCCCGGGTTCAAGTGATTCTCCTGCCTCAGCCTCCCAAGTAGCTGGGATTACGGACATATGCCACCATGCCCAACAAATTTCTGTATTTTTAGTAGAGACGAAGTTTCACCATGCTGGCCAGGTTGGTCTTGGACTTCCGACCTCAGGTGATCTGCCTGCCTTGGCCTCCCAAAGTGCTGGGATTACAGGCATGAGCCACTGTGCTCGGCTGTATGTTTTAATTGCTTTAAGTAGATTCCTAGGAGTGAAATGTTGGGTTGTGTGGTAAGTCTATGTTAAACTTAGAAACTGCTAAATGTTTGCAAAGTGGCTGTGCTATTTTATTTTATTTTATTTTATTTGGGACGGAGTCTTGTTCTGTCACCCAGGCTGCAGTGCAGTGGCATGATCTTGGCTTACTGCAAACTCTGCCTCCCGGGTTCAAGCGATTCTCCTGCCTCAGCCTCCTGAGTAGCTGGGACTACAGGTGTCCGCCACCATGCCCAGCGAATTTTTGTATTTTTAGCAGAGGCGGGGTTTCACCGTGTTGGCCAAGCTGGTCTCAAACTCCTGACCTCAAATGATCCACCCACCTCAGCCTCCCAAAGTGCTGGGATTACAGGCATGAGTTACCATGCCCAGCCAGGCTGTGCCATTTTATATTCCTATCAACAATAGAGCAGGGTTCCAGTTTCTCAATATCCTCTCTAATACTTGGTAATTTTTTTTATTACAGTTGCCCCCCCTTACCTGCAGGGCATATATCCCAAGACCCTCAGTGAATCCCTGAAACAGTAGCTAGTACCAAATCCTATATATACTATATTTTTTGATCTGATAACCAAGATGGCTACTAGGTGATTAACGCACAGATAGTATGTACAGCATGGATATGCTGCGCAAGGGGATGGTTCACACCCTAGGCAAGACAGAGTGAGATGGCATGATATTTTATCATGCTATTCAGAACAGCACACAATTCAAAATTTATGAATTGCTTATTTCTGGAATTTTCAATTTAATATTTTCAGACTGGTTTACCACAGGTAACTGAAACCTTGGAGATAAGGGGGGATTACTGTATAACCCCCCCTTTTTTTTGAGACAGGGTCTCACTGTGTTGCCCGTGTTGGGGTGCAGTGGCACAATCTCGGGTCACTGCTACCTCCGCCTCCTGGGTTCAAGCAATTCTGCTTCAGCCTCTGGAGTAGCTGGGATTACAGTCGCCTGCCACCCCGCCTGGCTAATTTTTGTATTTTTAGTAGAGACGGGATTTCACCATGTTGGCCAGGCTGGTCTCGAACTCCTGACCTCAAGTGATCCGCCTGCCTTGGCCTCCCAAAGTGCTGGGATTACAGGTGTGAGCCACCATGCCAGGCCTGTATAACCCTTTTTTTTTTTTTTGCGACTGAGTCTCGCTCTGTCACCTAGGCTGGAGTGCAGTGGCACGATCTTGGCTCACTGCAACCTCTGCCTCCCTGGTTCAAGCGATTCTCCTGCCTCAGCCTCCTGAGTAGCTGGGATTACAGGTGCCTGCCACCACGTCCGGCTAATTTTTTGTATTTTTAGTAGAAACAGGGTTTCACCGTGTTAGCCAGGATGGTCTCGATCTCCTGACCTCGTGATCTGCCCACCTCGGCCTCCCAAAGTGCTGGGATTACAGGCGTAAGCCACCACGCCCAGCCCTGTATAACCATTTTAGTGGGTATATAGTGGTATCTTGTTGTGGTTTAAATTTGCATTTTCCTAATGACTAATGATGTTGAGCACTTTTCATGTGCTTCTTAGCATATAACTTCTGGAAGTTTTATAGTTTTGGTTCTATTGTAAGTTAATTTTTCAATGGTGTGGGGTAAAGGTCTACGTTCATTTTTAAATTTTTATTTATTTTGTTTTATTTTGTAGAGATGTGGTCTCACTATGTTGCTCAGGCTAATCTCAAACTCCTGGCCTCAAGTGATCCTCTCGTCTCAGCCTCTCAAACTGCTGGGATTACAGGTATGAGCCATCACACCCAGCCTAATTTTATTTTTAAATGGATGTCTAATTCTCCCAAAGCATTTGTTGAAAAGATTATTCTTTCCCCACTGGATTATCTTGGCATCTTTATTGAAAATCAGTTGACATAAGTATAAAAGTTAATTTCTTTAATTCTACTCTATTGATCTATATGCCACACTGTCTTGATTATTGTGACTTTACAGGGAGTTTTGAAATTGGAATTGGGTAACGTAAATCCTTCAGCTTTGTCTTCTTTTTTTGTTCAGAACTGTTTTGGCTATTTGAAATCCTTTGAATTCCCATATAACTTTTAGGATCTGCTTGTCAAATCCCCCCCCCCCCAACAAAAAAAACCCAAACCTTCTGGAATTTTGTTAGGGATCACACTAAATTTCTAGATCCAGTTTGGAGGGAAGTACCATCTTGACAATATTGATTCTTCTAATTCATAAACATGGGATGTCTTTTAGTAGAGACGGGTTTCACCAGGTTGGCCAGGCTGGTCTCAAACTCTTGACCTCAGGTGATCTGCCCACCTCAGCCTCCAAAGTGCTGGGATTACAGGCATGAGTCACCGCTCCAGGCCATGAAATTTATTTCTTTATTTTTTTCCCAAGACAGAGGCTTGCTCTGTTGCCCAAGCTGGAGTGCTGTGGTGCAATCTTGGCTCACTGCAACCTCTGCCTCCCGGGTTCAAGCAATTCTCCTGCCTCAGTCTCCCGGGTAGCTGGGATTACAGGCCCCCACCACCGTGCCTGGCTAATTTTTGTATTTTTAGTAGAGATGGGGTTTCACCATGTTGGCCAGGCTGGTCTCGAACTCCTGACCTCGTGATCCACCTGCTTCAGCCTCCCAAAATGTTGGGATTACAGGCGTGAGCCACCACGCCTGGCCGAAATGTATTTCTTAAATAATAAGACTTGAAAGTTGAAATTACTCCCTGAACCATGGGCTGCAGAATGGATGCTGTGTTAGCAGGCATGAAAACAATATTAGGGCTGGGTGTGATGGCTCACACCTGTAATCTCAGCATTTTGGGAGGCTGAGGTGGGAGGTTCTCTTGAGCCCAGGAGTTTGAGACCAGCCTGGGCAACGTAGGGAGGCTCCATCTCCACAAAAAATTAAAAAATTAGCCAGGTGTGGTGACATGGGCCTGTAGTCCTAGCTACTCAGGAGCCTGAGGGGAGAGGATGGCTTGAACACAGGAGATTAAGGCTGTAATGAGCTGTAATTGTGCCACTGAACTCCAGCCTGGGTGACAGAGAGAGATGCTGTCTGAAAAAAAAAAGATTAATCTCCTTGTACATCTTCATCAGGGCTCTTGGGTGACTAGGTGCATTGTCAGTGAGCAGTAATATTTTGAAAGGGATTTTTTTTTTTTTGAGACAGAGTTTCACTCTGTCACCCAGGCTGGAGTGCAGTGGCCCGATCTCGGCTCACTGCAACCTCTGCCTCCTGAGTTCAAACGATTCTCCTGCCTCAGCATCCTGAGTAGTTGGGACTACAGGTGCACGCCATCATGCCGGGCTAATTTTTGTATTTTTAGTAGAGACAGGTTTTCACCATGTTGGCCAGGCTGGTCTCGAACTCCTGACCTCAGGTGATCCGCCCTCCTGGGCCTCCCAAAGTGCTGGGATTACAGGCATGAGCCACGGCGCCTGGCTGAAAGGGATGTTTAAAAAATAAGCAATAGGTCTTGACATTGGGCTTAAAATATTCAGTAAACCATGCTGCTAATAGATGTGCTGTCATCCAGGTTTTGTGATTCCATTTATAAAGCACAGGCAGAGTAGATTTAGCACAATTCCTTAGGGCCCTAGGATTTTATTTTATTTTTTTTAGATAGGGTCTTACTCTGTTGCCCAGGCTGGAGTGCAGTGGCATAATCATACCTCACTGCGGCCTGAAACTCCTGGGCTCAGAGAATCTTCCTGCCTCAGCCTCCTGAGTAGCTAAGGCTACAGGCATGCTCCATCATGCCTAATTTTTTAAATTTTTTGTAGAATTGGGGTCTTGCTATGTTACCTGGGTTGGTCTCCAAACTCCTGGCCTCAAGGGATCCTTCTACCTTGGCCTCCCAAAGTGCTGGGCTTATAAGCATAAGCCACCACACCAGGCCCAGGCCCAGGCCCTAGGATTTTTGAAATGGCCAGAGTTTGGCTTCAAGTTAACGTCATCAGCTATTAATACATTAGCCCCTAGGACAAGAGAGTCAGCCTGTCCTTTGAAGCTTTGAAGCCAGGCATTGACGTCTCTCTAGCTATAAACGTCCTAGATGGTATCTTCTTCAAATAGAAGACTGTTTTGTCTACATTGAAAATAAATCTGTTGTTTAGTGTAGCCACCTTAATCAATTAGCTAGATCTTCTGGATAACTTGCTGCAGCTTCTAAATCAGCACTTGCTGGTTCACTTTGTACTTTTTTGTTATGGAGATGGCCTCTTTCCTTAATCCTCATAAACCAATCCCTGCTGGCTTCAAACTTTCCTTCTGCAGTTTCCTCACTTCTCTCAACTTTCATAGAATTGAATGGAGTTTGATTTAAGGAAATGCTGTAACTGGTTTGATCTTGTATCCAGACCACTCAAACTTTCTTCTTATTAGCAGTAAGGCTGTTTTGCTTCTTATCATTCATGTGTTTGCTGGAGTAGCACTTTTAATTTCCTTCAAGAAGTTTTCCTTTGCATTCACAACTTGGCTGACTGTTTGGCACAGGAAGCTTAGCTTTTGGCCTGTCTTGGCTCTCCACATGCCTTCCTCACTAAGCTTAATCATTTCTACCTTTTGATTTAAAGTGAGAGATACGTGACTCTACCTTTCGCTTGAACATTTAGAGGCCATCGTTGGGTGATTAATTGGCCTATTTTCAATATTATTGTGTTTCAGCAAATAAGGAGGCCCCAGGAGAGGGCGAGGGGTGGCCAGTGGGTGGAACAGTCAGAACACACATAACGTTTATGGGTACATAGACATGGTTCCTGGTGTTCCAAAACAATTACAGTAGTGACATCAAAAATCACTGATCACAGATCACCATAACAGATATAATAATAATGAAAAGACTTGGAATATTTTGAGAATTACCAAAAATGTGACCCAGAGACATTAAGTGAGCACACACTGTTAAAAACATTGGAACTGACAGACTTGCTTGACGCAGGGTGGCCACAAACCTTTCATTTGTAAAAAATGCAATATCTGCAAAGTGCAATAAAGCAAAGTGTAATAAAATGATGTATTCTGCATAATTTAGATTTTCTATTGCTTGTTGAGTTAATTTTGGTAATTTGTATATTTTCAGGAATTTATTCATGTCATCTGAGTTTTCTAATGTGTGGGCATAATATTATTCATAGAATGCCTTTTAATCCTTTTATGTGAAGTGTAGGTAGTGCTGTAAGATGTTGTTCCTGATTTTGGTAATTTATGTCTTCTCTCTTTTTTGGTTGATTTGTTTGTTTTTCTGAGTCAGGGTCTCGCCCTGTCAGGCTGGAGTGCAATGGCACGATCATAGCTCACTGCAGCTTCAAACTCCTGGGTTCAAGCAATTCTGCTGCCTCAGCCTCCCAAGCAGCTGGGACTATAGGTGTGTGCTGCCAAGCCAGGCCCTCTTCTCGATTTTTTTTTTTTTTTTTACATGGCAGAGTCTCGCTCTGTTGCCAGGCTGGAGTGCAGTGGCACGATCTTGGCTCACTGCAATCTCCACCTCTCGGGTTCAAGCGATTCCCCTGCCTGGGCCTCCCGAGTAGCTGGGACTACAGGCGCCTGCCCCCCCATCGCCTGGCTAATTTTTTGTATTTTCAGTAGAGACGGAGTTTCACCGTGTTAGCCAGGATGGTCTCCATCTCCTGACCTCGTGATCTGCCCGCCTCAGCCTCCCAACGTGCTGGGATTACAGGCGTGAGTCACCGTGCCCGGCCTTCTCGCTTTTTTATGTGGCAATCTAGCAAAGGTTTGTCAATTTTCTGGATCTTTTCAAATAACCAACGTTTCATTTATTTGATTTTCTCTATTTTTTTTTTCTGTTTTCTGTGTTTCAGTTCTCACCTTTATTACTTTATTACTTAACATTTTATTTATTATTCTTTATTACTTCTTTCTTATATTCACTTCTGGTGTAGTTTGCTCTTCTGTTTTCTAGTTTGTTAAGGTAGAAGTATAGGTTATTGATATGATGCCTTCTTTTCTGATACAGGCATTTAAAGATGTAAATTTCTCTCTAAGCACCACTTTCTCTGTATCCCATCCTATTTTTAAAATTAAACTTTTTTTTTTTTTTGAGACAGAGTCTCGCTCTGTCACCCAGGCTGGAGTTCAGTGGCTCAATCTCTGCTCACTGCAAGCTCCGCCTCCCGGGTTCACGCCATTCTCCTGCCTCAGCCTCCGGAGTAGCTGGGACTACAGGCGCCCGCCACCATGCCCGGCTAATTTTTTGTATTTTTAGTAGAGACGGGGTTTCACCGTGTTAGCCAGGATGGTCTCGATCTCCTGACCTCGTGATCCGCCTGCCTTGGCCTCCCAAAGTGCTGGGATTACAGGCTTGAGCCACTGCTCCCGGCCCAGCAGAGATAATTTCTGAATCACCCCGCCAGGCGCGGTGGCTCATGCCTGTAATCCCAGCACTTTGGAACGCCGAGGCAGGCGAATCACGAGGTCAAGAGATCGAGACTATCCTTGCTAACACGGTGAAACCCCGTCTCTACCAAAAATACAAAAAATTAGCCGGGCGTGGGGGCGGGCGCCTGTAGTCCTAGCTGCTCGGGAGGCTGAGGCAGGAGAATCGCTTTAACCCGGGGGGCAGAGGTTGCAGTGAGCCGAGATCTCGCCACTGCACTCCAGCCTGGACAACAGAGCGAGACTCCGTCTCAAATAAATAAATAAATAGTGCCTGGCGCGGTGGCTCACGCCTGTAATCCCAGCACTTTGGGAGGTCGAGGCGGGCAGATCACGAGGTCAGGAGATCGAGACCATCCTGGCTAACACGGTGAAACCCCGTCTCTACTAACAATACAAAAAATTAGCCGGGCGTGTAGGCAGGCACCTGTAGTCCCAGCTACTTGGGAGGCTGAGGCGGGAGAATGGCGTGAACCCGGGAGGCGGAGCTTGCAGTGAGCCGAGATCGCACCACTGCACTCCAGCCTGGGCGACAGAGGGAGACTCCGTCTAAAATAAACAAACAAACACAAATAAACAAATGTTTTAAAGGAGATAATTGTGGACTCACATGCTGTCCTAAGAAATCATATACAGCAGGCATCCCCAGCCCCGGAGTGGCGGACCTTTACCGGTCCTTGGCCTGTTAGGAACCCAGCCGCACAGCAGGAGGCGAGCGAGCATTAGATTCTCATAGAAGGGAGAACTCTCCGCATGCGAGGAATCGAGGTTGCACACTCCTTATGAGAATCTAACTAATGCCTGATGATCTGAGGTGGAATAGTTTCATCCTGAAACCACCCACCCCCTATCTGTGAAAAAATTTGCTTCCACAAGACAGGTCCCTGGGGCCAAAAAGGTTGGGTATCGCTCATAAGGAGTGATCCCATGTACCTTCTACACAGTGTCCACCAGTGGTAACATCTTACAAAACTGTAATACCATAGCACAACCAGGATGCTAACATTGATACAGTCAGGATACAGGACTGTTGCATCACCAAGGGTCCCTCATGTTGTCCTCATGTAGCCACGTCTGCTTTCTTCCTGCCTCACTCCTAGCAACCGCTATTCAGTTCTCCATTTCTATAATTTTGTCATTCCAAGAATGTTATATAAATTGAACTATACTTTGGGATTGGCTTTTTTTTTTCACTCAGCATAGTTCTCTGAAGAATCATTCAAATTGTTGTGTGTATCAATAGTTTAATAGTTTGTTCTTTTTTTTTTTTTTTTTGAAATAGGGTCTTGCTCTGACCCCCAGGCTGGAGTGCAGTGGTACAATCTCGGCTTACCGCAGCCTCTACCTCTGGGACTCAAGCGGTCCTTCCACCTCAGCCCCCCAGAGTAGCTGGAACTATAGGCACATGCCACTGTGCCCGGTTAATTTTTTGTAAGTTTTGTAGGGGTGGGGTCTTGCCATGTTGCCCAGGCTTGTCCCTTTTTTTTTTTTTTTCCTGAATAGTATTCTGGATGTACTATAGTTTGTTTAACGATTCACCTATTGGAGGACCTCTGGGTTGTTTCCATTTATTGCCTGTTACAATAAAGCTGCGGTATTCAGCTTAATTAAGCAAGATTAAATACATGTATAAAAAAGTAAAGCTGCTATAAATATTCATATACAGGTCTTTGAACTTAAATTTTCAGTTCTCCTGAATAAATGTCAAGCAGTACAATTCCTGGGTTGTGTGGTAGTTTTAGCATTTATTTGTTTATTCCTGGTAACTCACAGAAAAGGTAGTTTTAGTTTTTAAACATGTTTAGTTTTTAAAGAAACTGCCAAACTGTTTTCCAGAGTGGCTGTACTTTTTAACATTCCCACCAGCCATCACTACCTTTTATTTTGGCCACTCTGATAGGTGTGCAGGTGTGCAGTGATATCTCATTGTGGTTTTAACTTGCATCTCTGTAATGGCTATGATATTGAATGTCTTTTCATGGGCTTATTTGCCATCTGTATATCCTTTTTGATGAAATGACTGTTCATGTCCTTTCCTCATTTTGTAATTGGATTATTTACTTTTTTACTGTTGAGTTTTGAGATCCTAATTCTTTGTCAAATATGTGGTTTGCAAATATTTCCTTCCAGTCTGTAGACTGACTTTTTATTCTCTAAACAGGTTCTATTACAGCAAAATTTTACATTTCAATGAAGTTCAACTTACCCACTTTTCCTTGTATGATACTATGGGTGTTAAATTTAAGAACACTTAGCCTGGCTCTAGATCCTGAAGATTTTCTAGTTTTCTTTTCCCTGAAGTTTTATAGTTTTATGTTTTACATTTAAGACCATGACCCATTTTGAGTTAGTTTTTGTATAAGGTGTGCAGTTAGGTGGAGTCTCATTTTTGCCTATGAATGTATAATTTCTGTAGCACCAGTTATTGAAAAGGGTTTTTGTTAAAAATCAGTTGAGTATATTCATGTGGGCCTGTTTCTGGGTTCTCTAATCTGTTCCATTGATCTGTGTCTGTCCCTTTGCCAGTATCACACAATCTGGATTACTGTATAATAAAGCATGAAATCAGGTTGACTTATTCTTTCCCCTTTATTCATTTTTTTCAAAATTGATTTAGCTAATCTAGTTCCTTTTTCTTTCCATGTAAATTTTAGAATATGCTTGTCGGTATCAATAGAAAAATCTTGCTGGGATTTTGATAGGAATTGTATTATACCTGTATATCAATTTGAAGAAAATTGACATATTTTCTATGTTGAGTTTTCCAATCCATGGAAATATCTCTCCATTTGTTTAGATCTTCTTTTATTTATTTCTTTTATTTATTTTTTTTGAGACAGAGTCTTGTTCTGTTGCCAGGCTGGAGTGCAGTGGCATGTTCTTGGCTCACTGTAACCTCTGCCTCCCGGGTTCAAGTGATTCTCCTGCCTCAGCCTCCCGAGTAGCTGGGACTACAGGTGCGCACCACCATGCCCAGCTAATTTTTGTATTTTTAGTAGAGACGGGGTTTCACCATGTTGGCCAGGATGATCTTAATCTCTTGACCTCGTGATCCGCCTGCCTCGGCCTCCCAAAGTGCTGGGATTACAGGCGTGACATGCCACCAAGCCCAGCCTCTTTTATTTTTTTAATCGGTGTTTTGTAGTTTTCAGCATATAAGTCCTATACATGATTTGTCAGATTTATACCTGTTTTATTTTTTTGAGCAATTATAAATGATAATCTTCTCTTCTCTCCTCTCCTCTCCTCTTCTTCTTTTTTTGTTTTTTGTTTGAGAGACAGGCCCTCATTCTGGTGCCCAAGCTGGAGAGCAGTGCTGTGATCTCAGCTCACTGCAACCTCCACATCCCAGGTTCAAGGGATTCTCCTGCCTCAGCCTCCCAAGTAGCTGGGATTACTGGCGCCCACTAGCATGCCTGGCTAATTTTTGTATTTTTAGTAGAGGCAGGGTTTCACCATCTTGGCCAGGCTGGTCTCGAACTCCTGACCTCAAGTGATCCACCTGCCTCGGCCTCCCAAAGTGCTGGAATTACAGGTGTGAGCCACTGTGCCCAGCAGAGGTATTGTACTTTAAATCTTGTTGTCCATGTGTTCATTGCTAATATATAGTAATGCAATTGATTTTGTATGTTTATATTATATCCTGTGACCTTGCTGGACTCACTTATTAGTTCTAGGAGTTCTTTTGTGGATTTTCTACATAGATAATTATGTCATCTGTAAATAAGGACAGTTTTATTTCTTTCCTATTAAGATGGCTTTTATTTCCTTTTTTTTCCTTTTTAATCTTGCTGCATTGGCTAGAATGTCCAGTATTATGTTGAAGAAGGTAAATGAGAGGGGACATCCTTGCTTTGCTCCTGTTCTCAGGGGTAAAGCATTCAGCCTTTCACCAGTAAATATAATGTTAGCTACAAGTTTTCTTGTAGATATCCTTTATCAAGTTGAAGAAGTTACCCTCTGTTCCTAGTTTTCAGAGAATTTTTATCAGGAATGGGTGTTGAATTTTGTCAAATGCCTTTTCTGCATCAATCGATATGATTATGTGATCTTTCTTCTTTAGCTTGTTAATGTGGTGGCTTACTTTGACTGATTTTTGAATATTGAGCCAAATTTTCATCCATGGAAAAAACCTTACTTAGTCATGGTATATGAGCCTTTTTTTTTTTCTTTCTGTCTTTCTTTTTTTTTGAGATGGAGTCTCACTCTTTTTGCCCAGGCTGGAGTGCAATGGCGCAATCTCGGCTCACTACAACCTCTGCCTCTGGGGTTCAAGCTCCTGCCTCAGCCTCCCAACTAGCTGGGATTACAGGCATGTGCCACCATGCCTGGCTCATTTTTTGTATTTAGTAGAGATGGGGTTTCACCATGGTCAAGCTGGTCTCGAACTCCTGACCTCAGGTTATCCACCCACCTTGGCCTCCTAAAGTGCTGGGATTACAGGTATGAGCCACCATGCCCGGCTGGTGTGTAATTCTTTAAAAAAAAAATTTATTGTGGTAAAATACACATAACATAAAATGTCCAATTTTAGCCATGTGAAGTGTACAATATGACATTAAGTACTTTCACAATGTTGTACAACCATTACCACCATCTAATTCCAGCACATTTTCATCACCCCAAAAAGAAACCCTAGACTCATTGAGTAGTCACTCCTCATTCTCATTCCCCTCAGCCATTGGCAACCACTAATCTGCTTTCTGTTTATATGGATTTGCCTGCCAACTCTGGGTAATTCATATAAATGGAATCATACAATATGTGGTCTTTTGTGTCTGGTTTCTTTCACTTAGCATAATGTTTTCAAGGTTCATCTATGTTGTAGCATGTGTGAGTACATCATTCCTTTTTGCAATTGAATAATATGCCATATTTTGTTTATTTATTCATCTGTTGTTGAACATTTGGGTCGTTTCCATGTTTTGACTATTGTGAATAGTGGTGCAATGAACATTCCTATACAAGTTTTTGTTTGAACACCTGTTTTCAATTCTTTTGGGTATACACCTAGAAGCAAAATTGCTGGGTCGTGGTAATTATATGTTTTAACTTTTTAAGAAACTTCCAAAGTATTTTCCAAAGCTGCTACAGCATTTTACATGGGATTTTTTTTTCCCAGGCTGGAGTGCAGTGGCGTGATCTCGGCTTATTGCAACCTCCGCCTCCTGGGTTCAAGTGATTCTCCTCCCTCAGCCTCCCAAGTAGCTGGGATTATAGGCATGTACCACCACGCCTGGCTAATTTTTGTATTTTTTTTAGAGATGGGGTTTTGCCTTGTTAGCCAGGCTGGTCTCAAACTCCTGACCTCAGGTGATCTGCCTGCCTCAGCCTCTCAAAGTGCTGGGATTACAGGCGTGAGCGCCCAGCCTCTTACATGGGATTTTTAAGAGTAAGAATTCAATTTCTTTAAGATATATAGGACTATTCAAATTATGTATTTCATATTGGGTGCATTATTAGTTTGTGTCTTTAGGTGAATTGCTGCACTTCATCTTAGTTGTCAAAGTTTTGGCCAAGTGCAGTGGCTCACACCTGTAAATCCCAGAATTTAGGGAGGCAGAGGCAGGAGGATAGCTTCGCCTAGGAGTTCGAGACCTGCCTGGGCAATATAGCGAGACCCTGTTCTCCACAAAAAGGGGGAAAAAAAGACAAATTTTTCTGTGTAGAATTGTTTGTGGTATCCCCTTATCCTTTGATGTCTACAAGGTCTCCGGTGATATCCCCTGTTCCATTCCTGATATTGGTAGTTTATGTCCTTCCTCTCTCTCTCAACTATCTTGCTAGAGGTTTGTCAATTTTATTGGTCTTTTCCCAAGAACCCAGCTTTTTGTTCTGTTGACTTTTCTCTATTTTTTTTTTCTGATCTTATCTTTATTATTTCCTCCTTTCTGCTTTATTTGGGTTTATGTTACTCTTATTTTCCTAGGCTCTTCTATTGGGAGCTTAGATTATTGCTTTGAGATATTTCTTCCCCTCTTAATACTGCTTCAGCTAATGTTCTACAAATAATTGATAATGTATTTTCACTTTCATGCAGTTCACTGTATTCATTTTTATTTTGATAAAGGTGATTAATTTTTCTTTCCAGTTTTCCCAAAATATGTAATGTGTTTACCTTTTAATCTGTGATAAAAAACATATAAACATTTGCTATTTTAATCATCCAGCTTGTTGCTGTGAAACAGATCTCCGGAACTTTTTCATCTTGCAGATCTGAAACCCTACACCTACTAAACAACTCACCCTTCTCCCTTCCTCTTAGCTCCTGGGAACCACCATTCTGCTTTTTATTTCTATGAATTTGACTAATTTAGATACCTTATTTAAGTAGAACCGCACAGTATTTATCTTTTTTGAATTTACTGTGTTTTAAAAGTTTCCCTTGAAGTTCCCTCTTTGACTCGTGGATTATTTAGCGGTGTGTTTAGTTCCCATATGTTTCGAGATTTTGATTTCTAGTTTGATTCCGTTGTGGTCAGAGTACCACACACTCTGTATGATTCCAGTTCTTTTAAATTTATTGAGGCTTGTTTTATACCTATTGATATGCTCTATCTTGGAGAATGTTTCATGTCTACTTGAAAAGAATGTGTATTCTGAACTGGATGAGTGGACTGTTCTAAAATTGTTAGTTAGATGGAGTCAGTTGATAGTAGTATTCATTTTTTATTCCTGTTGTAACAAGTTGCCACAAACTTAGTGGCTTAAAACGACACATATTTGTTATCATATAGTTCTGGAGGTCAGAAGTTTGCAATAGGTCTCACTGGGTGAGGGGAAGATGTTGACAAGGCTGCATTCTTTTCTGGGTGCTCTAGGGGATTTTCTTGCAATTTCAGCTTCTACAAGCTGCCCCGAATTCCTTGGCTTATGGTCTCCTTCCATCTTCAAAGTCAGCAATAGGTTGCTTATGTCGTTCTCACATTACATCACTGCGACATTCACTCTTCTGCCTCCCTCTTTCACTTCTAAGGACCCTTGTGATGACATTGGGCCCACCCAGATAATCCAGGACAATCCTTCCGCCTTGAGATCTTTAACTTAATCACATCTGCAAAGTCTCTTTTATCATGTAAGATAACGTACTCACAAGTTGTGGAGATTAGGATGTGGATATTTTGGAGGGACTATGTCTACTACAATAGTGTTGTTCAAATTTTCTCTCTATGCCAGGCACAGTGTTACATGCCTGTAGTCCCAGCTACTCCGGACGCTGAAGCGGGAGGATCACTTGAGTCCAGGAGCTTCAGACCAGCCTGGGCAACATATTGAAACTCTGTCTTTTTAAAAAAAACTTTTAAAAAAGTTTTCTTCTTAAACAAAAAGTTTTCTTTTCACTCTGTTATCAAGAATGAGGTATTGTAATCTTTGCCTATTATTGCTGATTGTCTCTTTCCCCTTTGAATTCTTTCACTTTTTGCTTCATGTATTCTGAGGCTCTCATTAGGTATATATCAGTGTATAATTGTTATATCTTCCTGATGTATTGAACCTTTTATCAACATGAAATGTACCTCTTTGTCTTTAGTAATATTTCTTATCTTAAAGACCATTTTGTCTGATTTTGCTGTATACACAGTCTCAGCCAGGAATGTGCTTGCTGCAACCACAATGGCAACCCCAGACTAAGAGAGATGTATATCATCCCCTCCCACCCTTTGCTGAGATCGTCACTTCCTCTGACTGTGCTACTGTGCATGGACATTACCCACTGTTCCCAAGTGAGTGAGACCACTTTGACTATGGCAGCAAAGCTGCCAACCTCACAGCCAACCCAGCCTTAGCAGAACTTTCACGCTAAGGGAGCTGGAATCTGGGAGAGGCCCCAGGGAAGAACACTGCAGACTCCCACTCTTCTTGCACAAAGTTCAGCAATTTTTCAGGCATGACCACTTCTCAGATCATTGTACAATTGTTTTTGTCAATTTTGTCCATCTTTATAGTTACTTTTCTGGAAGAGGATTTGTCTTCCATCTTCACTGGAAGTCCTGCCTCTACTACAGTGTTGTTTTTAAAATAGATTTCTTTTTCCAGATTAAGGACATTTCCTTTTAATTCTAATTCTCTTAGAAGTTTTTCATTTAAATAATAATAATTATTATTATTGAGACTAAGTTTTGCCCTTGTTGGCCAGGCTGGAGTGCTATGGCATGGTCTCGACTCACTGCAACCTCTGCCTCCCGGGTTTAAGTGATTCTCCCGCATCAGCCTCCTGAGTAGCTGGTATTACAGGCACCCATCACCATGCCTGGCTAATTTTTTGTATTTTTAGTAGAGACAGGGTTTCACCACGTTGGCCAGGCTAGTCTCGAACTTCTGACCTCAGGTGATCCGTCCACCTCGGCTTCCCAAAGTGCTGGGATTACAGGTGTGAGCCACTGTGCCCGGCCTTAATTATTATTATTTTTTGAGACAGGGTCTCACTCTGTCACCCAGGCTGGAGTGCAATGGCACGATCTTGGCTCACTGCAACCTTCACCTCCCAGGTTCAAGTGATTATTGTGCCTCAGCCTCCCGAGTAGCTGGGACTGCAGGCTTGTGCCACCACACCCAGATAATTTTTGTATTTTTAGTAGAGACAGGGTTTCACCATGTTGGCCAGGCTGGTCTTGAACTCCTAACCTCAAGGTGATCCGCCCACCTTGGCCTCCCAAAATACTGGGATTACAGGCATGAGCCACCGTGCCCGGCCTGTTTTGTTTTAAATAATGAGTGTTTGTCTCTTCTTTATGTCACGAAATGATTATATTTTCCCTTTAATCTGTAAAATATTTTGCTAGATTTTCCGATGTTGAACCCTTCTTCATGCATTCCTCATAAAATTCTACTTAGTCATAACACATTACTTTTTATTTTTATTTATTTATTTCTTGAGACAGGGTCTTGCTCTGTCACCCAGGCTGGAGTGCAGTGGCACAATTTCGGCTCACTGCAACCTCCACCTCCCAGGCTGAAGCGATCCTTCCACCTCAGCCTCCCAAGTAGCTGGGACTAGAGGTGTGCGCCACAACAGCTGGCTAATTTTAAAAAGTGTTTTGTAGAGAGGTCTCACTATGTTGCCCAGGCTGGTCTTGAACTCCTGGGCTCAAGAGATCCACCTACCTCAGGCTTCCAAACTGTTGGGATTATAGGCATGAGCCACCGTGCCTGGCATATTATTTTTATTAGAGATGAGGTCTGCTAAAATTTGGTTTGTTACTGTTTTTTTTTTTTTTTATTAGAGTTGGGGTCTTGCTATGTTGCAATGGCTGGTCTCAAATTCCTGGGCTTAGGAGATCCTCCTGCCTCAGCCTCCAGTTAGCTGGGACTACAGGCACGCACCACTGCATCCGGCTTGTTATTTTATTTAGAAGTTTTGCATGCATGTTAATAAGTGAGATTGGTCTAAAACATTATTTTTTAACACAGTTTTGTGAATTTGATATTAAGTTTGTATTAGCTCGTAATATGGGCTGAGTAAATTTCCCACTCTTTCTGTTTTCTGAAATATGTTATTTCAGAATTATTTAATATGGAGAGATTATCTTTCCTTTGAAGGTTTGGTAAGACTTTTTAGTAAAACTGTGTGGGCTTCATATTTCTTATCGTGAGAGATACTTGATTATCAGTTCCTATTTTGGTAATCTGTATTTTTCTTGAAATCTTTCCATCGTGTCTTGGTTTTCAAATGTCCTGGGACAAGGTTGTTCACAGTGTTCTCATATGTTATTAAAAATCTCTACTGTTATCATTTGTTATATTTCCTTTCTGTTCCTATTATTGTTTATTTTCTCTCTTCTCACTCCTTTCTGATGATCAGACTTGCTGGAATTTTTTCCTTTTTCTTTTTTAAATTAGAGATGGTGTCTAACTCTGTCGCCTAGTCTAGGGTACAGTGGCAGGATCATAACTCACTGTAGCCTTGAACTCCTGAGCTCAAGTGATCCTCCTGCCTCAGGATCCTGAGTAACTGGGTTTATAGGCGACAGCCACTGTGCCCAACAATTTTTTCTATTTTAGTAGTTTTGTCAGAGAACAAGATTTTGGTTGCACTGATTGCCTTTTTCTTTCCTTTCTGTCATTAATTTCTGCTCTTATAGACTTTATACCCATCTTTCTACTTCTTTGGGGTTTACTTTTTTCAGTCTAAGATCCTGAATTGAATATATAACTCACTTATTTTCAGTCTTTTCTATTTTTCTTTTCTTTTTTTTTTTTTTTTTTTTTGAGACGGAGTTTCGCTCTTGTTGCCCAGGCTGGAGTGCAATGGTGTGATCTCCACTCACCGTAACCTCCGCCTCCCGGGTTCAAGCAATTCTCCTGCCTCAGCCTCCTGAGTAGCTGAGATTACAGGCACGCGCCACCACACCCGGCTAAGTTTTGTATTTTCAGTAGAGATGGGGTTTCTCCATGTTGGTCAAGCTGGTCTCGAACTTCTGACCTCAAGTGATCCTCCCGCCTCGGCCTCCCAAAGTGCTGGAATAACAGGCGTGAGCCACCGCGCCCGGCCCCTATTTTTGTTTTCACAACTTTTTTTTTTTTTTTTTTTTAAATCAAGCCCCTTCCCCAAGAACCAGTGGTTCAACATCCAGCCACAACAGGAACAGCCACTGGGCCCTGTCCTGTTCCTTGAGGCTTGAGGGATTATTTATTTTTGTTATTTTATTTATTTATTTTTATTTTATTTTTTGAGATGGAGTTTCACTCTCGTTGCCCAGGCTGGAGTGCAGTGGCGCGACCTCGGCTCCCTGCAACCTCTGCCTCCCGGGTTCAAGTGATTCTCCTGCCTCAGCCTCCCAAGTAGCTGGGATTACAGGCACCTGCCATCATTCCTTGCTAATTTTTGTTATTTTTAGTAGAGATGAGGTTTCACCATGTTGGCCAGGCTGGTCTCAAACTCCTGACCTCAAGTATCTGCCAGCCTCAGCCTCCCAAAATGCTGGGATTACAGGCATGAGCCACCACGCCCAGCCCTTATTTGTATTTTTTTGAGACAGAGTCTTCCTCCGTCGCCCAGGGTGGAGTGCAGTGGCATGATCTCGGCTCACTGCAACCTCCACCTCCCGGGTTCAAGTGATGCTTTTATTTTTTTATTTTATTATTATTATTTTTTTGAGACGGAGTCTCACTCCATCGCCAGGCTGGAGTGCAGTGGCATGATCTCGGCTCACTGCAACCTCCGCCTCCCAGGTTCAAGCGATTCTCCTGCCTCAGCCTCCCGAGTACCTGGGACTACAGGTGTGCACCACCACGCCCGGCTAATTTTTGTGTTTTTAGTAGAGATGGGGTTTCATCAGATTGGCCGGGATGGTCTTGAACTCCTGACCTCATGATCCGCCTGCCTCGGCCTCCCAAAGTGTTGGGATTACAGGCGTGAGCCACTGCGTCTGGCCTGGGTTGAAGCGATTCTTCTGCCTCAGCCTCCCAAGTAGCTAAGATTGCAGGTGTGTGCCACCATGCCCAGCTAATTTTTGTATTTTTGTTTTTTTTTTTCTGAGATGGAGTCTCACTCTTGTCACCCAAGCTGGAGTGCAATGGCACGATCTCGGCTCACTGCAACCTCCACCTCCCGGGGTCAAGCAATTCTCCTGCCTCAGCCTCCCAAGTAGCTGAGATTACAGGCGCCTGCCACCACTCCTGGCTCGTTTTTTGTATTTTAAGTAGAGACAGAGTTTCACCGTATTGGCGAGGCAGGTCTTAAACTCCTGACCTCAAGTGATCCGCCTGCCTTGGCCTCCCATAGTGCTGGGATTACAGGCGTGAGCCATCGTACCCAGCCTTTTATTTTATTTTATTTTATTTTATTTATTTATTTATTTTCAGATGGAGTTTCGCTCTTGTCGCCCAGGCTGGAGTGCAATGGCATGATCTCGGCTTACTGCAACCTCTGCCTCCCAGGTTCAAGTGATTCTCCTGCCTCCCGAGTAGCTGGGATTACAGGCGCCCGCCACCACGCCCGGCTAATTTTTGTATTTTTAGTAGAGACGGGGGTTTCACCACGTTGGCCAGGCTGGTCTCGAACTCCTGACCTCAGGTGATCCACCCGTCTTGGCCTCCCAAAGTGCTGGGATTACAGGCGTGAGCCACCAGGCCAGGACTTATTTTTTATTAAATACAAGTCACATACTATAAACTTACCCTTTTAAAATATATAGTTCAGTGGTTCTTAGTATATTCCCAAAGTTATGCAACCACCACCACGATCTAATTCTGAAACATGAAACCCCATATCCATTAGGCAGCCATCCCAGCACTACCTCAAACACACACCCAGCCCCTGGCACACCCTAATCTACTTTCTGTCTCTATGGATTTGCCTATTCTAGACACTTTTATTATGGATTCATATAATATGTGGCCTTTTCTGCCTGGTTTCTTTCATTTTGCCAAACGTTTTCAAGGTTCATCCATGTTGTAACAAAGTACTGCAAACTGGGTGGCTTAAAACAACAGAAATGTATTGTCTCACAGTTCTGTAGGCTGGAAGTCTGAGTTCAAGGTGTTGGCAGGAATGGCTCCTTCTGAGGGCTGTGAGGGAGAATCTGTTCCAGGCCTTTCTCCTAGCTTTTGCTGCCTTGCTGGCAGTCTTTGGCATTCCAAAGATAAGATGTGTCACCCTTATATCTTTTTTTTTTTTTTGAGAGGGAGCCTTACTCTGTCGCCCAGGCTGGAGTGCAGTGGCGTGATCCTGGCTCACTGCAACCTCTGCCTCCCGGGTTCAAGCAATTCTCCTGCCTCAGTCTCCTGAGTAGCTGAGATTAGAGGTGCCTGCTACCACGCCTGGCTAATTTTTGTATTTTTGGTAGAGACGAGGTTTCACCATTTGGGGAGGCTGGTCTTGAACTTCTGACCTCAGATGATCCGCCCTCCTTGGCCTCCCAAAGTGCTGGGATTACAGGCTTGAGCCACTGCGCCCGGCCATGTCACCGTTATCTCTGCCTTCATCTTCATGTGGCATTTTCCTTGTATGTGTGCCTGTCTCTGTGTCCAAGTTTCCTCTTTTTTAAGGACACCAGTCCTGTTGGGTTAGGACCTAACCTAATGTCCTCATTTTAACTTGATTTCCTCTGTAAAGACCATATTTCCAAATAAGGTCGCAATCTGAGATACTGGGGGGTTAGGACTTCAATATATCTTTTTGAGGGTCACAACTCAACTCATAGCAGCACTTCATTCCTTTTATTGCCAAATAATATTCGAATAATATGGATATACCACATTTTCTTTATTCATTCATTTGTTGATGGACATTTGGGTTGTATCTGCCTTTTAGCTGTTATGAGTAATGCTGCTATGAACATACAGGTTTTGTGTGGACACATATTTTTGATTCTCTTTGGTATATGCCTGGGAATAGAATTGCTGGGATGTATGGCAACTCAGTGTTTAGCCTTTGGAAGAACTGCCAGGCTGTTTTTCACAGCTGCTGCAGCATTTTACGTTGCCACTAGCAATGTAGGAAGGTTCTAATTTTTCTGCATCCTCACCAGCATGTATTATTTTGATTCTAGCCATCCTAGTGGATGTGAAGTGGTATCTCATTGTGGTTTGGATTTGCATTTCCCTGACAAGTAAGGATACTGAGCATCTTTCCATGTATTTGTTGGCTATTTGCATATCTTCTTTGAAGAAATGTTTATTAAATCCTTTGCCCATTTTTTTTTTTTTCCGAGACAGAGTCTTACTCTGTCACCCAAGCTGGAGTGCAATGGCGCGATCTCGGCTCACTGCAACCTCCACTTCCCAGGTTCAAGCAATTCTCCTGCCTCAGCCTCCCGAGTAGCTGGGATTATAGGCTCCTGCCACCATGCCCAGCTAATTTTCATATTTTTGGTAGAGACGGGGTTTCACTGTGTTGGTCAGGCTGGTCTCGAACTCCTGACCTCAGGTGATCCACCTGCCTTGGCCTCCCAAAGTGCTGGGATTACAAGCGTGAGCCACCACGCATGGCCTCCTTTGCCCATTTTTAAATTTGGTTATTTGACTTTTTATTATTGAACCCTTTAGGTACTCTAGATACAGGTTCCTTATAGATATGTAATATGCAAATATTTTCTTCCATTTTGTGGATTGTCTTTTTACTTTCTTGATCATTTGCAGCACAAAAGTTTTTAACTTTGAGGAAGCTCAGTTTATTTTTTCTTTCGTCGTTTGTACTTTTGTTATTGTGTCTAAGAAACCACTGCCAAATCCAAGGTAATGAAGACATACTCCTAAATTTTCTTCTAAGAGTTTTCCAGTTTTAGCCCTTACACTCAGGCCATGATCCGTTTGAGTTCATTTTTGTGTGTTGAGTGAGGAAGAGGTCCATCTTCATTCTTTTGCATGGGGATATCCAGTTGTCTCAGCACCATTTGTTGAAGAGACTATTCTTTCCCCATGGAATTGTCTTGGCACCCTTCTCAAAATCAGTTGACCACAAATGTAAGGGTTTATTTCTGAGCTCTTAATTCTGTTCCATTGATGTATAAGCCTATCCTTATGACGGTAGTGCACTGTCTTGATTACTGTAGTTTTGTAGTAAGTTTTGAAATCGGGACATGTGACTCCTCCAACTTTGATCTTTTTCAATATTTTTTTGGCTATTCTGAGTCCCGTGCGTTTTCATATGCATTTTATGGTTAAATTATCTATTTCTGCAAAGCAGCCTGGGATTTTGATAGGGATTCCATTGAATCTGTAGGTGAATTGGGGGAGTATTATCATCTTGACAATGTTTGTTTTCCAATCCATGAACATATATATTTTTCCATTTTTTAGATCTAAAGATTTTTCAACAGTGTTTTATAGTTTTCAGTTTACAAATCTTGTGCTTTTTTCTTAAATTTATTCCTAGGTATTCTTTGGTTTTGCTGCTATTATAAATGGGATTGTTATCCTAATTTGGTTTTTGGATACTTCAGTGCTAGTGTATAGAAATACAACTGACTTTGGCATGTTGATTTTGTATCCTGACACTTTTCTGAACTTGTTCCTTAGTTCTGATTTTTTTTTTAGCAAAGTTCTTAGGATTTTCTGCATTTGAGACTGTGTCATCTGCAAATAGAGATAGTTTTGCTTCTTTGTTCCATCTGAGTGCCTTTTTATTTCTTTTTCATGCCTGATTGTCGTGGCTAGAACCTCTTCTACAATGTAGAATAGAAGTGGGGAGAGCAAGTCCAGGTGCAGTGGTTCACACCTGTAATCCCAGCACTTTGGGAGGCTGAGGTAGGTGAATCACCTGAGGTCAGGAGTTCGAGACCAACCTGACCAACATGGAGAGACCCCATCTGTACTAAAAATACAAAAATTAGCCGGTCGTGGTGGCTCATGCCTGTAATCCCAGCTACTCCGGAGGCTGAGGCACGAGAATTGCTTGAACCCCGGGAGGCGGAGGTTACAGTGGCAAAATGTTGATTTTCTAATTCTCTCATTCTTTCTGTACTTTTTTATCTGGAATTCTTCTATGGAGACAAAGTATTCCCCATTAATTACTTGGTGACCTTGGGGTTCTGCCTGGGGACAGAAATGCCATGATAAATGTTTAATTCTTTCCATTTATCAGTTTGCAGAGTTATGAGATGGTGCTTTAGCATGGTGAGGGTTATTAAAATTATCTCTGTGGGCTCACATACATATTTTACATACTTCAATCAATTACACTCATTATTGTTTATGATGCTCAAATTATTTCTTGTTTGGCCAGTGGGAGCCCCTTCAAGGTGACTCCTGTGCCTTCCTGATAGTATCCTGGCAAGCTGTCCCAGGTTTGTGTTATAAATTTCCTGTCTCAGATGTGGAATCAGCCATTTGGGGGCTTTTCTTTTTTAAAACTTAATCCACTGGCTGGCCACGGTGGCTCATGCCTGTAATCCCAGCACTTTGGAAGGCCAAGGCAGGCGGATCATCTGAGGTCAGGAGTTTGAGACTAGCCTGGCCAACATGGTGAAACCCCATCTCTACAAAAATACAAAAATTAGCCAGGCATGATGGCGGGTGCCTGTAATCCCAGCTACTTGGGAGGCTGAGGCAGGAGAATCGCTTGAACCCGGGACCAGAGGTTGCAGTGAGCCGAGATCGTGCCACTGCACTCCAGCCTGGGCAACAGAGCAAGACTCTGTCTTAAAACAAACAAACGAAAACCAAAAAAACCCAAGTTAATCCACTTATGAATAAAAATTACCTCAAAATACTGATTTGCTACATCCAGTAAGTTTTGGTGTGAAATACTAACATTCCAGTTGAGATATAAATATTTTGTTTTTTCTTTTTTTAATCTTGAGACAGAGTCTTGCTGTGTTACCCAGGCTGGAGTGCAGTGGCTCAGTCACGGTTCACTGCAGCCTCAATCTCCTGGGCAGAGGCGATCCTCACACCTCAGCCTCCCAGGTAGCTGGGACTATGGGCATGGCCACACCTGATTAATTTTTTCTATTTTTTGTAGAGACGGGGTTTCACCATGTTGCCCAGGTAGGGCTCGAACTCCTGGGCTCAAGTGATCCTCCTGCTTCAGCCTCCCAAATTGCTGGGATTACAAGCATGAGCCACCGTGCCCAGCCTATTTTGTAATTTTTATTTTGATTTACTCTTTTTAAAAAACAGTTTTATTGGGATGTAATTTACATACTATACAACTCACTGATTTAAAGTGTACAATTCAATGGTTTTTAGTATATTACCAGATATATGCCACCATCGTGACAGTTGGGACATTTGAATCACTTCAGAAGGAAACCCTTCAGTAAGCTGGGGACACAACAAAGAAATACAAAAGTAAAACAAGAAAAGGAGAATGAAGAAAATCAATTTCTTAAAAAAAGAAAAAAAAGAAACCATATCCTTTAGTTATCATTCCCTCATCCCTCATCCTCCCAACCTCCCAACCTCCCAACCTCCCAACCTCCCAACCTTAATAACCACAAATCTACTTTCTGTCTCTATAGGTTTTTCGATACTAGACATTTTTTTCTTTTTCTTTTTTTTGAGACAGGGTCTGGCTCTGTCACCCAGGCTGGAGTGCAATGGTGATCTTGGCTCACTGCCACCTGCGCCTCCTGGGCTCAAGTGATCCTCCCCCCTCAGCTTCCCACATAGTTGGGATGACAGACATGAGATACTGCACCTGGCTGCTATTCTGGACTTTCATAGAGTGGAATAATATAATATGTGGTCATGTCTTTGAAGTTCATCCATGTTATAGCATGAGTTCATTCCTTTTTATTTTTAAATTATTTTATTTTTATTATTTTATTTTTTTAAGGGACAGATCTCTCTCTCTCTCTCTCTCTCTCTCTCTCTCCCTCCCTCCCTCCCTCCCTCTCTCTCTCTCTCTCTCTCTCTCTCTCTCTCTCTCGACAGGTTCTCACTCCGGTTTCCCAGGCTGGAGTGCAGTCGCACCATCTTAGCTCACTGCAGCCTCGACATTCGGGGCTCAGGTGATACTCCCACCTCAGCCTCCCGAGTAGCTGGCACTACAGGCATGTGCCACCCACGTCCAGCTAGGTTTTGTATTTTCAGAAGAGATGGGGTTTCGCTATGTTGCCCAGACTGGTCTCCGACTCCTGCGCTCAAGTGATCTGCCTGCATCAGCCTCCGAAAGTGCTGGATTACAGGGGTGAGCCACCGAACCTGGCCCCATTCCTTTTTTAAAAACAGCTTTATTGAGATATAATGTACACAGCACACAATTAACTCATTTAAAGTGTAGAATTCAATGGCCATTAGTGTATTTATAAAATTGTGCAACCATCACCATAGTCAATGTTAGAACCTTTTTATCCGGCCGGGTGTGGTGGCTCACGCCTGTAATCCCAGCACTTTGGGAGGCTGAGGCAGGTGGATCACCTGAGGTCAGGAGTTCGAGACCAACCTGGTCAACATGGCGAGACCCCATCTGCACTAAAAATACAAAAATTAGCCGGGTGTGGTGGCTTATGCCTGTAATTCCAGCTAGTCCAGAGGCTGAGGCACGAGAATTGCTTGAACCCCGGGAGGCGGAGGCTGCAGTGGCAAAATGTTGATTTTCTAATTCTCTCATTCTTTTTGTACTTTTTTATCTGGAATTCTTCTATGGAGACAAAGTATTCTCCATTAATTACTTGGCGACCTTGGGGTTCTGCCTGGGGACAGGCGTGGTGGCTCACGCCTGTAATCCTAGCACTTTGGGAGGCTGAGGTGGGCGGATCACTTGAGGTCAGGAGGTGGAGACCAGCCTGACCAACATAGTGAAACCCTGTCTCTACTAAAAATATAAAAATTAGTCAGGCGTGGTGGCGGATGCCTGTAATCCCAGCTACTCGGTAGGCTGAGGCAGGAGAATCACTTGAACCCAGGAGGCAGAGGTTGCAGCAAGCCGAGATCATGCCACTGCACTCCAACCTGGGGGACAAGTGCGAAACTCTGTCTCAAAAAAAAAAAGGCCAAAAAAAGAACCTTTTTATCTCCTCAAAAAGAAACTCTGTACCCTCTAGCCATCATCCCCCTACTCCTTAGCACCCTCCTCCACGCCCAGCCCTAAGCAGCCACTGCTCTACTTTCTGTGTCTGTAGATTTCTAAGTTGCAAACTTTCGTATGACTAGAATCATATAATATGTGGTCTTTTCATTTATATGTGGCTTCTTTCATTTAGCATAATGTTTTCAAGGTCCATCCAAGCTGTAGCATCTATTAGTACTTCATTCCTTTTTATTGCTGAATAATATTCCATTGTATGGATATAACACATTTTGTTTATGCATTCGTCCGTTGATGGACATTTGGATTTCCACCTTTTGGCTTTTATGAATATTGCTGCTATAAACATTTTTGTTTTTATTTTTCATTGTTTGTTTGAGACGGAGTTTTGCTCTTGTTGCTCAGGCTGTAGTGCAGAGGCACGATCTCGACTCACTGCAACCTCTGCCTCTCGGTTTCAAGCGATTCTCCTGCCTCAGCCTCCTGGATAGCTGGGATTACAGGCACCCGCCACCACGCCTGGCTAATTTTTGTATTTTTAGTAGAGACGGGGTTTCACCATGTTGGCCAGGCTGGTCTCGAACTCATGACCTCAGGTTATCTGCCCGCCTTGGCCTCCTAAAGTGCTGGGATTACAGGCGTGAGCCACTGCTCCCGGCCTGCTTTAAACATTTTATATAGGTTTTTGTGTAGACATATGTTTCCATTTCGCTTCAGTGTATACCTAGAAGTGTGATTGCTGGGTCATATGGTAACTATTTGAGGAACTGCCAGACTATATGCCACAGCAGCTGTACCATTTTCCATTCCCACCAGCAATGTATGAGGTCTCTGATTCCTCCACATTCTCACCAGCACTTGTTACTATGACTTCTTTGGCTGTGTTCTTTTTATTTTACTCTTCAGCAGGTTTTTTTTTTTCTTTTCTTTTCTTTTTTTTTTGAGACGGAGTCTTGCTCTGTTGCCCAGGCTGGAGGGCGGTGGCGCGATCTTGGCTCACTGCAACCTCGGCCTCCCGGTTCGCGCCATTCTCCTGCCTCAGCCTCCCGAGTAGCTGGGACTACAGGCACCCGCTGCTGCACCCGGCTAATTTTTTGTATTTTTAGTAGAGACAGGGTTTCACCGTGTTAGCCAGGATGGTCTCGATGTCCTGACCTCGTGATCCGCCTGCCTTGGCCTCCCAAAGTGCTGGGATTACAGGCATGAGCCACCGTGCCCGGCCAGGTTTTCTTTTTAACTGAAGTTCGTAGCTTACATTAAGGTTCACTCTTTGCACTGTACATTCTGTGGATTTGGACAAATGTATAATGACATGTATCCACCATTACAGTATCACACAGAATAGTTTTGATACCCTAAAAATTCCCCATGTTCCACCTACTTATCCCTCCTTCCTTCCCTCCCTTCCAACCCTTGGCAACCATTATGTTTCCATAGTTTTGCCTTTTCCAGAATGTCATATAGTTGGAATCAAACAATATGTAGACTTTTTAGTTTGGCTTCTTTTACTCAGCAATATGCATTTAAAGTTCCTCCATGTCTTTTTCTGGTTTCATAGCTCATTTCTTTTTTATCACTCAATAACATTCCATTGTATGAATGTACCACAGTTTGTTTATCTATTCACCTATTTTAGGACATCTTGGTTGCTTCCACATTTGGCAATTATGAATAAAGCTGTTATAAACATTCATGTGCAGGTTTTTATGTGGACATAAGTTTTCAATTCATTTGTGTAAATACCAAAAAGTGCGATTGCTGGATCATATGGTAAGAGTATGTTTAGTTTCGTAAGAAACTGCCAAGCTGTCTTCCAAAGTGGCTGTACCATTTTGCATTCCCACCCACAATGAATGAGAGCTCCTGTTGCTTATTATGACTTTCTGATTCTAGCCATCCTACTGGGTACAAAGTGGTATCTCATTCTCATTTTGACTTGAATTCCTCCAATGGGTAATGATATTGAGCATCTTTTCATGTGCTTATTGGCCATTTATATATTCCTTGGAGAGATACCGATCATGTTATTCAGATCCTTTGCCTATTTTTAAAATGTTGGCCTGTCTTATTATTATTGAATTTTAAGAGTTTTTAATTCTAGATACAAATTCCTTAATGGATTTATGATTTGCAAATATGGTCTCCCATTCTGTGGGTTTTTTGTGCAATTTCCTTTTTTTTTTTTTTGACACGGAGTGTTGCTCTGTCGCCAGGCTGGAGTTTAGTGCAGTGGTGCAATCTCGGCTCACTGCAACTGCCACCTCCTGGGTTCAAGTGATTCTCCTGCCTCAGCCTCCCGGGTAACTGGGACTACAGCCGCCTGCCACCATGCCTGGCTAATTTTTTTTTTTTTTTTTTTTTTTTGTATTTCTAGTAGAGACGGGGTTTCACCGTGTTAGCCAGGATGGTCTCGACCTCCTGACCTCATGATCCGCCCACGTCGGCTTCCCAAAGTGCTGGGATTACAGGCGTGAGCCACCGTGCCCGGCAATTGTGACTTACTCTTAAGCCCATGAGTTATTTAGTAACATTTTAGTGTTGTAAACATTTATTTTTAAAACTTATCTTTTTATTGTTCTTTTCTTTTTGAAAGTAAGGTTCTGACTGAGCATGGTGGTGCATGCCTGTAGTCCCAGCTACTTGGGAGGCTGAGATGGGAGGATGGTTTGGGCCCAGGAGTTTGAGGCCAGCCTGGGCAACAGACTGAGACTCTATCTCTAAAATTAAAATAATAATAATAATAATAGAGAGTGAGGTCTATTTAATATTAATTCTTTCCAATTTGTTGAGACTTCATTCATCATTTATATCTTTTTTTTTTTTTTTTTTTTTTAACAGAGTCTCGCTCTCTCACCCAGGCTGGAGTACAGTGGTGCAATCTCAGCTCACTGCAACCTCCGCTTCCCTGATTCAAGCTATTCTCCTGCCTCAGCCTCTCAAGTAGCTTGGATTACGGGTGCTTGCCACCACAGCTGGCTAATTTTTGTATTTTTAGTAGAGATGGGGTTTCACATGTTAGTCAGGCTGGTCTTGAACTCCTGACTTCGGGTGATCCACCCACCTCGGCCTCCCAAAGTGCTGGAATTACAGGTGTGAGCCACTGCATCCAGTCCATCATTTATATCTGATTTTTTTTTTTGTGAATGCTTCATATGTAACTAAGGAGAACGAACATATTTTTTCTTGTTGGTGAGTTTATCTTGTTCTGGGTTTGCTTATCTTGAATAAAAAACTTGTCTTTCTTGGCCGGGTGTGGTGGCTAACACCTACAATTCTAGCACTTTGGGAGGCCTAGGCAGGTGGATCATCCGAGGTCAGGAGTTTGAAACCAGCCTGGCCAACATGGTGAAACCCCATCTCTACTAAAAATACAAAACTTAGCCTGGTGTGGTGGCGCATGCCTGCAATCCCAGCTACCCAGGAGGCTGAGGCAGGAGAATCGCTGGAACTCAGGAGGTGGAGGCTTCAGTGAGCTGAGATCACCCCATGGCACTCCAGTCTGGGCGACAGAGGGAGACTCTGTCTGAACAACAAAACAAAACAAAACAACTACAACAACAGCAGCAAAAAACTTCCTCCAAATTTGGGAAGTTTTCAGCCATTATTTCTTCAAATATTTTTTCTGCACCAATCTGCTGGGACTCCAGAGCCACAAAAGTTAGATCTTTTGATATGTTTTCACAGGACTGAGGATCTGTTAAATTTTTTTCAATCTTCTTTCCATTCTTTATTTTTTTTATTTTTAAAATTTATTTATTTATTATTATTATTTTTTTAGTTGGAGTCTCGCTCTGTCACCCAGGCTGGAGTGCAGTGGTGTGATTTCGGCTACTTACAACCTCTGCTTCCCAGATTCAATTGATTCTCCTGCCTCAGCCTCTCGAATAACTGGGATCACAGGTGCTCACCACCACACCTGGCTAATTTTTGTATTTTTAGTAGAGACAGGGTTTCACCATGTTGGTCAGGCTGGTCTCTTAACTCCTGACCTCGTGATCCACCCGCCTCGGCCTCCCAAAGTGCTGGGATTACAGGCGTGAGCCACCGCGCCCGGCCCAGCCAGTATATTTTTTTAGGTGTGATTAACATTTAAATCAGTGGACTTCGAGTAGAGTATATTATCCTCTATAATGTGAGTAAGCCTCATGTAATCAGTGGGAGTCTGTAGAAGTAAAGAGGAAGAAAGAATTCTGCCTCCAGACTGCTTTCAGAATCAAGATTGTAGCATGCACTTTTCCCTGGGTCTCCAGCCTGCTGGCCTGCCTTACAGAACTTGGACTTGCCTATATATATATATACACAGAGAGAGAGAGAGACACACACACACATATGTCCTATTGGTTCTGTTCCTCTGGAGAACCCTGACTAATATACATGTATTTCTGCTATTGAGCCCATGTAGTGAGCTTTTAATTTGATATATTGTATTCTTATTATTTTTAGTGCATTGGTATTTTGTAGAGACTTCTTATTTATTTATTTATTTATTTATTTATTTATTTATTTTTAGATGAAGTTTCCCTCTTATTGCCCAGGCTGGAGTGCAATGGCACGATCTCGGCTAACTGCAACCTCTGCCTCCCGGGTACAAGCAAGTCTCCTGCCTCAGCCTCCTGAGTAGCTGGGATTACAGGCATGTGCCACCACACCCAGCTAATTTTGTATTTCTATTTGAGACAGGGTTTCACCATGTTGGTCAGGCTGGTTTCAAATTCCTGACCTCAAGCGATCCGCCTGCTTCAGCCTCCCAAAGTGCTGGGATTACAGGTATGAACCACTGCACCCGGCCAAGACTTCATTTTTAGAGCAGTTTTAGGGTCACAGCAAAATTAAGAGGAAGGTACAGAGATCTCCATATATCCCTTGCCCCACACATGTATAGCCTCCCACATGATCAACATCCCCCACCAGAGTGGTTCTTTTATTACAATTGATGAACCTACATCAACAATCATAATCACCCGAAGTCCATAGTTTACATTAGGATTCACTCTTGGTGTTGTATATTTTATGGGTTTGGACAAATATATAATGACATGTTATCCATCCTCATAGTATCATACAGAGTATTTTCACTGCCCTAAAATATATTGTATTTTTACTCTCTAAAATTTCCATTTGGTTATTTTTTATAGTTTCTTTCTACTCTGCTGAGTACTATATTTTCATTTATTTAAAGAATGTTCAAGCCAGCTGTGGTGGCTCACTCCTGTAATCCCAGCACTTTGGGAGACCGAGGCTGGAGGCTTGCTTGAGCCCCCAGAGGGCGAGGCTGCAGGGAGCCGAGATCATTCCACTGCACTCCAGCTTGTGCTACGGAGCAAGACCTTGTCTCAAAAAAATAAAACTAAATAAAAAATAAAGAAGAAGAGTGTTCACCTTTACCTTTACCTCACCTCACAGAGCATAATTATAATCACTGCTTTGAAGTCTGTCTTGTAATTTCAACATCTGAATCATCTTGGATTTTGCATCTGTTGAATGTCTTTCCTCTTGAGAATTACAGTTTCTTGGTTCTTTGTATGCAAAGTAATTTTGGATTAGATCCTGGACATTTTTAAATACTATATTGTAAGAATCTGGGTCCTGTTCAAGTCCTCTGGTGAATGTGATTTTTTTTTTTTTTAAATCAGGCTATCAACCTGGTTAGGCTCAGACTACAAGTTCTATCTTACCTTCTGTGTGCAGTTGGTTCAGTGTCAGTTCAATTTTCAAAGCCTTTGCCACGCTATTTTGGGCTTATTTCACATATGGCCTCCTCAGGGGTTAGTCTGCTGTTTTAAATCGTAGTTCAGTTTTCAAAGTCTGCTGTTTATTTGGGTCTGACTCACGCATGCTCAGCTCAGAGATGAGTCTGGGATTTGTGCCATGTTCATACACACACACAATTAAAGGATCCTCTCTCCAGTTCTCTCCTCTGTGATTCCCTCCACACTGTCCAGTTTTCAGGGGCCCATTTTCTCAGTCTTCTGGCCAGTAAAATGGGGCTCCTTGGAGTTTTCTTCCCTGCATCACCTACAGCAGCTTTGCTGGAGACTTCCTCACTGATAAATGTTGGAAGAGAAGGTGGGGAAAAAAATATAAGTAACTCATCCCTGTATGAGCACTGTTTCAAGTTTTGGTTTTTCTTCCCAATTTACCTAGTCTTGCTTACTTTTCAGAGTTCTCAGGTAGTTGCTTTTTGTGTTTTCTACAGAAATTTTAGTTGTCATAAGTGGGAGAGAGAGACTACAGTGGACTTACTCCATCTTGGCTGGCAACAGAAATCAGTACATCCATAATATTTCTTTTTCTTTTTCTTTTTGAAACGAAGTCTTGCTCTGTCACCTGGGCTTGAGTGTAGTGGCGTGATCTTGGCTCACTGCAACCTCCACTTCCCAGGTTCAAGCAATTCTCCTGCCTCAGCCTCCCGGGTAGCTGGGATTACAGGCGTGTGCCACCACACCTGGCTAATTCTTTTTTTGTATTTTTATTATTTTTATTTTATTTTTTTTTGGGGGGATGGAGTCTCGCTCTGTCACCAAGCTGGAGTGCAGTGGCGCGATCTTGGCTCACTGCAATCTCTGACTCCCTAGTTCAAGCGATTCTCCTGCCTCAGCCTTCCAAGTAGCTGGGGTTACAGGCATGTGCCGCCACGCCCAGCTAATTTTTGTATTTTTATTAGAGACAAGGTTTCACCATGTTGGCCAGGCTGGTCTCAAACTCCTGACCTTGTGATCCGCCCACCTCAGCCTCCCAAAGTGCTGGGATTACAGGCGTGAGCCACCGCGCCCAGCCTTTTTTTTGTATTTTTAGTAGAGACGGGGTTTCACCATGTTGGCCAGGCTGACCTCAAGTGATCCACCCGCCTCGGCCTCCCAAAGTGCTGGGATTACGGGCGTGAGCCACCACACCCGGCCCATAATATTTCTTTTAGTGAGTTTGTGAGTGGTAAACAATACTTTTTTATATGTCTATAAATGTCTCTATTTTGCCTTTACTCTAGAAAAATCATTTATCTAGGTATAAAATCCTAGGTGGCTAATTATTTCCTTTTTCACTTCGAAAATATCATTCTGCTGTCTTCTGGTATCAGTTGTTGGCAGATGCAAAGTTGGCTAATGATTTAATTTTCATTTCTTAGTGCTAATGCCTTTTTTTTCCCTCTTTCGTTTTTTGGTCTAGACAGGTTTTTTTGTTTTTTTTTTTTGAGACAGAGTCTCGCTCTGTCACCCAGGCTGGAGTGCAGTGGCGCGATCTTGGCTCACTGCAAGCTCCGCCTCCCGGGTTCACACCATTCTCCTGCCTCAGCCTCCCAAGTAGCTGGGATCACAGGCGCCCACAGCCACGCCCGGCTAATTTTTTGTGTATTTTTAGTAGAGACGGGGTTTCACCGTGTTAGGCAGGATGGTCTCGATCTCCTGACCTTGTGATCTGCCTGCCTCGGCCTCCCAAAGTGCTGGGATTACAGGCGTGAGCCACCGTGCCCAGCCTAGACACATTTTTTGTTCACTCTGACACCCAGGCTGGAGTGCAGTGGTCTCATCATGGCTCACTGCAGCCTCCTCCTCCTGGGCTTCAGCAATCCTCTGCCTTAGCCTTTTGAGTAGCTTGGACCACAGGCATGTGCCACCATGCCTGGCTAATTAAAAAAAAAAACTTTTTTTTTTTGGTAGAGATAGGGTTCTCCCCATGTTGCTCCAGCTGGTCTAGAACTCCTGAGCTCAAGCTCTCCTCCTGCCTCAGACTCCCAAAATGCTAGGATTACAGGTGTGAGACACAGCTGGCCTCTTTTGCAGTTTTTTTTTGTTTTTTGTTTCTTTTTTGAAACAGGGTCTCACTCTGTCACCCAGGCTGGAGTGCAGTGGCACGATTGTGGCTCATTGCAGCCTGGAACTCCTGGGCTCAAGCCATCCTTCCACCTCAGCCTCTTGAATAGCTGAGACTACAATGTACGTCACCATGCCTGGCTAATTTTTTTTTGTATTTTTTTGTAGGGACGGGTTTTTGCCATGTTGCCTAGGCTGGTCTCAAACTCCTGGGCTCAAGCAGTCCTCCTGCCTCGGCCTCCCAAAGTGCTGGGATTACAAGCGTAAGCCACCTCGCCCAGCCTACTCTCTCTTTTGACTGAGGTTGCTTTTTTGTCCAGAAACTGGCTGGGTTGTAAGAAGATGTGGGCTGTAGATCTCCAGTTTCTCATGAGTTCAAAGGCTAGACTAATCCCCTTTTTATAGACAAAATGACATGGATTCCAAAATTTTTAGATAGGGGTTGTTCCCACAGTCCACATAGTTCTCATTTCTGGGCTTATATCCTACCAGTACCTATTTCTTTCACTGGTTCATGGAAATCTGCAGCTTTCATGAAGACAACTTCCTTCACTAGCTAACTTCCTTCACTACTTCATTGCTTTGCATTTCTTTATTCCTTTTAAGATATTTAAATATATATTTTTTTGTTTTTTGTTTGTTTTGTTTTGTTTTTGTTTTTGAGATGGAGTCCTACTCTGTCGCCCAGGCTGGAGTGCAGTGGTGCGATTTTGTCTCACTGCAACCTCTGCCTCCTGGGTTCAAGCAATTCTCCTGCCTCAGCCTCCCAAATAGCTGGGATTACAGACATGCGCCACCATGCCCGGCTAATTTTTGTGTTTTTAGTAGAGACGGGGTTTCACCATGTTGGCCAGGCTGGTCTCAAACTCCTGACCTCAGGTGATCCACCTGCCTCGGCCTCCCAAAGTGCTGGGATTACAGGCATGAGCCACTGCACCCGGCCTTAAATATATTTCAGGGTAACTTTAAAGCCACTTAAAGCCATCTCATGGATCTTTTGTCTCCTTCCTTCCTTCCTTCCTTCTTCCTTTCCTCCTTCCTTCCTTCTTTCCTTCCTTCCCTCCTTCCTTCTTTTCTTCCTTTCTTCCTTCTTCCCTCCTTCCTTCTTTTTTTCCTTTCTTCCTTCTCCCCTCTGTCCCTCTAATTATCCAGTCATTTACTTAACATTAATTGAATTAATATGCCAGGTTCTATACTAGGTCCAGGGTTAGAGAGAGAAATAAAACTCAGACCCTTTCCTCAGGATTCCTCAGCCTCTTCAATGCATTAATCCAGGCTGGGCTTGGTGGCTCACGCCTGTAATCCCAGGACTTTGGGAGGCCATGGCAGGTGGATCTCTTGAAGTCAGGAGTTCGAGACCAGCTTGGCCAACATGGTAAAACCCCATCTCTACTAAAAATACAAAAATTACCCAGGCATGTTGGCACACGCCTGTAATCGCAGCTACTCAGGAGGCTGAGGTAGGAGGATTGCTTGAACCCAGGAGGCAGAGGCTGCAGTGAGCTGAGATCGCGCCAGATGCAGATGTCACTAAATTAAAGATCTTGGGATGGGGAGATTATCCAAGATTATCCAAGCAGGGCCAACGTAATCTCAAAGATCCTTATAAAAGGGAAGTGGACCCGGTGCAGTGGCTCATGCCTCCAGCACTCCAGCCTGCACTCCAGCCTGGGCAACAGATCGAGACTGCATCTCAAAAAAATAAAAATTAAAAAAGTAATAAATAAATAAAGCATTGTTAATCCAGAGAAAACAATTTCATGACATAGAGCAGAACTGTAAAGAACTTGTGAAGTTGTGCTAGAAAAGTCTTTGATTTAAGTTAATCTATTGGCCAGGCACGGAGCTCATACCTGTAATTCTAACACTTTGGGAGGCCGAGCCGGGAGGATCATTTGAGTCCAGCAGTTAGAAACCAGCCTGGGGAATATGGTGAAACCCCGTCTCTACAAAAAATCAGGCCAGGCTCAGTGGCTCACGCCTTAATCCCAGCACTTTGTGGGGCAAAGGTGAGCAGATCACTTGAGGTCAGGAGTTCGAGACCAGCCTGGCCAACATGGTGAAACCCTGTCTCTACTAAAAATACAAAAATTAGCTGGGTGTGGTGCGGGGTGCCTCTAATCCCAGCTACTTGGGAGGCTGAGGCAGGAGAATCGCTTGAACCTTGGAGGTAGAGGTTGCAGTGAACCGAGAACGCACACTCCAGCCTGTGTGACAGAGCAAAATTCCTTCTCAAACAAAAACAAAAACAAAAAAACAACAGCAACAAAAAACACAAGACACTTTTATTATCTCACACTGTCAGTGAGTCAGGAGATTGAGCATGGTTTAGCTAGATGTTCTGCTTATGGCTCACAGAGCTTCAATCAAGGTGTTGGAGGGACTGCAGTTTCATCTGCTTGCAAGCTCACGTGGTTGTTGGCAACCTTTAGTTTCTAGCAGGCTGCTGCACTGATGTCCTCAGTTTCTCGCTGGCTGTTAGCCAGAGGCTGCCCTCAGCTCCTTGCCATATGGCCCTCTCCATACACAGCTTGCTTCTTTTATGCCAACAAGGAGAGAGTGTCTTTGCAAGAGGGGCATTACAATCATCATGTAATCATTCTGAACGTAATGTACTCATGTATATGTAACCATGTACATCCTGTCACCTTAGACATATATTACTGATCAGAAGCAAGTCATGGTTCCTCCCACTTTCAAGAGGAGGGGATCACACGGGAGCATGAACAGCAGGAGGCAGGGATCATGAGTGCCACTCTAGAGTCTGTGTGTCATAAATATGTATACATTTTTTTTCTAGCTGTGTCCATTGAAGTAGCCTAAAAGCAACTTCACTCTGTAATAATGAACATCTCTAGTGCTCAGGTTGTGGTCCTTAAAAACCATTCCCCCGGCCTGGCGCAGTGACTCACACCTGTAATCCTAGCACTTTTGGAGGCCGAGGGGGGCGGATCACCTGCGGTCGGGAGTTTGAGACCAGCCTGACCAACATGGAGAAACCCCGTCTCTACTAAAAATACAAAATTAGCTGGACATGGGGGTGGGCAGCTGTAATCCCAGCTACTTGAGAGGCTGAGGCAGGAGAATCGCTTGAACCTGGGAGGCGGAGGTTGCGGTGAGCCGAGATCGCACCATTGCACTCCAGCCTGGGCAACAAGAGCAAAACAACAACAACAACGACAACAACTACAACAAACCAAACCATCCCCCCCATTAAAGGGAAGCTGGGCTCTTTGAAGCAATGTCTTATTCCAGGTCTGGGGCAGGGAAAGTATAAGGAAAGCCAAGTCTATTTGATTGTGCTAGAAATCAGTCAAATTCTCAAGTATCATTTGGGTCATATACCATTGGTCACAGTCATGACATTTAGAACATTATAAAGGCTAATGGTGGAAACAGATGGAATCTATGAAAAAGTCCATGATTTTTTTTCTTTTTTGAGACAAGGTCTTGCTCTGTTGCCCAGGCTGGAGTGCGGTGGTGTGATCCCAGCTCACTGCAGCCATGACCTCCTGGGTTCAAACAGTCCTCCCACCTCAGCCTCCCGGGTAGCTGGAACAACAGGCTCCTGGCTAATTTTTCTTTTTTCTTTTTTTGTAGAGATGAGGTCTCACTATGTTGCCCAAGCTGGTTTCAAAATCCTGGCCTCAAGTGATCCTCTCGCCTCGGCCTCCCAAAGCACTAGGATTACAGGCATGAGCCACTGCACCGGGTCCACTTCCCTTTTATAAGGATCTTTGAGATTACGTTGGCCCTGCTTGGATAATCTTGGATAATCTCCCCATCCCAAGATCCTTAATTTAGTGACATCTGCATAGTCCCTTTTGCCATGTAAAAGATTCCAGAAACTAGATTATGGATATCTTTAAGGGGCCATTATTCTGTCTACTACAGAATGTGGGTTTTAGTTTTTAGTTTTGTGTTTGCATTTTCTAATTTTATGTAATGTGCATGAATTACTTAAAGTGCATATGTTAAAAATAGAACAATGTTATAGTTTATTTTCAAGTGACATGAAATGTGGTTATTTATCTTTTATTAACTATTAACTTTTTTTTTTTTTTTTTTGAGATGGAGTCTCACTCTGTCGCCCAGGCTGGAGTGCAGTGGTGCGATCTCGGCTCACTGCAAGCTCCGCCTCCTGGGTTCACGCCATTTTCCTGCCTCAGGCTCCCGAGTAGCTGGGACTACAGGTGTGCACCACCACGCCTGGCTAATTTTTATATTTTTAGTAGAGACAGGGTTTCGCCATGTTGGCCAGGCTGGTCTCAAACTCCTGACCTCAAGTGATCTGCCCACCTCGGCCTCCCAAAGTGCTGGGATTATAGGCATGAGGCACCTCGCCTGTCCTGAAGCTTCAGTTTCATATGTAGCCAGTTATTACTTCATGCTAAATCAGAAAATTCCAATTCATAATTTTACGTTGTCAGAAATGGCAGCAAGAGTTTGGTAGCTAGGTCAGAAACTTCTGTGTGTTGGATGGAACAGGGACCCACAAATTGAGAAGTCATTTCTTCCATTTAGTGGGCAGGAGCCAAGAATGTCATATGTCCTTCAATGCATGTGACATTCCTGCAAGGAAGAATTTTCCTACGTCTAACATAATTTTCAAATGTCTCCCTAGACATTTGTGTATATGAAAACCTATTTGTGATTATCTGAGCCTAAACTTAACCTTGTTTTACCTGTAAACTCAAAGTACTACTTTTTTATGAAATTTATTTTTTTTAAAATATGAAATGCTTTCACAAATGTGCATGTCATCTAGCAGGATGTCATCTAGCACAGGGGCCATACTTATTTTCTTAGTATCAATATAATTCCAATGTTAGTATATTGCTGCTAAAGCAAGCAATAACTCAAAGGATTTTCTGCACGGTTTTAATATATGTGGAATTTTCCAGGAACGGAACTACTATGTAAATTGAAAGGAGTGTGTGTTGTTTTGTTTGGAACTTTTCCAAGAATAGCTTAATGTTTTAGAAAATCACACCAATGACATAAATGTCATTTATGGGCTGTGCTGGATATCTTCCATTTGCCTTTCCAGATTCACTCCACCCTTCTTTACCTACTCTGTGCCCAGCAAAGGGGCTGTAGCAACAGGTTTCCTTGCCTTCCAGCTTCTGGGTGGGTTCACTCAGTGGGAAGCATTGGCAGGAGATCTGGAAGGTGGGAGGAGAGTGAGGTGTGCCATTTGAAATGACCATCAAGGCTAGGTTGAATGTGCAAAGCCATATTCCATTAGAAAATGAAAACGTAATATATAAGTTTGGGTCCAAGCTGGTTGGAAGGCACAAGTAAACTGCATGAAGAGGTGGTTCAGACCCTCACGATGCTTGCTGCTACTGGTTTACTTCTCCTTTAACCCAGATCTGCGACTTCCTGGAGAGTTCCCTATGACTGGATAACAGAGAAAGAGCAAGGTTTATGATGCACAGTTTCCCAGCACAACCTAAAAGTGGGTGGTAGCTGCATTCTAGCCCCTGAAAGACAGTGGTGAAGGGGCAACACTTTGGGCAGTACTTCTTGTTGTCCCTTTCATGTGGAAGGAGAGATGGCCTATTTTCTCTACGGGCATATTGTTGGGAGAGGTGATCCCCCATGGCCCAGAGAGTTCCTGCTTGTTCTTGCTGGGCATGCCAAAAATGCAAGGTCCTGACTGCTCTTTAGCTGGGCCGTTTATCAGGGCTCTATTGCCAGGAGCTGCCTTGGGGGATGAGGTGATATCTCCTTCTGGGACAAAGAGCAGGCTTGCTTTCCCCAAGGCTGGTATTCCTTGGCTGTGAGGCAAACCTGCACTGTGTACACAGTGTATCCACCTGGGCCCCTTCGCAAGGTCCTGTGGGACTTGGAGACTTAGGGAACTGCATGATCCCATGTGAGACTTAGAGAACTGACACAAATATGCTGATGCTCATGCTGCTAGCTCGTGTTGCTGACATCCGTGAAATGGATATGTGGATCCACAAAAGGCTAACGTGTAAATAGGGGGAAATCCCAGACCCTGGCAAATATTCGTTAGAAACATTGCAGTTGGTTTTACAAGCTTTTGGACATCATGTGACTTGTATGTGATTTCGCATTGGAGGGTACAACTCAATTATTTCTCTGTAGTTTTGGTCCCTAAGGGAAAAACTTTGTCACTTTTGTGTTTGAATGATTTTTTTTTGTTGTTGTTATTCAGGCAAAACTCCACTGGCAAAGGTATCACTGCACATCTGTTGGAAAAAACAGGTCACTTTTAATAACTTCATGAACGTGTTTGACAGAGTTTCATAGCAAACAGTACTAAGGACTAAGGGCAACTGGATTGCCGATATAATAAACCAGAAATTTAAATATTGTCATTTTTTTCTATTCATCCTATAGATGGATAACATCACATGCCTCAAATTCCAATTGTTTATAATATTATTTTGCCCCTTTCTTTTCCATAGTAGCTTTTAAGCTTCTCAGATCTGTCTTTACTTTTTTCAGTTCTAAATAATGGAATTCCAGCATTTCATCTGCAACACCACAGGCCCTCCTGACTGCTGGTATAAGAAATCCTAGCAACGGAATAAGGAAAAAGTTATTTTTCTGGTCTCTTAAAATACCCTTGAAAATGTTATTTCTAACAAAGGGCTCTTGTAAGACATCTAGAACTCTGAGCTTGTGACTTGATCTATGAATGTAACCTTGGCCTTAAAAAACCTGAAATTCTTGGCCAGGCGCGGTGGCTCACGCCTGTAATCTCAGCACTTTGGGAGGCTGAGGTGGGCAGATCACCTGAGGTCAGGAGTTTGAGACCAGCCTGGCCAACATAGTGAAACCTCGTCTCTACTAATAATACAAAAATTAGCCAAGCGTCGTGGCACACCCGTGTAATCCCAGCTACTCTGGAGACTGAGGCAGGAGAATTGCTTGAACCCGGGAGGCAGAGGTTGCAGTGAGCCAAGATCATGCCACTCCACTCCAGCCTGGGCAACAGAGTGAGACTCTGTCTCCGAAAAGAAAAGAAAAGAAGAAAAGTCTGTAATTCTTTTGGTTTGTATCAATTAATAATCTGTTCCCCTAGTGATAATATTTAAATTGACCTCTCCATGTCCTAAAAGCTGTGAATACCTATGAGTTTTCTTTTCTTTTCTTTTCTTTTTTGAGACGGAGTCTCTCTCTGTCGCCCAGGCTGGAGTGCAGTGGCGCGATCTCAGGTCACTGCAACCTCCACCTCCCTGGTTCAAGCAATTCCCCTGCCTCAGCCTCCCGAGTAGCTGGACTACAGGCGCACGCCACCACACCCGGCTGATTTTTTTGTAGTTTTAGTAGAGGCAGGGTTTCACCATGTTGGCCAGACTGGTCTCGAACTCCTGACCTCAGGCAATCCACCCGCCTCGGCCTCCCAAACTACTGGGATTACAGGGGTGAGCCACCTCCCCCGGCCAAGTTTTCTTTAATAGCTAAGTGAATTGAAAATTTTTGTGCAGACAAAACCCTGTATGTAAATGTTTATAGCAGTTTTATTTATTTTATTTATTTATTTTTGAGATAAATACATTTATTTATTTATTTATTTTCAGTTTTGCTCTGTCACCCAGGCTGGAGTGCAATGGCGTTATCTTGGCTCACTGCAACCTCCGCCTGCCAGGTTCAAGCAATTCTCCTGCCTCAGCCTCCCAAGTAACTGGGATTACAGGCGCACACTGCCACGTCCAGCTAATTTTAGTAGAGAAGGGGTTTCACCATGTTGCCCAGGCTGGTCTTGAACTCCTGACCTCAGGTGATCCACCCGCCGCAGCCTCCCAAAGTGCTAGGATTACAGGCATGAGCCACTGTGCCTGGCCTATAGCAGTTTTATTTATTTATTTATTTTTGAGACAGAATCTCTCTCTGTCACCCAGGCTGGAGTGCAATGGTGTGATCTCGGCTCACTGCAATCTCTGCCTCCCAGGTTCAAGCAATTCTCCTGCCTCGGCCTCTCGAGTAGCTGAGACTACAGGTGCGTGCTACCACACCTGGCTAATTTTTGTATTTTTAGTAGAGATGGGATTTCACCATGTTTGCTGTCTGTTCTCAAACTCCTAACCTCAAGTGATCCACCCACCTCAGCCTCCCAAAGTGCTGGGATTATAGGTGTGAGCCACCGTGCCTGGCCTTATAGCAGTTTTATTAATCAATAACTGGGAACAACCAAGATCTCCTTCAGCAAGTGAATGGATAAACAAACTGTGGTATATGTGTACAGTAGAATACTCGTCAATGAAAAAAAGGAAAGATCTATCGACTCACTCAACAATACAGGTGAATCTTGTTTTTTTGTTTTTTGTTTTTTTGGGATGGAGTCTTGCTCTGTCACCCAGGCTGGAGTGCAGTGGCACGATCTCAGCTCACTGCAAGCTCCGCCTCTCGGGTTCACGCCATTCTCCTGCCTCAGCCTCCCTAGTAGCTGGCACTACAGGTGTCCGCCACCACACTTGGCTAATTTTTTTGTATTTTTAGTGGAGACGGGGGTCTCACCGTGTTAGCCAGGATGGTCTCGATCTCCTGACCTCGTGATCTGCCCGCCTCGGCCTCCCAAAGTGCTGGGATTACAGGTGTGAGCCACCTCGCCCAGCCAAATCTTGTTTTCTTTTAGTGGCAAAATATATATAACAAACATAGATGAATCTTTTTTTTTTTTTTTTTTGAAACAGAGTCTCGCCGGGCGGGGTGGCTTATGCCTGTAATCCCAGCACTTCAGGAGGCTGAGGGGCATGGATCACGAGGTCAGGAGTTTGAGACCAGCCTAGCCAATATGGTGAAACCCGGTCTCTACTAAAAATACAAAAATTAGCCGGGTGTGGTGGCACGCGCCTGTATTCCCAGCTACTTGGGAGGCTGAGGCAGGAGAATTGCTTGAACCCGGGAGGCAGAGGTTGCAGTGAGTCGAGATCGCATCACTGTACTCCAGCCTGGGCGACAGAGTGAGACTCCGTCTAGAAAAAAAAAAATTACCCAGTCTCTGATAAGTCTTTATCAGCAGCGTGAGAACAGACTAATACAAGGCTCTGGGGGGAAATTCATTTCCTTGCCTTTTCTAGCTTCTGGAGGCCATCTGCATACATTAGTTGATGACCCCTTCCTCACATCACTTCAACCTCTTGCTGCTATCCTCACCTCTCATATGACGTCCTTTGACCTTCTTGCCATCCTCTTTTAAGGACCCTTGTTATTATTAATACATTTAGGGCCCACCTGGATAATCTAGGATAATCTCGTCTTGAGATCCTTAATATAATTACATTTGCCTAGTCCCTTTGTCATAGTAAGGTAACATTCACAGGTTTTGTGGATTAGGACAGGATATCTTTCCGGGGTCATTATTCAGTCTAGAACAAGACTGAAAATAGATCAGTGGTTGTCAGGGGTAGGGGAGAAGGAAGGGTTGAGTACATGAGGTTGGTGGTGGATATACGACTCTACAATTGTCAAAACCTGTGGAATGGTACAACCCCAAGAGTGAACATTACTGTGTGCAAATTGAAAAAAAGAATCAACCTGGTTTTCAGTGATTCCAGGATGAAATGCAGAGGATGACAAAATAAATTAATTGTACCTGGAGGAAATCGTTAAGTGAAATAAACCAGGCACAGAAAGACAAATACTGCACGATCTCACTTATATGTGGAATCTAAAAAAGGAAAAAATTGGCCGGGCGTGGTGGCTTACGCCTGTAATCCCAGCACTTTGGGAGGCCGAGGCGGGTGGACCACCTGAGATTGGGAGTTCAAGACCATCCTGACCAACTTGGAGAAACCCCGTCTCTACTAAAAATAGAAAATTAGCGGGCGTGGTGGCACATGCCTATAATCCCAGCTACTCGGGAGGCTGAGGCAGGAGAATTGCTTGAATCCAGGATGCGGAGGTTGCCGTGAGCTGAGATCGCGCCATTGCACTCCAGCCTGGGCAACAAGAGCGAAACTCCATCTCAAGAAAAAAAAAAAAAAAGTTGAAAAAATAAGAAATAAAGAAGCAGAGAGTAGAAAGGTGGTTACCAGGGGCTGAGGAAGGGGAGGGGTGCTGGTGTTGGGGAGATATTGGTCAAAGGATACAAAATTTCAGTTTGACAGGAGGAATAAGTTCAAGAGAGCTATTGTACATCATGGTGCTTGTAGTTAATAACAATATATTGCATACTTGAAAATTGCTAAGAGAGTATATTTTAGGTATACCACGAAACATGATAAGTGTGAGAAGTAATGCATATGTTAATTAGCTTGATTTAGCCATTTCACACAATGTATACATATTTCAAAACAACATGTTGTACAAGGTTAACAGACAATTTTTATTTGTCAATTAAAAATAATAAAATAATTTAATTTTATGAAAAATATATGACATTACTGAAGATGGTGGAGAAGAAGTTGCTGATTAAGCAACGTTTGCTAAAAAGTGTTTTGATAGTGTAAGGCTAAAGACAAAAAGGACCGTACATAGGCCAGGCGAGGTGGCTCACGCCTGTAATCCCAGCACTTTGGGAGGCTGAGGTGGGCAGATCACCTGAGGTCAGGAGTTCAAGACCAGCCTGGCCAATATGGTGAAACCCCATCTCTACTAAAAATATAAAAATTAGCCGGGTGTGGTGGCGGGCGCCTGCAATCCCAGCTACTAGGGAGGCTGAGGCAGGAGAATCGCTTGAACCTGGGAGATGGAGGTTGCGGTGAGCTGAGACCCCGCCACTGTACTCTAGCCTGGATGACAGAGTGAAACTGTGTCAAAAAACAAAAAAACAACAACAAAAAACTGTACATAAACACAGTACTTTAGTTGGGAGCATCAAAGAACAATATCACAAATATGTAGTTTTAAGATCTTAGTTTGCTTTTTTGTGTGTGATTCTAGAATTGGGCAACACTTTATTCTGTAAAATAGAGTAAATGTTCCAACGGACTGAGCAGAGGAGGTTGATTTTATAGACAGAAAGGGCTGAAGAAAGCAGAAACAAAGAACAAAAAGTGGACTGGTCATTTCGAAGTTACTTTCCTTGTAAAGTGGGAACAGGGAAACAGAACAATAGACAAATAATTGATTGGTTAACATGAGGTTACTTCAGATTACTTTTTGTTGTAAGGACTAAAGGCAAAGGGAACTTCATTATCATGCTGATGGAAACTGGCCTGCTTGGGATATTGGGCTTTGTCTGTCTCCTGATTTCTCAGAAGGCCAGCTAACAACTCAGTTTTAGTCTGATGATGTAGATCTTGTTTTGTTTTGTTTTGTTTTGTTTTGAGACAGAGTCTCGCTCTGTCGCCCAGGCTGGAGTGCAGTGGCGCAATCTCAGCTCACTGCAGCCTCCGCCTCCCGGATTCAAGCGATTCTCCTGCCTCAGCATCCCAAGTAGCTGGGACTACAGGCATGTGCCAGCATGCTCGGCTAGTTTTTGTATTTTTAGTTGAGATGGGGTTTCTCCATGTTGGTCAGGCTGGTCTTGAGCTCCCGATCTCAGGTGATCCTCCTGCCTCAGCCTCCCAAAGTGCTGGGATTACAGGCGTGAGCCACCGTGGCCGGCCTATATAAGGCATTTTAATAGCAAGAAAGTTATCAACAATTGCTAGGTTCCCGTCTAAAGGACTAAGGAGCCAACTTAAAGAAGTTCCTACTAGCCAAAATTAAAATAATTTGAGTATCAACAGAAATAATTGCAGTTGATTGAAACACATCAAATAAGTTTGAGCCCATTAATATATAATATTACTAAACAAACTTATTTTTACCTTTAAAAAAACCTGATTGAGGTAGAGGACTTCCAAAATAGTGGGATGAGGAGATCAGTAGATATACTCCCAAATGGAACAAACTTTAACTGGTGAAAATTATTATTGTTTTTTTCTTTTTGTCTTCATTTTTTTGGGGGGGAACAGGATCTTGCTCTGTCACCCAGGGCAGAGTGCAGTGGCATGATCATGGTTCACTGCAGCCTCAACCTCGCAGGCTGGTCTTGAACTCCTCAAGTGGAGAAACTTATTCAAGAAAATCTACCTACTAAACCTTGGGAAGAACAATGGGAGTCTGTGGCTTTTGAACCCCAAAATGCTTCCTGTCCTCTCACCTCAAGCTCAGTGTGTTAGAAGCTCTACTCTGGGAAGACACAGCCAAGAAGATGGGGCACCCTTTCTTCCCAGATCCCAGAGTAGGGCTATGGTTTTACTCTAGGAAGGGCATGCCATCAGCATCGCATCACCACCAGTTCTGTCTTACAGAAGTTGTATTCCAGGCAACTGCAGGGCAGAGGATTGGAGCTCCCTCCTCCTTCCAGCCTCCACCTTAGAGCAGAAGTTCTACTACATGGAGGCAGGCTGCAGTACTTTGCCTTGCTTATTCACAGGGTAGAGTTTCCACACCAGGAGGAGGGAGATGAGAAGACCAGGGGATACTATCTTTGCCCAGTGCCCCTCTTGAAGAGCAAGTGTGTCATTCTGGGAAAAGCAGGCCACCATCTTCCTCCCCCGGCCAGCTCAGGAGTAGTGGTACAGAGGTTCTGTCCAACAGGAGAGGCAAACCAAAAGAACAGATTGCTGGCTGGGTGTGGTGGCTCACGCCTGTAATTCCAGCACTTTGGGAGGCCAAGGCGGGCGGATCATTTGAGGTCAGGAGTTTGAGACCAGCCTGGCCAACATGGGGAAACCTTGTCTCTACTAAAAATACAAAAATTAGCCGAGCGTGTTGGTGGGCACCTGTAATCCCAGCTAGTCAGGAAGCTGAGGCAGGAGAATCACTTGAACTGGGAAGGTGGAGGTTGCAGTGAGCCAAGATCACGCCACTATACTCCAGCCTGGGCAACAGAACGAGATTCTGAAAAAAACAAAACAAAACAAAACAAAACCATAGAACAATCACCTAGAAATTAGAAGAGGCTAAGTGGGTGTGAAGTAGACCAGCCAAAAGCTTAACAGTTCATCAGGGAAATAGATAGAGAGCCTAGAGTCAGTCATCCCTGGTGGTCATGGAGACTGTGTGTGCCCAAGGCTGTGGCCTCTGAGGAAGACACCAGCGGCTCCACATTGCATGGGTACCTGGACTTCACCGAACTAGTCCAATCAAGTCACTAAACAAATAACAAGCAAATACAACAGGTCCTGGAGGTAGGTAAGGGGGAATCAGTATCCAGAGTTGCTACCATAGTCTCTAAAATGTCATTTTCAACAACAAAAAAATTACAAGACATGCAAGAAAAAGGAAAGTGTGACCAATACATAAGGAAAAAGCACACAATAGAAATTGCTTTTGAGGGGTCAATGGGTTGAACTTAGCAAAACTTCAAAGCAGCTATTACAAATATATTCAAAAAACCAGGCGAAACCATGTTTAAAGGGTTGAAGGAGGCCGGGCAAAGTGGCTCATGTCTGTAATCCCAGCACTTTGGGAGGCCCAGGTGAGCAGATCACCTGAGGTCAGGAGTTCAAGACCAGCCTGGCCAACATGGTGAAAACCCGTCTCTACTAAAAATAGAAAAATTAGCTGGGTTTGGTGGTGTGGACCTGTAGTCCCAGCTACTCGGGAGGCTGAGGTGGGAGGATCACTTAAGCCTGGGAGGCAGACGTTGCAGTGAACCGAGATTGTGTGCCACTGCACTCTGGCCTGGGTGACAGAGTGGCACCCTGTCATAAATAAATAATAATAATGCACTAAAGAAAAAAGTGTCAAAATTAATTGGTGTTACCCTCTGGGACAGCTGTCCCTTAAAAAAAAAAAAAGAATCACTTGCACCTAAACCCAAAGAATCACTGTTTCTTGAAGTGGTGGTTTAAACAAGGTGCAAACAGCAAGCGAATCTCATTACTTTTGGTGGCTGTGGCCATGCTCCTTAAAGTGAACTTAGAGGCTCTACATCCCTGGTGGCCAGTGCCTGCTGGGACCAGAGGCTGTGGCCATCTGGCCCCCCAGTCAGCCCCAAGTCATCGCCCCCAGGCAATGGCTGTGCCTGACAGAATGTACCAGGTCACTGGACAGGCACTCGATAGGAGGTTTGCCAAATGCCTAGAGTCCAGGAAATGCGGTTACCCTGCTCCCTCCCCCTTTTTAGAGACCTAGACATGGGTGCCCAGCACCACACCCTGGCCCACTGGAGGAGATTACAGCCAGCAAGTGCAGTTCCACAAATCCATCAAGTTCCTGCTGCTCCACCGCGTCCTGCACCATCAGCACAAGCCATGCTTCACTACCAAGAGGACCAACACCTTCTGCTAGTTGCAGGGGCCTCTCACCCCAGTGTGCCCCATATAAACTCGGGTACGCCAAGAAAGAAAAAAAGAAAGGAAGGAAGGAAGAGAGAGACAGAAAGAAAGAAAGAAAGAAACAATCAGTAAATTTGAAGATCAATAGAGATTATGCAATCTTAAGAACAGAGTGAGAAAAAGAATGAAGAAAAATTAGAAGCTTCACAGAAATCTGGGACACCATTAACCACACACCAATATACATGTAATGGGAATACTAGAAAAAGAAAAGGAGAAAGGAGAAGAGAAAATATTTGAAGAAAGAATGACTGAAAACCACAAAACATTGCTGAAATAAATTAAAGAAGGCTTAAATAAAAGGAGACATCCCATATTCTGAGATCAGAGAAGTTTACAGCATGAGCTCAGAAGATCAGACTGCCTAGGCTCAATCCTGACTCTTAGGTAAGTTACCTAACTTCTTTGGGCTTTGGTTTTCTCATTTGTGAAATGAGGATAAGAAGTCCTATATTATAGAGTTGTTCATGGAGTGAATGGCTCAATATACATATAAAGCACTTAGAACAGTGCCTGTCACATGGTGTGTGTTTAAATGCTTTTTAGCTATCCTGAAATTGTGAAAGACAATTTGGCAGAGTGTATGAATCTTCAGTTACAATCTTTTTCTCCAGAAAGTCCAGCTGTTGCTCCATTTTCTTCTGAAAGCTAATGTTGCAGAGAATTCTGAAACCAAAGAGGCTTTGTTTCCTTAGAGCAGGGTGGTTAAGAGTCTGGGGTTGGACTGCCTTGGTATGAGTCCTGGCTCTCCCATTTACTGGATGTGTGACCTTGGACAAGTTGATCTCTCCTGTAATGTGGGGCAACTCATAGACCCTCCCTTTCGTGGACCCTTTGCATTTGTTGGCCAAACCATCCTTCCTCCCTTTTAGTTGTTTGGGTTTTTTTCACTCCAACCTTTTGATTCAGGTGGGACTTGCATTCATAGCAGCTTCACCCCCTTGCCAATATCTCACTGAATTCTGTTGGCCACTGTGCTGGATCTAAGTGTTGAGCATGTACCCTGAAGACAACAGGAGTCCTTCTATGGGCAAACCAGGAGGGAGACTCTTTCTTCCTTCTGGGGTTCCTGAGCTAGGATTACGTGAACCTGGAGCTGCCTGGGCCTCACCTGGAAGCCTGTCTGCAGTAGGAGAGGCTCAGGCTACCACAAGAACCAACCGGAGCTGAGCAGCTGGAGAGCAGAGGCACCCCGACAACATGGGTTGAGTTCCTGCATCCAGCCAACGTCCAGGCTGGCGCCGCCACTTTATTGGGATGCTGTGTGGTTTAAATAAGAGAATTCGTGTAAAGCGCCAAGTATGTGTCAGACACAAGGCAAGTCCTCAAGAAAAGATGATCTGTCTCCTCCTGTCATAATGAGTGTAGGAGTTTTTTTCCTTGTAGTTAAAAATTGTTGGGCCTGGAGCAGTGGCTCATGCCTGTAATCCCAGCACTTTGGGAGGCCAAGGTGGGAGGATCACTTGAGGCCAGGAGTACGAACCCAGACTGGCCAATATGGTGAAACCCCGTCTCTTACTAAAAGTATAAAAATTAGCCAGCCGTGGTGGCACGTGCCTGTAGTCCCAGCTACTTGGGAGGCTGAGGCAGGAGAATTGCTTGAACCCGGGAGGCGGAGGTTGCAGGGAGCCGAGGTGGCGCCAATGCACTGCAGCCTGGGCCACAGAGCAAGACTCTGCTCAAAAATAAAAAAAGAAAAAATAAAATTGTTGCCAAATGTGTGTACGTGTAGGTAGCTGATTCTCCTGAAATGTGGTAAATTCCTTCAGTCTGCAGATACTGATCTTTCTTAAGCTTAGGAAAATTGTTTCCAAAGCTCTTTCATGATTGCATCTCTTGGCCAGGAACGGTAACTATCTGTGTGTTGGTGCCGCATTCTCTGTTCTCCGTATCTGTCATCTCTCTCATAATTTTCTCTCTCCTCCACCTCCGAATGTGGGAATTCCTCAGGGCTTGGCCTTGGTGAAAGTATTAATTATGAGAGCAGTTGACTCCTTGTTCCACCCCAACCTTCCATCCAAGGGCCGTCCAAGGGACAGAGGAGGAATCTTAAGCCACCTCCTGCCTCGAGCCCAGCTCCTTCCCACAGGCCACCAGGGGAAATGAGTTTCTGCCTCGTCTGGGTCCCCCATTGTCTTTCTAGCAGTGGTGCTGGCAGGTGTGGGTGATATAGGACTTGGTGACACAGACTTTCTGCAAAGCCAGTGGGAAATGCAACAGCTCTGCAGGATCCCAGAGACCCCTGCTGTGTAGCCCAGCAGCTCCAAAGGCCGCACTGAGAGCCTGTTGGAAACGCAGACTCTCGTGCCTTATCCTGGACCCCTGAATCAGAACGAGTATTTCCACAACATCCGTGGGTGATTCGTGTGCACATTAAAGTTTGCGAAGCTCAGCTCCAGGGTGCAGGCTCAGTTTAACCCTTTTTTCATAATCCATTTTTTGTCTACCCACAAAGTCATTCTTTACGGTGAAAACCCCCAACTCCTCACCAGATGAGATCATATAATACTGACTCTCTTTACTATTAATACCTACTTCGTTTTTGTGTGATATTTTCCCTCAATATAATGATTTTATTTTATTATTTTTTATTTTTTCAAACTCAGAAATTCTTAAGAACAATGTAATGTTATTGCCATAAAGTGGGAGCTCTGTTGCCAGGGCACTTTGAAGTTTTGTATGCACAATTCAGACTTCATTGAAACTTTAATTTTACTGTGTCCTTGGCTTGCCTTACCTTTTCGAGAATTACAAAACTTTCCACAGTTCTGCCAGCTGCTTCTTCCTGTTTTGTTCTCAATTTGGGATGTTTATTTCTTTTGCTTGATGTCTGTATGCTAAAAGAAATAAATAAGCAGAACACATTGCGGCTCATTGAAGCACAGGGCACGATCCAAATTCGTTCCATATGATAGTCTCTGACTAGGAATTCTTATGTCCTATAATTGGTGAGTATATTTTTGCATTAAGCTGTAATGTTGAATTATCACTTCTTTTAGCATATTTATTTAAATATATGTTGGGGGTGAAAAGTCACTATGTCATTAAAAAAAGGAGTCTTTGTTCAAAAGGTGATATAAGTTTCGAGAGCTGCTTTGGCAAATGTTAACTGAAGGGTCATTATGTAAGGTAGTTGTGTATTATATGTTATATATATTGTAGAAACCCCAGTGCCATTACAAATATAGTTTGTAGAGCGGTGTCAGTCAGTGAACTCTTTGTTACCCATCTGTGATGAGATAAATACAGAAATTGAGAGTGTTTAGAAACTTTTATAACATATTTTTATGTCTGCTGCCTTTAACAGTAAAACTTTGGCTTTGTATTTTATACATCATTTTAAAATTTTATTTTTCTAGTGATTTATTTTTATTATATCTTACAGAAATATCAGTGTGCAATAGATGGGAAAATTTTTTAAAATTGGTTTTTCACTGCAGATGGTTTGAACAGCACTGATATAGAGCATATTATCTGGCTTCAAGAAATCAAATTTGGTATAAATAATAGAATGAAAGTATAACCTTCCTCTGCCCCTAGTAGGGACATTTAAAAACATTTCTAAATAATGACTGGGTTAAAAAAAGAAACTGAAAAGAAAATTACAAAATACTTAGAGCTGAACAGCAACAGAACAGAATCCATGAAAGGTTGTGTGGGCTGGGTGTGGGAGCTCTGCCTGTAATCCTAGCAGTTTAGGAGGCAGAGGTGAGAGGATGACTTGAGCCAAGGAGGTTGAGACTGCAGTGAGCCATGACTGTGCCACTGCACTGCAGCCTGGACATCAGAGTGAGACTCTGTCTTAAAAAAAAAAAAAAAAAAAAAAAAAAAAGCTTGTGTGATAAAAGGTGGTATTTAGATAGAAATTAAAGTTTTAAATGCATATATTAGACAAAAAAATTTACACTTAATGATCAGAATGTTCAGAAAAGGTAGAGAATCAGTACTCAGTACTTTTTTGTTGTTTTTTGAGACAGGGTATCGCTCTGTCGCCCAGGCTGCAGTGCAGTGGCAGAATCTCAGCTCACTGCAGCCTCTGCCTCCCGGTTCAAGCAATTCTCCCACCTCAGCCTCCTGAGTAGCTGGAATTACAGGGGCGCACCATCACACCTGGCTAATTTTTGTATTTTTAGTAGAGACGGGATTTCACCGTGTTGGCTAGGCTGGTCTCGAACTCCTGACCTCAGGTGATCCACCCACCTCGGCCTCCCAAAGTGCTGGGATTACAGGCGTGAGCCACCGCGCCCGGCCAGGCTCAGTACTTTTATCAATGAGTCCCCAAAATATAGAAATTTAAATAAGATAGACCACTGTTTTCTTCTCATAAGATAGTCTTGTGGTAGGTGGTAGGTCCAGGGTTGGCAGGCATTTATGTCAAACTCAACATAAGCCTTTCATTTGCATGTCAAAAGTAGCACTATCTGGTTGTCATCACCTTTCAGTATCAGACAGTGGAAATGAGCTCAAGAGAGTGCACACACAATTTTTAAAAAATGTAAGACCTGGGCTGGGTGAGATGTCTCCTGCCTATAAACTCAGCACTTTGGGAGGCCGATGTGGAGTTCAAGAGGCCCAGGAGTTCAAGAGCAGCCTAGGCAACATAGTGAGACCCCGTCTTTACAAAAAGTAAAAAAATTAGCTGGGTATGGCAGCAAACACCTGTGGTTCCAGCTACTTGGGAGGCTGAGGTGGGAGGATCGCTTGAGCCCAGGAGGTACAGGCTGCAATGAGTCACGATTCATGGTGCCAATGCACTCCAGCCTGGATGACAAGAGGGAGACACTGTCTCAAAGAAAAAAAAAAAAAAGACCCTGAAGTGGTCCTCCATTCCATTGGTTAGAACTTGGTCATATGATGACAGGTAGCGGCAAAGGGGATTATTAAGAACTATGGAGTTTAGATAAGAAGTCCTGAGTCCAATTACAATTCCATATCTCTGAAGGAAAGGGAAAAAGATATTGGGGGACGATTACCAAACTGCCATAAGCAACCATATTAGTAAACTCAAAGACAATTGAAGGAAGAAAACAATAGGTATAAAAGCAGAATGCTATAAACAAGGATAACAAGGAACAATAGGTGATCAAAACTGAAAGTCAATTAATTTAAGAGAATTAAAAATAGGCTAATCACTTAGAAAACTAACTGAGAAAAATAAGAGGCATAATAGACAATAGTACGAAGGAAAAAGGGCACACTATGATAGAAACAGTAAAGTTGCCAAAACTCATAGGAGATTATTATGATCTCCTCTATAGAAATGCATTAGAAAACTCACAATGAAACAGACACTTTTCTAGAAAAATATAAATTTTCGAAATGAATTCAAGAGGTAATAGAATTCAGACACAGACTATTAATGAACTGATATAATAGTGAAAATACTTAATCACCTAAAATAGTCACACACATAAACAAAATACAACCAGGCCCAGAGGGTTTTATAGGAGAGTGTTGCTCAACCCACAAGAAAACAGAAAACCCTTATCTTAATTATTTAAATAACAATAATAACAATAATAAAAGAGAATGCTATCCAACTCATTTAAGAGGCTACATTAACCTTAATATGAAAACTGGAAAAAGGCCAGATCCAGAGGCTCATGCCTGTAATCCCAGCACTTTGGGAGGCCGAGGTGGGTGGATCGTTTGAGTCCAGTGGTTCAAGACCAGCCTGGGCAACATGGCGAAACACATCTCTACAAAAAACACAAAAATTTGCCGGTGTGGTGGTGCACTCCTATAGTCCCAGCTACTCTGGAGGCTGAGGTGGGAGGATTGCTTGAGCCTGGAGGCTCAGGGCTGCAGTGAGCTGAGATTGTGCCACTACACTCCAGCCTGGGCTACAGAGCAAGACTCTGTCTCAAACAACAACAAAACAACAACAACAACAACAACAAAACCCAAAAACAAAAAAACTGGAAAAAGATCTCACATGGAAAGAAAATGATAAGCTAATATTGAAACCAACCTAACAGTCCCATAGACAGTTTTTTCGGTTGTTTGTTTTTTTGAGACGGTGTCTCCCTCTGTCACTCAGCCTGGAGTGCAGTGGCGCCATCTTGGCTCACTGCAACCTCAGCCTCCCAGCTTCAAGCAATTCTCCTGCCTCAGCCTCCCACATAGCTGGGATTACAGGTGCCTGCCACCCCGCCCAGCTAATTTTTGTATTTTTGGTAGAGACCAGGTTTCACCATGTTGGCCAGGCTGGTCTGGAACTCCTGACCTCAGGTGATCCGAGGTGATCCGCCTGCCTCGGCCTCCCAAAGTGCTGGGATTACAGGCATGAGCCACTGCACCTGGCCAAGACAGGTTTTTTTTTTTTTTTTTTTTTTTTTTTGATAAACATAGAAATTGACCTTTCTGGTCTTAAAACTTGAAACTTACCAGATCTAGGCAATGGGATACCAAGCCTCTCAAAAGGTATCAAATAACTGAAACCCACCAGATCATTGCATCCAGATGTTAAGACACCCTCATTCATCATGATTGCTTCCTCTGTTTTCCCATACATAGTTAACATTTCTTTCCTGCTATATAAACCCCTAATTTTAGTTGGTCAGGGAGATGGACTTGAGACTGATCTTCCATCTCCTTGGCTGCAGCACCTGATTAAAACCTTCTTCCTTGGCAATCATTGTTGTCTCAGTGATTTGTCTTTCTGTGCACGAGCAGCAGAACCTAGATGGAGCCCCTGGTGTTTTAGTAACAGATTTTGGTTCCCTGACCCAGTATGCTTTGCTTGTGGCTTGGCTGCAGTGGGCTGCTGGGAGTCTCAGAAGCCCTCCTAAGCAGCTGCCCACCCAATTTAGGCTGGAGGTGAGTTTCCTTTTCTCTGGCCCCTCTGCAGCCAGCCCCAACAGGGTTCCTGATTGCCTCGGAAGAACAGTCTTTGAAATTTGACAACTGCATCCAGATAGGATGAGTGCACTTTTTGGGCCCAGACAGCAGGATCTGCTCCTTTCAGTTTGGGAAATTTGTAAAGGAATTCCCATTTGCAGGTTGAACAAGCCCAACTGAGGCTGGGCCCGGTGGCTCACATCTGTAATCCTAGCACTTTGGGAGGCCGAGGCGGTCAGATCACTGGAGGTCAGGAGTTCGAGACCAGCCTGGCCAACATGGTGAAACCCCGTCTCTACTAAAAACACAAAAATTAGCCAGGCATGGCGGTGGGTGCCTGTAGTCCCAGTTACTTGGGAGGCTGATTAAGGAGAATCGCTTGAACCCAGGAGGTGGAGGTTGCAGTGAGCCGAGATGGCGCCACTGCAATCCAGCCTGGGTAACAGATGGAGACTCTGTCTCAAAAAACAAACAAACAAATAAATATAAATAAATAAAATTATTGGTAAAATAAAAATAGAAATGTCTTCAGAGTTGTCAGCATACATTTTTGTTTGGGTTTTATATTTGTCTCTGCTAGATATCTTGAGATATCAGGGTTTGGCACAGAAGGTTATAAAACTATAAACCCAGCCAAAACAAAATGACCTTTATGCACATTTTTAAGTAAGTAAGACTAATTTAATATTATTGGTTTAATGAAAAAAAAAACAGCAGAATATTCTGAGTTAGTGGTGAAAATGCCCATGTAGTTACCTTTAAGGTTCTTAAAAGGTGAACACCTGATATTCACAGTTTGTAAAATAGATAACAAGGAAATGATTTATAAATAACCTAAACTGCTAAAAACAAAATATCAATGAGTAAGTGCTATAGGTGAACTTCTTGTCTAACTTAAAATCTTAAAGTTATTTTTGCTGCTTCATTGGATGTCTGGGTCATTTCCCATTAAGAAAAGATTATGATATGGGGAAACATGTTTCTAAAAATCGTGGAATGGTTCTCATCTATAAAATGCTAATATGTGATAGGCAGCTCAGGATTTCTTGCTTCCCAGGTTTTCACTAAATTTAAAGTTACTAAGGAAAAGAATTCTAGTTAAGATATAATTCTGTATATAATATGTGCCCAAGAAGATGTGGTTTTATTGAGAGAAAGAATAATTTTATCTAATTCAGAAGTTATCTGAAGATTAATTCAAATTACAGACTTCAAAATGTTATTCAGGAAACAAGGTAGAAAGGAACCAGGAAGTAGAGGAGAGATGTGAAGAAAGTTATAGATATGAAGATGTATTTTTGGTAAGGAAGGTTTTAAAGAAAAGAAAATTTAGGACAAAAACAGAAAGTCGGTCGGGCGCAGTGGCTCACGCCTGTAATCCCAGCACTTTGGGAGGCCAAGGTGGGTGGATCATGAGGTCAGGAGATCAAGACCATCCTGGCTAACACGGTGAAACCCCGTCTCTACTAAAAATACAAAAAATTAGCTGGGTGTGGTGGCGGGCGCCTGTAGTCCCAGCTATTTGGGAGGCTGAGGCAGGAGAATGGTGTGAACCCGGGAGGCGGAAATTGCAGTGAGCTGAGATCGTGCCACTGCACTCCAGCCTGGGCAACAGAGCAAGACTCGTCTCAAAAACAAAACAAAACAAAACAAACAACAACAACCACAACAAAAAACCCAGAAAGTCCAAGCATGTACCAGCACTAAAGTACTTACTGGTCATGTGCCTACAGCAAATTTCTTAATTCCACAAAATGTATAGTGGTATTGGTAGATTTAAATATATTAATTTGGGGCCGGGTACAGTGGCTCATGCCTGTAATCCTAGCACTTTGGGAGGCTGAGGATCACCTGAGGTCAGGAGTTCGAGACCAGCCTGGCCAATATGGAGAAACTCTGTCTTTACTAAAAATACAAAAATTAGCTAGGTGTGGTGGTGTGCACCTGTAATCCCAGCTACTTGGGAGGCTGAGGCATGAGAATCACTTGAACCTGGCAACCAGAGGTTGCAGTGAGGTGTGATCCTGCCACTTCACTCCAGCCTGGGCGAAAGGGCGAAACTCCTGTCTCTAACTAACTAACTAACTAAATAAATAAAAAGACATTACTTTGGCTGGGTGTTGTGGCTCATGCCTGTAATCCCAGCACTTTGGGAGGCCAAGGCGGCGGGGGAGGGGGGGGGGGGTCTCTTTTGAGGCCAGGAGTTCGAGACCAGCCTGGGCAACATAGTGAGACCCTATCTCATTTAAAAAAAAAGTTCCCCAGGATTTTAATTGACTTTAAGATGTGCAACTAGAAAAACTACCTTAGACAAAATTAGTTAAAAGACAAGCAGCAGACAAGGAAATGATATTTGTAACATACATAATTAGCAAAGAAGTATATTCAGAATGTAGAAAGTATTTCTACAAATGAATAAGAACAATAGAAAAACAGACAAAGGTTATTCCAAGGCAATTTTCAGATGAGGAAAACTATAGCTAATAAAGAGTGAAAGATACCTTGAACTTACTTGTTATCAAGGAAATGTCAATTAAAACAATTTTACCATTTCTCACTTATTAGATTGTGAAAAAGTATGAGCACATCAAGAGTTACGAAGGAGTAGGGAATTGGGAATTCTCATATTCTGCTGGAGGGAATGTTTATTAGGATAGTCATTTTGGAGAGTAATATTGAAAATGTGCCATATTCTGAAATTTTACTTGTTTATACTCCAAGAAAAACTCTTATACATGTGGGCAAGAGGCATTTACAAGGATGTACTAATATTTCTTAAAGTGTTATTGGTGTGTGGATGACTTGTCTGTGTATCACCAAGACTCCTGGTTAAACTGGCCCTATCCCATACCTACTGTATCAGTCAGGGTTCTCCAGAGAGAAACAGAGTCAATAAGATATATACATAGATATATAAGAGGAGATTTATTATGAGAATTGTCTTATGTGATTATGGAGGCCAAGCAGTCTTACAGTCTGCCTTATGCAAGCTGGAGAACAAGGCAAACTGGTGGTGTAATTTGATCTGAGTCCAAAGGCCTGAAAACCAGGAGCTCCAATGTCCCAGGGCAGCTCAAGAAGAGAATTCACCTTTCCTCTGAATTTTTGTTCTATTTAGGCCCTCAATGGATTGGACGATGTTCACCCGCGTTGGTAACGGCAGATCTTTTTTTTTTGAGATGGAGTCTCACTCTGTCACCCAGGCTGGAGTACAGTGGTACAATCTCAGTTCACTGCAACCTCTGCCTCCTGGGCTCAAGTGACCCTCCTGCCTCAGCCTCCTGAGTAGCTGGGGTTACAGGCACTCACCACCACGCCTGGCTAATTTTTTGTATTTTTAGTAGAGATGGGGTTTCACCATGTTGGCCAGGCTGGTCTCAAACTCCTGACCTCGTGATCCGCCCCACCTCGGCCTCCCAAAGTGCTAGGATAACAGGTGTGAGCCGCTGTGCCTGGCCGATAAGGACTAGTTTTTAGACATAATCACACCATCATTATATCTAAATGAATTAACATTACAATAATTTGTTTATATGAGCATGTATCCAGTCAGTATTGACAAAATCCAGTGTTCATATTTCTCCAATTGTCTCATATTTTTAGTTTTTTGTTTTTATTTATTTATTTATTTATTTATTTATTTATTTATTTATTTTTTGAGACAGGGTCTCATTCTGTCTCCCAGGCTGGAGTGCAGCGGCATGATCTCAGCTCACTGCAGCCTCAACCTCCCGGGCTCAAGCGATCCTCCCAACCTCTGCTTCTTGAGTAGCTGGGACTACAGGAGCCCCACCGTGCCTGGCTAATTTTTTTGTACTTGTAGAGGTGGGGTTCCATCATGTTGTCCAGGCTAGTCTTGAACTCCTGAGCTCACTGGCCTCCCAAAGTGCTAGGATTACAGCATGCGCCACCGCACCTTACCTACAGTTTGTTTGAATCAAGATTGAAATGAGCCAGGTGCCGTGGCTTGTGCCTGTAATCCCCCCACTTTGGGAGGCCGACGCAGGTGGATCACTTGAGTCCAGTTCAAGACCAGCCTGGGCAACATGGCAAAACCCTGTCTCTACGAAAAATACGAAAATTACCTGGGTGTGCTGGTGTGCACCTGCAGTCCCAGCTACTCAAGAGGCTGAGGTGGAAGGATCACTTGAGCCTGGGAGGTCGAGGCTGCAGTGTGCCGTGATTGCACTACTACACTCCAGCCTGGGCAACAGAGAGAGACCCTGCCACAAGAAAAAAAAATGAAATGAAGTTCATACACTGCCATTGATGAACATGTCTTTTAAGTCTTTTCTAATCTATTGATTCCCCTCCTATTTTTTTCTAATAAGTTGTTTGTTGAAGAAATGTATTTGTTAAATGTTGAATTTTTCTTATAATTTGTTTTCTTATAATTTATTTGTTTATTCTTATCTTTCATTTGTCCTTTAGAGTTTCTCATCAACTGGATTTTGTCGACCGCATCCCTGTGGTTTCATTGATATGTTTCTCTGTTTCCTGTATTTCCTGTAAACTGGTAGTTAGAGCTAGAAGGTTGATCAAACTCAGGTTCGATTTTTTTTTTTTTTTTTTTTTGTCTAGTAGCATTTTGTCCTTCCATCTTGAGGCATGTTTCTGGTTTTCTCTCTGCTTAGCAGCCACTGATGATCATTGCCAAGGTCCATTAATTCATTAGATGTTGCAAAATGGTGATATTTTGCAGTCGACAAAATCCAAAATGGTGATATTCTAATTTCATCAGGACTTCTTCATGTATTAGTTGGAATACTTCTATTAAAAGGAAGGTCCCTTCGTCAACTATTTGGTTACTCTGAGGAGTAGATCTTACAGGCTTCATCTCTTTTCCTTCACTAGTTTTCAAAATATTGAGTTGGTTCCCTAGCATTCTCCAAAAGTGATCACTTAAAAAATTGAAATATGACTCTTATACTATCAAATTCACCCTTTTAAAGCATACATACGTCACTAATTTCTAGTACATTTACAAAGTTGTGCAACCATCACCACTAGTTGATCATTTTTAAAGTCTCATAAATTCATTAACATATCCACTATGTTTCACTCCATAGCAATTTTTTTTGACATCCAAATTTTCTTAATGTTAGACAACCTAGTAAGCTTGGACACTTTCTTCTTTTGCTTTCTGCTATAAGGAGATGTTCCTGGCTTATCTTATACTTTCCTGCTCCAGCCCTGGAATCAATCACTTCTCCCTTTCCTTTGGTGGGAAACTGTAGAGGCCCCAACTTGGACACCAGGGGTGCTCACTGCTACTGCTCATTGTTTCTAGGCCTCTATATTGATTTTTTTATCTCTTTAGTGGAGCTAGTTTGTTTGCTGTGCCCTGTGATTTATAATCCATGAAGAATTTGGCTATTATTTTCAGGAATTAAACAATGTCTTGTTCGACTAATGACTCATGTAAAAAGCACTGCTTGAAAATCACCTATTTGCCAGTCATTGTTTATTTTAAAATTATTCTCCTTGGGGAGAGTGTGTGGCTTAAGGGCTCAGATGAAAAATTCTTACTTGGCATTAATTATGGCCAACTGAATTCCAACAGAAGATGCAACTTGCTCACGCTAAGTATAACCTAAGTATCAGGTGTCAGATAAATGGTTAATTTTTGTAGGGCATGCTTAGTTCAATAAAACTAGGGCCTTTCTAGGGGAAGATAAATATTTTTTAATGTTTGGGATACAAAAAAAAAAAAAGAATTACCACAACTTTATTCAAGAAGGTCTACATTTTCTCATAAGCCAATAATTTATTGCTTCTTATTTGAATTCCCATCAGTCTCCGATGTGGAGTGAAAATCAACAGCTTCTTTTCTGACTAATCTTTCTCTGGAAAAATGATTGAAAGGCCTTCTATCGTTTCTGGCTCAAGGACCTATAAACATGTCAGAGATTTTTAGTTAATTTATTAAAACACTGTCAAAACCTTGAGTAAATGCTTTTAACTATCTGATGTACATTAACAGCTCTGAAGGAACAAATACATTTTAGCACGTAATCAAAATTCCTTTTACTGCTTTGAAACCAGCTATTTTGTATTCATAGCATTCTCTTTTGAAATGTTCTGCTCTCGACCTCCCTAGATAAAATTTCCTTTTATTATGTTTACTTAAGTGAGAAAATGAAAGTACTTAGGAATGTTTTTATTTTGCCTTACACAGCCTCCTTATTCGAGTTCCCCAAGGGCAAGCACATCTTTGTTACTTCCTGTGCCCAGAATTCTAAAGGTCCCTAATACGAAAACAATTATCAAGGCAAGATAGGCTGCAGTAGGTCCTTTAAGTGCAAGATGTCTGGTGCTTAATTACCAAATGCTTTCAAGGATCTTAGGTGTCCTCAAGGTCCTATTGTGAGTACTTTCATAAAATGCATTTTGTATTTTGTCACATCAAACAATTTCTGATCTCTGCTGTTTACACTTCCTTTTCATCTTCACTTTATCATGAGTATAATACTAAGTGTACTTCTAGTGAAATGATTTTTACCATTGTTCTTTTACCAGTTAAACAATGTTCTTTACAGACTTCCATAAATGGGCTTAAAGTACAACTTTACCTTTTTTTAACTAAAAAAAATATAGTTGACCTTATCTGTATAGTCATCTATAAAATAACTGGACTTTATAAAGTTTGCTGGACTTTAATAAAGGTTTATCTAATCTAATAGAACTAGGCCATCCTTTCTTTGTTTCCCACCAAAGTTAACAGTCTCTTCCTGTATGAAAAGTAATGACAAAGGGCTCTTTGAAAGTATCAATCCCTAAACTACTTGTGATCTTTTAAACTGAGAAAACTTCTTTTTCTTTCATGCTCCTTGGACACTGTTTTCTTAAGTGCTTTACACTGGTGGATGTATAAGTATTTTTGATGGTAATTATGGAAAAACTAACAAGAATGGTGACATTAGGTTTTTCTGTCTTGAACATGCTGCTTACAGTTGCATGGATGAAGTGAGGCTCTATTCTTCTTCTTTTTTTTTTTTTTTAATAGAGACGAGGTCTCACCATGTTACCCAGGCTAGTCTTGAACTCCTGGGCTCAAGTGATCCTCTCGCCTCGGCCTCCCAAAGTGCTGTGATTACAGGACTGAACCAGGGAACCTGGCCTCCATTCTTGCCATACCGTAGCATCACACTGAGGCCCTTGGAAAGTACTTAAACGCTGATTATCAATGTTTTGAAATATTAATGTGGGCGGCCGGGCACGGTGGCTCACGCCTGTAATCCCAGCACTTTGGGAGGCCGAGGCGGGTGGATTACCTGAGGTCAGGAGTTGGAGACCAGCCTGGCCAACATGGTGAAACCCCATCTCTACTAAAAAAATAGAAAAATTAGCCAGGCGTGGTGGCAAGTGCCTGTAATCCCAGCTACTCGGGAGGCTGAGGCAGGAGAATCGCTTGAACCCCGAAGGCAGAGGTTCAGTGAGCCAAGATCACGCCATTGCACTCCAGTCTGGGAGTGCAAGAAATATTAATGTGGGCACACAAGCTATTTCTCATTTTTTTTTATTGAAACAACATTGCTTAGTTTCATTTACCTTTCTGTGAAATGTCTTTCTGTGAAAGTCTATCACAGCCTGATGTAATTTTTATAAACAATGAATACATGCTGTTACTATTTTTGAAAGGAAATTTAATCGCTTGGAAAAATTCAGACTAAAGCCCCGAGAGGAAAATTATCATCCAGTGCATGCTCAGAGATTTCTTCTTACTCTACTTTTGTTTTTCCTTTTTGAAAGCATTTGTGATTGAGAGATGTCTGAGGGAAGGGACAAATTGCATTCTGGGAGTTTTAAAGAGTTATGTCAGGCAACTAAAATACGTGGCCTCTGTATTTAAAGAGATTTCACACCAGTATACTATTTGCTTTATAATTTTTGTGTTTCTTATTGTTTAAAAATGCCTTTAACATTTAGTGCTGTGTTAAAGGATAGCATGCCAGATTCCAGATTAATGTAAAGACTCCACTATTTAACTTTTCCCTAGTAACTTTAAAACAGAGTTTGGGTTCCAAGTTCAGCATGGAAAGATAGCATAAACATTTAAACTAAGTAAAGTGCGAAATACACATTTTTGAAGTTGGTAAGTGCTGTTTAATCATTTTCCCCTTCTCTCCCAAGTCTTTTGAAACTTCAAAAGGCTTGTTTAAGCAGTGTGTTTAAAAAAAAAAAAATCCATACCCAATTGGGCTCCTCTCTATTAAGGAATGTGGAAAATTCATGATTTATGAAACGATGACACCAGTCTTACATTTCACAGGCTCCCAAGCTCTGAAACACGGGTACATAGGAAAATACACAGAAAATTCCTGTTCTTTGCAACGTGCGAAACGTTTCAAAATGCAACTTTGCTCATCTCCCTCCCCCGTACAAACTAATAAAATCAGTTTGGCTCTGACTGCTTATTTTTAAAAAGTAGACGGCCTGGTAGGTGCTCTAGGGATAACCCTTCTCCCCCCACTCCACCCCCCTTCCCGCACACCCATTTAGACTGGCAAGCCCGTTTTCATTTTATTTCAAAGATTTTTTTTTTTTAAGCGAAGGCAGGGGACGGCGGGGGTTGCTAAATTTATCTTCCTCCCCAGCCACGGGGATGAAGAAAACACATTTACTGCGGGCGGGGGTCTGAGGGCCTGCAAACAACTCGAGCTGGAGCCTCGGCCAGGACCGGCGCGAGAGGCGGTAGGTCTCCAGGGAGGCCCCCGGGGGGCGGCCGCGGCCCACGGGACATGGTGGGGGGCGGCCGGGCCGCCTGCCTCTCCGCGGGGTCGGCCGACCGCGGCCCCGCGCGGGCTTTACGGCCGAGGCGGCGGCGGCAGCGGCGCGTGTGTGGCGGCGGCGGGCGGGAGCGCGGAGGAGGTGGAAAGAAGGGGGGCGCTGTCACGGAGACTCCGGCCGCCGGAGACCCCGCCGCAGCGAGGCCACTGGGCTCCCCGGTCGCGGGGCGGGAGCGGCGCCGACACGGGGTGCCAGGAGGACCCACCGGGCGGAGGAGGGGGCCTGTCTACCCTTCCGCATTTTCCTGGGTCTCTCTCCCGGGCGGTGACGTGACGTGCTGACGGCGGGCCCGTGCCGGGGAGCTGGGCCGCTTTTTGTCAGCTCCGAGCTCGGCCCCTCCTCCCTCCCTCCGCCCGCCCCACCAGCCGGAGCCCGGCCCAGTGCTCCAGAGAAAGGCCGGCCTGCAGCACCCGCCACCGTCGCCGGCCGCCCGCACGTCCGTCCGGTGAGTCCCGGGTGCCGCCGCGGCCGCGGGGCCTAGTGCGCGCACAGCGGCCTGGTCTCGGCCTGGTCGGCGGCCCGCAAGGCGCCCTCCCGCGCTAGGCCGGGCGGCGTGGCGCGCGGCGCCGAGCAGGCCCCGAGGAGGCCGCAGTTAGGCCCGGGGAGGAGCCCGGCTGCCCCGAGCGGCGGCGGAGGCGCGCTCCGTAAGCGGGCGGGGGTTGGGGGAGGGTCGCCCGGTTGTGCCGGAGGCGGTCGAGGGGCCCCGGGTCGGCTCCGCGGCCGACCTGGGGCACCGCGCCGGGGTGAGGCCTGGCGAGGAGGCGAAGGCTGCAGGCGTGAGGTGAAGGCCGCAGGCCGGCCGGGCCGATTTTCGCTATGTAAATATCGGTGAGGGGGGGGGAGGGACGGGGGACAAGATGGCGGCGGCTCGGCGCCTGCTGCAGGGGACGATAGAGGGGGTTGCCGGGAGGGGGAGCCGCCATCTTGGAGGCGGTGTCTGGAGAGAAAATTCCGCTACAGCCCGTGAGGGGGGGTGGGAGAGCGGGCGGCGGCGGCAGCGGCGCCGGTGACGGGCCCCGGAGGCCCGGCGCGGCGGCGTGTGCGCGCGGAGGGGCGTGCTCGCTCCCCGTGGCGGCCATTGCCCTTGCCGCCATGATGAGCGCTCGGGCTCCAGGCGCTCGGCGGCAGCGCCACCTTCCTGCCTTGCCTCCCGCAGCCCCGTGACTGGCTGCAGTTTCCGCTGCGTTTCAGCTGAGCTGCCGCAGGCGGCCACCGCCGCCGCCCGGACGCCGGGACCGTTTCACCCTCAGCGCCCCTGGCCCTGCGCCTTCCCCCGCGCCTGTAGCCACCCGAGGGCAGTCGGGGCAGGTGGCATTCCGGACACCTGGGCTTACCAGGGCATACGGGACCCCAGGAAATGTTATTTTTGCTTAAGTCAAATCATATGTGGCTGCTAAGGTGCTTTCGATGCAGTTGTTTTTCCAACAATCTTTGCCGCCCCGAGTATCTGAATAAAGGAAGAAAAATAAAGATTGATGGGAAAGTTTTTGCCATTCTTTTGTCCTATAGGGAAAAAAATTGCACAACACGAGAGCGGAGGAATAAAATTTTGAATCATTCGTACTCATTTATGTGGAAACAACTTTCTTGAAAAACGATTTAAGTAGTGATCTGTTGGTGGTATTTTTTTAAATCGAGGAATAAGGGCAGACTTTTTTATTTTCTTATTGGAGGACAACTTAGTGTGGTGCATATTTATTGTGCATTTGCCTGTCATGGTATTTCGATTTTTCATTTGTGAAGTTTTAAGGCGGAGTTTCATCCCCTAACGTACTTTTTTGATTGCACACTGTGCAACTTTCTTGATAAACTCGGAGCCTACTGTTAGCGATGCACCGTGCTAGATGCTAAGAAACATTAAAAAGGTTCTTGTAATGCAGACGGTGGCTGCAAGAAGTCTCATGTTTAGAGGTAGGTGGGGCAAGGTGAAATGCAGTAAAGTGAGAGGTACAACTAATTACTGGGATTTCCGAGGGAAGCAAGGTTGCCATTGGAGGATCAGGGAGGGACGGGTTCCTGAAGTATTAATAGGTGGCATTTTGAGAAGGTTACCGAGGGATGGGTAGGACTTTGTTAGGTAGAGGTGGAGGTGGAGAAAGGACGTTTCAAGGGTGAAGCTTCTTCAGTAAACAGTAAGTATTTACAGTTTGGCAAAAGTGGATGGTATAGGTAGGGGAGTGGTGGGAATTCAGGCTAGAAAAGTTAGATTGCAGAAGGGCTTGCTTGCCAGGTGGAGGGGCTTATACTCAATGGGGTAGGCAGCGGGGGTGCCCTCAACTAGAAGAGTGATGGCACACCTGAGCTGCACCTTGTTATTTACTTATTTTTTATTTTGAGACAGGTTCTTGCTATATTGCCCCAGGCTGGTCTCGAACTCCTGGGCTCAAGCCGTTCTCCCGCCTCCCACTGCCCGCCTGTCACTGCCGTCTGTTCCCTGAGCTGTGCTTTACGGTACTTAGTAGTTCCATTGGACTAGGAAAAGTTTCAAAGTTGAAAAATAATGAGAGTAGTAAGTTGATCAGTGTTTTCATTATCAGAACGATTACAAGAATGTTCAGAAGTTAAGCAAATTTTGCTACTTTTGGAACGATGCGTCTCTATTAAGACAGCTGCTCCTTTTTTCTATCCTGATTTCTCATCCGAAATAATCTTTTGCTCAGAGTTGTCAGAATTTCTATGGTACACAAATAGGGAGGGGTTTCTAACATTTCATTTACCATGGTTGAAAAGTACAGGACTAGTGCTGTGGGTTATTTGACGAAAATGAGAAATGAGTATTCCCGTGGTAATTTTTTTTTTTTTTTGAGACTGAATCTCACTCTGTCGCCCAGGCTGGAGTGCAGTGGTGTGATCTTGGCTCATTGCAACCTCTGCCTCCCGGGTTCAAGTAATTCTCCTGCCTCAGCCTCCCGAGTAGCTGGGACTACAGGACCCTGCCACCATGCCTGGTTAATTTTTGTATTTTTAGTAGAGACAGGGTTTCATGTTGGCCAGGCTGGTCTCGAACTCCTGACCTCAAGTGATCTGCCTGCCTTGACCTCCCAAAGTGCTGGGATTACAGGCATGAACCACCGTGCCCTGCCTGTTTCCTAGAATTTTATGATGGAAACCTTTAGGTGGCATAGATACCCATTTTCAGTTTTTCCATTTTTCTAGACTGTAACAGGTCGTGAGCAGCGGTGCTCCATGAAAGGGCTGGAGGGAATGAGAGTCTCATGTTTATTATAAAGGGCTATGGTTTAGAAAAGTTCGAGAAACAGTGCATTGCATGAGGCTGACTAGAAGCAAGTTGAGAAGGCGGGCTGTGGTTGTTGAGGTGTTAAGGGTAAACATAAACTTAGAAGAACCAGGTGCTTTTATATTTTGACAGCTGGGAAAGACATAGAAGAACTATTAAGAAGATAGAATTGTTTTGCTGCGCAGTACAGCAACAGTGGATGTTCAAGATTAAGATTAGAGTCAAGTTGTGTGATTAAGACAGGTAAGTGTGTAGTTTAGTTTCAATTAGAAATGGTTAAATATAAAATTATTTTTGCCTGAAAGGGTAGACCTTGAAACTTTGGAAAACTGACTGGTGGAACACCTTCGAACCCAACCACCCTGGATGAATAAGGTGTTAGTTTTTAATTTCTGTGTATTTTTCAGATAGATGCAGATTTCTTTTTTTAAAAAAACATGCTCACGAATGTGTTACAAATTTTTTTTTCCACATTGCTTTTTGTAAATGCTTACTCTCATTGCAAATGCTTACTCTCACTTAACCCATTTAGACTGATTCTGTCACTGATAATCTTCTTTGTATTATTTGTTCTTGTGTACACTGGCAATTCCAAACTTTTTTTCACTCTTAAAACTACTCAACGGGTCCTTGAAATCTCTCATCTTCAGCAAAGATTACCCAGTCTTTCACTTCACTGAGAAGGGTAGATGGCCATCTGATAAAGAGCCAAGTCTCCCCTCCCTTCCCCTTCATGCCTTTCCTGTCTTCACCTAGGCCTTCCTCCTTTTGCCGCAGGGGAGGTTGCAGGAGGGATTGCTGTCTCACAAGCCCCACTGCTGCTCTGAGCCTGCTCTTCACCCTGGCTGCCTCCTTAGGGACCAAGCTCTGTGCGTGATGCCGTCTCTTGCATCATTAACCTCTCTTTACAAATATTCCTAGGTTTGCTCATCTTACAAAAGCCTCACCTGTCTTCACTTTCTTTGCACCCCACTTATTCTTAAATCCAGTATTACCCAAATTGGGAAACTTGCACAGCATGTTAACAGGTGTGTTATATAAAAGTGCTCTGTGTTTCAGAAACTCTCTGTGCCTTCTCTGTCTTCTATGGTGGGATTCCCCTTAATTTATCATTTAATGTATTATATTTGAACTGTGTGTTTATATTTTTTCCTTCTACACTGTGAATATAGAGACAAGTTCTGATTTATCTTTGTCTCCAAGCAGTACCTGGCATATGGACCATTATCTCTCAAAGCAATAATTTCGGTTACTGGGTACAGAGAATTCTACGTAGTTAATAGTTTTCAGCTGTTCAAAAATCAGGTATCCAGTCAGTGTGTTTTTTGACTCAGGGACATACATATTAAGGCACACTTATTAGGGCACCAGGTCAAGGAGTAACCCCTCCCACCACCCCTTATCTGATTGGAATATGGCCAGCCTATTCTTATTCCTGCCAAGTTATTTTTCCAGACAACATTTTATAAAACCCAGGTATCTTGTAATTGTATTTTACTCAAAGGAAGTATACTCTAAGGAAATTGTGTGGCCTTGAGGTACACAGCCATTAGGCATTTAAAAAATATATTTAAAAAGTTTTATGGAATATTTTTAAATTACTGAAAATCAGAATCACCCAGATTTAAGAGATCTTAATATTTTGCTACATATTTGATTCATATCTTTTTGTTGTTTAAAGAAATAAAATCTCACAGATTCAAAGGGTCCCTCCCCATCCCCTTCCTGTCTTCTTTTCTCCAGAAGTAACCACCTGTCCCAATATGTATGTACCAAAACAATATCAGGTATTGCTTGTGTGTTTAACTTTACATAAACAGTATCATAACCATACCTTATATATTATTTTTACTTAACAGTGTGTTTTTGAGATTTATCCATGTAATGTGTTTAGTCCAGCAGTTTTCAAAGTGTGCTGCAGGGATTCCTGGGGATCCCTAAGATTCTTTCAGGGGGTCCATGAGGTCAAAACTATTTTCATAATACTTTTTATTTGCTCTTTTCACCCACATTTTCCTGTACACTATAGGAATACTGTACAGAGGCTGCATGACATATGATGTCATAATAGATAGAATGCAGAAACACTTACGGGAATCCAGCCGGTTTCTATTAAGCCAGACATGAAAGAGATTTGCAAAAATGTAAAACAGTGCCACTTGTTTTACTATTTTTTTTTGTTTAGAAAAATAGTTATTTTAAAATAAATATGCAGCCATAAAAAAGAACGAGGTCGTGTCTTTTGCGGAAACATGGATGGAGCTGGAGGCTATTATCCTTAGCAAACTAACGCAGGAACAGAAAACCAAATACCGAATATTCTCACATACAGGTGGGAGCTAACTGATGAACACAAAGAAGGAAACGAGACACTGGGGGTCTACTAGAGGGTGAAGGGAGGGAGGAGAGAGAGGATCAGAAGAGATAACTATTGGGTACTGGGCTTAAATACCTGGGTGATGAAATAATCTGTACAATAAACCCCCGTGACAGAAGTTTACCCATGTGACAAACCTGCACATGTACTCCCGAACCTAAAATAAGAGTTTTAAAAAAATCTCAACAAAAGGGAAAAAAGGAATAAAGAAAAAAAGTATTTTTATGGGTTAATAAGTGCTTTTAAATATCTCAGTTTTAATTTCTAGTATGATAAACATCTATAGATACGACCCACGTAAAAACTCTTTGTGGTTCTTAATTTTTGTTTTTTGTTTTGTTTTTTAAATTTTATTGTGATCCTTAATTTTTAAGAGTGCAAAGGAGTCCTGAGACCACGAAGTTTGAAAACTACTGATTCCATTCATTTTATTTGTATTTCAGTGTATAAATAAATATACTGTGGTTTATTTATCTTTTCTTCTTGGAGGGACCGATAGAAACTGTTTGCAGTTTCTGAATTTCAAACACTACTGCTATGAACATCCTTATACATGGTTTGTCTTTCTTGGGATTATATACATATAGTAGAAGTAGAATTGCTTCATTTAAGAAGTCTGTGCATTATCAACTTTACTGGGAATTGCCAAAATGGCAAATTGTCTTCTATTTGACACTCCCGCTGTGTTTGATCCCGTTTCTCCAAATCACTGCCAAAGGATTAGATTTTGCAATTTTTTCCCAATCTGTTGGGTATAAATGGCATCTCCTTGCTATTTTCATTTTGCATTTCTAAGATTACTAGTGAGGTTGACCTTTTTTCCCCATGTATTTATCGGCCATCAGAGTTTTCTATTAATTGCTTGTGCATACCTTTGGTTCATTTTTCTGTTGGATTGTTGCCTCCTCCTTATTGGTATATGGGTTTTATTTATTTATTTATTTATTTGAGATGGAGTCTTGCTCTGTTGCCCAGGCTGGAGTGCAGTGGCACGTGGTCTGGGCTCACTGTAGCCTCTGCCTCCCAGGTTCAAGCAATTGTCCTGCCTCAGCCTCCTGAGTAGCTGGGATAACAGACGCCTGCCACCATGCCCGGTTAATTTTTGTGCTTTAAGTAGAGACGGGGTTTCACCATGTTGGCCAGGCTTGTCTCGAACTCCTGACCTCAAGTGATCGGCCCTCCTTGGCCTCTGAAAGTGCTGGGATTACAGGTGTGAGCCACTGTGGCTGGCTGGTTTATGGGTTTTATATTCTGGATACTAATTTGTGATTATATACACTGAAAATATCTTTTCCTGGTCTGTGGCTTGGCTTTTAGCTCTGTTTGTGGAAAGTTTTTTATGTAGGACTTCATAATATGATGGTAGCCAGTTCTCAGTTTTTTTCATTTATGGCTTGTGTTTTCTTATGTCTTCAATACATTCTTCCCTTACCCCAAGGTTGTAATGATACTGTGCTGTTTCATATTTAGGTCGTTAATTCACCGGAGTTTTTTGTATATTGTGTGACGTAGGAATCTAATATCTTTTTCATGTGGATTTATCAAATGGTTCAGCGTTTCTCCCCACTGATTTATAATGCAACTCCTGAGATATATCATATTCCCACATATGTATCTGTTTTTAGTTTCTCTCTTTTGGTTTCATTGGTCTGTTTGCCTATCTCTATATCTATACTATCCTGATTTAATAATAGCCTTTTTTTTTTTGGAGACGGAGTTTTGCTCTGTCGCCCAGGCTGGAGTGCAGTGGTGCGATCTCAGCTCACTGCAAGCTTCACCTCCTGGGCTCACGCCATTCTCCTGCCTCAGCCTCCCGAGTAGCTGGGACTACAGGCGCCCGCAACCACGCCCGGCTAATTTTTTGTATTTTTAGTAGAGACGGGGTTTCACCGTGTTAGCCAGGATGGTCTCGATCTCCTGACCTCATGATCTGCCCACCTCGGCCTCTCAAAGTGCTGGGATTACAGGCGTGAGCCACTGTGCCCGGCCTTAATAATAGCTTTATAATTAAAACTGAGTATATCTTCTTTTCCTTCAGGATTATTTTAGCTGTTTTCCTCCCTTTGCTTATTTTGGGGTTAGTTTGTCATTTTCTGTGAAAACTGTTGGATTTTTATATTTGCCTCAAATTTATAGAATAAATACATAGATTCATGTAGATAAATGCTAATAGAGCTGGGATTTGAATTCTGGGTATGTGCTACTACTTTTCATAAAGCTCTTGCACAACTTTTGTTAGATATTTTTGTTAGATACTGTGTAATTTTTGTTGTCATTGTGAATAGGATTTTCTTTTAGTTATAGTTGCTATTATTGCTGATGTATAAGGATCACTGTTGACTTATATGTATTGATCACGTAACCTTGCTGAACTCTCATCATATTTCATAGATTCTGAGGTACACTTTTCCCCCCTACATCTTCACATATCTGAAGTCAAAATAGATCTTTGATGGTGTCCCATAATCACTGTTGTCTAGGCAGCAGTCATGATGTAGTTATCATTGCTTGCACATGCACAAACTTGGTCAGGGCTCTTCATTTTGTCATCACTTTAAATGAGTATGTGCATTGCTGTATTGTTATTTCATGCCAAACAATAAAACTGGAGGCGGAAGAAATTGCAAAGTGGGTGTCTGCCTTGAAAGAAAATCCCATAAATAATAATGGATCATTTTAAGAAGTGCTGCATCACCAACACTCTTATTGGCAGAGCACAATATTGTTAGCAACAGTTGAACAGTTTTGAGTGGAAGAGCAATCCATAGTAGGACCTTGAATGTGAAGTTGTAGGAATACCTTACCAATTTATTTTGCTTCTTTTTTTTCTGTCGCCCAGGCTGGAGTGCAGTGGCACGATCTCAGCTCACTGCAACCTCCGCCTCCCGGGTTCAAGCAATTCTCCTGCCTCAGCGTCCCGAGTAGCTGGGACTACAGGTGCACGCTGCCACGCCCAGCTAATTTTTTGTATTTTAGTCGAGACAGGTTTTCACTGTGTTTCCCAGGCTGTTCTCGAACTCCTGAACCCAGGCAATCTGCCCGCCTCGGCCTCCCAAAGTGCTAGGATTACAGGCATGAGCCACTGTGCCCGGCCAATTTCTTTTGCTTCTGTATACACAAGATATGATAAAAGTCTGTCTAAATAAGTCTGAATTGTCTTGATAAATCTAGAATGAAAATCCTAGATAATAAGAAAATACTGTATCAGTTTAATTGGCAATGTTTTTTTCTTAGTCATGTAAAATAAGGGTACAGCTTACAATTGGTATCTTCAGAGTCAGTGAAATGTAGTAGTAATAACAGTTCATGCCGGGTGTGGTGGTTCACGCCTGTAACCCCAGCACTTTGGGAGGCCGAGACGGGTGGACTTTGTCTCAAACAAACAAACAAACAAAACAAACCAAAAACAAAAAAACACAGTTCATAATTCTTTTGTATATAGTTTTCATGTCTGTGAATAATACAGTTTTATTTCTTCTTTTCCATTCCTTCTTGCCTCCTGTTTCTTGTTCTGGTTTTACTGCATTGACTAATTCCTCTATTGAAGTGTTCAGTAGAAGCATTGATAATGGGCATCCTTCTCTAGTTACTTTAATGGAGTGCTTCTAATGTTTTATCATTAAATATGATATTGTAGTGGGCTTTTTTGAGAGGGGGTGCTGATGATATTTTTATTTATTTATTTATTTTGAGCCGGGGTCTTGCTCTGTCGCCCAGGCTGGAGTGCAATGGTGCGATCTCGGCTCACTGCAACCTCCGCCTCCTGGGTTCAAGCCCTTCTCCTGCCTCAGCCTCCCAGGTAGCTGGGACTACAGGCATGTGCCACCATGCCCGGCTAATTTTTTTTTTTTTTTTTGTATTTTTAGTAGAGATAGGGTTTCACCATCCTGGCCAGGCTGGATGATATTTTTTAGTTGCAGTTCTCTTTTACTTATCATTTTAGAGTTTCTACTGTGAGCAGGAGTTTAATTTTGCTAATGCTTTTGCTACATCTATTGGCGTGATGAAGTCCATTAATCTTCTATTTTATTTTTAGTTTTTTTTATTTTTCATTTTGAGATGGGGTCTTGCTCTGTCGCCCAGGTGGGAGTGCATGGCTCACTGCAGTCTTGACCTTCTGGGCTCAAGCCATCCTCCCACCTCAGCCTCCCAAGTAGCTGGGACCATAGGCATGTGCCACCATGCTGGCCTGATTTTTTAATTTTTTTGTAGAGACGGTCTTGCCTTGTTGCACAGGCTAGTCTTGAACTCCTGGTCTCAAGCAGTTGTCCTGCCTGGGCCTCCAAAAGAGCTGGGATTATAGGCGTGAGCTACAGCGTGGGTCCTACATTTTCTATTTTAAACTATTTTTCGATTCCCGGATATTCGCATATCTTTGTTATTGCCATGTACTTTTCCTTTTTTATGTAATCTTGTTTGGATAACAAAGTTGTATTAACCTCATAAGATAAATTGGGGAGTATTTTTTTCTTTTTTCTTTTAAACAGTTGCTGTTTAATAGAGACAATCTGTTTCTTTTCTTTTTTGGAGACAGAATCTCTCTCTTGTCGCCCAGGCTGGAGTGCAGTGGCACGATCTCGGCTCACTGCAATCTCTGCCTCCCTGGTTCAAGTGATTCTCCTGCCTCAGCCTCCTGAGTAGCTGGATTACAGGTGCCCGCCACCATGCCTGGCTAATTTTTGTAGTTTTTAGTAGAGATGGGTTTCACCATGTTGGCCAGGCCTCAGGTCTGGTCTCGAACTCCTGACCTCAGGTGATGGGCCTACCTTGACCTCCCAAAGTGCTGGGATTACAGACATGAGCCACCGTGTCCGAGCGAGACGATCTGTTTCTTAAAAGTAAGAACCCATCTGTGAGATTATCTGTGCTTGGTGTCTTTTGAGTGTAAATTTGTGGTTTCTGATTTGTTAATTGTTTCTTTCATGATGATAAGTCTTGTTTTAGCTGTTCTTGAGTTTTTTTGGTCATTTATACAAAATGAACAATTTTCTAGAAAAATATTAAATTTCAAATGCATTATTATAAAATACAGATTTCCCTGATGACTTTTAAAAACCTAATTTTGTTAGTTTGTTCCTTTTTTTCTGATCAGTATTGCCAGTAACTGCCTTTATTATTGGATTTTTTAACATAGTTATTTTTATTGATCCTTTCTATTTCTACTCCTGTGGTTAATATTTTCCTTCTGCTTTATTTGCATTCATTCTGACATTTAAAAATGTAAGTTAGAGGCTTAGCTCATTCATATTTAATCTATTTTTATAATATATATACTAAAAACTATAAAATTTTCTCTAGACTATAATTGGATGCTATTTAAAAAAATTGAAATGCTTTTTTTTTTTTTTTTTTGAGAGCGGGTCTCGCTCTGTCGCCCAAGGTGGAGTGCAGTGGCGCACTCTCGGCTCACTGTAACCTTTGCCTCCCGGGTTCAAGCGATTCTCTTGCCTCAGCCTCCTGAGTCGCTGGGATTACAGACGTGCACCAGCACACCTGGCTAATTTTTGTATTTTTAGTAGAGACGGGGTTTCACCATGTTAGCCAGGCTGGTTTCAAACTCCTGACCTCAGGTGATCCACCTGCCTCGGCCTCACAAAGTGCTGGGATTACAGGTGTGAGCCACTGAGCCCAGCCGAAATACACGTATTTATGGGGTAGAGTGATTATGTACATGTATACAATGTGTAATGGTCAAATCAGGGTAATTAGCATATCTGTCACACCAGCATTTATCATTTCTCTGTGTTGGGAACGTTCAGAATCCTTTCTTCTAGATATTTGAAAATACATAATGAATTATTTTTAACTATAATCACCCTACAGTGCTATAGAACACTAGAACTTATTCCCCCTATTTAGCTATAATTTGTATCTGTTAACCAAACTGTCCCTATCTCTGGATACTATGATTTTTGACATGAATTGGTTTTTATTATTTAGTTCTAAATATATTGTGATCTCCATAATTTTCCTGTTGCCCATTAAAATTATTTAGAACTTTGTATTTACAGGATTTTCTTTTTGTATTACTGTTATCTCTGTGATATTTATTTCTAATTTTATTGTATTATACTTGGGGAACATTGAGATGCAAAAATCAACTCTGTTTCTCTATACCAGCAGCAAACAATTTGAAAATCAAATTTGAAAACTAATATAATTTATAATAAGGTCAAAAAACATCTGATACCTTGAAATAAATCCAACAAAGCATACCAAGACCTTCAGTAAAAACCTTACTAAGAGAAATGAAAGAAGACCTAAATTAATGGCAAGAGATAACCATGTTCATTGGATTGGAAGTGTCAGTATTGTAAAGATGTCCGTTCTCTCTAAATTGATACATACAGAAATTCAGTGCAATCGCAATAAATATCTCAATAGGGCTGTTGCTGCTGCCACTGCTGCTTTTTTTTCTTTTGGATAGGCTAGTTCTCAAATTTACATGGAAAGGCACAGGGCCAAGAATGGCAAAGGCAATCTTGAGAAAAAGTTGGAAGACTTAACACTAACATATATCAACACTTATTATAAAGCTACAGTGATTAAATTAGTGGGCGCAAAGCCAGATTGACCAGTGGCACAGGATAGAGTCCAAAAGTTGACCTACACATACAAGGTCAGTTGATTTAAAGAAAGGTGTATTGGGATTTTGATTGAATGTAGAGGTTAATTAAGGGAGAAGTGATACTACTAATCTAACATATTCTTTTTTTTCTTTTTCTTTCTTTTTTTTTTTTTTTTTTAAAGACAGTCTTCCTCTGTCATCCAGGCTGGAATGCAGTGCAGTGGTGCAAATTTGGCTCACTGCAGCCTCTGCCTTCTGTGTTCAAGTGATTCTTCTTCTGCCTCAGCCTCTCGAGTAGCTGGGATTACAGGTGTGCGCCCCCATGTCTGCCTAGCTTTTGTATTTTTAGTAGAGACGGGGTTTCACCATGTTGGCCAGCCTGGTCTCGAACTCCTGACCTCAAGTGATCTACCTGCCTCAGCCTTCCAAAGTGCTGGGATTACAGGTGTGAGCCATTGCACCTGGCCCTAATGTAACATATTCAAGAGCAAGATTGCTTTCTCTATTTATTTGTCTAAAAAGGAAAAAAAAAAAAAAAAGAAATCTCTAGCTGGGCGTGGTGGCACATGCCTGTAGTCCCAGCTACTTGGAAGGCTGAGGCAGGAGAATCGCTTGAACCTGGGAGGCAGAGGTTGTGGTGAGCTGAGATCGTGCCATTGCACTCCAGCCTGGGCAACAAGAGTGAAACTCTGTCTCAAAAAACAAAAAAATCCCACACAGTAGAGTTTTTAATTACTCTTATCAGTGGGATTTTTTCATTCTTAGGTGTTTACATGAGAAAGCTTTTGTCTTCAAGTATATTAATTTTGTACCAGCACACCTTATGAATTCATACCGATAATAGTTTTTCAGTTGATTCTCTTGTATTTCCTAGATATAGCATATGCAAATAAGTTTAATTTCCTTCAAGTAATAATTATATCTTCTATTTCATCATCTTACCTAATTACACTGGCTGGCATTTGTCACACAATCCTATAATAATAGTATTAATGGCCATTCTTAATTTTGACTTTAGAGAGAATACTTCTAATGTTTTACCTTAGGTTTAATAGATGTCTTTTTGTTATAAAGTGATAACTGACATCATTCTCATATCCCAAAACACATGTTCTGACATGAACTGGTTTAAGATTGCATATACTTGAGTATTTTTTAAACAGCTTTATTGAGATAAAGCTATTATTAAATCTACCCTTTAAAATGTACATTTCAGTGGTTTTTTAGTAGATTCAGAGTTCTGTAACTATTATCACTAATTAGAACATTTTCGTCACCCCAAAAAGAAACCCTACACCTACTGGTAATCACTCTCCTCTCCCCGCTTCCTTCATCCCCTAGCAACCACTAATCTACCTTCTGTCTGTGTGGATTTGCTTGTTCCTGACGTTTCATATAAATGGAATCCTATAACGTGGTCTTTCGTGTCTGGCTCCTTTCACTTAGCATATTGTTTTCAAGGTCATCCATGTTTTAGCGTGTATCCTATTTATTTAATTTGTTAACTGTTAAAATATCTATCCCAATTTGACTCAAAAGTTTGCTTTAAATCAAAAGTAGGCGTTCAGTTTCAACTTTTCAGCATCTGTTGAGAATATCAGGCGTTTTTTTTTTTGACCTATTAATTTGGGCCATTATTTGGCTCCATCCTTGAATTCTAGAGTACCCATACTGTGCCAAGGTCTGTGGTGTGTGTGTGTGTGTGTGTACATGTACATGGATGTGCTTTTTTTTTTTTTTTTTTTTTTACATGACGGATCATATTTGCGGATACTTGACTTGGGATTCATAATTAACCAAGTTTGTAATTTGGTTAAATTATTTTTGTTAGGTTTTTTTTTTTTTTTTTTTTTTTTTTTTTTTGATACAGAGTCTCACTCTGTCGCCCAGGCTGGAGTGCAATGGCGCGATCTTGGCTCACTGCAACCTCTGCCTCCTGGGTTCAAGTGATTCTCGTGCCTCAGCCTCCTGAGTAGCTGGGACTACAGGCGCGAGCAACCACGCCCAGCTAAGTTTTGTATTTTTGGTAGAGATGGGGTTTCACCATGTTGGCCAGGCTGGTCTCGAACTCCTGACCTCAGGTGATCCACCCACCTCAGCCTTCCAAAGTGCTGGGATTACAGGCATTAGTCACCATGCCCGGCCGCCTAGCTAATTTTTAAAATTATTTTGTCAAGATGGAGTCTAGCTATTTTGTCCAGGCTGGTCTTGAACTCCTTGCTGCAAGTGATCTCCTGCCTTGGCTTCCCAAAGCGCTGGGATTACGGGTGTGAGCCACTGTGCCCAGGCCCCCTCTTTTAAAAAAAAGAAAAAAAAAAAAAAAAAAATTCATTACGATCGGGTTTTCTTTTATTGAGTTAATGCTGGTAATTTACATTTTCCGTCACTGTGCTAGTGTAGAATTCTAGACCATTTTCATACAAGTTGTTTTCTTTTTTTCTGTTTTTTTTTTTTCTTATTTCAAATTGTATATGTTTGTGCTTTCTCCCAGTTTCTTCCCCTCTTTTAGATTATTATCTTGTATTTTATTGTCTTCCCAACCCCCTGGAAAAAGCTTGGTTTGGAGATTTTTTTGGGGTAAAAATTAGCTGGCTCCCTAGCTTTGCTCCAGAGAATGGTCATGAAATTAATGGTTGCTGATACTCAACCTGGAGCATGCCTGTTGTTGGTCTTTTGAGAAGCAGGCGTATTTCAAACCTGCCCCTGCATTGCCCAGCTTGTTCTTTTCTTTTATTATTTTTTTAATGATTAAAGGATTTATTAAATTCCATGTGCAAAACACATTGCTGATTGCATTAGCAAAAGATCAATGTAAAAATACCCCACAATTCTGGAACTGTCCATTTAAAATATTTGTTCTAGTTGTTGAAAGGCCCAGTGTTATATTCTTGCCAGTGCTTAAGGTATACAGAGAATACTGTAAGTGTTAACACTGAGTTTACAGAACCTCATAGGCCGAAAGTAATGTATTTAGGAAAAGCAATAATAGTAAGTATGCATTCATGTAGGTGAGATATAGTATGGTCAATATGGGTCAAATTACAGCGTTGGTGATCAGTGACAAGGGAGTTGGCAAGACAATTATGTTAAGAAAGATCATAGTTTAAGAATATTTAGGGCTGGGCACGGTGCCTCACACCTGTAATCCCAGCACTTTGGGAGGCTGAGGCGGGTGGATCACCTGAGGTCAGGAGTTCGAAACCAGCCTGGCCAACGTGGTGAAACCCTGTCTCTACTAGTAAAAAATACAAAAAATTAGCCAGGCGTGGTGGTGCATGCCTGTAAATGCCAGCTACTTTTGGGAGGCTGAGGTAGGAGAATTGCTTGAACCTGGGAGGCAGAGATTGTAGTGAGCTGAGATGGCGATGTTGCACTCCAGCCTGGGCAACAAGAGTGAAACTCCGTCTGAAAAAAAAAAAAAAAATTTAGAGTGTTTTGAAAACTGTAAACCTGCAAGGCATGATTTTTACAACTAGTTACCAGAAAATGAAGGAAAGCACATAATTAGCTTGAATAAAGTAACATGAAAGCGAGACTGCACTAATTTAAAAAAACCCCAAATCCTAATACAGTATCAGAAAAATATTTTCTTTTCTTTCTTTTTTTTGAGACGGAGTCTCGCTCTATCACCAGGCTGGAGTGCAGTGGCATGAATTTGGCTCACTGCAACCTTTGCCTCCTGAGTTCAAGCAGTTCCCCTGCCTCAGCCTCCTGAGTAGCTGGGACTACAGGCACGTGCCACCACGCCTGGCTAATTTTTTGTATTGTAGTAGAGACAGGGTTTCACTATCTTGGCCAGGATGTTCTCGATCTCCTGACCTTGTGATCCGCCAGCCTCGGCCTCCCAAAGTGCTGGGATTATAGGCGTGAGCCACCACGCCCGGCCAGAAAGATTTTCTAATACAAGGAGACATATTGCTCATTGAGAAGGGGTTTGATAAGAAAACTTACTAAGTTAACAACTATGTTAATGACTAGTTCAGAGATAAATTAAATGCCCAATTTTGGGAAAGGTAGCAGGTGCAAGAAAAAGGAAATGTATAAGAAAACAGTTTCTGATACTTAAACCTTTCTTCATCATGTACTGCATTTGACAGAAATTAACCTTTTAAAAATTTTACCTAGGATGGTTTTATTTCATTTATTCCATGTACAATGTAGTCTAAATCTCCACTTGATACCATGTCAGAATCCTGTCTTCATCCTTTGATTACATCAAGTGTTTCTCACACTGCTCGAACTAAGTCTGCAACTAAAGGTAGAATACTTCAGTAGAGGAAACGTGAATAGAATTTCTTTTCAGAATTTCAGCAAAAACTAATAAGCTATTTTAAAGTTTTTCACTATGAAATAAAAGAGTGATCCAAAGAGTTGAGTTGTTTTACTCATTCCATTATGATATATGGTAGAATGTTATGGAATGAACATGGATATTGCTAAATTATTGAATGCATTAAATGGCAGTACTTTATTAAGGAGGCTGTACTGCTTTAAATATCTGAAAACTAGTTAGAATGTGTGCATTTCCTCACATCAAGCTAAGCCTTAAAAACAAAAGCATTTAAAACTAGTGTTTGTAGCTCATTGGTACAAGTAGGTTCAGAGAGTATTGTGTCAACTCTTAATCTGAGCAGGAATAGAAGCTTTGAGAAAATAGGCTTTAAGAAGGTTTGTCATTTTACAGCCAAGTTTTAATAGATTGTGAAAGTTTGGACTCTTAGATTTTAAACAAACAAAACCTTGAAATTACTGATTGGCTCAGCGTGGTTTTATGGAAAAACTAATACAAAAACTTGGCCTTGACTATTTGAGCAAAGCCTACAAAAGTTCCAGATGGGACAGGGCAAGGAAGGATGGGGCTCTATTTACAACAGCAGATATTTTCTTTTCCTCTTCTTGACGTGGAGTAGGCAGGGCTATTTGAAAATAAAATATTCTTTTCTTAGAGAATGGAACTTGAATTACAGTTATTAGATTAATATCGATTATATACATTTTCTCTTTTCCTTTTAGACTAGTTGATCTGTTAAGTGTTGATAGTTGTTGTAACCTTCCACTACTATTGATTTTTTTTATTACTGTCTCATAGGTTCTTTTGCTTTTTTTATATTTACATATTTCCATGCTGTTTTATTTGGCACATAAAAATGCATAATGACTTCAAATTCAACATAGACTAGAGAACACACACACTTATTTTTTCTTCCTTCTAAAATCACATAAAGAATATAAAAACAAATCCAGAGAAACAAGAAAACCTCAGTGGTATGAATCAGAATATGATGAATTTTTGGTTGAATAAAGCAATTGGAAATCAATTAATGTCAAAACCCAAGAGAGCTTAGTGAACGTGTGACCTTATTCAGAAAGTAGAAGGGACCAGCCAAGAATTGGCATCCTGCAGTACCACCAACATCAAAAGCAGGGAGGCACTTGGAGATAGAACAAGCCATGAGTACAGCCAGATAATTAAAGCCATGGAAAGCTAAGCCATTTACCTATTAGTATAGGTGCCCGCAATGGTTTTCCTGCTGGGATAATGCCCAAAATTCAGCTCTCTGAATTGCTTGTTTGTCCATAGGAAATTCCAAAGTGAGTGCTGTATAGCAAGAAAGATAGGGGCAGTAGTTTAGGTAGCTTGTGGCTATCCTGAAGGATATTGAACCTCCAGCACCTGGAAGATGGGATACTCTTCCACCATTAAAGGAGAACCTGGCTGGTTACATGGCTCCTTTCTCGCCTATGGACTCATTCTAGATAGGACTTCTGTGATCTGAATTTAAGTTTATTGTTGGGCAAACAGGAATTATCACTTGGGCTGAAGAAGTTCACCCCAGCAGTCAGAATATAACTCTAGTCTGGACCCTCATCTACAAGTAGGAATAGACAACCAGGAAGAACCATGCTTTTCAGGAAAACCAGCAGTTTAAAAGAGAGGCACCAAATTCAACTAACTGAATAATGAAACACCAGAGGAGACAGTTTATATAGGGTACAGAATGAACTTTAAATCCACAGAGAGATTTGGGAAGATACCGTGTCCACCCAAAAAAGAAAAGATTGCTATGGAAAAGAAACTATTAGAATTAAAATATGAACTTTTAAAGAAAAATTCAGTAGATGGGGTGGAGATCAAATTAGCTAGCTTAGAAGAAAGAATTCAGGGATTCTCTGAGAGTGTAGTAGAAAGACAAAATCTGAGAGAAAAGTTAAAGCAATATAGAAGCTAGATTTAGTAGCCTTTTTACATCCTGTAATAAATGCTAGTAAGAATGAACAGAGAAAATGGAGGAAAGTATAGAAACAACAAGAAACTTTCCTAAGTTCAAGAAGGGCTTAAGTCTTTTGATTGAAAGGCCCCACATGGTCTGCATGTGAGAAGAGAACTTGTTAGAGTGGTAGCAGTGATAATAAAGAGGAAGTGATAAGTATAAGAGTTACTGGCTTTGAGATGAATTTAATTTAAGGGCTGATAGAGTCAGAGAAGAGAAATATGACTCCAGATTTGAAAATGAGATATCTGGAGAAATGATGGCTAACATTGAACAACATGGGGGAAAAATTAGGAAAGAAATGCAGCTTAAGAGAGAAGATATTAATTAGGCCTTAAATATAAGTTTTCACCAGTTCTGATTTCCCTCTAAGACAAATTGTTATAGACACATTTGCCTTTGTTTGCCTTTCCTGCAGCTTAAGCATTCCTTCTACCATGTATAATAAAATTTAGTTCTCTGAGTGTGACTTAGTGAGAAGAATTAGAGTTGAGTCATAGAATTAACAGGCAGTGAGGTTTTGGGAGACCTAAAGCAGAAAAGTGATTTTTATATGCATATTAGCTGCAAAAAGCAAAGTGAATAAATAAGAATCCTGTTAACTTGCCCAAGAGGGAGATCACAGAAGTATCTAAGCATCAAAATATATAAAACAAATAAATTATATCTGTGATCCCTAATTTAAGATAGATAAAATGCCATTGCTATACCTGTTAACTTTTATTGCTTTATTATATATTTTATTTATAATTACCTTCTTCTAGGATGATATTGCTTTAAAGAATGGAAGGACATTTTTGTGAATTTCCTGGGTTCTCCTAGCCCATTATTTCCCTCAAAACTATATGTTTTTCTTTTCTTTCTTTCTTTTTTTTTTTTTTTTTTTACTTTCTGTCCTCACAGTCTGTTCCCAAAAACTATGTTTTTCCACTGTGAATTATTTTCAGGATCATGATTCTCGTAACTGGGAAGGGAATATCTTACTGAGTTTGAGGTGTTAGTAGAGTCCCAGAAATACCTTGAGGGCGTTTGATAGTAAGACTAAATGTTAGTACTTGTTCACCCAAATTCTGAGATTCTTGGTTCTCTGAACCATCCTACTTATTTGTCTTTAGGTTCAACTGATCTCTGGGCTTGGTTTGTACTACAAAGGCATGGACACCGCCAGTTACATTATCACGTACCTTCTTCCACCCTTCGTTTATCATATCTGAGAACTCCTCTGAGTAGGTTCTGTTCTGAGAACAGTTTCATTCTGATTGTCAAAGGGAGTTAGTATTCTAACTCCAGAGGGGTTACAAAGTTGAGGTATAGTCATCTCTGTTTAGAATGTTTGAATTTTTGTAATGACAAAACCGAAGGGAAAATGACCAGGCAAAACAATAGTTTGTTGAATAATTACTGCTCACTTAAGATGAGATGAGCGGGCACCCCCATGTAGGCCAGAATATCTATTAGGAAATGCACGTGATGTAAAAGGATGGGAAGAAAGCAAATCAGTCTGTTAATGGTAGCTTGGGTTAATACTGCAGAGCCTTTGAGTATTGAGGAACTGCTGAAGTGTTCAGAGCAGGGAAGTAGTATGATCAAAGCAGTGCTTCAGGAGGGTTAATTTGCCTACAGATTGCAGAAATGCCTCAATACTTGGCACCAGCCCTTACGTGTAGTTTTAGGGTTTCTAGTCATTTGTTGTGGGAGTGGCAGAAAGGAGCAAGGCCAGTCCAGAGGCTATTTTCATCCCCCAGGGATCAGGAAATATGAAGCTGAGTGGGAATGCTAACTAGGAATTAAAAAAAAAAAAAAAAGATTCTTGAGAAGTTGAGAATTGACAAGATCTGGCAATCTGACTGTGAGCAGAGAAGAAGAAAAAGGCCATAGTGGTCATATCAGGAGAAGGCTGGGTTTTATCCGGATGAGAATATTCAACAGTCTGTTGGACATGTTAGGATGATTGTAGGAATCATTGTTGTGGAAATAGTAGTTGAAACCATGGGAATAAAGAGAAAGCAGAAGAGGAGAGGGTTGAGCACACACCTGGGCTGAGCCGCAGTAAGGGGTGAGGGGAGGGTGAGCAGCCAGCAGTTAAGAAGAGGGAAGAGAACTAGAAGTCACTTAAAGCAACAGAGGAAGGAGAGCACTTCACAAATTAGGGAGTTGATTGTTTAATAGAAATGCCAAGGAGGATGAATGCCAAGAAAAGTTGTTCTGCAAGTTGAGAATCCGTAGAGCTGATGGGATTGGGTTTATGTAGGGAAATTTGTGCGGTGAGGGGCTTAAATACCTTAATGTATCCCCTTTATTGCCTTCTTAATTGGCTTGCTTTAATGTCATAGTGTTTCATAATGCTTAGAATTTTTTTTTTTTTTTTTGAGACAGAGTCTCGCTCTGTTGCCCAGGCTGGAGTGCAGTGTCGCAATCTTGGCTCACTGCAACCTCCACCTCCCGGATTCAAGTAGTTCTCCCTGCCTCAACCTCCTGAGTAGCTGGGATTACAGGCACCTACCACCACGCCTGGCTAATTTTTGTATTTTTAGTAGCAATGGGGTTGCGCCATGTTGGCCAGGCTGGTCTCGAACTCCTGACCTCAGGTGATCCACCCGTCTCAGCCTCCCAAAGTGCTGGGATTACAGATGTGAGCCACCACGTCCAGCCAATGCTTAGAAGATTAATTTACGTTTATCATTTTTAAAAGGGGGAAAAGGTATTCTATAGCCAGAGGTGGTTTTGCGGGAGTGGGGCAGTAATAACTTTTTCAGAGCATGTACACTTTCTGTTTTTCATTTGCTTTAATTTTTTTTCTTTAATTTTTTTTTTTTTTTTTTTTGAGACGGAGTGTTGCTCTATGGCCCAGGCTGGAGTGCAATGGCATGATCTTGGCTCATTGCAACCTCCGTATCCCGGGTTCAAGCGATTCTCCTGCCTCAGCCTCCTGAGTAGCTGGGATTACAGGCATGCGCCACCATACCCTGCTAATTTTTTTGTATCTTAGTAGAGGAGGGGTTTCGCCGTGTTGGCTAGGCTGGTCTCGAACGCCTGACCTCAGGTGATCTACCCACCTCGGCCTCCCACGGTGCTGGCATTACAGGCGTTAGCCACCATGCCCAGCCCATTTACTTTTATTTGAAACAGTTTGAATAAATAACATGAAACATGCTATTTCTTAAAAATGAGTAGAATATATCTCAGAGTTGGTATGTTGAGAATTCCTTTTATGAATGTTAATTTTCTCAATTAACATTTAATGGATATTTCCATTACTATTCCATGTTAATGGATTTTTTTAAGGACTATATATGTAATTTAGTATCTGTAAGTAAGACATATATAAATAATCATAATATGACAAACCAGTACAATAAGAGAAGAATAGAGTGCTGTGGAAATTTCAGAGGGAAAAATTGTTTCCAGCTTTCTCTTTTTTTTGTGGGGAAGGAGATTTAGAGGGAAAGATCAAAGCAGAGATAATGGGGGAAAGGGGTTCCAGGTAGAAGGATCCCTGAATCAAATATGAAGTTGGGGTTTTATGGGGATGTTGAGCATTTTTGTTTGGCTGAACTTTGTGTGGGTGGGGACCATGTGTTTGTGTACATGCTGACAGTGGTAGAGGGAAGTGCTTGAAGGAAAGTTAGGGGAGATGATGATGGGAAGGTAGTTTGGGGCCAGAACTTAGAAGATGACAGGTGTTTGAATTTTATTTAGAGGGAGCAAGAAGCCATTAAACATTTTTGAACAGAGGAATGATGTCACCTAGCTTTAGAAAAATGACTTGTGTTTCTGTTAATTGAAATTTTAATAAGCATGTAGTACTTATAAAATCAGCAAAAAAAAGCGGTAAAGGTGAAAATTATTGGTTAGAGTTCTTTTTGTCAGAAGTTTTTGGCTTAAGTAGAAAAGGGAGAATTAAGGCCATTGGAATGTCTTACAAGAATTCAAGGCAGGAATATAGCTGGACCTCAGATAGGTCTAGAACCAGGAGCTAAACAGCTGTCTCCCCTCCCTGCTTACTCTATTCTGTTACTCAAGGCACTCACAGTCTAAGCCAGAGTTGCAAAATGACTTTTCTCAGCTCTTATGTTCCAGCCACCAGGACAGAGAGAGAAGGAGAGAGAGAGAGAGAGAGAGAGAGAGAGAGAGAGAGGCAGACAGACAGACAGACACTGATTCTTGCTCATGGTTTTGGATTCTCAGGGATAGGACTTTGATTTTATTGTGCTTAAAGATGAGCTTACTGTTTACCGTTTTATAGCTAGTGCCAATCAACTGTGGCCAGGAGAATATAAATACACTATGGGAATTTACTTCTCTAGATGAGAGGGTTAGTTAAGAGAGGTTAGGCAGAATCCCAAGGGTTGTTTACTACAGTTATGCACTTTGAATTTTTATCATTGTGTAATCTACTGGTTGGAAGTTAGTAGACTAATTACATATAGAGAATATGAAAATTGTGCAAAAATTTCCCCCAGTAAGCTACAGAATGTATTTTAAGTTGAATCTTAACACAACTGGTTACCCTTGTGGGAACATGGGGTGTTACAGACTGAGGACACAAGAGTGCTGGGGTCTTAAAAGCGTTCTATATTTTGATCAGGGTAGTGATTACAAAAGTTTATGTATGTATTAGAATTCATCAAGATGTGTGCACTTGATAGACCTAAGCAATACATTTATTGCTTCAACTTAAAAAGAAGTCCAGGCAAAGTTGACTTGTTTATCTGCCCTGCTTTGTCATATAGATGCCCATTTATCATTGTAAATCAAGTAAGTTCTATTTTACTTTAGATAAGTAAGTTTTTGATACACATTTATCTTTCACATAATTTGAGTGTCTCAGAAATGAAACTATCATGATGGCATTTAATACCTGATATGAAAAAACTAATGGCTTTGGTTTACTTTTTTCCCTGATTTAGGAGCTGTGACTGATGAGAATTAAAGGCCATGGATGAAGATGGGCTTGAATTACAACAAGAGCCAAACTCATTTTTTGATGCAACAGGTATAACTACTTGAATTGTTCCACTTCCCATCTACCAGATTTGGAGTTGGTTGTCATCAATGAATTGCTAGAACTCTCACATTGATCATTCACAGGTTATCTTGTTATCCTGTCAAAATTCACAGGTGTTACGGTGAGCACATTATTATTACCCTCCTCAAAGATGTGGCTCCCTCACAACCAACTCTCATATTCTTGTCAGTAACAGCAGCAATATCAAACCTTAGTTTTATCTTCAGTTATGAAGATAATATCTTGACGAGTTATGTCCCTAATTCCTGTTGTTTTTCCCTTTGAAAATATTCCTTGTTAGCTTTGTTTGGACCTTTGTTTAAAAAAAGAAAAAGAAAAAATATTCTTTATTTACATCTGCTCTTCTTCATCCTAGTGCCTACCACATAGACAGGCTCTACGTCTCATTCTTAGTCTGGAAATAACTTTTGCATTATTTTCCTTATCCTTAGTCTCTCTTATCTAGCCTGCTGATCAGAGTACTCACTGTAAAATAACATGTGGATCCTGTCATTTCTCTATTCTCTAATACCCAGTAGATAAAGAAGGTCTCCCACATTGACCCTGTCCTATTTTTATAACTCTCTCTCTTGCAAGTTCCCAAAAAGAGACTTCTGCTTCAGGAAGATGGAGTCTTCACTCCCCATAGTGTACAAGGAAAAATTATACTCAGGAAGTTCTAAAAATAGGAAAAAAAACAGTATTAGAAAACATGTATTTCAGATTACCCATGGTTATAATTATATAACGTTGTAAAGTGGTTACACTTGCGTTTTGGGTTTTTTTGTTTTCAGACAGGGTCTCGTTCTGTCACCCAGGCTGGAGCACAGTGGCGCCATCTGGGTCCACTGCAACCTCCGCCTCCCAGGCTCAAGTGATCTGCTCAGCTTCCCGAGTAACTGGGGCTACAGGTGTGTGCCACAATGTCTGGCTAACTTTTGTATTTTTTTTTTTTTTTTTTGGGTAGTGACGGGGTTTTGCCACGTTGCCCAGGCTGGTCTTGAACCCGTGGGCTCATGTGATCTGCCTGCCTCGGTCTCCTATAAGTATTGGGATTACAGGCGTGAGCCACCATGCCTGGCCTATACTTGGTTTTATAACATAAAAGGGATTTGAGGCCAGACACGATGGCTCGCACATGTAATCCCAGCACTTTGGGAGGCTGAGGTGGGTGGATCACTTGAGGCCAGGAGTTCAAGACCAACCTGGCCAACATGGTGAAACCCCGTCTCTACTAAAAATACAAAAAAATTATCTGGGTGTGGTGGTGCACACTTGTAATCCCAGCTACTCGGGAGGCTGAGGCCTGAGAATCGGTTGAATCTGGGAGGCGGAGGTTGCAGTGAGCTGAGATCGCACCACTGCACTCCAGTCTGGGTGATAGCACGAGACGCAGTCTCAAAAGAGAAAAAAAATAAAAATAAAAAATAAAAGGGTTTTATATCACACCAGGTAGCTACCCCTTATTATAAATAAAATGCTAATAAGTTTTCCATTGGACTGTAAATGATCAGATTGTAGTATATTAAAGAAATAGCAATCAACTTTATCAGGAAATTAAATGTCAGTGATTTTAAATTAAAATTTTTTTTTTTTTTTTGAGACGGAGTCTTACTCTGTCACCAGGCTGGAGTGCAGTGGCATGATCTCGGCTCACTGCAACCTCTGTCTCCCGAGTTCAAGTGATTCTCCTACCTCAGCCTCCCGAGTAGCTGGGACTACAGGTGTGCACCACCACGCCCAGCTAATTTTTTTGTATTTTTAGTAGAACGGGGTTTCACCATGTTGGCTAGGATGGTCTCGATCTCTTGACCTCGTGATTCGCCTGCCTCGGCCTCCCAAAGTGCTGGGATTACAGGGGTGAGCCACCGCACCTGGCCCTAAAATTTTCTTTTTATTATTATTTTATTTTTCTTTTAGCGGCAGGGTCTCACCCTGTTGCCTGGGCTAGAGTACGGTGGCATGATTATAGCTCATTGTAACTTCAGACTCCTGTGCTCAAGGGATCCTCCTACCTCAGCCTTCTGAGTACCTTGGACTACAGATGGGCGCCATCAAGCCCAGCTAATTTTATTTTTTGTGGAGACGGGGTCTCGCTATGTTGCCCAGGCTGGTCTCGAACAAGTGCTCCTCCCACCTTGGCCTCTCATGGTGCTGGGATTACAGGTGTGAGCCACTGTGCTCGGTCAAATTTTAAAATTTTCTTGAATCTCTAAATCCAGTGGGGATGTGTGTGTGTTTCTTAACAACTTGGGATACTCTTTTAACTCGTTTGGTAATTTCAATTTGATAATGATAAATGTAAGGTTTATAATTCTTTCTTCCTTGGAACATGAAATATAAGTAATATACTTGAAAGAGACTAAACTCTTTGGAGAAAAATGTGCAGTGTTTGTTCACTTAATCTTGCCACAGGCAAACCTAGGTAATGGACTAAGTGGTAGATTGAAGGGCTATTGCGTTTTAGTCTTGATTGATAACACTTAATGGTATTTGTTTATCTTTGAGCAAGTCACTTAATCTGCCAGGGCCTCCGTTTTCATATGTCATAATAATAATGAAACCTCTCATTACAGTTTTTCAGAACACTTCCCATACATTCCCATTTGATCATCACCACAGTCCTGTGAGGTATGCATGGCAGATACTACTGTCCTCATTTTACTGATGAGGAAACTGAAACTCAGAGGTTGAATGACTTGCCCAAGGTCACAAAACTAATAAGTGTCCTACCCTGATGTACTCTCTGATTTAGATTTTGGTTTTTTTTTGGTTTTGTTTTTGAGATGGAGAATTGCTCTGTTGCCCAGGCTGGAGTACAGTGGCCATGATCTCTGCTCACTGCAACCTCCACCTCCCTGGTTCAGGTGATTCTCCTGTCTCAGCCTCCCAAGTAGCTGAGATTACTGGTGCAGACCACCATGCCCGGCTAATTTTTGTATTTTTAGTAGAGATGGGGTTTTGCCATGTTGACCAGGCTGGTCTTGAACTCCTGACCTCAAGTGATTCGCCTGCCTCGGCCTCCCAAAGTGCTGGGATTACAGGCGTGAGCCACCGCGCCCGGCTGATTTACGTTTTATAACCAGTGCTCTTGCCACTAGATGCTTTCATCTTTATGTATGCTAAATGGAGATTAGTGATCTATTACTTAATGATAATATTGTGGATATTGAAAACAAGTTTAAAGCATTTTGTAGAAATTCTGTAGAAATTAAAGTGAACATACTCTTTTTTTTTTTTTTTTGAGATGGAGTTTTGCTCTTGTTGCCTAGGCTGGAGTGCAATGGCGCGATCTTTGCTCACCACAACCTCTGCCTCCCGGGTTCAAATGATTCTCCTGCCTCAGCCTCCTGAGTAGCTGGGATTACAGGCATGCGCCACCATGTCCGGCTAATTTTGTATTTTTAGTAGAGATGGGGTTTCTCCATGTTGGTCAGGCTGGTCTCGAACTCCTGACCTCAGGTGATTCGCCTGCCTTGGCCTCCCAAAGTGCTGGGATTACAGGTGTGAGCCACCGTTCCCAGCCTAAAGTGAACATATTCTTTTTATTATTTCTAGATGTAATTAAAATAGATATTAGTTGACTTCCTATAATTTCTAATATTCTTTGGCCTTTGATTTTTTTTTTTTTTTTTTTTTTGAGACAGTCTTACTCTGTCGCCCAGGCTGGAGTGCAGTGATACAATCTCGGCTCAATGCAACCTCCGTCTCCTGGGTTCAAGGATTCTCCTGCTTCAGCCTCCCGAGTAGCTGGGATTACAGGCATGCACCACTACGCCTGGTTAATTTTTATATTTTTAGTAGAGACGGGGTTTCACAATGTTGGCCAGGCTGGTCTCGAACCCTTGACTTCAGGTAATCTGCCCACCTTGGCCTCCCTAAGTGCTGGGATTACAAGGCGTGAGCCACCACGCCAGACCTGATCATTTTTGGTTGTTGATTAAGCTGTGTATTTCTCTGAGGGCCTGGCCAGTGACACATAGTCATTGAGTTAGGCACCTGGTTGGACTCAGCCTGGTCTGAGTCAACCAGAGGCACTAATCTACTGAATAGCTATGTAGGTAAGACTTATAAAACTTTCTTTGCTTTTCTGTAGAACAGAAGCCAAGATATTTTATTTATTTATTTATTAATTATTGAGACGGAGTCTTGCTCTGTCACCCAGGCTGGAGTGCAGTGGCTCAATCTCGGCTTACTGCAACCTCTGCCTCTTGGGTTCAAGCAATTCTCCTGCCTCAGCCTCCCTAGTAGCTGGGACCACAGGCACGTGCCACCACACCCAGCTAATTTTTTGTATTTTTTGTAGAGACAGGGTTTCACAGTGTTAGGCAGGATGGTCTCGATCTCCTGACCTCGGGATCTGCCCACTTCGGCCTCCCAAAGTGCTGGGATTACAGGCGTGAGCCACTGTGCCCAGCCTTCTTTTATTTTATTTTATATTTTTGATAAGGATATTTGATTCTATTTCCATTTGTGACATTCATTCAGAATAATATTTTCTGAGCACCATACACTGTGCAAACTGTGTGATCTTGGTTAAGTCATTTAATCTCACTGGGCTTCAACTGATTCAGTCCTCTACCTTCATTCCTTAACTGCAAAATGGACTAGAGTAGGGGAACTATGTTCCGAGGAACTGCCTTGGGAGTTCGGGTCTAGGGGGACGGGAGGAGGCTAGATGGAGGCAACGTACCCTGGTGAAGTTGGGGCAGCTCCTGCTCCAACTACTCTCAACCTCCACCACTCCAGCGCAGCTGCACTTGTATTTATCCTATCAGTCTCCAGAGCCTCCTCAACCCAGTTGTCTTTCCTCCTCAACTGTGGTCTTTAGTCCCTCTTTTAATTTATCCTTTGATCCTTGTATGTCCTAGATTCAGAGGATGATTTCTAAATTTCTATAGCCATAGATGGAGCATATTGGTGGTATATTGCACCAGAACAAAAAGGGAAGCGTGTGAAGGGAGAAAGGAAAAAAAATAGAAGTAAAAGAAACACATGGGAGAGATGGAAAGAAGAACAAATATGAGTTGAGGAGAGGGAGGTGGAGCAAAAAGGTAAAACACATATAATGAAGGAAAATAGTATGTTTGTCACCTGAAGTTGCATTACTTAATTTTTTTTTTTTTTAAGAGACTTAGAGACAGAGTCTTGCTCTGTCACCCAGGCTGGAGTGCAGTGGCACGATCTCGGCTCACTGCAAGCTCTGCCTCACGGGTTCACGCCATTCTCCTGCCTCAGCCTCCCGAGTAGCTGGGACTACAGGTGCCCGCCACCACACCCGGATAATTTTTGTATTTTTAGTAGAGACAGGGTTTCACCGTGTTAGCCAGGATGGTCTCAATCTCCTGAGCTTGTGATCCACCTGCCTTGGCCTCCCAAAGTGCTGGGATTACAGGCGTGAGCCACTGCGCCCGGCCTACTTAATTAATTTTTGTAATCTTCCCTTAAGTACCTATGTGTATGGTTTTCTTTTCTTTTCTTTTTTTTTTTTTTTGAGACGGAGTCTCACTCTGTCGCCCAGGCTGGAGTGCAGTGGCGTGATCTCGGCTCACTGCAAGCTCTGCCTCCCGGGTTCACGCCATTCTCCTGCCTCAGCCTCCCAAGTAACTGGGACTACAGGCGCTCGCCACCACACCCGGCTCATTTTTTTGTATTTTTAGTAGAGGCATGGTTTCACCATGTTAGCCAGGATGGTCTCAAGCTTCTGACCTGGTCATCCGCCCGTCTTGGCCTCCCAAAGTGCTGGGATTACAGGACTGAGCCAGCGCGCCTGGCCTTTTTTTTTTTTTTAAAACAGTCTTGCTTTGTCACCCAGGTGGAGTGCAGCAGCGCCACCTTGGCTCACTGCAATGTCCGCCTCCCTGGTTCAAGCAGTTCTGCTTCAGCCTCCCAGGAAGTTGGGATTATAGGCTTGTGCTACCCATGCCCGGCTAATTTTTGTGTTTTTAGTAGAGATGGGGTTTCACAATGTTACCCAGGCTGGTCTCAAACTCTTGGCTTCAAGTGATCTGCCCACCTTGGCTTCCCAAAGTGGTGGGAATACAGGTGTGAAGCCATTGCACCTGGCTATATATGGATTTTATTAGTGTGCCTAAAATTTTACTTTCATGTATGTATTTTTTCTGTGACTGCCTCAATTGCTTTGTTCTCCTAATTTTTAAAAATCTATTGATTTGAGATGATTACAAAAGTTCTTGGGTTAAAAACATGTGATTCAAAAATAGATTCCCTCTTTATTTCTTTAATCTATCTTAATGTTTAAGAAAACTGAGGAGCTAATCTGTTTTCCCAGTAGAAATTAAGTAACATTTACGTTAATTGTAGTCATGCATACTTACCTGAAATTTGTCATTTTAATTTTTTTTTTAAGGAGCTGATGGTACACACATGGATGGTGATCAAATTGTTGTGGAAGTACAAGAAACTGTTTTTGTTTCAGATGTTGTGGATTCAGACATAACTGTGCATAACTTTGTTCCTGATGACCCAGATTCAGTTGTAATCCAAGATGTTATTGAGGACGTTGTTATAGAAGATGTTCAGTGCCCAGATATCATGGAAGAAGCAGATGTGTCTGAAACGGTCATCATTCCTGAGCAAGTGCTGGACTCAGATGTAACTGAAGAAGTTTCTTTAGCACATTGCACAGTCCCAGATGATGTTTTAGCTTCTGACATTACTTCAGCCTCAATGTCTATGCCAGAACACGTCTTGACGGGTGATTCTATACATGTGTCTGACGTTGGACATGTTGGACATGTTGGACATGTTGAACATGTGGTTCATGATAGTGTAGTGGAAGCAGAAATTGTCACTGATCCTCTGACTACCGACGTAGTTTCAGAAGAAGTATTGGTAGCAGACTGTGCCTCTGAAGCAGTCATAGATGCCAATGGGATCCCTGTGGACCAGCAGGATGATGACAAAGGCAACTGTGAGGACTACCTTATGATTTCCTGTAAGTCTTGGGGTACAGTGATTGTCAAAGGTGTTTTTGTAGGCTGCCTCTTCTAATTTACATCAGGGGTGAAATTTTCTTGACTTAAATGTCTGTAAAAGTAAATCTCATAGACCTACCTGCATTGTTGTTTCCATTTGCAGCCTACAAGATAACTGAAAATTAAGAAAAGTGAGGCCGGGTGTGGTGGCTCATGCCTGTAGTCCGGGCACTTTGGGAGGCTGAGGCAGGTGGATCACCTGAGGTCAGGAGTTCGAGACCAGCCTGGCCAACCAACATGGTGAAACCCCGTCTCTACTAAAAATACAAAAATTAACCGGGTGTGGTGGTGGGCGCCTGTAATCCCAGCTACTTGGGAGGCTGAGGCAGGAGAATCGCTTGAACCCGGGAGCCGGAGGTTGCAGTTAGCCAAGATTGTGCTACTGCACTTCAGCCTGGGTGACAGAGCAAGACTCCTTCTCAAAAAAAAAAAAGCTGAAACAAACAGAACTGAACTTTGGAATCATGAAGAATGTGATTAGGCTGTTACCAGCCTTTATTAGAATTATGAACTCTCTTGAAACCTAAAAGGAGTTCAACTTGGAAAAACAAAAAGTCTAACCAAGCTACTTACTTTTTTTTTTTTTTCGGAGGGAGAGTCTTGCTCTGTCGTCCAGGCTGGAGTGCAGTGGTGCGATCTCAGCTCACTGTAAACTCTGCCTCTCGAGTTCAAGTGATTCTCGTGCCTCAGCCTCCCAAGTAGCTGGGATTGTAGGCACGCACCACCACGCCTGGCTAATTTTTTGTATTTTTAGTAGAGAGGGGGTTTTGCCATGTTGCCCAGTCTGGTCTTGAACTCCTGAGCTCAGGCAATCCGCCTGCCTTGGCCTTCCAAAGTGGGAGGATTACAGGTGTGAGGTATCACGCTGCTACTTATTTTCTTGAATATGGATACACGGTACTGTTTATGTAATACTTATGTACTTATATAATATGTAAAACACTGCATAACAGATAACATGAAAAAGAGCTCTGGTATAGTATGAAACATGATTCCAAAACATGGTATCAAGTATGATGGATTCATATTAGGTTATTGGAGAAAAGTAAAGTATTTTGAAACACACCTTTACATGTTTATCTTAGCATCTGGAAAGACAACCGTTATCTTCTTACAACATACTTCTTGGTACCAATTTCGGAGATAAAATTCTAGATTGGCTAGGCCACGGTTCTGACCCAGTGTGGAAATTCTTATGCCTTAAGGAACTAAACTTAAAATATAAAGGATTCACAGACTATTTATAAATTTACAAGAATATTTGCTTTGTTCGAATACCTGTTTTCATACAGGAATTTAATATAACATTAATATACTGGAGTCCACCAGCATTTTAGGAAACTTCTTTGAGATTTTGAAACTCCTTTGAAAACTTCTTGAGATTTTGAAAATCAAAGAATTATTTGTGGAAAAGGGAAGAAAATGCCTTCATTCAACACGTTTATTGGACCCTGAATGTGTGAGACATTGTTGTAGGTAGCGTAGATACAGATATGTGCTAAATAAATACATACATAAGACCATTATCCCTGGAGAGCTTTTGATCTGCTGTGGGAGAGAAAGTTTGTAGTGTGATGCAGAGGTGTGACTAAACTGCCATGGAGATGGGATGGAGTAGCTGACCTTTGAAATCAAGGATGAATTCTAGTTTTACAGGATGAAGGGCACGGGTGGCAGGAAGACATTCCAGGCATATAGTATAGTGTATTAAAAAAGAAAAAAGTTCTGGCCTTTGCTGATATTGCTGATAATGATGGGAACTTTAGGATACACTTTTATATCTTTGTGTACGTTCTATTTTATTCCTTAGAATAAATTTGTAGAAATAGAATTGATAGATCAAAGGGTGTACACATTTACAAGTTTGGTTATGCTTGAAGTTTGGTTAAATTCTCTTGGTATTTTGCCTTAATATTCCCTTCACCAAGTTGATGAGAATGTTCATTTCCCTACACTGGAACCAACACAGAGTATTATTTTTCTTTTTAGTTTTCGCCATTCTGATAGGGAAAAATACGTTACCCTGTTTCAATTTTGAATTTATTTTAGGATGATGATCCTTGTATGTGGAATAAGACTTAAGTGAGGGAGAGATTAGTGGCAGTGAACTGTTGAAATGGTTCATATATAAGATGATCTGAAGTACGTTAATAATAGTAAAGGGGACAGAGAGGTAGCTGCATTCAAGAGAGATTAGGAAGAAAAATGGATGAGATTCGATGATAGATAAAAGAGGCTAGGGGTTTGAGGAAGAAAGATAATTCAAGGATGACCCTAAGTGTTCTACCTTGGGAGATTGGATGCCTAGTCATGCCATTACCTGAAAGGAGGAGTAGGTTTGGTGGGGGAAGGTGGGGGAAGGGGGAAGATTTAGGATCTGTTACAGTTTGAATTGCTTGTTGGTGGATGTTTCTTCTAGGCAGTTGAAAATATGACTTTGGTGCTTTTGAGAGAGTTTGTTGCTAGAGGAAGAAATTTAGGACAACAGAATGTAGGCAGTATCATATATGGAAATGGATGGTAGTCTCCAGAGCATGCTTGTCGAGTGAGAGTGTCAAGTATGGCTCCTTTAGGTATTTAAGAAGTAGGCAGAAAAGAGTCCTTGAAAAATCAGGAGGTTTTGGGAAGAGAAGGAGGAGAAAAAGTATTTCCAACACTGTTAAGGATAGAGTTTCTACAAGTTATCAGCCACTGAGGAGAAAGCAGGCTTTTTTGTTTGGCATTTAGGAGGTCATTGGTATCTAAATTAGAGTAGGTTCAGTAAGGCATGGGCTATTGGAGAGGAGATGGAAGAGATGAGCTGTGATGGATTGAGAAGTTAGTGGAAGTAGAGTTAGGTGAAGCGGTTTGGATAAATTGCCATTTTGGTCAGCAAAGGGACTAAAGAGGTGGGAGTATAGCTTTTGATGGTTGCCTGGATGGCGAAAGTAAGTTGAACATGTTTATAGACTTAAGGGAAAAAAAAAATCACTGGACAGAGAGAACCTGAAGATAAAGAAAGGATGGGCTAGTGGAGCAGGTTCCAGAGAAGGGGAAGGGACTGGGGTCCAGGGCTGCAGGAGATGGCTGTTAGGTAAGTCCTGGAGAGGGAAAGTGAGTCCCCTTCTCTGAGACAGGAAGACAGTTAAGGATGAGGCCCCTTTCCAGGGACAGAAGGTAAAAGGAGTACTTGAATGTTGGGAGCTATTTTGTCTGTGAAGCAGGTTCATCTGCACATATGGAAGGACTGCAGAGGCTGGGTGGAAAGCTGAAGGATAATGGCAAAGGGTTGAAAAGCTTTAGTCTTTAGGGGATGGGCCAGTGTAGGAAGCCAAGAATTTATGAGATAGATTGCTGAACCGCATTGAGGGGCCAGCTGAGGTTAGGAGTCTATTTTATTTTATTTTATTTTTGAGATGGAGTCTCACTCTGTTGCCCAGGCTGGAGTGCAATGGCGCCATCTTGGCTTACTGCAACCTCCGCCTCCCGGGTTCAAGCGATTCTCATGCCTTGGCCTCCCGAGTAGCTGGGATTACAGGCACTCGCCACCATGCCCAGCTAATTTTTGTATTGTTTAGTAGAGACGGGGTTTCACCATGTTGCCTAGGCTGGTCTTGAACTCCTGACCTCAGGTGATCCCACCCGCCTCGGCCTCCCAAAGTGCTGGGATTACGGACGTGAGCTACCACGCCTGGCCGAAAATGCTATTTTAAAATGCAGGTTGAGCATCCTTAATCCAAAAATCCAATATCTGAAATGCTCCAGAATCCAGAACTTTCTAAGTACAGACATGACACCACAAGTGGAAAATTCCACACCTGACACTTGCTTTCTGAGGGTTCAATGTATATAAACTTTATTTCAGGCACAAAATTGTTTTAAAAAATTGTATAAAATTACCTTCAGGCTATGTGTATAAGGTGTATATGAAACACAGATAATTTTTTTTTTTTTTTTTAATTTGAGACAGTCTTGTTCTGTCTCCCAGGCTGGAGTGCAGTGGCTCCACCTCGGCTCACTGCAACCTCCACCCCGGCTCACTGCAACCTCCACCCCCTGGGTTCAAGTGATTCTCCTGCCTCAGCCTCCCGAGTAGCTGCGATTATAGGCACGTGCCACCATGCCCAGCTAATTTTTTTGTATTTTTAGTAGAGACGGGGTTTTGCCATGTTGGCCAGGCTGATCTCGATCGAACTCCTGACCTCAAGTGATCCATCTGCCTCAGCCTCCCAAAATGCTGGGATTACAGGCGTGAGCCACCATGCCTGGCTGAAACACAGATAAATTTCATGTTTAGACTTGGGTCCCATCCCTAAGATATCTCATTGTGTATATGCAAATATTGCAAAATCCACAAAAGTCTGAAACACTTCTGGTCCAAGTATTTTGGATAAGGGTTACTCAACCCTTACGACTGCCAGATTTTCTATTACAAGACCGGGCAACCCAGGACCAAGGCTAGAGAAAGCAGAGAGTTGAGTTCGTCCCAGTTTGTGAGGGGAAGAGGGCCTGGTGAAATACTGAAGAGGATAAAGCACTCTCGCTTCTCCTTGACTTCTCTCTGCACTTTCTGCCCTTTCTGTCTTCCTCAGCTTTTTTGCTAAGGAGTAAAATGCATGGTATTGGTTTGCCCTTTAACTGCGCACTATCTCTTGCCTTTACTTTCTCCTCTTTTAGGAAGTTCAGCCCTCCAAGGAAGTCATTGAAAAAAACCCAGAAGTTGCTTTAGTAACAATTTACTCAGCATATCAGGTTCTTGTATTACAGAATTTGTAATACAAGACATGTAAAATTTTACAGACTTGTAAAATTTTCATTAAAAATTTTATTTATAGTCATCTTTAGGCCCTGGGTTTCTTCTAATTTATATAGATTTTAATGTTCCTGAAAAAGTAAATATGGATGAACATAAATGGCTATTAGTGTATTTTATATATTTTAATATATGTTTTATGTATGTGTATATATTTTGATAATATAATTTCTTTCCTTTTAAAATAAAACATATCCAAACTCAAATAATGCAGAGATACATTTAAACAAATACATACACACATGAGCATTTGCGTGCACACATGTGCTATTCCCCTATTTCACTATAATGAAATGGTTGTTTTTAAGTTGGGTTTAGAGATGGTGGCCTTTAGTAGTATCTTTTGTCTTCTCTATTATTATGTTTGAGATGAAGTCTCGCTCCCTTACCCAGGCTGGGAGTGCAGTGGTGCCATCGCGGCTCACTACCACCTCTGCCTCCTGCGCTCAAGCAATCTTTCCACCTCAGCCTCCCGAGTAGTTGGGATGACAGGCATGTGCCACCACACCCGCCTAATTTTTACATTTTTTGTAGAGAGGGGGTTTTGCCATGTTGCCCAGGCTGGTCTTGAACCTGGTCTTGAACCAGCCTGGGCTTAAGCAATTTGCCCACTTCAGCCTCCCCAATTTCTTCAATTCAGGTGTGAGCCACCTTGCCCGGCCTCTACAGCCACTTTTGCACTCTTACTTCCCTCTACTTCATCATCCCCTTTCCTTTCAAAGTAATGATCATATTTTAAAATTTAATTTACTATTGGCTTTGGGATCAAACCAATTGAACACTTTAGAATTAACTAATATTTCTCTTGGCTGTGCCTCCCAGCAAAGATACTTAATGATGCATTTTATTTTAATTAATTTATTTTTGAGACAGAGTCTTGCTCTGTCGCCCAGGCTGGAGTGCAGTGGCATGATCTTGGTTCACTGCAGCTTCCACCTCCCAGGTTCAAGTGATTCTCCTGCCTCAGCCTCCTGAGTAGCTGTGACTACAGGCGCGTGCCACCACGCCTGGCTAATTTTTGTATTTTTAGTAGAGACAGGGTTTCGTCATGTTGGCCAGGCTGGTCTCAAACTCTGGCCTCAAGCGACCTGCTCACCTCGGCCTCCCGAAGTGCTAGGATTACAGGCGTGAGCCACTGCTTCCGGCCTTAATGATGCATTTTAACTTAAAACTTATATTGAGGTCGGGCACAATGGCTTATGCCTGTAATCGCAACACTTTGGGAAGCCGAGATGGGGGAGGGTCGCTTGAGCCTAGGAGTTCAGAGGTTACAGTGACCCTTGATTGCGCCACTGTACTCCAGCCTGGGCGACAGAATGAGACCCTGTTTCTTAAAAAAAAAACAACCCCTCCCAAAACCCCCCTAAAACACCTATATTGATTTCAGAAGTTAAGGATTAACAAAGGTTTTGTCGTAAGTATATAGAGGAACTATGGGCTGATTTAATCCATGATAGAGAATGTGAAGATACCATTATCGGTAGTCAACTTTAATGCTTTTCATATTATGATGAGAGATGGTAGTATTTCTGAATCTTATATTTATTAAACACTCTATCTTTAGGTCAGAAATGTGGCCAGATGTCCAAGTACTCTCTTTTCTACTCTCTTCTTTAAAAATTTCAGTAAGTTACTGGATCTGAGTGTCTAATAAACAGCTTTTACAATGTCTTTAGTATCCATCTTGGCAGGTTTCTTCCCTCTGCACGTCTCATTTAAAATGATGATGGGCCAGGTAAGGTGGCTCACACCTGTAATCCCAGCATTTTGGGAGGCTGAGGTGGGAGGATCTCGAGGGTAAGGAGTTGGAGACCAGCCTGGGCAACATGGCGAGACTCCATCTCTACTCCCCACAACCCCCCAAAAAAAAGATTAGCTGGTGTGGTGGCATGTGCCTGTGGTTCCAGCTGCTCAGGAGGCAGAGGCAGGAGGATCCCTTGAGCACAGGTGTTCGAGGTTGCAGTGAGCTGTAATCATACCATTGTACTTCCGCCCGGGTGACAGAACGAGACCCCATCTCTTAAAAAAAAATCAAAAACCAAAAAACCACACAAAACAACAATAAATGATGATGAAGCAGTCCTCATTCTTTATAATATCATGGTTGTGTATATAGACACAGATGTTCATTGTCACAGTATATAGCTACCTTTGAGGTCAGGATGACTGCCTTCTTCAGTCTTTGCAATCTAGATTTTATGATTGGCTTCTAAGTTAATTATATGTTTCTTGAGGACAGGAACTATTTACTGCATCTTTGCTGCTTATGTATCTTCCCCATCACACCGTATGTATATTAGGTATGAAATAAATATTTGTTGAATAAGTGAATATATGAATGTTATAGCTGAAAGTCCGTGTACATCATGCCTCATCCAAGGCATTAACGATAAATTTCTTCCCTACCAGTAGCTATTGTCTCTTGATAAAAATAGGTAATAGTAAATCTTCAATAAATGATATCTATGTGCCGGAATTGAAAATATAGTTAGTTTTTGAGATGAGATCTCACCGTGTTGCCCAGGCATACATACATACATACATGCCTGTAGATGTGCAGTGGCTATCTGCAGGTCTGATCATAGTGCACTGCAGCCTCGAATAATAGCTTCTCCAAGGTCACTCCCAGCAGCATTAGGGTGAGGCTTTGAAACCAGTTATGTTTTATTCCAAAGTGTCCACTCTTAATTCTCTTATTGGCCCCCCCTTTCTCTCTCTGTGTCTCTCTCTCTGTGTTTGTATGTTTGTATGTATGTGTGTATAATTTAATACTACAAAGCAGTAGAGTTCATGATAAATAGTGCTTATTGGTAGATGGGGGAGGCAAATAGAATTCCAAAGATAACTACAATTTACAATAATAATGAATTCCAAATTTCAACAATGTTAAACAATAATTTGTTGGGAGGGTTTAAGCATTTTTTTTATTTAACTCATTCTAGCAGAAGCCCAGACAGCTTCCAAACCCCATCCTGTTGTTTTTCTAACTGAAAAGTATTAATTTTTTTCAAATTTGTATTTACATGAGAAAAAGGAATCATATATACGCTATCACTTTTACTCTTGCCAGTGTTGATTTTTCTTTTGCCTTCATTCATTCAGAAAACATTTATTGATCAGCCATAATGAGCTGCGAACCTCACTAGGGGTTGGAGATAAACAGCAAAGTCCCTGGCTTTTTAAGTTCACAGTCTGGGAGGGAAGATAAACAGAAACAGGCAATTACAGTTGAGTGTAGGAAGGTATGTAAATAGATATAGAAAGTACTTTAGAAGCACTAAGAGGATGGGGCTGGGCACGGTGACTCACGCCTGCAATCCCAGCACTTTGGGAGGCCGAGGCAGGCGGATCACGAGGTCAGGAGTTTGAGACCAGCCTGACCAACATGGTGAAACCCTGTCTCTACTAAAAATACAAAAATTAGCCGGGCATGGTGGTGCGCACCTGTAATCCCAGCTACTCAGGCGGCTGAGTCAGGAGAATCGTTCGAATACGGGAGGCAGAGGTTGCAGTGAACTGAGATCATGCCACTGCACTCTAGCCACTGCACGCTGGTGACAGAGTGAGACTGTCTCAAAAAAAAAAAAAATTTTTTTTTTGGTACGCTTGAGGGAGACAAATGCTACAAAAGCGTTATAAACTGAAGTTCTATGGAAGCTCACTTGAAGATATTGACCAAGTTTATTTTATCTCCTATTCATTTTCCTCCCTCCTGTATTTTAAGCAAATTCCACATAACATTTTTTTCATAAGTATTTCAGTATTTGCTTTTCAAAGACAAGGATTAAAAAAAAACTGTTTTCAAAGCTTTAAAAAATAATTTGAGATGAACTCAATCTGAAGGGTGTATAAAATAAAATGTTCATGAGGTGGCTGAGGAGGGAAGAAAGGCAGAGAGATGTGAGACATCATTGAGTGTTCAGAGACCTATTCTTTGGGTGCTAATAATGTCTGGTGAGGAGGATGGAGGAAGTGGTGAGAAAGAAGATTGGCAAATAGGGCCCAAAACATAAAGGCTCTTGAACATAGACGCCTGCTTTACTTTTTGGACGTGGGAAGCTGTTAAAGGATTTTAGGCAGATTAATAATAACATGTTTAGATTTATAGTTTAGAAAGATAATGGCAATGTTCAGGGCAGGCGCAAGGTAAGAGCGAATTCAGAAACAAAAAGTACATTTCGGAAGGTTATTGTGGTAGTCTAGGTAAGAAACAGATGATAATAGTTTGAGATAAGTTTGTGTTTTGTTTTTTTGAGATGGAGTCTTGCTCTGTCACCCAGGCTGGAGTGCAGTGGTGCGATCTCTGCTCACTGCAAGCTCCGCCTCCTGGGTTCAAGCGATTCTACTGCCTCAGCCTCCCGAGTAGCTGGGACTACAAGTGCGTGCCACCACACCTGACTAATTTTTTGTATTTTTAGTAGAGACGGGGTTTCACTGTGTTAACCAGGATGGTCTCGATCTTCTGACCTCGTGATCCGCCTGCCTCGGCCTCCCAAAGTGCTAGGATTATAGGCGTGAGCCACCGCGCCTGGCCTGAAATAAGGTTTTATCGGTAGAATTTAGCAGAAACTGATTCATGACATATGTAGGAAGTAGAATTTGGATTAAATTTAGGGTTGAGGAAGAGGGGAGGGTTTGCAGCTCACTTCTTGGTTTCCAGCTTATGCAACTGGGCACATGGCAAAACTGTTACTAGAAGAGGAGCAGATGGACATGCTAAAGATTTATTTACAGGGTTGCTGCATACAACTACAATGTAAAGGGACTCCTGCAAATGTGTAATGAGGTGGCCCTGGTTTGCCCTGGCCATCTAGTTTAGGTATTTTGACCAGTCATTCTAATATTAGCTCCTAATTAAGCATGACTTTGGTCATAGTAGACATCCAATAAAACGTGGTTCAGGGAGCGAATAAATACATAAAGTCCAAACCCCTATGTTTAATGTATAAACCCTGAGGGTCAACACAATCTGATAGTTGATTGATTGATTCTAGGGACTGTTAGCACAGAAGAGATAGTAAAATATTTACTCTTTCATTCCATGGGCTAATTATTGGCTAGGTATGTATTTTACCATTATTTTTATGTATGTACCCTACCAGTTTTTTTAAACCAGGGAGCAAATAAATACATAAAGTCCAAACTCCTATCTTTAATGTATAAACTCTGAGGGTCAACACATCCTAATAGTTTATTGATTGATTCTAGGGACTATTAGCACAGAAGAGATAGTAAAATATTTACTCCTTTGTTCCATGGGTTAATTATTGGCTAGGTATGTATTTTATTATTTTTATGTATGTACCCTACCAATTTTTTAAAAACCATTTGATAAAACACAGGAAAAAGTTTGGAATTTGAAAACTATATATCTACATGGGAATATTTCTGAAATGTGAGAAAAGTGTTATTTACTGAACTAAGGATATTTTGGAGAAGGTGTATTGAAGATTTTTAAAATTTATTTCATTATTTTTTAATTAAATTTTTTTAGTTGCCCAGTAAAAATGGTATATATTTATGGTACACAACATGATGTTTTGAAATATGTATGTGTTGTGGAATGGCTAAGTGAAGCTAATTAACGTATATTACCTCACATTCTTATTTTTTTGTGGTGAGAACACTTAAAATCTGTTCTCAGTGATTTTCAAGTATACAGTACATTGTTATTAACTGTAGTCACCTCAAGCATCTTTTTAAAGCTTTTTCAGATAAAATTCGAAAAGTGGTTATTTTAATCCATCTAAAATTGTATCTTTACTGTAAACTGAAATTTATTTAGAAATCAACACTACAATTAATGACTTAAGAGTTTTCAGTATAATGTTCAATCTAGGTGTTGGCTAGCTTTATAACAAGAATAAAGCACTCAAATAAGGCAAAGATGTTTTAGTTTCTCCCTTCCCCTGCCAAAAACAAGGTTGGGAAAAGGTCTCTATTTTGAAAGCATTACAAGCAATTGGAGCTTCAGACTGGCCTTGTGGTTAATATTTACTGTTTATCTGCTGAAACCTAGACAAAAATGTCACCCTGCCCTTTGAACAGATATATGATTACTTTGTGAGGTAATGGGCTTGGGGAGGGAAGAGAAAAGGAGAGAGGGAGAGAGAGAACATACCTCTCCTTGCCTATCTTAGAGAAGCAACATCTGGTATATGGAAACTCAGCTTGCAGCTGAGTCAGGCAGCCTTGGATTTGGATACCAGCTCTGCTACTCATTAGCTGAATGAATTCGGGCAAGTTAACTAACCTTTTTGTTTTAGCTTCCTTATTTGTGAAATGGCAGCAATACTGCTTGACTTCCAGGGTGGTTGTGAGAATGAGAGATCCTGTCAGTCACTGCTAGCTGTTGCTGTGGTTATCATCCAGAGGCTTTCAGTCAGTAGCATCCATTGGGCTAGCAAGGCTCAATCTCGACTAGCTTCATTATGACCTTTCTGTTGTCCCATCAGGGAATTCTTCCTGGGTAAGGGCAGGTACAGGGTGGGATTGTAACAGTTATTCCTTTTTTTTCCTCCTGAATGTATAAAGAAATCAGTTATTGTTTTACTAGTTTTAGACCTATTCAACTATTTTTCATTACTTAGGTCTCTGACACCATGCTACAGATCACTCTAACTTAGGACAGGGACCTGACTGGCACTGTTCCTTTAATTCCTCGTCTACGGAATGAGGCTAATTTCACTAAACCTTTGAATCGCTCTAGGAATGTTTCAAGAATTAAAGGAGATCAGATCGTACCCAATTCTTTCAAGTCTCTTATAGGCTATATAATAAAAATAAGGTGGAATTTTAACCCCACAAAGAGGGTTCCTGAGGAGGAAGTTAAGAGAGGAAGGTCTAAGAGTGAAATTTAAATGTATTTATCTACTAAAGCATTTGCCTTCTTGACAGAATACTTCCTGCAAGTTACTCAGTCTTTTAGGTGCTCTGTTTTCACATATGTCAAGTAGAGACAGAACATCTAAGTTCTGGGGTTGTCGTCATTGATTTCATAATAAAATACAGGGAAACTACTTACCATAGTGCCTGGGACATAATAGTTGCTCAGATATCCTTTTAGGAGGAAATACCCATCTTTGATATCTTCATTGGATTTTTTTTTTTTTCCGAGATGGAGTCTTGTTCTGTCCCCCCAGGCTGGAGTGCAGTGGTGCGATCTTGACTCACTGCAACCTCCATCTCCTGGGTACAAGCGATTCTCCTTCCTCAGCCTCCCGAGTAGCTGGGATTACAGGTGTGCGCTACCACACCCAGCTAATTTTTGTATTTTTAGTAGAGATGGGGGTTTGCCATGTTGGCCAGGCTGGTCTCAAACTCCCGATCTCAGGTGATCCACCCATCTTGGCCTCCCAAAGTGTTGGGATTACAGGTGTGAGCCACCAAGCCCGGCCTTCATTGAGTATTAAATAGCCATCCACACAGGGACCCTGAGGATGTTGAATAATATCAAGTCTATCCTACAGTTTTTCTTTTGATTGGATTTTGGGGTTAGAGGTTTAAAAAACATTCTGGTAATTAGGTAGTAAGACTATTAGACTTGCCATAGTAAGTTAGAATAGGCTCATTGTTCACAGAACCTAATTTTATCTTAGCAATAGTGAGGTGTATGGTAAGGAAAGGCCTGGTTTCCCTCATTGACATCAGTCCCAAGATCACAGGTGTGAATCTTGTTAAAACTTTAGAAAAGATTTGTGTATTCATACTGCCCCTTGAGGTAACTTACTTAGGAAGTAAAATCATCTTTATTTTTCTCTCAGATTAGCCTGTTTAAAGATTTATCAGGTGTCTGGAAGGCTGGGATTTAGTGAATGAATTTATGTCTACCTTGTGAGTATTGGCCGTAGGTTTATTGACTTCAAGTTTAATTAGAGTTTGAGACTGATTGTGTCCTCATGGCATAGATTTTCCCTCTTGTTTGTGCCTCCTAGATAATTTCAGTTGTTCTCAAGACGAGCACAAGATCTTTTCAATCTTTATTGAAATGTGGCAATCAGTGTTGCAGTGTTAAGATTTTGAAGCCTGGCACAATGGCTCACACCTGTAATCCCAGCATTTTTGGAGGCTGAGGCGGGAGGATCACTTGAGCCCAGGAGTTCAAACTAGACTTGACAACATCGGGAGACCCCATCTCTAGAAACAATTAAAAAAAGAAAATAGCTAGGTGTGGTGGCACATGCCTAGGAGGCTGAGGTGGGAGGGTTGCTTGAGCCCAGAAGGTCAGGGCCACAGTGAGCCATGATTGTGCACTGCATTCCAGCCCGGGTGACAGAGCGAGACCCTGTCTCAAAAAAAAAAAAAAAAAGATTTTATTGGAGCTTATTTTAATGACTGTTTAATGACTTCTCTTTTCTGGGTTTTATTTAAGAGATCATTTCTTATCTTTCAGGTCTTGTTGTTTCTTTTATACTTCCAAAGGCTTAGTACTTCCATGTTATGCCCTTCTAGTGTCATTAGCAGACACTAGTATATTGGTTTAAAGATGTAAAACCAGATGGGCCATTGAAAACATGTTCACACAAAAACTTCTGCACATTCATAGCAGTATTATTCACATTAGCCAAAAAGTGATGACAACCTTGATGTTCATCAGCTGATGAATGGATAACTGAAATGTGGTATATCCATACAATGGGATATCATTCAGTCATAAAAAGGAATTAAGTTTTGTTGAATGCTGCAATATGGATGAACCTCGAAAGCGTTATGCTTAGTGAAAGAAGCCAGGCGAAAAAGACCACATGTTGTATGATTCCATCTATGTGAAATGTCTAGAAGAGGCAGAGCCATAGAGAAAGTAGAGAAGTGGTTTCCAGGAGATTGGGGGAAGAATGAGTTGGGCCTGACTGCTAATGGGTATGGTGTTTCTTTATGGGGAATTAGAAGGGTGCTGATGGTTGCACCACAGTGAATGTACTAAAAATCACTTAATTGTACACTTTAAAATGGATAATTTTGTTATGTAAACTATATCTCAATAATGATAAAAGCCAAATGGGCCAAGCAACAATCCCCTAGAGCCTTTATTATTAGCTTTTCTATTTACTAAAGGTCCCAAATTAGCTTTTCCTCTTTAAGCAATTACTTTTTTCAGTAAAATATCTTCAGGTATCATGAGGGATGTTTAAAAAAGGAGAGGTGATAGTTGTGGAATTGTGGCAAAAGCTTTTAATTTAGTTTTTAAAATTATTGTTTTTTAATTATAAAATACACCTACAATTTACCATCTTAACAATTTTTTAAGTATACAGTTCAGTGGCATTAAGTGCATTTACACTGTTGAGCAACCATCAGTATCATCCATCCCCAGAACTCTTCATCTTGCAAAACAAACTCTCTATATCCATTAAACACTAACTCCCCGATCCCCTCCTTTCAGCCCCTGGCAGCCACCCTTTTACTTTCTGTCTCTTAGGAATTCGACTACCCTAGCTACCTCTTATAAGTGGGATCATACAGTATTTTTTCCTTTTGTGGCTGGCTTATTTCACCTAGCATGATTTTTCAAGATTTATTCATGTTGTAGCTTGTGTCAGAATTTCCTTCCTTTTTAAGGCTAAATAGGATTCCATTGTATGGATAGACCATATTGTGTTTATCCAGTGAAAAACTATTTTAAAGCAGTAATCCTTTGCCTTACCTACCCTTTGTTCTTCCTGGCTTACCCTTCTCCCCCCCACCAAAGCAACTGTAGCAGGTCCTGGAATAACACGTTATTTCCTTATAATGTTGATGAGAAAGAAAATCGACTTTCTGTTGGGGCCACTGTCCCTGTGGCGTTTGCACATTCTCCTCATGTCCATGTGGGTTTCCTCCCACATCCCAAAGCTGTGCACATTAGGTTTATTGGCATGTCTACACTGTCCCAATGTGAGTGAGCATGCCCTGTGATGGTTCCTGCCTGGTACCCTGAGCTGCTGGAGAGGCTCCTACACCCATGACCCTGATCTAGAATCACTGGGCAAATAATTATCTTGTTTTTACTACTCTTTCTTAAATATATGTGTAGCCCACATTTATTTCCATGTTTAATGCTACAAGTGTTTTAGACTATATTTAGAAGTTTGGTGATGTTTTTGTGACCAGAAATGTGCCATAGGAACTTAACTCTTGTTTATATCAATTAGCCTACAGTAAAAAATTTTTTTTTTTTTTTTTTGAGGCAGAGTCTCACCCTGTCACCCCAGCTGGAGTGCAGTGGTGCTATCTCGGGTTACTGCAATCTCCACCTCCCTAGTTCAAGCAATTCTCCTGCCTCAGCCCCCCAAGTAGCTGGGACTACACGCATGCACCACCCTGCCCGGCTAATTTTTGTATTTTTAGTAGAGATGGGGGTTTCACCATGTTGGCGAGGCTGATCTCGAACTCCTGACCTCAAGTGATCCTCCCACATTGGCCTCCCAAAGTGCTGGGATTACAGGCGTGAGCCACTGCACCCGGCCAAAAAACTGCTTTTGTTATATACTACGTTGTTTGGCTGAAAGTCACAATTTCCGAGAACCTACCAATGACATTACGTGAGGACTTACACTGTACTTCTCTTTCAGCTATTTCTAATGGTACTTATCTATATGATTGTAAATAATACGCTTTCTTGATTTTTTTTTGAGACGGTGTCTCGTTCTGCACCCAGGCTGGAGTGCAGTGGCGTGATCTTGGCTCACTGAACCTCTGCCTCCCAGGTTCAAGCAATTGTCCCTGCCTCAGTCTCCTGAGTACCTGGGATTACAGGTGCCTGCCACCGTGCCAATTTTTTTTTTTTTTTGAGATGGAGTCTCGCTCTGTTGCCCAGGCTGGAGTGCAGTGGCGCGATCTCGGCTCACTGCAAGCTCCGCCTCCCGGGTTCACGCCATTCTCCTGCCTCAGCCTCCTGACTAGTTGGGACTACAGATGCCCACCACCACGCCTGGCTAACTTTTTTTGTATTTTTAGTAGAGACGGGGTTTCACCATGTTAGTCAGGATGGTCTCGGATCTCCTGACCTCATGATCCGCCCGCCTCGGCCTCCCAAAGTGCTGGGATTATAGGCGTGAGCCACCATGCCCGGCGTGCCCGGCTAATTTTTGTAGTTCTAGTAGAGACGTTTCACGATGTTTTGCCATGTTGGCCAGGCTGGTCTCTTGTGATCTGCCCACCTTGGCTTCCCAAAGTGTTGGGATTACAGGCATGAGCCACCACGCCCGGCCACTTTCTTGATTTTTATTACTTCTGTTTTATATGTTCTTTCTTCACGTCCTGTTGTGATAGCTGACAATTTTGCTCACTTTTGTTCTCACCTCCCTTTCCCGTGACTTTTCATGATAAGTGTGTTACAATTTTTGGTTCTTTGCCTTTTAGAATTTAAGTAATACATTAACATCTTTATTTCTTGTTCCATCAAATGTGGACAGTATCTTTTGACTCCTCCTTTTTAAGATGAGGATATCAGTGCCTTTGCCCTCCACTTTCCTTGAGCTGTTCAGCCTACCTTCCAATCTATGTTTACTTTGTATTGTTGAGGCTGATCCATCTAAGTTTATTTTTTTTGAGATGGAGTTTTGCTCGTTACCCAGGTTGGAGTGCAGTGGCGTGATCTCAGCTTACCACAACCTCTGCCTCCCGGGTTCAGGCGATTCTCCTGCCTCAGTCTCCCGAGTAGCTGGGATTACAGGAATGCACCAACACGCCCGGCTAATTTTTCTATTTTTAGTAGAGACGGGGTTTCTCCATGTTGGTCAGGCTGGTCTCGAACTCCTCACCTCAGGTGATCCACCTTCCTTGGCCTCCCAAAGTGCTGGGATTACAGGCATGAGCCACTGCGCCCAGCCAATCCATGTATGTTCTATAACCATTAGCCTTCCAATAAAGTAGAAAATCAGTACTCAGTGCTTACATTATTTTGATTGTGAAAATATCATTTGCAGCATAACCATTGATCACTTTGATTACATTTTTGCATACAGCTTTTTTCCCCTAGAAATTTTAATTGTCTCCTTTCCCCCTTGTATTACCTTTTTTTTTCTTTTGGGAGACAGGATCTTGCTCTGTTGCCCAGGCTAGAGTGCAGTGGTGTGATCATGGCTCACTGCTGCAACCTTGGACTCCTGGGCTCAAACAGTCCTCCTGCCTCAGCCTCCTGTGGAGCTGGGACTGCAGGCATGTGCTACCACACCCAGCTAATTTATTTTATTTGTAGAGATGGGGTCTCACTATGTTGTCCAGGCTGGTCTCAAACTTCTCGCTTAAGTGATCCTCCCACCTTGGCCTCCCAAAGTGTTGGGATTACAGGTGTGAGCCACCATGTTTGGCTGTAGGTTGGTTTGTTTGTTTGTTTATGCATTGTATTTTCATGCATGGGAGCCCTTTGAATTTGGAGATTTCCTCTAATAGTAGCCACTAGCCACATATTTGGCTAAATAAAGTTGTTAAAATGAATTAAACATACAGTTCCTGCGTTGCACCAGTCACAGTTCAAGTACTCAATAGCTACATGTGGCTAGTGCAGAGCATTTCCTTCATCAAAGAAAGTTCTGTTGGTTAGCACTGATCTGCAGGCTCAGTGAAATTGCAAACAATATGATGTCTTTTTAAAAACTTGAGACAGGCCAGGTGTGGTGGCTTGTACCTGTAATCCCAGCGCTGTAGGAAATGGAAGTGGAAGGATTGCTTGAGGCCAGGAGTTCGAGGCCAGCCTGGGCAACACAGATCCCATCTCTACCAAAACAAAAACATTTATTTATCATATATTACAAGGCAATAGGGGCAGTTAGAGTAGAAATTGACAAAATTCAGAAAGAAGCTGAAGAGAAAAAAATATGATCAAGGTAAAAGCCACCAGAGAAGCAACAATAAGAAAAAATGTATCTTAGCATATAGCCAAGGACAGAGGGATTGGGCTTTAAGAAATCACAAAATGAAATTGTAAGAAAATAAAATTGTGAAAATGCTTATGGAGAAGGAGGATAGATATGGAGAAAGATAAAGGATACAAACACACATAAGTGAAATTCCAGAAGAGAACAACTAATGAACTAGAAAAATATTTATAATGGGAGATTTTTTTCCTGAGATAAAGATTAGGATCTTTCTTGTTCCAAGAAATTGTCAAAATGGTAAAACAAGCAAATCATAATCATACTGTTATTTAGTGAACTTTAAGGATCAAGAATTACAGGGACATCCACACACAAATGCTCAATGCTAGGAGACAGTGGAACAATGTCTGCAAAGTTCTGAGGAAATTGTAACCTAAGAGTTTTGTACTCAGCCAATTCATTCTTCAAGTAAAGGCCATGGACCAACATTTTCAAGTATTCAGGAATTCAGGGACTGTAGTACCCATTGGCCTTTCTTGACAGGGATGGGGGAACTATTTGGTATTGAATCTAGCAGATGAAAGGATCAATCAATAGAAAGAACCCTAGAATGGAGAAACTGATTTTAAAAAAACTAGAAATGAGCAGTGAATTCATTTAATATAAAACTAGCTATAAAATATTTGGGGGAGTGGAGAAGTCAAAATGTTAACTTCCACATCTTTCACATAGTGACAGTAGATGCTGGCTCTAAAACTTATTTGTGTATTATAGGCAAAATATGGATGCTTTTATAATATTTTTTCTTTTATTTATTTTTTGAAGTGGGGTTTCGCTTTGTTGCCCAGGCTAGAGTGCAGTGGCACGATCATGACTCACTGCAGCCTTGACCTCCTGGGCTGAAGTGATCCTCCTACCTCAGCCTCCCGAGCAGCTGGGACCACAGCCCCATACCACCATGCCCAGCTAATTTAAAAATTTTTTTAGAGATGGTCTCACTATATTACCCAGGCTGAAGCAATCCTCCCACCTTGGCCTCCCAAAGTGGTGTGATTATAGGCGTGAGCCACTGCACCTGGCTTTGTTTTTTTTTTTTTTTTTTAGAGGGTTAAGAACTAATATCTTAATGACCAAACATTTACTTGAAGATTAGCATTCATATATTTAACGAATGAATGTTGCTTGCTTACTCTATATGCTGGGCAGTATTGTAGGCACTTGGAATACATTAGTGAACAAAACACAGGGAAGTTTCTTTCCCTTATAGACATTACATTCTAGCAGAGGTACACAGATATAGGTGAGTAATACAGCATATTATAAGGTGATACGTACTTAGGGAGGTAAAAAGCAGTATAAGGAGGATTTGGGTTATAAGTATGGTCAGGGTTTTGCTGAGAAGGTAACATTTGAGCAGAGACTTATTTTTGAGACATCTGATAGACACCAAAGAGGAAATACATGTACAAATCTGAGTTATGGAGACAGGTCTAGAGTGGAGATGTAAATTTGGGAGTTGTTGGTACATAGATGAAATTTAAGCCATCAGACAGAAAGAGATAACCAAAGGAGTGATTGTAGACAAACTAAGACTAAGGACTAAGCCCTGGGGTTTGCAGCATTAGGCGGTAAGAGGAGGCTCCAGCAAAAGAGTGAGGAGGCATGGTCTTGGTTAGTGAGGTGAGAGGAAACCAAGAGGTTGGGTCAGGGGAGCCAAGTGAGGAAAGTAAATCACAGAGAGTGAGCATCTGTCAGATGCTGCCGCTGCAAGTCACACGAGGGCTGAGAATTGGTCACGAGTGACCTTGATGAACAGTTTTGGTGAAGTTATGGGCAAAGAATGACCTGATTGAAGTGAATCTTTTTTTTTTTTTGGAGGCAGGGTCTCACTGTCACCCAGGCCGAAGTGCAGTGGCACAATCACAGCTCACTGCAGCCTCGACCTCCCAGGTTGAGGTTGTCCTCCCACCTCAGCCTCCTGGGTAGCTGGGACTACAGGTGCACACTACCATGCCTGGCTAATTTTTTAATTTTTTGTAGAGATAAGGGTCTCGCTGTGTTGCCCAGGCTGGTCTCTAACTCCTGGGTTTAAGCAATTCTCCTGCCTTGGCCTCCCAAAGAGCTGGGATTATAGGTGTGCACCGCTGCACCCAACCTTGAAGTGACTTTAAAGGATGAAATGAGGCTAATTTGAGAAATGGAGGTGGTGGAGAAATGGGATCAAGAGTTTTTGCTTAGCCGGGCACGGTGGCTCATGCCTGTAATCCCAGCATTTTGGGAGGCTGAGGTGGGTGGATCACCTGAAGTAAGGAGTTCAAGACCAGCCTGACCAACATGGTGAAACCCCATCTCTATTAAAAATACAAAATTAGCCAGGTGTGGTGGCGCACGCCTATAATCCCAGCTACTTGGGAGGCTGAGGCAGGAGAATCGCTTGAACCTGGAAGGCAAAGGTTGCAGTGAGCTGAGATCGCACCATTGCACTCCAGTCTGGGCAACAAGAGCGAAACTCCGTCTCAAAAAAAAAAAAAAAGTTTTTGCTCGTTTTAAGCAGGGGAGAAAGAATGGCTTGTTTGTATCCTGATGAGAATGATCCAGTAGAGGATGCAGGGAAAGAGAGGGGAGAGGTGCTCAAGCAGTGAAGGGCCTTCAGAAAGAGGGGATGGGCGATAGGAAGGAACACAATGGTTTGTGGGAACAGGCTGAAGACAGCGTTTATGGGCTTAGTTGCTGGTAGGTGGATTAGATGTGCTAGCAAATCTTCTCTTCTGATTGTTTGAATTCTAGGTGAAGTAAGAAGTAAGTGATGATGGGGAGGTGGTATTAGACATTTGAGGGGAGATGAGAATAGGGAAAAGAGGAGAGAACAGAAAGTAGCAGAAATGGCTCACTGCAGGTTCAGGGTTATGAATTTAAAGTGAAACCATCTGCTGGGTGTGTGTTTGTGTTTCTGTGTGTTTCCAGCCACATTTAGCTACATAGGTGCTAGTGCAGAGGCAAAGAGGCAAATTGTAAAGTGTCTGATTGTGCCAAGCCTGTGTGATGAAACAAAAGAAGGGGTAGGGAAAGGGAATTGAGATCGTGGGCAAGGGAATGGGATCGACTTTGGAGTTAAAATTGTTTTGTTGTTGAGTTTAAATTCTAATGTTGTACCTTTGTTTAAAAAGAGCATGTTACAATATCTTATTTTCACAAAAAAATCTCTGTTCTTTCTTCCATCCTTTTATTTGTAGTATGCGTGGAGAAATGTCTAATGATCTGTAAATTCTGTTGATAGTTCCCAGTGGCAGGATTTTGAGCACATTTTCATTTCTTTCAGAAGATGAAGATAAAGGTCTGAGTTCTAAAGACAGGCACCTCACTTTCTCTTCCACCTCTCACTTAGTAGCTCACTGACTTTGGGCAAATCACATGCCATTTCAGAGCCTGTATTTCTTTATCTGGAAAAGATGAGAATCAGATGTAATAAAAAAATGTAGAAATGCTAAGGATATTACAAAATGCCATGCAATTGGTAGTTATTATTAGAAGTAGTCTTAATTTCCAGAAATTATGCTCTTCTATTTTGGAGAAGCCTTATTCTAAAGCTCTAGTTCTTCATTACTACATTAGGAGAAGGCACTTATGCAGGAATCATAGGTAGGATGACTCAATTTTATCGAAGCCTTCTTTGTCTGTTTTTAGAAATTCATTTTTAATAATGGTAGCTTTAAAATCATAGTGAAATTTTGAGTACTTAACAGGACCATAAAAGTGTCTTTTTTAAAGATAAATCATTCCTGTAACATTTCATATTCAGAATAATTTTATAGATTGAGTTAGTGGGATAAATGTTCAAGGTGAAAATCTGAAGGTGAATTATATTTATGTAATAGAATAGCTTTGCTACCAGGTAAGCTCATATATTTGGAATGTGTTTTCCCTCACATTTGTGAAAGCAAACAAAGGGCTTTTACTCCAAGTTACAGGTAAAACCATGACATTTTGCAAGCTCTAAAATGATTGGATTTTCTAGTCATCAGAGGTTTAACCTGAAGGGTACAGACAAATTGACATGCAAAAACAACAAGCCTGGCCCTGTTCTTTGTAAACACAAGGACATTGGATTTTCCAGTACTTGTTAGAATCAGTTTTGACAAGCCTTGTCAAAAGAGGCCAGCTTTATCAACAACATCAAACTGTTTCGAGTTGAGTTATCCAAAGATGTTACAGATTTCTGCCTAGTTTGGTGATAACTTTATCCCTCCACTGCTACCTCAGTTTGAAATTCCAAACCACCTTTAAGAAAATAACCTTGGCCCAGTTAGCCGGGTATATCATAAAAATAGCTTTGAAAAAGGGTAAGTACATATCAGTCCAGAAGTAAGAACATTAATATTGACTCTTTCTCCCTACAAACCATTTTTATAAAGCATAATCAAAATACTTTAATTTAGATAGTTATGTCCAGCGTTTAGAGAACCTGTAGTTGTTTTCTAACTGCAAAGACTTTAACCAGTTGGACTCTTTAAGCCTTCATATCATTAAGCTTGTCCTGGATCACTCATTTTCTCTAGTTTCTCAAGCTCTTAACCCAGTCTGTTGTTTTCTCACTGATTATCCAAGTTCTTGCCTCCTGTTTCATACCTATGATTGAAGCCACCAGCCATGAACTACAACTTTCTGCATTATCACCTTCCCTGCTTCCCTAAACCCAGCATAGCTACATTCTCATTCAAGTCTCAGAAGGATAGCATGTTTCTCTTCTATTTAAGGAAAATTCCTTCATCTTTGCTCCTAGTTTCATTTATCCCTTTTCCTCTGAGATCTGGATCCCAAAATTTCATCATGTGCTCTGGCTTCAGTCTCTCACTTTCTATTCCGTTTTCTCCCACAGACTGAGCATGCTTGAGTATTTTTATCTATTAATACTAAACGGAAAAGTCCTTGACTCTGCAACCCATTCTAGTTATTGTCCTTTTGTTTGCCTTTTTACATACTTGAAGAAATTCACATGTTCCATTGACTCCTCAGCCCACTCTAGTCTGACCCCCTACAGCCTTCACTCCACTGATTTTAACCAAGAACATCAGCGACCTCATGCTACTACGGTGGACATTCCTCCTCCACGTTCCTTCTTGTGTGGTGCTGCATTATTGCCATGGGCCTTACTAGGGTTCCTGCATCTTTTAACTCCCTAGCTTCCTTCATGCCCTTCTACTGCCCTCTCCAGCTTTCCCTTCTCTGGTTTATGAACTACTCTTGCCCCTCCCTTCAACTGTGGCATTCCCCAGGACTCTGTCCTCACACTGCAGATTCTCACTGCATGATGGCAAAGCTTAGTTAACACAGTTGAGGGCTCCCCAAAGTGTGTCAGCCTTCCAATTTCAGACTTGAATATTAAGCAGCTGGCTTCACATCTCATTCATTCAGTGAATCGTTGATTCATCAATATTCTGATCATCTACCATCACCAGACTGGGTCTTAAAAGACTGAGTAATGAAAATACAGGTTCTGCTGTGTCAATGGGAAAGACGGGGAGAAAAACCAGACAGTGGCCACACAGTGAATCACATATTCCAAGAGAAGCAAGCAAAGGGTGCCGTGAGCACAAAGCAATAGTGACAATCACTGGTTCTTAGGGCTTTTCAGGACGTTATTCTTAGGACCTTAAGTTAATCAAACATGCAGGAAGAGAGATCCTTTTCCTCATTTCTCTCACATTTCTTACCCCAGTCACTCAGTCACCTAAATTTAAACCCAGTTATCCTTGGCTTCTTCGTCATGTTGGGTTTTCAGTCAGACACCAAGTTCTACTCATTTCAGTCCCAAGATAGGCCTCAAATCCAGCCCACTCCGCCAGTTGTACTACCTCCGTCCTGATTCAAGGCCTCGTCATCTATCACCTGCATTACTGCAGTAGACTCAGGTCAGCTCCATGCTTTGATCTCATTGGATCTACCTTTCCAAGGCCAGCAAAAACGGGCACCTGACTTAGTCACTGCTCCGTGTGAAAGTCTCCCAGTCCTGCAGCAGATGTTCTCCAGCCTCTCATCAGAGTCCCAGAGGCAGGGCGCCCCTAAATCTGTCTCTATATAGCGGGTCCCAGCGCTGCAGATTCTAATTCTGTAGAGCTGCTGGACTGGATGCTTTGTTTTTAAATTCCCTAAGAGATTTTGACACCTGACCAGATTGAGAAACCCTTGGCCTGCAAGGATAAAGTCGGAGCCCTTCTGCCTGTGCATGAGGCCCTTCATGACCTGGCTTCAGCTTAGCAGTCGGCTGCATTTCCTGCCATGTCCTGTGCCACCCTTTACCCTCACATTCCAGCAATATTGAACCATGCATTCCCTTACCATCACGCCGTTTTGTGTCTCCCTTCATTTGTCCCCTCTCTTTCTCTTCACCTGAGTGAGGTATCTTTCCTTTGTTCCCATGGCAGCGATCAGTGCACAGTGATATTTGCCAGTCATTTCAGACTCTCATCCTCTCATTTTCTGTATCAGTTTATTAAAGATTGCATTAGAGGGTTCAACATTAATGTCATCTTACAATATACATAAATAAGCTTTTGCTTTTTTCTCATAAATGACCTTCATTTCAATTTATGTAGGAAAAAGTATAATTTATCAACAAGTGCATTTTTAAGTGACTTGTTTGGTTTTGAAACTGAAGGTATATTAAAATGTAGTTTGTTGATTAGTGATATCAAAAATAGACCAAAACAACAACTGCTTTCAGTGACCCAGAGTTTGGGAATCTTGAACTTTGCATTTGAAACAAGCTGATTAAATTTTATAATTTTTATGTTTGTAAATGACAAAGGTTTGGGGCTGCCATTTTCAAGCTTTTCTTTGCAAGTAATTTGGGATGTGGATGGTCTTGATTCTCAGTAAGTCAGAAGTTAAGTTGACAAATTGTCACTGTATTTTTGCTTTTTAATGTTGGCTTTTGAGATATTAGATTCATCTTGATGTTCTGTGTAAGAATTTTGATTAGGTAAACACAGTTTTTGGATCTGATGGAGATCACGACAGAACTTTGCAGAAGTATCATTTCAAAGACGTCAGAATCTGAGTTCTGTCTTGGTATAACTGGTGTAAATTACACAAGGGATGACTGTGAATTTTAAAAGTTATAGTGGTCAGAACCACCACCACCTAGCCTTGGTTGCAATACTGATTATGCCTGCCTGAGTCATGAGCACATTCATTTGTTTTTCACGAAAAGAAAGCATGTTTAGATAGTTACACTATTTTCTGATTTTTCAAAAATCACAGTTGCCTCTACCAATTTAAACCCCATGCTCCATATTCCAGAAGTTGACGAGCCCTGATTGGGACTAACGTAGCTTGAGATCTGAATTGCGTGACTCCAGATAAGTTACTCAACCTCTCTAAACTTCAGTTTGCTTTGCTGTGAAATGTAGAGAATATTGTACCACCTGCCTCACAGGGTTGTTGTAGGTATTAAGTAGTACTTACCATAATCACTTAGTAAATGGTAGCTGCATTATTATTACTACATTTAAAAATACTCACCTGTTTACTTGTCCACTTTGCCATAAGACTGTAAATTTCTGGAGCCCTTGACTTTTTCATATTTGCATCTCCAATACCTGCCTAGAGTCTAATGTAGTTGTGATTCACTGTTTGTTGAACTGAATAAAACAATGTCCATCCAAAAGGAAAACAGATATGTCTAGCAGAGGAACACCAGAAAGGGAACTAAAAGGGCAAAGGGGAAATGAAAAGGCTTGTTGTTGCAGGTATTACAGACAAGCTCAATGAGCCTTCTTTTCTGGGCCTCGGTCCTGCTCCCCTCTAGTTGGTCTTCCACCATGTCAGATAGGCCAGCTGGGCCTAGAGCAGAGAGAACATTCCTTCAGTGTTTCACTAATGGACTCAACATTGAAAAAACCCAACTTTTTGTGATAAATTAAATTGTATTGGGTGCTAACTTTTCATTAGTCTTTGCCACACTTTTTGTTGAGCTAGACATAGCAGTGAGTGTCCATAAGTGACATGTAATGTAAGGCTACATTATATGGGGATTATGCTTTTGGTATTTATTCAAATCCAGAGTCTGTTATTTGAAGACACCATTTTTTGCAGCTTTATTTTCCAGGTCCTGTGAATAACAGGACACTTATTTTCTTGGCTACTTTGTAAAGTTTTAAAAAATGTGATGTTTGGCTGGGCGTGGTGGCTCACGCCTATAATCCCAGCACTTTGGGAGGCCGAGGTGGGTGGATCACTTGAGGTCAGGAATTTGAGACCAGCCTGACCAACATGGCGAAACCTGTCTCTACTAAAAATACAAAAATTAGCTGGGTGTGGTGGCGGGCATCTGTAATCCCAGCTTCTTGGGAGACTGAGGCAGGAGAGTCGCTTGAACCCAGGAAGCAGAATGAGCCAAGATTGTGCCACTGCACTCCAGCCTGGATGACAGAGACTCTGTTTCAAAATAAATAAATAAAAATAAAATAAAATATAAAAATAAATAAATGTGATGTTTGTTGTATATCCCCTGAGTCTCTACTATTGGAAATCATATGTACCTCTTTTTTTTTTAAATTTTTTTCCTCTTTTTCTCCCCTTCTGTCTCTCTCTGTTTGTTCATTTTTTAACACATACAGGCTATTATACCTTCATTAATGAGAGCAATGGGTATATGAGAATATGTTTAAATTCACGTATTGCTGCATTTGCCAGCAAGGACCTAGACTCATTATTGTCATAAACTAAAGTTGTGTGTGTATGTTATGCATATTTACATTTAAGCAGATTGAAGCTGAATTTCCATTGACCAATCTCATTGTGGTGTACCTTTCTGGCAATCATGTTTTGATTATTTTCAAATGTATTATTCTATTGCAAATAGATCATATCAAGTGATATTCAAGAATAGTGACCACGAAGTACTGCTTATAAAATATTTATATGAAGACTATTTCTTGATTTTACTTCTAGGACATTCTTCTAAGTTTTTTTGTTGTTGTTTTGAGACAGGGTCTCACTCTGTAACCCAGGCTGTAACCTTCACCTCCCAGGCTCATGTGATCCTCCCACCTCAGCCTCCTGAGTAGCTGGGACTACAGGCGCATGCCACCATGCCTGGCGTGTGTGTGTGTGTGTGTGTGTGTGTGTGTGTGTGTGTGTGTGTGTGTGTATTTTTTTTTTTTTTGGTAGAGATGGGGGTCTTGCCATGGTGCCCAGCCTGGTCTCAAACTCCTGGTCTCAAGTGATCCACCCACCTTGGCCTCCCAAAGTGCTGGGATTACAGGCATGATCCACTGCACCTGGCTGGTTCTTTTAAGGTTTTAGTATTAGAAGATCTTTAATATAAGAGTGCTTTTACCTTATGGCTTAGCAAAGGCTGTTAAGTATATTCTTTTGTATTTACAGTTTTCTAGGCTACCAGGAGTTTTCTCTATGTATAGTATTTTTTGCTTTAATATCTGATTCTGTTTTTAGAAGTCTTTAGAAATGTATTTATTGAATCTTCTAGTTGTCTAGGTAAAATCCAATTTTATGTGAATCAAGTTAGAGATTATATTTGTAAAAGAACTTTTGCCGGGCGCAGTGGCTCACACCTGTAACCCAGCACTTTGGGAGGCTGAGGTGGGCAGATCACGAGGTCAGGAGATCGAGATCATCCTGGCTAAAATGGTGAAACCCTGTCTCTACTAAAAATACAAAAAATTAGCCGGGCGTGGTGGTAGGCGCCTGTAGTCCCAGCTCCTCGGGAGGCTGAGGCAGGAGAATGGCTTGAACCTGGGAGGCGGAGGTTGCAGTCAGTGAGCTGAGATCGCGCCACTGCACTCCAGCCTGGGTGACAGTGAGACTCCGTCTCAAAAAAAAAAATTTTTTTTTTTTTTTTTGCGAATAGTAACATTTTATTTAAATATCTGTTACTATTTGTGATTTATTTCCTTCCTTTTTAGTGGATGATGCTGGCAAAATAGAACACGATGGTTCTTCTGGAATGACCATGGACACAGAGTCGGAAATTGATCCTTGTAAAGTGGATGGCACTTGCCCTGAGGTCATCAAGGTGTACATTTTTAAAGCTGACCCTGGAGAAGATGACTTAGGTAAGAAGAAGTGTTTAGACATTATACATCCTCATCCAAATGTTTCAGCCTGATTACTTTTGGGTTATTTAGATTGAGAACATTTGGAGTCTCTTCTGAAGTAACTTTTATGTAAGAATTCCGGTGTAGTAATACCAAAGTTTGTAAAAAGTAATAAGAAAATTATGTAAAAAGAAATAGGTGGAAATGCAGTTTTCAAATAAATTATTGAAGCTGTCTTCTTCCCTGATTGATAGGTGGAACTGTAGACATTGTGGAGAGTGAGCCTGAGAATGATCATGGAGTTGAACTGCTTGATCAGAACAGCAGTATTCGTGTTCCCAGGGAAAAGATGGTTTATATGACTGTCAATGACTCTCAGCCAGAAGATGAAGATTTAAGTAAGTAGGTGGCCTTTTTGTGGGAGAAAATTTTATGTTTCTGGAGCTTTTAAGTGGCCAGTGTTTGAAATAAGTAGCATTATTTTAGAGATTATTATGCTACTACATTCCAAGGGAAACATCTTTGACTCTTTTATATATGCTTATGATGTTGCTTTAAAACCAAGTTATGGTGAAAGCCAAGAAGTAAATGATTCATTCAACAAATATGTATTGAGTGCTTACTACGTGAAAGCTATGTTCTAGGTATGTAATATTTGGACCATCTTTCCATTTTGTCTATTAACTGAATTCAAATAAAAACGTGTTTCCTGTGATCTCTGTAAACCTGGTCACAGAAGTTTTTGTAACTTTCTACTTAGATGTTGCTGAAATCGCTGACGAAGTTTATATGGAAGTGATCGTAGGAGAGGAGGATGCTGCAGCAGCAGCGGCAGCCGCCGCCGTGCACGAGCAGCAAATGGATGACAATGAAATCAAAACCTTCATGCCGATTGCATGGGCAGCAGCTTATGGTAAGTTGCCCAGCAGCTCTTAGCATTGAAGAAGTTGGTTCTTAAACATGAATCCATGATTGAAAAATGGTTTCTGTGGTCTTAGGTTTCAGAAGTCTGAAATACCAGTATCCTGTAAGGATTATTTGAATTGAATTAGAGTATAAAGTCTACTTTTTGTCTTTATTTTTAACAGGAATTTCCTTCATGTGTATATTATGTAGAAGGAAGTACTGCAAGAAGTACACAGGCTTTCAGGCTGAAAGTTTTCATCTTGATTATGTTTGGCCCATGACTTTTTCATTTTGGGAGACAACAAGGGAGTCCATGGCGCAAAAATGCTGACATGTGTTTTTTAGCTTTGGAAGCTAGGCGTTTCCTACGGTCTCGCGATAATAAATGTGCTCATAAAACCCATGACCTAGAATGGGGAATTTCTGTCATTCATGAGTATCATGGCTTACTTTTCGTTGTTGTAGTTAATGAAGAATTCCTAATTCTTTAAAATTTATAATACTGTATAATTTTGTTTTTTAATACACATTGTTAGGTAATAATTCTGATGGAATTGAAAACCGGAATGGCACTGCAAGTGCCCTCTTGCACATAGATGAGTCTGCTGGCCTCGGCAGACTGGCTAAACAAAAACCAAAGAAAAGGAGAAGACCTGATTCCAGGCAGTACCAAACAGGTGAGGGCGCACGAGTTCCATGGCGCAGCGTGCTCTGCGAGCTCTCAGAGGAAACTCTAGTATGTATCCACAGGGGTGTCACAATGGCATTTTAGCTGCTAGACCATATATAGCTTTGTCTATTGAACTTGAAAATATAATTTTCAGAATTCAGTGATATTCATGAATGATTTCCTTGGATAAAAAGAAACAGGACATGGCTGAAACATGGATGAGAAAAATTGAAAACTTGGATGATTTTTATGTGTACATGGAATGAAATCCCTCAAATATGTTATAAGCATTAACTTTTTAAATAAATTAATACATTTAGAGAATCTATGTCAGCATAAAGCAGGCATAATTTACAGAGCAGCAGGATAAGTACTTTAGTTCATATGACATTCCTATTCTTGTATGATGATTTGCGTATTAAAAATTTTATGGGTATATTTAAACTTTGCTGTAAGTTAACGTAAGTTATGTTTTTTGGAATAAACAGTGGAAATTTTTGTCACCAAAGTTTATTTTTATGAATAATTTTCCACCAGTTTATTTACTTATTTTTTTTTGAGGCAGAATCTTGCTCTCTTGCCCAGGCTGGAGTGCAGTGGCGTGATCTCAACTCACACTGCAACCTCTGCCCCCTGGGTACAGGTGGTTCTCCTGCCTCAACCTTCCAAGCGGCTAGGATTACAGATGTGTGCCACTGTGCCCCACTAATTTTCATATTTTTAGTAGAGGCGGGTTTTCAGCATGTTATGTTGGTCAGGGTGGTCTCGAATTCCTGAGTTCAGGTGATCTGCCTGCCTCGGCTTCCGAAAGTGCTGGGATTACAGGCGTGAGCCACCGTGCCCAGCCAATTTTCCACCAATTTCTAAATTGCTGTAGGTTTAATCACTAATTGATAAAAGTTACATATTCATTAATTTTATTAAACTAGAGGGAGTGAAGGCGGTACAGTCTTCATGAAGGAAGTTTCCAGACCATTTTCTCTATGACTAGGTTGCTATATCTCTTGTGTTGAAAAACAGTAAAAGGAATGTTAAGCAGCAAATAGTCCAATTTAGGAGTCCTTGGCCAACAGTGGTCAGAACCCACACTTTATATTCGCAAAGAAACTGGAACAGAACTTGGTTTGAGCACTCATACTCCTTTCTTTTCCTTTTTTAGCAATAATTATTGGCCCTGATGGACATCCTTTGACTGTCTATCCTTGCATGATTTGTGGGAAGAAGTTTAAGTCGAGAGGTTTTTTGAAAAGGCACATGAAAAACCATCCCGAACACCTTGCCAAGAAGAAATACCGCTGTACTGACTGTGATTACACTACCAACAAGAAGATAAGTTTACACAACCACCTGGAGAGCCACAAGCTGACCAGCAAGGCAGAGAAGGCCATTGAATGCGATGAGTGTGGGAAGCATTTCTCTCATGCAGGGGCTTTGTTTACTCACAAAATGGTGCATAAGGAAAAAGGAGCCAACAAAATGCACAAGTGTAAATTCTGTGAATACGAGACAGCTGAACAAGGGTTATTGAATCGCCACCTCTTGGCAGTCCACAGCAAGAACTTTCCTCATATTTGTGTGGAGTGTGGTAAGGGTTTTCGTCACCCGTCAGAGCTCAAAAAGCACATGAGAATCCATACTGGGGAGAAGCCGTACCAATGCCAGTACTGCGAATATAGGTCTGCAGACTCTTCTAACTTGAAAACGCATGTCAAAACTAAGCATAGTAAAGAGATGCCATTCAAGTGTGACATTTGTCTTCTGACTTTCTCGGATACCAAAGAGGTGCAGCAACATGCTCTTATCCACCAAGAAAGCAAAACACACCAGTGTTTGCATTGCGACCACAAGAGTTCGAACTCAAGTGATTTGAAACGACACATAATTTCAGTTCACACGAAAGACTACCCCCATAAGTGTGACATGTGTGATAAAGGCTTTCACAGGCCTTCAGAACTCAAGAAACACGTGGCTGCCCACAAGGGCAAAAAAATGCACCAGTGTAGACATTGTGACTTTAAGATTGCAGATCCATTTGTTCTAAGTCGCCATATTCTCTCAGTTCACACAAAGGATCTTCCATTTAGGTGCAAGAGATGTAGAAAGGGATTTAGGCAACAGAGTGAGCTTAAAAAGCATATGAAGACACACAGTGGCAGGAAAGTGTATCAGTGTGAGTACTGTGAGTATAGCACTACAGATGCCTCAGGCTTTAAACGGCACGTTATTTCCATTCACACGAAAGACTATCCTCACCGGTGTGAGTACTGCAAGAAAGGCTTCCGAAGACCTTCAGAAAAGAACCAGCACATAATGCGACATCATAAAGAAGTTGGCCTGCCCTAACAATACTTCTACAGAACGTTTGTAGAGATATTGGCCTTGAAGCAGAAAATTCATTTTAAAGCCAATCAGTCTCATTCACATACAATACTGTATATTGATTTATGCTGTGTACAAATAGAATTATTACTTCTAGTTGACTTTTTTTTAAATATACATTTTGCTCAGTAGTGTGTTCTGAATTCTATTCAGTTTGTTTAATAAATAGGGAAAACTGGCAACATGCTAGTTACTTTTAATAAAGTAATCCCTGATTCTATACCGAAGTTTTATATCTTAGAATTTTATATTTATTTAAATATTTACCTTGCTTACCTTGATGGTACTCTTCTAAGACCATTAACTTAAGGTAACTTTATATTGGTAACTCTGAAAGTATTCATGTTGACTCATTTTTTTCCCCATACATTTCTCACAATAAAATTGTCAGAGACATCTACTAATATAAATGGGAGATTTTACAGTCAGGTCTAATTATCATAACATGGAAGTCATTTACTTGTCTTGCTTAATATTTTCAGACCACTTGACAGTGAAAGTTTCCATTTGAGCTGTTGCGTCCCTGGCTTTGCTGAGTAAAGAGCAGTGGCTGGGTTCGTGTTTACTTTTCAAATATACTTCTTTTGGCTTTCTTTGGATTATTTACATCTTTTGTCAGCGTAGCAAACTTTTAGAAAACCTTATTGAAAAACTGTGCTTGCTCATGTTGTATTTTGATTATTCTGTCTGTGCGGCTTCATCTTGGAATGGTTGTGTGCTACAAATGACACTTACTGAGGACTGCATTTTGGAATCTCCTAGAGGTAACTCATGGCTTATAGGATCTTTTGCAACTTTATGTATGTAAATGTACCCTGAATTATATATATACACATATATATCATGTACCTGTGTGTATTGCTTATTTTACATATTTATACACACAACCCCAAGTAGTAGTTGTTTAAAATCTATAATGAAAAGTATTAAATTTACAATAACATGAAAGATCCAGGGATGCATGAGAGAGCATTTTGTAAGTCATGCTCTTCAGAGAGACTACTCAGGTGAAGAATTAGAAGGAAAATAAGGACACTAGTATTTTTAAAGAGTAAAGATATTTTCTTTTAAATATCTTTGGTAATTGAAACATAGAGGTTAAGATGTTTCTAGGTAGAATGTTTTCATACAATTTCACCTCCATGTCTTTATGTTTTTCTGAAAAGCAAATGAGTATCCAGACATGACTCCCACAGTTCTCTTTGAGAAGCCTGAGAGGGAACTCTGTCTTACCTAGTGAGGGGGATGGAAAAGAAGTGATGGCTCTGTGGACCAGAGAACGGGTGCTAATTATGACTTCACACTCGGCAAGTTCAGGCTGATCTGTTATTTCTCAGTTACAGTTAGCAAACTTTAAAAACTTAACACTCAAGTTGGCTTTGATTAAAAGGTAAAGATGTGTTTTAAGTGGATAAGGAAAGTCTGAGGCCTTATTTGGAACATCACTAAGTCTTCCACAGGTTTTTTGTTTGTTTGTTTTTTTTTGTTGTTTTTTTTTCTTAAGACGGAGTCTTGCTCTGTTGCCCAGGCTGGACTGCAGTGGTGTGATCACTGCAACCTCTGCAGCTCACTGCAACCTCTGCTTCCTGGGTTCAAGCAATTATCTGCCTCAGCCTCTCGAGTAGCTGGGATTACAGGCGCCCACCACCACGCCCGGCTAATTTTTTGTATTTTTAATAGAGATGGGGTTTCACCATCTTGGCCAGGCTGGTCTTGAACCCTGACCTCGTGATCCACCTGCCTCGGCCTTCCATAGTGCTGGGTTTACAGGCGTGAGCCACCGTGCCCAGACACCACATAGGTCTGAATCAGTGTCATACATTCATAAAACAAACTCGGTTAATTAGAACTTGGTTATGTTAAGACGAATCTGGGAGAACAGAAAACAGTTTTTGGGGTCCCTTCAGTTGGCTATTGGTCCGTATGCATCTAGCACATTGTAGGAGATTTAGAAATTGTCTTCCCACCCGATAGCTGCCTTGTCACCTCATTATGGTGCTCCATCCCCTGTGTGCTTAGGTTTTTACCTTTCATCTTTCTCTTTGCCATTGATGTTTGTATTCAAGAGTTATATTTTTAGGGTTAGAAATCAAAATATTTGGTGTTTGGCAAACCTCTGAAGTGCTAGACTGATTTAGTCTAGTTTTAAACCAAGTGCTTTAGGCAGGTGTGAACTCCAGCCCAAATGCCAGTCAAAGTCAAGGCATGGGTTTTCCTAGCCTATCTTATAGGAAATTCCTGTACCTTCTTGGCCCCCATAATGTGTTTTTTTTTTTTTTTTTTTTTTAAACTAACTTACAATTTTGTGATCCGTGATTCATTGCCCTGCGATTCTTGAAAGCTCTGTCTGTTTTTTTGTGAGAACCTTTAAAATCTCCCTTAATTTTTATTTTCCCAGAAATAATGTAAAAACACTTAAATGAAAGTGGAAATGTATTAATTTTAAATCCTATAAAATTAATACAGAAAATATAAATGATTGGGTCATTTAACTATATTTTTTTAAATAAACTGAAAGATAAAGAACACAACACTTCACACATTTTATATTTCTCTTACATACTCCGGAATCATACACAGTTCTTTTTAAAGCACAACATTAAAACCTTTAAAAGGTATTTAAGGGTTTGGTCAAGTGAATATGATAAAACATACTTGTCTGTATAAAGAGAAAATGAAATTGTAGTCACTGTTATGTACTGACATTAGTTACAACCTAGTTTTAATTCTTAAAACAATTTTGATTAGCAAAGCTAAAAAAAAATGGATGTTTCAGTTAAATGTTTTAAAGAGGTACAGATTTTTACAAGGACATAATATAAGTTATTGTTCTGTAGAAATATCCTATTAAATATTGTATGTCCCTCCCTCTGTACACTTTGTAAAGAAAGTAAAATACATAAAAAGAAAATCATATAGGGATGTGTGACATTATTGTAATTGTGTACTTGAGAATAACGTGCAAAAATAAAAATCAGAATATTTTCCTGTTATTGAATGTTTAGTCTATTTGATACCAGTACTAAGTTAATGCTTTTTCTCAAGGAAAAAAAATGTACAGTTTTTGTAAACCTAATAAACATCAAAAGCAGTGGATTATTTTCATCCCCCCATTTCTTAATTTCTTTTTCACAGCAGTGGAATGCAAAGTGCTTGATTGCTTTGAATTTTGTGACTCGGATGCAAATACTGGTAATATTTCAGTTCTGTGAATTTGCAAGTAATATTTCAGAGAAGTTAAGAGGTGATTGGTGAGTCCTTTGATGAGCATGTCCTTGGAATTCATTTTTTCTTTTATCTTCATAAAGGATTTGTTTTATTAGCATCTCCAATTCCCCTGAGATAAATTACTCATGCATAAAGTGGTTTTTGAGAGCACTTAAAGTTCATTTCAGTATTAATTTACAGCATATTTAATCAGTGGGGACTGTTACCACCTCCACAACAGAAATCATGCCCTCGAGTTACCCCACTGCGCCCAGTTTAGAGGACTAGTAGATGCTAACATACTAGGGAATGGTCATTGCCACAGTTAAAAATCGGCAGTTAAGTAAATGTCAGGAGTCAAAAGAGATAGAGTTGTGCCATCTTTGATTTTATAGACAAGATTCTGCAGTTCTTCCAACTGTATGAACAAACGTTTGCCTAATAGTTGAAACAATAAATTAAAATTTTAGGTAAATGACGAAGGGAATGTGGTGAATGTCACTGTCCAGAGCCATAAATCAGACAAAACCATACATAGCATGCTGAAAAACTTTTGTAATGGAACACCCAACAAATGACACCTAACCTGTCTGTGATCCAACAAGTCCGATAACATGCTGCTGTATTTGTATTCTCTGGGAATCTCAGTATTAATAATTTCATTTCCCACAAATTCTAGCATTCATGTAAGGAAAAACATGGCTAATCAATATCTTAAAGGGGCAATCTTTCAGAGCAGTGGTTTTCAAAGTATGGCCGGACAGCATTGGCAGCATCTTAATCTCCTGGGACTTTGTTAAAAATGCAAATTCTCAGCCCCACCCTAGTCCTACTGAATTGGGAAACTGGCGTGGGACCCAGCAGTCTTTGTTTTAACATGTTCTCCAAGTGATTCTGATGCCTGTTCAAACTTGGGAAACACTTTTAGAGCACTTGAGGAACCTAAAAGATGACTGGTTCAGCATTTTGTGTGGTAGATAAGAAAGAAATTATCACAAAAAATCAGAAATGAACAGTGAGAGAAAAATAGGACCCCAGACAGTTTATACCTTCCATTTGCTGTTTTAAAAGTGTGAGCCTGCCAAGTCAACAAGTATGCCTTTAGCGCACATGTAAATAGCCTGCACTTCCTAAATCTCGTGTGGCCTCCCATGGTTACATTCTTCAAAGGTAAACTGAGTTGAGAGGAAGATTCAGCATTTAAAAGAGAAGGGTTGAAAAAGATTGTGTGTGTGTGTGTGTGTGTTTAATTGGCCCAGGGTTACTTAAATAAATCATAACCATTTTGCCACATTCTGTAACTGTTTAGCTAAGGTCAAATTAAGTTTACCCTATGGATTTTGTTTCATCTTTTGTTTCGTGTATATACTGTTTGCCTTTTTCATAAAAATCTTGGATTTGTTATATATTGTTCCTGTTATTTTTGACATCTTTGCTATTGTAAATAAATTACTATTTTGTTTTAAGTTACCCTAGTGGAGTGTTGGCTATAGACAAGGTATATACTCGAAACGAGGAGACTTAAATCACACAGTTAATGAATTCCCAACTTGTTTGAAGCTGGAGGTGATTCGACTCCCTTCAGTGGTTCAACACTAATAATAGCACCAAGGAACATGTCACTGGTGCATATAGGCATAGCATCTGTACCGACTTGGATTTCAAAATCATGTTTTGACCTCTGTGATGGAAGTACTCACTCCATGAAGTTTGAGGTCAAAATCAAGAATTACTTTCCTTTACTTGGTTTTTCCTATTCAATTGGTCTCTCATGTTACTTGTATTGCTGGTATTGGTGGACACAAAGGATCTGGCATTACAGTGACCTGTCGAGACTGTAAAGCCACTAGGAGACTTGGCTACTAAAAACCTGCTCAGGACTTCTAGATGTTGTTTGGCTCTGAACTACCACAGAAGTATCTAAACACATTGACTAAAAGTATAGAATAGTTAACTAGACCTATATTATTTTGCTTTCTAAGAGGCCAGTTTCTGCTTTTAAATGCAGAACCCATTTCCTTTTGTCTGAGATTCTTTGAAATAGGAGGGGTATTGCAAAGCCATCTGTTGGGGTTTTGAAGGTTCTAGTCACCTGTCCTCCCCTCTTGAGTTCTAACCACATTGAAGATAGACAAGAAACCACCAATTAAGTGTGCGATTTATTCTAGTAAGGCTGGATTGGGAGACCCAGAGGCTGAGATGAGTCTGTTTCCAATCTCTTTCCCTCCAATGTAGGCCTTGACTGATGCAGCCAGTCATTTGAAGGCATGGGGCCTACCTTCCACTCCTTTGTGAGCTATCAGGAGACTAGTTCTGTCATCAGAGAAAGGGAGCATCTACTCCAGCCCTCCCAGGCTAGAACACAGGAAAAGGGGGAGAGTTCCCTTACATCATCCTAATAAAGGTTAGTCCAATTCTGGATTGCCCTCTGACATTAGCACACTAGCAACATGTGAGGTTTCGCCATTAGCCTTGCATGTTTGTGTCCACTTTTATTGATTTTTACTGTTCCCCCTTGAAGTGGTGGTTGTGGCAGACTTTCTAAAGTTCCTTTCTCTCTCAAGGCAGTATGCTTTGGTGGTTCTTCAGAAAATTAATTTTTAAAGGGCAAATGTACTTACTATACAAAGATGGAAATCTTGCAAGTTATTTTTATTGCATGCTTTCGTAACAAAAATTGGGAAAATGATCACCCACAAGGCCACCACCTTTATTAAAGGGATTGCTTGTCTTTGTTCTCTTCTAGTCTTAGTCCATACACATAAATCTTTTATCTGTCTTGTAACCACAATATCAATTCTATTCTGGGTTCAGGGATTTTCTTTTTCAAACATCAAATGTAATTCATGTGTCTACACCAGTATATGGGAGAGTTCGTTCCCCTCAACCTTACAAACAGTGGGTGTTACAGCTAATCTCACAGGTTAAAAAAAGAATATGTCATTGCTGTTTCAATTTGCTTTGACTGGACTCCTAGTGGGGTTTAATACTTGTATGTATATAATAGCACTTTAAGTTGTCGCTCTGATAAACTGCCTATTCAAATCCTGTGCCCCATTTTCTATTTGGAGTTCTTTGTACATTAAGCCTATTAACTTTCCAATACATTTGCTGCACATTTTTGTAGTCCATGATTTATCTTGTTATTGCTTATGTAATCTTTTCATATATAAAAATCTTTAATATTTGTGTAATCAAATGTTTTTTTCCTTTATGATTCCTAGTGTTTCTTGTTCTGCTTAAAAAGGTCTTTTCCATCGCAAAGTTCTACAAATATATGCCTAGATTTTCTTCCTATATTTTTATTGTTTTGTTTGGATTTTTATGTAATTAAAATTATTTTGTTTAGCAGATCCAATGGTGATTTTAAAAATTATTTTGAAAAAAAAAATTACCTGGGCAAGGTGGCATGCACCTGTTGTCCCAGCTACTCTGGAGACTGAAGTGGGAAGATAGCTTGAGCCCAGGAATCCAAGGCTATGGTGAACTATGATCGTGCCACTGCACCCCAGCCTAGGTGACAGAGTGAGACCCCATCTCAAAAAAATTTTTTTAAAATGTATTGTTTGGTAGGGCATCTAATTTCTGTTTTCTCTTGGATAGAGAGCCACCTATTCCAGTACTGTTTATGAAGTCACCCTTTACCCTCATGAGCCGAAATGACACTTTATGTTGTCATCATATATGTCCTTGGATTTATTTCTGAAGTCTATTTTGTTTTACTGATGTTTGTCATTTTTGTGCCAATGTCATATTGTTTTTCTCACAATAGTCTGGTGAACCAGAAGGCAAGTCCCTCTTTAGTTCTTTTTCATAGTTTTCTTGACACTTATTCCATAGGAACATGAAAATCATTTTACCCAGTTTCCCTTAAAAGCCTCATTGGGATTTTTGATTCAGATTGCATGCATTTTGTTTGTTTTTTTGAGATGGAGTCTCACTCTGTCGCCCAGGCTTGAGTGCAGTGGTGAGATCTCGGCTCACTGCAACCTCCACCTCCTGGGCTCAGACGATTCTCCTGCCTCAGCCTCCCGAGTAGCTGGGATTACAGGCATGCTCCACCACGCCCAGCTGATTTTTGTATTTTTAGTAGAAACGGGGTTTCACCATGTTGGCCACGGTGGTCTTGAACTCCTGACCTCAGGTATCTGCCCACTTCGGCCTTCGAAAGTGCTGGGATTACAGGCGTGAGCCATGGCCCCCGGCCGAGACTAATACTAATTAGTTTGCATATTAATTTAACTCTAGCTCTAAAAAATAAACTTGGAAACTTTTCTACAATCTCCAATAGTTTAAAAACTGGAAGCATTATCTAATCCTTGAAGATTAGATAGAACTCAGTTGTGAAAGCATTTGGGTCTGATGCCTTTTTATAAATAGTAGGTCTTGGGGCCAGGCGGCGGTGGCGCACGCCTGTAATCCCAGCACTTGGAGGGCGGATCACTGGAGGTCAGGAGTTGGAGACCAGCCTGGCCAACATGGTGAAACCCCGCCACTACTAAAAATACACAAATTAGCTGGGTGTGGTGGTTCGCCCGTGGTCCCGGCTACTCTCCGGGAGGCTGAGGCAGAATTGTTTGAACCTGGGAACCTGGGCGGCGTTGCGGTGAGCCAAGATCGCGCCATTGCACTCCAGCCTGGGCAACAAGAGCGAAACTCCGTCTCAATCAATCAATCAATAAAATAAAATTGGGAGGCCTTTACTTTTCCGATCTCTTCTACATTAATTAGCCCATCAGCTTTTCTTCTTAAGATTTGGTATCTTTGAAAATCATCCATTTTCTCTAGATCCATACTTCTCATGTTGTTAATGTGCATATGCATCATCCGGGGTATGTTGTGAAAATGCTCATTCTGATTCAGTGAGTCCAGAGTGGGGCTTGTGACTGTGCACTTCCTGCAAGCTCCCTGGTGATATTGACGCTGTGGTCCATGGACCACGTGGTCCAAGCCCTGGAAGAATTCAGTGGTTCTCGATTTCGGTCATAGAATTACACGGGGCAGCCTTTGAACTTCCCAGAGCCCGGTGGGAATGGGTCTCAGACAGTAATTTTTCAAGTTCCTCAGGTGATTACAATGTGCAGCCAAGATGTGAACCACTCTTCTAGATTTGCAGTTTATTGCCATAGAGATACAATATTTTCTTACTATTTAATAATCTCATTCTCTCGCATTTCTGGTTGCATCTCCTTCCTCATCTTAAATGTTATATGTTTTGTTTTCTGTCATATTTCTTTTTTTTTTTTTTTGAGTCGGAGTCTTGCTCTGTCGCCCAGGCTGGAGTGCAGTGGTGTAATCTCAGCTCACTGCAACCTCTGCCTCCCGGGTTCAAGAGATTCTCCTGCCTCAGCCTCCAGAGTAGCTGGGATTACAGGCACACGCCAACATGCCTGGCTGATTTTTGTGTTTTTAGTAGAGATGATGATTTACCATGTTGGCCGGGCTGGTCTCGAACTCCTGACCTCAGGTGATCCGCCTGCCTCAGCCTCCCAAAGTGCTGGGATTACAGGTGTGAGCCACTGTGCCTGGCTCATATTTCTTTAAGTGGCTTTCAGAGGTTTTGCTATTTCATAGGTGGTGTCAAAGAAACTGCTCTTTTGTTTATATTTTTTGGTTTTCTACTTAATTTTATCTTTCGTTGTTACTTTTTTTTTCTCTCTTTTTTTTTTTTTTTTTTTTGAGACAAGGTCTCACTCTGTTGCCAAGGCTAGAGTGCAGTAGTGTGATCACAGCTCACTGCAGCCTCGACCTCCTGGGCTCAAGTGATCCTCCCACCTTAGCCTCCCGAGTAGCTGGGACCACAGGCACGCACCACCATGCCCAGCTAATTTTTGTATTTTTTTGGTAGAGACAGTGTCTTGTCATGTTGCCCAGGGTGGTCTCAAACTCCTGAACTCAAGCTATCCACCTGCCTCCCCCTCCCAAAGTGTTAGGATTACAGGTGTGAGCCACCCTGCCTGGCCTATTTTCTTTTCCTATTTTCTTCTGGTATATTTTACTATCTAATTAAAATGTCTGATGTTTTGTATTTCATTAATTTTCATTTATTTTTAAAGGAAATCCTTGAAACCTGTGTATTTCCTTTGGTATACAACTTTAGCTATAGGCCATTGTATATGAATTGTCCTTTTTTGTATTCTAGATAGTTTTACATCTGTTTTGATTTCCTATTTAAGTAGAGTTTAACTTTCAAGTAGTAAACATTTTTATTAATCCCTTTAGCCTTGATCTCTAGTTTTGTTGGTCTGAGTTCAAAGTATGGCCTGTATAACCTCTACATTTTTTTTTGGAATTTTTGAAGTTTTCCTTTTCGGCAAGACATAATTTTTTTGAAAATACAACACAGATATAGTATAACATCTTTACATTTATAGGTATAAACTTATAGATAAAACTGAGCTTGTTGATTATTCAGATCCTTTATATCCTATATCCTTGCTATTTTTTGACTACTTGAGTTTTTTTGTTTGTTTTTTTCTGAGACAGGTTCTCGCTGTGTTGCCTAGGCTGGTCTCAAACTCCTGGGCTAAAGCGAGCCTCCCACCTAAACCTCCCAAAGTTCTGGGATTACAGGCATGGGTCACCGTGCCTGGCGACTATTTGATTTTTAATTTTTGAAAAAATATCAAAATATCTCACTATAAGGGAGTTTTATGGAGTTTCCTTGTACTTAAAGTTTTGCTTTATATAATTGGTTTCTATCGATTTTTGTTTCATAGATGTTTGACAGATCTTATTTATGATTGTACCTTTTACAGGATATTTTTGTCCTCTTTAACGTATTTGGTCTTGAACTCTACTTTGATATGTGTTTTCTATTTCAATCCTTTCTTATGTCTTATATTACAAATTCTGTTATCATAATTTATTAGACATAAGTGTACACTGCAGAATTTTTGGCTACTGCTGTTTCTTGTCCATTTCATCTTTCCCCATTTGACATCTCTGTGCTGAATAAATTTTCATTTGGTTGATGTATACTTCGTTTGTTCCTTCATATTTGGTATGTGGGTGTATATTCTTTCTAAAACCTTGACTACCCCAAAACATCTATTTTTGCCTTGACAAATGATCTTAGTAGGTATAAACTTCTGTTCACAGTCTCTTTTCTTTCACAGTTTATAGATGTTTCATTGTTTTCCAACTTTAGTGTTATGAGAACTCCAATGCCTCTTCCTTTGTTTCCTGAAGTTCATATGAATTTTCCTTTGTCTTTGGAACTCAGAAAGGTCACTAGAATCTATCTAGGGGTGTGTGTGTGCACGTGTGTGTTTGTGTGTACTTCTAATCACATCTGGGATTTGTTATTTGCTGATTCCTTTCTTTCTGTTAAGTCTCTCTTCAGCTAAAGAAGTTTTCTTACATCTTGTGTGTAATTATTACTTATCATACTGGCATTTTGCTTCTTCGGGAATTCCTATTTTTCACATATAACATCTCCTGGATTTGTCTTGTCATCATAAAATGGCACCAAGAAGAAAGAATCCCTTTAATCCCGTGCCCCAGCGTGTGATCATTATTGTACCGAAAAATTTAAATGTTTGAAAGGGATGTCTCTTGAAGAGAGAAGGTATGTCCCCAGTGGTGGGATTGCTGAAAGAAAAAAAGAAAAAAAAGAAAAAAAGAAGCAAGAGAGTGATAGTCTGTAAATGTGCAACCTGTCCTGATGGAGTAACAGTGCTCTTGATTTATTTCTCCCTAGTAGAAGGAACTTCAGCCAGAAATTTCCTTTCATAGAATAACAGCATTCTGAGTACCTTCTTTGCCTCAACTTTAAATAAAGAAGCATGTAAAAAAGTCTTAATGCTAGGTACACAGTGCTGAATAAGAGTTCTCCATCTCTTCCTTTCCCTATACGTTACACATTTTGTTAAATGAGCAAGAATGAGAGCATTGTTGTAGCAGACATCACCACTGTCCCTGAATGTCATTCCTGATCTTATTCAAATTTAACATGTGTGAACAAATGTGAACCTGAGAGAGCCAATCATTCAAGACGGATCCCCAGTGGCTAACTGGGCCTAAATTTAAAATAGATGTGAACCAACTGGTATAGGAAAAAAAAAAAAAAAAAAGGAAAAAAACTGTAAAAATAAAACAGAGCCAAGCAGCCATTTGCTGACTAGAGGTCACCCATATCCTCTGAATTCCCCCTAAATCCACACCTCTGTTCAACTTTGGGACTCCAGAACTCACCTGAATCAACTAATCAGAGCATACCTGCCTCAGTCAATCAGGGCTCAGCTGTATCAACCAATCAGAACTCAGCTTCACTGACCAATCAAAACTAAGTTTCAGTCCTTTATTTGCATGAACAGACCAGATTGGGAACTTGGTCGAGAACTTTTGCTATGAGACCGTAACCCTGTTTTTGTTCTCTGGAAAACACCTTTGTTTTACAGGGAAGCCTTCCTCTCCCTAGTTTGCAAACCATGCACTGAAATAAAGTATCTTTCCTCCAAATTCCTTTCCAGAGAACTTTTGTTCACATGTGCAGTCCTAAGCTTTGTTTCAAAATGGACCAATTTACACTCTTCACAGCAAAATTGGAAAATATTGAGTTTTGGTGAGGATGTGCAGCAATGAGAACACGGTAATATTGGCACACTTTTAAGTTTTGCCAATTTTGTGCATGTAAAAGAATATTATATTGAGATTTTAATGAACATATCCCTAATTATGAATAATATTGAGCATCTTTTCACATATTTATTGGTTATTCACATTTCCTCTTTTGTGACAAGCCTATATTGGTTTTTTTTTTGGCCTATTTTCTATGAATGGCCCATTTCTATTGGATCACTTACATTTTTCTTGTTGATCCATAAACATCTATATCTCTATCTATCTATCTATCTATCTATCTATCTATCTATCTATCATCTATTTTAAGAGACAAGGTCTCACTATGTTGCCCAGGCTGATCTCGAACTCCTGGGCTCAATCAAAGAGCTGGGATCACAGGTGTGAGCCACCATGCCTGGCCCCTTTATATAGTCTTGATATTAGTCCTTTGTCAGTTATATGTAATTTTATTTATTTAGTTAGTTAGTTTTTGAGTCAGGGCCTTGCTCTGTCGCCCAGGCTGGATGGAGTGCGGTGACGCAATCTTGGCTCACTGCAACATCTACCTCCTGGGCTCAACCACCCCTCCCACCTCAGCCTCCCGAGTAGCTGGGACCACAGGTGCATGCCACTACGCCTGGCTAATTTTTCTATTTTTTTCTTTTTTGGTAGAGATGGGGTTTTGCCGTGTTGCCCCGGCTGGTCTCAGACTCCTGGGCTCAAGTGATCCTCTTGCCTTGGCCTCCCAAAGTGCTGTACAGGTATGAGCCACCACACCTGGCCATACATGTAATTTTAAAATCTCTGTAAATATCTTCTCTTGGTCTGTGGCTTGCCATTTTACTCTATTGTGTCTTTTGATTAACTTAAGTTCATCATTATAACCTGGTAAAATTGGTATCTTTTCCTTATGATTAATGCTTTATGTGTCTTAAGAAATCCTTCCTGATAGTAATGAGGTTATTCTCTGATATTAGTTTTTTAAAGCTCTGTAGTTTGACTTTTCATACTTATGTCTTTATCCTGAAACGGATTCGATGTGGATTATAGTGTGAGTTAAGCATTCACTTTAACGTTTTTCAACTTCAACTTCATACAGTTCAACTCTTTATTGAAAAAATCAATACTTGCCCACTAATTTGCAGAGCCAGCTCCATGATATATAAAATATTCCTGTGTAAGTGGATCTGCTTCTAGGATCTCTGTTTTGTTCCATTTGTCATTTGTCTTTCTCTGTAACTGTGCCCCATAACTTTTTTTGCAGGGGCGGGGGAGGATGGAGTCTCACTCTGTCCCCCAGGCCAGAGTGCAGTGGTGTAATCTCAGCTCACTGCAACCTCCACTTCCCGGGTTCAAGTGATTCTCCTTCCTCAGCCTCCCGAGTAGCTGGGACTACAGGCACGCACCGCCACCCCCAGCTAATTTTTGTGTTTTTAGTAGAGACAGGGTTTTATCATGTTGGCCAGGCTGGTCTCGAACTCCTGGCCTTAAGTGATCTACCCGCCTCAGCCTCCCAAAGTGCTGGGATTACAGGCATGAGCTAGTGCACCTGGCCCCATCATGGCTTTTTAAAACAATCTTTACTGGGATATAATTCACGCACCGTAAAATCCAACCATTTAAGGTATACAATTCAAATTTTAGTATATTCACAGAATTGTCCAACCATCAACATGATCTAAGTTTAGAATATGTCATCACTCTCAAAAGAAATTTCATACCCAGTGCCGGTTGCGGTGGCTCACGCCTGTAATCCCAGCACTTTGGGATGCTGAGGCGGGCAGATCACCTGAGGTCAGGAGTTCGAGACCAGCCTTCCCAACATGGCAAAACCCCTCTCTACTAAAAATACAACAAATTAGCCAGGTATGGTGGTGGGCATCTGTAATCCCAGCTACTCAGGAGGCTGAGGCAGGAGAATCGCTTGAACCTGGGAGGTGGAAGTTGCAGTAAGCTGAGATCACACCATTGCACTCCAGCCTGGGTGAGAAGAGCAAAACACCGTCTCCAAATAAAAAATAATAATAATAAAAAAGAAATTTCATACCCATAAGCAGTCACTTCCCACTCCCCCCATCCTCCTAGCCTCTGACATCCACTAGTTTACCTTTAGTCTCTATAGGTTTGCTATGCTGGTCACTTCATATAAATGGAATCATAAAATATATGCTGTTTTTGACTGGCTTTTTTCACTTAGCACAATGTTTTCAAGTGTCATCCATGTTGTAGCATGTCTCAGTACTTTGTTTCTTTTTAATGGCCAAATAATATTCCATTGTATGGATATACCACATTTTGTTTATCCATTCTTCCATCAGTTGATGGACATTTGAGTTGTCCCACCTTTTGGCTATTATGAATAATGCTGCTGTAAGTATTTGTGTACAAGTTTTTGTGTGTACATGTTTTCACTTCTCTTGGCCATGAACCTAGAGGTGAAGTTGCTGACTCATATAGTACCTTGACTTTTAACATTTTTAGCAATTACCAGACTATTTTCCAAAACAGTTGCATGATTTTACATTCCCATCAGCAGTGTATGAGGGTGGAAGGATCACTTGAGCCTGGGAAATCAAGGCTGCAGTAAGCCGTGACTGCACCACTGCACCACTGCACCCCAGCATGGGCGACAGAGTGAGACCCTGTCTCAAAAAAAGAAAAAAAGGGAGAAATATTTGTTAGGCCTTCACATTGTATCCTGTATGTCTCTTGCACTTTTCAAAACATATTTTCCATGTTTTAGGTCTCTCCATGCTTCATTCTGGATAGTTTCTTTTAACCTGCCTTCTAGTTCAGTAATTTCATTATGGGCTACATATCATCTCTTAACTCTGCTACTCCTTTTTTTTCCCTTCTTAGTCTTGTTTCCTGCACTCAGAACCATTATTTTGAGATTCATCTCTATTGCTGCATATATCAATAGTTTATTCCTTTTAATTGCTGAGTATTATTCCATTGTATGGATACAGCACAATCTGCCCATTCACCTCTTGATAGCCATTTGGATTGTTCACAGTTTGGGGCTATTACATATAAAACTGCCATGAACATTTATATATTTGTGTGGACATATGTTTTCAATTCTTTGGGGTAGGTGGAATGACTAGTTTGTGTGGTAGGTATATATTTAATATTTTAGACATAGCCAAACTTTCCTACATAGTTGTACCATTTTACAATTCCACCAGCAGTGTTAAGAGTTGCAGTTGCTCTACATCCTCGCCAGCACTTGTTATGATCAGTCTTTTAAACATTTTAGCCATTTTAGGGTGTACGTTGTGATATCTCATTGTGTTTCCATTTTACTTTTAAATAATAAAGAGTAAAATTGACCTATTTGGTGTTCAGGTCTGTATTTAGAAGATAACACATAGTAAAATTGATGCTTGTTTTGGTGTAAAGTTCTATGAGTTTTAACACATGCATAGATTTATATAGCCTCTACCACAAACTGGATACGGAATTCCATCATCCCCCAAATCTCCCTTAGGCTGTGTCTTAGTAATTACACCCTCATCCCACCTCTAAGCCCTGGCAAACAGTCATCTGTTCTTCATCACTATAGTTTTCCCTTTCCCAGAATGTCATATCAATGAAATCATACATCTTTGAGGGTGTCTTTCATTCAGCATAGTGTCATTAAGATTCATCTATGTAGTTGCATGTATCAATGGTCTGTTCCTTCTTATTGTTCAGTAGTAGTCCATTATAACGCTATACCACAATTGTTTATTCATTCACCCATTGAAAGGCATTTGGTCACATAAAAAGCTTCTGCACAGCAAAGGAAACAATCAGCAAAGTGAAGAGACAACCCACAGAATGGGAGAAAATATTTGCAAACTACCCATGTGACAAGGGATTAATAGCCAGAATATATAAGGAGCTCAAACAACTATATAGGAAAAAGTCTAATAATCCTATCAAAAAATGGGCAGAAGATTTGAATAGACATTTCTCAAAAGACGACATACAAATGGCAGACAGGCATCTGAAAAGGTGCTCAATATCACTGATCATCAGAGAAATGCAAATAAAAACTACAATGAGATATTACCTCACCTCAGTTAAAATGGCTTATATTCGGCCGGGCGCGGTGGCTCACGCCTGTAATCCCAGCACTTTGGGATGCTGAGGTGGGCGGATCACCTGAGGTCGGAAGTTTGAGACCAGCCTGACCAACATGGAGAAACCCAGTCTCTACTAAAAATACAAAATTAGCCGGGCTTAGTGGCAGGCGCCTGTAGTCCCCGCTACTCAGGAGGCTGAGGCAGGAGAATCACTTGAACCCCAGAGGCGGAGGTTGTGATGAGCCGAGATCGTGCCATTGCACTCCAGCCTGGGCAACAAGAGTGAAACTCCATCTCAAAAAAAAAAAAAAAAAAAGCTTATATTCAAAAGACAGGCAATAACACATGCGGGTGAGGACATGGAGAAAAGGGAACCCTCATACACTGTTGGTGGGAACATAAATTAGTACAACCACTATGGAGAACAGTTTGGAAGTTCCTCAAAAGACCAAAAATAGAGATCCAGCAATGGATCTCTACCATATGATCCAGCAATCCCACTGCTGGGTATATACCCAAAAGAAAGGAAATCCGTACATCAAAGATATATCTGCACTCCCACGTTTGTTGCAGCACTGTTCAGAACAGCTAAGATTTGGAAGTAACCTAAGTGTCCATCAACAGGTGAATGGGTAAAGAAAATGTAGTACATATACACAATGGAGTACTATTCAGCCATAAAAAAGAATGAATTCCTATCATTTGCAGCAACATGGGTGGAACTGGAGATCATAATGTTAAGTGAAATAATCCAGGCACAGAAAGACAAACATTGCATGTTATTTGTAAGATCTAAAAATCAAAACAATTGAACTCATGGACATAGAGAATAGAAGGATGGTTACCAGAGGCTGGGAATGGGAAGTGGGGGGATTGGGAGGAAGGTGGGGATGGTTAATAGGTACAAAAAATAGATAGTTAGAAAGAATGAATAAGACATACTATTTGACTGCACAACAGGGTGACTGTAGTCAACAATAACTTAATGAACATTTTAAAATAATTAAAAGAGTGTAATTGGGTTGTTTGTAACTTAAAGGATAAAGTCTTGAGGGGATGGATGCCCCATTCTCCGTGATGTGCTTATTTCACATTGCATGCCTGTATCAAGACATCTCACGTACCCCACAAATATATACATCTACTGTGTACCCACAAAAATGAAAAATTAAAACATTTTTTTAAAAAAGTAAAAAAAAGAAAGGCATTTGGGTTTCCTTTTTTTTCACAATTATGGTTTGAGCTGCTATAAACATTTACGTAAAGGTTTTTGTGCACATAAGTTTTCATTTATGCAGGGTAAATACATGGAAGTGGGATGGCTGGGTAGTGTGGTAAGTATATATTCAACTTTTTAAGAAACTGTCAAAATATTTCCTAGAGTAGCTGTACCATATGTATTCTAATCAGAAATATATGAGAGTTCCAGTGGTTCTGCATCCTTGTCAGCACTTGGTATTGTCAGTTTTCTTTTCTTTTTTAGCCTTTTTTTTTTTTTTGAAAGAGGGTCTCACTCTGTTGCCCAGGCTGGAGTGCAGTGGCATCCAGCTCACGATGGTCTCTGCCTCCTGGGTTCAAGTGATCCTCCCTGCCTCAGCCTCCCGAGTAGCTGGGTCTACAGGCACGCACCACCATGCTTGGCTAATTTTTTGGTATTTTTTTTAGAGACAGGTTTCGCCATATTGCCCAGGCTGGTCTCGAACTCCTGAGCTCAGATGATCCACCTGCCTTGACCTCCCAAAGTGCTGGGATTACAGGCATGAGCCACCACACCTGGCCTTTTTTAGCCATTTTAATGTGCATTTCCCTAATGACTAATAATGTTGGGCATCTTTTCATATGCTCACTTATCACATATCATTTTTGGTTTAATACATTTTGCTCACTTTTCAATAGGCTTTTTTTTTTTTTACTGTTATGAGTTTATTATCTGGATACAAATCCTTTGTTGGGTATATGATTTGCAAATGTTTTCTTCTAGTTTGTATCTTGCAAAAGTTTTGGCTATTATTAATCTGTTATTAATTCTAGCCAGTATATTTCATCTTGGACATTGTAATTCTCATCTCTTGAAGTTTGATTTGGGTCTTTAAAATAAATCTTCCATGTCTTAACTTTTTGAACATATGAAATACTGTTATAACTCTTAATGTTCCTGTCTACTAATTCTAACATCCGTTCATTTAGGGGTTGGTTTTGATTGATTTATTCCCCACCCACCCCCCTATTTTGGGTTGTATCTTCCTTCTTTCCGTGCATAGTAATTTTTTTTTTTTTTTTGAGACAAGGTTTTGCTCTGTCACCCAGGCTGGAGTGCAGTGGCGTGATCGTGACTCATTGCAGTCTTGACCTCCCAGGCACAAGCGATCCCATCTCAGCCTCCTGAGTAGCTGAGACCACATACATGTGCCATCACACCTGGCTAATTTTTAAAATTTTTGGTAGAGATGAGGTCTCACTATGTTGCCCAGGCTGGTTCTCGAACTCCTGGGCTCAAGCGAGCCTCCCACCCCAGCCTCTCAAAGTGTTGGGATTACAGGCATGAGCCACAGGCGCGTGCCTGACCTGTGCCTAATAATTTTGGATTGGATACCAGACGTTATGAATTTTACCTTGCTGAATGTTTGATAATTTTTATTCCCATAAACATTCTTGAGCTTTATTCTGGGACACAGTTAAATTACTTGGAAACAGTTTGATCCTTTCAGGTCTTGCTTTTAAAATCTGTTAGGCAGGACCAGAATCCTTTAGGATTAATTATTCCCACAACTGACCCAAGACTCTTCTGCGTACTCTACCAAATTCCCTGTGCATTTTGAGGTTTTCCAGTCTCGTTAGTGGAAACAGTCCGTTTCCACTTGGCCCTGTGTAAATTCTCAGCACCATTCCCTCTAATCTCTTCAGCTGGTTCATTCCCTGGCCTTGGGTAGTTTCCAAACATGCTTGGACTGATTAGTACTCTGTTGAATACTCAAGGGGAACCCTCTGCAGATATCTGGAGTTTTCTCTGTCTTTGCAGTTTCCTCCTCTCTGGTACTCATTCCTGCAGATTCTAGCTGCTTTGTCACCCCAGATTCTCAGTTTGTCTCCTCAACTCAGGCTGTTTGTTAGGTTATGCAGGGTTCTCCTTCCCCGCACCGTGACCTGGAAACTCTTTCAAGGCAGTAATGCAGGGCAATTTTAGGGTTTACCTTGTTTCCAAGCTCTCTCCATGACTGTTATTTGTTGCTTTAATGTTCAGTGTCTTGTAACCTATTGTTTCATCCCCCCCCCACCATCTTTTTGGTTGTTTTGGATGGGAGGATAAAGGTAATCTTTTTAGTCGATCTTGGCCAGAATCATCCTAATAGTTTTTCATTGAATGTTTGGTATTGCACATGAAAAATTATAGACATAATTTGATTCCCTGTACAGTGTTTTTTCTTTGTTTTTGAGACAGTGTTGCTCTGTCGCCTAGGTTGGAGTTCAGTGGTGTGATCTCTGCTCACTGCAACCTCTGCCTCCCAGGTTCAAGCAATTATCAGATTATCTCCTGCCTCAGCCTCATCAGTAGCTGGGACTACAGGCACATGCCACCATGCCCGGCTAATTTTTTTTGTTGTTGTTGTTGTTATTTTTAGTAGAGATGGGGTTTCACCATGTTGGCCAGGCTGGTCTCGAACTCCTGACCTCAGATGATCTGCCTGTCTTGGCCTCCCAAAGTGCTGGGATTACAGGTGTGAGCCACCACGCCCTGCCTACGGTGTTATTTTCTTATAGTTTTATTTTAGCTTCTGGCTGTCAGTTGAAAGTGGGCCAGTTCTCCTTAATCTACTCAGGGATTGAGCTGATTTGAATCTGGGAATAAGTCTTTTTGAGGGCTTATTCACTTCTGATTCACCAGTTTTCTAAATATTTGGCCTTTCAGATATTCCAGCTGAAAGCATGGAGTGTTTATGAGGGTCTCTTCCTTGGTGGACTCTAAAGTCTAATTTCCTCCCTATCCCTTTGAGACTGTTGGAAGCACTGCACAGCTCCTCCGTATATATGAGTCATCACTTTCTGCTCAGCTTTTCAGCCTTTCAGCTGTGTGTGTGTGTGTGTGTGTGTGTGTTTTAAATCAGTAGATGACTCGATGGAAAAGCAGCACTGAATGTTGGTCTCATCTTTGTATGTTTCTCATCTATCTTTGCTCTCACGTCCTCATTGTACTAGTTCTGATACCTTCAAATAGATCTTAAACATCTTGTCTAGTTTTTCTGATTGTGCTTAGTGAGAGAGTTGGTATGCAAAAAGTTAGTCTACTTCTGCCTGAAACAGAAAACCTACCTTTCATTTTTTGTTGTTGGTTATTTTACTTCATCAAAGTGTTTGGAATTGGCATTCTATTCTATGGTCATAATTTACAGAGTTGTTTAGTGGTAGTTCTAAATGTATATGGTTACACTGTTCACCACCAGCCTTTTCACCATTGCAGTGCTGTTTTTGAGCTGTTTATTTTGATTCAGGATTTAGTTGGCTGGATTTTATTCACAAAAATTTTTCTCTGGGATCCTCCTTCCCCTGTTCCAACTGGCTTGATTTCTCTCCAGGTTGATTTGTGCAGCTGCTATCCTTGAATTACTTATTATTTTCCTAGTTATATTTACTATTTCTTTAACATTATATCTTTCTCTTTCTAGGCTTACATAGTCACATGCTGGAACACATCCTCTAAATTCCTGAAAAGGGTTTAAGAAGATAAATATTAAGTCCATGCATGTCTCAATACGTCTTTCTTCTGTTCTCACTCTTGACAGTTGCAGCTATATTAGTGCCTTTCTTATTACATTTAGAGGTACTGATGAGAATTCTAAGCATAATCTCATTCCATTTTATTTTGAAGCAGTATGTCTTTTCTCTTTGGTAACTTTATGAATTTTATTCTTTATTCTTGGTGTCCTGATATTTCCCCATGATAGACCCAGATATATTTTTAAAAACTGATCTTCCTTGCATTTGAGCGACTCTTTAAATATGAAAACTGGTGTCTTGTTTTCACCTCTGGGGAATTTTCATCTCATTTCAAAAATGATTTTCTCCCCTCTCTTTTCTTTAGCTTCTCTGGAACTTTCATCAGATCAATGTTGATACATCTGGATCTTTGTTTTCTAACTTTTCTTGGACATTTTTGTCTTTGTCTCTTTTGTTCCCCTTTTGCACTTTTTTTTTTTGAGATGGAGTTTTGCTCTTATTGCCCAGGGTGGAGTGCAATGGCGTGATCTTGGCTCACTGCAACCTCCGCCTCCCAGGTTCAAGTGATTCTCCTGCCTCAGCCTCCCAAGTAGCTGGGATTACAGGCATGTACCACCATGCCTGGCTAATTTTGTATATTTAGTAAAGATGGGGTTTCACTATGTTGGTCAGGTTGGTCTTGAACTCCAAAACTTCAGGTGATCCACCCATCTCGGCCTCCCAAAGTTCTGCAATTACAGGTGTGAGCCACCGTGCCCAGCCTGCACTGTGTTTTTAAAAATCACTCAGAAAAATTTTTTCTCCAGCTAGAGTTTTTTGATATTCAATTTTTAATTTTCTAATCTTTCACTGGTTTGTTTCTTCACAGCCAGTTCTTGTTTTATGAATGTGATCACCTCTTTAATCTTTCTCCAGATATTAATTATAATGGATTTTAAGTCATCTTCTGTTTTCCATATATACCCCTAATAATTTTAATGTAAATCAAGACCATATGTAATCCATTTATTGCAAGGCATCCATCCAAAGAAATCTAGGTCAGCAGCTAAAATTCATGACAAGTAATTTGCAGCATTTTGTTTCTTGAGAAGAGCCAAAGAGGAAATGTATTTTTAATGCCTAACATCTTAAATATTTCTTCTCCCCAAATATACCCTACACCTCTGGCAATAGAGCTCTGAAAATCTCTCCAACTAGCACTTTTCAGCCCTACCCAAGTCCCCTCTAATATCTAGTCCATACAGCTTCTATTTTTTCCCTTTTGCCCATCTTTTTCCAACTTGGAATCTCTGATACCTTCAAATAGATCTTAAACATCTTATCTAGTTTTTTTGAGACAGGGTCTGTCACCAAGGCTGGAGTGTAGTGGCATGATCATGGCTCACTGCAACCTCTGCCTCCTGGGCTCAAGCGATCCTCCCATCTCAGCCTCCCAGGTCACTGGGAATACAGACGTGCACCACCACGCCCGGCTTTTTTTGCCATGTTGCCTAGTCTGGTCTCGAACTCCTGGGCTCAAGTGATCTGCCTGCCTCAGCCTCCCAACCAAAGTGCTGAGACTACAGGCATGAGCCACCGTGCCTGGCCTTATTTCCTTTTTTTTTTTTAATTTCTCCTTGTGGGTTCTCTACAACAAAGGAAACCTAGGAGCTGTAACATGAAGAATTTTCCTCCCTTAGAAAATGAAGATAGTGAGGGAAGATTGTGAATTTTTGTCCCTGTTAGGCTTTTCCCAAGGAAGTATTTGAAAGTCTCTCTAAACAGAATCCTGGTATTTTATGGTAGCACCCAGAGACAACTTTTCTTCCAGTTCAATCTTTATCCTTTTCCTTTTGGGGTGAATTTAATTACTTATTTTTTGAAATCCTGGAGGTCCTGCCAGGTCGAGCTTGACTCAATCATGATTCCTTCTCACAAACTTCAGAGCCAGGGAGTGGCAGACACGCCACAGTTTCTGCCCTACATAATATGAAAAGGAGGATATGCTCACCAAGCGGTTATCTTTGTGTTTGTAGACTGCTGCTGCATGACCTTCTTTCTTTGCGGCTTGAAGCAAACCCAGGACACACAGAGCCTCCCAATGTTTGGAGCTAGCCCTTTAGCTTTCATTTTGCATGTGTCTGGGTTTCCAAAATGCCAGGGTTATGAGTAGCCAAAAACTCAGTGCTACCCAGTTTTTTTTTTTTTTTGAGATGGAGTCTTGCTCTGTTGCCCAGGCTGGAGTGCAGTGGCATGATCTCAGCTTACTGCAACCTCTGCCTCCTGGATTCAAGCAATTCTTCTGCCTCAGCATCCTGAGTAGCTGGGATTACAGGCACGCACCACCACACCTGGCTAACTTTTGTATTTTTAGTAGAGGCAGGGTTTCACCATGTTGGTCAGGCTGGTCTCAAATTCTTATCTCATGATCTGCCCGCCTCGGCCTCCCAAAGTGCTGGGATTACAGGTGTGAGCTACCGCATCCGACCTGTGCTACCCCACTTCTAACTCATTCTGTTCAGCTGAAAGCAAACTAGTGGGTACAGTCTTGTAACTGAACTTTTGGGAGGGGGGCCCTATTCAGGTTTCAGACTTTGCTCATGCAAAGCACTGGCATCTTGCTCATCCTGGGTACATCTTGTATTTGGAATCACTTCTCTCACACAGATCTCCACCAGAATCCTCCATCTGAGCTTTATCATGTGATATGGTTTGGCTGTGTCCCCACCCAAATCTCATCTTGATTTGTAGCTCCCATAATTCCCACGTGTTGTCGGAGGGACATAATTGGAGATAATTGAATCACGGGGGCAGTTTCCCCCATACTGTTCTCATGGTAGTGAATAAGTCTTATGAGATCTGATGGTTTTGTAAGGGGAAACCCCTTTTGCTTGGCTCTCATTTCTCTCGTCTGCTGCCATGTAAGATGTGCCTTTCACCTTCTGCCATGATTGTGGAACTGTGAGTCCATTAAACCTCTTTTTCTTTATAAATTACCCAGTCTCGGGTATGTCTTTATCAGCAGGGGAAAACAGACTAATACATCATGTAAACTTGCTTTTGGAGAACAGATATGGTAACCTTTTCCTCTCCCTCAGATCAGCTACACCAACTATGAGAATTCTGAAGATTATGATGAAGTCCATGATAACTGAATACATCTTGAGTATAAATTAGGATTACAGGCCCTTCATCTACATCAGAGGTTCTTAGCTCTAGCTACATGCTAGACTCACCTGGGATCCTTTCAAAGTTCCTCTTTGCAGGACTCAGGCCAGGCCAATTGAAGGTGAATCTCTTGGGAGGAGGGCAGGCATCAGTATAAAAAGCTCCCCAGATGACTCTGTGCAGCCGAGGTTGAGAGCTGCTGCTCCTGGCGCCTCTGGCCCTTCTAGCCTTGCTGGCTTCTTCCCCAGTAGATGCCTGCTGTGATTGTTGTTCCAATCTGAAGAAACAGAGGTGCCCTTTCTCCTTTCTCACCAACCTGTGCTGATAAATTGGGCCTGTGAATTTCAGTAGTTGTCCATTCTGCTATTCTCTCTAGGGGTATAAAGCAGCCCTCAAAAACCAAAACCAAAACCAAAACCAATTTTGGTGACCTAAGGTTCATGAACAACTCTCACACTGGAGTCACTTAATTGATGTTCACTTCTTGGGGCTTCCACCTGTTTACTATTTCATTGGCACCTCTAATCACAGATCAAGCCTTCTGATCTGGTACCTTAAGAGGTACTTCTTACTAATTTGTTTCTGGTAAGCCTATGTTGTCACAAGCCTCACAGAGGCTACTAAGTCCCAGGGAGCTGATAGCATTGGTGGAGCCCAATAGGACCCTGAGTGAGTGCAGGCATATTGGTCATGGATCCCCTGTCCCCATCCAGAAGCAACTTCAATTTCTTAAGAAACTGGCCATCTTGCAAGGGTGGCTCACAACTGTAATCCCAGCACTTTGGGAGGCCAAGGCAGACGGATCACTTGAGATCAGGATTTTGAGACCAGCCTGGGCAACATAGTGAAACCCTATCTCTACTAAAAATACAAAAATTAGCCAGGTGTGGTGGTACACACCTGTGGTCCACCTAATTGGGAGGCTGAGGTGGGAGGATCACTTGACCCCAGAAAGTCAAGGCTGCAGTGAGCCTGGATCATGCGGCTGTACTCCAGCCTGGGTGACAGAAAGATACTATGACTCAAAAAAATAAAAATAAGGGGCAAGGCGCAGTGGCTCAAGCCTGTAATCCCAGCACTTTGGGAGGCCGAGGTGGGCAGATCACGAGGTCAGGAGATCGAGATCATCCTGGCTAACACGGTGAAACCCCGTCTCTACTAAAAATACAAAAAATTAGCTGGGCATGGTGGCGGGCACCTGTAGTCCCAGCTACTCAGGAGGCTGAGGCAGGAGAATGGTGTGAACCCGGGAGGCGGAGCTTGCAGTGAGCCGAGATCGTGCCACTGCACTCCAGCCTGGGCGACAGAGCGAGACTCCGTCTCAAAAAAAATAAATAAATAAAAATAAATAAATAAGAATAAGACCGGGTGTGGTGTGGCTCACACCTGTAATCTCAGCACTTTGGGAGGCCGAGGAGGGCGAATCACCTTGAGGTCAGGAGTTTGAGACTAGCCTGACCAACATGGTGAAACCCCGTCTATACTAAAAATACAAAAAATAAATTAGCTGGTCATGGTGGCACAAGCCTATAATCCCAGCTACTTGGGAGGCTGAGGAAGGAGAATCGCTTGAACACAGGAGGCAGAGGTTGCAGTGAGCTGAGATCTCACCACTGCACTCCAGCCTTAGTGACAGAGTGAGACTCCATCAAAAAAAACAATAAAAATAAAAAATTTGGTCATTGGTGGAGATTAGGTTTTACTTTTATTTATTTTTTGAGACAGAGTCTCGCTCTGTCGCCCAGGCTGGAGTGCAGTGGTGCGATCTCGGCTCACTGCAAGCTCCACCTCCCGGGTTCACGCCATTCTCCTGCCTCAGCCTCCCGAGTAGCTGGGACTACAGGCGCCCACCACCATGCCCGGCTAATTTTTTGTATTTTTAGTAGAGACGGGGTTTCACCGTGTTAGCCAGGATGGTCTCAATCTCCTGCCCTCATGATCCGCCCACCTCGGCCTCCCAAAGTGCTGGGATTACAGGCGTGAGCCACCGCGCCCAACTGAGATTAGGTGTTAAAAAGACAATGGATTTTCTCGATTTGGTAGACTTACATAATATCACGTATGTTTGGTTTTCTCTCTGGTATATACAATTCAAACAGCATATTCTCACCAGATGTACCACTCTGATACCAGACTTCACAATGTCTCTCTCTTGGGCTATCTGGGGTTAATGTCAGAATTATCATGGCTTGGAGCTGGGCAGCTCCTATTTTTTGACATCATTGTTGGTGAAACATGGTGAAAATGTTTTCTGGTTCAGGTTTAGCATGAAAGGTTTTTTTTTTTTTTTTTTGTTAAAATAAGGCAGGGTCTCACTGTTTCGCCCAGGCTAGAGTGCAGTGGTGAGATCACGGCTAACCACAGCCTTGACCTCCTGGGTTCAAGCAATCTGCCTGCCTCAGCCTCCCAAGTAGCTGGGACTACAGGTGTGCACCACCATGCCCGGCTAATTTTTTATTATTTTGCTTACAGAGGTGGAGTTTCACCATGTTTCCCAGGCTGGTCTCGAACTCCTGGGCTCAAGTGATCCTCCTGCCTCAGCCTCTCAAAGTGTTGGGATTACAGGTGTGAGCCACGACACCCAGCCAGCATGCAACTTTTAATCTGAAGTCCATCTGAATATCAGACCTTAAACCCCAAAGATGGTTTACAGCACTCCAAATATAACCCAGGCCCTATGCCCCTTGCTTTGCTGGAGAAGGGACAGGACAGTCAAGAACTATCCCCTGCATGACCTTTTCCTGTCTTTGTCTTCTACTTGGGAAAAAGCAAAGTATTCTGGGTGATTAGAGAGGTAAAACGTGTAGCATGCCCACACCCTCAGCCAAGGAAACATACGAAGTTGGTTATTTCCTTCATCTTCTGTGCCATATGGAGTCTAAAGATCTTGGAAGGTTGGCCCTTATCCATTCAACTCATCTTATGTACCTGTGTCCGGTCCTTCAGTCAGTAGAGAGTGACCTCCTTGAACCATTTCCTTCCCATCTTTGTCCCTTTCCCCATATTCCTTAGTCTTTTTATCTGTTATCCTCTTTCATCTTCCTGTCTCCTCTTCTGTCATGGACTGTCAGTTACATTGTAGCCCATCCACTTTCCCTCTTGGATAGAGGTGAGGGGGAGAAACCTTTAGGGTCCTGAAGGTGGAAGTCGACAGTGGAAGAGTTCATCGTGATGCCGTGACTTGTGGGTGAAATAGTTATAAAGCAATCAGACATTTCTGTGAAGGAGAACTTCCTGTTGGTGTATATTTTGAACTTAATTATGCTGAAAGAGTTCGTGTCTCCTTCTCAACATTTAATTAGTTTTTTTTTTTTGAGATGGGGTCTCACTATATTAAGCCCAGGCTGTTTCAAACCCCTGGCCTCAAGTAATCCTCCCATCTTGGCCTCCCAAAATGCTGGGATTACAGGTGTGATCAGTTACGTTTTTAAAAAGCCCTCTTATCACCCCTAACTTGGGATGTGGCAGGCTCCTTGAGGTGGAGTGGAAAGAAAAAAAACACACAAAACTATCTCTCCATAAGCTGTTCCTTGTGTTGGTTGAGCTTGGTGCCTGTCTTTCGTGGCAATGGATTTCTTCAGGTGTCCTGTGGTTTTTGTCTGTGTGCTCCTTTTGCTGTGTGAGATCTTCTGCTTTTGCGGCTACGGATGCTGGCTCTGATGGAGAAGCTTGTTTTGAGGATTATGGGGTTGAGTGGAGTGGGGCTGCCTTTGTCACTTGGGGAATGGTGGCCCCGGGGGCAGTTTTAGGCAAAGAGTAAGCACAAGCCCTTAGAGAAAATGGGAGAGAGGAGAGGGGGCGAAGAGGGGGCTGAGCGGGGGCGGAGGTGGGAGGGTAGGGAAAGGGAGAGAAAGAGGGAGAGAAAGAGAGAGAATATTCCACATGTAGTCTTCAAATTAACCACCTGGAAGATTGTCCCATGACCCCTGCACACTCCATCTATTGCTCCCCAATTTTTCCAGTCTCCTTCCTCAGTTTCCTCTTGGGTTTGTTCTCACCTTCTGTTTTTCCTTCAAGAGTTCCTCAAATCTTTTGGTTTATAGTGTTTGGCTTTCTAGTGGTATTATACATAAATAATTAAAAAATTTTTTTCCTGTGATTTCAGTCATTTGGAAGGGATTTAGGTGCATGTGATCCATTTGAAATTTGTATCTAAATGCCAGGAGGCTGCCTTGGAAGGGCGCAAGCTCCCCACCGTGACAGGCTTCTGTGTTTAAGTAGAAGGAAGAAGGAGAATATTTAAGTATGTGACAGGGAATTACTCCACGTTGATGAATTTCAAAAAATGTTCACTGTGACCTGTAAGAAGAAATACATTTTACATAGATGTTCATTCATGATACAGGTAACTGAGACAAGAGTTTCATTAAACAATGTTTACCCTATGTGTAAGGCATCGTGAATTTTTTTTTTTTTTTTTTTTGAGATAGAGTCCCACTCTGTTGCCCAGGCTGGAGTGCAGTGGTACAGTCTCGGCTCACTACAGCCTCTGCCTCCCGGGTTCAAGCGACTCTCTTGCCTCAGCCTCCCGAGTAGCTGGGGACTATAGGCACCTGCCACTACACCAGGCTCATTTTTTTTATTTTTAATAGAGACGGTTTCACCATGTTGGCCAAGCTGGTCTTGAACTCCTGACCTCAGGTGATCCACCTGCCTCGGCCTCCCAAAGTGCTGGGATTAGGGATTACAGTCATGAGCCACCGCGCCCAGTCTGATTTTTTCTGAGTCAGGGTCTCCTCTGTCGCCCAGGCTGGAGTGCAGTTGGATAATTATAGCTCACTGCAGCCTCCGCCTCCCAGGCACAAATGATCCTCCTACCTCAGCCACCTCAGCCTCCTGAGTAGCTGGAATTACAGGTGTACACCATCATGCCTGGCTAATTTTTATATTTTTTTTGTAGAGACAAGGTTTCCCCATGTTGCCCAGGCTGGTCTCGAACTCTTGAGCTCAAGTGACCCACCCGCCTTGGCCTAAGTGCTGGGATTACAAGCATGAGACACTGTGCCTGGCCACATTGTGATTTTTCTATTGTATTTCATGAAGACATTCATTTATCTAAATATGGCACTAAAAGCACAAGAAACAAAAGAAAAAATAGATAAATTGAACTTCATCTAAATTAAAAGCTTGCATGTTTCAGGGGACATTATCAAGAAAGTGAAAAGATGGGGGAAAGTTTTGAAAATCATACATATGATGAGGGTTTAATATCCAAAAAATATAAAGAACTCCTACAACTCAAGTACAAGCAAACGACCCAATTTTTAAATGGGCAAAAGACTTAAATAGACATTTCTCCAAAGAAGACTTAGACATGGACCAAAAGCACATGAAAAGATGCTCAACGTCATTAGTCATTAGGTAAATGCAAATTAAAACCACAATGAGATGTTACTTCATACCCACCAGGATGGTTATTATAAAAAAATGGAAATAACAAGTGTTATGGGGATACAGAGAAATTGGAACCCTTGTATATTGCTGGTAGGAATGTAAAACGTTGCAGCTGCTGTGGAAAACAGTATGGTGGTTTTTAAAAAGTTAAACATAGAATTACCATATGATCCGGCCTGGCTCACACCTGTAATCCCAGCACTTTGGGAGGCCAAGGTGGGCAGATCATTTGAGGTCAGGAGTTCGAGACCAGCCTGGCCAACATGGTGAAACTGCGTCTCTACTAAAAATACAAAAATCAGCCGAGCGTGGCGGTGCATACCTGTAGTCCCAGCTACTTGGGAGGCTGAGGCAGGAGAATCGCTTGAACCCAGGAGGTGGAGATTGCAGTGAGCCGAGATCATGCCACTGCACTCCAGCCTAGGCAACAGAGTGAAGACTGTCTCAAAAAAAAAAAAAAAAAAAATTACCATATGATCCAATACTTCCAATCTGAGGTATATACCCCAAAGAATTGAAAACAGGAACTAAAGTTCTGATACATGTTACAACATGAATGAACCTTGAAAATGTTGTGTTAAATGAAACATACCAGATGTAAAAGGACAAATAATATATTATCCACTTATATGAAACATCTGGAATAGGCAAATTCATAGAGGCAGAAGGATAGAGGTTACCAGGGGCTGGGGAGAGAAAGAATGGGAAACTATTGCCTATGCTACAGTTTTTGCTTGGGATGATGAAAAAGCTCTAGAAATAGATAGTGGTGATATTTAAACAACTTTTTTTTTTTTTTTTTTTTGAGATGAAGTCTTACTCTGTTGCCCAGGCTGGAGTGCAGTGGCGCTATCTCGGCTCACTGCAACCTCTGCCTCCAGGGTTCAAGCGATTCTCCCACCTCAGACTCCTGAGTAGCTGGGATTACAGGCACCCTCCATTGTGCCTGGCTAATTTTTGTAGAGACAGGGTTTCACCATGTTGGCCAGGCTGGTCTTGAACTCCTGACCTCAGGTGATCCACCCGCCTTGGCCTCCCAAAGTGCTGGGATTACAGGCGTGAGCCACCGCATCTGATCTAAACAACATTTTAAATATACATAATGCCACAGAATTGTACACTTAAAGTGATTACAATGATATATTTTAGGATATGTACATTTTACCATTTACCAAGAAATATTGTGATATAAATTTACTTATCAAAATCCACCAAGTTATTTTGATCCACGAATAAGTCACATACAATAGGTAGAAAAGCACTGCTAGATTATCTTTAATAACAACCTAGATATTTTAGCCATATGAAGAAAGGTTTAAAAGTTATGAATTGGTACATTGTGAATGGCGCAGCCACGTTTTTTTGAAGTATATTTTGTTAGGCACAAATGATCACATGTTGAATTTATCAGTTGTGATGCTAACTTAAGGGACCCTTAGTGTAGAATGACTGTTCTCTTAGTAAAACATCCTGGCTTGCGTGCAAAAACCTTACATGTCGTTATAATTTGCCACCATACGTGTCAAAATCTGCAAGAAAATTTGAAAATCATCTAAATCACTTAGAATGGTAACAGAACGGAAATTAATCATAATTTTTTAAAGAACAATTGCATAATACGCAAAAATTCCCTATTAACAAGAATATTTGATTGGCTGCTTAAATCTTTATTACCAGAGTTTGTTGTGTTAGGTGCTATTCTCAAGGGGCTGGGGACCCTTGTTCACAGTGATGGGTGCCACCTACTGGATATACTAATATTTTCTCTGACAACATCAGAAATTCTCTTTCAGGACTCTTTTGGAAGCGAGTATTCCCTCCCTTCCCTTCCCCCTATCCCACTCCCACTAGCCCCATGTTAACACAGCTGGAACGGAACACAGAATTCCCATGAGGCTATGACAGGCAGCTTCTGACCTGGATCCCCTGAGTGTGGGCTACACTAGTGACTTGCTTCTAATGAACAGAATAGGACAAAAATGATGGGATGTCCCATCTGAGATTAGGTTACAAAACACCGTGACCTTTTTTTTTTTTTTTTTTTTTTTGAGACATGGTCGTGCTCTGTCGCTGAGTCTGGAGTGCAGTGGCATGGTCACAGCTCACTGCAGCCTCAACCTCCCGGGCTCAAGCCATCCTCCCTAATAGCTGGGACTATAGGCACATGCCACCACTCCCAGCTCATTTTTGTATTTTTTTGTGAAGACAGGGTTTTGCCATGTTGGCCAGGCTGGTCTCAAACTCTGGTCCTCAAGTGATCCGCCCACCTCGGCTTTCCAAAGTGCTGGGATTACAGGCATGAGCTACCACGCCTGGCCAAGACTGTGGCTTCTGTCTTGATTGCAAACTGTCTCTGATGCCTCTTGCGTGCTTGTTCTGAGGAAGCCAGCTACCATGCTGTCAACCACCCCATGCAGAGGTTCACATGGCCAGGAACTGAGAACAGCTTCTGGCCAACAACCAGCAAGAAACTGACGCCCTCAGGGGAACCAAGGCCCTTAGTCCAACAGCTTGTGAGAAACGGAATCTGGCCAACAACCACGTGAGTGAATTTGCAAACAGATCCTTCCCTTGTGAAACCTTTAGATGAGCCAGTAGCCCCGGTGAACATTCTGATTGCAGCCCTGGGAGAGACCCTGATTCCTGCAGCATAGAAACTGTGAGAAAAGAAATGTGTCGTTTTGAGCCATTACGTTTTAGGATAATTTGTTATGCAGCAGTAGGTAACTAATTCAGGGGCCCAAACTAATTCTGATGGATTTTCAAAAGCTTTAGAAGTTTCCTGTTTGAATTTGGCTTCATAAGCCTCAGTAAAAACTTTCTACTGTGCTTGCTCGTTTAGCCTGTTAGACCTTGTGTTCCCAGGGGAAAACTTTTGGACGCTTCTGGGGCCACTCAGTCTGTAGTCCTGCAAAGATGTCACAAAAGGTAAATCTTGATCATATACCATGTGAATGAGTGTTCGAAGGTTAGGTACACTTTCCAGAGGAACATGTATTTTTTTTTTTAATCATTAATTTTCTGTTGCAAGAGTATAACATGAATACACTCTCCTTATGAAAATAAGTACGTTATAAATAGAGTCCTCTTTGACAGTAACTCAATCTAGGTCCCTCTCCTCCCCACCTGTCCCCACCCTCAGTTATGAGTTTGGAGTAAATCTTTCCAGACCTAAAAAAAAAAAATTACATAAACACATGTGTTTGTTTTTGCAACAATGATACTCTCCTTCCATATCATTCACTTTTTTCATTACTCACTTTTTTCCACTCAACCATCTCATTCAGTTTTGAAATCCCTGTTGCTACATGTGGATCTAGTTAATTCTTAGCTATAAAAAAATGAAAACTTATTTTCCCACTGATGACTTATAGGTTGTTTCTAGATTTTCATTTTTTCCACACGATGCTACAGTGAACACCGCCTGCTTGTCCATGTCAGAGTGTCCTTTTCTAGGGAAGACACCTAAGACAGGAAATGTTGGGGAGGGGAGGGGAAATCATGTGAACATTTTAAAGACTTAGACACACTCCCAAATTGCTCACCAAAATGACCGTGCCAATTTATACTTCCTGCAGTAATGAAATTGCCTGTTTGCCCCAATCTTTGCCAAAATGTCATATTTTCCAATCTGGCAGGTGAAAATGATTTCTTGTTGTTTTAGTTTGCATTCCCCTGGTTATTAGTGAGGCTGACAATCTTTTCATATATTAATTGGCAGGTCCTCTCCCTTTTTACAGGGCTCCTATGAGAGGAGTTGTGTGTGTCTGTGTGGGGGTGTGGGGGTGGGGATTGGATTTGAGCCTTGGTGCCAACTACTTGGGGGAGTTGCATACCAGTTCTGAGAACATGAGCTGCCATTGCTGATGGCACTGGAGGAGACTGTGAGAAACTGAGATCACAGACAGCCTCTCCCTCTGGGGTGAGGAGGAGCCACTGCTTTCAGCAAGGTCACCAATCTAAAGAGAGCCACTGGGGTTATGCAGTCCACAAAGTGCTTGCTCACACCCACTGTGTGAAGGCAATGACAACAGGGTTAGGACATTGGCTGGACTGATGGCCTCCAATCAGTGCAAAATCAAAATAGGTTGCTGTTGCACCATGGGGGTAGGACAGAGGATGGCTGGAACTCAGGGGGCGTCCCTAGGTAACAGTTAATGGAATACCACTGAATACCCAAACAGGCAGGACTAACAAGGGCATGGACCCTCAGGAAGTAAAGCTTGGATCACCTCACACCAGCAAGGGAAGAGGAATTTGGATTGCATGAGAGAGGACAGGAGCCTCATAGCTACTTGCAAACACAAAGACTGTTGCTGATCCTCGAATTTTCTTCCTTGCCAAATATATATGTTCATAAACAATTTCTCATCTCTTTGGCTCCTTTTTCCTCAATGTGGATAAACTTGCTATTTAGACCATAGGTTACAGAATTGTGATGAAATTAGAAGAGGCAGAGGTCTGATCCAAAGATCTTTATCTTGGAGGTAGGTGCAGAAATGGAAGAGACTTTGGTGTGTCTCTCTTTGGGAAATGTGAGTCCACTTTCCGTTGTAAGAGGAAAAAATCACATTATTTTAGGCAACAGAATTTTGGAAAGTTTATCTATGGGAAGCTATGTCCAAAGGGATGGACTATTCCGTGGGGGAAGGCGGTACCACCCACATCCATTCATCCTTCCTGACAGCACGCATGATCACCTCTGGCCAGTTCCCTAGGTGTGCACCATCTTGGTGGAATGATAAATCGAGGATCTAGCAGAACTCTCACTACAGAAATGAAGAGGCCCCTGAAGGCAACATCTTCCAGATTCTTCCTCTAATCTCTTCAACAGAGCCAAGGTGCCAGCATGTTGCCGAAAGTATGTGAGGGTGACTCACTCCTCCGGAACTTTTAATCCTTTAATCCTAAACGGAGTGAAGCAAGTCTATTCATTCCAGAGGCAGTGCTGGGAAAGACTGTCAAACCATGGAGACTTTCTGGAACTCCCTGATTCTGTTTTGTTCCATTGGATGAATCTACTACAATTTATTTTTCTCTATCGACATCTGGGGCTATCTCGAATACTGCTGCTAGGAACATTCTTACACTTCTCTTTTGGTGCACATGCTCACACATTTTTCTTGGGCACGTACCCAGGAGTAAAACTGATGGGCTGTAGTTGTAAGATTGCAACATGCATTTTAGATTTGTTGAAGTCTAATGTTAACTGGCATTTTTGCCTACTTCCCAGACAATGCAAGGACTCTAGAACACTTCATTTATACCCTCTCCTGACCTATATGCCATTATAGCTGTGTATATTAAGCCTCCCAAGACATTATTTTCATTGTATTTTATAGTCAGTATTAATTTAGAATGGCCCACATATTTACAATTTCAGTTGCTCTTCATTCCTTCCTGCAAATACAAACTTTCATCTGGGATCAACTTCTTCCTGCCTGAAGGATACCTTTTAGTATTTCCTTTAAGGAAGTTTGTCAGCCTTTTGTCTGAAAATATTTTTATTTCACCTTCAATTTTGAAGGTTATTTCCAATTAATATATAATTTGGGATAGGCAGTTATTTTCTCTCAACATTTTGAAGATCTCATTTTAGTTTCTTCAAACTTGTTCTGTTGGGAAGCTAGCTGTCCTATTGCTCCTTTGAAGGCAATTGCCTTTGTGTGTGTGTGTGTGTGTCTGTGTCTTAAGATTTTGTTTCTTCGTTTTTAGCAATTTGACTATGATGTACCTAGCTGTGGTTTTATTTGTATTTATCCTGCTTTAGATTAATATTGATACTTAAATATATGGCTCATATGTTTCATTTGTTTTAGAAAATTGTGAGCTGTTATCTCCAAAATATTGCCTTTGTTCCAACTTATCTCTTCTTTCCTGCTGGAACTCCAATTACCCTTTTGTTAGATCTAGTCATTGTAACCTATGTTTCTTACCCTGTTTTCTTCTTTTTTTCCTTCTGTACTTTGTCATGGATTTTTTTCTCCCCATCTATCTTCCAGTTCATCAATTATTTTGTTAGCTGTGCATAATATACTGTTAAACCCATTGATCAAGTCAATTTCTGTTACCGTATTTTTTTTTGTTTTCAATTTTCATTTGGTTCTTCTTTTCCTAGTTTCTAATTTTTTGCCAAACTTAAAATCTTTTTTTTTTTTTTTTTTTTTTTTTTTTTTTTTTTTTTTTTTTTTGAGATAGAGTCTCCCTCTGTTGCCTAGGCTGAAGTGCAGTGGCGTGATATCAGCTCATTGCAACCGCTGCCTCCCGGGCTTAAGTGATTCTCCTGCCTCAGCCTCCCGAGTAGCTGGGACTACATGCGTGCACCACCACGCCTGGCTAATTTGTGTGTTTTTAATAGAGGGGAGGTTTCACCATGTTGGCCAGGCTGGTCTCAAACTCCTGACCTCAAGTGATCCACCTGCCTCGGCCTCCCAAAGTACTGGGATTACAGGCGTGAGCCACCGTGCCCGGCCTAAATATTTTAAGTCTTTGGACATATTAACCACAGTAATTTTTAAATTGAAATCTAATAACCTCATCTGAATCTCTGTGGTTCTACTTCTGTTGTCTAGTTTTCTTCTTTTTCTCATTTTTTCTCACCCTCTCGAGTAGCTGGGATTACAGGCGGGTACCACCACACCCAGCTAATTTTTCTATTTTTAGTAGAGGCGGGGTTTCACCATGTTGGCCAGGCTGGTCTTGAACTCCTGACCTCAGGTAATCCACCCACCTTGGCCTCCTGAAGTGCTGGGATTACAGGTGTGAGCCAACACGCCCGGCCTTCTCCTTTATTCTTGAAGGACATTTTCACTAAGTATAGATTGTTATTGTTATTTTTCTTTGTGCTCATTGAAATTATGTTTTATTTTTGTCAAAAAGTCCACTGTTTCTTCTTTGTAGGTAATATATCTTTCATGACTATTTTTAAATTTTTATTTTTGAAGACTTTTTCTTCAGTTTTGATGCGATGTGTTAGGTATGGATTTTAGAAAGTCCTATTTGTGATGCATTGGGCTTCTGGAATATACGGATCAATGTCTTTTATCTCAGCTTCCGTCACTTGCAAATATGCCTCTACCTAATTCTTGCTCTCTCTTTTCCTTCTGGAACTCCAACTACATGTATGTTAGACTTCTCACATTATTTCCCATGTTAGCTTCTCTTTGTATTTTGTTTTTGTCTGTATGCTAAATTCTGGATAATGTTTTCTGAACCATCTTCCAACTGGCTATTCTTTCTTCATCTCTATGTTATTTACTGTTAAACCTATCCACTGAATTTTCAATTTTGCTTACTGAGTGTTTTTTTATTTCTAGAAGGTCTATTTTGTTTTTCCAAGTATTTGGGGTCATCTTTTTATACAAAAGTATGTTTGTTTTTCCAAGTTTTGGGGTCATCTTTTTTTTAACAAAGTAAACTTGATTTTAGAGTAGTTTATTTTATTTTTGAGATGGAGTCTCGCTCTGTTGCCCAGGCTGGAGTGCAGTGGGATGATCTTGGCTCACTGCAACCTCTGCCTCCAGGGTTCAAGCAATTCTCCTGCCTCAGCTTCCCAAGAAGCTGAGATTACAGGCATGTGCTCCTATACCCAGCTAATTTCTGTATTTTCAGTAGAGATGGGGATTTCACCATGTTGGCCAGGCTGGTCTCAAAGTCCTGACCTCAAGTGATCCACCAACCTTGGCCTCCCAAAGACAACAGTTTCGGACTGACAGAAAAGTTGCAAAGATAGTACAGAAAGTTCAAGCTGCAAAGATAGTACAGAGAGTTCCCATATACCCTGCCTTCAGTCTTGCCTATTGTTAACATCTTACATTATGGTACATTTGTTGCAACTAATAAGCCAATACTGATATTATTAAATTCCTGACTTTATTCATATTTCATTAGCTTCCCGCAACGTCTTTTCTGCGTTCCAGGATCCCTCCCAGATATGTTATGTATAGTCATCACATCTTCTTAGCCTCCTCTGGACTGCGACGGTTCCTTACACTTCACCTGTTTTTGGTGACCTTGACCGTTTTGAGGAGCGCTGGTCATGTATTTTGCAGACTATTCCTCAAATTAAGCTTGTCTGATATTTTTCTCATGGTTAGACTAAGGTTACAGGTTTTTAGGAAGGAGGCTGCAGAGGTGATGGGCCCTCATCACATCACCATCAAGGACACATGCTATCAATGTGACTTGTCACAGATTACATTAACCTTGATCACCTGGCCAAGATGGTGCTCGTGAGGTTTCTCTGCTGTTATTTTCCACCCCAGTCTTTTAATACTGTCTTCATTGGAAGTAAAACTCTAAGCACAGCCTGTACTTAAGGTGTGGGGAGTTAAGTTTTACCTCCCTGGGGAGTGCGTAGCTACATAAATCATGTAGAATTCTTCCATATAGGAGACTGTCCATTCTGCCTCATTTCATTTATTAATTTTTTCAATTGTTTATATTACTGTTGAGTCATGGATTTTTTTTTTTTTTTGACAGAGTCTCTGTCACCCAGGCTAGAGTGCAGTGGCACCATCTCAGCTCACTGCAACCTCCACCTCCCCAATTCAAGCGATTCTCCTGCCTCAGCCTCCCGGATAGCTGAGATTACAGGCATGCGCCACCACACCCGGCTATTTTTTATATTTTTAGTAGAGATGGGGTTTCACCATGTTGGTCAGGCTGGTCTTGAACTCCTAATCTCAGGTGATCTGCCCACCTTGGCCTCCCAAAGTGCTGGGATTACAGACATGAGCCACTGCACCCCGCCGGATATTTCTTGTATGCTTCAGATTATAATTCAGTACTACATTCTTCATTTTATTTCCCCTGTCCAAATTGTTCCAGCTTTGGCCATTGCTAGCTCCCCTCAGGTGCTTCCTGTGTCCCTTTGACACAGCCCCATCATTTTGTTGTTTGAGCACTTCATTATCTCTGGCCCTTCAAGATGCTCCAGGCTCATTTTGTATTTTCCCCGCCCCAGTCCTAGAATCAACAATTTCTCCAAGGAACCCTGGGTTCCCTTTTTTTTTTTTTTTTTTGAGATGGAGTCTTGCTTTGTCACCCAGGCTGGAGTGCTGTGGTGCAATCTTGGCTCACTGCAACCTCTGCCTCCCCAGTTCAAGTGATTCTCCCGCCTCAGCCTCCCGAGTAGCTGAGACTACAGGTGCATGCTACCACGCCCAGCTAATTTTTGTATTTTTAGTAGAGACAGGGTTTCACCATGTTGGCCAGGATGGTCTCAACCTCTTGACCTTGTGATCCGCCTGCCCCGGGCTCCCAAAGTGCTGGGATTACAAGCATGAGCCACCACGCCAAGCCCCTGGTTCCTTTCACTGGAGAATATGGTATTAGAAACCAAGAAGGATCACTGTTTAGAGTTGTTTCTTCTTGCAGATATTTTAAATCATGTCTTTTATTCTTTAAATAAAGTAAGCATTTAAAAAATTGGTCTCGGCCGGGCACGGTGGCTCATGCCTGTAATCCCACACTTTGGGAGGCCGAGGCAGATGGATCACCTGAGGTCAGGAGTTCAAGACCAGCCTGGCCAACATGGTGAAGCCCCGTCTCTACTAAAAATACAAAAATCAGTGGGGCGTGTTGGCACACGCCTGTAATCCCAGCTACTCTGGAGGCTGAGGTGGGAGAATCGCTGGAACCCGGGAGACGGAGATTACAGTGAGCCAAGACTGTGCCACTGCACTCCAGCCCGGGCAAGAGAGTGAGACTCCATCTTAAAAAAAAAAAAAAAAATTAGTCTCTCTCTGAAGTTTTGGTATGTCTGTTTCTGTAGTCAGTTGTTTCAACTGGCTCCCACTCCTGGTGCCTTGTTCTCCTGTTTATTATTAATTTTTTTTTTTTTAATAGAGACAGGGTCTTGCTCTGTTACCCAGGCTGGAGTGTGGTGGCATGATCGTAGCTCATGGTAGCCTCCAACTCCTGGGCTCAAGCAATCCTCCTGCCTCAGTCTCCCGAGTATCTGGGACCACAGTTATGCACCACCACCTGCCTGGCTAATTTTGTGTTTTGTAGAGACGAGGTCTTGTTATGTCGTCCAAGCTGGTCTCCAACTCCTGGGGCTCAAGGGAGCCTCCTGCTTCAGCTTCCCAAAGCATGTACAGGTGTAAGCCAATATTTTTTACTTTATACTGGTTGCTGTACTTGAAAAATTATTCTGGAGATTCACTGAAGCCCAAGATGAAGCTGCTTTTCTCAAAAAGATTTTGCATTTACTTTTTCTTCTTGGATTACTCCTCATCTGGGACCATTTTAGATGAGGATACAATTGTAATTTCTCTGAACTACCCAGACACTGAACTTGTGCTGCAAATTCACGCAAAAGCCAGCTTCATGGGCACAAGATTTTTTTCCTTTTCCTTTTCTTCCTGCTCCAAATATCGCTAAGCCAGTGCAATCCCAGCTTAGCCTGTAAAAGGCCTCCTGTTATTTTCTCTACCTTGGGCAGGCCCTGGCATTGTTTTATGTCCAAATTGTCTCATTAATCCACTAAAATTGAAGCACAAGTGTTTCTTATTAGCATACCACCTTGGGGTAAGCATGGTTTTGTGCTTTAAAATTATCTTTCTATAGGCTTCTGCTTTTTTCTTGGAGCTTAGCCTGGAATTTACTTACTTTTTCATTAGCTTTTTAATGTTCTTAAGATTTAAAATTTTAAGCCAAGTGCAGTGGTGCGCATCTGTATTCCTGCCTACTCAGGAGCCTGAGGCAGGAGGATTGCTTGAGGCCACGGAGTTCGAGACCAGCTTAGGCAACATAGTGAGACTCCCATCTCTTAAAAGAAAAAAAAAAGATTTACAATTTTATAAAGTCCTTAAAACAGCATGAAAAGAAAAAAAAATTAAAAAATAAAATGTTATATCACATATTTGTTTTCAATGGGATGGTTGGTATAAATAGTACAGCCCATCTTTCCCAGAAATAGCTTTTTAAATCTAGGGACGCTGTCTTTCTTTGGTTCTGGAAAATTCTCAGACATCATCACCTTAAATATTGCTACCTCCTGATTCTAGTTTCTGTCTCTCTCTGGAACTTATATTAAATATGTTTTGGTGCTTTTCAATCTATCCCCCTAGCTCTGAACTACTTTTTCATATTTTTCATCTCTTTATCACTGACTCTGGATGACTTCCTCAGCTCAGCCTTCTAAATCACAAACTCACTCTTTGTGTCCATTCTCTTGTTTATCTCATTATGCTGGGCACTTGTTACTTTGTCCCCAGATTCATTCCCCATCCTCCTCTACCCTGTGCTGTGTTGCAGGGAACTATATACCCCATGGTCTTTTTTGTGTAAGTTTGGCCTGTGGGAAGTATTGGCAGATGACTTGAGGGAGAGATAAGAGTGAAACTAGGGTATTTCTCTCCCTCTGTCTCGGCTTTAAGCAATGTCTCTGGAAGAGACTGTGTCTCCATCTCCTGCCAGATAGCTGCACCTTCCATGGTCTCAGATCCTGCTGTGGTTCTAGCCCCAATCAGATAGCTCTAAATGCTTAATTCTGGTAATACACCCTCCTTCTGCTGTCCCTTTAGCCATAGGGGAGGTAGCAGCTTTTCTTCTTTTCTTTTCCTGTTTTGAATCTCTGGGATGTCTCACCATCCCCTCTTGGCTTCTAAGTTCCTCTGTCACCTGTGTAATAAATTCCTTCTATAAAGATGCCTCTGTTGAAAATATCTAGAGAGATTTTTCTTTTCCTAACTGGACCCTGACTGATATACCATCTAAAAATTAGTTCAGTGGCTTTAAAAAGGTTTCCAAGAGTTTCATCTATTTTTATTTTTTTTTTGAGACAGAGTCTTGCTCTGTCGCCCAGGCTGGAGTGCAGTGCTGCAATCTCGGATTACTGCAACCTCTGCCTCCTGGGTTCAAGCAATTCTCCTGCCTCAGCCTCCCAAGTAGCTGGGACTACAGGTGTGTGCCACCATGCCCAGCTTTTTTTTTTTTTTTTTTTTTTTAAATTTTTAGTAGAGATGGGGTTTTAACATGTTTGCCAGGCTGGTCTCGAACTCCTGGCCTCAAGTGATCCGCACACCTCAGCCTCCCAAAGTGCTGGGATTATAGGCGTGAGCCATCGCACCTGGCTGAGTTTCATCTATTCTTGATTCATAACCATCTGCTTTTTTTTTTTAATTAATTTTTTTTTTATTTTTGAGACGGAGTTTTGCTCTTGTTGCCCAGGCTGGAGTGCAGTGGCATGATCTCGGCTCACCGCAACCTCTGCCTCTCAGGTTCAAGCCATTCTCCTGCCTCAGCCTCCCGAGTAGCTGGGATTGCAGGCAGGCGCCACCACGCGCGGCTAATTTTGTATTTTTTAAATAGAGATGGGGTTTCTCCGTGTTGGTCAGGCTGGTCTCAAACTCCCGACCTCAGGTGATCTGCCTGCCTTGGCTTCCCAAAGTGCTGGGATTACAGGCGTGAGCCACCGTGCCCGGCCTGTTTGTTGACTTTAACTGCACTCATTTTTAAATCCTTTCCAGATTGCTCTATTACTTCTATTTTCTTTTATGTGAATCTTCTTATATGTTGGGTTTCATTGTAGCCTTTGTAATTTTTTTTTGAGTGCTCATCTTACACGGAGGCTTTTTTTCTTTCCCACTCTCCCTGGAAAATGGTTTTATGATTGCTTCAGCCCAGTGTCCTGAGAACAAAGTTCAGTGGCTCTGGGCTCTTGCCCTGTGAGTATATCACAATTCCAAACCGGGAGCTTGCATGAAATGTATTCCTGGTGCCTGCTGTGTAAATATCTCTGCTTTTCCACTCTATCACAGGCAAGAACTTTGTTTCTAGTTGCACTCTCCAGCAGCTAGGTAAGAATTTTTCAGACATAGCTGGTTGAGCATGAGCTCAGTGCATCAGTTTTCCTGTGAATAGGTGTGCAGTGGTTCCTTATTCCTTGGAGTTGAAATTCCAGACTTCGCTATTTGTGTCAGGTCCTGGGTGCTATGGGCCAATGCGTTAAGCTCCCACTTATTGCTATGGGTTTCCACTAAGTTTCCAGTCCATGAATTTTAAAAATCATGTCCTTGAGTATTTTCTGAAACACACCATCATTTCTTACATTTTTGAAACACAGTGAAGAAAGCTTAGCATATGTTCCCCCTGAATCAACACAGTACAGAACCACTGTTTTGTCTAAAGTCTTGCTACTCAATGTGTGGTCTGTGGGTTCGTTTCAAATGCAAAATCTCAGGTCCACCTGGACTTGCTGAATCAGAAACTGCTCTTTAACAAAATTCTGCAGATGATTTGCATACATATTAAAGTTTGAGGAGCACTAGTTTAAGGGTCAGTTAGTTCTAGTATAACCAACCTGAACAAAATCAGACCTTTAGAAAGCTTTTATTTCCAGCTGGGTGTGGTGGCTCACACCTATAATCCCAGCACTTTGGGAGGCCAAGGCAGGTGGATCACTTGAGGCCAGGAGTGCGAGACCAGCCAGGGCAACATGGCAAAACCACGTCTCTACTAAAAATACAAAAATTAGCTGGGCATGGTAGCATGTGCCTGTAATCCCAGCTACTCAGGAGGCTGAGGTGAAAGGATCGCTTGAACCCAGTAGGCGGAGGCTGCAGTGAGCTGAGATCACGCCACTGCACTCCAGCCTGGGCGACAGAGTGAGACTCCATCTCAAAAAAAAAAAAAAAAAGGGTTGAATTCCCTTCCTCCCTCTCCTATCTCTTCCATGTTGATATATCTTGAATTTTAGTTACAATTTGGTATTAAAGACTATGAATTTTATAAGCAATAATTTAGACCTACCACGTATCTTATTAATTTCTTTGTTGTCTATTGCTTCTGGCATCCTACCGTTTCTTTTGGTTTCTTTTTTTTTATTTATGAACTGGAAAATTTAATATTGTTAAGATGGCAATAATATCCACAATTTTAAAAAGATTTAATACATTTCATATTACATTTTAATGGTCTTTTTGCAGATATGAAAAAAGGTGATCCTCAAATTCATATGGAATGTAAGGGGCTCAGAATAATCAAAACGATATTGAAAAAGAACAGCCAGTTTGGAAGTCTCGCACTTCTCATTGGTTTCATTTTTTAATTAATTTATTTTTTTTTTGAGAAAGAGTCTCACTCTGTCACCCAGACTGGAGTGCAGTGGTGTGATCTCAGCTCATTGTAGCCTCAACCTCTTGGGCTCAAGTGATCCTCCCACCTCAGCCTCCTGAGTAGCTGGGATCACAGGCATGTGCCACCACTCCTGACTGTTTATTTTTGTATTTTTTGTAGAAATGGGATCTCACTATGTTGCCCAAGCTGGTCTTGAACTCCTGAGATCAAGCGATCCTCCCGCTTTGGCCTCCTAAAGTGTAGGAATTACAGGCGTGAGCCACTGTGCCCAGCCTGGTTTCATTTTTCTCTTACTGAAGTGCTCTTGGAGCATCTGTTATGATCAAATGTCTGAGTCCTTGTAATCTGAGGATGTTTTTATTTTGCCCTCATTCTCGAAGGACAATATTAATAGATATAGAATTTGAAGTTCAAAGATATTTTCCCTGGCAGAGTGTGCCCTTTGGGAGGCTGAGGCAGGTGGATCACCTGAGGTCAGGAGTTCCAGACCAGCCTGGCCAACACGGTGAAACTCTGTCTCTACTAAAAATACAAAAAATTAGCTGGGTGTGGTGGCGGGTGCCTGTAATCCCAGCTACTCAGGAGACTGAGGCAGGAGAATCACTTGAACCCGGGAGGCGGAGCTTGCAGTGAGCCAAGATCGCGCCATTGCACTCCAGTCCGGGCAACAAGAGCGAAACTCCATCTCAAAAACAGACAAACAAACAAAAAAAAAACCCAACAAACAAACAACAAAAACCAAAGATATTCTCCCTCAGCACTTAGCAACTATTACTCTATTATCTTCTTGCATCCATAAAAAAAACCAAAAAAACAAAAAAAATCTTTTTACTCTGAACAATTTTAATCTTACAGAAAAGTAGAAGGAATAACACAATGAGACCCCAGATATCCCTCCCTTGACTTCAGCAATGATCAATATATTTGCATCCATTTTGCTGATGGGATATCTCATGTTAATCTTGTTCTCATTTTTGGGGGGTCTTTTTGTTCTTCTGGTAACTTTTAGGTAGCTCTTCATCCTTCTTGTTCTGAAAATTTACCACAGTGTCTATGTTTTTTTTTTTTTTTTTAAATCCTGATTAGCATTCAGAGAGGTCTCTCTCAATCTAAGGACTTGTGTTTTGGTGCAGTTCCAGGAATTTGTTGACTATTATTTTTTGAATATTGCTTCAATTATCTCCTTCTGGAAATTCTTTTAGAGGAATTTGTAACTACTGAATCTTTTCTCCATGTGTCTTTACAATTTTCTTCATTCTTTTCATCTCTTTATCTCTGTGCTCTGTTCTGGGAAAATTTCTCAATATAGCCTTCAGCTTCCTGGTTTATCTTTCAGCTGTGTATAATCTGCTATTCACTGATACATTTTTTGGTTGCTAAGCTTTTAATATTTTATGGTTACAATGCTTGATTGTGTACTTCTCTCCCCTAGGAAAATTCTCCTGGGTGCATCCCTAGTGGAAATGGTTATCTAGAGGGCCTAACTGGCAGAGGGGCAGGCCTCATAGGAACACTGTGGCTGCAGTGTGAGCCCGGACCTCCTAGCAGCAAGGGTCACCATCCTCCTGACGTGAAGGGTGAAGGTCTTAGTTTAACTGATAGAATCTACTAACTACTTTTAAACAGCAAAGGAATTTTATTTCTACTTTTTTTTTTTTTTTTTTAGACAGAGTTTCGCTTTTGTTGCCCAGGCTGGAGTGTAGTGGCACGATTTTGGCTCACTGCAACCTCCGCCTCCCAGGTTCAAGCGATTCTTCTGCCTCAGCCTCCCGAGTAGCTGGGATTACAGGCATGTGCCACCACACCCAGCTAATTTTTGTATTTTTAGTAGAGATGGGCTTTCTCCATGTTGGTCAGGCTGGTCTTGAACTCCCGACCTCAGGTGATCCGCCTGCCTCGGCCTCCCAAAGTGCTGGGATTACAGGCACGAGCCACTGCGCCCGGCCTATTTCTACTTTTTACTGAGGAATGGAATAAAGTACTCAAAGAGAGTTAATACATTATACACCTTAACTTTTACATGTGTATACACTTGTGTAATCACCACCTGGATCAAAATATAGATGATCCTCCTCAGCCTTCCAGAAGTTCTTTGTGCCTCTTCCCAGTATGAATCCCCTCTTCCCACTACAAGTAACCATTTCCTCTGATTTCTATCATCATCGATTAGTTTTCCTGTTTTTGAACATTATATACATGGAATTACACCATACGTATGTGTCTGACTTCCTTTGCTGAACATATAGTTAGGAGATTCACCCTTGTTGTGTATATAAGTTGTCCTTTTGTATTGCAGTGTAATGTTCTATTGGATGAATAGATCACATATTCCTTCTCCTATTGACAGACATTTGGTTCTTTTCCAGTTTTTAGTTATGCTGAATAAAACTTCTAGGAACATTCTCATTCATGTCTTTTGGTATACATATGCATTTATTTCTCTTAGGTGCAAACCTAGGAAAGAGATTGTTGGGCCATAGACCAGGCATGTATTTAGCTTTAGTAGATACAGTTAAATAATGTTTCCACAGTGGTTGTACCAATTTATATTCCCATCAGCAATGTATGAAAGTTCCAGTTGCTCCACATCCTTGCCAATACCTAGTATTATGAGCCTTTTTATTTTTAGCCATTCTGGGGATTTGTAGAGGTATCTCATGGTTTTAATTTGCATTTTCCTGATGAGTAGTGACGTTGATCACTGGGACAGATGAGATTTTCCTAAAGAAATTCTCAACAATGTCTCCCATTCCACATGACCTTATAATGTAACTTTAGCATTCTTCCTATGGAGAGGTGGCATCTGTGTTCCCTCCCCTTGAATCTTGTGACTATGGTGGAAATGGTAACATGTGATTTCTGAGGCTAGGTCTTAAGAGGCATTACCTAGTTTTTTGAGACACCCCTTTGGAGCCCAGAGCTTCCATACAAGTAGTTAAACCTGACGTCACTATGCTATGACAAAGCCCAAACAAGCTCATACAGAGAGATCATGGGAAGAGCCCTTGAGGCTACATGAGAAGAAAAAGATTTCCAGCCAGCCCCCCGCTGCTGCAATCCCCCACTGGTCCAGCTCTAACTACCATTTGACTACAACTGCATGAATCACACTAAGCCAGACCCTCCCAGCTAATACAGTCCTCAATACTTGAATGTTGCTTTAAGCCAGTAATTCTCAACTGGGGGAGATTTTGCACCGCGCTGCACCCCGCCCCGGGATGTGTGGCAATGCCTGGAGATATTGTCATAACTTGGAGGTGGGTGCATGGTGGTACTTGCTTCCAGTGGGTGGAGACCAGGGGTGCTGCTAAACATCCTGCAGGGACACAGGACAGCCTCCAGGACAAAGAATTATCTGGTCCCAAATGCCAACTGTGCTGAGATCGAGAAACCCTACTTAAACTACATAATCCACTAAGTTTTAGGTTGATTTGTAATGTAGCAAAAGTACTAGAACAATCATGCAGGCAGAGAGGGAGTTTATTTTTATTTATTTTTGAGACAGAGTTTTGCTCTTGTCACCCAGGCTGGAGTGCAGTGGCACGATCTCGGCTCACTGCAACCTCCGCCTCCTGGGTTCAAGCGATTCTCCCGCCTCAGCCTCCCAAGTAGCTGAGATTACAGGCACCTGTTACCACACCCGGCTAATTTTTGTATTTTTAGTAGAGACAGGGTTTCACCATGCTGGCCAGGCTGGTCTCAAATTCCTGACCTCAGATGATCCGCCCACCTTGGCCTCCCAAAGTGCTGGGATTATAGGCATGAGCCACTGCGCCTGGCCCAAGAGGGAGTTTATTAAAGAAGATTAGTTCACGGGCTAGGCGCGGTGGCTCACACCTGTAAGCCCAGCACTTTGGGAGGCTGAGGTGGGCAGATCACCTGAGGTCAGGAGTTTGAGACCAGCCTGGCCAACATGGTGGAACCCCATCTGTACTAAAAATACAAAAAATTAGCCAGACGTGGTTGCGGGTGCCTGTAGTCCCAGCTACTCGGGAGGCTGAGGCAGGAGAATCGCTTGGACCCAGGAGGCGGAGGTTGCAGTGAGCCGAGTTCGTGCCACTGAGTTCCAGCCTGGGCAACAGAATGAGAATCTGTCTCAAACAAACAAACAAAGAAAATTAGTTCACAGATCTCTGAGAGGGCCGGAGTGTTGGACTTAAATGTTACTCAGCCTGGAGTACTGCTCAAACCGCATCACTGGCTGTCCAGTGAAGACCACTGGATGTGGACCCACAGCTTGCACCTGTGATACTGAGAACTGGATTCCAGAACCTCTGGATTCTGGATGCCGTTGCCACCCTCACCAGAAAGTAGGTTCCATGTGTTTCCTGCTTCTTCACATTGCTCACTTTGTAATCAGTCCGATTTTGAGATGGCTGATGGATGAGCCCTGGGTCGTGTGTGAACTGTCTGCAAAGGAAGCCGAGAAAGCAAGTTTTCTGGCTTCTACCAAGGAGGCAGGACTAACAAAGCTTCCAAAGATGCTGGGAAGCCAGGAACCTTGGCAAGATTCCTTGGCACTATGTTGTGATAAGGTTGTTGCAAACACCTTTGGGTTATTTCTAGTTTTTTTTTTTAACTTATTTAAAATAATGCTGTCTGTTATTATACATTTTGGGCTAGAGATTTTACTTTAGGGATTATAATCCCAAAGAAACAACTACCCAGCTATAGTAACATGGTACTTATTACCTTATTGATAGTAACTACTGAAAACCAGAAAGAGCTCAAGCATATAAAACCGTGGAACAACAGACTAATTTGTGATCTAACAAACGTCTAAGATTTCCACAGATGGTATGAATTCCAAATATCAGGTCACATTGTCTTCACCTGTTTATGCTTGGCCAGACCATGCATCCAGTTTACTTTGAAATGTGTGGTCACTGTGACTACGTAATTTTATCCTGATGGAATATTATAACAAAAATACTAACTCTATGTTTTACTAGGTGAATACATGGAAAGCAGGTACAAAATGTTTTATGAAAGAAACAGAAGAGTCTAAATACACTCATTGTGACCATGGAAAATTAGTGTTTGCATAATGCAAAGGGTTTGCTTTTGGTTTGTAAAGTTATTTAATATTGAAAAAGGAAATTCCCTTTTGTTTTTCCTAATGTTTGTATTAACCTCAGAGCTTCTGAAGAGCTTGCCCAATAGGTGGCAGTACTGGATAAGAACAGACAGAAACTGCTGCAGGCTGCCTTCAAGCGCTGTTTCTCAAACTTTGGTGTACATACCAATGATCATGTTAAAACACAGCTTGTTGGGCCTCACTGCACTCGGAGTTTCTGAGTTACTAGATGTCTTAGTCTCGTAGTGCTGCTATAACCAAATACCTGAGACTCAGTTATTTATAACAAAATACCTGAGGCTGAGTTATTTATAAAGAACAGAAATGTTGCCTCACAGTTCTGGAGGCTGGGAAGTCCAAGATCAAGGAAGTCCAAGATCACCGACAGGTTTAGTGTCCGGTGAGGGCCTGCTCCATGGATGGTGTCTTCTCCTAGCATCACCCTCACATAGTAGAGGGCAGAGGGGCAAAAAAAGCCTAAGCCGTTCCCTGCAGCCCTTTTATATGGCACGGATCCATTCATGACAGCAGAGCCCTCGTGGCTTAACGCCTCTGAAAGGCCCCATCTCTTAATACCACCACCATGGGGATACCCTTTCCACATGAATTTTGGAGGGGATGCCTTCAAACCATAGCAGCAGGTTTGGGGTGGGGCCCGATAATGTGCGTTTCTAACAATTTCCCAGGTGAAACTGATGCTGCTGGTTGGGGATCACACTTGAGAACCACAGTCTTCTCGCACTGGGAGCTTGTTAAAGTGCAGAAGATCATCCTTCTCTCCTTCCTTATAGCATCCCCCTGCCACCCACTCCATTGCCATGTGTTAATGGAAGAGCTGGGCCACTTTTCCCTTGAAATACTTTCATTTTCCCGTTGAAATACTTTATTCCTTGGCTCCCACAATATCCCACTCACCTCTTTTGCCTTCTCTCTTTCATTTTTTTTTACTATTTTTAAAGAGATGGGGTCTGGCTATGTTGCCCAGGCTGGAGTATAATGGCTATTCACAGGCATAATCATCACAGCACACCCTGTGTTAATGGGGAAGCTGGGGCAGCCACTTGGAGGTGGGGGGCCCTGCAAACAAATGTTTCTTCCTGGCCTACTTGACCTTCTACATCCCATCTTCCATTTGAAGGGAGTAAACAGGCACAATGGAGGGAATGCCCTTTATCTATCGCTTCCTGGAGGCACTGACAGACCTCACAGTGGGGTCTAACTTGGGCCCCCATTACTGGTATCTCTGGCCCCCTACCTGGTATGCCCTTTGTCCACTTTGGGGTACTTCCTGTCTTGCTGCGGGCATCCTGGCGTCCTTGGCACTCCTCTCTTCCCTCCCTTCTGCCAACACTGATCTTACAATGTACTTCGGACTTTGCTTTAACTCCCTCCTGGGCTTGGTATGTCTTGTGCTCTAACTACTGAAGAGCTTGCTTTCGATGCATAGAAATCCAAGCAAAATTTAGCACTGGATATTTTAACTCTCTCCTCAAACTTTCAACCTCTCCTCCTCTATTTTCACTCTCTCAGCTGAGCTTGACTTTGCTTCCTACTTCACTGAGGAAATGGAAATTATTAGAAGAGCATGTGCACAAGTTCCCAGCACAGCAGCTTCCCTTCCCCCTGCATCTGAACCCGTGATACTCCACTTCCTCTCCAATAAGACGAATGACTTATGTTCCTAGCCAACCGCAGCCTCTCCACTGAGTGCTAGATTCTATCCCCTCTCAAGAACAGGCTGTGGCAATTCTTTCCTCTCTACCACATCACCAGTTTTCTCCTATTTACCGCATCACTCCCATCAGCACACGTGCTACTATTTCTTTGATATTAATTAATAAGAGTTGCTTCTGGGCCAGGCCCTGTGGCTGATGCCTGTAATCCCAGTGACTCAGGAGACTGAGATAAGAAGATTGCTTGAGGCCAGGAGCTGGAGACCACCAGCCTGAGCAACACAGTGACACCCTGTCTCTAGAAAAAAAATAAAAATGTACCTGGGTATAGTGGTGTGTGAGCCTGTAGTCCTAGCTGCTCGGGAGGCTGAGGTGGGAGGATTGCCTGAGCCCAGGAGTTCAAGGCTGCAGTGAGCTATGATTGTGCCACTGCACTCCAGCCCGTATGTGCTCTGCTCAATACTCCAGCCTTTAAAAAAAAAAAAAAAAAAAAAAAAGCCCAGGCACGGTGGCTCACGCCTGTAATCCCAGCACTTTGGGGGGCCAAGGCGGGTGGATCACGAGGTCACGAGTTTGAGACCAGCCTGACCAACATGGCGAAACCCCATCTCTACTAACAATACAGAAATTAGCCGGGTGTGGTGGCAGGCGCCTGTAATCTCAGCTACTCAGGAGGCTGAGGTGGGAGAATAGCTTGAACCCAGGAGGCGGAGGTTGCAGTGAGCCGAGATTGTGCCATTGCACTCCAGCCTGGGTGAGAGAGAGAGAGAAACTCCATCTCAAAAAAAAAAAAAAAAAAAAAAAAGTTGCTTCTGTTTATTGTCTCTAATTTCTCTGCTTCTATTCTCCCATGAACCTACCCAATCAGACCTCATCTCTCTACCAAACTGCAACTGCCCTAGTCACAAAAGCTCTCCAACATTTGCAAAGTCCAATGGTCACTTCTCAGTCCTTAGTGGCAGCATTTGACATGTTGATCACTTTCCCCTTGAAATACTTTACTCCTTGGCTCCCACAATACCCTACTCACTTCTTTTGCCTTCTTTTATTATTTTAAAGAGACAGGGTCTCGCTATGTTGCCCAGGCTGGAGTACAATGGCTATTCACAGGCTCAAGCATCACAGCACACTATAGCCTTAAACTCCTGGCTCAGCCTCCCAAGTAGCTGGGACTCCAGGTGTGCATCACCATGCCCAGCTGTCTCCTCTCTCTCTCTTTTTGAGAAAGGGTCTCACTCTGTTGCCCAGGCTGGAACGCAGTGGCACTATCATAGCTCACTGCAACCTTGACCTGGGCTCAAGTGATCCTCCCGCCTCAGCCTCCAGAGTAGCTTGGACTACAGGTGTGCACTACCATGCCTGGATAATTTTTTTTTTCTTTGAGACAGAGTCTCACTCTGTCACCCAGGCTGGAGTGCAATGGTGTGATCTCGGCTCACTGCAACCTCTGTCTCCCAGGTTCAAGCCATTCTCCTGCCTCAGCCTCCAGAGCAGCTGGGATTACAGGCACCTGCCACCACGCCTGGCTAATTTTTGTATTTTTAGTAGAGACGGGGTTTCACCCTGTTGGCCAGGCTGGTCTTGAACTCCTGACCTCCGGTGATCTGCCCACCTTGGCCTCTCAAAGTGCTGGGATTACAGGCAGAAGCCACTGTGCCTGGCCTAGCCTGGCTAATTTTTAAATTTTTTGTAGAGACAGGGTCTTGGTATGTTTCCCAGGCTGGTCTCAAACTCCTAGGCTCAAGCAATCCTCCCATCTCAGCCTCCCAAATCACTGGAGTGACAGGTGTGAGCTACCGTGCCCGACCTGGCTTCTTTTTTTTTTTTTTTTTTTTGAGATGGAGTCCCCCTTGGTTTCTCTTTTTGGGCACTCTTTCTTGTCCCATTTGCTGGGTCCTCTTCATTTTCCCAACTTCCAAGTGTTAAGTTTAATCCTTAAACCTCTTTTGTATCTACTCTCTCTGTCATCTCCTTTAGTGTTTCAGGACTTTAAAGCCATCTATATGTCGATAACTCCCCAGTTTATATCTCAAGCCTGAACCTGTCTCCCTCCTGAGCTGTACATCCAACTGTCTACTAGACATCTCTATCTGGACATGTGTTAGGCACCCCACTTGCCTGTCCCAATCAGAGTCTTGGATGTGTACCCTCCGCTCTACTTCAAGCTACTCCTGCAAACTTCCTCACCTCAGCTGCACTGGCTCAGGACAAAAACCTTAGTGTCATCCTCGATTCCTTTCTCCCATAACCCATATCCAGGCTGTCAGCAAATCTTCTTGGCTATATTTTCAAATGATCGACAGAATTCAGCCATTTCCCTTGACCTTTCCCTCTGTCTCTGACTGCTACCAAGATCTAAGCCACCACCATTTCTCACCTGGGCTATTCAAATAGCCTCCCAAACGGTTTCTTGCTTCTGTCCTTGCCCACCTGCACTCTGTTCTCACCACAGCTGCCAACAATCTCGTTAAAACCTAAGTCAAATAGTGTTATTCCTTTGTTCAATCCCTCTGCTCCATTTTCTCAGAATAACACTCGAGTTGTTCTTAAGACCTGCAAGGTCCCACATGCTCTGCACCCTGGACTTCAAATCTCCATTGCTCTCACCCTTGGTCACTGTATTAGTCAGGGTTCTCTAGAGGGACAGAACTAATAGGATAGATGTGTCTATGAAAGGGAGTTTATTAGGGAGTATTGACTCACATGATCACAAGGTAAAGTCCCATGATAGTCTGCAAGTTGAGGAGCAAAGAAGCCAGTCTGAGTCCCAAAACCTCAAAAGTAGGGAAGCTGACAGTGTAGCCTTCAGTCTGTGGCCAAAGGCCCAAGAGCCCCAGCAAACCAGTGGTCTAAGAGTCCACTAAATCCAAGAGTCCAAAAGCTGAAGAACTTGGAGTCCAATGTTTGAGGGCAGGAAGCATCCAGCATGGGAGAAAGATGAAGGCCAGAAGACTCAGCCAGTCTGCTCTTCCATCTTCTCCCACCTGCTTTATTCTAGCCACACTGGCAGCTGATTAGATGGTGCCCACCCAGATTGAGGGCGGGTCTGCCTCTCCCAGTCCACTGACTCAGATGTTAATCTCCTTTGGCAACACCATCACAAACACACCGAGGACCAACACTTTGCATCCTTCAATCCAATCAAATTGACACTATTAACCATCAGTCACTCTATTCCAGCAGCGTGTCCAGCACACGTCTACCTCAAGGCCTTTGAACTTGCTTCTCATGCTACCTAGATTTCTTTTTCTCAGATGTTTATTTGCATGACTCACTTCCTCACTTTCTGCAGATTTTTTTTTTTTCCTCAAAAGCCACCTCCTCGGTAGACTTGGAACAAAGCAGATTACACACCATCAAGTTCCCTGGACCCAGCTCCTATCCCAGGCCAGTGTGTCCCCACTCTCTCTGTGATTTGTTCAACCAAGGGTACTCGACTCATGGCACATGGGCATCCATAGGTCACAGTTTTTTGTTTGTTTTGTAGAGATGGGGGTCTCGCTATGTTACCCAGGCTGGTCTCAAACTCCTGGACTCAAACAGTCCTCCTGTCTCAGCCTCCCAAAGTGCTGGGATTACACGTGTGAGCCACTGCACCCAGCCTGTATTAGTCTGTTCTCACACAGCTATAAAGAACTACCTGAGACTGGTTAATTTATGAGGAAAAGAGGTTTAATTGATTCACAGTTCTGTGGGCTGTACAAAAGCATGGCTAGGAGGCCTCAGGAAACTTACAGTCATGCAGAAGGTGAAGGGGAAGCAAGCACGTCTTACCATGGCAGAGCAGGAGAGCGAGCGAGTGATGGGGGAAGTACCACACTTGTAAACCATCAGATCTCATGAGAACTCACTATCACGAGAACAGCATGGGGAAAATCTGCCTCCATGATCCAATCACCTCCAACCAGGTCCCTCTCTTGACACACGAGGATTACAATTTGACATGAGATTTGGGTGTGGACACAGAGCCAAACCATATCACAACCTATAGGTCACAGTTCTTTGTGTCTGGTCCCATCAGTCACGCAAGTTTGTCCCTTCCAGTGCCCTGATGTCTTAGAAGTGCTGGGTCCAGGTTGGCCCAGGTATCCATATTTTGTGAAACTCACAACTATTGCCTCTTTTCCAGTCCTAGGGAGTTCAACAGCACCAGAGGGCTCATCCTATATTCCCTAAACACAATACAGAGGTCATACCCTTTCTGAAGACATTTAGATTGTCTTCTCCACTAACTACTGCCCCAATCCATCAGGCAGTTTCTCTCCTTTGACCCTTCAAACACAAGAGACTCTGTTTTCTGGATCCCAGGACTCAGTTTCCTCCAATGGACTCAGCTTTTCAAACACACCGCAAGCTTATTTATGTTACACTTCCTCCCCTTTTCTGTTTCGAGAATTATCTTAAGGTGGCTAAGGTGATAGATACTAGCGTCCAAAACCCAAGTTTATCCGATGAGAGAACACATTGAGATAAAGATATATAGAGATATAGATATCTATCTCTATATAGAGAGATAGGTATCTATCTCTATATAATTAGACATAGATATCTATAGAGATATATAGTCTCATGGCATACATTTTAATCCTTTAAATGATGAACTTTCTAAAACGCACTCTGCCCAACCCTGCATTCACAGACTATATGAGAAGTCTTTTATGGTCTGCTTCCTGGTGCAGAGACATCATTGTATGGCAATGTTCTTGCTCTCCCTCTGCTGTGAGTGAATATCTCACAATTCTGGATCAATAGCTCTGCCTTTTGCTGTCCTCTTTCATCTAACTCCTTATTTTCAGTGAAACTGGATAACAAAATTTGCCAGGGTTATGTACAAATAAAACATTGGTAAGTAGCTCGATAAATATTTGTTAAGTAAATGAATGGGGTGTTCAATGATCTCTCGGGGGCTTCTCTCATGGGCCAACGTGCATGAGTGTTGTAACAGTAATTTCAGTGGCTCTGAGGCCTCTTTTGCCTCTGCCAGGGAGAGTTATATTCCATGGAGTTGAGGTTGCCAGGAGAGTGGCTTTCAGAAAAGTGCAGCATTGCAGATCTATTGTTTTCCAAAAGGAACAATTGTAAAAAATTTAAAAGGTAGTTTTGGACCACGAATCAGAGACCAAGGTTCTGTAGACTGGCCAATAGCTATCAGAGTGACTTTGGTAAGTCAACCACCCGCCTCAGAATGGGCCTTTAAAAAGGGCATATTTTGCCAGGCACGATGGCTCATGCTTGTAATCCCAACACTTTGGAGGCCGAGGCAGGTGGATCATCTGAGGTCGGGTATTCGAGACCAACCTGGCCAACATGGTGAAACCCCATCTCTACTAAAAATACAAAAATTAGCCTCATGCCTGTAATCCCAGCCACTCGGGAGGCTAAGGCAGGAGAATCACTTGAACCCGGGAGGCGGATGTTGCAGTGAGCTGAGATCGCACCATTGCACTCCAGCCTGGGCAATAGAGCAAGACTGTCTCAAAAAAAAAAAAAATAAATAAAAGGCATATTCCCAGCCTGGGCAACGTAGCAGGACCTCATCTCTACTAAAAAAAATAAAAAATTAGCCAGGTGTGGTGGCACATACCTGTAGTCTCAGCTACTCAGGAGGCTGAGACGAAGGACTGCTTGAGCCCGGGACGTCGAGGCTACAGGGAGCTATGATTGTGCCACTGTACTCCAGCCTGAGCAACAGGCTGACACCCTGTCTCAAAAAATAAATAAGTAATAATAAAATAATAAATACATTAAAAGGTCACATTCTGTGACTCAGTCACACTGTTAGAGTCACAATAAGTCATGTCATGCTTCATCAGCAAGTCGTCTCAGTCCAACAGTGGTATTCGGTATTTTCTCATGCCTGATTCAAACCTCTGTAGGCTTGAGTGGGTGGTATTTTGGGGGCCATGTCACCATTACTCATCCACTCATCCAGTCAAGCAACCAAGCATTCATACCTTTAGTTGTTTATTCATTCGTTTGTTTAAAAAATAGCACCTACTACACATTAGACATATGATAACATGTAACTGCTAGTTTCATTATATACCCCGATCCTCTAGAATCTCTAAATGGATAAATTTCCTAAATAAGTGACATTCTAGTAATACACAGACAATAAACAAAATAAATGAGTAAGATATATAGTATTTTAGATAGTGATATATGCTAAGAAAACAGGAAAAGGGATTGAAATGTCAGGGGATGGATTTTTTTTTTTCCAGACAGAATCTTGCTGTGTCACCCACTGCACTGGAGTGCAGTGGCACGATCTCTGCTAACTGCAACCTCCGCCTCCCAGGTTCAAGCAATTCTCCTGCCTCAGCTTCCTGAGTAGCTGTGACTATAGGCGCGTACCACCTCTCTGGGTCTCTGTTTTCTAGTTTTTAGTAAAGTCAGATTGGATTAGTATTTGTTAACTATTTTTGGTTTGCAAACTCCTTTGCAAACCTGATTTAAGAAAAAAGAGCTCTCTTTCCTGCGTCATGCATCTCCGCATATATATATATATAAAACTCAGAGGCCAGTTTTTCATGGTCTCTCTATAACCTATTCCAAGACCTCCAAATTAAGACCCTAATGTTGTGCCTTCGATGATCACCGTAACTGCCTCCGATTTTGAATGATAGAAATTTCAGAAATTGCAATGTGTGATTTAGGGAAATTTTGAAGGGTGTCGAGTTGTTCTCAGAGCTCTTCAATTGTATGACCTCAGGAAACTATTCAAAAACCCCATCCTAAATATAACGTTTTAAATTTAAAATGTGAAGTATGTTTCCCTACTGTGAGCCCAACTACAATTGTTGGCCTTTGAGGTAATTTGTACATAATGAAAAGGAGTGTGTAGTATATTTTAACATGGTAATCATATAATAAAGTAGTTTACCTATTGTTCCTAAAACACCTCATGATTCATTTACTTTTATGGGGGTATATTTCAGAAGCAAGACAAATCAGTGGGAGACCATGAAAGTGGCTGAGTGGTTACTGACTCACAGGCTTATCTGTCGTCTGTCCCTCCCGACCCCTGCCACCATCCCTCCCACTGTTGCCAATGTACCAAATTCAACCTTAACCCACCTATGAGCTCCTTTCCAGGTTCACAGACCCAGTAACTGCCTGACATTTTATGGTGCCCCTACCCACTGGGCCCCCAGATGCTGAAACAAGAGTTTGGCAAACCAATTGGTTCGGTTAAACCAATCAGGTTTGACCAATGACCCCACTCAGGTGGCCTTGACCTCATGTCATATGTTCCATTCGGTTCATGAAAGCTAGTGAGAGTCATTTCCAAGGGCTGCCAAGAGAATCTAACTTATAGCAAGAGTAAAGAAAGGCCACGGATAAAACCAAGACTTGCGCTTCAGAACGCAAACCAGAAAATGGAAGCAACAGATCCTATCTTTGGACCATGAGAGTGAAGACAAGAAAAAGTAACTGCAGAGAAATAGATGCCTGTGATTGAAGCAATTCCTCAGTAATCGACACTAATCAGGGCAATGTTAGAATGGAATAATGTAGAATTCAATAGAAATGTATATTACATCCATCGGGAGCCAGATGACTTCATCACAGCTAATGTATTACAATGACTAGAAAAGGAATTAATGATTCACCATTTAGTTACTTTCCTCCCTTCCCCCAACACCTTTTCTTCAGCTTTAACAAACTGGTCTGAAGCCAACTGCGACATCAGTTTAGTAATGACTTTAAGCACCATTTACGCTGCTATCATGGCAATTTAAATTGTCACTTTCTATTAAAAGGTCTACCTCAGAATGGTTTTAAGTGAAAGCGTTCCACACTGACAGTGCAATTAAACAAGAAAAAAAATCCTTTCTTGGAATGTCAGTGCAAACGCATTTTAAATAGTGGTTCAGCAGCGCCTTGCTAATTTAAACTACAGTATTGCTTTCTACTAAAGAATAGAAACTGATTTGGGCTTTTTTCCCCTCTCTGTACTGTATGACAGTTTGAATTGGCACTGTGTCCCAGTCAAAGCCCTGATGTGCCAATGGGGTCCCTGAACCTAAAGTGTATCCTTCCCAAGACAGACATTAAACAGAAATAATTTACCAGTGTGAAGGGGAAGCTTCACCTTTCACAGCATTTGCTTTTAAAATTGCCCTTTTCTGATCCAACTTGCCTTTCTCAAACTGTGGTCTCACTTGTTTATCAGGGAGAGAATGGAGAGGTATGGGGGACCTACTTTACTGAGATGACAACTTTCTGAATCAAAAATGGACAATCGGGAGGCCAAGGTGGGTAGATCACATGAGGTCAGGAGTTCGAGACCAGCTTAACATGGTGAAACCCCATCTCTACTAAAAATACAAAATTAGCCAGGTGTGGTGGCGCATGCCTGTAATCCCAGCTACTCGGGAGGCTGAGGCAGGAGAATCGCTTGAACCCGGGAGGCGGAGGTTGCAGTGAGCCGAGATTGCGCCATTGCACTCCAGCCTGGGCAGCAAGAGCGAGACACTGTCTCTAAATAAATAAATAAAGGACAATCAACTAGAGAAAATTTAGTGTGGAAAAGAATTCTGAGTACAGGTGTGTGAGTCTTTCTCTTTCAGATTTCTAAGTTTAGATCCTGAGGCGGTTTATGCATTTCGCCAACCTCCTTCAATTCAGCTGAGAAAAGACCCTTCAGGCACTTTCATCTTTGAATACATTTTAACACAGAAACGATAAGGGAGCGCAAATGTTGAACGTGCCAGTACAAAATAACACGTTTTATCCACCTCATTTGTTTTCCGGACTCCTGTAGACCCAATAGTCCATAATTCCCAGGTATTTGGCTTAGATAGATTCCAGCTATCAGAGAGAATAACACAATTACATTCTTAGGTGTGGGTGCCTTAAATTAGAAGTTGAAGAATATTTGAACAGCAGGAATGGCTGGCATTTTCTTTTAATGGTCTTGAAGCGTTTCCAGCCTGACAGAACCTTATGTCATGAGCAATAGCTCTGAAGCACACTAGGCTCACCAGAAGTAAACGAGGCATAACATTTAAGTTGCTTCTGTTACATTCTCAATTGATATCGTTATTGCTCTGAAGGACACCGAGACAGCATCTTGAGAAAAGTGTCCCAATGATGGTTATCGAGATGCAATTTTTTATGTCTACACAATTACATTTCTAACTTCGCCATATTCCACACTCGACTGCCGTGGAAAAGATGATCGATGTAAACCCAGTCCTCACAAGAATAATACATAAGCCACCAGGATCGAAACTCATTTTTATTTTACAAATTAGGCAAACTTTCTTTCAGTTCCATTTTCTTCCGTTAATATAACACATTAGTATTTAAGCCCAGGGCAGCTAGAAACAGAAGAAATGACCTGCTGATTTGGGGGCTGACAGGGGCCAGGAAAGGGTCACCTCAGAAAGAAGTATTCCTTCCTTTTTTTCTTTTTTGTATTTTCTGGTAGAGATGGAGTTTCACCATGTTGCCCAGGCTGGTCTCGAACTCCTGGGCTCAGGTGATCCTCCCACCTCAGTCTCTCAAAGTGCTGGGATTACAGTCATGAGCCACTGTACCTGGCCAGAAGTATTCCTTCTTGAAAAGTGGAGGTGAAGGGAAGGGAGACAGACCCAAAGAAACAGTCTTTCGGGCAAGGCACATAGAGGTTTGAAATAAAGGTGCTGGCAGGGCCAAAAGCTCCAGAGAAGATTCTTTCTTTGCTTCTTTCTAGCTTCTGGTGGTTGCCAGCAATTCTTGGCATTCCTCAGCATTCAGTTCCATCACTCCAATGTCTTCCTACATCTTCACATGGTCAGCATCCCTCTGTATGTGTCTGTGTCTCCTCTTCTTGTAAAATACCAGTCATATTGGATTTAATGCCACCCCTCCCCAACCCAGTATCACCTCATTTTAACTGATTTCATCTGCAAAAACTATTTCCAAATAAGGTCTGAGATTCTGGGTTGATATGGTTTGGCTCTGTCCCCACCCAAATCTCATCCTGAATTGTACTTCCCATAATCCCTATGTCATGGGAGGGACCAGGTGGAGATAATTGAATCATGCAGGGGTTGGGGGTTCCCCCATCCTGTTCTCATGATAGTGAGTTCTCATGAAGTCTGATGGTTTTATAACAGGCTTCCCCTTTCACTGGGCACTCATTTTCCTTCCTGCCACCATGTGAAGAAGGACATGTTTGATTCACCTTCTGCCATGATTGTAAAAAAAAAAAAAAAAATTCACCATCTTAACCATTTTTAAGTGTACAGTTCAGTGCCATTAAATACATTAATTTTCCTGAGCCCTCCCCAGCCATGCTAAATTGTGAGTGAATTAAACCTCTTTCCTTTATAAATTACCCAGTCTCGGGTATGTCTTTATCAGCAGTGTGAGAACAGACTAATACATGGGTGGACATGACATTTTGGGGGACACTATCTTTTAGACCTCAGTTGGGACTTTCCATTTCTCTTTGGTAGATTTTATCAATTTCTTTTGATCTTTCACCCAGTTCAGTGAGGTTCTTATTACTTTTCACAGTTCTTCCTGTAGGATCTTAGCTTTACAGATTTCATATGCATGCCTTCTATGTTTTTATCCACACTGTTGATAAAATATTAATTAAGAAAAGTGTTGAATAGGTGAGGGTCAACCTGGGGCATACCACTTTTGATCTCACTTCTGGTACAGAAATAGTTTTTTAATCAACTAAGCAATCACTTATATCTACTATTATCCAATTACATGTCTCCCTCCTGTCCAAAAGGATGTCAAACACCTGGTTGAAACCAAGACACACGAAATATACAGCATCTTCTTAATGGATCGGTCTAGAAATTGCTGTCTCCTAAGCCACAATGAGATGCCACTTCTCACCTACTAGGATTTATAAGGAAAAAAAAAAAGAAAATAACAAGTGTTAAGGATGTGGAAAAATTGGAACCCTCATGCATTGTTGGTGGGATTGTAAAATGGTGCAGCCACTATGGGAAACAGTTCGGCAGTTCCTCAAAAGATTAAACACAGAACTATCATATGACCCAGCAATTCTGCTCCTACGTATTTTCAGTTCAAAAGAATTGAAAGCAGGGACTCAAACAGCTATTTGTACCCCAATGTTCATAGCAGCATTATTCACAATAGCCAAAAGGTGGACACAACCTTTTGTTGTGTCTATCCACCGATGAATGGGCAAATAAAATGTAGCATATCCTAGAATATCATTCAGCCTTAAAAAGGAAGGTAAATCTCATACACGCTACAACATGGATGAACCTGGAAAATGTTCTGCTTAGTGAAATAAGCCAGACACAGTAGAACAAATATGGCATGATTCCACTTATATGAGGTGCCCAGGATAGACAAATTCATAGAGACAGAAAGTAGAATAGAGTTTACCAGGGGCTTGGAGGAGTTATTGTTTAATGGATACAGAGTTTTTGTTGGAGATGATGGAAAAGTTGTGAGTATAGATAGTGGTGATGGTAACACAACATTGTGAATGCATTTAATGCCACTGAATCGTACAAGTGGTTAAAATGATAAATATTACTTTATATTTTGCCACAATACAAACAAGCAGAAAAAAATTGCCCCCCTCAAAAGAGATGCTTCCCCCGCAAAAAAGAAAGTTAGTTGTTGTAACTTCAAACGTGTACCTTGGGACCCTAGAGTTGGCAGAAAAGTTAGAGCAGAGCAAAGCAAAGCTTTAGCTTTGCATCAAGGTATTATTTTAAAGCAATTTCTTGGGAAATAATTTGATGAAGGCTTCATTTTTATGTTTTTGAAGTAAAGCAGTTTTTCTTTGTTCAGAAATTTTGTGGATTCAATTAAATCCACTACATGTATTGAAGAAAGTATGCATTGAAAGAATTAAAAGTCCTGGTCCCTGCTATCTTGGAGAATGCCCAAAATCCCAGTTGTTTTTTCCCCTTAAAAAATTGTGGTAAAACACACATAACATAAAATTCACGGCTGGGCACGGTGGCTCATGCCTGTAATCCCAGCACTTTGGGAGGCCAAGGTGGGTGGATCACCTGAGGTCAGAAGTTCAAGACCAGCCTGGCCACTATGGTGAAACCGTATCTCTACTAAAAACACAAAAATTAGCTGAGTGTGGTGGCACATGCCTGTAATCTCAGCTACTTGGGAGGCAGAGGTTTCAGTGAGCCGAGATTGAGCCACTGCACTCCAGCCTGGGTGACAGAACGAGACTCTGTCTCAAAAAAAAAAAAAAAAAAAAATTCTTAACCATTTTTAAGTGTATAGTTCAGTGCCACTAAACACATTAATAATAATGTACTACCATCACCACCATTCACCTCCGTAACTCATTTTATCTTAGAAAACTGAAACTCTGTACACATTAAACAGTAACTCCCCTTTCATCCAGCCCCTGGCAATCACCATTCTGTTTTCTTTCTTTTTGAGACAGGGCATTACTCTATCACCCAGGCTGGAGTACAGTGGCATGATCTTGGCTCGCTGCAGCCTTGACCTCCCGGGATGAGGCGATCCTCCCACCTCAGCCTTCCGCATAGCTGGGAGTACAGGTGTGCACCACCACACCCAGCTATTTTTTTGTATTTTTGTAGAGATGGGGTTTTACTCTGTTGTCGAACTTCTGGGCTCAAAGGATCCACCCGCCTTGGCTTCCCAAAGTGCTAAGATTACAGGCATGAGCCACTGCACCCGGCCACCATTTTGTTTTCTGTGTCAATTAATTTACTCTAGATACCTCGTATAGGTAGAATCATGCAGTATTTGTCTTCTTGTGTCTGGCTTAGTAGAATGTCCTCAAGGTTCATCCACGTTGTAGCATGTGTCAGAATTTCCTTTTAAGGCTGAAGAATATTCCCCAGTTGCCTTTAAATTCTTCATTTGTCTTGTAGTATAAGGATGCGATTATTACTATATTCTGTCCTTACCCTTAGAGAAGTAACACCTCGTGGCACTTGACTGTGGGTTCTCTGGGGTGAGAAACCATGTGCTATTTATTTTAATCTGGCACTTGACACATTAATGCTTGTTGGATGGACAAACAACAGTTAAGAGATGTCGAAAGTAGACACCATGTGGCTCTTCTGGGCAGGACCTCATGGAATGCCCACTTGGAGATGGGGACGCTGATGGGTCCAGATTCTGACCTTGTTTTAAAGTTTCAGAATATGGTGATGCAACTGTAGAAAGCTGATTTCTGCTAGCTCATGAGAGATTGTTTTGTATTTTATCACAACTTCATTGAGATATAATTCATATAATTTACTGACTTAAGATGTAAAATTCAGGGCCGGGCGCGGTGGCTCACGCCTGTAATCCCAGCACTTTGGGAGGCCGAGGCGGGCGGATCACGAGGTCAGGAGATCGAGACCATCCTGGCTAACACGGTGAAACCCCGTCTCTACTAAAAATACAAAAAATTAGCCGGGCGTGGTAGCGGGCGCCTGTAGTCCCAGCTACTCGGGAGGCTGAGGCAGGAGAATGGCGTGAACCCGGGAGGCGGAGCTTGCAGTGAGCCGAGATCGCGCCACTGCACTCCAGCCTGGGCGACAGAGCGAGACTCCGTCTCAAAAAAAAAAAAAAAAGAAAAGAAAAAAAAAAAAAAAGATGTAAAATTCAATAATTTTTAGTATATTCAGACTTGTACAACCACCACCACAGTCAATTTTAGAATACTTTTGTCCTCTATTAAAAGAAACCGGTACCTTTTGGCAGTCACTCCCCAGTCTCACCTCCCCCAGCCCCTGGCAACCACTAACGTGCGACGTTCTGTCTCTCTAGATTTGCCCATTCTGGGCCAGGCGTGGTGACTCACGCCTGTAATCCCAGCACTTTGGAAGGTCGAGGTGGGTCGATCACCTGAGGTCAGGAGTTTGAGACCAGCCTGGCCAACATGGAGAAAACTTGTTTCTACTAAAAAATACAAAAGTTAGCCAAGCATGGTGGTGCATGCCTGTAGTCCCAGCTACTTGGGAAGCTGAGGCAGGAGAATTGCTTGAACCTGGCAGGTGGAGGTTGCAGTGAGCCAAGAATGCGTCACTGTACTCTAGCCTGGGTAACAGAGCAAGACTCTGTCTCAAATAAATAAATAAAAAAGATTTGTCTATTCTGGACACTTAATATGGAATCATATGTGTCCTTTTGTGTCTGGTTTCTTTCACTTAGCATAATGTTTTCAAGGTTCATCTATGTTGTAGCACTTCATTCCTTTTTAATGGGCAAATAATATTCCATTATGTGGCTATCCCACGTTTTATTTTTTCGATCATCGTTTGATGAATGTTATGGATTGAATTGTGCCGGCTTCCAAAAGAAAGGTATGTTGAAGTCCTAACCCCCAGTACCTCAGAATGTGACCTTATTTGGAAATAGGGTTGTTGCAGATGTAATGAGATAAGATGAGGTCATATTGGAGCAGGGTGGGCTCTTAACCCAATATGACTGTAGTATCCTCATAAGAGAAGAGGGACAGAAACATGCAGGGAAAATGCCACGTGACGACAGAGGCAGAGGCCGGAGTTATGCGGTTGCAGGCCACGGAAGTCCAAGGCTTGCCAGTCACCACCAGAAATTGAAAGAGGCAGGGAAGGTTCTCCCCTAGGGCCTTCAGAAGTAGCATAGCCATGCCAGCCTTTGATTTTGGACTTCAAACCTTCATAACTGTGAGAGGATAAATGTGTGTGTGTTAAGCCACCCAGTTTGTGGAATTTTGTTATGGCAGCCTGATACGGTTTGGATTTATATCCCTGCCCAAATCTCATGTTGAATTGTAATCCCCAGTATTGGGAGAGGGGCCTGGAGGGAGGTGATTGGATCATGGCGACAGATTTCTTCCTTGCTGTTCTCGTGGTAGTGAGTTCTTATGAAATCTGGCTGTTTAAAAGTGTGTAGCACCTCCCCCTGCTCTCTCTTCCTCCTCCCCCGGCCACGTAAAACAAGCCTGCTTCCCCTTTGCCTTCCTCCATGATAGAAAGTTTCCTGAGGCCTCCCCAGCCATGTTTCCTGTACAGCTTGCAGAATTGTGAGTCCATTAAGCCTCTTTTCTTTATAACTGAACCAGTCTCAGGTAGTTCTTTATAGCAATTAATTCATTCTCATGAATGGATTAATACATAGCCCTAGGAAACTCATACAATGGGCATTTGGGTTGCTTCCACTAGAGACTCAGTTTTAATATTATGTCTGCATTATATGTGAAATAATGCTTTTGGCTCAGTCAAGCACATTGTCTCAGTTAATTCACACAACAACCTTGTGAGGCAGGTTTAATTCTCTCCAGTTTCTCAATTAAAAAAACTAAGGCCTTGGCTGGGCACCGTGGCTCATGCCTGTCATCTCAGCACTTTGGGAGGCTGAGGTGGGCGGATCACTTGAGGTCAGGAGTTTGAGATCAGCCTGGCCACCATGGTGAAATCCTGTCTGTACTTTAAAAAAAAAAAAAAAAGGCTAAGGCCCAGATAAGATATTAAAGGGCCAAGTCAGGATTTAAATCCAGGTCTTCTGATTCTAGGTTTAGTGCTCAACCAGAATGCCAAGAAGGTAACTTACAGCGGGAGAGACAAATGGGTAAGAGAGTATATCTTTCCCTGAGAAAGATATCATAGCAATGACAATAGCTAGCATTTATTGAGTATTTACTAAGTGCTGGGCACTGTGCTAAATACCTTTTTCACACGTGGCAAACACTGCTAGTTGCCTACATATCTTCCTCTTCTTCCTAAGAGAAACCCAAGCTACCCAAGGTTTCGATGATAGCAGCTGAAAATTACATTTCCCAGCGTTTATTGCAACCAGGGCTGATCAAGCGTCATAGTTTTAGGCAATATAATTTCTGTGGAAGTTGCAGTGAATTTCCAATGTGGCAGAGATAGTTAGCAGTACCCCCCAAAGACTCACGTTCCCTTTCCATGGCATAGAGATGTTGCTGGGAAGAATTGCCCATTCGGGGGCTATATTTTCTGGCTCCCTTTGAATCTATGTGGACCCATGTGACTGAAGTCTGGCCAATAAAATGTGGGCAAAAATATACCTTGATTCTAGACTTGATCCATAAACCTTCCTACACAATTCCCCATGCTCCCTCTCTCCCCGCATCTGCTGGCGGCACATTCATGCCTATTATGACCCTGGAAGCCACATCTAAATTGGTCCCTGCAGGACCGCACTGAGAAGAGCTGCATCCCATCCTCTCCCCATAACTCCCGCTCCCTGCTATCAATTGGCCTTGGCAAGAGTGAGAAATAAACTTCTATTGTGTTAATTCACTGATGAGTAGGGCTTGTTTGTTACGGCACTTAGCCTACCCTGCCTTAAACATCTGGGAAAGCTTTTGCTTTCTTGATTCAGTCATCACCCCTCCTTCCTTTTCCCTGCCAGAAATACAGACATGATGGCTAAGGCTGCAGCAGCTATGTTGGGATCATGAGAGAAAGGTCATGGAACCGCAAAGACCTCAGCTCTGAAATCTTTGAGCCCCTTCACCAAGGCCAGTGACCACCTACCTCTGGGCTTGTCAGAAAAAATCATCTCCTGATCTGAGGAAGCCACTATTTAGTCAGAGATTCTGTTGCTCACAATCAAACACAATTCCTAACAGATAGACTCCATTGTTCACCCGACTCCTCACAGGCAAGCACTATTCACATTCCTAATTTAACTAGGAATGTTAATTTCTAAATTTAATTTCCTAAATTTAATTTCTAAGAAATTAAAAATTTTGTTGAAGATCACATAGCTAAGTAAGAGACAGAAACAAGGGTATATTTGTTCTCATGCTACTAATAAAGACATACCCAAGACTGGGTAATTTATAAAGAAAAAGAGGTTTAATGGACTCACAGTTCCACACAGCTGAGGAGGCCTCACAATCATGGTGGAAGGTGAAAGAGGAGCAAAGGCACCTCTTACATGGCAGCAGTTGAGAGAGTGTGCAGGGGAACTGCCCTTTATAAAACCATCAGATCTTGTGAGACTTATTCACTATCATGAGAACAGCATGGGAAAATCCCACCCCCATGATTCAATTACCTCTCACCGAGTCCCTCCCGTAATACATGGGGCGCTACAATTCAAGGTGAGATTTGGGTAGGGACACAGCCAAACCATATCACAGGGCTCTAACCATTAGGCTGCAAATATTAACCAATGTACCATATTGATTTTTTCTATTTTTTTTCCTAAAACTGCCTATTGTTCTATCTTGCATGGCATCATTACATAAGATCTTGAAATCAGAAACCCAAATTCAACCACTTATTTTTTAATTCAAGTATATTTATGGGTATATTTTCATAGCTTCAAGCAGCGATGTTGGAAGATAATGCTTCATACAGCTGAGCATAAGGACGGAGAAACAATCTGCAATCTTAAAGCAGAAATAGATCACCATTTGAACTTGCCATATTAGCAATGAAGTAAGATTGATCACATTACTAAAGAATCTCTTGGTGGCGGAGTCATTTGATTTGCAAAAGGACTAAAAGGCAACAATTTAAAAGAATCCAAACTTTCATACTTATTATATATTCTTTTCTTTCTTTTCTTGAAACAGGGTCTCCATTTGTTGCCCAGGCTGGAACGCAGTGGTACGATCATGGCTCGCTGCAGTCTCAACCTCCCAGGCTCAACTGATCCTTCCACTGCAGCCTCCTGAGTAGCTGGGACTATAGGCGCATGTCACCACACCCAGCTAATTAAACAAATTTTTTTTGGTAGACACGGGGTCTCCCTATGTTGACCAGGCTGGTTTTGAACTCCTGGGCTCAAGTGATCTACCTGCCCCCTGCTTCCCAAAGTGCTGGGATTACAGGTGTGAGCTTCTGTGCCCTATTCTTTTCTTAATCCAATTCTTCTCTTAGAAATAATGTATCACACTTTCATGCTTTAAAATATACTATGTCTTTCCTTGATTTAATTCTCTTCTTTCAGTGGCATAAAAATACTTATCATCTTTGCTTCTTTTCTCTCATAGGGTGCCAGTTCTACATCTGCTGTCCTCCAGGAATTAAATAACCAGCTCATAAGCCTGGAATTCCCTGGATGTAAACTGACTATAGGGGACAAACAGTAAAGACACCCAGGAAGAGGCTAAGCATGATGGCTCATGCCTGGAATCCCAGCACTTTGGGAGGCTGCCGTGGACAGGTCACTTGAGGTTAGGAGATCGAGACCAGCCTGGCCAACATGGTGAAACCCCATCTCTACTAAAAATACAAAAATTAGCTGGGCTTGGTGGTGCCTGCCTGTAATCCCACCTACTCGGGAGGCTGAGGGAGGAAACTTGCTTGAACCTGGGAAGCAGAGGTTGCAGTGAACCGAGATCACGCCACTGCACTCCAGCTTGGGTGACAGAGAATCTGTCCCCCAAAAAAAGACACCCAGGAGGGTGTGAGGATGAACATGCCCCAGTAAACAACTTGACTCCTCTAGTGGGTATATTTTGGGGTATCTATCTAGCCAAAAAGCCAGTGATTACCCCTGTCACCAGGAATTATCTCTCCAAACTCTCTCACCCCTGCCCCCAGTTTTTAAAGTGATACCCCTTGGAGGGTGTTTGTACGCTGATTCCCACACCTCACTGGCTACAGAAAATTGCCTGGGTTCAGCATCTAACCCAAGGGCAACTAAAATCTTTTTTCCAGGAAATTTGAAAGTTTAATTCTGTGACATTCAAGGTCCATCTGGGTTTTAGGACAGCAGAGATGTAAAAACTCAGAAATAGTGGCAGGTGTGCTGAAAGCTGAAATGCAGAGAGAAGAATTAGTTGTGCAGAGAAAAGCAGGATAAAGAGAAAGAAAGAGAGAGAGAGGAAATATGAGAATTCCCCAGCTTCCCAATAATGAGTTTGATTTTAATTCCTTTCTAGGTCTCCACTGTGTAAGTTCCATAAGGCAGGTCAGTAGTCTTATAATGAATTCTTGCTTTGGTTAAGTTCGCTTAAGTTGGTTTCTGTATTTGTAACCAGGGCCCTAACTGACACACATTACAAGAATAGCTCGAGTGATAAATGTGTCAACAATAGCTAATGGACCTAGTGTCAACAATAGCTAATGGACCTAGTAGAATTGTTAAGTAAAAGCTGATGACCAGGCACGGTAGCTCACGCCTGTAATCCCAGCACTTTGGGAGGCTGAGGCAGGTAGATCACGAGGTCAGGGGTTCAAGACCAGCCTGGCCAAGTTGGTGAAACCCCATCTCTACTAAAAATATAAAAATTAGCTGGGCATGGTGGCGGGTGCCTGTAATCGCAGCTACTCGGGAGGCTGAGGCAGAGAATTGCTTGAACCCAGGAGGCAGAGGTTGCAGCGAGCCGAGATCATGCCACTGCATTCTAGCCTGGGCAACAGAGTGAGACTGTGTCTCAAAAAAAAAAAAAATAAATAAATAAAAAATAAAAAAACAAAACAAAACACAAAAACACAAAAATTAGCCGGTTGTGGTGGTGTGTGCCTGTAGTCCAAGCGGCTCAGGCAGCTGAGCCAGGAGAATGGCTTGAACCTGGGAGGCAGAGGTTGCAGCGAGCTGAGATTGCGCCACTGCACTCCAGACTGGGCAACAGAGTGAGACTCCATCTCATAAATAAGCAGCTATTGTAAGGTTTCCAGCAGCAAAGTGGTCTATGAACCACCATATAGAAAGATTGGCTGCTGGGTGTGGAATGGGGCAAGAGCAGGAGAGAGAGAGAGAGGCTGATACATTCGGCAGACAACTGCAGTACCAAGGTGGAAGGCGTTAATAGCTTGGATCAGGCAGGTGGCCGTGGGGGTGGTGAGAAGCGGGTGAATGTTAGTTATGCTTCAGAGAGAGAGAGACAGAACTTATTGACTGCGGAGGAAGGGAATCAGATGGGAGGGATGAGGGAAAGGAAAGAATCAAAGAGGAATCCAAGTGACTGGCTTAACAAGAGGGTAGATTTGGGGACCATCTCCTGAAATGGAGAATACTGGACAAAGACCAGTATGGTCAATTGGGATATTGGGAGTTTCTTTGTAGGCCCCCATTTTGGTGATTCCCCGCTGCTGTAGGTTGAGGAGAGAAAGAGAGAAGCCTAATTTACTCAAACAGGGAATGATATATGTATTAGAGAAGCCAGTCCATCGGGGGCAGTCTGAACTGGGCTGGGAATGTTTGGTCTCTACAAGATAGTATGGGCTGAAAATTACATATGCGTCTCCCTGGGCAGAGAGGGAGGCGGAAGGGAGGCTGGGTATGAAAAAGTGAGTTTGAGGCTTGCCAAAGATTTGCCATGGGTTCATCATCTCTGATCAAAGGAGAACAAATTCTACTTAAAAGGCAGGAAATTAGAAAATTAATTGACTTAACTGCAATGTACATACCCCATACACAACATATTGGTCTCAAAAGTTGTCTGTGGTTGTGATTTTCATAAAGCAGTGGCTCTAATCCTGGCTGTACATTAGAATCTCTTTAGAGTCTCACTCTGTCACCCAAGCTGGAGAGCAGTGGTATGATCTCAGCTCACTGCAACCTCCACTTCCTGGGTTCAAGCGACTCTCCTGGCTCAGCCTCCCAAGCAGCTGGGTCTACAGGCATGTGCCACCATATCCAGCTAATTTTTATATTTTTATTAGAGATGGGTTTTCACTATGTTGGCCAGGCTGATCTTGAACTCCTGACCTCAGATGATCCACCCACCTTGGCCTCCCAAAGTGCTGGCATTACAGGTGTGAGCCACCGTGCCCGGCAGTAATCTCTTGAGGGCATTTATAAAACACCACTGCCCAGAATTTACCCCCAGCCAGTGAATTGAAATCTTTGGGAGTAGGGTTCAGTTACCAGTGTTTTTCTTCCAAAGCTCTCCTCAGATTATTCCGACGTATAACTATGGTGTGTGAAAACCATTGGTAAAGAGCAATTTATACATAGCTCATGTCATTTGAAAATGGCCATTTTGGTAAGCTGTTGCTCTTCCAGTAATAATTTTAAATGAAGCAATACCTTGAACCAAGAAAAAACAATTTGTCTTGATTTTGAGCGCTTTTTCATACCACAATGTATTAAATGTGTCCATCATTCAATGGCAGTTTTTCACAAGGAAATCTCCTTAAAACAGAACTCACCAGCCAATTCATGTCCAAACTACTCGGTGGACGACCTAATGTATTACTTTTCAGCAGATCGATTCTACCAGAGATGGAACCGCCACTGTGAAAAATGTCCTTGCTTTTCTTACTGGTGTCGAATGGCAGCTCCTGGTCTGTCTCAGCTCAGAACACTCAGTGGCTTGCAAAGCCAGCTGTTTTCACGGTCGACTGTTTCACACAGCTTGGTCAGAACCACATTAATGGGAACCCTGCCGCTGCTGAACTATGAAATTTCCTGATTAAGGAAATGAGAGGAAATAAGACATTAACTAGCACCTACACAGGGCACACAAACTTGGGGAGTTTTTTTTTTTTTTTTTTCATTCTTCGAGAGAATTAAAAGCAGAAGATGCTGCTGTTACAATTCCCTGAAATAAGATGCCAGAACCAAGGACGAACATTTAACAGCTGTTTTGGAACTGATTCTGGGAATAAACAAAAAGCTGCCTATGGTTTTGCCACAGTTAAAAAGCACAGACTCTGTGATTCATACACAGTCTATATCATGTGAATGGAGCCAAAGGAATGATACCAAGAAAAGACAATGACAAAAAGGGAGGTTTAATCGTCATGATGGTTGCAATTATAATTAAATGTTAACTTGAGAAGAGGATTGCTTCACTCTGCTAAGGACGCCAAGGATTTGAGGGGTGTCTACAGCAAGTGGACCAAAGGCTGTTGAAATTTCTCTCCCTACTCAAAGAACTTCAAACTTTAACCTATTAATATTTATAAAATAGAGAGAAGGAAAATATTATTTTGATAGCTGGTATGAAAATTCTTAGAAGGTTTCAATTCTCTCTCCTCCTTTCCCTTCTTCCCTCTAGGTCTCCCTCCCTCCTTTCTCTCTTGCCTTCCTGCCTTACATTAAAAAAAAAAAGCCTGTTTAGAGTAGAAGCTGAGATGGCAAGGGGCCTAAGTATGAACAGAACTGCTTGGCATGAAACAAGGAAAGAAATTTGTGTTTTGAACCAGAGAGAGAGAAGAGAGAAAAGTAAAATGAGAAAATGGAGTAAGAAAATGGGCTGAGGAATATGGGGTATACTCTGTAACCCCCAAATCTTCAGTGAAGTTCTAAAGTCACAAAATGCTCATGGGGACAGTGGGGGTGGGGGTAGTCAGGGATCTTGTGCAACAACCGGGAAAGGGTCTGACCTTTGGCAAGGGAAGGAATCAAGAACACATGCAGAGACAACAAATTAGGGCCATGAATTAGGGCCAGGATTTGCAGAAATTGTAGGAAGGGCTGTGGATTCTCATTGTCTGTGACACCTGGGGTTTCAGCCAAGTTTACCTTAACCTCTGAAGGCCAGAGCAGCTTCATCTGGGATATATTTGCAAGGATTTGAGAGAAGTTTCTTATACGGACACAGTCATTGGATTTATAGTCCACCCTAAATCCAGTTTTTCATTTAAGCTACATGGCTGTGAAGCCACGCTGTGGTTTTTCATTGAGTTCTGTACACTGTATTTTTTGAGTCATACCTGGAATCATGATCAAGTTTCCATGGGGCACAGGAATCTCTAATGCATGCTTCCCAATTCTGACTGCATTAGGAGTGGAAGAGGTTAGACAATATTCATTATCTGGCCAACCACCTCAATCCATCCACCCATGAACTCAGCAAGCATACGGAACACTTTCTATGTTTAAGGCACTTGTCGACAAAGATGGACAAGACCTAGATCCTCATCTCAAGGAGCTTAGTCTAATGACACATGTAGTGCTGTTGAATTGTGCTCACCCAAAAAGATATGTCCAGGTCCTAACTCTGGTACCTATGAATGTGGCCTTATTTGAAAATATGGCCTTTGCAGACATAATTAAGGATCTCAGGATAAGAACATTCTGGATTTAGGGTGGGTTATAAATCTGATGACAGTGTCCTTTTAAGAGACAGAAAAGGAAGACACAGAGAAAAAGATGGCCAAGGGAAGATGGAGGCAGAGCGACTCATGCCGCTACAAGCCAAGGAAAATCGAGGGTTTTTCCTTTAAGCTATGTGGCTGTGAAGCCATGCAGTGGTTTTTCATTGCGTTCTGTGCACTAAATTTTTTGAGCAATACTTGGAATAATGATCAGGTTTCCTCGGAGCACAGGAATCTCTAATTTTTCCCACTGAGGCCTTCAGAGGGAACCAGCTCTGCTGACACCTTGACTTTGGATTTCTGGGCTCCAGACTGTGAGAGAATAAATTTCCAGTGTGTTTTTTTGTGTGTGTTTTGGGGGGGGTGGTGGTGGTGGGGAGACAGAGTCTTGCTCTGTCGCCCAGGCTGGAGTGCAGTGGCGTGATCTTGGCTCACTGCAACTTCTGCCTCCCAGGCTCAAGCGATTCTCATGCCTCAGCCTCCGAGTAGCTGGGATTACAGGTGCCCGCCACCATGACTGGCTAATTTTTGTATTTTTAGTAGAGACGGGGTTTCACCATGTTGGCCAGGCTGGTCTCGAACTCCTGACCTCAGGTGATCTGTCTGCCTTGGCCTCCCAAAGTGCTGGGATTACAGGCATGAACCACCACACCCGGCAGAATTTGTTGTTTTAAGCCACTCAGTTTGTGGTTATTTGTTACGGCAGCACTTAGGAAACCAATACAGCAACTTGTACTGCAGTAGCTAGGTACCAGGCAGAAAGGGGTAAATGCCACAACAAAAGTATAAGATGCTTTGACAGTTTGGATGGAGAAGAGCTGACTTAAAGTTGGTGAGAGTGCAGGAGAGGCGGCGGTTCAGAGAGGTTTTATGGTGGTGGCAACATTTGGGCTGAATCTGAGGGAAAACATATGATTTTGACATTCAGAGATGGTGGTGTAATAAATTGGTCACATGGTTCTAGTTAACTCCACTTATCTCATCACATAGAACATCGGTGTGGCTATCAAGGAAGCAGATAGCACCCTCTGGTGCAAATGTGAAAACACTCCTCAACAATATCACCCATCCTCACTAAATTTGTTTTTGAGACAGGGTTTCACTCTGTCGCCCAGGCTGTAGCACAATGGCACGATCATGGCTCACTGTAGCCTTGACTTCCCAGGCTCAGCTGATCTTCCCACCTCAGCCTCCTGAGTAGCTGGAACTGCAGGTACTCACCACCATGCCCAGCTAATTTTATGTTTTGTAGAAATGGGGTTTCACCATATTGCCCAGGCTGGTCTCGAACTCCTGGGCTCATGCCATCCTCCTGCCTCAGTCTCCCAAAGTGCTGGGATTACAGGTGTGAGTCATTGCGCCTGGCCGCTAAATAATTTAACAGCTTTACTGAGGTATAATGGATACACACAGAACTGTACATATTTAATACATACAATCTGAAGTGTTTGAGCCTACGCAAATACCCCATGATGCCATCATCTTGATGGTATCAACAGACATATCCAACACCTCCCAAAGTTTTCTTGTGTCCCTTTTGTCTTGTAGTAACCTCTTAAAATGAGATTGACCCTGTCACCCTGAAATGGAGTCTCCCTCTGTCACCCAGGCTAGAGTGCAGTGGTGCAATCTGGGCTCGCTGCAACCTCCACCTCCTGGGTTCAAGCGATTCTCCTGCCTCAGCATCCCAGGTAGCTGGGATTACAGACGTCCACCACCATGCCCAGCTAATTTTTGTATTTTTACTAGAGATGGGGTTTCACCATGTTGGCCAGGCTGGTCTCAAACTCCTGACCTCAAGTGATCTGCCCACCTCGGCCTCCCAAAGTGTTAGGATTACAGGCATGAGCCACTGCACCCAGCCCTGTTAATAGATTTTTAAGCACACTATACCGTATTAAGTGTAGGTACAATGTTGTGCAGGTCTCTAGAATGTATTCATCAAGCAATCTGAAACTTTAGACCCATTGAACAGCAACACTACATCTCCCCTACTCCTCAGCCCCTGGCAGCCACTATTGTATTCTCTGCTTCCTTGCTCTCTGCAAATCTGACTCTTTTAGATAGCCCTGGCTATGCCAGACACTGGGGTTCCCCCTCTCTCCCCTGGAACTGTATTTCTGCTGAGTGTCTGGGTCCAGTGAGATATTATGCACACTATTTACACTTTATTCCATGCCAAGGTGGAAAGGGGGGTTGGACCAAGCAGAAATCCCAAGAACTCCTGTCCCTCTCCATTATATGGCCTGGACACCAGCCAAGCTCAAGAAGACAGCAGTCTATTATGTTCGTGCAAAAGTAATTGCGTTTTTTGCCATTAAAGTAACGTCAAAAACCATACTTACTTTTGCCCCAACCTGATAGTTCCTTTTCCCTGGGCCCTACCTGGTCTCTCCAAGGCAGAGAGCTCCTCCCTAGAAGAAAGTTCATTCAGCTCCATCTGACCACCCTGAGGAGGGGAGAATCCACTTGCAGGAGGAAGAAGAGAACTTTGATCGGTCCATAACTTCCCCGTGGGTAGAGGGTGAGTGAGGGACCACATTGTGTCACTGCCTTGAAACCCGTATAGTCCCTCCCTGATATTGAGGGGAGAGGGTAACAGAAGAGGGCTGGAGGACTGCACGGTGCAAACTGTTTTACATTTAAGATCTCACTTTATCCTCACAATTCTACATGTTTTAAGTATTATTTCTCCCCATTTCTTCCACAGTCCAGGATACTAAAGTTCAGAGAGGTCATATAACTTTTCAAAGGTCACACTACTAAAAAAACGGAGTCAGGCAGAAATGATTTTTCAAATCAATATATAATTCACACATCACAAAATTCACCCTTTTAAAGTGTTCAATTCAGTGGTTTTCAGTATATTCACAAAGTTCTGCAACCATCATATTTACAGAACACTTTCATGACCCTAAAAGAAAATTCCATACCCATCAGCAGTCACTCCCCCTTTCCCGGACCCCGGCAACCACTTTGTCTGTATAGATTTGCCTATTCTGGACATTTCATGTAAACATAATCATATGATATAGGGTCTTTTGGGTCTGGCATCTTTCACTTAGGATGTTTCCAAGGGTCATCCATGTTGCAGCATGAATCAGTACCTTGTTCCTTTTCATGGCAAATAATATTCCACTGTATGGATAGATGACATTTTAAAAATTCACTCATCAGCTGATGAACATTTGAGTTGTTTCCACTTTTTGCTTTTTTTTTTTTTTTTTTTTTTTTTGAGATGGAGTCTCGCTCCGTCGCCCAGGCTGGAGTGCAGTGGCGCGATCTCGGCTCACTGCAACCTCCACCTCCTGGGTACAAGTGATTCTTGTCCCTCAGCCTCCCAAGTAGCTGCAATTACAGGTGCCCGCCACCATGCCTGGCTTTTTTTTTTTTTTTTTTTTGTATTTTTACTAGAGACAGGGTTTCCTGTGTTGGCCATGCTGGTCTCCAACTCCTGACCTCAAGTGATCCGCCCGCCTCGGCCTCCCGAGTAGCTGGGATTACAGGTGTGATCTACCACGCCCAGCTAACTTTTTGACTATTATGAATAATGCTACTATGAACATTCATGTATAAGGTATGGTGTCAACATATGCTTTCAATCCTCCTGGGTATATACCTAGGAGTGGAATTGCTGGGTCATATGTTAACTCTACGTTTAACTTTTTGAGGACCTGCCAAAGTGTTTCCATAGCAGCTGTACCCTTTTACATTCTCACCAGCAATGTATGAATGTGCCAATTTCTTCACCGTCTCACAGGCATAACTGACTTTAAAACTCATTTCTTTCCCTCCTTTCACCTTTAAATATATTACTTATTGCCTACTATGTAACAGACACCATGCCTAGCACTGGAGATTCAAAGAAAAAAAAAGAAATGGTCTCCATATTCTAGGAATCCTTAGCCCAGTGGAGACAGTAGCCTATTTATTTTTGCACAGGTTTCCCAGCCTCAGGTGTTACTTCTTGCAAAATATAAAGATGAACTGTAAAACCCATGCTAATAATTTAAAATTTTCTTTACTTAGAATGACATGAAATAGCAAATTTAAAACACCGTGACGAGTAGAGAAAGACTGTGGAGGAAAGAAAGAAGCTTTGTATTTTAGTGGTTGTAATGGCACTCATTTCCTGCTTTTTGAGCAAGGAGTCTGCATTTTCATTTTGCACTGGCCCCCACAAATTGTGTGGCCGGCCCTGCAGCTGGTTGAGCCACTCAGCAACAGCGCGTTACAAAGTTACATGGCAAAGGGTGTGGATCCCAGGAGGGCTGGAGAATTGGGCCTTCCATGTAATTTACCACACCATGTATTTGATAGGCTGGGAAGTTTTTATTTTGTGAGGACAGGAGGATAAAAGATCTTTCAAGTTTCTTCTCAAGGGTGATAAAAGGATGACATTGGATTCAGTGAGAATAGTTGACCACATGTACTTCTATTTTAAATTTATAAATGAGATATAATTTGGAGCCAATTGCTGGTTTATCAATCAACTTCAAACACTGGAAAGTCTTAGCTGGTCTTGCTCTCTGCTGACATCTTTAAGAGGGTTGTTTTTGCTAAAGAGCCCATAAATTAGTCTGATTAGATAGCCCCTTGAGCTATAGGGAAGGAGAGACAGCAGCGATGTCAGAGAAAATCAGCCAGAAAAAATATTTGACTTCAATGTCCCATTGCATTGATATTCCCTTTTCAAATAAATCTTTTTAAAAATTTTAGATTTAAGGGGTACACATATAGGCTTCTTATATGAATCTATTGCATAAGGTGAAGTTCGGGCTTCCAGTATACCCATCACCCAAATAGTGAATATTGTACCCAACAGGTAATTTTTCAACCCTTCCCCTCCCTGACTTTCCCCACTTTTGGGGTCCCCAGTGTCTATTATTTATATCTTTATGTCCATGCATATCTAGTGTTTAGCTTCCACTTATAAGTGAGAACATGCAGTATTTGATTTTCTGTTTCCGTGTTATTTCACTTAGGTAATGGTCTCCAGCTCCATACATGTTGCTGCGAAGGACATTTGACTTTATTATTTAAAAAACCAAATAAAACTTCCTTGCTATTATTTTTTGTTTCTTGATCTGATTTCTATCATTTGTGTTACAAGTGGACTCATATTGGCTGGAAGATACAGACTTTGAACCAAGGTTGCTTCCTTTCTTCCCAAGTGTATTAGTCCCTTCTCACACTGCTAATAAAGACATACCCAAGACTGGGTAATTTATAAAGAAAAAGAGGTTTAATGGACTTACAGTTCCACATGGCTGGGGAGGCCTCACAATGAAGGTGAAGGAGGAGAAAGGCACATCTTACATGGTGGCAGGCTAGAGGACATGTGCAGGGGAACTCCCCTTTATAAAACCATCAGATCTCGTGAGACTTATTCACTATCACGAGAACAGCATAGATTCAATGACCTCCCACTGGATCCCTCCCACGACATGTGGGGATTATTACAATTCAAGGTGAGCTTTGGGTGGCGACACAGAACCATATCACCAAGGTCATTTAGAAAGTAACCAGAAGACCCAAGGCTAGCACCCGTATCTCCATAGCTTCTCTTTTGCTTGCAAAGAGAGTTGGACTGCATTTTTAATAGACTATTAAGTCATTTTTGCAAATATTATTTGTGGGCAACATATTTGTATTATTTGGGTCTTTTTTTCACCTTAATTACTGAGATATAAATCTCCATCTGGCCAAAAAAAAAAAGTTTAGTTTGCACAAAAACATTGTCATGGATAGTTTTTAAGACTTTGAGAAAGTTCTTCACTGGCAATTCTATTAATCATTAGACAAGAAATTACAGAAACAAACCCACTGTCTGCTTAATTCAGCTCTTCAAAAGAGTTTCACTTAGGAATATGTGTTTCCATCCCAGAAATGATTAGCGGATGGTTAAATTACAAGAGGAGGGAGAATTAACATTTTGAATGAAAGGGTATATAATGAGAGAGTTTGAAGTGGAAGAAAATTGCTTTCAAATAGAATGGGATTTTTGAACAAGAGAAAAACTGGTCCAGCTATTTATGTACATTACCAGTTTCAATGATTATACTTTGGGCTCCTTTTCAGCTCTGGCCAGTCTTTCTTAACCTGCTGAATGTTTCAGCTTTCAGCTTTACTTTTCCAGAGTTTTGCTGGAGTTATACTGCTAAAAATAGAGGCATATTGTCCACTTAGAGCTCCCTAAGATATGTGGTCTACTCAGTGGTATAGCAGCAGGATAAAGCTAGTCTCTCTTCCCTTTCTCATTCTTTTTTGGATTTGCTTTTCAAAGTCTATTTTGGTGAAAAACACATAACAAAAACTACCATCTGTCTTAGTCCATTTTTATTTATTTATTTTTGAGACAGTTTTGTTCTTGTTGCCCAGGCTGGAGTGCAATGGTGTGATCTTGGCTCACTGCAACCTCTGCCTCCCGGGTTCAAGCAATTCTCCTGCCCCAGCCTCTTGAGTAGCAGGGATTACAGGTGTCTGCCACCACACCTGGCTAATTTTTGTATTTTTAGTAGAGATGGAGTTTTGCCATGTTGGCCAGGCTGGTCTCGAACTCCTGACCTCAGGTGCTCCGCCCGCCTTGGCTTCCCAAAGTGCTAGGATTACAGGCTTGATTGAGCCACTGTGCCTGGCCAATAGTCCATTTTTTGTTATAAAAGAATACCACCCACTGGGTAATTTATAAAAAACAGATTTCCTACAGCTCTGGAGGCTGGGAAATACAAAGTTGAGGGGCCTGCATCTGGAAAAGCCCTCCTTGCTGTGTCACCTTGTGGCAGAAGGGCAAGAGAGCACACAAGAGAGGGGTCAAACTGGCTTTTGTAACAACCCATTCCCAAGATAACAAACCCATTCCCATGATAACGACATTAATCCATTTATATGGATAGAGCTGTCTCATGGCCTAATCACCTCTTAACCATCCCACCTCTTAATACAGTGGCAATGGCAATTAAATTTCAACATGAGTTTTGGAGGGGACATTCAAACCATAGCACCATCTTAGCCATTTTTACATGTATAGTTCAGTGGTGTTAAGTATACTCACATTATTTTGCAACCAATCTCCAGAACTTTTCCATCTTGCAAAACGGAAACTCTATACCGATTCCTCCACCCCATCCCCCAGCCCTTAATAATCACCTTTCTCCTTTCTATTTCTATAATTTTGACTACTTTAGACAGTTCATATGAGTGGAATCAAAGTAATTGTCCTTTTGTGACAGATTTATTTTGCTTAGCATTGTATCTCTGAGGTTCATCCATGCTGTAGCATGGGACAGGATTTCCTTCTTCCTTTTCTCTTTACTCCTTCTCATTACTGGGCTGACAATAGGTCTGGTCTGTAGGAGATGCACTTGCCAAGGGCCTTCACCCACAAGGACAGAAATACCTTTGGGTTCTATGCCCTGGGAGAAGCAGGCAGCACTCTAGTTAATTACTCAAAGAAAGTCTAAGAGGAGAAGGGAGTTGTCTAGGTAAAGCCATGAAATTCAGGCTGAGTCTAAGGGTTTTCACTGTATCAGTATGAGACAGCTTCTTTGGGACTTGATCCTGTCAGGGTGGTGGTCACAGAAGTCATTGAAGATTCTCAGGAGCAAAAGGCCCTAACTTTTTTTCCATTTATCCATGAGTCTTCAAATACTGATGAAATGTTTAACATCTGCTAGGCAGGGGACACTTAATAGGGGCCTCTCAACCATTTTTGCAAATCCACACTCCTGGAATGGTGAGGGGTTGACATGAAGTGGGGGAGTCTTGGCCATGGGGGATAAGTTGGTGGATAAGCAATCCCCTCCCCTGGGCTTTGGGTGGACCTCATACAAGCCTTCTGGTGGGCCCCTGTGCAGTTGGGCCATGCTTGCTAAAATGGATCACTTCTCACAGTGAACCACCTATACGCAAGCTGTCACCTCCGGTTCTGCTTGGAGGGATCTGAAACTAAGTTCCAGCATTTGCATCTGTTCAGAAAAACTGGATGAGGGAAAAGGCGTAACTGAAATGCAGGTGCTCTCAAAAGACACTGACAGACACGAAGCAGAAACAGCCTGTCCCGAACATGTCAGAGTAAACTCCCAGATCTCCTGGCGCGTCCATCCCTGAACCACCCAGATGATTCCCTGGGTGACTACTGCAGCTGTTCAAGAGCAGAATGCCCTCACTTGTGTGGACCTGGATCCCACAGATTAATATCCTGCAGGCTCAGCTTGTCTGCTCTTGGCCAAAAGGAAGGACCGAGAAAGTGAAGAACAGCCCTGCTGGCAGCTAGGCCGTGATGTTCCCAACTGAAGATAAATAGCAACATGGGATATAAATAATGTCCAGAGAAGGCCACTCTGTGACCATGTTTGGAACTCAACAGAGACAAGGCCACTCCTCAGCCAGGAAAATGATTAACAGTTCCCCCATCCACTGCTTCTCCTTTACCAATGACAATTCCAGCCCTGTCTCAAGCTTCTCAGCTCCCAAATACAAATTAAGATACCCAATGATTGTATTGCCTCTGCTTCCTGACAACAGAGTTCAGAACATGCTCCTGCATCCCTAAACTCTTAGAATCCCTCCACACGTGCCTAAATCCTGTAATAACCAACCCCCACCCCCATTCTTCTTACTAAAATGCCCCCACAGTCCCCCTGTAGCGAGATCTTACTGGCTGCAGCAAGTAAATGAAGCTAGTTCGGTTTGGACTAGAGATGTGTCCCTGGTGGTCTTCCTGTGGCACGCCTCAGCCCTGCCAGCTACCAGCTGATTCACATCAGAAGAGATGCTAAGAGGAGCCGGGGTGGTGGCTCATGCCTGTAATCCCAGCACTTTGGGAGGCTGAGGCGGGCAAATCATATGGGGCCAGGAGTTTGAGACCAGCCTGGCTAACATGGCAAAACCCCTGTCTCTACTAAAAATACAAAAATTAGCTGCATGTGGTGGCGCATGCCTTAATCCCAGCTACTCAGGAGACAGGAGAATCACGAACCCAGAAGGCAGAGGTTGCAGTGAGCTCAGATCGCACCCCTGCACTCCAGCCTGGGCCACAGAGCAAGACTCTCTCAAAATAAAAAGAAGAGAAGAGATACTAAGGGGAAAAAAGTCACTATTTTCAAATGTTTCCCATTTCGTCTTTCTTTCCTCCTCTTTCTCCAACATAATTCAGTGTCACACATCTCTTTTAAAAATGTCCCTCTACTATTTCTTCCAAATGAGGCTCCAGCTTCCCAACAAGTTGTTGGACCCTGTTCTCTGCTTTGTAGCCCGTCAGAGAACGAACAACGCCCACTCTTCCATCTCCAAACCCCAAAACAACAACAAAGCCTCCTACATTATCAGGCAGAGCAATTTATCTCACTCAAACCTCACTCTACCCCCACACTCAGCATCTTTACAAATCTAAAGCTTCATTCATCAATTAGAAATGGAAACTAGCCTAAATATCCGATAATAGTGCATCAACTAAGTGGGCTATCTTGCAGCTGTTTAAAAAAAAGGCAATTAAGGCAACCTGGAAACCAAAAGTATTGCTTATGAAATAATTGTTTATGAAAATAAAAGATAATACAAAAAATGGTGAGCAGTGTGATTACAACTAGGTAGCTGCTATGTGCAGCTCAGGACCTACACCGGGTGCCCAGGAGGGTTTTTTGTTTTTTTGAGATGGAGTCTCACTCTGTCACCCAGGCTGTGGTGTAGTAGCGCAATCTCGGCTCACTGTAACCTCTGCCTCCTGGGTTCAAGCAATTCTCCTGTCTCAGCCTCCTGAATAGCTGGGACTACAGGCAAGCACCATCACACTCGGCTAATTTTTGTATTTTTAGGAGAGACAGGGTATTCCCATGTTGGCCACGCTGGTCTCGAACTCCTGGCCTCAAGCCATCTGCCCGCCTTGACCTCCAAAAGTGCTGGGATTACAGGCATGAGCCACTTCGCCCAGCCTCAGGAGGGATTTATGATAGATATAGCTTGAAGGCATGAGGAGGCAGCCTACCAGGGCTAAAGGAGAGAGGAATCTGATGGACAAGACCAGGGTTTGGGACTAGGGTGAGAGTGAACGAGGCACTTATGCAAAATTTAACAGAGTGCCAGACAAACTCCCTCAGTAATCAAGATAAAAATATTGTAATGCAATAGTAAAAAAAAAAAAAAAAAAATCAAAATTAGGGCAAGAAACCATGATGAACACAACATCAAAATTTTAAAGGTTCGACCTGCATTTGAAGCCTGAGAGTGCCTCACCTGCCTCACCCTAGTCCCAGCCCTGGTAGGGACAGTGACTAGTGTTAATCAGGTTTAGCCTAAAGCGGCCTCCTTACGTATTTAAATTCAGCCTCAGGGTTTTTCTGTACATGGTGAAGTATAACAAGTGGAGGTGTAAACCCACCGTGGCCCACACCTGTGCCAGTCACTGAATTTTGGCCGATTAAATGTAGCCAACTGTTTGAACCATGCTCAAATAAGGCAAACGCCGAGCTGTAACCAATTCATCTGCTTCTGTGCCTCACTGTGGATTTCTGTCATTTCCTTTTGTCTATAAATCTTCCACATGGCGGCGCTGGCGTTTCTCTGAATCTGCTGTGATTCTGGGAGCTGCCTGATTCGCGAATCGTTCATTACTCAGTTAAACTCCTTTAAATTTATTTTATTTTGAGATGGAGTCTCTCTCTGTCGCCCAGGCTGGAGTGCAAGTGGTGCGATCTCAGCTCACTGCAACCTCTGCCCACCGGGTTCAAGAGATTCTCCTGCCTCAGCCTCCCGAGTAGCTGAGACTACAGGCACCCGCCACCATGCCTGGCTAATTTTTTTGTATTTTTAGTAGAGACGGTTTCACTATTTTGGCCACACTGGTCTCGAACTCCTGACCTCGTGATCCGCTGGCCTCCGACTCCCAAATTGTTGGGATTACAGCCGTTTAAGCCACCATGCCCAGCCTAAACTCCTTTAAATTTAATTTAGCCGAAGTTTTTCTTTTAACAGTAGCCAGCCCTCTAGGGCCAGTGGCCCTCTCTTTGCTCTAGGACTGAGCCCCATTGGGAATAAGGGCCACTCCTTACCAACCCCAAGAGGAGAAGGATTCCAAATGCATACACTTGGTTAAGGAATGGTTGATCCAGAGGGAAGATGTTTCGGTGTAGTCCAGTGTTAAGTAGATGTTGCAGGGGGTTAGGCTGGGACAAGAAGATAGAGCAAATAATAATGCCCTACCCTACCAAGCAAATCTCCAGAGTGAAAGTGACCTAGTTAGGTGACTCTTGGAGATTCAGTGTGATATGGAGACATGTCTGTGAGTTAGAAGCAGCAACGGACATCATTATAGCAACCTGGGTACCCGGGGCACCATTGTTGTTGTGGGAGCAAAGGCTGAAGATGACACATTATGTGTGTGTAGAAATATTTGTAGGGCAAACCAGATGCCCCCTTCCCAGTCCCTGCCTCTGTCCCTAAGGAGCTAGAAGGCAGGCATTTACAGATGTTTGTGGATTCTGCGGGTTGGGGATGGGAGCTGATCTAGAGAAATACAGTCCTGTGATTGTTATAAATCTATTGAGCAGTCAGGCCAGGAGGTTTGTGAAAAATCAGTTTCTGGCCGGACGCGGTGGCTCATGCCTGTAATCCCAGCACTTTAGGAGGCCGAGGCGAGTGGATCTCTTGAGGTCAGGAGTTCCAGACCAGCCTGGCCAACATGGTGAAACCCCGTCTCTACTAAAAATACAAAAATTAGCCGGGTGTGGTGGCGGGTGCCTGTAATTCCAGCTACTCGGGAGGCTGAGGCAGAAAGATCACTTGAACCTGGGAGGCGGAGCTTGCAGTGATTCAAGATCGCGCCACTGCACTCCAGCCAGGACGAGAGTGACTCCGTCTCAAAATAAATAAATAAATAATCAGTTTCTACATGCAGATATGCAAGGATTAGAGGGTTAGATCCCTGAACAAAAATGATTGTGTGAGGGAAATAGTATGACGGTGTGGAATCTTTTAAAAATGTTCAGTGTTTCCAGGGAATCTTTTCAACTATTGAAAGGGAAAATGAAGTAGCACATCCACGAAATTGCCCACATAGAATCTGGCACCACAGCCTGGATTTCAGCAAAGTTAAGCGACAATATCTCACGTGATCATCTAAATGTGAAATATGTGTGGTTTTATCGAGATCAAGATCTTGGTTTTCCTAACAGTGTTTGTACTAGAAAACCTTGGGCCAAGTTTCTATGAAGGTAAAATGCCTGTATGATGAGGCCTAAAATAAGTAATGTTCTGTATTAAAACCTAAAACAAAAAAGCTAGGGCTGGTGATTTGCATGTGTAGTCAAGATTGAGAACCAATGAAACCAGTGCTGCCCGACAGAATTTTCTGCATTGATGGAACTGTTCTAGACCTTTACCGTCCAATGCAGTACCCACATGTGGCTCTTGAGCACTGAGATGTGGCTAGTGGCTGACTTTTTAAGTAATTTAAAATCAAATTTAAATAGCCACACGTGGCTACCAGCTACCGTATTTGAATGGCACAGCTTTAGTGTAGTGGTGCTCAAATTTCGGCTGGTATCAGAGTCACCTGGGGGACTTGGTAAAACTACACAGGCCTAGGCTGCGTACTATTTCAACAAGGCTGGGATTCTGTGTTCTTCATGAGCTCGCCAGGAGATTCTCCATAGCAGCACGTCTCATTGGATCTTGTTAAAATGCAGATTCTGATTCAGTAGGTCTTACATGAGGCCTAAGAGTCTGCATTCATTTCTAACAGGGGATACCAATGCTGCTGGTCCAGGTACCACCCTTTGAGTAACATGGTGCAAGATTTTGGTTGTATTCATTTCTTGTTACGTTACATTCCTGAATGGATGCTGTTTGCTATTTTCCAATGTTCTACTTAGTACAGTCAGGGGAAGTTCAGGTGCTTGGGACATCACCTACCCTTTAACTTTCCTCCTCCTGTGCAACCTCCAATCAGGCCTAATTCCCTACATATCTGCTGTATTAGTTCTCATGCAGCTAATAAAGGCATACCTGAGACTGGGTAATTTATAAAGAAAAAGAGGCTTAATGGACTCACAGTTCGACGTGGCTGGGGAGGCTTCACAATCATGGCGAAAGGCAAAGGAGAAGCAAAACCCCACCTCACACGGCAACAGGCAAGAGAGCGTGAGGAGGGGAACTGCCCCTTATAAAGCCATCAGATCTCGTGAGAACTAACTCACTATCACGAGAATAGGATGGGGGAAACTGCCCCCCTGATTCAATTATCTCCACCTGGTCCCTCCCACAACATGTGGGGATTATGGGGACTACAATTTAAGATGAGATTTGCATGGGGACACAAAACTTAACCATGTCACCTGCTAATTGAAAATGCCAGCAAAACCTTTAGGTAGAAATCCAAAGTAAGAAACAACTTGATCATACATGTATTTTGTTTGGTGTATTATTTCGCTCTCACAATTTATTGCCTGATTGCCTTTTCCAGAAAAAAAAGAGCCCGTGTGTGTGTGTGTGTACGCACACGCGCGTTCGCACATGCTTGTGTTGGGGGGGTTGGGGTGGGAGGCAGCCAATATGCAAAGTGAGAGTGTCATTTTAAAAATTTACTAATTGCAACAGATCACCATGACTGGAAAACAAAAGCTCTGCACAGCGTAAGGCAGAGAAATGGGATTTGACAGGTATTTGCCAATATTAAGAAGTGTATTTCCTGTAGATATTAGAAAAATTCCCTAAAATTATCCTGAAAATGTGACAATAAGCATAGATTCCTGAATAGTCAAGAGAAAAGGGGATTTTCAGTGGGTAAGAAACATTCCATTGCTTAACACGGGCTAACTTTTTAAGTCTCAGAAAGTTAAATGGGTCTTTTAATGGGAAGTAATAGGCACTCTCTAATTTCCACATACTGATGTGTTCCACAGTGTCACCCATACATTGGGCAGCTGTTCCTTTCTTAATACTCCAAGCCTATAAAACTCCCATTTAGACAAAAGGACCGAATTCTGCTCTGTGCATCTCAATTACAATCTGTTACAAATTGCAGATGCAGGAGAATGGAAGCCTGTAGGCAAAAGCCTGTGTCTCCTGCAGCCTCCTCACAGGGAAGGAAGTGTGGTCACTCAGGCTTTGTCCTCTCTGAGCGCAGAGCTGACCAGTGTTGCTTGGCTCATATTTACTTGTAGGCTGGGGCACTCCCAGGGCACAGGGATCATGTTACCATTTCCCACCTTCCTGCTCTTCCTTTATTTCTTGCTATGCTTTCTCAGCTTCCTTTTCCGGCTTATTCTTTTCTTCCCAACCTGTAAATATTGGCCTTCTTCAAGACTCAATCCTAGCCTTTCTTCTTTATATATTTAGCTGCTATGTTGTTCGAGACATACAAGTTTCCATATTATCGCTTCTTTTCTTAAACTGTTTGCTGTCATTCCATAACTTCCCTCTTCAGTCTCTATAGGTTTTTTCATCTTCAATTCCTTCCTGCCTGATGATAAATATTACCATTTCTGTTATATATGACACTGGCCTGCTATCTCTTTCTTATAAATTATTCATTTTTAAAAACTCCTTTTGATATTTTCAAGGCCAGATGTGGTGGCTCACACCTGTAATCCCAGCACTTTGGGAGGCCAAGAGGGGAGAATCACTTGATCGCAGGAATTCAAGACCAGCCTGGGCAACATAGCAAGACTCCCCTCTCTACAAAAAAAATTTTTTTAAAAATTAGCCAGGATTGGTGGCATGCCTGTGGTTCTAGCTACTCAAGAGGCTGAGGTGGGAGGATTGCTTAAACCTGGGAGGTTTAGGCTGCAGTGAGCCATGATTGTGCCAATTCACTTCAGCCTGGGCGACAGAGGAGACCCTGTCTCAAAACAAACAAACAAACAAAAAACAGAAAAACAAACACCCAAACAAAACTCATTTTGATATTTTCTATCTTTTGATAGAATTAAGTCTATTCTAGCCTGGCCAACATGGCGAAACTCTGTCTCTACTAAAATTAAAAAAATTAGCCAGGCGTTGTGGAGCGTGCCTGTAGTCCCAGCTACTGAGGAGGCTGAGGCAGGAGAATCACTTGAACCTGGGAGGCGGAGGTTGCAGTGAGCCGAGATCACATCACTGCACTCCAGCCTGGGTGACAGAGAGAGACTCCACCTTAAAAAAAAAAAAATTAAGTCTATTCATATCCACTGAAACGACTGATATATTTGATTAATTTTTTTCCATAGTATGTTTATTCTATATCATTTTAATTTGGTGTTTCTTCTTTTTCTTTTTCCTTATTTTTGTTAGGTTTATGAAGTTGCTATCCATTCCATTTTTTTTGCCCTGGCTAGTTCGGAAGTTCCATTGCACTTTCCATTCTCTTAATTGTAACTTATTGTCATCTGGTATTTATAACCAATTGCATATTTTGTTACCATTACTTGAAAACACAGCCCCCCAACTATTCTCTCACCCAACAGTCTATTTTTCCTTGCATCCCTTACCCTAATAAGATGAGGTTGTCAGTGTATTTTAACTCTCCTTCCCCCTCCACTCCACCACATCTAATGCCTGTTTTTTTCTAAAATAGTTTCGTTCTGGATTATTATTAAAATTGCCTTTGCAGCAACTCCTTTTAAGAGTCCTTATTTAGTACTCATATTACAGATTCTAAGATATTAATTTATGATCAATTTAGATTAAACTACTTATTACATATTTTCAGAAATACAATCACTATCCATTTAATTTAAGCTTCAGTACTTGAGGCTACTGTTTTCGTTCACTTGGTTTTTGGTTAGAATGACTTCTTGAGTATTTTTCTCAAATAAATCATGTGGTTATTAAAATTTTTTTATTCTTAAAAATCCTCAAAGATCTTTTTTTTTTCCCGTGATAGATGAATGAAATATTGGCTGGGTGTGGGATTTTTGGGTTGTAGTACTTTACTCTCAGTAGTCTCTAGAGGATTTTTCAACATCTTTTAGCTTCTAGGACTTCCAACACTGTACATGAGAAGTCCAATACTCATCTTACTTCTTCTTTTTTGAGACAGGGTCTCACTCTGTCACCCAGGCTGGAGCGCAGTGGCACAATCTCGGCTCACTGCAACTTCCGTCTCCCAGATTCAAGCGATTCTCCTGCCTCAGCCTCCCGAGTAGCTGGGATTACAGGTGTGTGCCACCACGCCCAGCTAATTTTTGTATTTTTAGTAGAGACGACGTTTTACCATGTTGGTCAGGCTGGTCTTGAACTCCTGACCTCAAGTGATCCACCTGCCTCGACCTCCCAAAGTGCTGGGATTACAGGCTTGAGCCACTTCGCCCAGCCTCTTCTTATTTGTAGATAACTTACTCTGACTGGAAGAATATTTATTTTATTTTATTTTTGAGACAGGGTCGTGCTCTGTTACCCAGCCTGGAGTGCAGTGGCATGATCTCACCTCACTGCAACCTCCATCTCCTGGACTCAAGGGATCCTACCATCTCAGCCTCTGGAGTAGCTGGGACCACCAGAGTGAGACACCATGCCTGGCTAATTTTTTAAATTTTTTGTAGAAACAAGGCCTTGCCATGTTGCCTTGGCTAGCCTCAAACCCCTGGGCTCAAGCTATCCTCCTGCCTCAGCCTCCCAAAGTGTTGGGATTACAGGTGTGAGCTACCGTGCCCAGCCAAGATTTATTTTTTGTTCTTGACAGCTCAGAATTTTACCACAGTATGCATACGTGTATATATCAGTCAGCTATTGTCACAATAATGCTGCATAACCAAATACCACAAAAATCTCAGTGGCATTAAACAATAAGTATTTATTCTTTTTCACACACGTATAAATCTAGGCTGTACTTAAATCTAGGCTCCAGATTGGGTCCAGGTTGGATCAGGAGCCTCCAAAAACATGCTTTTCCCATGGCAGAAAGCAGGAGCACAGGGTGGTGAGGCCAGCTATGCAGGTATAATTCAAGTTTTGCTTGAATCACATCTATTAACATCCCATTGGCCAAAGTGAGTCACACAGCCAAACCCAAAGTCAAGAGTTAAGAAAGTACTGCTCACCCATATTAGATAAGGGGAGGGAATAAATGTCTGTTGAGCAACAATTTCATGTATTGTAGTGTGTAGATTATCTACTATTATCCTCCTGGAAACTACTGGGAACTCAGTGCAGCTTTTCAATCTATAAACTTGGGTCTTTGTTTTGTTCAAGGAAAAGTTTCCGTCATTACTGTCGTCCCTCTTTATATGTGAGAGATTGGTTGCAGGACCCTAACATTTACCAAAATCTGTGCATAGCCAAGTCTCACAGGCAGCCCTGCAGAACCCAAGTATATGAAAAGTCTGCTCTCTGTATGTACGGGTTTCACATCTTATGGATACCATATTTTTCATCTGAGTTTGGTTGAAAAAAAGTCCCCATTATAAGTGGGCCCATGAGGTTCAAATCTGTGTCGTTCAAGAGCCAATGTACTCGCATAATCATGCTTACCCGCCATCAGTTCGTTTTCCCCTCCTTGATCTCCTATTTTTGCTTGTCTCTATCTTCCAAGTCTCTTATTTTTATAATTCCATCTTTTTGTATTTTTTGAGATAGTATGTTTGAGATATTTCTTCTCCTTCCCCCAAATTACTACCTCTGGATGCAATGGCAGGATGCAAGGAGATCTACTGTATTTTAAAATTTTGAAATCATTTTCACCTAGTTACAGAAAGTTTTTGTGTGTGGGAGGATGCTTGCATGTATAGGGTGACTAACTCATCCTGGTTTGCCCGGGACTGTCTTGGTTTTAGCACTGAAGGCCTCACATCCCTGCATCTCCCTTAGTCCCGGGAAAACCAGGATTGTTGGTCACCCTAATGCTGTATTTGAATCTCTTTTTCTTAGTTTTATTTTTAAAAATTTGTTATTTGTCCTCTAGCAATTCTGTTTCCCTGAGTGCCTGCCTTATTTGATCTTCCTCCTTTTGGCTGCTGGGAATTCTTTTTTTTTTTTATTTGGAGATGGGATCTTGCTCTGTCACCCAGGCTGAAGTGTAGTGGTGTGATCACCACTCATTGCAGCCTTGACCTCCCGGGCTCAAGTGATCCTCCCATCTCAGCTTTCCAAGTAGCTGGGACTACAGGTGTGTGCCACCATGCCTGACTAATTTTCTTTCCTTTTTTTTTTTTTTAGAGACAAGGTCTTGCTATATTTCCCAGGCTGGTCTCGAACTCCTGGGCTCCAGTGATCCTCCCACCTCAGCCTCCCAAGGTGCTGAGATTACACTCATGAGCCACTGCACCTGGCCTGCTGGGACTTCTTAGATGTCTTGTTACTTTTCTTTATCCATTGTACTGAGACTATTTGGGTCTCACTTGTCATGCATCAGGACTTGGAGTTAATTTTAAGTCATCACCTTTATTCAGGGGAAGGAAAACTTAACAAGGCCAGGGTAACAGGAGAAGAGAAGGCCCATCCCCCCTTCCTTCCATTATCCATTAGAGAAATTTGCCAGCGTCACCGCACCCTCCTGGTTATATAGTGTGTGTCTGCATTCCGGAAGAGGGACCTGCCCCCTTACTGCTCTCCTTTTATAGAGTGAGGATGAGAAGACAACTTTATTAATGAAGGGACACATAAACTGCTTGAGTGCCAGGAAGTCTGGAGTTGGATGCTAGCTGTTTAAAGGAGTTACCTAGGAATTCCAGCTGCTGGCCTCTGTTGGGAGGTGCCACTTCTCCATGGGTTTTTGTGTGTTTCTGCATGTCTGGTGAGTAGAGGCACTAACAGTTTTTATTCTGAACTAACTTTTGAAGAAAGTTTGTATAGTGTCTCCCTATGAAGCCAAGGGCAAACTTTTTTGTTGACCAGTATAATAAAGATAAAGGGTTAAGTGTGGTGGCTCATGCCTGTAATCCCAGAGCTTTGGGAGGCCAAGGCAGGAGGATCCCTTGAGGCCAGGAGTTCGAGGTTACAGTGAGCTATGATTGAGCCACAGCACTCCAGCCTGGGCAACAGAGCAAGATCTTGTCTTTAAACAACTTAAAGAAAAAGAATAAAAATGATAATGTCTTATTCGAGAACACAATTGGGCAAGTTTGCTTGCAGCCCTCTTTAAAATAGTATTTTCTTTTAAAAACTTTTTAATTTTAATTTTTAATTTTATTATTTTTTTTTGAGACAGAGTCTCGCTGTGTTGCCCAGGCTGGAGTACAGTGGCACTATCTCGGTTCACTGCAACCTCTGCCTCTCAGGGTTAAGCGATTCCCGAACCTCAGCCTCCTGAGTAGCTGGGATTACAGGCGTGCACCACCACACGGCTAATGTTTGTATTTTTAGTAGAGATGGGTTTCACCATGTTGGCCAGGCTGGTCTTGAACTCCTGGCCTCAAGTGATCTGCCCACCTTGTGCTTGTAATCCCTCCCAAAGTGCTGGGATTACAGGTGTGAGCGACCGCGCCCAGCTAAAATAGTATTTCTAAGCGTGGGTTGCTCATCTGTGACACACATCCACTGCACGTGCAACATCCACCTGGGTCCTTCTCCATGTTGCCCCCATGAAACTTGGGGGGCAGAGGAACCAATGCAAACCTGAGGTTCATGCTTTCTATTGCGCTATGAGTAATAAAGTAATTTTTCTTTGACCTGATATTCTTGTGTCTTCTGCCAGCATGCATGAAACTGTGGCAGGCTAACTGATTAGCTTGCAAGCAGGGTAAATTCTCAGACCCTTCCCAGTTCTTGACAGAGCCCATTAGAAATTATGTGCCCTCTGGTCAGGGGAAGGCAGCCACTGGTCCCATAGGAAGCTGAGTTCAGTAGAAGGCCCCTTCCCCACTCTGTTCCAGCCCCAGCTGATTTATGATACAGGCAACTCAGAATGAGGTCATTTTTAGATAATTCTGCTTATTTTAGTATAGTAGATAATAGACAACTATAGGGTGTTCCATAGTTCCTGATCTCTGTATATTCTAATCTATGGAAGGGTTGTCTACTGTGATGGTTAATACTGAGTGTCAACTTGATTGGATTGAAGGATGCAAAGTATTGATCCTGAGTGTCTGTGAGGGTGTTACCAAAGGAGATTAACACTTGAGTCAGCGGACTGGGAAAGGCAGACCCACCCTTAATCTGGGTCGGCACCATCTAATCAGCTGCCAGAGCAGCCAGAATAAAAGTGGGCAGAAAATCGTGAAAAGACTAGCCTGGCTTAGCCTCCCGGCCTACATCTTTCTCCTGTGCCAGATGCTTCCTGCCCTTGAGCATTGGACTCCAAGTTCTTCAGCTTTGGGACCTGGACTGGCTTCCTTGCTCCTCAGCATGCAGATGGCCTTTTGTGGGACCTTGTGATCGTGTGAGTTAACAGTCCTTAATAAACTCCCCTTAATATATACATCTATCCTATTAGTTCTGTCCCTCTGGAGAAAACCCTGACTAATACATCTCCCAAGGATTTATTTATAAGTATTTTCCTATGGAAGCAATTTTATAAACAGTAGTTATACTTAGCCCTAGTTTTTTCTAGACTAGCTCTCTAAACTTATTATGCAGCTTCAATTTAGTGGTTAAGACAATGAATTTTGGAACCAGACTACCTAGATTCAAATCCTGGCCTCTTTGTTAACTAGATGTGTGACCTTTGACAAGTTACACTTACCTCTCTGTTTCCTCACTTGAAAATTGAGTTAACAATACCAGCCACCAATAGAATTGTTTTGAGGATTAAATGGATAATGCATGCCTTGTAAGCAACTACTTTCTAAGCTGCTATGATAACCATTTAATAATTTGGCCACTAGGTACAATTTAAGCAAACTTGATCACCACCTGTAGTCTTGTTCATATAACATATACTGCTGGGGGCGATGCTTTTTACCTATTTCTTCTGTTTCCAGGGGGCGGAGCTTCCATTAGAGCAACAGTTCTTAATCTGGGGTCTGTGGACACTTTCAGGGGACCCATGAACTTAATAAGAAAAAAACCTTACATTGTAATTTCACCTGACTTCTTCTTCTTCTTTTTTTGAGACGGAGTTTCACTCTTGTTGCCCAGGCTGGAGTGCAACGGCACGATCTTGGCTCACCACAACCTCTGCCTCCCGGGTTCAAGTGATTCTCCTGCCTCAGGCTCCCAAGTAGCTGGGATTACAGGCATGCGCCACCATGCCCGGCTAATTTTGTATTTTAGTAATTTTGGAGAAACCAACATGGGTTTCTCCATGTTGGTCAGGCTGGTCTCGAACTCCCGACCTCAGGTGATTTGCCCGCCTCAGCCTCCCAAAGTGCTGGGATTACAGGCGTGAGCCACCACACCCAGCCATTTTATCTGACTTCTAACTGAAATGCAGTATTTCCTGCAAGTATGAATATAGACAACAAACTGCAGTATTACCAGTGTCTATAAATTTGTAGCTAATAGAAATGAGATATTTTCTTATGAAATTTCACTTGTTGCAGATATCTCAAAATATCGTTTAAGCTCATCACTACTTCAAAATTATGGTAGTTATTAGTCCCACCGTTGTCTTATTATTTAATGCATTAATAAAGGAACACATAGATTATCATGAATGTATTTACGGTATATACTTTCAGGGTTGTATTTTAGTGTAATTGGTTTCCTTTGTAATACCATGTATTTTATTTTATGCCCTTAAAAATGTTATTTTGAGGCCGGCATGGTAGCTCATGCCTGCAATCCCAGAACTCCGGGAGGCCTAGGTGGGTGGATTGCTTGAGCTCTTGAGTTCGAGAGCAGCCTGGGCAGCATGGCAAAACCGTCTCTACAAAATATACAAAAATAAAAATAAAAAAAATTAGCTGGGTATGGTGGTGAGTAGTCCCAACTACTCCAGACGCTGAGATAGGAGGATGGCTTGAGCCCAGGAGGCAGAGGCGGCAGTGAGCCAAGATCACACCACTGCACTCCAGCCTGGGCGATAGAGCCAGACCTTGTCTCCAAAAAAAAAAAAAAAAAAAAAAAAAAGTTTTGAGAAAGGATCCACGGGCTTCACCAAATACCAGAGGCCTATTGTTGAGGGGTTAAGAAGCTCTTCATTAGAGTAAAGTGGGCTCTCCCTGCCCACTCAGTTCTCCCCAGTGGGAGGGCCAGATCATGGGAGGGATCTGCAGCCCACAGCAGCCCTGCCTCCAGCCCTGCCTGTGAGTGAGGAAGCCAGGTCTAAATTATGTCCTTGAATATATGAGCATCACTAATAAAGAGATATATTGATGTCCAGCTGTTTGCTGGATCCCTCTCTTTTTCAGCTGGTGTCAATCTATGGCAAAGACGTCACGTATAAGCTCCCCTCAAACGCCAACATACAGCAAAATGACAGACTGCCATCTGTCATTTCGTCCATGTCATGGGGTCTCTGCAACCATATTGTGAGCCCCCTGGCGACAGGCCTACGTCTTGCCCTCAGTGAGGCAGTAAAGAGGGTTGTGTGGGAAAGAATGTGGTCTCTGACCCCAGGAAGCTTGGGTCCAAATCTGGGCTATGATACTTTGCAGCTGGGAGATTGTGAACAAATTACTTAAGAGCCCAATGCCTTGTTTCCTCTTTTATAATTGTAAGTGGTTTTTGCAAGAACTCAGTGAGTGAAACAGTAAGAGAGAACAGTGTCAAGCATGTAGAAAGAACAGAGGGGAAAAGATCCTATATTTTATGCCTACGTGTTTATCAGGATGCAATGAAAGCAGTTAAGTACATTTTCCCTGCAGATGAAATACTAAAGTCCTGGAGATGAAGAATTATTTTAATTAGATTTTATGGAAAAATATATTTAACGACTTGCAATACTACTAAGACTCTATCAAAGTAGTCCTCTATCTTACCAGTAAGAATAAACTCAGCTTTCTCTAATCAACAGGTTGTCTTGGTGACATTTCAGGGAGGCAGCATGCAACGAAAACAAATGACAATATTGGTATTAGCTGAGAGGTGGGAGAAATGGAAGTGGGACCCTGAAGACAGCCTGTTCACTAAGATGTTACTGTTGCTTTTAAGAAATAAGTTTCTTAGTAGAATTGGGTGTTTTTCCCAAAACAGAAATCTAATACAGAATGACAGCTGTTTAAACTTGTCACTTATAAATAAGTACAAATTATCTGTGCAGATACAAACACCTGGACTTCCTGGGTTGGTCAATACTTTTCTCTTGTAATGTTATTTCTATCATCTCCTTGGTCTGTGTCCTGGCCTCTGACTTGGGGTAGGGCAATAAGCCACGAAAATATTGAGCCTGCCTCTATTAGGTTAGTGCAAAAGTAACTGTGCTTCTTGACATTAAAAGTAATGGCAAAAACTGGCCGGGCGCGGTGGCTCACACCTGTAATCCCAGCACTTTGGGAGGCTGAGACAGGTGGATCACCTGAGATCAGGAGTTTGAGACCAGCCTGGCCAACATGGTGAAACCCCATCTCTACTAAAAATACAAAAAAATTAGTCAGGTGTGGTGGCACATGCCTGTAATCCCAGCTATTAGGGAGACTGAGGTAGGAGAATCACTTGAATCTGGGAGGTGGAGGTTGCAGTGAGCCAAGATTGTGCCACTACGCTCCAACCTGGGCAACAAGAGCGAAAACTCCATCTAAGAAAAACCAAAAAACAAAACAAACAAACAAACAAACAAGTAATGGCAAAAACCACACTTACTTTTGCCCCAACCTATTTCTCATTCTTTCTATTGCGTACTCATCTATTGACATTTCATTATTCTGTAAATCTAGCTTAAATTACTGAAGGACACAATGAGATGAGGGTTGAATACCATCTAGGTCCTAAAGAGGCATTTTTACTTTTCTTTGGTCTGTCTTCTCCCCCATCTCCAACATTATTGTGGAAAATCCTCCTTATATAGGTGTTTAAATAAATACATACTCTAGGGTTTTATTTCAAGGGTTATATTCTTTTCTCTTCATCATTGTGGCAGTTGCATCCAATTATCAACTGTTTTGAGGATCATTATAAGGAAATAAAGACCACCAAATGATAATCAGAAACAAAACTAAATTTATTTGCCTGCCTGGGAAGGGAAGGTCACATCACTGAAGCACAAATTTGGCTGTTGTCTCCATGTCCTACTTGAAAGAAGCAGCAGGCAAAGGAGAAAGCACACCAAATTTGGTGACATACTGAATTCAGGTCACTGCTTAGCTCCGAAGGCCATGCATAAACTCTTCTCTACAACTGGTCATTGCACTCGTTCGCCTCTTAAAAGTGCAGGCACCATTCCCAATTATGTCCAGGCTGCTCTGATGGACTTGGTGTCACTTAGGAAATTCGACGTGTTTGCTTGAAGTTGGTCAAATCTTTAACAGCATCGGTAGCACATTAGTAAAAGGGTTCATCAAGTAAGATTCACTGGATACCTGTCTCTTTACTGATGTCTTTTGGAATGCCAGATCAAATCTCCTTCTATTTTGTTAAGGCAAAAAACAGAGAAATGTACATGTGTACCTAGAAAAACTAATATTACATAGGGTACCCTTCAAGGTTTTAACAGAGCAAAATATGAGGTGCTAGAACAGATGCTTGTACATGAAAGTTGACAGCAGCTCTATGCACAGCGCCCAAAAGGTAGAAACAACCCAAGTGTCCATCATCAGAATAAACAAAAATGTGCTATATACAAACAATGGAATGTTATCGAACCACAGAAAGGAATGAATTAGCAATACATTTTACGACATGGAAGAACTTCAAAAACATTATGCCGAGTGAAAGAGGCCAGACACAAAAGATCACATACTGTATGACTACATTTACAGGAAATATTTAGGTAAATCCATAGAAACAGAAAGCAAATTGGTGGTTGCCAGAGGCTGGGAGTGTGAAGATGTCACGCTAGTGCTTAATGGGTACAGAGATTGCTTGGTGGGTGATGAAAATGTTTTGGAAACAGAAGGGGTAGTTGTACAACATCATGAATGTACTAAATGCCACTTTACAATTGTACTTTACAATGGTTGGTTGTTCTGTGATTACCCCTTAGTTGTTAAAAAAGAAAAAAGAAAGGGAAGACAAAGGGGCACAAAAGTTCATGGTTCTTTGAGTCTCACTGGAACAAGGGAAAAAATGAGGGAGCAGAAACAGCTGAACAACTGATGATGATGCATCAACAAAGAGAAAAAGACAAAGAAAAAGACGGGGGTTCTACTTAAGAAACAAGGCTACAGATATTTGAAAAGCAAACCAATAAAATGGATTTTCAAATGTTTCACTAAATGTTTCTTGCAAACAACCTACAAAAAATGTAAATGATTTTATAAAGAGAGCACACAAAACATCCAAAAAGGGACTGTGGTGGGGTCGGGGGAGGGGGGAGGGATAGCATTGGGAGATATACCTAATGCTAGATGACACGTTAGTGGGTGCAGCGCACCAGCATGGCACATGTATACATATGTAACTAACCTGCACAATGTGCACATGTACCCTAAAACTTAGAGTATAATAAAAAAAAAAAAATTAAAAAAAAAAATTAAAAAAAAAAAGAAAAAAATAATAAAAATAAAAAAAAAAAGAAAAAAAAAAAAAAAAAAAAAAACATCCAAAAAGAGCCTTTTCAAAGCCAGTGAGAAAGCCTTGCTCTGTGGAGCACTAGGTGCAGACAGGGCCTTTGAAAGGGCAGGGGACTGTCACACAAGCAAATCTGCCACTAATTCCATTCCACAGCTTTAGAGGTCTCCCATGTATTCAATCGCAGTGTGACAAGCATCACTGTACTGTACTTTTTTTTCATTTTTCAAAATGAATGTGTAATAATTCCATTCCATATATTGTGCATAAACCTATTAATGTGAATACGATTACACTCTTTCTTCTGAAAGAGGTTTCTCAGAGTTTATAGGTCACTTTCATATATATTATGTACAGTGAGACCATTTTTAAAAAGCAATGACCTTCACATCACATGAGACAGCAGGGATAAATCATGAGGACATTATGCCAAGTGAGATAAGCCACTCACCAAGTGACAAATGCCATATGATTCCACTTCCATGAAATGGCCAGGGTAGTCAACTCATAGAGAAAGAAAGTAGAACAATGGCTGCCAGGGACTGGATGAGGGAGAATGGGGAGCTGGTGTTCAATGGGCATGAGTTTCAGTGTTGCAAGATGGTCTTGAGATCTGCGGCACAACCGTGGGGGTGGACTTAATACTATTGCACTGGGCACTTAAAATAGTGAAGGTGGTCCATTTTAGATTATATGTTTTTATCACCATTAAAAATTTTAAATTGCGCTCTTCTTGTTAAAATATTAACTTAAAATTAAAATCTTGTTAAAATATTAACTTAACATTGTTGGTACTGCCATTTTATGGCTCTAGAGAAATATGCTTCACAAGTTTAAACTCAACCTGGTTAGGATTTGGACACTTTAAAATACTATATTAAAAACAATTATATCAACAGCAATGACAACAAAAGGAGTAACTTAAGCAAAACAATGCCCCTTTAGGAAATCACTTCCTGTTTCTAAATAAAAATCGGTGGATTGTGCTTCTGTGTAAAGTGTGTATTTTAAAATGTAAAATACCAAAACATGAGAAAAAAAACAAAACTCAAGTAAAAACTGGGAATTCATGTGGGTCAGTGCTCCCATGCTTTTAAAAGAGAACAAACTACCACAAGCCTCAGGGAGCTGGAGGGGTTGGCTTGCCTCCCTTCCTCTGACCTACCAACTGGCTCCCTGCTTGCACACCTGGATGTGGCTGCACTATCTGAACAGCGCCTGTTGCCAAAAACACTGGCTGCTGCAGGACTCTCAAAGGCTGTGTCTGGAGCTGGATCTGCTGTGGCTGTGGTTGTGGCTGCAGCAGCAGCAGCGGCTGTGGCTGCTGCCCCAAGACAAAGGGGAGCTGGACACCCTGCTGAGGAACCTGGGCAGAGCCAAGCAGACTCAACACAGCAGCCTGGGGCTGGGGCTGCAGACCACTACCTGCTCCAGTGAGGTTCACATTAAGAAGTTGCTGAGCAGGGAAGGCCTGCCCTTGCGTGCTCAAACCTAGTGTGGAACCCTGTGGCCCTGGCTGAGGAGGGTGAGCAGCTGTGGGCTGCTGGAGCTGCTGCAGGGAAACCAGCTGATGGGACTGCTGCTGCGGGCCGGTCAGAACCGCCCAGCCCTGCGGAACCTGGAGTGTCAGAGGCCTGAGACCTTCCGGAGTATTTAGGAAAAACTGAAGGGGTGCTGGAGAAGATGCCTGCACTGCACCGGGCCTTGCATCTGGTAGTGGACCTCCTGAGGACTGAAGGCCACTGCCACTGATTCCTGCAGGAGCGGGGGCACCCGAGCCAGGGGCCTGCACAGGCTTGAAACTGCACCCCAAAACCTGGGCTCCCCGGACTGGGCCCTCCACGTTGGTGGCCTTTAGGCCAGTGGAGCCTGTCCGGACCTGAATGGCTGGGGCTATTTTTACGAATCTGGTGGGGCGCCCGGCAGCTGGACGGCGCCTGCTAGCTTTAATAAGAGGCACAGAGGGCTTCTGAGAATGGCTTGGTGCCGCCCCACCGGCCGCCGCCGCCACAGCAGCAGCAGCTAAAGCAGGAGCAGCAGCAGGAGCAGGAGCAGGAGCAGGAGCAGCAGCAGCTACAGCAGGAGCAGCAGCAGGAAATGGACGCTTAAGAGGGCTGCCTGCCTGTTGTGGGGGAAAACTGTTACCTGAGGAAATCTTTCCTGAGCTTGAGGGAAGTTGGGTGCGGGGAGGTGGATGTTTCTCTCCCTTCCCGGATACTGAAGACTGGACCCACACAGGATCAGGCTGTTCTGGTGTTTTCCATGAAGAGAGCTGACTGACACTGGCTGGGCCACTGGAGCTGTGTGACATCTTGCCTGGACCTTTGACTTTGCTCTGCACCGATTCCTGGGCCTGACTCACTGCCCTCCCAGCATCAGTCTCTGACCCAGGCCTGAGACAAGCTGAATGGTCATCTGGGAAGGGCTGCCAGGGAGACTTCTGGCTCTTCTGCCTGGCTTTTTTACGTGGCCGTATTTTACCACAGAGAAGCGGATCATTAAACGACTGCATGATGTTTGGCTTGGTGTCCCAGGCCTGACAGCCAGCTTCCCATGCATGTCTGAAAGGGTCTTCTACCTCCTGGGCTGGCCAGACTGGGAGCTGTGGGTCAGCAGCTGTGACGGACTGATACCCTTTAGCAAGTTTCTCCACATCCACTTCTGAAGGCACGGCCAAATCACAGGGTCTGCCTTTCCACGTGTCTACACAACTTCCCGCTTTAGTAATGTTCAGCTCACAAGGCTGACCTACTTTTCTTTCTTCTTTTTGGCCAGAAGTCGACACTCTCAGCTCAGGAGGAGGTGGACAGTCAGACTGCTCCTGCTGTGGCTTTACAGAGGGCCACGAATACCTCTGGAGGCACTGTTCCATCGGGTCGGTATTCATCTTTTGCTTGTTGTACAGCAGCCTGTTTGCAGTGCAGGCAACTGCTACAGAAGGATCAAGACACAGTGGTTCAGCTGTCGCTAAGATCAGTTGACTCTCAAGAGGAAATTTGTCTTCCTGGCTCCATTTCTCGCCATCTCTTGTCATCGTCTTCACCTCAGGGGCTAAAGTCTGCATGGTTGGACGTAGAAGAATATGCCTGCTTTGGTAACCAGGAGGTTGCATATTACTGGACTGCCTGTAGTCACGAACTTCTACTATGACACACCCACTATGAAAAATGTTAACCGAAGCTTTATCCAGGACATCACCCAAAGCAGGGGGTAATTCTTCTGCATCCAAGTAGTCCAGCAATGCCCTTTCTTCATAAGGCAGCCGAATGGTCTCTGCAAAGGACCCATCTTCTCTCTGGAGCATCACAGAATACCCCTGATTGCCTGGGTATAGATTGACCAGTAAACATGGCAAGGACTCTCTCCTAACAAGCTTTTCTAACAAGTTTACATTGCTTCTCAATTCCTGAGGATCCTCAGGCTCTTTTCCACATTCTTCAACATAAATGTCATAAAGTTTTTCCTGCAGAGTTTTTCCCGCCCTAGGTGAGTATCTCCTTCTAGGACGTCTCTGTTGGGCAATTTCAGTGATATTCTCTGTGCGATCCAGAGCCTGTTCTAAATCTCGATCCATTGTAACAGAAAACAGGGCCCCTAAGAGGAGAGAAAACGCATGTGCGTTGGTGAAGCAGGGTGGAATCACGGCTGTCATATTAATCTACAGGCCCGCAAGACGCCGCAAGTCCACACTGAGTTCAACACGGGCACCTGCCCAGAAACCCGCCCCCAGGGAAGCGCTACCCAATCTGTTTGAGGGTTTCTGAAAACATGGGTACCTGAGGGGTCGTCGTCGTGGCCGGGCTTCACGTCTCTGCGGCCTGGAACAGAAGTGAGCGGGAGGGCCGGGGTCAGCTTCTAGGCGCGTCTGGGCACCTGCCCAGAAACCTGCCCCCAGGGAAGCGCTACCCAATCTGTTTGAGGGTTTCTGAAAACATCGGTACCTGAGGGGTCGTCGTCGTGGCCCGGGCTTCACGTCTCTGCGGCCTGGAACAGAAGTGAGCGGGAGGGCCGTGGTCAGCTTCTAGGCGCGTCTGGGCACCTGCCCAGAAACCTGCCCCCAGGGAAGCGCTACCCAATCTGTTTGAGGGTTTCTGAAAACATCGGTACCTGAGGGGTCGTCGTCGTGGTCGGACTTCGCGTCTCTGCGGCCTGGAACGGAAGTGAGCGGGAGGGCCGGGGTCAGCTTCTAGGCGCGTCTGGGCACCTGCCCAGAAACCTGCCCCCAGGGAAGCGCTACCCAATCTGTTTGAGGGTTTCTGAAAACATCGGTACCTGAGGGGTGATTGTCGTGGCCTGGGCTTCGCGTCTCTGAGTGCTGCACCGGAAATGAACGGGAGGGCCGGGGTCAGCTACTGCGCGCCGTCTGCGCGTCTGCGCGCGTGCGCACTTGCCGCACACCGCAGATTCCAGGCGCCCCCTGCTTCTCTGGCTTCCTGGGCGCGAGGCTCACTCGCTGCACTTCCGGGTCTGCTGCCCGCGCCGGCACTCGACTACTTGCCATTTCACCTTGAAAGCGTACATGCAAAAGCACGAGCCACTAAGGACAGTATAAACACATCTTTCGTACCGCGCATAGACATCAGTTTCCACAGGAATACCACTGTCGGGAAATCATGGGAAGTTGTCACTGGTCTTGGCGGAAACTTCAACAATTGTTGGCACTTTTGGAATCTCTTGCCATCAGTGGCAGCACTGCTGCTGGTATCAGCCACTGGGCTGTGGAATGAGCCCGCATTAGCAGTGCTTCCATGCCTGGAGACGCCACAGGCTTGTGGCAAGCGTCAGGGTTCTTCATGTTGTCGTCCAGTAAGCTCCCGCCTGGGGGTGTTCATGTGGATGCCCCAGTACATGACGTTCATTTACATAATTACTCACCTTTTATTTCTCCATGTGTTGAGTTAGGGCACCTACAGATTAAAAAATTACCTGGTGGGTCATTACATTGTCTATGGATTGCAGGTCAGGATGGTAGAGAGACATGAAACCATTCATTTCTACAAGGTGATTTGCACCTGATAAGGACGAGAACAATTGTCCAGGTGATGGCAATAAATTTTCAATGATTAGAGTAAACTGTAGACCTTAGCTAAGATCCTAAAGATGGATTTGCAGCAATATCATTCAGTCTTAGGTAATTTATGGGACATTGTTTTCCATTAACTTTGTTGCCTTGAAATCTCCCAGTTTGTTTGTTTTTGTTTGTTTTATTGGACAAGATCAATAATGCTTTTCTGGGGAGATCTACTCCATAGCCTGTTTTTCTGACTCATGAGTGTGATCTAAATTCTGCCCCTCCCTCCGCTGATATCCCAGGGTGCATCACACTTATTAGCGAGGTATAGCTGCCCGCCCTGCCATGGGATGGACTCGATCTTCAGCTGGTGAATTGCCTGTGTCTTCACTTGGGTTTCCCCAAAAGCATTCCCGGAGGAGAGGATTTGAGTCGGAGTAGTTTCTTTGGGTGCTAATCCTTAGGAGCATTGGTGACAGAAAGGGGAGCTGAGTCAGAGATGGGAAAACAGACAATGAAAGATGTATTCCTGAGCACGAGCAGCTCCGAACAACGGGTCCACGCTGGGGACCTTGGAAGACAGTACAGAATAAGCCTCAGATTGTTCTTCCCTAGAGGCAAAGAAGCTGGGGTATTTATTCATCCACTTCTTTCTCATTGACTTAGGACAGTGCTGGGAGCATTATTTCCTGACACTTCTGGTTGCCACATACAGGGGCCACCCATGCTGATGTGGCTTGAGGATGTTCTCAGACAGAGTCACAGGTGCTTGCAGTAAGACTCTGTCTGTGTGTACAGAATGGTGAGTGCCAAGGGGAGATGGACAGGGCACTCGCAGCATTAGCTACATTTAGGACTGAAGATAAGTGGGAGAAATCGGCCATTCTTTGTTTTTTTTTTTTTTTTTTGAGACTGAGTCTCGCTCTGTCACCCAGGCTGGAGTGCAGTGGCACGATCTCGGCTCACTGCAATCTCTTCCTCCTGTGTTCAAGCAATTCTCCTGCCTCAGCCTTCCTTGTAGCTGGGACTACAGGTGTGCACCACCACAGCTGGGTAATTTTTGTATTTTTAGTATAGACAGTGTTTGCCATGTTGGCCAGGCTGGTCTGGACTCCTGACCTCAAAGTGATCCACCTGCCTTGGCTTCCCAAAGTGCTGGGCTTATAGGCATGAGCCACCAAGCCCAGCCCCATTCATTCTTAATTTTGTAGATAATGTGCTATGTCATATATCTGGGCATATGGAGAAGTGAATTTGTATTCCATCCAAGTGAAATGGGCCATTTCATGTAAAGCTTTTTTTTTCCATGTATTAAAGCCAACAAGGCCAAAAATGGAGGATGTGACCCACTCTTGACTCCCCAGAGGGAAGACCCCAAGGCTGCCTGGGCCACAGGTACACTGGAAGAGGTTGTGAACCTGTGTGTGTGTTACAACATGCATTACTAGGCCTGACAGTGCTTATAATGGCTTGGCCATTCCCTTCACTTGAGCTGCCTAATTACCAGGCCTTTCCACAAGATTAATTTTTTTTAATTCCTCTGAGTGCACACCATCCTTCAGGCCTTCCAAGCACGCTAATGAGCACACTGGTTGATTATAAGAAGTTCAACTGCAGCCCTCCCCTGTAGCAGCACAGCAGAGAATAGCACAAGCTGAGAAAAATTCATGGCCATGCTAAGATTTGCTACAGGAATAAGAACATTCAATTAATTGCAAGATAATTGTCCTAATTTACAATTAGGAAACTACTTTGTTCTATACCCATTGAGGTCTAGATCTTTGCCACCTCTTCCCTGCTGCCGTTAATTAGAGGGACCAGCAGAGAATTTGAAAATACAGGGCCCAAAGACTGCAGAAGCTGAAGATACCGTTGCCTCCTGGTTAACCCTTCATCACTTGCTCTGACATTTTGTACTTCTCCTGTGATCAGGCCCCAGCTATAGTAAAGCAAACCTTAGGTAACATTGTAGCTCTGAGATTGAGTGAAGATCACTTTCCATAGCCTGTTACATCATTCAGTGCTTCCACATCTGCTAAGAGTTGTTTACTGGATTTAAGAGCGTCTCACAACCCATAAGTGCTGCACAGCATATTAATCTTCTCCCTTCCTCTTTTTCCCTCTTTTTCTTTTCTCGAACTCTATCCCCCTTCCCTTTCTTCCACTTGCCCATCCTTTAACCATTTTACTGAAAAGTAAATGAAATTGGATTTTGTTCTGTTAAGACTTTCATTCTGCTCTCTAAGTAGCCAGACCCTAAGACAGGGTTTCTCCCTCTCTGTATTATTCCCATTTGTCATGGGGGCTGTCCTGTGCATTGTAGGATTTTTAATAGCATCCATGGCCTTTACCCACTATATGCCAGTAGCAGCCCCCTCCCATTTATGACAATCAAAAATGTCTCCATACATTGTCGAATGTTCCCTGGGGGACAAAATCATCCCTGGTTAAGAACCACCACCCTGTGGTATCACAAAACCAGGTCTGGAGAAATAAAGCAGCAATCTCTAAACCACAAAACACTTTACACCTCAATTTCTAGGATAGTTCAAATGATAGATGTAATTTTTAAAATGTTATTTTTGTTTTTAATGCAATGGCTGTTATGGTTGGCCCTGAATTACTTTGCTAATGCTCTAAATCTGCCATTGGACCTGATTAATAAAGACAGCCCATGGCCAGTGGGATAGATGCAAACAAAAACATCATTAAATCTTTAGAAGTTATCTTTAAAAAGATAAACTAGCAAAGATATTTTTGTTCGTCTGCCTGGTAAATGTCAATAACCGTTTCCAAATTTTCTAGATTTATTCAACAGTTAAGAACCTTTGCTCATTTCAATAATTTATCTTTGGTCTTCGTTTAGTATTTGTTCTTTCAGGGTATGTTATCTGCCCTTTGTTTTCTTAATGTCACAGCATCCCTGGACTTGGTCTTTAGACAATTTTTCTCTATTTACACTCAGTCATTTGATGACCTGATCTGGTCTTATGGCTTTAGATACCATCTACACCCTAATTGTTTCCAAATGTATAGCTCCAGCCTGGACCTCTCCCCTGAACTACAGACTCATAACCTCAAGCTTCCTATTCAAAATCTCCCCCTGACTGCTGAATGGGAATTTTCAATTTGACATGTCCAAACTGAATTCCTTATCTCCTACCCAAACTTGCTCCTTTGGCAGAGTATCAGTGGGGTTCAATTAGGAATTGGAATCACTATAAGTAATATGGAATTACATTTGCTTATAGTGACCAGACCCCACAAATCATGGGAGACTCTAGGGAAGTAAATGTGTAGAAGAGGACAATTGGAAGGTCGGAGAAAAGTCATTAACCAGGGATCACAAAGGGAAGCTGGTGAAGAAGTCTATGGAGGGCTGTTGCTTCTGCATCTGGGCATGAACCTGATACCACTGGGGGTCAGTAGAGCAAGCAGCAAGGAAGAAAAGCTGGGCATGAAGCACGAGAACAAGGACCATCTGGAACACACAAGGGCTAACTGGAACCAGCGAGGACAAACCTGAGTCTGGCTCTCATTGCCTCTAACCTTGATGATTCAGGTGACTTGCAGAAGGAACTGGCTCCCTTTGCCATGGAGGTGCACAGGCACCTGGCCCAGGACTCAGAAAAGCTGAAGGAGGATATCCAGCGGGAGCTCGGGGAGCTGTGGACCCAGCTACTGCCTACTCCCCAGCTCCCATCAAGGTGAGCCAGTAGATGAGCAACATGTGTGAGCTGCAGTGGTGCCTGATACCTGACACTGAACTTCAGAATGTAATGGCTGCTGCTTCAATCCTGACTTCCAGATCTCATAAAAATTTCTCTTTTGGCCAGCCCTACACCCCAGAATCATATAATACTCATGATGTTATGAGTCTAGTTCAGGAGACAGGTCCAGAGGAAAGGCAATTCTAGGAAACATAGTTCCAGCTTAGCCAAGTTGACACAGTGCAAAGCTACCCAAGCAGCCTTCCCCATCTCAGGAAGCGACAACTTCATCTTTCCGGTTGCTCAGACTAAAAACCTTGGAATCATCCTCAACTCTTCTGTTTCTCTCTTCCTCCCTATATCCAATAGTAAGTATTTGTTGAATGACATTAAAATGACCTAGAAGAGAAAACACATTAATTTGAAGAGTTTTTGTCTGGGGGAAGAGGGAGGGAGTACCTGAAAGGGTAAGAGAAACGTAGACTTCAATCATTTTTATCTAAGGCTCGCCCTACTCCTTAGCATCAATCTCAGTTGGATCTATCAATTGTAGGTGTAGTTCTTAGAGGTCTCCTCCCAGTTATCACGGGGAGGTTCCTCTGTGATGGATTGTGCATGTCCCTTGACTCTCATACCCTGAAATTGCTACCTGTTGGCCATTTCACTGCTCACTAACCCATCAGAGTGTTACCAAAGAAAATAAAAGGAAACAAGCCATTGAACTTTAGTCAATTGTGAACAAAAGTTTGGTGGCTTAATCAGCCAGATTTCTAGATGAAACCTTTGAAATATCTCTCGATTTAAAACGTCCCGCTGGATGTTGGGGACTGATCCCCTAAGAGACAGGATGGTAGGGTAGGGGGAAGGATGAAGGTTTCCTGTTTTTTTTTTTTTTACTGACTCCTTGTTTTTCTGTTTTATAGTCTTTCTTAAAAAGCAGTTCTAGGCCGGGCGCGGTGGCTCACGCCTGTAATCCCAGCCCTCTGGGAGGCCGAGGTGGGCAGATCATGAGGTCAGGAGATCGAGACCACAGTGAAACCCCGTCTCTACTAAAAAAATTACAAAAAATTAGCTGGGCGCAGTGGTGGGCGCCTGTAGTCCCAGCTACTCGGGAGGCTGAGGCAGAAGAATGGCGTGAACCCGGAAGGCAGAGCTTGCAGTGAGCCGAGATCATGCCACTGCACTCCAGCCTGGGCGACAGAGCGAGACTCCGTCTCAAAAAAAAAAGAAAAAAAAAAGAAAGAAAGAAAGAAAAAAAGCAGTTCTAGGTTCACAGCAACATTGAGTAAAAAGTATAGTTCCCATCCCCCTGCCCCCGACCCCTTAACCTCCCCAACTATCAACATCCCACACCAGGGAGATACATTTGTTACAACTGATGAACCTACATTGACACATCATTATCAATCAAAGCCCAGAATTTACATCAGGGTTCACTGTTGGTGTTGTACATTCTATGAGTTTGTACAAATGTATAATGACATCTATTTACCATTATAGAATCATACAGAATAGTTTCACTACCCTAAAAATCCTCTGTGCTCTATTTATCCCTTCCTCTCCCTAACCCCTGACAAACATTGATCTTTTTACTGTCTCCATAGTTTTGCCTTTTTCAGAACATCATATAGTTGGAATCATACAGTATGTGGCTTTTTCACACTGGCTTCTTTCACTCAGCAATATGCATTTAAGATTCCTCCATGTCTTTTAATGGTTTGATAGCTCATTTCTTTTCAGTGCTGAATAGTGTTTCATTGTATAGATACACCACAGTTTATCCATTCGCCTACTGAAAGACATCTTGGTTGCTTCCAAGTTTTGGCAATATGAATAAAGCTGCTATAAACATTCTTGTGCAGGTTTTGGTGTGAACATGAGTTTTCAACTCACTTGGGTAAATACCAAGGTGTGTGATTGCTGGATTGTATGGTAAGAGTATAGTTTTGTGAGAAACTGCCAAACTCTCTTCCAAAGTGACTGTACACTCCTACCCACAATAAATGAGGGTTTCTGTTGCTCCACATACTTGCCAGCATTTGGTATTTTCAGTGTTTTGAATTTTGGCCATCCTAATAGGTGTGTAGTGGTATCTCTTTGTTTTTGTTTTGTTTTTTGTTTGAGACAGGGTCTTGGTGTGTTGCCCAGGCTGGAGTGCAGTGGTACGATCACTGCTCACTGCAGCCTTGACCTCCCAGGCTCAGGCGATCCTCCCACCTCAGTCTCCCAAGTAGCTGGGACCACAGGCCCATGCCACCATGCCCAGCTAATTTTTGTGCTTTTTTGTAAAAAAGGGGTTTTACCATGTTGCCCAGGCTGGTCTTGGACTCCTGGGCTCAAGTGATCTGCCCATCTAGGCCTCCCAAAGTGCTGATTACATGCATGAGCCACTGGTGCTGGGCCTCCTTGTTTTAATTTACAATTCCCAGATGACATACATGTTGAGCATCTTTTCATATGGTTATTTGCCATGTGTATATCTTTTCTGGTGAGGTATCCATTCAAGTCTTTTGCCCATATTTTAATCAGGTTGTTCATTTCCTTATTGTTGAGTCTTAAGAGTTCTTTGTATATTTTGGAGGATAACAGTTCTTTGTCAGCAAAAGTTTACTTTTCACTCTTTATTTTTTGAAACTTTTGAATGGTATAAATTATGCCAGACATAATTAAAAAGAAACTATTTAATTAGATAGTCCCTTTTTAACTATGAAGATAACCAAGTGGGCCAAACATGATTTTTCATTCTGGAATATTCAGTACCAATGGCTCCTAATGGGTCACCTAAAGGACCCACATCTCCATGGATGGGGATGAAGGGGGAGGTGTGGGGGCCTCTCTCTCCCTGATGGAAGGGGCCATATGAAGTTGTGAGGCTGGTCTTTGGGTGGGGTCTACTTCTAAGACAGACCACTCCCATTTCAGTGAAAACCAGAGACAACCACAATTGACTTTTTTCTGTCAAAATTTATTGAATAATTTGAAGCTCAATGTGTTTTCTGGTGGTTACTAATGGCAAAAGTGTTCAATTCTCTTGTAAGTTGTTTTTGCTTGAATCAAAAACAAGGAAGGGAGAATATTTGGGAAAGTGTTGTGTTTTGCCTATGGCCCTGGAAGAGAGGGGTCCAGGTGAGAAAAACAATAATGGCGACCAGAGACCTGGGACTTGTGGGTAAATGGATAACCAATCTGGAACAAAGGACTGACTCTGGGGGAATTGGTGGGGGCGGAGGCATGGTTGGAGGTTAACATAGGACAAATTGAACTGCCCTAGTTACCCAGACATGTGTACACACAAGCCTCACAAGATTTTCCAAACTTTCAGGAATTAAGACTGGCTTCAGAAATATCCCTGTGCCTAAATTTGTGCTCTGGGCACATAAACATTGCAGTTTACCAGCTTGGTTTGCAGTTCCCAGCCTCTCTTTGCCTGGCCTTAGAACCACATAGCATGACCAGGAGGAGTCTCATCATTGCTGCAGTGTCAGGGTGGAAGGTCAGCTACCTCAGACTTAGCATCTTGGCTCATGCTACCTTGTTGGTTCAATAATTGTGGCCATTTGCCACATCGACAAAATATTTAGCTTTGCAGAGAGAACCCGAGGATACCCTTGGGACCTCAACTGTTGGAAGGCTTGCTGGGACCCTTCGTGATCTAACATGTCTAGGGGCTATCTGGACATCCTAGGGTTGGGACTGGAATCCTGAAACATGCACAGGGGCATGTGCACAGGCCAGACTGAGATAGAGGCCTTTGTCAGCAGGTCAACTAGGCAGCTACTCACATGATTTCAGGGGCCCTACTCCAAAAATACCTCTGCCCTGACTTGACATCTGAAATTTTGAGTCTGGGCAGAGGTTTTAAACTACGGGATACATGGACAGATTTCAGAAGATCTTTGAATCTCTTAAAATAGTAAATGAATTTCAAATCCTTTCTGAGAACCTGCTTTTTTTTTTTTTTTGAGGGGAGATTTTTTTTTTTTAATGAGTGGGTGGGGATGGGAGGAAATAAAGCATAGGGTGTCCGAGGAAGGTGAGAAAGAGGATCTCACTGAGGGTACAAAAGGATCTTGTGGGGCTACGAAGATATATTTTATCTACCTTATAACTTTCTCATGGAGTAGAGGAAAAATCACCACCTGGGAAGAGACCAGTAGACATGTGCCTTTGGGCTGGCAGGACAAGCTGAGCCAGTCTGCAAGACTCACAGTCTATGGCAAAAACGTTACTCCTGGGTAACTGTACACAAGAAAACCAGTGAGTGAACAGGAAATGAAAACATTAAATCCTAAACCATTAGTGAGGGATCCGCCCTCATGACCCAAACACCTCCCACCAACCAGTATCAACATTGGGGATCAAATTTCAACATGAGATTTTGAGGGGACAAATATCCAAACTGTATCAGCTTCCCAGGTTATAGACAAGGAAGCAGGTGCAGGGAGACTAATCAAAATCATCCTGGCTCAATGTGGTTGGGGTCAGCCTTTAAAGCAGTAGTTTGTGACCATGGCTATTCATTAAAGTCACCTGGGGAGATTTTAAAACTAGCAACATGTGGAACCACCCTCAAAAATTCTGTTTAATTGGCCTAGGGTGGTACCTGGGCATCAGTAACTTTCAAAAGCTTCCCAGGGATTCTAATATACTGTCAGGATTGCTACCCAATACTTTAAAGCTCCAGTCCCTTCTGTTATCTCTATTTACCTCTTCTAGACAGAGCTGATCCAATGTCCCCATTTTACAGATAAGAACACTGAGATCCAGGGAAGTTCGATGAGTTTCTTAAAGCATCAGAACTATAACTATATTTAAAATCACAACTTATATAGCCTTTTTTTTGTCTCTGCATCAGCTAAATGCAAACTTGGCTGAGCTTAAGAATCACCTATTACTTGATCAAACTAAAAATTCCTGGATTCCTCACCTGGACATTATTAAGTAGGTCTGTGGTAGGGACCAGGAATATGTAATTTAATAAGTATCCAGTAAGTAATATGATCTGGCCAATTTGTCAATTCTGAACTAATGCGATTGTTGATATTTCCTAAGTTAAAGGAAATTTGAGTTCTTTAATGGCAGTGCAAAGGAGAACTTATATTTATTTTTAATGATTTTGCCAGGGGAAGGCATTAAGAAATACAGTCATCTATGGCTTAGCGATGGGGACACATTCTGAGAAATGCATCCTTAGATGATTTTGTCATTGTGTGAACATCCTAGAGTGTACATACACAAACCTAGATGGTAGAGCCTACTACATACCTAGGCTATATGGTATAGCCCGTTGCTCCTAGGCTACACACTTGTATAGTTACTGAATTGAATACTATAGGCAACGGTAAATATTTGTGTATCTAAACATAGCTAAACATAGAAAGGTACAGTAAAAATACGGTATTATAATCTTATGGGACTACCATTGTATATGCAGTTCTTTGTTGACTGAAACATCTTGTGTGGCTCATAACTATAATACCAACTCGGTTTTATCAAACTCTAGGCTTTAATTACAATTCCATAGTTCTTATTTTGTTTGGTCATTGTTGTTTTAAAATGAAGTAGGTAGTTCTTAAAAGAACACGGATATGCTTTTCATTTTGTACTAAGTTGCAACTTGAACTCAAATGGTTACAGCTTCAAGAATGGAAAATAAATTGGCTATGACTGTGACCAATTATAATGACATGCCGCCTAGCTCTTACCTACTCTGCTCTCTGCCCCAAGTTTGTTGGTTTCCAGGTAAGAAGCGTGAAGCAGCTGAAGTCTTAGGTGGCCCAGCTGAAGTGCAGCTCAGCAACCATTTGTCATAGGATCCTTGACTGAACATGTGACTTCCATAGGAATGCCCTTAAACTCCATTCTTCAAGGCAATTTTACCAAGAGATGCAGTGGAAAGATCACTGGAATCGAATGCCAAAAACCCTGGGTCTGAAATGATGTTCTTCCACCTACTTGCTGTAAGACTATGATAAAATCATTTGCATTTGACTTCTATGAGTCTCACTTCCACATCTGTAAAGTAGGAATAATGATATCCATTTTACCTATCTAATGAGGGATATCAAGGATTATATTAGCTAATATATTGGTTAACATTTGCCTCATGACAATCACAAGGCCTTTGTAGCATATGACTATATATATACATATATGTGTATATATGTATGTATATACACATATATACTCATATATATACTATATATACATGTATAGTCATATATATATATATTTTTGACTTTTGTGACTGGGAAGCCTTTGGAGAGTTTTTTATTTTATTTTATTTTATTTTACTTTTTAATTATTATTATACTTTAAGTTTTAGGGTACATGTGCACAATGTGCAGGTTAGTTACATATGTATACATGTGCCATGCTGGTGTGCTGCACCCGTTAACTCGTCATTTAGCATTAGGTATATCTTCTAATGCTATCCCTCCCCCCTCCCCCACCCCACAACAGTCCCCAGAGTGTGATGTTCCCCTTCCTGTGTCCATGTGTTCTCATTGTTCAATTCCCATCTATGAGTGTGTATATATATATATATATATATATATATATATATATATATATTTAAGACAGAGTTTCACTCTGTCACCCAGGCTACTGGAGCGCAGTGGCACAATCTCGGCTCACTGCAACCTTTGCCTCCCGGGTTCAAGTGATTCTCCTGCCTCAGCCTCCCAAGTAGCTGGGTTTACAGGCATGCACCACCAGCCTGGCTAATTTTTGTATTTTTAGTAGAGACAGGGTTTCACCATGATGGCCAGGCTGGTATTAAACTCCTGACCTCAGGTGATTCACCCAGCTTGGCCTCCCAAAGTGCTGGGATTACAGGCCTGAGCCACCGTGCCCAGCCAACAATATATTTTTCATAGATGTACAGGACTCAGCTAATCTATGCTGGGCTTCCTGGGCAGTTCTGCTGCTCTAAGCTAGACTCATGTCTGGGACATGACTGATCTAAGCTGGGTTGGGCAATGGTGATTAGCTCTGTGCTACCTGTTGCTCTTCTTCCTCCTGTGTTAACTCAGGCATATCATTCTTATGGTAAATGGCAGAGGTGCAAGAGAAGAAACTGAAGAAGTACTTTTATAAGCTACCCTTGTGTCATATTTACCATTGGCCAAAGCAAGTCACATGGCTAAACTGAGATTTAAGGAGTGGGAATATACACTATGCCTTTCAATTGTGAGATCTGTAAAGTCATATAGGAAATGGCATGGACACTGGGAAGGATAAAGAAATAGGGTTATTAATGCACTCTAACACAGCTAATGCTTATAAAGTGCTATACAAATTATACTAAGGCAATGAATCTTCTGTGATTCAGAATTATATGTAAATTAACCATATGTGAACTAACTTGTGAGCAACTTTTATAGATAGAAGAGGGTATAACTCAGTTTATATTCCAAACGTTTTAGTTTTAGTGGTTTTGTAGGTAGTGTTATAGATCATGCCTTCATAATTTATTGTGCTACATGACTGATAGGATGGGACACAATTTTAAATGACTTGGGTTATCTGAGAATTTCTTCTTTTCTTCTGGATTAAGATCATTTCATTGCATTAATAACCCAATTTCTTTATCCTTCCCAGTATCCATGCCATTTCCTTTGTGACTTTACAGATCTTGCTATGAAAAGGCACAGTATATATTCCCACCCCTTAAATCTCAGTTTAGCCATGTGACTCGCTTTGACCAATGGTAAATATGACACAAGGGTAGCTTATAAAAGTACTGCTTCAGTTTCTTCTCTTGCACCTCTGCCATTTCCATAAGGGCTAGAAGACTGGTCTTGGATAAAGCCAACTGTGTATGTCAGAGGTTCATTTCACAATTTAAAACTATGTTTCTCTGGCTGATTCCTGGAATAGAGCAAGGTAGACACAAGATGAGCGTGGGATATGTGGATATGTCAAGAAGTAAGGAAGGGATCAGAAAAAAGATGGGGACATGCCACAGGGACAGAGGAACTAGCTTGAAAGAGCTCCCACTGGCCAAACCTTAGCACCAAATTTGAGCACCAAAATAGTTAAGTACAGTAATGAATTATAAACCAATGGAAAAATAGGAATTCATGAATCTATACTGATTAAATAGATAAATAGATAGGTGGATAAATGGGTAAATGAGGGAAAAGGGAGGGCTGTTGCTTATGGTAGAATGCCAAGAGCTGACTGGTCAATGTGGAGGATTGGGAATGTAGAAAATGATCATTTTGCAATAATCGCGTTAAAGACTGGATCAAGCAAGAATCATCAATAGATACTAAATCTTGGGGAAATTTTGATGAAGGGCAGGATATTTCTATGATCTTTAAGTGCCTCCCCACAGACTGCTCATCAGTTGCAAGGGAAGAAGCAAAGCAGTAATTATACAATGGAAAAATTGGACACCTTGGCCAGGGGACCAAAACAAACGTCACTAGTAAAGAAGAGATGGACATCTTATAGCTCCAGATGTGATACCCTTAGAAGGATACAATATCACCTGTGCTGTATTCTGACCAAGAATGTCTAACCTGAGTCTAATCATGAAACATCGCATAGACTCAAAACAAGGTAAAGGGGGAGGAGCAGTAGTCTTCCTAAATGTCAATGTCATAAAAAGACAAAGAAAGGCTGTGGAGACATTCTAGATTAAAAGAGGCTAAAAAAAAAAAAAAGACAACTAATACAGTACCTGAGCCTAGATACATTGTAATAGGGGGGAAGTAAAAATACTGTGAGAACATCATTAGGTCAACTGACAAAATTGAAATATGGACAGTAGACAAAAATATTGTTCTGGCCAGGATGAAGTAACAGGGACCAGATTTACCCTCTTACCTTAAACTAAACAACCAGATAAAATATGTGAAATAATGGTCCTCAGACATTGGACAATAAGGCAGTATAGGACTAAGAGAAAAGAAACAAATAAGGCCAGCCCTACAGTTGCCTCTGCTGACTGCCTGGAGTGAGATTCCAGCCTGCAGTGCAAGGAGGGGAAACCCAAACAGAGCCCCGATCTCTGAGTTGAGGGGCTGGAGTTAAGAATTTGGAGAGGCTCCTTGTTAGTATTATGGTGAGTATATATAAAATATATAATATATAGTATTATATTTGGAGAGGCCAAGGTGGCTAGAATTTGCAGTGAAGAAGACCAGAGAAGAGAATGCTTCCCAGAGATTGAACTCTGGAGACCTGCAGAGAGTTTCCCTCCAATCTTCAATTTAGTACTGATCTGTGTCATTCACTACGTATAAAGAAACCAGGGAAACAATCTTCAAGAAGAATCAGGTGGAAAAGTTCTTGGAGATCACACAGGGCCAAGAATAGTTCATCCTTCCAATAGCCAGAGTGGAGAATCCTCATAATATCTGGGCATTGTGTGTACTTTGAAGAGTATTACCTCAATAGTGGGTCAAGCTAGCCATAGACTAAAGGCTGCTCTGGTCTGAGTCAGCCTAACCAGGCTGAAAGGCAAGCCTTGAGGGAATCAAACTGTTTCCAAGTAACTAAACGGCATCCCAGACAAAAGCTCAAAATTGGCCGGGCGTGGCGGCTCACACCTGTAATCCCAGCACTTTAGGAGGCTGAGGCGGGCAGATCACCTGAAGTCAGGAGTTCGAGACCAGCCTGGCCAACATGGTGAAACCCCGTCTCTACTGAAAATACAAAAAAATTAACCAGGCGTGGTGGTGGGTGCCTGTAATCCCAGCTACTCGGGAGGCTGAGGCACAAGAATCGCTGGAACCCAGGAGGTGGAGGTTGTAGCAAGCCGAGATCGCGCCACTGCACTCCAGCCTGGGTGACAGAGCAAGACTCCATCTCAAAAAAAAAAAAAAAAAAAAGGCTCTAAATTTACAAAACATTAGTAAATATTATAAAAATGACTTGCAAAAAATCCTGCACTTAACAATGGACCCAATATCTTGCATCCAATTAGTCAGTGACTGTATTATGGCTATGTGAGAGACTATCTCTATTCTTAGGAAATACATACTGAACTATTTGGCATCAAGGGCCATAGTGTGGAAAACTTGCAAAGGGGCAGGGGTGGAGAATAGGTGAATCTGGGTTAAGGGTATACAGGTTTCTTTGGACTATTTTTATTCTTACAACTTTTTATAAGTTTGAAATTACTTCCAAGTAAGTTAATTCCAAAAATAAGACCAAAAAACCCAATGTTTCTCGTACCTCAGACTAGCATAATTCCTTCTATTTAGATTGAGCTATGATGGTGCTCAATCTAGCCACAAGAACGTGTATAACTTTTAATTATCAGCTGCCCCAGAGAATATAAAATAGCATTTAGGACGGCTCCTCCAAAGACAGCAAATTGGAAAGAAAAAAAAAAGGGAGATAAATTTAACAAATAGCTAATTTGTAACCATGATGGGCACTTAGAAATCCTTTAATTAAGTATTGGCTTTTCTCCCTCATCAGTCAATCCCTATATTTTGCTGAAGCAAGGTATTTTTCAGTAGTTTGCTTTCTTTCAACCTGTTCTGAGGTTCTATCAATTGCATTCTGACCTCGTGCCACCAAGAGACTTTCTGACCTGAGTGTTGGGGAAATCTGACTTACTGTGCCAAGGAGCAAATCCTCCTAGTGTGAGGCAACCAGTAATAGGGAGACCTGTTCCTGGTGTCACTGGAGCAGAGCAGTTCCAACCAATAGTTCTTTTTTTTTTTTTTTTTTTTTTTTTTTTTTAAGACACAGTCTCGCTCTTGTCTCCCAGGCTGGAGTGTAGCGGTGTGATCTCGGCTCACTGCAACCTCCACCTCCCGGGTTCAAGTGATTCTCCTGCCTCAGCCTCCCGAGTAGCTGGGACTACAGGCACCCGCCACCACACCTGGCTAATTTTTGTATTTTTAGTAGAGACAGGGTTTTACCATGTTGGCCAGGCTGGTCTTGAACTCCTGACCTCAGACGATCCGCCCGCCTTGGCCTCCCTAAGTGCTGGGATTACAGGAGTGAGCCACTGCGCCCGGCCCCAACCAACAGTTCTTGAAAGTACTTGATGCTACAGCAATTCCACATGTTCAGTCTAAGTTGGGGGCACATGAACCTTCTGTTTGATGGGCATTGGATTTGCCAAGAACAGCATGACATAGCCCTAACCAGAGGGTTCTCGTTCATTCCCTTCCTGGGTAAACCTTGAGGTCCTGTGATGTGGGTCCACTGTTCTACTGAAGTCTTTATTATTATTGCCCTGTTACCAGCTGGAATTATTTTTCTACATCAGGTGATTCTCAGCTGCAAGAAGAAAACCCCTAAATTTGTGCTGCATCAAGGTGACAAATATAAATTCCCTGGTCAATTTGGGTTTTGTGGCACCTGTAATATCCTAGCATTTGACCTTGAAAGAGTGGAGGAGGTATTATAAATTTTCAAGCCAATGGAATAGTCTCTATTTTTGATATTTGGGAATACATTTGACTAAAATGAATAGGTTATGAGTGGTGTGTGTGTGTGTGTGTGTGTATGTCATGAGAGAGAAACAGAGAGAGAGAGAGAGAGAGACCCTCTGTCTTCTGTCTTGAATATCTCTGGAACCTATTCCTGTAAAGTATCCAGAAAAGAAAGTGTTCATTGAACATTCTTCTGTCTCCTGGTCTGTTGATATGCTTTAATATGAAACTTCTATTTCCATATTGGGTAATTCCTAATCAGAAACATTAAACAAGCCTATAGTATTAAGAAATTTTATCTTGGGAGACCATAACATGTAGTCTCATCTGTAACTAATGAAAATTTATGATTCAGTCAATTTCTGAAGGTTCCTAAAACCATACCCAAAAATTACTCACTAAAAACAAAAAGACCTGCCTGGTGAGTAAATCAAGTGCCAAATGGCACTTATAAGATTCTATGTGGCATCAAGCTCAGTGGTTCTCAACTCTGGTTCCACACTAGAATCATTTGAGGAGCTTTCAAAAATCCCATAACCAGGAAGGCAAACCCTGGATCAATTAAATCAGAATCTCTGGAGGTGGCTTCGGCATTAGTCATTTTTAAACCTCCCCAGTTGGTTCCAAAGTGCAGTGGCCAAGGTCAAGAACCACCGCTTATCTAGAGTGCTATCTGATTTTCACCATCAATGCGAGGCAAATATTCAAAAGAAGAAAAGCTGGGGAATAATCTTAAGTTGGTTGACAATACATGCATCAACTATAATTATTTGGTCAAACTATAACCCCAAATTCCATTATGTGCCTGTAAACAATTTCATTTTCATATGCTACCTTTTAGGGGGTAAAAGAGCCACTATTTTGCCGGGTGTGGTGGGTCATGCCTGTAATCCCAGCGCTTTGGGAGGCTGAGGCAGGCAGATCACCTGAGGTCAGGAGTTCGAGACCAGTCTGACCAACATGGCAAAACCCCATCTCTACTAAAAATACAAAAATTAGCTGGGCATGGTGGCGGATGCCTGTAATCCCAGCTACTCAGGAGGCTGAGGCAGGAGAATCACTTGAATCCCGGAGGCAGAGGTTGCAGTGAGCCGAGGTTGTGCCACTGCACACCCGCCTGGGTGACAGAACGGGACTCCATCTCAAAAAAAGAGAAGAACCACTATTTTACCACGATCTATAAATTTAGAAACTATAAATGAAAAATGAATAGATAGATGAATTAGTGGAGATAATGAACAGAAAGCATATTACAGAACACAAGTTGTTAGGACACTGTATTGACAGTTAAAATCAAAGAAAAACTTTTCTTCATTTCAGCAAGAGTTGACCAATAGAGAAGGCTTTAAAATAATGTTCTTTATTGGGGATGAGAGAAGAGGAACATCAGAATCACCTGGAAAGCTTGTTCAAACCACAGGAACTCCTCACCATTCTAGATTGATTCATTTCTTCCTTTCTGGAACCACTGTCAACATTCAGCCTTGAAGAAAAGTATTAATGACAGTGTGGCATAAAAAGAACTATATATTTGATTATTGTCTCAGTTCCTGACAAAGAGCTCCTAAAACCCTTGTAATTTCCTAAGTGATAGGGATGCTAGGAGCATCTTTTGTCTAATAGTTGGTACTTGACTATCATTCCTGACACAGAGCTCCTAAATCCCTTGGAATTTCCTGGGTGATAGAGCCTCTTTTGTTTTAATGAGGAAACTTTTGAAGTTTCAGGATGGGGGCTAGTTGCCAGGAAGATCACGTCTTGATTAGAAGCATAGAATGTTCAGGTCTACTCTCCCCAACCTCTAGGGAGGGGAGAGAGGCTGGAGAGTGAATTAATAACTGATCATGCCTACATGATGAAATCTCCATAAAAGCCCCTAAATCATGAGGTTCAGAGAGCTTCTGGGTTGGTGAACACATCCACTTGTTGGGAGGGTGGCACATCTTAACTCCATTGGACAGAAGTTCCTGCATTCAGGACCCTTCTGGAATTTACCCTATGTATCTCTTCATCTGCATCCTTTATAACAAACTGGTAAATGCAAGTAAATTGCTTTCCTGAGTTCTGTGAACCATTTTAGCAAATTATCATACCCAGGGAGGGGTTGTGGGAACTGCCTGAATTTTTAGCTGGTTGGTCAGAAGTCCTAGTGGTCCAGGACTTGCAATTGACATCTGAAGTGGGGCAGCCGTGTGGGACCGAAGCTTTAACTTGTGGGATGTAATGCTAACTCCAGGTAGTTAATGTCAGGATTTACTTAAACTGTAGGACACCTGGCTGATGTCCAGAAAGGTGGAGAAATGGTTGCTGGTGTGAGGAAAAACCCACACATTTTGTCCAGAAGTGTTTTGTGGACAGAAAAAGATCATAGTAGATGGTTATATCAGTAGGATGCCTTCAGTAGCAAGTATCAAGCAAAAATGTAACTCAAAATGGCTTAAACAATAAAGAAACTGTATCATCCATGTAAGCAAAAAGTCTAGAAACTGGGTTGGCATTTGGAGAGGCTTGATCCAGTGCCCTAAAGGGATCACCCTGTCTCTCCACTCTTCCTTTTGCAGAGTCATTCAACCAACAGATACAGTCCCCTGCAGTCCTAAGATGGCTTTCTTTTTTCTTCCTTCGTTTCCAGCAGGACAAAGAGAATTGGTTGATTTTCCAGAAAAAGTCCAGATATTTACTCTAATTGGCCTGGATCATATCACATACCCACCTCTGAACCAATCATTGTCTAGGAGGATGGAATGCACTAATTGGCTTAGCTTTGCTCCAGTGCTCCACCCCTGAGAAATTGGAAGGAAAATGTAGGGGTGAAGAATAGAAATTGACACTGGCAGTGCAACAAATTAAGTTCACAAGATGGTCTCAGAGGTTAAGTGTGAATATAATTCAGTAATAAAAAAAAATGAAACAAATTTCACCCACTGCCATCACAAGTCTTGTTAGTTTACAGCAGGGTTCTCAACTTTGGCATACTGGCATTTTGGGCCAGATTTTGTTTTTGTTTTAGGGGGCCATGTGTCCTCCGGGGGACAAAATTGTTCTCTCTAGAACTGCCATTTTATAGTTCAACCTCCTAGATAAAAATATCTATCATAGATGTCTGGAGATATTTTCAGTCACCACAACTGTGGGGGAGAGAGTGATGTGACTGGTATCTAGTGGGTAGTAGCCAGGGATGTGGTTAAACCTCCCACAACACATAGAACAGCCCCTAACAACAAAGAATTATCTGGCCCAAAATGCCAGTAGTGCTGACGTTGAGAAACCCTGCGCTAGCCAAAAGTCTTCAGATAGTTTTCAATCTCCACATCTTAAAAATAGGCCTTTCGACATTTGCCAACATTAGAAGAAAAATGCACAATGATATTGAACAAAAGTAGACAGGAAAAAAATAGACTCTTTTAACCTGACAGCCAAGGCTCAATTTATTATAATTTTCACTTTCTAAAGTATTTCTTTTAGACGCTAGCTGGATCTGCACCAAATCACAGCAGGATTTTAAGAATAACATCTGGCATATAAAAATTATCATAAAGTCCTACTCTTATAATATACTAGTTTAATATAATTGTTAAATTCTACTGACATGAATGCCACCCAAAATTCTAACCATAGTGATTTATGACTAAGCTTAAACTTCGCTTAATTTATTTTTGCTTTAAGGAGGGCCATTCCTTACTTATTGAAGATTTTGAAATTCTTACTCCATGATGTAATGAAATTCTTTATTCTTACATGATGTTAGATGGTAGAAAAATTGTCAGAAGCTTTTAAATCTAGACTGGCTTTTATTTATTATCTAATTAATATTATGGGGCTTCCCCCCTTTGACACTATCTTGAGCCTTTGAACAACAGGATAGCATTCTGTTAAATGTTCTGGATTTTAGAAAATAAAATTTTCCCCAGATTTGCCTAATGAGTAATAAGGGATGATGGAAGAACAATATTTGGATAGGAGCTAAGTTTATAGGGATTTCCTGTCATATAAAATTCTGGGCCAATGTATCAGGTCCAATGATTCCCCCATGACCTCTTTCTTACTTCTCAAAGGGTAGATACGTAGCCTGCTGTCTTGTGTCTCTACCAGAACGTCTCTCCCCATCTTTTCTCTTGTCTGTGTTCTTCTCTTGGGCTGGCTGTACAGGGAGAATCTACACTGTCCCACTTTTCCACTGGTAGAGTTTCCAAGATATGGTTGATTTTACAGTTTCTCTTCATTTTAAGAGACTTACCTCTATTCTGACACCAGTTGGTATACTGCAGTATACTTCCGGCACTATCCACCAGGAATTAGCATAGATCCCATTACTTAAAGGGCATGGTCCCCAACAAGACTACCCTCAGTTCAAATGCCAGCCACACTTTGAGGCTCCTCAGGCTACCAGCACTTCTGACTAGCTGGCTACAGATTCAAGGGTTTCCACAATATCTTCAGGTTTGATAATCTGCCAGAATGACTCCCAGACCTCAGAAAAGCACTACACTTAACATTGACTGTTTTATTATAAAGGATACAAATCAGGACCTGCCAAATGAAGATACATAGATCTGGGAGGGTCCCGAATGCAGAGCTTTCATGCCCTCTCCCATCAAATCTATGCATGTCACTCTCCTGGCACATCAATGTGTTCAACCAGGAAGTTCCCCTGAGCCTTGGTGTCCAGAATTTTTATTGAGGTTTCTTTACATAAGTATGACTGAATCATCAGCCATGTGATTGAACTCAGCCTCCAGTCCTCCTCCCCTGTCCAAAGGTTTGGCTGGCCCAAAACCCCAACCCTCCAGTCACATGGCTGGTCATTCTGGTGACCAGCCCATATCTGAAATCATCTCATTAGCATAAACTCAGGTGTGACTCAAGGGGCTCATTAATTACAAAGACACTCCTATCACTCAGGAAATTCCAAGGGTTTTAGAAGTTCTATGCCCAAAACCCAGGACAAAGTCAGATAAATTCTTTAGTATACAAAACTGCTGAGAACCAGAGAGGTCTGGCCAGGAGTAACACATATAACAGAGGTGTGTACAGATTCTAGAAATATCAAATTGGGTTTGCCTATACTGGCTGGCCCTTTCTAAGTCTCACTAAATTAACATCTGTTAAGTACCTACTATATGCCAGGCTTTGTGGGGGTAGAGGAAAAAAAATTTGCTTCCTAACCTCCAGGAAAGTATAACTTAGAGGAGGAAACAGGTAACTAAATAACTAATGACAATAAAATGTGCAGTGGACCTTGTGTTTGACAATCCAATATTCATTATACCTCAGGTTCAGGGGTGAAGCCTGATTAGTCTAAGCTAATTATAATAATCTCATTCCCCCGCTCCCCCTACCCCCGCCCCAGTGACTGGTTCTAGGATGGCAGGTCTTTAGATAATTTGTGGCAATGATATATGGAAAAGAAGTTTGCTGGGAACTTCTGGAGTAAAACTTCTTCACCCTTCAGAGGAAGTCTACGGAAAATCAGACTCTATCAGGAAGATATCGCCCTGCTTGCTTCTGGTACCAATAATACAAACATAAGGGGATCCAGCCTAGGAATGAAATCAATACCATAGACATCAGAGTGGAGAGACAGGAGGAATCTGAGTCCTTGAGAACAGTGTAGAGCTACTGGATCAAACCAAACCTGATGCTTGACCTACTCTAGACTTTCTGTTATCTAAGCCAATAAATTTCCTTATTGCATGATCTAGTTTGAGATGAGCTTTCCCTCAAAGTCAAAAATGCTTTGATACAGAATATAATCACATATTCTAAAATAATTTAAATAATGTGGTAGAAGGTCTACCTAATTTTCATTCTCTTTTAATGTTGTAAGTCGAGCTCACCAAGTTTCCTTCTACCTCTGTTGGGATCCCTTCTCACACAGACTGATGTTTCACATTCTTCTGACTTACAGAGGTCCTTTTAGAACAGAAGAATAAGTGTGAACTAGGAGGTTATTCAGGGATTCTTAGATCTCATGGGTATCATCTACGTTTCAGGAAAATTCCAGACTGTAATTCCTGCCCCCCTACTTTCTCCACTCTTCCCTCCCTCCTATATATATATACTTCACTGAATAAAAGTTAACTTGGTCATCCCCTGATTGGTGGGCAGTAAATTAAGAAGTTTAATGCCTTTCTGTCTGGAGAGTAAAAAAGACATAATAAAACACTTTCAGTGCTCCTTCCTGAGGAAAACTAAGCTACATCTGATTATTTTCCTTATGAGTCAGGATTCTGAGTACAATGTGGATGTTTCAGTCAGTTTTTGTTGGGGCAACAACTCCAAAGTTGGGTTTTTTTTTTTTTTTTTTTTTTTTTTTTTTTTTTAACAGAGTCTTGCTCTGTTGCCCAGGCTGGAGTGCAGTGGCGTGATCTTGGTTCACTGCAACCTCTGCCTCCTGGGTTCAAGTGATTCTCCTGCCTCAGCCTCCTGAGTAGCTTGGACTACAGGCAAGCATCACTATGCCTGGCTAATTTTTGTATTTTTAGTAGAGATGGGGTTTCACCAAATTGGCCAGGCTGGTCTTGAACTCCTGACCTCGTGATCTGCCCACCTCAGCCTCCCAAAGTGCTGGGATTACAGGCGTGAGCCACCACACCTGGCCTCCAAAGTTTTAAAAGCTCGTGTAGCTGATGGCTCAGGGTTGCTTAAAGAAGTGTTCTTCAACCGCTAGCAAGACTAATAAAGAAGAAAACAGAGAAGAATCAAATAGACGCAATAAAAAATGATAAAGGGGATATCACCACCGATCCCACAGAAATACAAACTACCATCAGAGAATACTACAAACACCTCTACGCAAATAAACTAGAAAATCTAGAAGAAATGGATAAATTCCTCGACACATACACCCTCCCAAGACTAAACCAGGAAGAAGTTGAATCTCTGAATAGACCAATAACAGGCTCTGAAATTGTGGCAATAATCAATAGCTTACCAACCAAAAACAGTCCAGGACCAGACGGATTCACAGCCGAATTCTACCAGAGGTACAAGGAGGAGCTGGTACCATTCCTTCTGAGACTATTCCAATCAACAGAAAAAGAGGGAATCCTCCTTAACTCATTTTATGAGGCCAGCATCATCCTGATACCAAAGCCTGACAGAGACACAACCAAAAAAGAGAATTTTAGACCAATATCCTTGATGAACATTGATGCAAAAATCCTCAATAAAATACTGGCAAACCGAATCCAGCAGCACATCAAAAAGCTTATCCACCATGATCAAGTGGGCTTCATCCCTGGGATGCAAGGCTGGTTCAATATATGCAAATCAATAAATGTAATCCAGCATATAAACAGAACCAAAGACAAAAACCACATGATTATCTCAATAGATGCAGAAAAGGCCTTTGACAAAATTCAACAACCCTTCATGCTAAAAACTCTCAATAAATTAGGTATTGATGGGACGTATCTCAAAATAATAAGAACTATCTATGACAAACCCACAGCCAATATCATACTGAATGGGCAAAAACTGGAAGCATTCCCTTTGAAAACTGGCACAAGACAGGGATGCCCTCTCTCACCACTCCTATTCAACATAGTGTTGGAAGTTGGGCAATTAGTCAGGAGAAGGAAATAAAGGGTATTCAATTAGCAAAAGAGGAAGTCAAATTGTCCCTGTTTGCAGATGACATGATTGGATATCTAGAAAACCCCATTGTCTCAGCCCAAAATCTCCTTAAGCTGATAAGCAACTTCAGCAAAGTCTCAGGATACAAAATCAATGTGCAAAAATCACAAGCATTCTTATACACCAATAGCAGACAAACAGAGAGCCAAATCATGAGTGAACTCCCATTCACAATTGCTTCAAAGAGAATAAAATACCTAGGAATCCAACTTACAAGGGATGTGAAGGACCTCTTCAAGGAGAACTACAAACCACTGCTCAATGAAATAAAAGAGGATACAAACAAATGGAAGAACATTCCATGCTCATGGGTAGGAAGAATCAATATCGTGAAAATGGCCATACTGCCCAAGGTAATTTATAGATTTAATGCCATCCCCATCAAGCTACCAATGACTTTCTTCACAGAATTGGAAAAAACTACTTTAAAGTTCATATGGAACCAAAAAAGAGCCCGCATCGCCAAATCAATCCTAAGCCAAAAGAACAAAGCTGGAGGCATCACGCTACCTGACTTCAAACTATACTACAAGGCTACAGTAACCAAAACAGCATGGTACTGGTACCAAAACAGAGATATAGATCAATGGAACAGAACAGAGTCCTCAGAAATAATGTCACATATCTACAACCATCTGAACTTTGACAAACCTGACAAAAATAAGAAATGGGGAAAGGATTCCCTATTTAATAAATGGTGCTGGGAAAACTGGCTAGCCATATGTAGAAAGCTGAAACTGGATCCCTTCCTTACACCTTATACAAAAATTAATTCAAGATGGATTAAAGACTTACATGTTAGACCTAAAACCATAAAAATCCTAGAAGAAAACCTAGGCAATACCATTCAGGACATAGGCATGGGCAAGGACTTCATGTCCAAAACACCAAAAGCAATGGCAACAAAAGCCAAAATTGACAAATGGGATCTAATTAAACTAAAGAGCTTCTGCACAGCAAAAGAAACTACCATCAGAGTGAACAGGCAACCTACAAAATGGGAGAAAATTTTTGCAACCTACTCATCTGACAAAGGGCTAATATCCAGAATCTACAATGAACTCAAACAAATTTACAAGAAAAACACAACCCCATCAAAAAGTGGGCAAAGGATATGAACAGACACTTCTCAAAAGAAGACATTTATGCAGCCAAAAAACACATGAAAAAATGCTTATCATCACTGACCATCAGAGAAATGCAAATCAAAACCACAATGAGATACCATCTCACACCAGTTAGAATGGCGATCATTCAAAAGTCAGGAAACAACAGGTGCTGGAGAGGATGTGGAGAAATAGGAACACTTTTACACTGTTGGTGGGACTGTAAACTAGTTCAACCATTGTGGAAGACAGTGTGGCGATTCCTCAGGGATCTAGAACTAGAAATACCATTTGACCCAGCCATTCCATTACTGGGTATATACCCAAAGGATTATAAATCATGCTGCTATAAAGACACATGCACACGTATGTTTATTGTGGCACTATTCACAATAGCAAAGACTTGGAACCAACCCAAATGTCCATCAATGATAGACTGGATTAAGAAAATGTGGCACATGTACACCATGGAATACTATGCAGCCATAAAAAATGATGAGGTCATGTCCTTTGTAGGGACATGGATGAAACTGGAAACCATCATTCTCAGCAAACTATCGCAAGGACAAAAAACCAAACACTGCATTTTCTCACTCATAGGTGGGAACTGAACAATGAGAACACTTGGACACAGGAAGGGGAACATCATACTCCGGGGACTGTTGTGGGGTGGGGGGAGGGGGGAGGGATAGCATTAGGAGGTATACCTAATGCTAAATGACGAGTTAATGGGTGCAGTACACCAACATGGCACATGTATACACATGTAACAAACCTGCACATTGTGCACATGTACCCTAAAACTTAAAGTATAATAATAATAAAATAAAAAAAAGAAGTGGTCTTCAAATTTAATATGCATGTCAATCACCTGAGATCTTGTTAAAATGCAAATTCTGATTAAATTGGACTTGGGCAGAGCCCAAGATTCTTTATTCCTAATAAGTTCCCTGGAGATACCAATGCTGCTGGTACATGTACCACACTTTACGTAGCAAAAGGCTATAATTTGGCAGAACATAGTTGGGCATCTTTGAGCTCCACTTGGCTCCATGTGCCTTCGCATGGTGTAAGGGAGAAGGTCAAAAGAGGGACACAGCCATATTATGAATAGCATTAAAGCTTCTGTTAGGATGTTGTGTAAGTCATAAATATCTACATTCCATTGTCCAAAGCAAGTTACATAACCAAGCCCAAAATCAATGTTGTGAGAAATTAACTTCTACATGTTGGAAAATACAAGGTGCTAAGTGCTGCAGAGCAGACAGGGATGGGTCCAAAGGAACAGTGATCAGTTCTTCCTGGGAGAGTCAGGGAAGGCCTGAGAGAGAATATGATGATTGAGCCAGGTTTTGAAGGACAAGCAGAACTTTCCAACAAGCCAGGAATGGGACCCAAGGTGAAGAAGAGGTCATTCAAGCCAGGGGAAGAGCATAAAGCAGAAGCCTCATATTCTCTAAAGAAGATCCCTATAATCACTTAGCAGGATGCTCACCACCATTAGTCATCAGAGAAATGCAAATCAAAACCACAATGAGATACCACTTCACCCTCACTAGGATGGCCATAATGTACAAAAATTGGTAATAGTAAGTGTTGATGAGGTTGTGGAGGGATTAGAACCTTCAAACACTGTTGATAGGAATGTAAAATGCTGCAGCTACTTTGAAAACCAGTCTGCTGGTCCCTCAGAAAGTTAAACATGGAGTTATCATATTACCCTGCAATTCCACTCCAAAATGTATATGCAAGAGATTGGAGACATATTAACACAAAATTTTGTACATTAATATCCATACTAGCATTATTCATAGTAGCCCAAAGTGGAGACAACCCAAATGTCCGTCAACTAAACAAAATGTGGTAACAGCCATGCAATGGAATATTATTTGTAAGTAACGAAGAATGAAATACTGATATATGCTATAACATTATGCAAAGGAAAGGAGCCAGACACAAAGGCCACATACTGTATGTTTCCATTTATATGAAATGTCCAGAATAGGCAAATCTGTAGCAATAGAAAGTAGACTGGTGATTGTCTAGGGCCGAGGCAGGGGATAGGATGAGGGGAATGAGGAGTGACTGCTAATGGGTGTGGGGTTTCTCCTGTGGGTGATGAAAATGTTCTAGAATTGACTGTGGTTGCACAACTTTGTGACTATACTAAAACCATTGTACACTGTAGGTGGGTGAATGAACAGTGTGTGAATTATATCTTAATAAAAGCTGTTAGAAAAAAAATGCTACACATGGCAAGGCATGAAGGCACAGGAACATAGTGTATTACAACTATTATAGAATGGGAATGGACAAGTCTGGGGGTAGGGGTCAGATTATGGAGGACCTGAAGGCAGTAAGAAGCAACAAGAACATTTTAGAAATATCAATCCATGTATGGAAAATCGGTGGGATGGAGCAGGTTGGAAAGAGGATGGGTAGTTAAGACTATTGCAATAGACTCAATATCAGCTGATGAAGGCTGAGACAAAATGATGGTGGTAGGGACAGAGACAGGGAAGAAAGAACATAAAAGATTTTTAAGATGCCAAAGCAAAAGGATTTTGTGATGATCAGGTGAGTGGGCAGGGAAGATGGAAGGGAGGGATTTTTCTTATACATCCTTGTGTCCTCAGCTACTTTAATATGCCTGACACAAAACAGTGCCCAATAATATTTGGGGAATAAATGAATGAATGAAGTGGATGATTACATTTTCAGAGTTGCTGTTACCTAATAGAGACCTTTGGGACACAGCAAGGGATTTTTTGCGGGGAGTGGGATGGAGGGACTGTAACATTTGGAGAATGGATACTTTTGTATGAGGGGAATGTCTATTTCAGAGAGAGAAATTAAAAATGATAGATCCCAAGGTACATTTGACCTCTCTCAGTTTGCTTATGGCCAGCCTGCTGTATGCCTGTGGAATTTTTTTTAAATGAGGAATTATAAAATGTCTGTAAACTCCATCTAACTGTGGTGCCTTCAGGCTTTTGTATCCATTAGCCAAGTAGACAGAATTGATTCTCACAAGAGGGAATACAACATGCTCAGATAAATATTTTACTGAGGCTCCCTAACTAATGATATCACCACCAGAAACCACTTAGATAATTTTGTTCTTCCATCAGTTTCTCCTGGCTAGCCATGGCCAGCCTTACCCCACTATGATACATCCTGAAATGATAAAGTTGGAAAACCTAGCTTGCATATACCACAACTTAAGAGTTGAAAGTTGTGACCTAATTTTCAATCAGAGAAGAATCATCTCTGAAGATGGTTTACATACCAGAAGACGAAGTGTTCCTATTTGTAACAACAGGACATTTCCACAGATGAATCCACTCTGTATAGTCATGGAAGAACAACTTTTATTTGTAGATTGGGATGGGAGCAGGAAGAGGTTGTGGTTTTGCCTTATTCTGATCCACTATCAGCTTATTAGCTATGGTAGATGAGGTGGCTTCCTGTGGATCTTCTCTTCCTGCTTCAGCAAGAGAAGCTTGTGGATGAGTAATGGAAAATTCTGCATTTGCCTGGTGTTTTAAGTATTCACAAGGGAGTCCCAGGTCCAAGCTTGTGGGCAGTACTTGGGCTTACTTATGGCAAAAGGAAAAAATACAGAGTGTCTGGGGGTCTCCCTGGGAACCAGTTAATGATTAGAGTGATTGGAACCAACTAGACCAGTCAGGAACACTTACTGAAAAGGAGAGTTATGAACAGGTAAGCTTTCTGAAGAAGGGTTTCTCCTTTCTTTATCAAATGATCTTTAGTTAAAGTATGATCAGCAAACTTGGAAGGTGAACTCGAGTTTGGATATGAGAAGTAGTAAAAAATAATGTTGAGTCTTTTCTAGGGCTAAGGTTCTGGTTCAAGAATCTGTGACCATCTGCAGTGGCTCATGCCTGTAATCCCAGTACTTTAGGAGGCTGAGGCAGGAGGATCACTTGAGCTCAGGAGTTTGAGACCAGCCTGGCCAACATGGCGAAATCCCATCTCCACTAAAAACACAAAAATTAACTGGGTGTGATGGTGCAGACCTATAGTCCCAGCTACTCAGGAGGCTGAGGCAGGAGAATCGCTTGAGCCTGGGAGGCAGAGGTTGCAGTGAGCCGAGATCCTGCCACTGCACTACAGCCTGTGACACAGAGTGAGACTCTGTCTCAAAAAAAAAAAAAAATTGTGACCATCTAGAAAGACCTGTATATCTCTCTCAGTGGAATCATCCTGTGCACTTTGGGAAACTAAGCCTTACCTGGAGTAATTCTATCTTACTTTGGGTTTGGACTACTCACATCTTTGGAGCATCCTGGGATGTCTCTTGATGTGGCTGATGCCCTGTGGGCTGTAGTCTCTGAATGGTTTCCTATCCAGTGTGCTCTTTGGACACTTAACAACTATAGCTACAGTTACTGCTCTACACCCATCACTTCTGAGCTAAATAACACAGGAAACAAATTGGCAAATTAGACTTACAAGAACTCTCACCCGGTATCAAGCTTTACTAATAATCTCAAGGATACAAGTAATTATGAGGCACAGACAAAGCAGAGAGAGGTCAGCGACTGCCAGTGCAGCTCTCTTGGTCCTTTTTTGGGTAACACTAAGATGCACACTAGCCCAGATTTAACATATAAAGTAGCGAAACAATGTATATAGTCATTAGTTACAGAAAAGAGGGCTACCTTGGTGATAGTATGTCCATTTGTCTTTGGATCAACTTCAGGTGATTTGTAATCCTTTGCTCTTTCCTTGGGCAGGTTGGGTTCCAGTCTTAAGTCTATTTCCTTCAGAGAGCAGCCCATCAGGGCAGCCTCTGTCTGGGGGTGGTCAAAACCAGCTCCAAACTCAAACCAGTTAGGGATGCCTGGCACTAACCTATAAGATGAATCTCATCAGCTCTCAGGCACAGTCCCTTTGGGGAGATCCTTATCATCCCTCTTTGCCTGCAAAACTTCCACAGGGGGTCTTTGTGGTGCGGTTCAACTCTTGCCCCTGCCAGGGAAACTGATAGAAGCCAGAATGCCTGCCAGTTAGGATAATTTTGGCTGCAAGTAACAGAAAGCCCTGATTCAAACTGGCTCAATCAGTAAGAAAATTTCTTACATAGCTTACATGTGATAAAAGAAAAACTTCAGCTGAATTAAATTTAAAGGAGTGTAATTGAGCAATGAACAATTTGCGAATCGGGCAGCTTCCCCAGCCAGAATAGGCTCTGAGACTCCAGCGCAGCCACACAGTGGAAGATTTACGGACAGAAAAAAAAAAGTGATACACAGAAAACGGAAGTGAGGTACAGAAACAGCTAGCTTAGTTACAGCTCGGTGTTTGCCTTATTTGAGCATGGTTTGAATAGTCGGCCACTGTTCATTGGCCAAAACTTGGCGATTGGCACAAGTGTAGGCTATGGTCTGTTTACACCTTGACTTGTTGTAGTTCACGATAACAGAAAAACCTTTAGGTCAAACTTAATATATGTAAGGAGGCAGCTTTAAGCTAAACTTGATTTAACAATTTCCCCCTTTTGGTCATCATTTCAGTTTTGAGAGACTGATGAAAACTCTAGTCATTGATATCACTATCACCATTGTAAATGTACTTATTTGGTCTTGAAACCCACTGGGAAACAGTAAAACCGTGGGTTTTGCAAGGTAGGAAGAAGGACTGAGTAGAGCGTAGTTGCTTACGCTGGAACATCCTATTTACAGGGAAAAAACAAAACCTGGTCTGTTCTAGGATCTATGTGTTTCCTTAAAGTCTTAGTTTGATTATGTCACATTTAGCATGAGTGACTCCATTTTGGTTTGATCTGGTCTGTTGGGGCCTTTTAAGTCCTCTTAAATCTCTTATTACCTGACTTTAGCCAGGCCAAACGGCCAATATTTCTGGCTTTTGAACTTTACGCTGGTAACCTCCCAGGTGAAACCAATAATCCTTAACTAAGGTTATGACTTAACCATAAGTGTACAAGGTATTTTCAGAGAGGTGTTAGCAGTTTTTACAAGATCTAGAATCTCCAAAGGTAGCTCACAGAAAGGAAGATTCAAGAAAGGAAGCTGGAAGTTGCACCTGGAGGGGCAGAGAATCAACAAATGGTAAAGGTCACACAGATATCAACCAGAAAGCACTCATTCCCTAAGCCAGGATTGAACCTGGACTGCCATTGTAAAATGGCAAAACCTCAGCTGGTGAGCTATAGCTTTGGAAGGTTTCCATTGCTCTTCCCAGAAGGAGCCTACAGCAGTCAATTTTAAGCTTGCAAAGGCTTTTAACTGCTCAAGATAATTTTTAGAGCTAACTATGACATAACCCCCCAAATTCTGGTTCCCTGGATGGCAGAGACCAAGAAAAAGTACCGCCGTATGGTTATAAGGTCAAGCTCCCAAGGACATAAAACAAGATGGGAGGGAAACCTCATCCAGTTTTTTGTTGTTGTTTCAGGGACCTGCAGCAAAATTTATAACTGACCAGTTTGCTGGGCTGGGTTGAACAGTGAGCTTACGGGGGTCCTAAGCCTGCATTCTATTCTATAGTAGTACCCCTTTTTATGACAGAACGATGCAGAAAGACAAATTCATAGCACAAAGTACATCAGATTTGCTACAGCTTAAGACTAGCCTCATAAATCCATTTCCCATTAATCAAAACTTTACACGGGCGCTAACAGTGATTTTTACCATTCATTCAACCAGTTTGCACAGAGAGCAAGAGGCCAGAAGTCTGGTAAGAAATTGCCTTTTTGACAGCATGCCAGGTTTCTGGATTCCCTATCCCTGAGCGGCACCAGCGACCCTGCTCGCTGCTCCACAGCCATGGGGCCCAAGCCACAACACAAAGGAAAATCTTTTTTTGCTGTTGTTTCATGGAACCATAGTAAAAAGCCTTTCAATTTTATAAGTTGCTGCCCAACCGGATGCGTGGGGGACCCGAATTAACATTTTCCATTCTGGCCAGAGCAAAATATGTGTGACAAAACAGAAATTAGCCACTCTGCTTAGCGCCCAACATCGAACTGGCCAGGCTTAAACTTGCCCCTAGTTTGGCTCTGTCATCTTTCATCCATTCCAAGTGGATTAAAGGAGTTTTAACATGTGGTCTCTGGGCAAGATGGTTGTCCTGAGTAACAGAAAAGATAGAAAAGGGAAAGGAGAAAAAGAGAAAAGCATTGCTTGCGGCGAGTTGGGGAAGGCAAGGAGCTCAGAGTGGCCAGAGAAAGGCCCATCCATTACAGCAACACTGAATCAAAAGTTCAGGCGGCTCCTTATCAGTTGTGAAGGGATCTTTTCTAGCAGTCCTATTAGCCTGCAAGTTTCCCTTTCCGAGGAAAAAAAAGGTTCCCCATGCCCCATGATCCTGTACATGCCTAATCCTGTCACCTATAGCCATCAGCAAAAAGTGCAAGGCAGATTAATCTAAAGAGAATAGTGGTTAACATGCTATAGTGCGAAATCCATTTTTAACCAAGAAGGACTTTACTGAAGGGAGGGCCTCTAACCCAATCCTATCCTTTACCCAGGTAAATTGTACCCCACTACTTACCCCAAATCGGCCAATTGGTGTGCAGTCTATTTTCTTTGGATTGGGATTGTAACTAAGCCAAAAGATTAGCAGATTTAATTTTTTTTTAAATCAATTAGTCACTTAAGCTTTTTATTTGGCTTTCTTAAAGTCTTTAAATAAAAATATTGAAATTTTAGGAGCTTCTGCATATCAATAGGCATCTTCAGATAAGACTAATTTGGGAGCTCTCATTTGCAAATGCACTTCTCCAGTGCAGTGTTGTTCATTTGGAATGTTCACCGTAAGTTATCTTTAGTAAGATTTCACCATTTCTGTAAGACTTTGCTGCTTCCAGGGCCTAACACTTAGGCATGTGTAAGCCAGAAGGAACTCAGTTCTTCAGAAATTAAGGATCCCATTTTTTACCTCAAATTTTGTCTTTGTTCTCAGGTTCCCTTGATCAACTTAGCCAATGATTTGTTTTTCCTATCTTAGCATGCAAGAAAAATGAAACAAAGGGATAGAACGCAAAAATCCCTGTGAATTTCCAAAAGCCAAGTTTTACACACCCTGCAATATTGCCATTTACTACTGGGTTCTTTCTCACCCAGTCAGATGTAATAGGCCTCTAACTGGATCCAAACCAGTTAATTATCAGATCCAATCCGATCCCGGACCCAGTCCAGTTTCTGTCATGACTTCCAAACCCAGTTTGGATCAGAAATTTGCTCAAACTCAGCTCCAAACACAAATCTGTGGAGCTTTGGAACCGGAGAGAGAACTTACCATGATATCCAGCTGCTCCAAGAGAGAAACGGCACAATGGGTCTGGCAGGTGCCTTGCTTAGTCACTCAGCGCTCCTGCAGGTTGTTAGAAGCTCTGCTTCAAGTCCCACTTTTGACGGCATCTGATAAAAGAAAAACTTCAGCTGAATTAATTTATTTTTATTTTTTATTTTTTGAGACGGAGTCTTGCTCTGTCGCCCAGGCTGGAGTGCAATGGTGTGATCGTGGCTCACTGCAACCTCCACCTCCCGGGTTCAAGTGATTCTCCTGCCTCAGCTTCCCGAGTAGCTGGGATTACAGGTGCCTGCCACCATGCCCGGCTAATTTTTGTATTTTTTAGTAGAGACAAGGTTTCACCATGTTGGTCAGGCTGGTCTTGAACTCCTGACCTCAGGTGATTTCCGCCGCCCCCCCCCCACCCCCACCCCCACCCCCACCCCCACCCCGCCTCCGCCTCCCAAAGTGCTGGGATTACAGGTGTGAGCCACCGTGCCTGGCCAGCTGAATTAAATTTAAAGGAGTTTAATTGAGCAATGAACAATTTGCAAATTGGGCAGCCTCCGGAGCCAGAATAGGCTCTGATTCCAGTGCAGCCATGCAGTGGAAGAAGATTTATGGACAGAAAAGAGAAAGTGATGCACAGAAAATGGAAGGGAGGTACAGAAAAAGCTGGATTGGTTACAGGTTGGCGTCGGCCTCATTTGAACACAGTTTGAACAATTGGCTACATTTGATTGGCCAAAACTCAGTGATTGGCACAGGTGTGGGCTGCAGTCTGTTTACACCCCCACTTGTTATAGCTCACCACGTAAAGATAAACCTTTAGGCCAAACTTAAAATACGTAAGAAGACAACTTTAGGCTAAACTTGATTTAACACATGACGTTTTCCAGAGAGCCATGCCCCATAAATACAAACATTCCAAGTTTGTTTACCATAAACAATGCTAGATGAACCAAATACATTCTCCTGAAAACATTCCATAGATAAGGACTGTCCTGCTAGTTTAATATTATTAGTTTGTTTGCCAGGAGATCTGTTATTAGCATGTGTACAAGGAGATTTGAGTAACTCACTTTTTTTTCTTCCCAGGAAATCCTTCGGTTGGAGAGACTGGGTTGCAGCTTGCTGCTAATCCTTTCCTTATCAGTTTCCAAAGAACAAGAGTGGGAGGCAGGGTGCCTTCTGTGTTTGTGTATGGCTGTCCAGATTGTGGAAGCTCTGGGGCACTGGGGAAATGAGGGTTTTAGAGTTGGGCATACAGACAGATGACTTAACCAACTGAAGCTCAAATCTCAGCTGTCCCCTTTTTGTGTTACTTTAGGGAGTTAGTACAGCTGTCACCTCATCTGAAGAATGAGAATACTATCTACCTCATTGGTTTATTTTTATAAGCATAGAAGTCTTTTTCGCATGAAAATACTTTTTAAGCTTTAACAAGCTATACCCATGTACTGTATTACTGTTGTTATCAGTGGATGTCTGTAGCCCTTTCTATTTGGATGTCCATTTGTGGCCTGTTCCAAGGTTGGTGGCTCTGACTCTTGGCTGCAAAGCCTTTTAGTGGCTGAAGCTCTGTATTAGCAGCAAGACATCCTGGATGACAGAAATCCTTTGTTTTGGAAACAAAAAGTAGACCCGGGTCTACTTTTAGAGCACCACATTTTTCATTATATTTATTTTCACAGTCTACAATTTTATATATTTATATAAAAATAATAACAGCTGGCCCGGCATGGTAGCTCATGCCTGTAATTCCAGCATATTGGGAGGCCAAGGCGGGAGGATCACTTGAGCCCAGGAGTTTGAGACTAGCCTGGGCAACATGGTGAAACCCCGTTTCTATAAAAAATACAAAAATTAGCCAGGTGTAGTGGCACGTGCCTGTAGCCCCAGCTGCTTGGGAAGCTGAGGTGGGAGGATTGCTTGAGCCCAGGAGGTGGAGGTTGCAGTGAGCTGAGATCACACCACTGCACTCCAGCCTGGGTAATAGAGAGAGACCCTGTCTCAAAAACAACAAAACAAAACAAAAACAGCTAACAATATTGAGCACTTATTACATGCTAAGTACTTTTCCATGCCCTTTTAGTATCCAATTTAATCCTCCCAACAACCTAATGAGGTCATTATTTTTCTTTTTAATGATACATTTTAATTATTACAGAGATAAACACATATATTCAAAATGTCATGTTCTGCTTTGATCAATTAGCGATAAATTATAAAAATTTTTCCATGTTATTGTCACCATGATTATTTTTTATTTTTATTTTTATTTATTTATTTATTTATTTATTTATTTATTTATTTTTTGGGGGGGATGGAGTCTCGCTCTGTTGCCCAGGCTGGAGTGCAGTGGCGCAATCTCGGCTCACTGCAACCTCCGCCTCCCATATTCAAGTGATTCTCCTGCCTCAGCCTCCTGAGTAGCTGGGATTACAGGCATGCGCCACCACGCCCAGCTAATTTTTCTATTTTTTTAGTAGAGACGGGGTTTCACCATGTTGGTCAGGCTGGTCTTGAACTCCTGACCTCGTGATCCGCCTGCCTCAGCCTCCCAAAGTGCTGGGATTACAGGCGTGAGCCACCACGCCTGGCCATGATTATCTTTTATAAAGTTGTTTGTCAGACATTTAGACTGTCTGTAATTTTTCATAGAGATAAATACAACTATAAAGAACATATTTTCTAATAAAAATTATACTTACCTAAATCTGTCTTTTAACTTTGTTCCTGTAGGTTTTTTCCTATTTGTGGAAATTTTATATACATGTAGAAAAGTTCATGTAAATGTTCAGTTCAATGAATTGCCACAATAAAATATTACCTGCATCTAAAGCCCCCCTCATGTTTTCTTCCAGTAATTATGCCATCAGGCTCCACTCTTGTGTTTGGCTTCTTTTGTTCAACATTCGTCTATATTGTTGTGTGTAGTTATAGTTTGGTTCATCTCAAAGAAGGTGGGAATTATTATTAATCATAATTTATAGGCTAAGAAACGGAGTCACAGAAAGGTCAAGTAGCTTACTCAGAATCATATACTAGCAAGTGGCAGAGCCAGAATTTGAACCCAAGTAATCTGACTTTGCTCTGTTAACCATTATGCTAGACTGCAGCTCATAGCTATTTATTTAATGTCCATCTCCCCCACTATGCTGCAAGCTCCATTTAATACCCAGCACCCAGCACCTAGACATACCAGGTGACCAATAGGTATTTCTGACTGAATGAACAAAGAATGAATGAATGAATGAATGATACCAGATAGGCCTGCTTTTGTGATTCAGTGCTTTTGCCTCAGTTGCTAGAAATGCCTCTGAAGGTTCAGGATCTTCCTTTTCTTCACCTTGATTATGGGCACCTCCTCAGAATCACTCTTACTACCTGTGGTCACAGCCTGCTGATATCCCTTCTGCGGCAGCACACAGCAGCCTGTGTGACTCTACTGGGAGAAGACTCTGGAAGCTTCCATGTTGAAGGAAGATTTGCTTCTGTGTGTAGACCTTGGAGAGCTCCTGGGCCTTATCTTGTCCTTCCATAAGAGGGAGACACTAGGGTAATACTATTTGCTGCCCCAGGAGTTGGAATGGCCCCTATACAAGTTCATGCTTCTATAAATCCTGGAGCAGTTGAAAATGATTCCTGCACTCTTTTTTTTTTTTTTTGAGATGGAGTCTCGCTCTGTTGCCCAAGCTGGAGTGCAGTGGTGCGATCTCGGCTCACTGCAACCTCGGCCTCCCGGGTTCACACCATTCCCTGCCTCAGCCTCCCGAGTAGCTGGTACTACAGGCACCTGCCACCACGCCTGGCTAATTTTTTTGTATTTTTAGTAGAGATGGGGTTTCACCATGTTAGCCAGGATGGTCTCCATCGCCTGACCTCATGATCCGCCCGCATCGGCCTCCCAAAGTGTTGGGATTACAGGCGTGAGCCACTGCGCCCGGCTGATTCCTGTATTCTTAACCCTCAGCTTCCTGTACAGAATTTTGGTGTCCATGGACAGTTGGTCTCTTGACATTTGTGGTAATCTTTATGGTTTGATTTTTTCTTTCTTTGCCTAACAGTGAATCTTGTACTTATGATGTTACTGAAGCAGGGATATACTCAGGAACCACTTTCAGGTGTGTTCCATCCAAAGCAATGTGAGATTGACTGTAGGATTTGTGAATCCCAGGCCTGTGCTTGATTGATTGCACTCTTCTTCTCCACACCTGTACTGTAGTGAGACTTTGAGAAATGGCCCACCTTCTCCTCTGAAAATTGCCTTCAAAGGAATTAGTTTAAGCCAACTGTCTTAAAGCCCATAAATGATCACTACAGAATTTCCAAAACCAAGAGAATTGGTCCATTTCTCTAATACTTAGATTTTTTTTCTAACACACTGAGGCCTGGCACTATGATAAGAAAAAATAAATCTAGCAACAGTTCTTTGTATTACAGGAAGACACTTTTTCTTAGAACGTTTTAGCCATTATTCTGATGATCTGCATACTGGGCACAGGTAAACAATTTACATGGAGAAAACCCAAGAATTAACTATTATTCATCTAGTAGTCTGATTCTCAGCATTTTCTCCTTATTGAACGAATGCTGTATTTGATACAGGAAACACAGGTTTGGAAGAATACACATGCCAGCATTACAGGAAAGCAGATTATTTGCACTTTTTGTGGCCTAAGACAAGGGTTGGCAAACTTTTTCACTAAAGGACCAGCTAGTAAATATAATAGGCTGACAACCATACAGTCTCTGTTGCAACCCTTCACATATGCCCCTCTAGAGTGAAAGCAGCCATAAACAGTATGTAAATGAATGGGTATGGCTGTGTTCCAGTAAAACTTTATTTACAAAAGCAGTCATAGGCCTTATTTAACCTACAGGCCATAATTTGCCAACCCCTTGTCTAGGAGATCCAACAGAAAAAAATTAACCAAAGGAAAAAAGCCCTGTACAACATAAGTTGAGAGATAGACATATTCCCCAGATTGGTAAATCCTTTATAGAAATATCTATTTTTTTCCATGGTGTTCTAAATAAAGAAGTTGAACATGACAGTGAATGTTTTCAAGTGGGGATATGTGCAGAAAAGAGTTAACATACCGTGCCTAATTGCTATCCTTTAAAAAGCCTGCTTGCGGCCGGGCGTGGTGGCTCATGCCTGTAATCCCGGCACTTTGAGAGGCCGAGGCAGGCACATCACCTGAGGTCGGGAGTTCATGATAAGCCTGGCCAACATGGCAAAACCCTGTCTCTACTAAAAATACAAAAATTAGTCAGGTGTCATGGCACATGCCTGTGATCCTAGCTGTTTGGGAGGCTGAGGCAGGAGAATCGCTTGAACCTGGGAGGCAGAGGTTGCAGCGAGCTGAGATCGTGCCACTGCACTCCAGCCTGGATGGCAGAGCGAGACTCCATCTCAATAAATAAATAAATAAATAAATAAATATTAAAAACCTGCTTGCAAGGTTGGCCATTGACTGGTGTCGGGCAACTTAGATTTTGGGGAGGGTTTTCACCCTAACTGATAAGACTGGTTCACTGTGCATAAACTGTTTAAACAATATGATCTGTGCTGAACCCTCGCTTTCCTTCTGGGAGTCTAGAATTTGGGAAGGTGCCAGGCAGAGGCTACCTATGTGACCAGCCTCTGATAAGAGCCCTGATTGTTGGGTCTCTAATGAGCTCACCTGGTTGGTGACATTTCATGCATGTTGTCACAACTCATTGCTGGGGGGAATTAAACATGTCCTATGTGACTCCACTGGGAGAGGACTCTGGAAGCTTGTGCCTGGTCTTCTCTGGACTTCATCCCATGCACCCTTCCCCTTTGCTGATGGTGCTTGGTATCCTTTCACTGTAATAAAACATAGCTGTGAGTGCAAGTATATGCTGAGTCCTCCTAGCAAATTGTCAGACTTGAAGGTGGACTTGGGGACCTCCCAACACAGGGTACATTATTTCCTACCTTGTTCATTTAATGTCCTTGTCCTCCAGAAGTAAACCATCAACTTTAAATTTTGGAAATGTTCCTGATCACAGTGACAACACCTGGGTTTAATATAATACAGGATTTGCAGAATCCTGAGCCTGGAGGGCATGAGAAATTGCAAGACAGCATGTGGTCAGGGCTCCACTAAAAGGAACTGGGTGACCACTTACTAGAAAATTGGTCTGATTCAGCAGAAAATATAGCTTGATGATAAAACTATGACTGTTTGCAGCTTGTATATCTGAGGTCAACCTAACGACTTAATGGGTCAACACAGTTCCCAAAAACTACAACCAGACTTGAGGTTCAGTAAACGGCCTGTGCCCAGCTTCATTACAATGACCCAATCTGGAACTAATAAGCTTGGCCTTGTTCAACCAATCAGTCTTTGTGAAACTTTGCAGCTTTGCTTTTATAAGACCCACTCTGAGGGTCTCCAGAGGGTATGCTCTCCCTTGTATATTGCCTAAATGCTAGTAAATCCTCAATACGTCAGGCTGGGCATGGTGGCTCACGCCTGGAATCCCAGCACTTTGGGAGGCTGAGGCGGGTGGATCTCTTGAGCCCTGGAGCTTGAGACCAGCCTGGGCAACATGGTGAAACCCCGCCTCCTTAAAAAATACAAAAATTAGGGGCCGGGGACAGTGGCTCACGCCTGTAATCCCAGCACTTTGGGAGGCCGACGTGGGCAGATCACGAGGTCAGGAGATCAAGACTATCCTGGCTAACATGGTGAAACCCCATCTCTACTAAAAATACAAAAAATTAGCCAGGCTTGGTGGTGGGCACCTGCAGTCCCAGCTACTCGGGAGGCTGAGGCAGGAGAATGGCGTGAACCCGGGAGGCGGAGCTTGCAGTGAGCCCAGATTGCACCACTGCACTCCAGCCTGGGTGACAGAGCGAGACTCTGTCTCAAACAAAACAAAACAAAACAAAAACTAAAAAATTAGCTAGGCATGGTGGCATGCAACTATAGTCCCAACTACTCAGGAGGCTGAGGCCGGAGGATGGTTTGAGCCCAGGAGGTGGAGGTTGCAGTGAGCCAAGATCACGCCACTGCACTCCAGCCTGGGCAACAGAGTGAGACCCTGTCTCAAAAAAAAAAAAAATTCTCAGTACTTCAATTTTCAATTGTCTCTGAATGATTCTTTGACAGTTTGAAGACTCCATCCTACAGGACCTAATTCTACTTAAGTTTTCCCTAATCTTGTCTATCAGTAAACTGATTTTAATGCTCACCATGTCTCAAAGTCTTCATATTTCTTTTATTAGTGGTGACCTCAAAGGTTGTGTATAGGGAAGTATGGGGTGATCTGAATCATGCCAATGTCACTGAAACTGCCTTTGCAAAAATTATAACAGTGAGAAAATTAGGACAGTGAAAGAGATCTATCCTAATTGACTCCATATTGCTTTTAACCTGCAAATTGTCAAACAGAGCAGGCACAGAGAGCTAAAGGTGCCAGAGATGCTGAGGGAAGCGTGTGCATTTTTGATAACTGTGTACTTCTAGTGACTGCACAGTTTGAAATACCATGTCACTAATAGAATGTTTCAGAAGCCGGATTGATGTGGGGAAAGCACCTTTCCCAAGACTTTGTCTTGGCTCCCAGGAGGAGGGACTCCCTGACTTTGACACACATGGCCACCTTGGCATTTCAAAAGCCTTGTGGTATGGAAAAACAAATTCATTTTTATGTCCTCTTTTCCCTTTCCACCTTTCAGCACAGACTTAACTCCCTTAAACCCAGACATCTGTTGGGACCTCACCTCCAGTCATTGGTTACCAGTGTGTCAGGCAATCTGGACTTTCCAGTGATGCCACTGAGATAGCACCCCTCGAAAGAGCAGTGGTTCCATTTCTAGATGGTGGATCTTCAGACAAATTCGGCTATTTTCATTTCACTTCCTGAAAGTCAGGGTCAGCTCATGAAAAGTTGTTAAACAACATGCTAAACGTGAAATGTCAACCCTCACTCTAAACTTTCCCTGTTCAGAGCATCAGATGAAGACTTCATTGGGTTTTATAGTGGCTTTCTGATTTTTGGTAGTCCATTGAAGAAGGGAGTTTGAAAGCTGCATACTGTTAACGATTGTCTGCCCATGTCTGCCTGAAATACCATGATTGTTTATGGAAAGTATCTTTAATAAAGCTAGATACAATTTGGCTTGGAAAAAAAGAAAGCCACTCTACCCCCGTGAGGCGGGAGCCACCGTGTCCGGCCTCGGTCAATCAAGTCTTGAAACACATTATCACCTGCTATTGCGGGGGTATCGAGGGCAGGACACAACTGGGAACACGGCCTACCCTGGGCCGCCCTTCACTGCTCCATGACAGCATTATCACATAGAGGAAGACATATCCCCAGGTGGTGGCCCAGAACAGGAGCTCACAAAGCAGAAAGGGTGATGCCAAGTGGATGACTCAGGAGCAGGCAGATGAGGAACCTCCTTTTCTGGAAATATAACGTAAAAAAGTCATCTTTGAAGAGAGTAGGGGAAGCTAATGTTTGTGTTACACTTAGAGTTTAAGTTTCACACCAGATATGAGAGGTTCTTACATGAGATAATACTTTTGCACCTTGGCTTTGTAAAGGCCAGATTGTTATAAAAATGGTGATGGCACAAGGCAATGACTGTCTGGGCCAGATGAATGGATAATGAACAATCTTTCCAGAAAAAATGTAGGCCAGGAGTCATATCCAGCTTTCATATCTCACAAAACTAAAATTATAGTTGGGGGTATCATCTTTTCTTAGCAATGCATTTTGACTGTAATTTGGTATTAGTGTTATATACTTAGTAACATTAGTCAGCCTTATTAAAATGGATCTGATGACACAATTTTTTTCTTTTAAAAATATTTTAAGTTTTTACTCTTTTCAAAATGTAGGATGACTAAACAGGAGGTACTTTGTCTACAGGAACTTCTTTGGGTAAAGTAAAATAGTGAAATTTGATATACATATAATTTTAATATATGAATACATTATATATATTAAAGCTATACATACACTGAACCTGCTAGTTTCCCTTATATATTTATATTTTCATACTAACTTTATATATTTATACCATTGAGATATTTACATATAAAATTTTAGTACTTATATATACATATATAAACATATAGACACAAATACATGCAAATAGAATTTTATTTTTCTGAACACCAAGTATAATTTTTTTTTTTTTTGATATGGAGTCTTGCTCTGTCACCCAGGCTGGAGTGCAGTGGCATGATCTCGGCTCACTGCAACCTCCAACTCCCGGGTTCAAGCAATCCCCCCACCTAAGCCTCCCGAATAGCTGGGATTACAGGTGCCCACCACCATACTCGGCTGATTTTTGTATTTTTAGTAGAGATGGGGTTTCACCATGTTGACCAGGCTGGTCTCAAACTCCTGACCTCAGGTGGTCTTCCCGCCTCAGCCTCCCAAAGTGCTGGGATTACAGGCGTGAGCCACCACACCCGGCCTGAACACCAATTATAATTTTAATTCTCCAAGCCACATTTGGTAATTCTTGTAAAACCACGCAATCTATGGGCTGATTTAGGCACTAGAGTATTGTGGATAGTGAAAAAGATTTTTGGATGTTAGCCTTTGTCTTTGGAAGCCTAAGTGGTAGCATGGGTCTACTTTCCTACCTCTGCAGGTAGGGCACAATGAATGTAAGTGAATCTTCGAATGATGATGCTTGTCTTAGTCCATTCAGCCTACTAAAACAAACTACCATAGACTGGGTGGCTTATAGACAACAGATTTATTTCTCTCTGTTCTGGAGGCTGAAAAGTCTAAGATTCAGGTGCAAAGAGATTCAGCGTCTGATGAGGGCCCACTTCATCCTTTGTAGATGGTGTCTTCTTGCAGTGTCTTCACATGGTAGTAGAAGGGGCAAGGCAGCTCTCTAGGGCCTTTTTTTTTATTATTAGGGCACTGATCCTATTTATAAGGGCTCTGCCCTCATGTCCTAATCCGCCCCCCAAAGACCCCACCTCCTAACACCATCACATTGGGGGTTAGGATTTCAACATGTGAATCTGGGAGGGATGTAAACATTTAGTTCGTAACAATGCTAATCTTGCTTTGTCTCTGCATCTTGATCCCGAATATTGTTTTCATGATGCCTCATGGATGGGAGTACATTTTGGACCTGTTCATTTTCTTGTGATTTTCCTCTAATGTTTTGAGGGTCTGCTGAGTGAGGTTCTAATGGACTGTAAGCTTCACCTGAGTAAGTGCTTCACCTTGGGAAGAATTAGAAATAGGAAAAAAAACCAACTCTTGTCTTATTTCAACTCCTACAATCAGTTACCAAGCCCTGTTCAAAATATCTGAGACATGACTGAAGTATTTCCTTTACATCTTCACAAACACTGACTTCATTAGTTGCCACTGGGGTATTGCAATCACTTCCTAATCTGTTTCCTGCCACCAATCTCACTCCACTCCAGTCCACTGTCATCACCATGACTACAGTTAACATGCTAAAAAAGGTTACTCTTCCTCTCCAAACTGTTAATTAGTTCCCCACTGTCCCCAGGAAATAAAAGGTTTCTGAAGCAATTAGAAGGATGGTGGTGAGGGGGAACATAGCTAACCTTTAATGAGTTCTTACAATGTGCCAGACATTGTTTTATGGACACAATTTATTTGGACTATGTCACTTAACTTTAAAACAACTAAGTGAGTAGCCATCATCATCATTCCAATTTGTAAGTGAAGAAACAGGCACACAAAAGAGTTAAATAATTTGCTCAAGGGCACACAAATAATTAATGGAACAAGGATTTGGGCCTTGTAAGCTATAGAAATTGACAAGATGATTCTAAAATGTACAGCTTATGGAAAAGCAAAATGACTAGGATAGCCAAAACTACTTTGCAAAAGAAGAACAAAGTTGGAAAGTATCACTACTTGATTTCAAAATTTATTGTAAAGCTACAGCAATAAAGACACAATGATATTGGCACAAAAATAGACAAATAGATCAGTGGAATAGAACAGAACTTCATATATATGGTCAATCTTTTTTTTTTTTAACAAAGGTATAAAGGCAATTCAGTGGAGAAAGAATAGCCTTTTCAACAAAGGATGTTGGAATGTTTGGATATCCATATGCAAAAAATAAAACATGACTTACACTTCACACCTTATACAAAAATGAACTGAAAATGGACCATAAGCCTAAATGTAAAGCTTAAAACTATAAAACTTCTAGAAGAAAACATAGGAGAATATCTTTGTGACCTTGGGTTAGGTAAATTTTTCTTAGATCTGATACCAAAAGCACACTCCTGAAAAGAAAAGTGATAAATTGAATTTCATTAAAATTAAGAGATGCTGCTGTTCAAAAGACACTGTCAAGAAAATGAAAATATAGCTACAGATTGGGAGAAAGTATTTGCAAAACACGTATCTCCTAAAAGACTTGTGTCCAGATCATATAAGAATTCTCAAACCTCAATGATTAAAAAAATCCAAAAAAATAGGCAAAATATTTTAATGGACATGTCACCAAACATATATGGATAGAAAATAAGCTCATGAAAATATACTCAGCAGCACTAATTATTAAAGAAATAATCAAAACCACAATGAGACACACTAGGTACCTACTAGAATGGATTAAAACAAAAGAAATCTTGGGAGGCTGAGGCGGGCAGATCACGAGGTCAGGAGATCGAGACCATCCTGGCTAACACAGTGAAACCCCATCTCTACTAAAAATACAAAAAATTAGTCGGGCATGGTGGTGGTTACCTGTAGTCCCAGCTACTTGGGAGGCTGAGGCAGGAGAATGGCGTGAACCTGGGAGTCAGAGCTTGCAGTAAGCTGTGATCGCACCACTACACTCAAACCTGGGTGACAGAGTGAGACTCCATCTCAAAACAAAACAAAACAAAACAAAAAAACAAATCTGACAATACCAAATGCTGTCAAGGATGTGGAACAACTGGAATTCTCAACATTGCTGTTGGGAATACAAAATGGCACAGCCACTTTAGAAAAGAGTTTCACAGTTTGTTATGAAGCTAAACATATACTTACCATGTGATCCAACATTCCCCTCCTGGATATTTACCCAAGTGAAATGAAAACTTCTGTTCACAGAAAATCTTATTTGTGGATATTTCCATCAACTTTGTTCATAATTGCCTAACTGGAAAGAATCCAAATGTCCTTCAACTGGTAAACAGGTAAACAAACATTGGTTAATCTATATGATGGAATACTATGCAGCAGTGAAAAGCAACAAACAACAAATACATGCAACAACATGGATGAATTTTTTTTTGAGACAGAGTCTTACTCTGTCACCCAGGCTAGAGTGTAGTGGTGTAATCACAGCTCACTGCAGCTTTGACCTCCCTAGTGCAACCAATTCTCCCGTCTCAATCTCCTGAGTAGCTGGGACCACAAGAGTGTACCACCATGTCCAGCTAATTTTTTGACTTTTTGTAGAGACGAGGTTTCACTATGTTGCCCAGACTGCCTCGAACCCTTGGGCTCAAGCGATCCACATGCCTCAGCCTCCCAAAGTGCTGGGAATATAGATGTGAGCCACTGTACCTGGCCTTGGATGAATCTTAAATATAGGTATGTGAAGGAGGCCAGTCACAAGGGCTATATGTTTTATGATTCCATTTATATGACTTCCATTTATAAGCCCTTCTGGTAAGGCAAATCTATACGCACAGAAGAAAGATAACCAGTTGCCAGGGATTCTGGGTGGGGGAAGAAGTTGACTCCAAAGATGCATGATGGAATTTTGTTTTGCAAGATGGAACAGTCTATAACTTGATTACGGTGGTGGTTGCATGACTATACATATTTTTCAACACTCACAGAACTGAAAAGGATGAATTTTACTCTGTGTGTATTATATTTAATTTTTTTTAAGTTTATGCTTGACCCAGAATGGGTACAGAAAAAAGAAATTAGGCCAAGTGCAGTGGCTCACACCTGTAAACCCAGCACTTTGGGAGGCTGAGGTGGGAGGATCGCTTGAGCCCAGGAGTTGGAAACCAGCCTGAGCAACCTGGCAAAATCCCATCTCTAAAAAAAAAATACAAAAATTAGCCAGGCATGGTGGTGCACGCCTGTAGTCCCATCTACTCAGGAGGCTGAGGCAGGCAGATTGATTGAGCCCAGAAGGTAGAGGCCGGAACGTCAAGGCTGCAGTGAGCCATGATTGCGCCACTGCACTCCAGCCTGGGCGACAGAGCAAGACCCTGTCTCAAAACAAGAAAGAAATTTACCAATTGAAAATTAGGTAAATTATCTCGCAATTAATTGAATTCTCTTATTCCTCCAGCAAAGGTTAGTCTGGCCAGGACATTTCTTAGCATGTGAATCTCTGCTGAGCTGCTACAGGGGAGGGCTGTAGTTGAAGATCTTTTAATGAACCAGAGTGTTCGTTAACATGCTTGGAAGGCTCAAAGGATGGTGTGGACACAGAGTAATTTTTTCTAACAACATCATATTGTGTAAAAACAAGGCAATTAGGCAGCACAAGTGAAGGGGATGGCCAACCATGATAAGCAGTGTCAGGCCTACTAATGCATGTTGACACACACACACACACACACACACACACACGTACACACATACACACACACTGACACACACACATACACACACACTGACACACACACATACACACAGGTTCACAGCCTCTTCCAGTGCACCTGTGGCCTAGGTAGCCTTGGCGTCTTCCCTCTGGGAAGTCAAGAGTGAGTCACATCCTCCATTTTTGGTCTTGTTAGCTTTAATACCTGAAAAAACCTTACATTAAATTGCCCATTTCACTTGGATGGAATATAATTTCACTTCTCCATATGCCCAGATGTATTACATAGCACATTATCTACATCGATAAGAATGAATGGCTGACTTCTCTCACTCATCTTCAGTCCTAAATGCAGCAAATGCTGCCGGTGCCCTGTCCATCTCCCCTTGGCACTCACCATTCTGTACACACAGACAGAGTATTACCGCAAGCACCTGTGACTTTGTCTGAGGGCATCCTCGAGCCAAATCAGCATGGGTGGCCCCTGTATGTGGCAACCAGAAGTGTCAGGGAATAATGCTCCCAGGACTGTCCTCAGTCTATGAGAAAGAAAAGTGGATGAATAAATACCCCAGCTTCCTTGCATCTAGGACGGGACAATCTGAGGCTTATTCTGTACTGTCTTCCAAGGTCCCCAGCATGGACCAGTTGTCTGGAGCCGCTTGTGCTCAGGAATACGTCTCTCATTGTCTGTTTTCCTATCCCTGACTCAGCTCCCCTTTCTGTCACCAATGCTTCTAAGGATTAGCACCCAAAGAAACTACTCCCACTCAAATCCTCTCCTCCGGGAATGCTTTTGGGGAAACCCAAGTGAAGACAGGGGCAATTCGCCAGCTGAAGATCGAGTCCATCCCATGGCAGGGTGGGCAGATATACCTCTCTAATAAGTGAGATGCACCCTGGGATATCAGCGGAGGGAGGGGCAGAATTTAGATCACACTCATGAGTCAGAAAAACAGGCTATGGAGTAGTTCTCCCCAGAAAAACATTATTGATCTTGTCCAATAAAACAAACAAAACCAAACAAACTGGGAGATTTCAAGGCAACAAAGTTAATGGAAAACAATGTCCCATAAATTACCTAAGACTGAATGATATTGCTGCAAATCCATCTTTAGGATCTTAGCTAAGGTCTACAGTTTACTCTAATCATTGAAAATTTATTGCCATCACCTGGAACAATTGTTCTCGTCCTTATCAGGTGCAAATCACCTTGTAGAAATGAATGGTTTCATGTCTCTCTACCATCCTGACCTGCAATCCATAGACAATGTAATGACCCACCACGTAATTTTTTAATCTGTAAGTGCCCTAACTCAACACATGGAGAAATAAAGGTGAGTAATTATGTAAATGAACGTCAGGTACTGATGCATCTACATGAACACCCCCAGGCGGGAGCTCACTCGACGACGACAGGAAGAATCCTGATGCTTGCCACAAATCTGTGGCGTCTCTGGGCATGGAAGCACTGCTACCGCGGGCTCATTCCGCAGCCCAGTGGCTGACAGATACCAACAGCAGCCTTGCAACTGATGGCAAGAGATTCCAAAAGTGCCAACAATTGTTGAAGTTTCCACCAAGATCAGTGACAACTTCCCATGATTTCCCGACAGCGGCATTCCTGTGGAAACTGATGTCTATGCACGGTGCGAAAGATACATCTATACCGTCATTGGTGGCTTATGCTTTTGCATGTATGCTTTCAAGGTGAAATGGCAAGTAGTCGAGTGCAAGTGCGGGCAGCAGACCCGGAAGTGCGGTGGGTGAGCCTTGCGCCCAGGAGGCTAGAGATGCAGGAGCCCCAGAACCTGCGGTGCAGCGAGTGCACATGCGCATAGACGGGGCCCAGGAGCTGACCCTGGCCCTCCCGTTCGCTTCCGGTGTAGCATGCAGAGACGTGAAGCCCGGGCCACGACGACGACCCCTCAGGTACCGATGTTTTCAGAAACCCTCAAACAGATTGGGTAGCGCTTCCCTGGGGGCAGGTTTCTGGGCAGGTGCCCAGACGCGCCTAGAAGCTGACCCCGGCCCTCCCGCTCACTTCCGTTCCAGGCCGCAGAGACGCGAAGTCCGGCCACGACGACGACCCCTCAGGTACCCATGTTTTCAGAAACCCTCAAACAGATTGGGTAGCGCTTCCCTGGGGGCGGGTTTCTGGGCAGATGCCCACGTTGAACTCAGTGTGGACTTGTGGCATCTTGCGGGCCTGTAGATTAATATGACAGCCGTGATTCCACCCTGCTTCACCAACGCACATGCGTTTTCTCTCCTCTTAGGGGCCCTGTTTTCTGTTACAATGGATCGAGATTTAGAACAGGCTCTGGATCGCGCAGAGAATATCATTGAAATTGCCCAACAGAGACCTCCTAGAAGGAGATACTCACCTAGGGCGGGAAAAACTCTGCAGGAAAAACTTTATGACATTTATGTTGAAGAATGTGGAAAAGAGCCTGAGGATCCTCAGGAATTGAGAAGCAATGTAAACTTGTTAGAAAAGCTTGTTAGGAGAGAGTCCTTGCCATGTTTACTGGTCAATCTATACCCAGGCAATCAGGGGTATTCTGTGATGCTCCAGAGAGAAGATGGGTCCTTTGCAGAGACCATTCGGCTGCCTTATGAAGAAAGGGCATTGCTGGACTACTTGGATGCAGAAGAATTACCCCCTGCTTTGGGTGATGTCCTGGATAAAGCTTCGGTTAACATTTTTCATAGTGGGTGTGTCATAGTAGAAGTTCGTGACTACAGGCAGTCCAGTAATATGCAACCTCCTGGTTACCAAAGCAGGCATATTCTTCTACGTCCAACGATGCAGACTTTAGCCCATGATGTGAAGATGATGACAAGAGATGGCCAGAAATGGAGCCAGGAAGACAAGCTTCAGCTTGAGAGCCAGCTGATCTTAGCGACAGCTGAACCACTGTGTCTTGATCCTTCTGTAGCAGTTGCCTGCACTGCAAACAGGCTGCTGTACAACAAGCAAAAGATGAATACCGACCCGATGAAACGGTGCCTCCAGAGGTATTCGTGGCCCTCTGTAAAGCCACAGCAGGAGCAGTCTGACTGTCCACCTCCTCCTGAGCTGAGAGTGTCGACTTCTGGCCAAAAAGAAGAAAGAAAAGTAGGTCAGCCTTGTGAGCTGAACATTGCTAAAGCAGGAAGTTGTGTAGACACGTGGAAAGGCAGACCCTGTGATTTGGCCGTGCCTTCAGAAGTGGATGTGGAGAAACTTGCTAAAGGGTATCAGTCCGTCACAGCTGCTGACCCACAGCTCCCAGTCTGGCCAGCCCAGGAGGTAGAAGACCCTTTTGGATTTGCGTTGGAAGCTGGCTGTCAGGCCTGGGACACCAAGCCAAGCATCATGCAGTCGTTTAATGATCCGCTTCTCTGTGGTAAAATACGGCCACGTAAAAAAGCCAGGCAGAAGAGCCAGAAGTCTCCCTGGCAGCCCTTCCCAGATGACCATTCAGCTTGTCTCAGGCCTGGGTCAGAGACTGATGCTGGGAGGGCAGTGAGTCAGGCCCAGGAATCGGTGCAGAGCAAAGTCAAAGGTCCAGGCAAGATGTCACACAGCTCCAGTGGCCCAGCCAGTGTCAGTCAGCTCTCTTCATGGAAAACACCAGAACAGCCTGATCCTGTGTGGGTCCAGTCTTCAGTATCGGGGAAGGGAGAGAAACATCCACCTCCCCGCACCCAACTTCCCTCAAGCTCAGGAAAGATTTCCTCAGGTAACAGTTTTCCCCCACAACAGGCAGGCAGCCCTCTTAAGCGTCCATTTTCTGCTGCTGCTGCTATTGCTGCTGCTGCTGCTGCTGCTGCTGCTGCTGCTGCTGCTGCTGCTGCTGCTGCTCCTGCTCCTGCTCTAGCTGCTGCTGCTGCTCCTGCTCTAGCTGCTGCTGCTGCTCCTGCTCTAGCTGCTGCTGCTGCTCCTGCTCCTGCTCCTGCCGCTGCTCCTGCTGTAGCTGCTGCTCCTGCTGCTGCTGCTTCTGCGGCACCAAGTCATTCTCAGAAGCCCTCTGTGCCTCTCATTCAAGCTAGCAGGCCCTGTCCAGCTGCCCAGCCCCCCACCAAATTCATAAAAATAGCGCCAGCCATTCAGTTGAGGACAGGCTCCACTGGCCTAAAGGCCATCAATGTGGAGGGCCCAGTCCAGGGAGCCCAGGCTTTGGGGAGCAGTTTCAAGCCTGTGCAGGCCCCTGGCTCGGGTGCCCCCGCTCCTGCAGGAATCAGTGGCAGTGACCTTCAGTCCTCAGGAGGTCCACTACCAGATGCAAGGCCCGGTGCAGTGCAGGCATCTTCTCCAGCACCCCTTCAGTTTTTCCTAAATACTCCGGAAGGTCTCAGGCCTCTGACACTCCTCCAGGTTCCGCAGGGCTCGGCGGTTCTGACCGGCCCGCAGCAGCAGTCCCATCAGCTGGTTTCCCTGCAGCAGCTCCAGCAGCCCACAGCTGCTCATCCTCCTCAGCCAGGGCCACAGGGTTCCGCACTAGGTTTGAGCACGCAAGGGCAGGCCTTCCCTGCTCAGCAACTTCTTAAGGTGAACCCCACTAGAGCCAGAAGTGGTCTGCAGCCCCAGCCCCAGCCTGCTGTGTTGAGTCTGCTTGGCTCTGCCCAGGTTCCTCAGCAGGGTGTCCAGCTCCCCTCTGTCTTGAGGCAGCAGCAGCCACAGCCACAGCCGCCGAAGCTGCAACTGCAACCGCAGTGGCAGCCAAAGCCACGGCAGGAGCAGCCACAGTCGCAGCAGCAGCAGCCGCAGCATATCCAGCTCCAGACTCAGCAGTTGAGAGTCTTGCAGCAGCCGCAGCATATCCAGCTCCAGACTCAGCAGTTGAGAGTCCTGCAGCAGCCAGTGTTTTTGGCAACAGGCGCTGTTCAGATAGTGCAGCCACATCCAGGTGTGCAAGTAGGGAGCCAGTTGGTAGATCAGAGGAAGGAAGGCAAGCCAACCCCTCCAGCGCCCTGAGGCTTGTGGTAGTTTGTCTCTCTTTTAAAAGCACAGGAGCATTGACTCAAATGATTTCCCAGTTTTTACTTGAGTTTTGTTTTTTTTTTCATGTTTCGGTATTTTACATTTTAAAGTACACAGTTTACACAGAAGCACAATCCACTGATTTTTCTTTAGAAACGGAAGTGATTTCCTAAAGGAGCGTTGTTTTGCTTAAGTTACTCTTTTTGTTGTCATTGCTGCTGTCGATATAATTATTTTTAATATAGTGTTTTAAAGTGTCCAAATCCCAACCAGTTTGAGTCTAAACTCGTGAAACGTATAATTTCTCTAAAGCCGTAAAATGGCAATACCAACAATATTAAGTTAATATTTTAACAAGATTTTAATTTTAAGTTAATATTTTAACAAGAAGAGTGGGATTAAATTTATTTTAATGGTGGTAAAAACATATAATCTAAAATGGACCACCTTCACTATTTTAAGTGCCCAGTGCAATAGTATTAAGTCCATCCCCACGGTTGTGCCGCAGATCTCGAGACCATCTTGCAACACTGAAACTCATGCCCATTGAACAGCAGCTCCCCATTCTCCCTTGCCCAGTCCCTGGCAGCCATTGTTCTACTTTCTTTCTCTATGAGTTGACTACCCTGGCCACTTCATGGAAGTGGAATCATATGGCATTTGTCATTTGATGAGTGTCTTATCTCACTTGGCATAATGTCCTCATGATCTATCCCTGCTGTCTCATGTGACATAAAGGTCATTGCTTTTTAAAAATGGTTTCCCTGTACATAATATATATGAAAGTGACTTATGAATTCTGAGAAACCTCTTTCAGAAGAATTCTGAAAGAGTGTAATCGTATTTAGATTAATAGGTTTATGTACAATATATGGAATGGAATTATTACACATTCATTTTGAAAAATGAAATGAAAAAGTACAATACAGTGATCCTTGTCACACTGCGATTGAATACATGGAAGACCTCTAAAGCTGTGGAATGGAATTAGTGGCAGATTTGCTTGTGACAGTCCCCTGCCCTTTCAAAGGCCCTGTCTGCACCTAGTGCTCCACAGAGCAAGGCTTTCTCACTGGCTTTGAAAAGGCTCTTTTTGGATGTTTTGTGTGCTCTCTTTATAAAATCATTTACATTTTTTGTAGGTTGTTTGCAAGAAACATTTAGTGAAACATTTGAAAATCCATTTTATTGGTTTGCTTTTCAAATATCTGTAGCCTTGTTTCTTAAGTAGAACCCCCGTCTTTTTCTTTGTCTTTTTCTCTTTGTTGATGCATCATCATCAGTTGTTCATCTGTTTCTGCTCCCTCATTTTTTCCCTTGTTCCAGTGAGACTCAAAGAACCATGAACTTTTGTGCCCCTTTGTCTTCCCTTTCTTTTTTCTTTTTTAACAACTAAGGGGTAATCACAGAACAACCAACCATTGTAAAGTACAATTGTAAAGTGGCATTTAGTACATTCATGATGTTGTACAACTACCCCTTCTGTTTCCAAAACATTTTCATCACCCACCAAGCAATCTCTGTACCCATTAAGCACTAGCGTGACATCTTCACACTCCCAGCCTCTGGCAACCACCAATTTGCTTTCTGTTTCTATGGATTTACCTAAATATCTCCTGTAAATGTAGTCATACAGTATGTGATCTTTTGTGTCTGGCCTCTTTCACTCGGCATAATGTTTTTGAAGTTCATCTATGTTGTAAAATGTATTGCTAATTCATTCCTATCTGTGGTTCAATAACATTCCATTGTTTGTATGTAGCAGATTTTGTACATTCATCCGATGATAGACAGTTGGTTTTTGTCTGCCTTTTGGCTGTCGTGCATAGGGCTGCTGTCAACATTTGTGTAGAAGTATTTGTTTTAGTGCCTCTTATATTTTGCTCTGTTACAGCTTTGAAGGGTACCATGTTTATATAATATTTGTTTTTCTAAGTATACATGTATGTTTCTCTGCCTTTTGCCTTAACGAAATGAAAAGAAGTTTGGTCTGGCAGTTCCAAAAGACATCAGTGAAGAGGCAGGTAACTGGTTAATCTTACTTGACAAAACCTATTACTAATGTGCTACTGATGCTGTTAAAGAAAGACTTGGCCAACTTCAAGAAAACACATCGAATTTCCTGAGTGACACCAAGTCCATCAGATCATCCTGGGCATAATTGGAAATGGTGCCTGCACTTTTAAGAAGCGAACCAGTGCAACGACTGGTTGCAAAGAAGAGTTTCTCCTTAGCTTTGGGTGCCAACTAGAGACCTGAACTCAGAATATCATCAGATTTGGTCTACTTCCTTCCTTTGTTGTCTATCTGGTCCTTTCAAGTACTACATGGAGCTACCAGCCAAACTTGTGCTTGAGTGATGTGGCTCTTTCCTCCCAGGCAGGCAAATAAATTCAGCTTTGTTTCAGATGACTGTTTGGCAAACTTTGTTGATTTCCTTCTAATTATCCCCACCTACTTGGTACTTTGATACAGGGTACCTTTTGAAGACATTAGCTGGCTACATTTTGTGAGTAAACTTTTTATTTATTTTAGTATCATGAGAACCTGGATGCTATCCCAGGACAAATTCAAAATTAGTTCTCTGCAGGTTGCATGTTCAGGGCTTAACAGCAGAACGTTGATGGTGAAGTGGTTGTGTGAAAGCAGTTGTCCCTAGAATGTTCTGACAGTTTGCAGAGAAGGTAGGCTTGCAGATGAGCATCCAGGAAAATCCAGGTAGGCCCAGCACAACAGGACATGTCAGGTGGAATTGAGCCTTTGTCACAGGGTGGGAATTTGGGAACAGGATTATATTCCTTGAGAATAATTGCAAGTGAAGAGAGGACTCTAGCCCTAGAACAGGGCTATCCAATAGAAGTATAATATGAGACCCATATATAATTTTAAATTTTCTAGTAGTCACATTTTTTTAAAGTAGAAAGAAACGAGACATTCATTTTAATAATAATTTCTGTTTAACCAAATATATCCCAAATATCATTCCTATGTTATCAATATTTTAAAATTCTCAATGAGGCATTTTACATGAGGCTTCCGACTGCAGAGACTCTCAATTCATATACCAAATTTTCATCAAATATTTGATCTGTATTTAGATTTTGTAAACCTTATAGTTGAAAATGTAGATTCACTTTCCAAACATACTTGGAAGTTTTCCCATAATTGAATCAAGTACAAGTTTTAAAATTTAAATTAATTAAAAGTACATGAAATTTAAAATTAGTTCCTCAGTCTTGCTTGTCACATTTCAAGTGCTTAATAGCCATGTATGGCTAGTGGCTATTGTGTGGGTCAGCGCAGTTCTAGAGGGACAGGAGCAAAGCAGATTATGGGGACAGAGCATCAGGCATGACCTGGGTTTGGGGCACACAGGTGGAGTGAGATTTATGATGCTGATTGCATGTAGTGGGCTGGAGCTTCTTGAGATCCTCATGGCCTATGGTCATCTGGGCCAGGACCTGCAGGATCAAGTCGCCCCAGCCATGGAGCGAGGAGGGTGGAAAAGGTCAGTCTTTTGCCAGGCTCTGTACAGCCATATGCAAAAGACCTACCAGGAGGACACTCATTTTCCCAGCAGTCAACTCAACAACCCGTATCTACCCTAAAGTGCTTGGAACCTAAGGGAGTGGGAGAGAGGAGAGGCACTGCACTTTTTTTTCTTTTTTTTTTGAGGTGGAATCTTCCTCTGTTGCCCAGGAGAGCAGTGGCGTGATCTCGGCTCACTGCAACCTCTGCCTCCCGGGTTCAAGTGATTCTCCTGCCTCAGTCTCCCAAGTAGCTGGGATTACAGGTGCCCGCCACCACGCCCAGTTAATTTTTGTATTTTTAGTAGAGATGGGGGTTTCACCATGTTGGCCAGGCTGGTCTCGAACTCCTGACCTCAGGTGATCCACCCACCTAGGCCTCCCAAAGTGCTGGGATTACAGGCGTGAGCCACCGTGCCTGGCCGGCACCACTCTTTTATTCTTCCTTTTGCACCTCCTTCCTGTGCATCTTCTGGGTCTCTAGCTCCTCCTGCAGAAGTGAAACCTGATCAGCCATGAGTTGATAATTGTGGGAGCTGCTGGTTGATGGGTATATGGAGACTCATTATACTATTCTACTTCGGCATATGTTTGAAATTCATTTATATATGAATTCATAGATATTATATCCATTTGAATAGTCAAGTTCCTGATATTCCTACAGCCCCATTAACACACCTTCCCCCCATCCCAACCTTTATCTTGTACTCGAAGTCCAGGCCCCAGCCCTCGACTTGCCCTTCTGTCTTCCCTGCTTTACTCCCATAGCAGGCAGCAAAGGGTGTGCGAGTTAATTGTTAAATTCAGTTCAACAAGTTCCTCATTAGGGACAAATTACCTGAGTTTGAAATCTGCTAATTTTCCAATCAGAGTGAGTGTTTGCACTTATGATTTGGAAATAATTACCATATGGTAAAAGCAAAACCTATTTGGGGATTAAAGTAAAGGTGAGGGAGGACAGGAGCTTATTTTGGCAACTTCCCTGGAAACCCACGTTAGCATTTGCAGATTAGTGGAGGTGCCTCTGCAGTTGGGGTGGGAAAGCTCACCTGTAGCACTGTTTTGCAAAGGCTGTTTACTTCATGTGCTAATACCCCTGAAAGGTGACTGTGGCCTTTGAAGGGAGAGCAGTGTGGCTTTTGTAGGCCAGAATTACATCTGGGAAAGAGAAAAGCCTTTTGAATGTAGCTATTTCATCTAAAAATATATCTATACTTTTATTTAAATCTGTCCTCAGTCTGAAGCTTCTGCATGAGTTGGAAATAAAAACATTTCTTTGAGGTAGAAGGGGTGAGTCTAATTGTCCTTTGGGTGATCTCACAATGAATGTAGCAGGGAAAGTTCAACTGAGAGAATTTAAAGAATTATAGGAGAGTAATTGCTGCAGAATACCACTGTGATCCAGAGTGTAGAGATCTAGGTCATTCACCTTCAATAATTTGTCCCAGTCCCAATTACTACATCACTAGTTCTAAAGCTTTAGAAACCCCTTGGTAAAGATTAGTCAAGGTTTCAGGTAATTTACAAGCCAATGCAGAAAAACTTCTGAGATGTTGCTTTTGAAATTTGGAGCCAGGAAAAGCTTTGTCTCTCCTGAGAAGGCATCCTTCCTCCTTTCTGATAACTGTAGTTGTGCAAGTTCTGAGGTTTCTCTTTGTGCCTCAGCTGCCGGGAAACTCAAAACCAAATTTGTAGCTCAAATCGCTGCGTTTACATTTATGGTTGGCACTTCAGCATTCCTCACTTCTTATTTTTTATTTCTACTTTACTAGTTCTTTTTATTTGTCTTTTGTCTTGGGAAACTGGAAACAGCCCCCTCCATGTGTCAACACATCCATCAATAAATAGTAGCTTCTATTCATTTATATATGCTGCCTCTAATCCTTTTAATAACCTAGTCATAATGTCCATTAGGTATGATTATCCTTACTTGCAAGTGAAGAAACAGGCTCAGATAGTCCTTGCCTGAGGCAATAAAGCTATTAAGTGGCACAATTTTTCAGCTCCCTTTCTGTCTGCTTCTGAAGTCTATGCCTTGTGCCTGGGTACATGTAACTGATGCATTGATGAGTCTCAACTCAGTGGTGGACTATACAGGTGAAACCATTTTATTTTTCCCAACCACTGCTTTCAACCATGCAGCACCAAGTCCCTTTTCCCATCCTTTAATGACACCTTGGGTGGACCTCATGACTTGCTGGGCTCTCTTGTTTGGTAAAGCTGACAGTCCCAATTACAATTTCAATATCGTATTCTCTGGTCTGGTGGGTGGGGGAGGACGAGAGAAGGGAGAGAGAAATCTTCCTGCGAAAATGGTCCTTTTGCAGGTGTGATGCTCTGATTTGCTGAGTGAGGTGAAGGGTCTCTGAGCACGGGGCTGGTTCTTTTTTCTGCGGCGACGGTGTTGAACTTCACTTGGATTCTGACTCCTCTGGGGCCTCTTGAAGAGCGGCTCTCTTAGTAAGCCCTGCTGTGCTCCTTCCTGTGGAGCCTTTCCAAATTCAGAAGCTGTGGGCTCACGGGATCAAGGTGGAAGTGATGCTCCCATTTGCTTTCCGGGCACACCGCCCCTCAGTACCTTTTGAACCGCTCACGTTCAGATGTCTCTAGACCACAAGGGGGCACCAGACTCCAGGTTCACATACAACACATCCCTCAAAGAATATGCGTCAAGCTCGCCCACAGTTTCCAAGGCTCCAGGGTGGTCCAGTGTGGGCCTGCGGGTCTGTGCAGCTCCACACGAGCCCAGGCAGTAAAACTGGATGCCAACTTTGCCTTCATGCAGACCTCCGACTCTCCAGGAGCGACCCTCTTAGAGGTCTCCCTTCTACATACAACTCTTGGCTTGGGAGAGCAGGGGAGTCCCAGCACTCCTTTCCTCACCCCTTCCTACTCTGTCCCAAGAAAAGAAAAGCTCCCCCCTCCACCCCAGGAACACTCAACTTCTCTCCCTCCCCTTCCCATCCTCCCGTAGCTACAGAGGCTGGAAAAGAGTGGTTGAAGGGAACGGTCAGAGTCCAAATAGGGCCAGTTCTGCCATCTCTTAGTACTCTCTGAGAACGTGTCTGCTGGCTGGTTGCAGCCCCTCGTTAGGATGTGGGAGCACCTGATGCTTTTTGTTTCCACCTTTGGCAACTCTGGGACAACAGGAAAAGTCCTATCATGCGTGAGCGCCACACACACACGCGCGCGCGCGCGCACACACACACACGCACGCACATACACAAGCACACACACGCACGTGCACACAAGCACGCACACACGCACGCGCGAACACACGCACGAGCACACACACACACAGTGCTTCCCAGCCTTCTCCCATCCTTGCCTATTTAAGATCTCTGGCTTTGCCCTCCCAATTTCCAATGGGAAAGAGCAGAAGGAAAAGCGATGAGGCCTATGGCTGGTGAGACAGGTTTTGGAAGGACTGTTTTGGGTGAGTCTGATAAACTCTAACGAGTTTATTGTAAGACTTGAGAAAGTCAGTGTGAAGCGGGAGGCAGCTTGAGAAACTTTAGCTCTCTACGCCTGTCTTCGCTATGGAGCGCATTCTTTGATATGGAAAAGTGATGCTTCTAAGAACTGTGTAAAGTGTTATGCAAATAGAGCTTCAAAACAAATCCCCTAATGCCCTGCCTTCTTCTAAGCAGGATTACTCTTGGGCTCTAAGCGGCTCCTCTACAGAAATGTTAAACTTCCACTGGAAGTAAGAAGGGGAAGGGGAACGGGGTGATTTTTAACAAGTGATATTTGGAGCTATGCATCTTTTTCATACTCCCTGAGAAGCCAGTTATTTTGAAATGATTGTTTGGCAGTGTTTGGAGAGTGGGAGGTTTGAAGTTGAGATTATGGAGGCTCTTATGGTTATTGATAATGATGAGTTCTACTGTAAAACCATGGTAGTGTGGTTGCCTGTGGTTGATGTCTTAACAGGATCTTTGCAGGAGAGGAGGTCAAGGAGTTGAAGGCCCAGGCTACTGGAAGGATTATCTATGTGGATACCAAAATCATCAAGAATTCATACTGCTGGCATAGTGTTGAAGAGGATGATAATGAGTCAGGCCCTAGAATCTTCAAGGTATGGTGGGGAAGAAGAGGGGTTTGGTTTTAGAGGTCAATTACATCAAGATGACCCTTAATATTGATTGTAGGGAAACTGCTTCAATGTCTTGTGTGTGTGTGTGTGTGTGTGTGTGTGTGTGTGTGTGTGTGACAGAGTCTTTCTCTCTCACCCAGGCTGGAGTGCAGTGGTGCCATCTCGGCTCACTGCAACTTCCGCCTCCTGGGTTCCAGCGATTCTCCTGCCTCAGCCTTCCGAGTAGCTGGGATTACAGGCGCCTGCCACCATGCCTGGCTGATTTTTTGTATTTTTAGTAGAGACGGGGTTTTGCCATGTTGGCCAGGCTGGTCTGGAACTCCTGACCTCATGTGATCTGCCCGCCTTGGCCTCGCAAAGTGCTGGGATTACAGGTGTGACCCACCGTGCCCGGCCTTCAATGTCATTTTTTAAGTATTGAGAGCATGCTTACATGCAAGGCCTTTTGCTAGGTAATGGTGGGGAAGAGTAGGGCACATTCTCTGTCTTCAGTGGGATTAAAGTCTACTCAGAGAGAGAAGGGAAATAAATGATTTTACATCAAGGAGACGATGACAAATATCATTAAAAATAAATCTTACTGGATGGAATTGGGGAAGGCCTCACAAAGGAGGTGACCCTCAGGTGACCTTGGCTTGGATTTTGTTAGGTTTAGATGGGGGCGGGAAGAAGGTGTTCTAAGTAGAGGAATCACACGAGCAAAGGAACAGTGGAGGATGATCAGCGCAGAAGAGGCGCTATCTATAGCATGGTGTACGTGCAGAGCGGAAGTGAAGGAAAGGGCTAAGACAGGCTGGCTCCGTAGCATGGATCTTCTTGGTAATTTAAATGAGACAGATTCTACTGTTTGAATTAGGAAGCCAGGTGGGGCATGGTGGCTCACACCTGTAATCCCATCACTTTGGGAGGCTGAGGTAGGCGGATTGCTTGAGCTCAGGAGTTTGAGACCAGCCTGGGCAACATGATGAAACTCCGTCTCTCTCAAAAAAAAAAAAAAAAAAAAAAAAAATTAGCTAGGCGTGGTGGTGCGTGCCTGTAGTCCGAGCTACTCGGGAGGCTGAGGTGGGAGAATTGCTTGCCCAAGGAGGCTGCAGTGAGCCATGATTGCACCACTGCACTCAAGCCTGGGTGACAGAGTGAGACCCTGAGACCCTGTTGCAAAAAAAAAGAAAAAAGAAAAAGAATAAGAATAAGGAAGCCAACAGAATCACAGGATTGAAAATGCCTAAAGGGAGAAAAAGAAATTCTAAAGCTCTTCTTCCACTTAACAAAGGCTTCTAACCGAAATATTTGTTACCTTGTGGAAAACAGAATTGACAATTTCCGTATTATTATTACCAGGGCAACACATTATTTAATAAGATGACCAACCAGAGTTGCAGACTTTTAGGTGTTATAGGTGCCATTTCACAGGACATAGCAACACACTCTGATATCCAGGTAACTTAAGAGATACATTTCTTTAGAAATAACACTTCCAAGGACAGTTTTATAGTAACAAAACAGACTAGGATTATGGTCTTTCATCCAAGCCTCCACGCTGGCAAGGAGAGTGGGATAGATACTTGCATGAATGTTCCCCATTAGAATTTTATGACATGGGACTGGCTCTGTGTCACATAATAGTGTCTGCTTCTCTGAAGCTGCAGGGAAGAGGGAACATTTTCTTTTTATTTTTCTGAGATTTTTTCACCAGAAGTTGGGGCTGGTCGTTAGCAGGTTAAGTATTAAAATTACAAGAAACTTAAAAATTACAATATGGGCCAAGTGCGGTGGCTCATGCCTGTAATCCCAGCACTTTGGGAGGCCAAGTCAGGTAGATCACTTGAGGTCAGGAGTTCAAGAGCAGTCTGGCCAACATGGTAAAACCCTGTCTCTAGCAAAAAATAAAAAAATTAGCTGAGTGAGATGGTGCGTGCCTGTAGTCCCAGCTACTTGGGGAGGCTGAGGTGGGAGAATCGCTTGAACCTGGGGGCAGAGATTGCAGTGAGCCCAGATCACGCCACTGCACTCCAGCCTGGGTGATACAGTAAGACCTTGTCTCCAAAAAAAAAAAAAAAGAGAAAAAATAATTACAATATGGAAAAGAAAAAGGCTATAGAGAAGTTTAACAAAGTAAATATGAGGCAGATAATATTAGGTCGAACCATATGAGATTGTTGATATTTGATACTTTTGCTCCATTAAAAAGGCAATTTCATACAATTCGATGTAAAATCTACAGTTTCAGTCTTGAATGCCAAATGAGAAATATGAAGTTAATTTGGGAAATATTGGGGAGCCACCATTGGGGGAGAAACGCTATGATTGGAGCTGTGGTTTAGCATAGTTTATGAGGCAGGAATGCGAAGGAGGAATTGGAGGGGGAGAGCCTGGGGGTCAAACCATACTTTTATACCCACTGTACTTGAAAGAATACCCCTAGATTCGTTGATAGTATAAATGCACTGAGGAGCTACAATACTGTTCACCTTTTAAATTAAAGATTAAGAGTTCACAACTTCTTCATCTAAGAGGTAGAAATAATAATGGCTACTTCACAGGGCTTAGGTAAGGATCAAATGATATTATACATGAACAAGACATTTAGAAACACTGTATCTCATCTCCTGCTACTTGAAATGTCTGCAGCTCAGCAGCAGCGTTATCACCTGGGAGCTGGTTAGAAATGTGATTCTCATTCGCCTTAAATGCTCCCTGTACCATGGAGACGGACCCAGCATAGGAAAGCCACACACTCAGCCTGGATGCGTGGAGTGCGTGGAGAGGCTGAGGGACTCACCGGAGGGCACCCAGCCAGCCCACAGACAGGGAAGTGGGGAGGGGGCGGAAACCCATGCCTTCCAGCTGAGCACTGGGAGTGTTAGCCCAGTAAGTATTGGCCAGTGAGGCGCCTCGTGGTCAGAGCAGAGCCACCAGGTCCCACTGCCCCCAGCCCCTGCACAGCCCTCCCTCCTGCCTGGGTGAGGGAAGCTGGAGGTCATCGGAGATGCTGACTGCTGCCACCCCAGGTGCTCCCGCTCTGTCATAGCACTGATCAGTGACAACTTACAGGAATGTAGCAGCGATGGAATTACCTGGAACAGATTTGTGTGTGTGTGTGTGTGTGTGTGTGTGTGTGTGTGTGTGTGTGTGGTGGGGAGTGGGGGGGGTGCAACTAAACAAACACAAAGTTTTCTGTGTCAGGTATTGGGCTGGACAGGGCAGTTGTGTGTTGGGGTGGTTTTTTTCTCTATTTTTTTGTTCGTTTCTTGTTTTTTAATAATGTTTACAATGTCTCAATCACTCTTTTATAAAGATTCCACCTCCAGTCCTCTCTCCTCCCCCCTACTCACGCCCTCGAGGCTATTAGGAGATGCTTGAAGAACTCAATAAAATCCTAATCCAAGTCAAACTTTGCACATATTTATATTTCTATTCAGAAAAGAAACATTTCAGTAATTTATAATAAAGAGCACTATTTTTTAATGAAAAAAATGTGAATCTCAGGCTCTACTGCAAACCTGCTGAATCAGGATCTGCATTTTATTTTATTTATTTATTTATTTATTTATTTATTTATTTATTTATTTAGTAGAGACTGGGTCTCTATATGTTGCCCAGGCTGGTCTCAAGCTCCTGGCCTCAAGCGATCCTCTTGCCTTGGCCTTCCAAAGCACTGGGATTACGGGAGTGAGCCACCACGTCCAGCAGGATCTGCATTTTAATAAGATTCCCAGGTGATTTGTATACACAGTCAAGTTTGAAAAGGACGGCCCAATCCCAAAACAATTACATTCAGACTAAAATATCTTTTCCATCCATTGAATGTGTCATTTTTCAACATTTAGTGCATGGTCATTGTCTTCCCTAATCAAATCAGAAAATGCAAAGTTCACATGAGGTGGCATACCATCGTTGAAACAGTGGCCTTTCAGATCCTGACTCTTGATGCTTGCTGTCTACTTACCTTGGGCAAACTGCTTCATCTGTATAAGCCTCCTCTGTGTCCTCATCTGCAAAATGGGTTTGAGAGTTCCAACCTCCCCAAGTTGCTGTGATGACCGATAGACATAATGCATGTTAAGGATCATACATAGAGCATAGCATGATGTGGTGAATAGTCACCAAATTGTACTTACTTGTTTTTAAATAAGGAAACTCACATTCATATGGTTTAAAAAAAAGATCAAGAGTTCAGTGATAGGGCCACGATGAGTGGATTATAAAAATGGGCTTTCATACCCCAGTAGATTTGAATCTTGCCAGACTGTTCTACCAACCTAACTTAAACACATACACACACACACACACACCCCTACATCAAGGAGGAAAGGAGGCATTTTCAAATCCACGACTCTCCCCACTTGCCATCCCACCCACACAGATCCCACACAGCTAATTCAGACACCCTTCCTCCAATGAATCCTCTTGAGAAACACAGATATATATCTACAGAGTAATATTGTGAATGGTGTTTACTGTTTTTAATACCTTTTTGAGGATAAGGCAGACTGACAAAAGAATCCAATCCCATGGGCTTGTAAACTACTCAAAGAGCTTTTTTAATAGGGCTGTGGTAGCTGTTTGGTATCTCAGAATAAATCTAAGTCATAGAATAGGCTCAATAGCAGGAAATGCTCTTATCTCATTGTTCCTCAGACCCAACCATGCATTGGAATCGCAAGGGGGCTTGTTAAAACCCAGATTGCTGAACCCCACTGTCTGAGTGTCTGATACAGCAGGTCTGGGGTGGGGCCTGAGAATTTGTATCTCTAACAAGTTCCCAGGGATGCTGATGCTGATGGTCCTGGGACCATACACTCGTTGAAAGATGCTCTACTCCATGGAGAAGAGTCTGAATGTGCCAGTGAGAAGGATGATCTACTCTTCTACTCTGAAGAAAGAGAAGCATGAAAGGTTTTTTTTTTTTTTTTTTTTTGGATAGAATACTCAGGTAACTGTAACTGAAGTCAACCAAGTAGGTCTGGGTGGGTGGGCCCTGAGAATTAGCATTTCCAAGTTTCCAGGTGTTGCTGCTGCTGCTGCTGGATCAGGGACCATCCACATTTTGAGAACCTGTCTGGATGCAAATCACATGGTGGCCCTCCAGGGTGAATGCTGTAATTCCAAATTTAAACCTGAGTTATTGAAATGTAAACCCATTTAAATGGCTTAAACCCATTTAAACCATTCAAATACTAGAATGCTGGCTGTCTTCCAGACTCAATACCTTTTCATAGGGAAATGGGTAGAAAAGAGAGAAAGACCCCATGAGAGGGGAGAGAAGAGAGAGGAGAGCAATTGCATGCGCTAATAATCTCTTGCTGGAGACCCATTGGTTCCCAAGTCATCAGATCTCCAAAGCTAAAATTATATCCATGTGAGTATTTTAGGCCATAGAGAAAATAGGAAAACATCAAAGGTGATGGTTTAGACACAATGCTATTACGATTCATTTTTTAAACCTGCTGGCTATGTTTGTTACATCAAAACCTTCTTTTGAAAGAGGAAAACTACAACCATTACTCTTTGACCTAAAAATTCTTGGAAACTGGAAGACCTGAATTTTCTAAGAATCAACTCTTGGAATGATGTTTAGTTAATAAAAACACCAAGTTCCTTTGCTATTCCTGGGGAAGGAGTGCCAGTTTCAAAATCCTTTCCTCTAGTTAAAAATAATGCTATCAAATAAGTAACTACAAAATAATACCTTCTTTATTATATCAAAGATGAGCTTAGAGGCCTTAAGAACTGATTTCTTGTCAATATCTCTTAAAAGAGGAGATAGTTATGGCAAAAAGTGAGGGCTAGAGTGTGTAGAGGGATAAAGACATCTCTATTTAATCACGTCTTGAAATTATAGCGTTGTCAGCAAAATAATAATATTATTATTGTTTTTGAGACAGAGCCTCACTTTGTTGCCAGGTTAGAGTACAGTGGCATGGTCTCGGCTCACTGGAGCCTCAGCCTCCTGGGCTCAAGCGATCCTCCCACCTCAGCCTCAGCTGGAGTAGCTGGGATTACAGGTGTGCTCATCCACGATCGGCTAATTTTTCTGTTTTTGGTAGAGATGAGGTTTCACCACGTTGCCCAGGCTGGTCTTGAACTCCTGGGTTCAAGCGATCCTTCTGCCTCAGCCTCCCATAGTGCTGGGATTACAGGCGTATGCCACCACACCCAGCCAGAAAATATTGTCTGAGAACTAGCAATATTCTGGTTGCCATACTTTTTTTTGTTTGTCTTTGAAGCAAAGCAAAAGCATAAGCATAGTCATAAGGCAAGAATCTTGGTCTTATTTTTTTCAATCTCATGATTACTTTCATAAGGTAATAAGCCATTGAGGTGACTAAGAGATTAAGCAATTAAGAAGGGAAGGTTTGCTTTACAATCCTTTCTTTGCATGACCCATAGATACCATTCCTCTCTGCTCCTCCGTAATACCTAGGACCATGCTCCAAGCCCAGAATTATCCCTGACTGAATTAGGCTCTTTGGACTGCCTTCTGTTTCCCTTTGAAACCTGTATGTGGAGAATGGATTCAGTTGCAGAGAAATAAGCATGAGTATACGAATGATAGTACAATTTTGTATTTCTAGTCATCTGTTACATTGATTTTCTCAGCCACTATTCCTTCAAAAATTTTCTTCCAAAAAGAACACTGTGCCCTTTCTGACCAAGGTAAGATCAAATCTGCTTCCTCTGGTCATGAGCGAAAATCTCTCGATCAAACTTTCCACGGGAGGAGTTAATGTCAATGTCACTGATAATCTTTAACCGAGGTTGCCAGATTTACCAAATAAAAATGCAGGTTGCCCAATTACGTTTGAATTTCAGGTAAACAAAGAATAATTATGTTTTAGTATAACTACATCCCACATGTGGAGATTCAAATTAAGATGAAATAAAATTTAAAATGCAGTTCCTTTATTGCACTAGTCATATTGTTAAATGCTACATGTGGCTAGTGGCTAGCACAATGGACAGTGTAGCCTAATGCGGGCTGTAGAACATTTTCATCATCACAGAAAGTTCTGTTGGACACTGCTGTTTACAGCAAACCTGGGAGATGTTCCTGGAGACTGGATCCCAGGCAGATAGTTCAAGCTAGTAGGCTCTTGATGCACCATCTATTCCTCCTTCACATATAAAAATGCAAGTGATCCCCAAAGGCAGCAGGGAAAAGATCCTACCGGCCATTGCCTTTTGGGATAGCCCAATCCTGTACCTATTATAGGGCTGAATTGGCCAGTGCCGTGCAGAACCGATCGTTAAATTCATAGCTATTAGCATTTCTCCTGCGAGAAGCAAACCCTTTCTGTTTGTATAGGGCTTTGCAGATAATGAAGCATTTCCAATTCCACTTGAGATTTTTTTTTTTTTTTGGCCAGTGCTATTATTTATTTATATAACCTCATGCATTTATCAGAAGAGGCTTTTGAATGTTCTTACCACATAGGATTTTATCCTCACAATCATCCTGGGTGGTAAGCAGGCCCATGAGAAAAATAACAAGAACATGAAACCAGTTCCAAAAGAATTGCCTCATGCCATAAGGCAGGTTCTCACACTTGAGCTTCCAATCAGAATGCCCCCGAGGGCTTGTTAAAACACAAATTGTTGGGACTCAGCCCCAAAGTTCCTGATGCAGTAGGTCTGGGCTGGGGCTCAATAATTTGTATTTATCACAAATACCCAGGTCAAAAACGTCGGTCTGGGGACCATACTTTGAAAACCACTGCTATTGTGACATGGCCCTGCCCCAGTCTAATGATATAATGAGTTTAGGCTTTTTTTTGTTTCTCTGACCTGGCAGACTCCTCACACTGTTAGAGCTGCTTTGACGAGCTACGTCTGTTCACTTATTTGGGTTGTTATCACTTTTATTCTTTGCACAGCTTTTATCCATCTGCTAGTTTGATAATAAACTGAAGTGAGAACAACTTAAGCCAAGTTCAAGTTGACATTCTCCCTGTCTTTGCTTCTGACTGTGGTGTGCCCAGATTGTAGACTGGCCAGGCTCACTGGGTAGATATTTTAAATCCTCACTTGTATATTCACAAACTGAGCATTGGAAAAAGAAAAAGAAAATAACTTGCTCAAGTCACAGAGCTAGGGAGAGGTGGAACCAGGATATGAATCTAAGATTTCTAACTTCAGTTTTGGTTCTAAGAATATTCCAGGGTTTGTGAAAGTGTTCTGAGGTTTATGATTTTTAAAAAATAATAGTGGAATCTGTTTTCATTTCAACTGTAAAAGCCTCCAAGTGTTGACTGGCTGTTTGGGGCAGTCAAGATCCTATGCCTGTTAGTAGCAGGCCTGTTCCAGCATCATCTGCTTGGTTCTTTTGTCACTCAGGTGATGGCCTCATCTGCTATGGGGGTTTTGACCATTCTACAGCTTTCAATTATTTTTATTCAATTGTCTAACTTATTCTCGCAGTGGATTATTGGGTTCAGAAAGGAGGCATCAAAAATACTGATTTTAAAGTAGAATGAGCTACTGAACTGTACACTTAAAATGGTTAAGATGGTAAAAAAAAAATAGAATGAGCTGATGAGGGACATAAAAATTATAATTCTGAATTTTGACCTTACACCTGTAAGGAACATTCATATTATCATTTCTTACTACATCAATATATCTCTAGTTCTTCAAAATAAAAGTTAAAAGGATAAAAAGGAATATGCACTATATGGATAGTGGATATGGATTAAAAGATTTTATATGGATAAAAAGTTTTTATCCAACTTGGCTTTTCCTTTATTGAGAATAAAATTATCCATTTCCACAGCATATTACTTCTGAAGAAGTGCTTGCAAATAGCTGCCAAAAAGTGCTTGTGTCTCCTCTTTTAGAAACAAAATACAAAAATTATAATAATAAAGGAATGTATTTTTTAAAGTGCAAAAGTCAAGAATTCCAAATAACAGGCCATGGAAGCAGTCTGGATGGATTCAACACACAGTTAAATTTCAATCTACTTATTAATACACATTTGATCCCCAAACATGATATTAATATGTCATTTTGAATTTGTAGATAAACCATGTTCTTGCTTGTATACTTTAAAAAAGTATTCGCTATGACTTTTTTTGAATTGTTTTTATTTTTATTGATAAATAATAGATGTACATATTTTGGGGTACATGTGATAACTTGATATATTCATATAATGTGTAAAAATCAAATCAGAGTAATTGGGATATCCATCACCTCAAATATTTATCGTCTGTTTATTCTAGGACGAATTTATTTTCGTCTAGCTATTTGAAATGTGCAATAGATTATTGTTAACTATAGTCACTCTACTGATTTATCAAACTCTAGGTCTTGTTTCTTCTAAGCGTATGTTTGTACCCATTAATTGATCTCTCTTCATGCCCTCTGATACGGTTTGGCTGTGTCCCCATCCAAATCTCATCTTGAATTGTAATCACCACAGTCCTCACATGTCGCAGGAGGGACCCAGTGGGAGGTAATTGAATCAGGGCAGTTCCCCCATGCTGTTCTCGTGATAGTGAGTGAGTTCTCAGGAGATCTGATGGTTTTATAAGCATCTGGCATTTCCCCTGCTGGCACTCATTCTCTCTCCTGCCACCCTGTGAAGAGGTGCCTTCAGCCATGATTGTAAGTTTCTTGAGGGCTCCTGAGCCATGCGGAACTGTGAGTCAATTAAACCTCTTTTCTTTATGTATTACCCAGTCTCGGGTGTTTCTTCATAGCAGCGTGAGAATGGACTAATACACTCCCTCTTCCCAGATTCTGACAACCACCAAACTTCTCTCTGCCTTCATGAGATTCACTTTTTTAGCTCCTACATATGAGTAAGAACATGTGATGTTTGTCTTTCTGTGTCTGGCTTATTTCTCTCAACATAATGACCTCCAGTTCCATTTATGTTGCTGCCAATGACATTAGCATTTCTCCTGAGAGAAACAAATCCTTTATGTTTGTATGGGGCTTTGCAGATAACAAAGCATATCCAAGTCCACGTGGGATTTTTGGGGGTCCAGTGCTTTTATTTATTTATTTATTTTTATAACCTCACACATTTATTGGAAGAGACTTTTGAATGTTCTCACCACATACGATTTTATACTCACAATCACTCTGGGTGGTAAGGTTTTCATTCTTTTTTATGGCTGAATAATATTCCATGGTGTATGTACACCACATTTTATCCATTCATCTGTTGATGGGCACTTCGGTTTATCCCATATCTTGGCTATTGTGAGTAGTGCTGCAATAAACATGGAGGTACAAATATCTCTTCAATATATTGATTTCCTTTCTTTTGGGTGTATACACAGTAGTGGAATTGCTGGATCATATAGCAGCTCTATTTTTTGTTTCTTGAGGAACCTACATAGTCTTCTCTGTAGTGATTGTACTAATTTACATTCCCACTAACACTGTACGAGGGCTCCCCTTTCTCCACGTCTTTGCCAGCATCTGTTATTCCCCCCCGCCTTTTTAAATAAAAATCATTCTTACTGAGGTGAAATGATATCTCACTGTGGTTTTGATATGCATTTATCTGATAATTAGTGATGTTGAGCTTTTTTATATACATTTGTTAGCCATTTGTATGTCTTCTTTTGAGAAATGCCTATTCAGATCTTTTGCCCATTTTAAATCAGATTATTAGATTTTTTTTCCTATAGAGTTATTTCAGCTCCTTATATATTCTGGTTATTAATCCCTTGTCAGATGGGTAGTTTGCAAGTATTTTCTCCCATTTCATGGATTATCTCTTCACTTTGTCGATTGTTTCTTTTGCTGTGCAGAAGCTTTTTAACTTCATGTGATCCCGTTTGTCCATTTTTGCTTTGGTTGCCTGTGCTTATGGGGTATAACTCAAATGTTTGCCCAGTCAAATGTCCTAGAGAGTCTCACCAAAGTTTTCTTGTAGTAGTTTCATAGTTTGGGGTCTTAGATTTCAGTCTTTAATCCATTTTTATTTTTATTTTTGTGTATGGAAAGAGATAGTGATCTAGTTTCATTCTTCTGCATGTGGATATCCAGTTTTCCTGGCACCATTTATTGAAGAGAGTGTCCTCTCACTGATGTATGTTCTTGGCACCTTCGTAAAAAGTGAGTTCAGTGTAGATGTATAAATTTGTTTCTGGGTTATCTATTCTGTTCCATTGGTCTATGTGTCTGTTTTTGTGCCAGTACCCTGATGTTTTTGTTACTATAGCTCTGTAGAATAATTTGAAGTCAGGTAATGTGTTTCCTCTGGTTTTGTTCTTTTTGCTTAGGATAGCTTTGGCTATTCTGTGTCTTTTGTGGTTCTGGGTGCATAAATATTTATCATTGTTATAGCCTCTTGCTGAATTGACCCTTTTATCATTATGTGGTGATTTTATTTTTCTCTTTTTACAGTCTTTGACTTGTCTATTTTATTTGATGTAAGTGTAGCTACTCCTGCTCTTTTTTGGTTTCCACTTACATAGAATATCTTTTTTCATCCCTTTACTTTCAGTCTATGTGTGTCTTTATAGGTAAAGTGAGTTTCTTATAGGCAGCATATAGTTCTGTCTTGTTTCTTTATCCCTTCAGCCACTCTGTCTTTTAATAGGAGAACTGAGTCCATTTACATTCAGTGTTATTATTAAGTAAGGACTTACCACTGCCATTTTTGTTGCTTGTTTTCTGGTTGTTTTGTAACTCCTTTTTTCCTTTCTTACTGTCTTCCTTTGTGGTTAAGTAATTTTCTCTGGTAGTGTGTTTTAATTCATTGCTTTTTATTTTTAGTGAGTCTATTATAGGTTTTTGCATTGTGGTTACAATTAGGCTTACAAAAACATCTTATGGATATAACAAGTTATTTTAAAGAGATGACAACTTATCTTAGATCACAAAGAAAATAATAGAAACACAGAAAAAAATGAAAACAAAAAAGCCTCTCCACTTCAACTCCATCCCCCCTACATTTTGACTTTCTGTTGTCTCAATTACATATTTTTATATTGTCTATCTTTTAACAGCTTACTGTAGCTATTGTTTTTGATAGATTTATCTTTTAGGCTTTATACTACAGTTATGAGTGAATTGCACACTACAATTACAGTACTAGAGCATTCTGAGTTTGTCTGCGTACCTAGTTTTAACAGTGAATTTTATACCTTCAATTTTTTCCTTTCTGCACATAGTGTTCCTTTTTTTCCGGCTTTATCTCTCCTTCATATTTGAAAACTACGGTATTCTTGAATGGTAGGTTTCTTTTTTCCCCCAGCACATTGGAAATATCATCCCGCCCCCTCTGAGGCTGTATGATTTCCATTGAGAAGTCTACTGCCAGATGAATTGGAGCTCCTTTATATGTTATTTGTTTATTTTCTCTTGCTGCTTTTAGAATCCTCTATTTGTCCTTGACCTTTGGGAGTTTTATTATGTGCCCTGGGGCAGTCTTATTTGAGTTGAATCTGTTTGGCATTCTATGACCTTCCTGTAACTGGATATTTGTATCTATCTCAAGTTTTGGAAAATGTTCTGTTATTTATTTCCTTAAGTGAGCTTCCTACCCCTTGCTCTTGCTCAGCTCCCTTTTGATCACCAGTAATTCTTAGATTTGGTCTTTTGAGGTAATTTTCTATATTTTGCAGGTGATCTTTATTCCTTTTAATTCTGTTTTTTTCCTCTGACTGTATTTTCAAATATTCTGTCTTTGAGATTAGTGATTCTTTCCTCTGCTTGATCTAGTCTGCTGTTGGGGGCCTCTAATGAATTTTTCTGTTCAGAAAATGTATTTCTCAGTTCCAAGATTTCTGTTTGGTTTTTTAAATTATTTCAATCATCTCTTCATTAATTTTCTGTGATAAATTTCTGAATTGCTTTTCAGTGTTATCTTGGATATCACTGAGTTTCCCTAAAATTGCTATTTCGAATTCTTTGTCAGATAACTCACGTATCACCTTCTTATTAGGATCAGCCATTGGTTCCTTGCTTTGTCTGTTTGGATAATGTTTCCCTATTTGCTATTGTCTCTTGTGGATGTGTGTCTATGTCTTTGCATTGAAGGATTAATTATTTATTCTAGTCTTCTCTTTCTGGCCTGTTTTGGATTTTATTGGTTATGTTTGCTTAGAGATTCTTCATAATTTACCTGCTGAATTTCTTCTTCTTTCCACTAGGTCATTGCCTCATTTTTGGCATTAGATGGTGCTTAAAGCTCAAGTTTGCCTCCACTCTAGCAAAGGATAGGAGTGCTGCCAGTTAGGAATAGGGGAGGTCCCAAAGGAGATAACCTGGCAGTGTGGAAGAGCTGGCTTGGGGTTCATGCCACTATACGTCCTACAACACGGTGCTGCTGAACGGCTACTCTGATTTGGCATCTCCTTTGGCCAAGTTACAGAGCAGAGTTTCCAGGGCTAGGGGTGATAGTCCTGATTCCCTTTTTCTGGCTGTCCTCAGGGATATTTTTCCCTTCAGGCACTCCCAGTGCTTCCTGTGGGTTGAGGCAGGGATAGAGCTCCTGCCAGGGAACCAAAAATAGTGGAGAAGGTGGTTGTCCACCTCAATTTCACTTTTTCCAGTGTAGAAACTCTGAGTCTAGAAAAATTTTCTGCAAGCTTGGTGTCAGGCAGACTGGGAGAAGAGGTGTTGCAGATATGGAAGTCCCATTCTCTTACCATCTTCTCAGAGATTTTTCACTTTTCTGTGGCCCCAGGAACTATCTCATCCTCATCTTTGTCTCTTGTATACTTAGTTAAAAATAAATTAAACAGCATGCATCACTTGTTAAATGGAGAAAGGTCAAACTTTGTCCTTGTATATCCTAAACATTATTGTTATTTGAGACAGTCTCACTCTGTTGCCCAGGCTGGAGTGTAGTGGTGTGATCTCAGCTCACTGCAACCTCTGCCTCCCAGGTTCCAGCAATTCTTGTGCCTCAGCCTCCCGAGTAGCTGGGACTACAGGTGTGTGCCACCACACTTGGCTAATTTTTGTATTTTTAGTAGAGACCGGGTTTCACCATGTTGGCCAGGCTGATCTTAAACTCCTGACCTCAAGTGAGCCACCCACCTCGGCCTCCCAAAGTGCTGGGATTACAGGTGTGAGCCACTGTGCCTGGCCTTATTATAAATACTATTAAAGAATACATTAAACTGCAAATGATAATACAATCTTTAATAATATACTGATCCAAATTCCTTTTCCTTAAAAGTTAAAGTTGCTTGCTGTCCTATACCATACTACAACAACACAATGAGTTAGCAATTCTGTGGGGGTTAATGAGATTATAGATTTTCATGAATGCAGTTTTTAAGGATAGAGAACAGAAGACAGTAAGGGTGACTGCAGTGGAGAGGGTAGGATAGGTCAGTGTGTCTGCATGTATGTTTCGTGCTAGGGCTTTTGTATTACACCATTTCTAGTGCAAATAATAGAAATCCAATTCAAACCAGTTTAAGCAAAGAGGGGGATTTATTGGCTCAGGAAACTGGCAAGTCCAGAGATAGAACTTGTTTCAGAGACTCTAAGACATCAAGTGCTCTCTGCCACGCCCTCTCTCAACTCAGCTCTGATTTTCTCTGTGTTGATCTCTTTATCTCCTAGATATTCTTTCACATGGAGGGAGGCGAGGTCAAAGCTCTTTTCATCCCAGTGAAGTGGTGTCATTCTTCTGGGGTAATACCCAAGGTTCGTTGTCCTATGCCAAGGAAATCAATGACATGGACACACAAGGAGTGAGGTTAAGAATGGAGGTTTAATAGGCAAAAGAAAGAGAAGAGCTCTCTGTGCAGAGAGGGGTCCAGGAGAAAATGGGTTGCCACTTCCTCAGTGAGATGCAGAATGTTCCATAGATGAGCTTGAGGAGGCGGTGTCTGATTTACATAGGGCACAAAAAGTTGGTTGGATCAGGTGTGCCATTTGCATAGTGTGTGAAGAAGCTGGCCACTCCTCCCTAACCTTTTATTATGCAGATGGGTTCTCTACCTGGCTGGTGCCATGTTGCCTGGTTTTTTACTGTACTTGTGGTGATAAAGAAAAGGGAAGATGCAGCCTCCATGTTGAACATAGCTGGCTTCCAGGTAGCCCTTTCCTATTGGCACATCTGCCGGTATTCACCTGTGCAAGCTTCCAGCTTGCTTATCTATGTCTGTAGCTCAAGTTTTCAGGCTGCTCTTTGTTAGAAAAGAAATGATTTGGGGGCTGCCTTTTGATAGGACAGAGATAAGCCACAGATAATGGCTCTGGTGGGTATATGTGTAACCCAGATGTCTTCAAAGTCTCCAGATACCTTCAATGCCAAATGGAAAATAGCTTGAGTCCCTGGGCTGAATATTCCCCATTTGTCCCTCCAGATCCAGTCTGGAGAGTAGCTGCTTCTGGTTTGGTCCAGACAATGGAGGACACCAGTAGATCTGAGATAGGAAGAGAGAGGCAGGCGTACTTATTCCTGCAGCCCACTCCCTGCCAGGCTATGCTGGTCAGCAGCTTTTTTCCTCTGGTGAGAGCTACAACTTCCATCAGGCAGCCCTCTCCTAGAGCTATAGCTCCCACCCATTTTGGTAACTCTTCCTTCTCTTTGCCCCTTCAGGCAAAGTATTTGTGTTTTTGTGACTGGCTTATTTCACTTAGCATAATGTCCTCAAGGTTCATCCATGTTGTAGCATGTGACAGGATTTCTTTCTTTTTAAAGGCAGAGTAAGATTCCATTGTGTGTATATACCACATGCTGTTTATCCATTGATGGACATTTGGATTGCTTCCACCCCTTGACTATGGTGAATAAAGCTGCTGTGAACACTGATGTGCAAACATATCTTTGAGACCCTGCTTTTTATTCTTTTGGGTGTACACCCAGAAGTGGGATTGTTGGATCATACAGTAGTTCTATTTTTAACTTTTTGAGGAAACTCCATACTGTGTTTCATAGTGATTGCACTCTTTTACAATCCCATCAACAGTGCACAAGGGTTTTAATTTCTCCACATCCTCACCCACACTTGCTATTTTCTGTTTTTTTTTAAAATTTTTTTTATAATGGCCATCTCTAATGGGTGTGAGGCGATATCACATCGTGGTTTTGATTTGCATGTCTTTGATCATGTATGATGTTGAGCGTCTTATGCTTGGCCATTTATATTTCAGCTTTAGATAAATGTCTATTTAAGTTATTTACCCATTTTTTGATCAAGTGATTTGATTTTTTATTAATGAGTTGTCCCATTTTGTTTTTAACCAGAGTTTTTGACATTGATAGGGAAAACGTGTGTTGTGTAGTTTTGTGTTAAAAGCCTTCACATTCCCATGTCCTCTGAGGACTGGGAGCTCAGGGGAGGTGGGTTGTGCTTGATGATCCAGAAAGTTTCCCTAAATGAAGAAGCAAGGACGCAGCCAGCAAAACTCCAGGAGTTTCCAATATTCTCTGAAACCCAGTGAGGTTGGGGAAGAGATTACCTTCATCTCTGTCCTCCAGCCCACATCCTAGGCAGCATATTAGCATTCTTTATTTTATTTTTGAGACAGACTCTTACTCTGTTGCCCAGGCTGGATTGCAGTGGCGCAATCTAGGCTCACTGCAACCTCTGCCTCCTGGGTTCAAGCGATTCCTGTGCCTCAGCCTCCCAAGTAGCTGGGATTACAGGTGTGTGTCACCACGCCTGGCTAATTTTTTGTATTTTTAGTAGAGACAGGATTTTGCCATGTTGGCCAGGCTGGTCTTGAACTCCTGGCTTCAGGTGATCTGCCCACCTCGGCCTCCCAAAGTGCTGAGATTACAGGTGTGAGCCACTGTGCCCGGCCAGCATTCTTGTATATTAGGACAGACATGAATGTGATTTTAGTAGTAGTGTATAGGAGTCTATAGAAGCTGGAAAGAAAGAAATAACTTTTAGTCTTCAAGAGAAAAATCATCTATGCCAGCCTCCGAAGTCACACTGTCTGAGGACTTTCTGCAGTGATGGACATGTTCTGTGTCTCTGCTGTCCCCTATGGTAATCAGTGAATATTGAGCACTTGAAATGTGGCTAGTGGGACTGAGGAACTGAATTTTTAATTTAATTTAATTTTGATAAATATAAACTTAAATAGCCACATGTGGTTAGTGGCTACCAAATTGGACAACACAGAAAAGTATGCAAAATATATCTTAATTTGGGAAGAGGACTAGAGGGTTTACATAGGTTTACATTTTACTAATATGCATGATATTGGGCCTGTGTACACACAAGTTGATCGTATAGTATCTGAGATTTAGACAACCTGCTGGTCATTGTCTGTGATGGTGGTGAACGAGGAGGAAGAAGAGGAAGTCTGGGCCTGTAGTCAAAGGAGGTGATTAAAGGACCAAGGACAGGGCAGGAGGAAATTGGTGAAGAATATGATCAATCAATATACAGGTACATACAGAGCACATTCTGTCCTAGGGAGAAGCTACAAGTGGTATGAAAAGTTGGATCCACTCCCAAAGGGCTTACTATGTCTGGGGTGAGACAAGATACGGTCACATGAAGTGCGTGGTAAACAAGATACGCCATAATGTCACAGTTATGCCAAATGCCATAATTTCAAAGTTATGCCAAACATCATAATGTCAAAGTTATGTCAAATGCCATAATATCAAAGTTATGCCAAACAGATAAATACAATGCATCTCCAAGAAGGGAGAAATCCACCTTGGCCCCAGACATCAGAACCAGACTGCCTGGATTGATTGCTGGCTCTGCCACTTACTGGTTGTGTGACCTTGGGCAAGTCACTTGCTATCTATATGCTCAGTTTCCTCATGATAAAATGAAATGATAAATGTGCCAATATTATAGGGTTGCCATGAGCATTAAATGACATATGTGAGAGTGCTTAGAACAGTGCCTGGAATACATAAGTGCTAATTAAATATTAGCTGTCATTGAAGGGGGAGAGGAAACGGTAGAGTAGGAAAAAGGGCATTAGCTTTCATAACCTACATCCATCCAGGCACCTTCTTTAAATATAACTTAAACTCCTTGTGATCAATTTGATACTGAGTAGAACTGTTATTTATGGTGTAATTAGCTACTCTCAAGTTCACTTATGTAGCAAAAGTCAGGAAAAAGTAAGGAAAATAGGTTCTTAGGTAAATGTCCCCAGAAGTAGACCTTCAGATGAGGATTCACAAGCAAGTGATTTATTAAGGACATGCTCCCAGGGGAGGCAGGGAGGGAATGGAGGACAGGACAGAGAAGGGGAGGGAGCTAAGCAAATAGATTATCTTTTTTTTAAAATTTTTATTATTATTATTATACTTTAAGTTTTAGGGTACATGTGCACAATGTGCAGGTTAGTTACATATGTATACATGTGCCATGCTGGTGTGCTGCACCCATTAACTCGTCATTTAGCATTAGGTTTTTTTTTTTTTTTAATTACAAATAGATGATCTTAAGTGAAGTCACTGCCCCAGCCCGATCCCACAGGGGAGCTCTTGGGGGTAAGTTACACCCCTTTAGTGTACCACAAATCCAAACAAGGCAGCTGGACTTTGAGATGCTCACACCTGCTGGTCATTGGCTAAATTCCACCCCAGGGAACCTAAACCTCCAGGCACCATGAGCAAAGCAGTGTCAAAAGTCCACGCGGGCAGGAAAAACATACAGAATTTCAGGGAAGGCCACTCAGAAACAGGAAAAGGGTGGCGCCATTTGAATGAAGCAGCTGCTATCGTCCACTGAATATTATGGGTTTTGCTGAACAAGGCTGGGCAAAGAACTTACTGGGGCAAATTGGTGCTGCTAATTGGTGACCACCCAAACTTCCAAACAGTGGATCTCAAACTTCAGGCTGTGTAAGATCCCCTGGAAGTCGTTTAAAATGTAGATTCCTGGGCTTCATCTCCAGAAATTGTAATTCAGTGGGTGGGACTCAGGAAACTTCATTTTCAACATGCTCCCTGGGTAATTTGGATGTGGGGATCCTTGGACCATGCCCTGAGAATCACTGCCTTAGGGGACTGGCAGGAAGGTGTTGAGGTTGAGTGGTCAGGCTGGCTCACAGGCAGGGTTCCCAGTAGTGCTTAATGTTATCAGCAGTGCGCTGGTGAACAGACATGGAAAAGTGTGGAAACCGCTTCATGACTACCTTCCTGGGGAGGCACAAAACAAGACGGCTTGTCCCAAGTAGGGTGCAGAAAAACAATTTCCCTGGAGTGGCCATTGTGTGAGCCCTGAGGGAAAGGGGAGCAAGGGATGTAATTTAAAGAACTACAATCAGGGAGTGTCTTCAGCTAATTCCCCTAGAAAGCCTGAGACTAGGATCTGAGTTCAAGTAGTTTACTTGGAAGAGATCCCAGGAAGCACCAGTATGGAAGTGAGAATTGGAGGGACAGGGCAGAGAAGGCAGGTAGTCAGTACAGGATATGTTACCAGGCTGGGCGCGGTGGCTCACGCCTGTAATCCCAGCACTTTGGGAGGCCGAGGCGGGTGGATCACGAGGTCAGGAGTTTGAGACCAGCCTGACCAACATGGTGAAACCCTGTCTCTACTAAAAAATACAAAATTTAGCCGGCCATGGTGGCGTGTGCCTGTAGTACCAGCTACTCAGAAGGCTGAGGCAGGAGAATTGCTTGAACCCCGGGAGGCGGAGGTTGCAGTGAGCCGAGATCGCACCACTGCACTCCAGCCTGGATGACAGAACGAGACTCCATCTCAAAAAAAAAAAAAAAAAAGAAAAAAAAAAAGGATATCTTACCGGTGTCAGCAGCAGACCACTGTTGGCAACTGGGGTTTGATCCTGCTGGGCACATCTGAGAGACCATGCAAACACATGCTTGAGTTGTCCCACTTGGGGTGAGAAGCTGGGGCATTTTGCCATTGCCGCTTCCTGAAACTTCTGGCATACCCTGGGTATTTGGTGAGCACCCCCCTGCAGCTGGAAAAAGCCCCAGGCAGAGTTGCAGATGCTTGCAATAGAAAGCTATCAGCATGTACAAGGCTGGTGAGTGCTGAGCGGATACTGGCAGGACTCCTATAGCGTCTGCCAGAGGGAGTGGAAATTGTTCATTTCACAAACAAGGACGATTTCTCACACGAAATTGCCTGCTGCCTACAGGGCTTATGTTAGGTGGATCTGCTTGTCTGCAGTGGTCCTCTGTCCCTTAGCTGCATGTTCTGATGCCTTCAGTCTGGCCAGATTTCTGGGAAAATCCCAGCCAAAGGATTGTAAGAGGTCCAGGTCCTCTAGTTCATGAGGTTCTGAAGATGTGTGCTGCTGGTGGCCCAGGAATTAGCTTCTACCCACCCTGGCCTTGCACATTTTCTGTTCACTGCATTGCTAGCTATTGGAGCCACATCTGATCTCCAAAAATCCATGCCTGCCACCATTGCACCAGGCCAAGCCCAAGAGGAGAACTGTAAGACAGTCAGCATTTGTAGAGTTCCTTCTTGAACTGTCCTTCCTATCCATTTCTTTCTAGTTTCATCACCAGCCTTGATCATTTGTCACTGTCCCTTTTGTTTAACTGTCATTACCTCACAGTGCTGATGAAGCCATGAGGAGAACTGATATACCAGTGCTAATGATCATCAATGAGGTGATGGTGGAGGTGACAGGAAACAGGAGAAAATGACAAGGACAATTTGACATAGCCAAGAAAGGGATCCCCAGGCATGTCCACAGAGTTTGGGAAAGAACACGTCAAAAAATTTACCAAAAAAATATGGTCATGAGCTCATGGCTGGAGAGTCCAAAAACCAGAGATGAGCAAGAGAAAATGATTGCTGAAGAATTGTTCATAATATATAACCACAGAGGAAGCTGGAGAGGAGAGGAATGGGGTGGATCTAAAGAAGCCGTCGAGGCTTCAGCTCTTCAATAGCTTTGATTTTGAAGGGATATGTATAGAAACAGAAACCAGACATCAGTAAAGAATCAACACAAATCATGTCAAAAGTTTATCAGATTGGAAATCAAAAGATAGAATGGCCCAGATTTTCAGAAAGTCTAATGTCAGCAATACAAAAATCATTTGTGCTACATTTAGACCAGAAATAAAATAAGGAGAAAATAGGTCTGCTTGGGGTGAGTGAAGTGATACAAGCAAAAGACCACGAGAAAGAACCGTACAATTCCTAGTTTGTTTCCCCCTTTTTCTTATTGTTTATTAAAGAGAATGCTCTTTAAACTGGAAATGGTGAAAGACTCTTGGTTAAAGAAGAGAGAGAGGCAGAAATAGAAAAGAGTGTGAGTGTTTTGAACAAGTTCAAATAAGGCAATCTGTAGGTGGAAGGGGCTGTCATTGGGGGTAGTGCATTCAGTTTTGTATGTCAAGTTTTCAAAGAATCACTGTCTCTTATAAAAAGGGGACAGGGTACCTGGGAAATGAGGTCTCTGAAAGTCATGGCAAGTGAAAGCTGTAAGTGCTAGGTAGGTATAGTCTGGCAAGGGGGAGACATGGAGGAAGGACATCAAGCTAACACAAAAGATGCAAAGGGATGACATTTGGAAAAGGTCTGGACCAGGCTGTGGTAGGGTAGAGAGTAGAACTAAGCCCAGTGGGTTGACATTCCATTGACAGTCCAACGCAGTATGAAACTTCTGAATGCTTAGAAGCAATTAGCATTAAACAACTGCCTCAAGGTAGTGGTGTCTCTACAACAGTAAAGTTTAACCTGAGAGTAACTGAATCTGTCAAGGCTGTTGTAGACAGAATTTTTGTAGAGGATATGAGGCTAGGATCTCAAGCATTCTTTCTTTCTTTTTTTTTGAGACAGAGTCTCACTCTGTCGCCCAGGCTGGAGTGCAGTGGCACGATCTTGGCTCACTGCAACCTCTGCCTCCCGGGTTCAAGTAATTCTGCCTCAGCTGCCCGAGTAGCTGGGATTACAGGTGCCTACCACCATGCCCGGCTAATTTTTGTATTTTTAGTAGAGATGGGGTTTCCCCATGGTCAGGGGGTTTCCCCCCTGACCATGTTGCCCAGGCTGGTCTCGAACTCCTGGCCTTAAGTGATCTGCCCACCTTGGCCTTCCAAAGTGCTGGGATTATGGGCATGAGCCACCACGCCTGGCCCCAAGCATTAGTTCTTAATCTTCTTTAGGCCACGGACTCTTTTGATAATCTGATAAAAATGATAGATTCTCTATGTATTAAAATGCCGGTATGTGCCAACACTACTCTTTATGTTCAATTTCAAGGAGTTCATTTTTCCTAAAGCAGGACTATGGTCCCCAGCTTAAGCCCACCTCTAAAGGGATTCTTCTATCTCTAAAATGCAGCGATTCTAAGTCCTTTCTATAGAAGTTGTATTTTCATGAATCTTTCCTCAGTGACCCTTTGTAAACCTTTTTTTTTTTTTTTTTTTTTTTGAGACAGAGTTTCACTCTTGTTGCCCAGGCAGGAGTGCAATGGCGCGATCTCGGCTCACCGCAACCTCTGCCTCCCAGGTTCAAGCAATTCTCCTGCCTCAGCCTCCCGAGTAGCTGGGATTACAGGCATGCGCCACCACGCCCGGCTAATTTTGTATTTTTAGTAGGGACGGGGGTTTCTCCATGTTGGTCAGGCTGGTCTCGAATTCCTGACTGCAGGTGATCTGCCCACCTCGGCCTCCCGAAATGCTGGGATTACAAGTGTGAGCCACTGTGCCCGGCCTGTAAACATTTTTATGGCTTGATACAAAAAAAGGGGGGTGCTGAGTGTGCTATTTTATGAAACTAGCTGAATGTTCAGGCCGACCAAACATTCTGTCTCCTGATGTATGACTTCCACATTATGGCAGCACTTAAAAATTTTAAACCATCTCTCAGCACCTGTGTGTTTGACACCCACCACACACTATCTAATGCCAAGTCGCAAAGGTTCAACTTTGTAAATCGAAGGACTGATTCAACTTTGTAAATCAAAGGACTGATTCACAGTTATTTGCCTCTTGTTTCCAGCTGTGGTCTGCATCAGGTCGAAGAAATGTTGTAATACACAGAAGCACCACAAGATGACACCCTTGGGAAAGTCTTGCTTTGCAGGTTGGTTTCCCAGCTCTGACGTCTATTCTAAACATAGCCTTACAAAATGCTTGTGGAAGAGGGAAGAGAATCTATTACTGGGGAGGAAAAACACCAATGACAAAACAACCCTGGCACTTTCCTGAGTTTTGGGATACAGAGTCAAGTCTTGATTACTTTCTTCTGCTTCTTAATTATCAGTTTTTGCAGGCAGACACATAGATTTATGTAACACATAAGCATATCTTTCATACACATCTATTTTCTGCCGATGCTGATGCTCTATGTGATTTAGAAGCTGTTCATAACTTGGGAGAAGAGCCTTTCTTCTTTTGTATTGTAAGCTTTCACATCCACTTTTTTTATTGCCTCTGTCCCCTACTTCACTGTCAGTAAGAATATTGGGTTTGCATGGAAACATCATAAAATGCCTTTATGGAAAGAGGAAAGTGTGGTTAGACCAGCTTTTTCTGCCATGAATATCAGGCCAACTGGAGAGAAGATCAAAGCGAAAGGTGAGGGCAGAGTGGGCTAGGATGGAAAGCGGGATTACTCACTGAAATTGACATGTCTGTTCAATCCTTTTGCTCCCTCCAAATTTTTCTTAAAAAAGCAATTAAAAAAACCCCATGTTCATGCTACATTAAGCCTCATGTTTCCATTTCTCATTTTACTGCTTGAGTGGCACTTGCTATCACTTGGTAAGCTTACTTAAGAGAGGGAACAATGTCGATTAGAATACAGTTGTCTGTGTTGAGTAAGAGCCCTCCGTTGGTTTGTGGTCTTTGGCAGGCAGCTAGTAAAAATAATAAGCTCTGAACAGATGCCATGTTTCTTTGGCGAATGGTTTTGGCCAGTCTTCTTTTCATTTTTGTACCTGCAAGTGGAAAATTACTGCTTTAATGAGCTATGTTACCCAGTGGTAAAAATGTTTGAAATTACCCAATGGAGGAAAGCAGTCTTTTGAAAGATTTGTGAGAAGAGGTAATACAAAACCCCAACAAATTCCACTGGGAAATTCTTTTCTTACATTTTATTTCAAGGATAGTTCTGCTAGAAACCTGTATTTCTGAGCAAAGAGCTGTGAAACTGAATTCCAAACTAGTTACAACTGTGGGGAACAAGGCACATAGTCATTTAGAGAGCATCTTTCCTGGCCTGGCTCTGTGCTGGGCATTACTGGCAATGCAGGGATTAAAACGACACTGTTTCTCTCCTCTGGGAGCTTCCAACCTAATGGGAAAGACAAACATACAGAGACCCCATGTTATGCCTGGAATTATAGTTGAGTGCCAAGAGCAAAATAAAATAAAAGTACAGCTCTGCTTGGCTGGGTCTGGCTGCAGCAACTCAAAATCTACTAATATGCAGACGTTCGCAAAGTCAAATTATCTTTTGTCCTTGAAATCTAAGTAGCTGGCTGGATGTGGGTTATTTTTTTTCCTTCTTTTTAATACTTTTCTGTTCTTTGTTGTATTTCTAAAATAAGCATGTTTAGTTTGTTGTTGTTTTTTTTTTTTTTTTGCCCTCTTCATAAAAGCAAGTTGAGTCTGAAAAGGAAAATGTACACTTTTTTTGGGTAATAGTCATAATAATGTTACAAAAGCAAACATTTCCTTAGTGGTTACTATGGTGCCAGGTACTGTTCTAAGTGCTTTTATATATCAACTCATTTTAGTCCTCACAACCACCCTATGAGAGAGGTGCTATTATTACACCCATTTTATAGAGGAACATATGGAGGAAAGGTAACTTGCCCAAGGTTACGCAAGGAGTTAAGTGGCTGAGCAGGCTGGCTCCAGAGTCCAAGCTGCCTAATTTACATTCGGAAGGAAGAGTTTTTTCGCCTAAATTAATTTCCCATGTAACTGATGCTTGTCATCTGTCTCGGGATTGGGCTGGGAGAGAAATGATTTTTGAGAGCAGGATTGGGCTGGCGGGGAGATGCTGGGATTGGAAAGTTAGACCCAAATATGGTTCAGGCACTCAGAGAAGCCTCCAAGTGTTGACCAAAGAGTTTCCAGCTGGTTGGCCTAGACTGGCCTAAAGGGCTTGGGGAAATAGAGTCCTTCTCTAGAAAAGCAGCTGACCCAGTAAGGGAGCATGGAGAAGTGGTTGTAGCAGTGGGAAGGCGGGCAGAGGATCCTGGAGAAAGAGATTGGGGGTTAGGGGTGAGGTTAGGGTTAGGAGTTAGGGTTAGGGTTGGGGATTAAGGTTAGGCATTGGAGTTACATGTTAGGGTTGGGTTTGGGGGGTTAGGGTTAGGTAGTAGGGATTGGAGTTATGTGATAGAATGTGGGGTTAGTGTTGTGGTGGAGTTTGGTGTTTGGGTTAGGGTTAAGGGTTTGAGCAACCATTAGGGCTAGGATTTAGGGTGATTTTTAGGAGTTTAGATTAGGGTTAGCATTAGGATTTCAAGTTTGGTCTAGGGCTAGAGGATAGGGATTAGGGTTAGGAGTTATGATTAGTGTTTGGGTCAGGGCAGGCAGTCAACATACAGCTCTTTTGAGAGGCTGAAAGTGCTGGTCACTTGGCTAGGGTTTGGCAAAAGATATTAGAATCTGGGAGAGTGATTTTCAAGAGTAAAGCAAGAGTCAAGCCTACAAGGAGCTCTGAGTTACAGCCCAAATGAGATTCCCTGAACAGAAAGACAACAGGACCAAAGAAGACTCCGTATAACAGGAGCTGGGCTTGGGTTTGGGGGAGGAGCTATGACCAGGCAGTGCCAGGGCGTAAAGGAAAAGTTCAGGAATCATAACTGGGACACAGCCACAGTCAGGTGACCTGCTACTATAGACATCTTGCAGGATGGGCCCTGGGAACTGAGGGCAGAGTTGAGCTGCAGGGTGAGGTCTAGTGTATGTTTATGTAATTTAATTTTTAATAATGACTGTGTTTAACAACTGGCTTGCAAAATTCCTGATGATTTAACAATCAGCTCTTGCAAGTTGGTGCAAGTCTGTTATAGCATACCGCTGGTCTGAACCCCATAGCCAATCCTTTCTATGACTACCACAGCTGTGTCTACATCATTGAGGCTTCTAGTTACACATGAATACCCAGGAGGGAATTGGTTTATCAGGTGTTACCCACTGAAAAGGGAAACTTTAGAAGCATCCCAGTCACAACATTTGAATTATGGGCTTTGTAGAAACAGCTGTCCTACTGTTTAGTTAAAAAAAAAAAAGCGAAAGAAATTCCCTTGGTATTGGTATGCATGTAGATGCATGGTCCTTTTGGCTGTGTGAGGATGATGCTGTGGAAGAAGTGTTGCATCTCATCATGGTGAAAGATGTGTGCTGAAACCCCCTTCAAGGTGCCTACACACACACACACACACACACACACACACACCATTAGATACTTATTGTCAGTTGCTGCTTATGCCTGTATTCCTTATGTATCAGTCAGCTACTGCCACAATTATGATGTATAATAAACTACCCCAAAACACATTCATTATGTTAAAACAACAATCATTTATTCTTGCTCATGCATCTGTGGATTGGCTTATCTAGGCTAGCCCTGACTGGGCTTGGTTCTAAGGAGCAGGCTGGGCCTAGGTATACTCTAAGTGCCTCTCATCCTCTTTGCACTAGTAGGATATGTAGGCCATGCTCTGCTCACAAAAATGGCACAGACATAAGTGAACAAGCCCAACTGCGAAGCACATTTTAAGCCTCTGCTAACATCCCACTGGCCAAAGGATGTCACATGGCCAAGCCCAGTATCATCAATGAGATGGGGAAGTACACTTTGCTTCTAGTGAGAGGAATTATAAAGCCACAAGACAGAGGGTATGATGTGGGGAAGGGCAAAGAATTGAGGACAACAATGCAATCTGCTATGCCACATGTTTACCAGACTGAATCACACAGGAATCAGCTTATGACCCTGAACTCGTGGTTTAAACTTCCGAACGAGTTCTGGACTATATAGGCAAAGAATGGAGAGAATTGCTACTCTAATGTATAGTACCACGGGAGACACAGCTTCTCTGATCTAGTATTTGGAGCAAACTTTTCCCAGCTCTTTTAGGCTGTACCATACCTGGGAATATGTTCCTCACTTCTCCATCATTGCTCAGCTATTCACTTGTCTGGCCATTTTTTTCTGCCCATTTTCTCTGCCATGCTTAGACACACACCTGTCATCCATCTTTCTCCATCCATTATGGCTGACACCACCTCCATCCCAAAGGATGAAGAGAAAAAGCTGGAACTTCTAGGTACTGCAGTGTCGTGGTATAGTGGGCACATACAGGTTAAGCAGGCAGCCTGATGCAGGTTTGAAATTCCTACTTTTCACTAACAAGCCATGTGAATTTGGGGAGGCTCTGACATTCAGTTCCCCCACTGACAAAGTGGAGATAATTGCACATATTTCTTTTTTTCTTTCTTTCTTTCTTTCTTTTTTTGAGATAGAGTCTCGCCCTGTCACCCAGGCTGGAGTGCAATGGCACGATCTTGGCTCACTGCAACTTCCGCCTCCCGGGTTCAAGCTATTCTCCTGTCTCAGCCTCCTGAGTAGCTGGGATTACAGGTGTGCACCTCCTCACCCAGCTAATTTTTGTATTTTTAGTGGAGACGGGGTTTCACCATGTTGGCTAGGCTGCTCTCGAACTCCTGACCTCGTGATCCACCCGCCTCGGCCTCCCAAAGTGCTGGGATTACAGGTGTGAGCCCCTGTGTCCGGCCCAATTGCATGTATTTCATAAGATGTTGTGTGGTTGAAATAATAAAGGTAATAAACGTTGTTCACAATTAGCATGATGCCTAGCACACAGAAGGGAACTGATACATGTTTTTGGTTGGAAGACAATATCACCAAATATAAGCCTATCTTGGATGGAATTTAGAATCTAGATTGTAACTTTAAAACCTAAAATAGACTGTAAGCTATTTTCTTGGGAAAATTCCCACCGTCTTCCAGGAAGGTATAAGTTATCAACCAGTGTTGAGATGACCTTCATAGAGAAGTAAGCTCAGCACTTAGGAAAAAGAAAAAAAAGATGACCTTGAACTGCCCTGTGGAAAACTCAGAACTGGTTCCTCTGCACCTGGAGGCCATCCAAGGGTTATTCTATTCCTAACCTGGTTCTCAGACTTTGCATCATTTCTCCTGCCCATAGCTGGTTTTGTGATTCTGCCCAAAACACACACACACACACACACACACACACACACACACACACACATATACACACCCCTCTTCTGCAGATGGCTACATCTCAAGGCCCAGGCAAGGAATTATGGGTGTGATGGCCTTAAAACTTAACGTGAATCCTCATTGACAAACCCAGAACAAACCCACCTTCCGCTGCCTTTAGGGGTAATTGTGTCTTATTAAAATATATTGACAGTTGATCTGAACCCAAGGGAATGTGCCTGTTCGAAATAACCTTTGTCTCTCTACCTCACAAACAATTCAACTCAATGAACACTTATAGGAAGTCATCAAAGACAGAATTAAAGATCCAAAGAGAAACATAGGGGTGAGAAAGATTGGAGTATTAAAAGAAGGTCATTGGGCTTTTCAGAGTTGAATCCACTGGCTGGTGGTAAAAAGCTGTAGTGAAGAATATTCTCCAAGTCCTTCCACCTTGACATTTCTAACTGAACCTACCTCCATCCCACTCATCCATTTAAAAAATATAGAAGGGTTGTAATTTGGTACCTGGTAAGTTTTTCTTCTTCTATTCCTCCTTCAGCAAATTTATGATATACAGAGTTTGAAGGTTGCTGGCAGGGGGATGGGAAAATTTGTATCAGAAGGCCAAGGGCCTTCTGGAAGGAAAGGCACTGTCAGCACCAAGCCTTCTCACTGAGATCCAGTGATGAAATCTGTTGATGTGGACCTGGACCACAGAGAACAAACACAGGGGTTAGGAAATGGCACCAAGGACCCTGCAATGCAGTTGCTATGGGGGCGGGGGAGATTGGAGCAGTGGACTGGCTGCAGATTTGAATCAGAACTGGTAATCCTAGGTCTGGAGTGTAGGGCACCCATGAACTTGTCCCAGTGCAGTCCTCCTGGGGACAGGCTTAGCCTGGTAAAGTGGCCATGTAGATGGGTCCAAAGAATCCCAGCCGCTGGATTTGTTATTTCTCACATCACATGGCTTCTTAGTCTACATCCCTTCTTTTTTTTCTTTCTCTTTCTTTTTTTTTTTTTGAGATGGAGTCTTGCTCTGTCACCCAGGCTGGAGTGCAGTGACGCCATCTTGGCTCACTGCAACCTCTGCCTCCCAGGTTCAGACGATTCTCGTGCCTCAGCCTCCCAAGTAGCTGGGATTACAGGCATCTGCCACCAAGCCTGGCTAATTTCTTGTATTTTTAATAGAGACGGGGTTTCACCATGTTGGCCAGGTTGGTCTCAAACTCCTGGCCTCAGGTGATCCACCTGCCTCGGCCTCCCAAAGTGCTGGGATTACAGGCATGAGCCACCACACCCGGCTACATCCCTTCTTTGGCAGCTATAGGTGGGGACAAGTGGTCCCATCAGCTGCAATGTTCCCCTGGCCTGGTGGTCTGCAGCCAGCTGGTGATGACTGTGGTGTTATCCAATGTCAAGAGGGTGCTATGAGTTCTGATTCTCACGAAGAGAAGTGGGAATTTTCAGGCTAGGATGCTAAAATTCCCAAGGGGCTCTCAGCACGTAAGAGGACATCGAGGGAGGGAATAAATGGATTTCTACTAGTCTGGGCAGGTAAGGGCCTAAGCATTGCATTCTGGACAATACTGGGGAGCAGCCTTCACTTGAACTGGAAATCAAGGTCTGACATCCCAGTTGCACAGTAATATGGGACAAGAAAAGAAATCAATTGAAAACGTTGATATGCTCTCAAATGCTAATGGAGTGCATGCTTATGGCAGAGGTCTCTGGATTTGACATGTACCTTCATGTTATATTTTTTGAAGTACAGAGATTTTTTGTTTTTTTTTTTCTTATTGTGGTAAGAAACACATAACACAAAACTTGCCGTCTTAACTTTTTTTAAATTCTTTTTTTAATTTTATGTTAAGTTCTGGGATACATGTGCACGATGTGCAGGTTTGTTACATAGATAAACGTATGCCAAGGTGATTTGCTGCCACCTATCAACCCATCACCTAGGTATTAAGCCCAGCATACATTAGCTATTTTACCTGATGCTCTCCCTCCCCCTGCCCCCTCCCCATAGGCCCCAGTGTGTGATGTTCCCCTTCCTGTGTCCATGTATTCTCATTATTCAGCTCCCACTTATAAGTGAGAACATGCGCTGTTTGGTTTTCTGTTCCTGCATTTGTTTGCTGAGGATAACGGTTTCCAGCTCCATCCATGTCCCTGACAAGGACATGATCTTGTTCCTTTTTATGGCTGCTTAGTATTCCATGGTGTATATGTACCACATTTTCTTTGTCCAGTCTATCATTGATGGGCATTTAGTTTGAGTCCATGTCTTTGCTATTGTGAATAGTGCTGCAATGAACATACATGTGCACGTATCTTTATAATAGAATGATTTATATTCCTTTGGCTATATACCCAGTAATGGAATTGCTGGGTCAGATGGTATTTCTGGTTCTAGGTCTTTGAGGAATTGCCACACTCTTCCACAATGGTTGAACTAATTTATATTCTCACCAACAGTGTAAAAGTGTTCCTATTTCTCCACAGCCTTGCCAGAATCTGTTGTTTCTTGACTTTTTAATAAGTGTCATTCTAACTGGCATGAGATACCGTCTTAATTTTTAAGTGTACAGTTTAGCAGTGTTGAGTATATTCACATTGTTGTGAAACAGATCTCTAGAACTTTCTAATCTTGCAAAACTGAAACTCCATACAAATTAGACAATTCTCCTCTCCCATTTCCTCCCAGTCCCTGGCAACCATCATTCTACTTTGTTTCTGTGAATTTGACTACTTGTAGCTACTCCACGTAAATAAAATCATACAGTATTTGTCTTTTTGTGATGGACTTATTTCACTATCTTCAAGGCTCATCTATGTTGTACCGTGTGACAGGATATCCTTCCTTTTTAAGGCAGAATAATATCCATTGTATGCAGATACTATATTCATCCATCGATGGACATTTAGGCTGTTTCCACCTCTTGGCTATTGTGAAAAGTGTTTCTTTGAACAAAGATGTGCAAACATCTCTTTGAGACCATGCTTTCTATTCTTCTGGGTATATACCTAGAAGTGGGATTGGTGGGTCATATGGTAGTTCTATTTTTAGGTTTTTGAGGAGCTGCCATACTGTTTGCCATAGTGGTCACACCATTTTGCAATCCTATCAACAGCGCACAAGGACTCCTATTTCTCCGTATTCTCACCAACACTTATTTTCTCTTTTTGTTTTTTAATAGTGGCCACTCTAATGGGTAAGAGGTGATATCTCATTGTGGTTTTGATTTGCATTTCTCTGATGATTCATGACATTGAGCATCTTTTCATATAGCTTGTTGGCCGTTTGTATATGATCTTTGGAGAAATGTCTATTCGAGTCTTTTGTGCACTTTTTAGTCAGGTTATTTGATTTTTTCTTGTTGTTGAGTTGTAGTTCTGTATGTGTTCTGGATATTAACCCTTATTAGATATATGATTTGAAAGTACTTTCTCTCATTTCATGGATTGATTTTTCATTCCTTTTATTATTTCCCTTGATGTGCAGAAGTTATGTTTGATGTAGTCCCATTTGCCTATTTTTCTTTTGTTGCCTGTGCTTTTAGTGTCATATCCAAGAAATCCTTGCCAAATTCAGTGTCATGGAGATTTCCCCCTGTTTTCTTGTAGGAATTTTCGTTTTTGGTGTTAAATTTGGGTCTTTAATCCATTTTTAGTTAATTTTTGTATGGTGTAACATAAATGTCCAACTTCATTCTTCTGTATGTGGATATTCAGTTTTTCCAACCCTATTTGTTAAGAGACTGCCCTCTCCTAATTGAGGGGTTTGGCACTCTTGCCAAAGATCATTTGACCATATATGCATGCATTTATTGCTGGGCTCTCTATTCTATTCTATTGGTCTATAGGTCTGTCTTTATGTTAGTACCACACTGTTTTGATTACTGTAGCTTTGTAATGTTCTGAAATTAGGAAGCGTGAGTCATCCATATTTGTTCTTTTTCAAAATTGTTTTGGCTATTCAGAGTTCCTTGAGCTTCCATATGAATTTTAGGGTTTTTTTTTCTATTTCTGCAAAAAAAATTACCATTGGGATTTTGATTTTGATAGGGATTGCATTGAATCTGTAGATCACCGTGGGTAGTATTGGCATCTTAACAATATTAAGTTTTCCAATACATGAACATGGGATGTCTTTCCATTTATTCGTGTCTTCTTTAATTTCTTTCATCAATGTTTTGTAGTTTTCAGTGTATAAGTCTTTCCTTGGTTGCGTTTATTCCCAAATATTTTATCGTTTTGGTGTTATTGTAAATAGAATTGTTTTTTAAATTTCCCTTTCAGATTGTTCATTGTTAGTATGAGAAACACAACCAATTTTTGTGAGTTGATTTTGTATCCTGCAAATTTGCTGAATTCATTATTTCTAATAGGTTTTTTGTGTAGAATCATTGGAGTTTTAGAGTACAGATTTTTTTTAAAGGCAATCTTTTTTTTTTGAGACAGAGTCTCGCTCTGTCACCAGGCTGGAGTGCAGTGGTGCGATCTTGGCTCGCTGCAACCTCTGCCTCTCAGGTTCAAGCGATTCTCCTGCCTCAGCCTCCCGAGTAGCTGGGACCACAGGCATGCGCCACCATGCCCACCTAATTTTTGTATTTTTAGTAGAGACGGGGTTTCACTGTGTTGGCCAGGATGGTCTCGATCTCCTGACCTCGTGATCCACCCGCCTTGGCCTCCCAAAGTGCTGGGATTACAGGTTTGAGCCACCGCGCCCAGCCTTTAAAGGCTATCTTAATGTAAGAATAAAATATTAATGTATGACTGGAATTAGGAGTCTCTAGACAGTTCTTGTGAAGGGAAGTTGAAACTTCACTAGAGAGAAAGCTTTTTCCAAATTCCAGTAACCCTGAAATTCATGGCACCATCTATTTTCCCCTTTCAGATAAAAAAAAAGAGTGGATTAATTGTATAACAGTTACCATTGTCCATTATATAATGGAGGGAAGTGGGCTGACTTTGTTAGTTAAGTCTGTTATACTCATGCATGTGACATTTTTGTTTTCAATGACATTTCTATTCCCTTACCCTTCTAGGGAGATTTCTGATAACCATAAATAGTTTTCACCATGCCAGTGCAGGATATAAAACACTGCCTCAGGGCTTCTGGAGATTTCTGATTACAGTAAGTGGATCATACATGGTGTTTCAGTGTCATAATTACAAGAGTAAGAGATGGTGGTACTAGTTAAAGGAAAGGGTACAACTTTGAGGATCCTCTTATAGGTCAGTGCCAGGCATTTGCTAATGAGGCTCTTAGACTGTGGAAGAAACATCCAAAATATCATTGCAAAGTAGGAATTTCTGTTTCAACAGATTCCTTGCCTATGAACATTCTTCAGCTTGGTGATTGCTGACATTAGTGGAGGTAAATGCCCATGTAGAAGAACCAAAAGCATTCTAATTTTCTACAATTTGAAAGAGGTACTTTTACTTTGGAAAAAAATTCTGAGATACTGATTCCCAATCATTTGGGAATTGTGGCAACATTACTGGGTTAATTTTATTTTATTTTTTGAGAAAGGATCTTGCTCTGTCACTCAGGCTGGAGTGCAGTGGCACAATCATCGCTCACTGCAGCCTCAAACTCCTGAGCTCAAGCAATCCTCCCACCTCAGCCTCCTCAGTAGCTGGAACTACAGGTGCACACCCCCATGACTGGCTACTTTTTCAAACTTTTTTTAGAGATGGGGTCTCACTATGTTGGCCAGGCTGGTCTGCAACTCCTGACTTCAAGTGATCCTCCTACCTCGATTCCTAAGTAGTTGGGATTACAGGCATGAGCCACCGCACCTGGCTTGGGTTAATCTTAAACATATGCTCTTCTGAATCCAGCTGAGTTCTTAGTTGCCAACATTAGAATCCACTTTCACTAGTTTAAGGAGTTTATTAAAAATACTAGGTAGCTTTCAGAGCCTCAGGGAGGGCCAGAGAGCCAGGCTTGGAAGCTACACAGCCAGACACAGCACAGTTAGAGAAATAGGCAAAGCTCCTAACTACTTCATGTTCAGGTCCAGAGGAACTTCCATGCTTCAGTACTTATGGCTCTAGATACACTACCCAGCTCTGAGTCCCTGGCACTCTGTGCCATTTATCAACTTTATTTATTTATTTATTTATTTTTTTGAGATGGAGTCTCACTCTGTCGCCCAGGCTGGAGTGTAGTGGAGCAATCTGGGCTCACTGCAATCTCCGTGTTCCGTCCGGGTTCAAGCAATTCTCCTGCCTCAGCCTCCCGAGTAGATGGGACTACAGGCATACGCCGTTGCGCCCAGCTGATTTTTGTATTTTTAGTAGAGATGGGTTTTCACCATGTTGGCCAGGCTGGTCTTAACCTCCTGACCTCAAGTGATCCACCCACCTGGGCCTCCCAAAGTCCTGGGATTACAGGCGTGAGCCACTGCACCCAGCTTACCATTTATCAACATTAAAAAAATAAATTTGTACTTGAAACTTTACAATAGTTTTTGATACATAATGAGCTAAGAAATGTCCTTACTAATTGAGTCCATTTGAATCAGGGCTTTCTGTTACTTGCAGCCAAAATTATCCTAACTGGCAGGCATTCTGGCTCCTATCAGTCGCCCTGGCAGGAGCCAGAGTTGAACCCCACCCTAAAACCTCCCTCATGGAAGTTTTGTAGGCAGAGAGGGGTGACAAGTAGCCCCCTGAAGGGACTGTGCCTGAAAGCTGATGAGATTCATCTTATAGGTTAGTGCCAGGCATCCCTAACTGATTTGAGTTTGGAGCTGGTTTTGACCACCCCCACACAGAGGCTGCCCTGATGGGCTACTCTCTGAGGGAAATAGACTCAAGACTGGAACCCAAACTGCCCAAGGAAAGAGCAAAGGATTACAAATCACCTTGAGCCGATCCAAAGGCAAATTAGGAGGATCCCTTCCAGAGAGGACACAGCTACACAGCCTGTTCATTTTCTCTCTATTTCTTCATGTAGTCACAGAAACAATCACTTACATAATTTAAAACATAAGTACCACGTTCATCTGTTCATCTTACTATGGAAACATGAAATCTAACACCACTTCCCACCTTGGAAAGAGAAAAAGAATTGGACTCCAAACTTCAGACTTCCAAATCAGATATCTGTGCCCTATAGTGTGTCCGTGGAAATCGACTTTGGGTTAAGAGTAGTCTGGTTATCCATCCGTGGTGTTTGCGGAGGTTTCACAAATGCATACACATCCCTTATCAAGGACTTGCTGGCCAGTCAAATAGTAGACCTTTGTGGGTGAGTCCCTGGTACCTGGCAACAAACTACTCCAATAAGTGATGACATTTTCTGCTGACATTTGACCAAACAGCCCTTATTTCCACTGGGATCAGAGATGACTGCCTTTCGTTTGCTTCCCCAAAGTACAGAGAATGAATTATATTTGAGTGGCGGTCATTGAGGTACACTGCCTAGATATCACTCCAAGAAAGGACTTCTCATTCAGCTGTAAAGAGCGCAGTTAGCTGTTAGCCCCTTCAGCCAGCAACTGGGTGTGGTGCGTGGTGCTGGTGGGGGCCACTAGGGCATGGATATTTCTGCCCAACACAAAACTCCTCTCATGGGTTGGCCAAGACTTTGCCAGAGCTACATGGTGCTCCAAAGCTTTCCGTGCCCAATTATGCTTTCCATGCTTTGCATGCACGTTCATTTTGCAAATGTCAGAGCTGCATCATGGTCTGAAGATTTTTCCTGCCCAGTCTGGCTTCTTTCCCTTTTATTTTTCACTCTCCCCGCTCCCCAAATCAATCTCTCACACTCCTAACTCTGACTCATCCTTGGCTTTCTCAAGATCCTCACTGACATAATTAATATTATCCATTTTCTGCTCATTTCCAGAAAAAAAATGAAATTGTTTTTTCCCTTTCCCTCACATCATGATAGAAAACTAATTTTTTTTTTTTTTTTTTTTTTTGAGATGAAGTTTTACTGTGTTGCCCAGGCTGGAGTGCAATGGTGCGATCTTGGCTCACTGCAACATCTGCCTCCCAGGTTCAAGCGATTCTCCTGCCTCAGCCTCCCGAGTAGCTGGGATTACAGGAGCCCGCCACCACGCTCGGCTGATTTTGTATTTTTAGTAGAGATTGGGTTTCACCATATTGGCCAGGATGGTCTCAAACTCCTGACCTGAAGAGATCTGCCCGCCTTGGCCTGCCAAAGTGCTGAGATTACAGGTGTGAGTCACCGCACCCGGCCAGAAAACTAATTTTTTTTTTATTCCTTAAAGCCTCACTATTCCTTTGTGTTACTTCTTTTCTCTGTATCTCAAGTTCTATAAAGTGGTGCCCAAATGCCCGCCTTGGGTTTTGTTATGAAGTATTATGTGATACTGCTTTGACAAGGTCGAACACCAAAAATGAGTTGTTGCTTAGGAAGCAGGTGTGTTCAGTCAGTTAAGATGGCCCAGCTGGGCCATTATCCACCCTTAGAGTCACAGAATTTTACAGAGAGATCTGAGCATCTTTCTTCGTGGTTTTTATTAGGTTAGTGCAAAAGTCACTGCGGTTTTTGCCATTATGGCACTTTCTTTGGGTCTCAGAGCCCATAATGAAAGCCACTGACCCTCTTCAGTCAAGCTTCAGTACAGTCAGCTTCAGAGCATCATCCATGGACCCTAGATGAGCACTCTGCATTTTGAAGAAGAGAAACAGAGACATAAAAAGATGAGATGACCTGGCCGGGCGTGGTGGCTCATGCCTGTAATCCCAGCACTTTGGGAGGCCAAGGCAGGCAGATCACCTGAGGTAGGGAGTTCAAGACCAGCCTGACCAGCATGGAGAAACCCTGTCTCTACTAAAAATACAAAATTAGCCGGGTGTTGTGGCACATGCCTATAATCCCAGCTACTCGGGAGGCTGAGGCAGGAGAATCGCTTTAACCCGGGAGGCAGAGGTTGCGGTTAGCCGAGATCACGCCATTGCACTCCAGCCTGGACAACAAGAGCGAAACTCCATCTCAAAAAAAAAAAAAAAACAAAAAACAAGAGATGACTTGTGCGAGGTCTTCCCTGTATAAAGGGGTGGGATGGGGAGGCAGTGAGTCTGCTCCAGTCTGTCCAGCAGGGTTAAATTTAAATGACCTTGCACAACTCTGGGACTTTGGGCACAACCTTTCTGGCTTCAGTAGCCTCACCTCTAAAATCTCTGAGGATTTGAGCTTGACCCTAATAATGTTAAACTACACTTTTCTGAGTGATAAGTGCTTCATGTGCATGATCTCACAACCACAGTATGAAGCAGATACTTTCATTAGTTTTATTTTATTGATGAGGAAACTGAGCCTAATGGAGTTCAGAAACTTGCCGAAGCAGGTAAAAATCAGAGCTTCCATTTGAGAGGAGCACTAGGTAATTCCAGGGCACTTGCTCTTAAACCCTGCCTCTCCATCTTTACAGAAAATTCCAGCTTTAATACTTTATCATTCTGTGATTCAACCTTGATACTTTAGTGGGAATTGAGTGCCTGTTTGTTCCTGTAAGACCTATAATTGCCCACTGAACTGCACTCTTTCTGGTGTTGGCCCAGTGTGGTGTAATGACACTTGTCTCCATTTAACAGGGAAGAGTGTGAAGATTAACGAGGTGATGATTGGTGTTTTAAATCTGTTTAACAAAAGCTTGGTCTTGTGGGCTTCCATATGGGAAAAGAACGATTTTTAATAGGAGTGAGAAACTGATGGGCACCCAATAGCAAGAAGCATTTTGTTTTTAGATGTCAGTCTCCTAAACCAAGAGCTATCATTTTGTTTAATGATTTCCAACCTGAATAAGTAGTATAACAAGTGAGCCTCAAAATCAGTCAACCAAAAGGCAAACATTTTTGTAACCAGGAGAGAGAGGAGCTTTACAGCCTTTAAGCAATATAATCGAAGAGCACTCCCTGCTATTTTACCAACTGCCAGCATAAAATATGTGGGTTTTAATCATTATATGCGACAGTTCAAACAGCCGGCCGATCAATCTAGTTTATTCCCAGGAAAAAAAAAATAAGCTTAGAACCATGTGGTGTGTTTATTTTATTTATATGTTTCCAAATCAACTGCAAGGAATTAAGAATTCAAACACCATAAACATCGCAGTCAAGTAACACCCTCTCCTAAAAATGATGTGCTGAGCCCACTGGAAGATACAAACAGGGCCCGTGGAAAAGAAGTCAAGTGCAGGGGTTTGGCCTCCAGCAGTTCTCATGCACAGAGGAGCCAACAACACAATCCTTGAGCTAGACCCTGGTCTATTAACACCAACCCCATTCCTCCCTGGAGCATCCATTGCTTAGACGTTTTGACACTCCCTATTCCCCCATCTCCATCGGGTCTCTCCTGCTTTCTCTTTCAGGGCACCTTGAACTTTCCCACAGAACATAAATAAAATGCACGCTACCCAGCTAGATTTTGGTGTTAGAAATCTGTGCTGCAGGAGTCTGCATGGCTTTTTGAAATGATCTGAGAAAGTTCCAAACATGTTCCCAGTGGCACTTCTTATCAACACTGCACTTTATGGCATCAGGAAAGCCTTTAGCATGACTGGGAAGTTTGTAAAGTTTGTCTTCCCAAGACCATAGGTATAGGATGTCATGGCAAAAAAAAGTGGGATTTTCAGTCAGACAGGTCTCAGCTCAAATCCTAGTCCCATTATTTATTATTTATTTACTGGCCATGTGGTTTTAGGCTATCGCAGTGGCCATGAAAGTGGGCCACTCAGACCCCCTGCTTTGGAAGCATAGTTGATGGCCCAGCTCTTGCCTCTCCAGACCCTGACCATCCAGATCATTGCATTTGAACCCAGGCCATGCTCCCCGGCCAATGACTAAGCACAGTCACTTGCACAGGCTATTTCTGGGAGATGTGGGATTCTTCCAACAGGCCACTTTGGCTCAAGACCTGGCTGAGACTTTCCTAGGGCTGGCTGCGACCCCAGACACTTCCTTCAGTTCTGCTTCCTTCCTTCTCTCCTCCACAGGGGTCAGACTGGCATCTGACATCAGATGGCATCACCATCTGAAAATCCCCCTTCTTCATTCCCCTGCTCTTTCTCCTTGAGCTTCACAGACATTTCTCCCACCAACATCTCTCACATATCTAATCCTGTCTTGGCCTCTGCTTCCCAGAGGACCTGATGAATTAACACAGCTACTCACCTAGCCTTTCTATGACTCAGTTTCCTAACCTGTTAAACAGAGAGACTATAACCTACCTTGTCTTGTGATTATGTGACCTAAATACAGATGGAGGAGGGTGGCAGCATCATTCCATATACTACCTGCTAGTTGAGATTATTTTGTTATTCTTTGGATCAAAAAGAAATACAACAGAAGCTATTATCTTTTCTTACCCTGCTCCAGTGAGACACCTTGACCCCCTCCTTGAGTTATGCACCCCCTACTTTGAAGGCCACTAGTTTGCTTGCATTCAGTCCCCATTTCTCCACTTATCCTTCAAGAGCCTCTCTGCCCTGCACCCACCTCCCTGTACCTGCCCAATCTCTCCAAGGCACTCTGCTGCAGTCAGCCCAGCCTCTTACCTCCCCTAGCCCCTTGTTCCTGGTCCTAATGTGTGCCCTCCTGCCTCCTGTCATCCACGTTTTGTTCGTGCTTCCTTCCCCAAGGGCCTTCTCCAAGCCTTTTCAGCCTAGAATGATCTCACTCTGCTCTAAATGCCTGGAACACATCTAACCCTCACCACGCTTAAGAAAACAAAAACAAAGAAACCTCACCACCTACTTATTTGTCTCTACAGCTGAGCTGTAGAAGCTGCCCACAGGCCAAAGCTACTTGAGTGCAGAGAAGACAGAGAGCTAATTGGAGTTGACATGGTTTTTATTAGGTGGCACCAGGTTCTACATCCCAAGACCAGCCCATGGGCTTGAGGAGCCTCCTGGACTCTTAGCACAGACACTGCTCTTTGACTCTCTCAGCATCTGTCTTCTCCTGGTGACTGGCTGGGGAGTGAAAACCTTAATTGGTCTATTGCACAGAGGCAGTAAGGAAGGAAGCCATGGGGAATCACTCTAACTTCTAGCTGAGAGGACAAAACTGTGCCACGCTTAGGGTGAGTTAGCCCACATTTTGCATGTATTGCAGTTTCTGTTCTGACTTCCCAGGCTGAGTCAACACATTCATAATAACACACTTTTTTTTAAAAGAAGTCCAATTAATTTTTAAAAATTAGACCTCCCAAAGTATGAAATTAACCCACTTTTTAACAGCTTTATTAAGATATACTTCACACATCACATAACTTACCTATTTAAAGTGTACAGTGGTTTTTACACTTGATCTTAGCCAAAAGGCCGAGAAGCAATGTACAGTGGTTTTTAGTATATTCACAGAGTTATCAGCCTAACCCTGTGATGGTCAGTTTGAGGTGTCAACATGGGCTACAGTCCCCAGTTATTCAACTAAACACTAATCCCAGTGCTTCTATAATGGTATTTTGTAGATGTGATTAAAGTCCATAATCAGTTGACTTTTAGTTAATGGAGATTATTTGGGTAATCTGGGAAGGCCTGACTCAATCAGGTGAAAGGTCTTAAAAGCAGAGCTGAGGTTTCCTAGAAGAACTTCTGCCTGCAGACTGCAGCTTCAGCTCTTGCTAGAGAATTCCTCCCTGCCCTTTCTGACAGCCTGCCCCATGAATTTCAAACTTGCCTCACCATCCTCCACAACTGTAGAAGACCACTCCTTGCAACAAATCTCTTTATATTTCCTATTGGTTATATTTCTCTGCTTGAACCCTGACCGATACAAACTCACTTTAAAAATACTGTAAAAACAAAGCTCCATTTTCTATAGAAGTCTGTTTTTCTTTCTTAGTATCTCTTGCAATCTTCTCTCCCTTTTCGCTATGTGTTCTTAGAGGCATTTGTACTTCCCTTCTTCTTCCAGAGACAAGTCCTGGATTCCATCTTGATTATAGATAGGTGCAATAAAAAAATTTCACCACCACCAGAACAATTTGTTGGGAGTTTATTTGTAATTTTTCCTATTGTAATTTTTACTAGAATGTAAATAACACAAGAGTTAGGATCTTAGTTTTTTCTGCTTACTGAGATATATCCAGGGCCCAGAACTATGCTTGACATATAATAGATATTTGCTACAGTTTGAATGTCTGTCCCCTCCCAAACTCATGTTAAAATTTAATTACCATTATGACAGTGTTAAAAAGTGGGGCCTTCAAGAGGTGATTAGGCCATGAGGGCTCTGCTCTCATTAGTGGATTAATGCCATTATCTTGAAAGTGGGTTTGTTATTGTGGGAGTGGGTTCCTCATAAAAGGATAAGTTCAACCCCCTTTTCTCTCCCTCTCACCTTCTGCCGTGGGATGACACAGCAAGAAGGCCATTGCAACATGCTATTTCCTTGATCTTGGACTTTCCAGCCTCCAGAACTGTGAGAAATACATTTCTTTTCATTATAAATTACCCAGTCTATGGTATTCTGTTATAGCAGCACAAAACAGATTAAGACAGAATATTGGTACCAGAGAAGTGAGGTGTTGCTATAACAAGTACCTGAAATTGTGAAAGCAGCTTTGAAACTAGGTAATGGGTAGAGGTTGAAAGAATCTGGAGGAGCCTGGTGTGGTGGCACGCATCTGTGGCCCCTGCTACTTGGGAGGTTGAGCGGGGAGGATCGCTTGAGCACAGGGGTTCAAGGCTACGATGCACAATAATCGCACCTGTGAATAGCCACTGCACTCCTGCCTAGGTAGCATAGTAAGACCCCACTAATAAATTTAAATAAATAGATAAATAAAAAGAATTTGGAGGAGCAGGCTAGAAAATGCCTGTATTGCTATGAATGGAATGTTAAGGGCAATTCTAATGAGGGCTTAGAAGAAGACAAGAGCTGTAGGGAAAGTCTGAAATTTCTTTTCTTTCTTTTCTTGGTTTTTTTAAAGCTTCAGAATTATGCTCCAAATATGAAATTTCTTAAGAGATTACTTAAATGGTTGTGATTAAAATGTTAGTGGAAATATGGATGTAAGGCCATTCTGATGAGGTCTCAGATGGTAAGAAGGAACAAGATATTGGAAACTAGAGTAAAGGTCATCCTTGTTATAAAGTGCCAAATAACTTGGAAAAATTGTGTCAACACCTAAGGGCCTTATGGAAGGCAGAATTTAAGAAGAATGAGCTAAGGTCTCTGGCAGAAGAAATTTCTAAGCAAAATATTGAAGGAACTGCACGTCTTCTTTTAACTGCATTTAGTACAATGAGAGAAGAGGGAAATAATTTAAAGATGGAATTTATAATTAAAAGGAAAGCAGAACATAAAGATTGGGAAGATTAGCAGCCTGGACATATAAAGAACAAAGAGTGTGCAAGAGTACAGCCAAGAAACCCTCTGATGAAGGGATTAGCATGGATCCAAGGAAGCTAGGTGCTATTCATCAAGACATAGGTGAAAACCTGAATCCATTTTGGAGATTTTTGGGGCGGCCCCTCCCAACACAGGCCCAGGGCTCTAAGAGGGCAGAGTGGTCCCTGCATTCCAGTGTAGTGCTACTTAGCCATCCCAGCTGTGGCTCAAGTGGCCCCAGGTTCAGCTCATGCTGCCACTCCAGAAGGAGCAAGCAATAAGCCTTAGTGGCATTCACATGGTGCTAATTCTGAGGTGCGCAGAGTTTGAGAACCATGGAGGCATGGCTGCCTCCATCTATATTTCAAAGGATGTATCAGACAGCCTGGGGGCCCAGCCAGAGACTTGTCATAGGGGCAGAGCCATGGCAGGGAACCCCCTCTAGGACAATGCCTAGTGGAGCTGCAGGGTCAGAGCCACCCCAGAGTTCTGACTAGACCTAGTGAAACCCCTGAGATCCCGGAACTGTGGAGCCACCAACATGCAACACCAACCATCCAGAAAGAACGGCAGGCATGAGACTCCAACCCATGAGAGCTGCTGCTTGGGAGGAGCCCAGCAAAGCCATACGGGCAAAGCTGCCTGAGGCCTTGGTGGCCCAACCCCAATCCCAGTGTGTCTAGAAGGCAGCAGATGGAGTCAAAGATTATTCTGGAGTCTTAAGATTTAATGGGCCAGGTGCAGTGGCTCATGCCTGTAATCCCAACATTTTGGGAGAGATTGAGGCGGGAGGATTGCTTGAGGCCAGGAGTTCCAGACCAGCCTGGGCAACATAGCAAGACTCCACCTATACAAAATAAAAAGATTAGCCAGGCGAGGTGGTACATGCCTGGTAGTCCTAGCTACTTGAGAGGCTAAGGTGGGAGGATTGCTTGAGCCTAAGAGGTCAAGCTGCAGTGAGCTATGATTGCACCACTGCCCTTCAGCCTAGGTGACAGAGCAAGACTGACTTTTTTTTTTTTTGAGACGGAGTTTCACTCTTGTCGCCAGGCTAGAGTGCAATGGCGTGATCTCGGCTCACTGCAACCTCCACCTCCTGGGTTCAAGCGATTCTCCTGCCTCAGCCTCCCGAGTAGCTGGGATTACAGGTGCCCGCCACCACGCCTGGCTAATTTTTGTATTTTTAGTAGAGATGGGGTTTCACCACGTTGGCCAAGCTGGTCTCAAACTCTTGACCTCAGGTGATCCGCCTGTCTCGGCCTCCCAAAGTGCTGGGATTACAGGAGTGAGCCACCGAAGACTGACTCTTAAAGAAATGATTTAATGTTGTTCATCCTGTTGGCTTTTGAACTTTTGGCCTGTTACCCCTTTCTTCTTGCCTATTTCTCTCTTTTGGAATGAGAATGTCTATCCTATGCCTGTATCACCATAGTACTTTGGAAGTAGATAACTTGTTTTGATTTCATAGGCTCAGAGCTGAAGGGAAATTTGCCTCAGGATGCATTGTGCCTTGAATCGGTTTGAATGTTTGTCTCCTCTCAAACTCATGTTGAACTTTACTTGCTATTGTAACAGTATTAAGAAGTGAGACTAAGAGGTGATTAGGCCATGACAGCTCCATCCTCATGAATGGATTAATGCTATTATCTGGGGAGTAGGTTTGTTATTTGAGGAGTGAGTTCCTCATAAAAGGACAAGTTTGGCTCCCTTTCCTCTCTTTTGCCCTCTTGTCTTCTGCTATGGGATGATGCAGCAAAAAGTCCCTCACCAGATGCCGGATCCTCAACCTTGGCCTTCCCAGACTCAAGACTGTGAGAAATAAATTTCTGTTTATTATAAATCACCCAGTCTATGGTATTTTACTATAGAAGCAAAAAATGGACTAAGACAATATTAAATATTTTTTGAATGAATGGATACCCACAGTAGCATTGTAAACTGAAAGGAGAGAGTCTCCTTTTACTTCCCCCATAAAAGCCTAACAGTGCTAGGAGCACAGAAGGTGCTTGTGGTAGATCATAGAAAACGGCCACAAATTCTTCCCTTGTCACAGGAGCTGGGGTCTACTTCTCCATCACTTAAATTTGAGCTTGGCTATGTGAATTGCTTTGGTCAATAGGACATGAGCAAATGTGATACCAGAAGAAGCTTGAAAAATGCTTGGGTATTGGAGCTTGGGCTTGGAACTTGAAGACCACCAAGTAAACAAGCCTGAGGTAGCCTAAACTGGAGGGTTAAAAGCTACATGGGGAAGAACCAAGGCATCCCATCCAACAACCATCTGCCAAACATCAGACAGGTGTGTGAGGCCATTCTAGATCATCCAACCACCTGCCAACTTGCAAGCTGAATAGAGACACATCAGCCAGCACAGACCAGAAGAACTGCCTAACCAACCCACTGAATCATTAGCAAAAGAAAATGTTTCTGGTTTCAAGCCACTCAATTGAGGTCATCTGTTGTAAAATGACAGCTAATTGATACAGTGCTCAATGAATTCCCAAGTTCAGATAAAGAAAAATATGTCATTTCAGTTCTCAATTGTTGATTTTGTGTGTCTGCTATATGCTAGACTCTGTGCTTGGCACCAAAAACATGGCAATTAAAAGATGTGGTTCCACAAGCCTCCTTAGACATGATACAAAAAGCATAAGCAACAAAGAAAAAAATATATAAATTGGATTTTATCAAAATTAAAAACTTTTGTGCTTCAAAGGACACCATCAAGAAAGTAAATGACAACTCACAGAATGGGAGAAAATATTTACAAATCGTATAAGGAACTTGTATCCAGAATATATAAAGAACTCTTATAACTCAATAATAAGATATAAATAACCCAATTAAAAAATGGGCAAAAGGTCTGAATAGACGTTTCTCCAAAGAAGATATACAAATGACCAATAAGCACGTGAAAAGCTGCTCAACATCCTTAGTTATCAGGAAGTACAAATCAAAACAGCAAGAGGGCTATAATATTGCTTGAGTTATAATATTGTATACTGGAAATATGCTGAGAGTAGATTTTAGGTACTTTTAACACACACTAACTATAACTATGAGAGATGATGGATATGTTAATTTACCTGACTGTAGAAATCATTTCACTATATATGTGTGTATCAAAACATCATGTTGTACACCTTAAATGTGGACAGTAAAAATGACACATGAATAAAAAAGAGAAAAAAGGAAAATTATTCTAAAAAATACCCATAATGGGATAACACTTTATACCTACTAGGATGACTATGATAAAAAAGACAGACAATAACAAGTATTGGTGAGGATGCAGAGTAATTGGAATCCTTACACACTGCTGAGGGGACTGTAAAATGGTGTGGCTGATTTGGAAAACAGTCTGGCGGTTCTTCAAAGGGTTAAACATAATTACTGTGTAACCTAGCAATTCCACTCCTAGGTATGAATCCAAGAGAAATGAAAACATATATCCACACAAATCTTTGCACATGAATGCTCATACTAGCATTATTTTTAATAACCCCAAAGTGGAAACAATCCAAATGTTTATCAACTAATGAATGGATAAGCAAAATGTGGTATATCCATACAATGGGATATTATTTGGCAATAAAAAGGAATGAAGTATTGAGACATGCTACAACATGGACGACCTCAAAAACATGCTAAGTGAAAGACACCACACACATAAAAACTGTACATTGTATGATTCCCTTTATATGAAATGTTCAGAATAGGCAACTGTAAAGAGACAAAAAGTAGATTACTGGTCACCAGGGGCTGGGACGGTAGGTGGGTATGGGGAGCAACTGCTAATGGGCACGGGGTTTCTCCTTGGAACGATGAGACTGTTCTAAAATTGGATTGTGGTGATAGTCGCACAACTGTGAATATACTAAAAATTGAATTTAAATGGGTGAACTGTATGGTATGTGAATTATATCTCAATAAAACTGGTTTTTATGAAGTTCAGCAACTTAGCCAAGGGCAAATGATTATTAGTAAATAGCTGGGGTAGGACTTGAATCCAGGTCCCATCTGCACACTTTCTGTCTGTTGGACTTTATATCTCAAATATGCCTAATACGTTTCTTTATTTCAAAAAATAGTGTACATAGAAAAATGCATAGTAATATGTAATACACATATAACGATATTCCATCTTTTTTTTTTTTAACCAACAGAGTCTTGCTCTATCACCTAGACTGGAGTGCAATGGTATGATCATAGCTCAATGCAGCCTTGAACTCATGGGCTCAAGCAATCCTCCTGCCTCAGCCTTCAGAGTAGTTGGGACTATAGGTGTGGGCCACCATGCCCAACTAATTTTTAATTTTTTTGTAAAGATGGGTCTTATTATGTTGCCCACTCCTGGGGCTTCAAGCAGTCCTCCCATCTTGGCCTTCCAAAGTACTGGGATTACAGGTGTGAGCCACCATGCCTAGTCTGGTTTTTTAACTTTAAAATAGATGGTGAGCCATTTTCCATGTCATGACCTAATCTTTTAAATGTAAATTTTTTAACTTTAATTTTAGGTTCAGGGAAACATGTGCAGGTTTGTTATATAGGTAAATTGCGTGTCATGGTGGTTTGGTGTACAGATTACTCATCACTCAGGTAATAAGCATAGTACCTGATAGGTAGTTTTTCGATCCCCACCCTCCTCTCACTCTCCACTCTCAAGTAGGCCTCAATGTCTGTTGTTCCCTTCTTTGTGTCCATATGGACTCAATGTTTAACTCTCACTTATGTGTGAACATGGGGTTTTTGGTTTTCTGTTCTTGTGTTAGTTTGCTTAGGATGGTGGCCTCCAGTTTCATCCATGTTGCTGCAAAGGACATGATCTTGTTCTTTTTTATGGCTACATCATATTCCATAGTGTATATGTACCACATTTTCTTTATCCAGTCTACCATTGATGGGCATTTAGGTTGATTCCATGTCTTTGCTGTTGTGAACAGTGCTGCGATGAACATATGTGTGCATGTGTCTTTATGGCAGAATTCTTTATATTCCTTTGGGTATATACCCAGTATTGAGATTGCTGGGTCAGATGGTAATTCTACTTTAAGTTCTTTGAGAAATTGCCAAACTGCTTTCCACCGTGGCTGAACTAATTTACATTCCAATCAGGAGTGTATAAGTATTCCCTTTTCTCTGCAACCTCACCAACATCTGTTATTTTTTGACTTTTTAATAATAGCCATTCTGACTGGTATGAGATGGTATCTCATTGTGGTTTTGATTTGCATTTCTCTAATGATTGGTGATGTTGAGCATTTTTTCCTATGCTTATTGGCTGCATGCATGTCTTCTTTTGAAAGTGTCTGTTCATGTCCCTTGCCTACTTTTTAATGAGGTTGTTTGTTTTTTTTTCTTATAAATTTGTTTAAGTTCCTTGTAGATGCTGGATATTAGACCTTTGTCAGATGCATAGTTTACAATATTTTCTCCCATTCTGTACGTTGTCTGTTTACTCTGTTGATAGTTTCTTTTGCTGTGCAGAAGCTCTTTAGTTTAATTAGGTCCCATGTGTCAATTTTTGTTTTTGGTGCAATTGCTTTTGGCATGTTTGTCATGAAACTTTTGCCAGGGCCTGTGTCCAGAACGGTATTTCTTAGGTTTTCTTTAAGTGTTTCTATAGTTTTAGGTTTTACATTTAAGTGTTTAATCCATCTTGAGTTGATTTTTGTATACGTTGAAAGGTAAGTGTATCAGTCCATTTTCAAACTGCTGATAAAGACATACCTGAGACTGGGCAATTTACAAAAGAAAGAGGTTTAATTGGACTTACAAGGAGAAGCAAGTCACGTCTTACATGGATGGCAGCAGGCAAAAAGAGAGAGCATGTGCAGGGAGACTTCCGTTTTTCAAAACCATCAGATCTTGTGAGACTTACTCACTATCACGAGAACAGCATGGGAAAGACCTGCCCCCGTGATTCAATTACCTCCCACTGGGTCCCTCCTACAACATGTGGGAATTCAAGATGAGATTTGGGTGGGGACACAGCCAAACCATATCAGTAGGGATCCAGTTTCAATCTTCTGCATATGGCTAGCCAGTTATTCTAGCACAATTTATTGAATAGGGAATTCTTTCCCCATTGCTTGTTTTTGTTGATTTTGTGGAAGATCAGATGGTTGTAGGTGTGCAGCATTATTTCTGCACTCTCTATTTTGTTCCATTGGTCTATGTGTCTGAACAGTACCATGCTTTGTTTACTGTAGCCTTGCAGTATAGCTTGAAGTCAGGTAATGGGATGCCTATAGCTTTGTTCTTTTTGCTTAGGATTGCCTTGACTGTTAGGGCTCTTTTTTGGTTTCATATGAATTTTTTTTTTTTTTGAGACGGAGTCTCGCTCTGTCGCCCAGGCTGGAGTGCAGTGGCACAATCTCGGCTTGCTACAAGCTACACCTTCCGGGTTAATGCCATTCTCCTGCCTCAGCCTCCTGAGTAGCTGGGACTACAGGTGCCCGCCACCATGCCTGGCTAATTTTTTGTATTTTTTAGTAGAGAGGGGGTTTCACCATGTTAGCCAGAATGGTCTCAATCTCCTGACATCGTGATCCACCCACCTTGCCCTCCCAAAGTGCTGGGATTACAGGCATGAGCCACCGCGCATGGCCTCATATGAATTTAAAAACATTTTTTTTTCAAATTCTGTGAAGAATGTCATTGGTAGTTTGACAGTAATAGCATTGAATCTGTAAATTACTTTGGCTGGTATGGTCATTTTAACAATATTGATTATTTCTATCCATGAGCATGGAATGTTTTCTTATTTGTTTGAGTCATCTCTGATCTCATTCAGCAGTGTTTTGTAGTTCTCCTTGTAGAGATCTTTTACCTCCCTAGTTAGCTGTACTCCTAGGTATTTTATTCTTTTTGTGGCTATTGTGAATGAGATTGCATTCTTGATTTGGCTCTCAGCTTGGATGCTGTTGGTACATAGAAATGCTACTGATTTTTGTACATTGATTTTGTATCCTGAAACTTTGCCGAAGTTGTTTATCAGATCAAGGAGCTTGTGGGGAGAGACTACGGGTTTTCTAGGTATAGAATCATGTCATCTTCAAACAGGGATAATTTGACTTCCTCTCTTCCTATTTAGATGCCTTTTATTTCTTTCTCTTGCCCGATTGCTCTGGCCAGGACTTCTAATACTATGTTGAATAGGAATGGTGAGAGAGGGCATCCTTGTCTTGTGCCAGTTTTCAAGGGGAATGTTTCCAGCTTTTGCCCATTTAGTATGATGTTGGCTATGGGTTTGTCATAGGTGGCTCTTACTATTTTGAGGTATGTTTATTGAGAGTTTTTAACATGAAGCAGTGTTGAATTTTATCTAAAGCCTTTTCTGCATCTATGAGATGATCATGTAGTTTTTGTTTTTAGTGCTGCTTACATGGTGAATCACATTTATACAGTGTAGAATTGTAATAGCTACATAGTATTCCATTGTATGGCAGAACCTTAATTTATTTAACCAAGTGCTTTTTATTTGGATGGTTTCTTTTTTTTTTTTTTTTTTGAGACGGAATCTGGCTCTGTCGCCCAGGCTGGAGTGCAGTGGCGCAATCTCAGCTCACTGCAAGCTCCGCCTCCCGGGTTCACGCCATTCTCCTGCCTCAGCCCCCCGAGTAGCTGGGACTACAGGCGCCTGCCACCACACCTGGCTATTTTTTTGTGTTTTTAGTAGAGATGGGGTTTCACCATGTTAGCCAGGATGGTCTTGATCTCCCGAACTCGTGATTCGCCCGCCTCGGCCTCCCAAAGTGCTGGGATTACAGGCGTGAGCCACTGCGCCCGGCTGGATGGTTTCTAACATGGGGCTATCAATCCCACTCCTATAAACAAGCTTGTGGGTAAATTTTTGACAGCATCTATGACCTTTTTTCAATGATCAATGTAGGGTTTATCTTCCTTTTTAACTTTTTACTAATGCAGAACATGTATAGATAAAAGTGCACATATCATAAGTGTACAGGTAGACACATTTTCACAAACTGAGCCCACCTGTGTAACCAGCACTCAGCTGAAGAAACAACATGACCAGAACTTCAGAAGAAGCCCCCTTTGTACACCCTGCCCACCGGGTCTTTTTTCTTTTTCAATTGAATATCATTGTATCAATTGCTATTGTTGGAATATCATTTCAACTGGTTATCAATTTAATACATCAAATTGGCAAACCCAACATACCACTTTGTAGCAGGGCCAGTAAGGACATCACAGAGTGCCACTGCATGTGCACTGGTGTCTATCTACTCTCTGTGCCTTGACCCTCCTACTTTCAGCTCTCTGGTATCTGGTAACCTTAACTCTCACCTGAGCGTCAACTCTACCTTTTGTGTAGCTTCAATAGCTGAGTGGGCAGCAGGCAGGTTGGGAAAGAGGCATGCTGGGAAGTTTCTTATCATTAATATAGCTTCCCTGGTCAGTCTGATTGGCCTGACCAGGCATGTGTTGCCCTTTCCCCAGCCCCACACACCTACCTGCCTAAGCAGTTGTGAGCAAGGGCCAGGTATTCTAAACTAATAGATTTCAAACTTGGCTATATGTTGGAATCGCTGGGGACCTTGAAATGTAATGATGCCTGGGGCCCACCCCCAGAGATTCTGATTTAATTGGACTGGAGTATGGCTTGGACATGGAGATTAAAAAAAAACAAAACACCCAAGTGATTCCAATCTGCAGCCAAGGCTGAGAACCACTGCTCTCAACTCTTTGGCATTTGTGGGTGTGCTGCTCTGTGTCAACATTAGCTGAGGATTAACTGCCACGTCTCATTGACTCCATAATATTTTTGTAACTTGCACCAACATTTTTTTTTGTTTCACTTTCTTTAGAGGGTTTGTGCAACACTGTTTTGACAACATCCCACTCTCTTCATAGATTGAACTGACAGTCTCTAAGATGGCTGTAGATATACTGGGTCCTTTAACCAGAACAGGAATTAAGATGTTTTAAAACAATAGTGAGTTACAAAAGTCACTCCTTAAGCATATTTGATGAGCTTTCTACCTCTACTACAGATGATGTGCTTTGATGAAATAGTGTGCTTGCTGAAAGAAATGATGGTTTCAGATGTGTAAATTGCACAAGAGAGGTTTACAAGGCCATCACGCCTGACCCATCTGAATTGTTTCCTGCAGAGGACACAAGCCTTTGGAAGGACACTTCATGGGCAGGGAGGACCTTCCTAAACAGGAGCCCAGACAGCATACTTGAAAGGTGATTAAAGAAAATTTCTTTTGTAAGTTACCTTCAAGAAGGAAAAGGAACTGCCTGGCTTATGAGGCCAAATAAATGGGCTAATCAGAAATCAGACACTTAAAGCACAAAAGGAAAAGAAAGGAGATTAAGCAAGGCAAGAAGAGATGAGTCTGGGGTAAATTGGCACTTCCGCAGTGTACGAGGAGTGTGGCTGACACCCAGTAGAGGGAATGACCAGCTAGGTCACCTGGTAAGGCTGTTGGTGAGTTTCAGTCGAGCCTCCAAGGTGCTGAGGCACATGAAACACGGGCAAGTGTCATCCGTGTTAGACAGACAGGGTAATAAACAACGAAGGCAAAGGCACAGATTTGGAAACACCTTCTGAGTCTCGCAAAGTTGTCAAACTATTTCCAATTTCACTCTACTAAGTGTTCACATGAGAATGCTGATGTGTGGGCTGGAGTTCCCAGCAACGTCATCTTTTCCTGAGGCATGCTCAGTGGATCCCGGCCAGGAGGTCTGCTCCACAGAGCTTGGAGCGGATGATACACTTCCCCACGTGATTGCAAAGCAGTGGTGGCTTCTGTCTTATATTTATACAACCAACAGGAATAACCTATTTTAGAGAAAACAGGCAAAGAAGGGAGCTGAGGGTAGTAATTTTGTAGCCTACTCTGTAATTTAGTCTGGTACTCTTTGCCGAAAGAGAAAATAGTTCCTCTGTTAACAGACAGTGGAGGATGAGAGAAGGAAGGATCAAACAATTTGGGCCCCGGTCCTAGAATTTCCAACGTGGTGGGAAGGGAGGGAAAATGTTGACTTCCCCCCTCCCATTTTAATATCATAGAAAACCAATGGTTATTCATGGAGATGACAGGCACACAGATTGAGATATAGATTAGATGGATGGAGAGAGAGAGAGAGTGAAGTGGAGAGGAGAGAGAGAGATAGAGAAAGAAAGAGAGAGAGATTGAGAGAGAGATGGTGGCAGGGTGAGCAGCGCAATAATAGGATGAGAGGAGACAAGACTATCCATCAAGAGCATAGACTCTGAAGCCAGACTGCTGCCTAGGATTGAGTTGCAGCCACCACTGACTAGCAGGTGACCTTGGGCAGGTTATGGAACCTCTCTATGTCCCAGTGTTCCCATCTATAAAATGAGTTAGTAAGAGTACATACTTTGTGGGGCCTGGCAAAGAGTAAGCTGGAAAAAGTTAGCTTTTATTTTATTCTTATTAGTATAACTTCCCAGGATATTACAAGAAAACAGATGAGAATTCTCTATCCCAGCCTGAGGTAGTCAGAGAGAATCACCCCTCAGGCCAGGGGAGGTGGTGGCCTGAAACGAGTCTTACCTGATGAATGGGAATTAGCAAGTGAGGAGGGAGATGACATTTACATTCTAGGCAGAGGAGAGGGGTTTGTGGGTGAGAAACAGAGTGCTTGTAAAGAAGTAAAGAAGGCTTTCAAGTGATTTGGCGGGAGAGAAAGGGAGAGAGAGAGAGATAATTTTTTGAATCCCAATTATTTCCATGTTTCAAAAATAAACACATATGGAAATCATGATGTTTTTTTCAGTCCACAGAAAATGAAATACAAGGAGATTCAAGAACATCTTGTCTCCCCAGGGATCTATAGACCACAGTTTGGAAATCACTGTTAGTGTGTGCTGTATCTTAGACCCAGGCCCTGCTTCCCTTCAACAGCACCATTTAGGAGAGTCACTGAAGGTTTTCAAACAGAGGAACCATGATGGAAATGACTCTTCCACATCTATTTCGATCTCTTTCCAGTGTGCCTTTATGTATAGTACAGAAATAGAAAAACTACATTTCCCAGACTCCCTTGCAGCTGTGTAATTTAAGTTACACCAATCAGATGTGGTCATGTTAGACAAATGTTAGAACTCATTTAAGTGGGGGAAAGAGGCATGGTAGGTGGTTTCTATTTTGCAGATACAGGTTGCAACAGGTCTGGGATGATTCTGAAGCCAAGGATTCCAGCAGTGGTTTCCTGATCCCCAGATTACACCTGAGGGCAGCCATCCTGGAGACATCTGCTGAGAGGGCAACTTCCTGATTTGCCCACACAACTCCTTCCCAAGGATGGTGGCTTGCCGGCAGCAAACCCAGTTAACACATGTCTGATGTCTGCAGTATTCTGGACCCAGATCCTGTTAACAGCACTATCCAGTTCAGGGGCCAGCCTCACTGTCTGCCTCATTTTCCACTGCCTGTGGCCCTCCATTAGAGTCCTGTAATCCCAGCTACTCAGGAGGCCGAGGCACTTGAGCCCGGAAGGCAGAGGTTTCAGTGAGCCGAGACCGTGCCACTGCACTTCAGCCTGGGTGACAGAGAGAGACTCCATCTCAGAGAAAAAAAAAAAGTGAACTGTAGCCCTGGACTTGAGGTGGGTGGCCTATGACAGGCCAGGGGTGGAAGGAGTTTCCTCTAGTCCTGGACAGAGTCCCCATGCGCAATGTGTGGGCTGTGCCCTGTACACAGGCACCTGGCAGAGGGAATGAGTGGGAGCTGAAATCCAGCCCATGTTCCCCTTGCCAAGCTGTGGGTCCCAGCACGGGGCTGCATGCTCCTGGAGGACGGGTTGCCTTTAAAAATCCACATTAAGGAGTCGTAGGTGCAGCCCTAGTTCCAGGTGATCAAACAGAGAGGAGAGGCCCCAGCGCTGCCCGTTCCAATGCCTTTTGATACCCAGAAGGGTGTGCTGTCCCCCACCCTCAAGCCACCAAAGGATGCAGATGTGTGCAGAGCTGTTGTCCCAGCCCTTTCACAGCTCTGCAGTTTGATCTTTTATTACAAAACCGCATGGAAGGGGCAAGGTGGCATTGGATTTGTTATTGCTTCCTCTGCTAAGTGTTTTAATGCCATGAACTGCATGTTACAAACTCTGCAATCATTCTTTGGACTTGGAAAATTGCTTAGGACAAAATAGTTCATCTCAAGAGAGGATGTGGGGAGAGGAGAGGAGGAGGAAAAGAGGAGGAGACAAAGTCCTCTTGGAACACAAACCACCAGTTTCCCTTCAAGAGTGACTAACTGCATTTGATCTTTGTTCCTTGCCCAGGGAACATGTTCAACAAGTATAAAACTAGATCATTTTTTGTTTATAGAAATGCTTTGAAGGCTCCAGGCCCTTCTGCTGTAATAGCAGCCTAGGCCATGTTTTCTACTGTCCTGAACCACATCCACTGAGAACAGATAACAGGTCAAACCAGAAGAAGCTGCTCGAGCACTGAGGCCTTCCTTCTGCTGTTAACCAGGCACAGCCTCCAGGAAGGGGGGCACAGAGAAGAAGCCTGTGTTGGCAACAGCCTGGGCACAGGCCTGTGCATATTGGGGCAAGAAAAATGAGCATGCATACAAGAGAGTATGGCAGATAGAAAGTTAGCTTTAAGGAATTTTGACCATAAATGTAAATCACCAAAACCACTTAAAGAAAAGTGTCAAAGCAAAGTAAAACACCATGCTGAAGTTTGTTTCTTCCATCTGTAGCAGATGCTTTGGTACCCCACTCATAATCCTCAGTATCTACCATTTTTATGCATATGGGCCCAACTTCTTTTTTTTTTGAGATGGAGTCTCACTCTGTCACCCAGTCTGGAGTGCAGTGGTGTGATCTTGGCTCACCGCAACCTCCACCTCCTGGGTTCAAGCAATTCTCCTGCCTCAGCCTCCCGAGTAGCTGGGATTACAGGCGCCTGACACCATGCCCAGCTAATTTTTGTGTTTTCAGTAGAGCTGGGGTTTCACCATGTTGGCCAGGCTGGTCTCAAACTCCTGACCTCAGGTGATCCCCCCGCCTTGGCCTCCCAAAGTGCTGGGATTACAGGCGTGAGCCACCGTGCCCAGCCATGGGTCCAACTTCTAACAGTCAGCAACTACTACTCTTTGCCCTAAGACTGTCTCTGAACACCAGAGCAACTCTCAAACAGTGCTCTTGCTTTTCAGGTGGGGTTCTACCTTGTCACCCAGAGTATCAGCAGGATTAAGTTCCAGTTGCCCACAATGGTAATTCACTTGATGACACACCATTAATGGCTTCTTCCTTCCCTTCTTTGTTTCACTTCCCCACTGCCGTACTGGTGTTTCCTGAAATTTCCTTCCAAGTAAACTACGGGTACTCCTTGACTTATGGAGGGGTTACATCCTGATAAACCTATTGCAAGTTGAAAATACTGTAAGTCGAAAGCACATTGAATACACCTAACCTCCCAAACATCATAACTTAGCCTAGTCTACCTTAAACATGCTCAGAACGCTTACATTAGCCCACAGTTGGGCAGAATCATCATGAAGCCTATTTTATAATAGTGTTGAATAATCCATGTAATTTATTGAATACTGTACAAAAAGTGAAAAACAGAATGGTTTTGCACCATCTTAAAGCTGAGAAATCCAGAGTTGAACCATCTTAAGTCAAGGACTTATGTAGATGATCTTGCACTGGAATCCTTATGTCAGCACCTATCTTTAGGAGAACGTGATAGAGTTTGGATGTGTGTCCCCACCCAAATCTTGTGTTGAAATGTAATCCCCAATGTTGGAGGTGGGGCCTGGTGGGAGGTGTTTGGGTCATGGTTGTAGATCCCTCATGGCTTGGTGCTGTCTTCACCAGAGTGAATGAGTTCTCACCAGATCTGGTCATTTAAAAGTGGGTGACACCTCCCCCCACCTTCCCCCCCACCTTGCCACCTTTCTCACCATGTGACATGCCTGCTACCCCTTTGCCTTCTGCCATGATTGTGAGCTTCCTGAGGCTGCACCAGAAGCCAAGCATATACCAGCACCATGCTTCCTATATGGCCTGCAGAACTGTGAGCCAATTAAACCTCTTTTTTTTTTTTTTTTAAGTACAATTTCCATTTTATTTTTCTCCAGAGAATAGCCTGTCTTCAGTCTTTAAGAACTCAGCTCCTTACATGGGCTTTGGTGGGGGACGTGGGGCAGCACCCGCAGGTCTAAATCGGGGTGGGGGTGTTCGGTCCTTGCGGGCTTCACGAGATCGATTCCTGACTACTTTGCTGTGAATTGCACAACTCACACAGTAATGTAGCTTCACATACAGCTTGGGAAGCACATAGGCATCGAAGACGCTCGCTTCAGAAATGTCCCTGATTGCTGCGGCCTCCACTATGTTTCGAATGACGAATTTCTTAATGGCCTTGTCCTTGGGCACGCATCGGGCACATTTAGTGCAGCGAATAGGCTGCACGTGGCCGCGGCCCTTTTTGGCACGACCATTGTTCCTTCTTTTCTTTGTCATCTTGGAGGCACAGACCGGAGAGAGCAAACCTCTTTTCTTTATAGCAGGTATTTCTTTATAGCAATGCAAGAACAGCCTAACACAGAACTCAAACTAAAACATCCTCCAACCTTCATCCATTTTATTAAAATTTGCCTTTTCCCTTATATGACAGGTATAATTTTCCTCTAAACTGTTCACTTTAAAAGTCGACACAAAGTTGGGGTAGCTCCTCCATCCAAACAATGAGTTTGATATAAGGCATATCTAAGTTTTAAAAAATCCTTGTGATTCTAAGGAACTTTTCCAATTCTTTGGTAGATTGGAATTTATTGTGTTAGATATTTGTCCTGTTATCTGAATGATAACTGGGTCTCAGCATTGTATTATCTGTTACGTTATATGAGTAGGGCCATATTTTAAATATTTTAGGGGAATTTAGAACTCAAACTAATTCTCTTGCGACCCCTTTTATAAAGCAAGCCTACATTTATGAATTCTTTTTTTTTCCTTCAAATGAACTATATCCACCTTGATATTTCATTGTTAAGTCTTAAATTTGAGTTGAGCACTGTGGCTTGTGTCTGTAACCCCAGCTATTCAGGAGGCTGGGGCAGGAGGATCGCTTGAGGCCAGAAGTTCAAGACCAGCCTAAGGAACATAGTGAGACCACATCTCTAAAAAAAAAATAGTAATAAAATCTAAGTGTAATTTTGTATCTGTGAACCAACCTCTTCATAGCCCTACTCCCCTCTCTTCCTAGCCTCTAATAACCATAGTTCTGCTCTCTATTTCTATGAACTCAACTTAAACATTTTTAAAATTGTTTTTCATGTTAGAGATGGGGTCTCGCTGTGTTGCCTGGGAGGGAGCGCAGTGTTTATTCACAAGCGTGATCATAGTGTACTGTAGCCTCAAACTCCGGGGTTCAGATGGTCTTCCTGCCTCAGTCTCCTGAGTAGCTGGGATTACAGGCAGGTACCACCACACCAGGCTCAGATTTTTAAGCTTCAGTATATGAGTGAGAACATGCAGTATTTATCTTTCTGTTTCTGACATTTCATTTAACCTAATTTCTTCCAGGCTCATCCATTGCTACAATGACAGGGTTTCATTCTTTTTTTACAGCTGAATAATATTCTATTATGTATATATGACAAATTTTCTTTAGGCATTCATTCACTGCTGAGCATTTAGGTTGTTCCCACACCTTGACTATTGTGAATAGTGCCGCAGTGAACCTGGGGGTGCAGATAGCTCTTTGATATACTTATTTCCTTTCCTTTGAATACTCTTAAAATGCTATTTCTCATTTGCCACTTAGCCTATTGCCAAGGACCTAATACAAAACCATCTGAAATACAATATTGATGGTATACAGCCTACAGGAAATCATTTTTGTTCCCAAACGTCAGGACTACCGTAATATTTCTTTTTCTGTCATTAATTTGTTGAGGAATGCTGGATAAATCACTCTGACTCTGCAGTCTTCAGTTTTTCCAGGGTATTGAACAATAAATTAATATTTGAAATTGTATAAAGCAAAGAAGGAATAGGACTATATCCATTTCTTAGAAGCAAAATGTTGGGGCTTATTTCAGTATAAAAGTAATATACACATAGAGAAAAGTAGAAAAATTCAGAAAAGCAAAAGAAAGAGCAGAAAAGCACCTATATTTCTATTGCATAAAAAACTTAGCATTACATTTTAGTTAATTTTCTTCCAATCTTCATGATGTGTACAGGTTTTGCGTTTTCATTATCATCATGACATAAAAAGGTTCTATGTTATTATCTCTTGTAGGATGTCATCATCTTAATAGAAGTATGAAATGCCAATGAGTAGATGTGCCATAGTTTACCTATTGAGTTTCCTATGTTCAGACACTTTCCCCTATTGGGTGCTATTATAAGTCATACTCAGCACAATTTAGTTTGTGTTATAGGATGTTTCCCCATTGTTATTTCCCAACAATTGTTAATCCTCATTCATGATGGACAGATCCCACACTCCATAGATAATGGGTTTCTATTACTGTCTTCCACACATATTGTAGTACTGGGTGCTTGCTCTGTGCCAGGCACCTTGCTAGGGCCAAAGATGAATAAGACGCAGCACCTATCTGTAAGGAGCTTGCAATCTGGAAAGGGAACACAGATCTGTAATCCACAAACAACAACAACCCAGTAAGAGAGCTCTACACAGGGTATTATGAAAGCACAGAGGAGCAAGTCTCTGACTCTAGCTAAGGAAGGGTTTTAGAAGCATAGGAGTAAGAATTTTCCAGACAGATGGCACAGATAAAAGAAATAAGAAAATAAATCAGGATAATGTGACAGCAGTGGGAGGAAGGTGACCACAGTAGACAGGGTGGCTAGGGAAGGCCCCTCTGGAGAGGTGACATTTGAACTAAGACCTGAATGACAAAAAGTTTCCAGCCATTTAAGGACCTAGTGCAAAAATGTTTATGGCAGAGGAACAGCAAGCACCAAGGAGACTTGAGTAATCTTGGCTCGTTCAAGAAAGACCATGGTGAGAATGACATAAGTGAAAGGGCCAGTAGTAGAGCTGACCTCAGGGAATGGGAGAAGAAGGTAAAGTGGGCCGAATGAAAGGATTGCAGGACAGGTTTGAGAGCTCAGCTGATGTTAAAGCACATCAATCAGGAATGGCACCAATTTATAATGTATAAGCTTCCCTGACTTTTTCAACTGCTTAGTAGTCGTAGGAATAGAGAAGCCAAATAGTTGGATTGATATATGGCTGGATATATCAAGTGTACCAAAGCAGAACAAGCGTAAACAAAAAGACAATGGGGCAAATAAGTGGAACATACTGGGGTGGAGAGTGTAGTGTTGTATACTCTAAGTTCTAGGCTGAATAAGAAAAGAGTAGAAGGTATTGCAGCACTATTCACAATAGCAAAGACTTGGGCCAAACCCAAATGCCCACCAATGATAGACTAGATAAAGAAAATGTGGCACATATACACCATGGAATACTATGCAGCCATAAAAAAGAATGAGCTCATGTCCTTTGCAGGGACATGGATGAAGCTGGAAGCCATCATTCTCAGCAAACTAACACAGGAACAGAAAACCAAACACTGCATATTCTCACTCATAAGTGGCAGTTAAACAATGAGAACATGTTGTTGCAGGATTGTTAAGGAATCAGAGAGACTGATGGGGTTCAGGAGGATATTTATTATTTAGGTGCACCAGCCCAGTCGGATTAACATCCAAAGGACTGAGCCCTGAACAAAGAGTTAAGTTACGTTTTAAGCATTTTGTGGGGCAGGGGGAGATCTGTGCAGGGGGAAGCATATTACAGAAGTGAGAAACAAAGACAGTTATTCAATTAATTGAGATATTCATTACATCATTTCTTACTTTTCAAGGAAAAACATGTTTTGCGACTTGAGTTTATCTGTCTAGTGACCTTGCAGCTGCACAGCTAGAGAAACAGGGTCTTCACAATGCCTAGGAAAGGAGGAGAGATAAGGCTCACTAGCCACAGAAAAACAGGCAGTTAATTTTTAAAGGACTCCAGCTCTTTCTCTTTCTCAGGGGGAATTGGGTTTTCTTACATATACTGAGTTTCTGCTTACACGTTCTTTAATTTATTTTAATTCCTGTTCCAACATGGACACAGAGAGGGGAGCTTCACACACCGGGGCCTGTCAGGGGGTTGGGGGCAAAGGGAGGGAGAGCATTAGGAGAAATACCTAATGCATGTGGGGCTTAAAACCTAGATGACGGGTTGATGGGTGCAGCAAACCACCATGGCACATGTATACCTATGTAACAAACCTGCACGTTCTGCGCATATATCCCGGAACTTAAAGTAAAAGAAAAAAGAAAAGAAAAGAGTAGAAGGTGAAAAGATTGGGAAGAGGTGGGTGTGACAAACAGGCAGAAAACTGAGGACTGTGGGATTGGAGGCCTTAGAGCAGATGTCATAGAAATAAGGTAGAGGGAAAGCTATAAGGACAAAGGGTCGGACCCTGAAAGTAGAATACTGGGGTTTAAAACAGCAGAGTTCCAACAGCTTTGGGTGATGTCAAGGTCCATGGCTAAGGTGAAATTGAGGTGATGGTTAAAGAGGAAATCAGAGGCTGGGCGCGGTGGCTCACGCCTGTAATCCCAACACTTTGGGAGGCCGAGGAGGGTGGATCTCCTGAGGTCAGGAGTTTAGGATCAGCTGGCCAACATGGTGAAACCCCGTCTCTACTAAAAATACAAAAATTAGCCGGGTGTGGTGGTGGGTGCCTGTAATCCCAGGTACTCGGGAGGCTGAGGCAGTAGAATCGCTTGAACCTGGGAGACAGAGGTTGCAATGAGCCGAGATAGCGCCACTGCACTTCAGCCTGGGCAATAGAGTGAGATTCTGTCTCAAAAAAAAAAGAAAGAAATCAGGGACGGGTGGTGGAAGATAGGGTGTTAAGACTTCATCAAATTAAAACCTTTTGTGCTTCAAAGGACAACATCAACAAAGCAAAAAGACAACTCACAGAATGAGAGAAAATATTTGCAAATTATTTATCTGATAAGGGATGTGTATCCAGAATATATAAACAACCCTTACAACTCAATAATAAAAAGATAAACAACCCAATTAAAAATGGGCAAAGAATCTGCATAGACATTTCTTAACAGGAGATGAACAAAGGGACAATACACGCATGAAAAGATGCTCAGCATGCTAGCCATCAAGGAAACGCAAATAAAAGCCACAGTGAGATACAACTTCACACCCACTAGAATGGCTATAATCAAAAGATAGATAAACAATTGTTGGTGAGGATGTGGGGAAATTGGAACCCTCCTTCCCCGGTGAGGGGAATGTAAAATGGCATAGCTGCTTTGGAAAATAGTTTGGCAGTTCCTCAAGATGTTAAACAGAGGTACTATATGACCCAGGAATTCACTCCTAGCAATATACTCAAGAAAAATGAAAGCATATGTTAACACAAAAAGTTGGACACAGATGTTCATAGAAACATTACTTAATAGTCAAAAGAAGCAACAACCCAAATGTCCATCAACTGGTGAATGAATAAGCAAAATACGGTATACCCATACACTGCTAGAACATGAATGTCTCTTGAAAACATCATGCTAAGTGAATTGAGAGTCACAAAAGTCTACATATTATATATGATTCTATTTCTATGAAATGTCCAGAATATGCAAATCTATAGAGTCAGAAATCAGATTAGTGGTTGTTGAAAGTAGATTAGGAATTGGGGGTAATGGGGAGTGGCCAGCATTTTCTTAATGAAATAGGATGCAATAGAATAGAGTAGAAAAAAAAATCTTGACATCTCAGCTTAGGTGCCATTTCCTCAGGAAGTCTTCCCTAACTAGGTCAAATTCCCCTGTTGGTACCTCTCCTTTGTAGCACTAAGCACAGTTGAAATTTTGAGTTTATTTGCATGACAGTTGGATGAATGTTAGGATCCCAGAATGTGAATATAAATCCATTGCACCTCCAGCACCTAGCATAGTGCTGGACACATAGCAAGTGATTTGTAAATATCTGTTGAAGGAAGCTGGTAAGTCAGGGGCCAAAGTTCTAGATAAAAAGAACAAAGTAACCTAGAGGGAAAGGAATAAAATGAGGGCTCTAAAAATAAAGGTCTCTAAGACAGTGTTTTTCAGACGGGGGGCCACAAAACATTAGTGAGTTGTGAAAGTGATTTACTAAATTGTGTTCTGCTTTTTTTTTTTTTTTGACAGAGTCTCGCTCTGTTGCCCAGGCTGGAGTGCAGTGGCACGATCTTGGCTCACTGCAATCTTTGTCTCCTGGGTTCAAACCATTCTCCTGCCTCACCCTCCCGAGTAGCTGGGATTACAGGTGTGTGGCCTGGCTAATTTTTATATTTTTGGTAGAGATGGAGTTTCACCATGTTGGCCAGGCTGGTCTCGAACTCCTGACCTCAAGTGATCCGCCCACTTCAGCCTCCCAAAGTGCTGAGATTACAGTCATGAGCCACGGCGCCCGGCATTTAAAAAAAAAAAAAAAAAAAAGAAAGGGTCTCTCTGTTGCCCAGGCTGGAGTGCAGTGGTGCGATCATAGCTCACTGCAGCCTTGAACTCCTCCTGGGCTCAAGGGATCCTCCTACCTCATCCTTATCCTACCTTATCCTCCTGAGTAGCCAAGACCACAGGCATGTGCCACCACACCTGGCTAATTTTTTTTTTTTTTTTTGTAGAGACGGGGTCTCTCTATGTTGCTCAGCCTGATTCTGAACTCTTGGCCTCAAGCGATCCTCCCACCTCTGCTTCCCAAAGCCCTGGGATTCCAGGGGTGAGCCACCACACCCAGCACTGGCTTGCCTTTTTAAAAGAAGTAGAATGGAATCGAGTAGAAAATATCAGTGTTTTGCACATAGCAAGAGAAAAATTTTCATGATTTTTGTTTAAATTATATACATATACATGTATATGTGTATTATGCCTTGATTTTACTGTGGGTTTCAATAAAAAAATTGAGACACTCCTGTACCATATCGAACATTTATGACTGTACTGTAATTCTTTTCTGAAGCATTGATCATTCTAATGGATTGAGAATGACAGACTGTGAATATAAGACTTTTGATAGTTTGTACCAGCATAGCATTTCTTTTTCTTTTTTTCTTTCTTTTCTTTTCTTTTTTTTTTTTTTTTTGGAGACACTCACCCAGGCTGTCACCCAGACTGGAGTGCAGTGGTGTGATCTTGGCTCACTGCAACCTCCGCCTCCCGGGTTCAAGCAATTCTTCTGCCTCAGCCCCCCGAGTAGCTGGGATTACAGGAATGCGCCACCACGCCCAGCTAATTTTTGTATTTTTAGTGGAGACAGGGTTTCGCCACGTTGTCCAGGCTGGTCTTGAACATTTGAGCTCTGGTGATCCGCCGACCTTGGCCTCCCAAAGTGCTGGGATTACAGGCGTGAGCCACCGCTCCTGGCCAGAATAGCATTTCTAAGAAGTCATTTAAGTACAAATGAAACATTAATTTAACTTCTTGGGCGTAAATTAAACATTAATTGAATTTCTTAAGTACAAATAAAGGTTAATTTCATTTCTTAAGAACAAATTAAACAATGCTTGCCGTCTCTATTAAAATACTTTTTAGCTTTTAAAATGTATCAACAATTATGATTATTTCTAATCATTTATGATTAAGAAGCCCGGGAAGCCAATGTTTAGTTGTGTGGCAAAATACATGCCTTTAATTTAATTTCTTTTACTGTGAGTTACTTCAAAACAGTTTAATTCTAAGATTTCTTCCAGTGTGTGCAGCACATCATATGTGTTTAACAATTCTTTTATTTGGCAAGTATGTGTGGTGGGAAACACAGGGGCTCTGGAGCCAGTAAGGTCTACAAGGAATCCTGACTCGATAGCCTAGCAGCTGTCTGACATTTGGCAAATTTGTATATTGAGGTCTTGGCTTACTTGTCTAGAAAGTGGAGAAAATAATATCAGGTGGAACCTTATGAAATTGCCATGTGTAGAGTCAAAAGTGGTCAAATATCAGCAATTTCATATGGTTGAACCTAATAATTACTTTATAGGTTGGTTGTGAGGGATCAAACAAGATAATATTTGTTTAACATCTGGCATAATGCTTATTAAATGTTACTGTCCCCTTTGACAAAGGTGAAAAATATTCGTGTCAATGTTTAATTTTCTCTTTTAAACTGGCAGCATATACATTGGTCCATTGCACATTACTTCCTTTATATCTTGCCTTGTTCCAGAAAGGATCTAAGGAGACTCTTTTGCGCATAATTGGTGCTAAGTAAATATCTGAATACTGGTGAGTTAATGCTATTTAGTTTTGGCTCCTTGTTTATTTATGAGCCATAATGTGCTAAACTTACTAGAATGTGATCAAACACTGGAGAGTCCAATTTGGACTCATCTTTTCCAAAAGAGTTTGTAACAATGTCTTCTTTTATGCTTCTAAAACAAATTATTCTTTCCTACAAGCCAGCCTATGCAGTGGTACCTGGTAAATATTTAACACTAGGCTTTCTGGAAGGGGGCTGAGTAGGAGGTGGAGTTGATTTGTACCGTTTGTCAATTTCTGGGGTATGAATACCTCTCATTACTGCTGATTTCAGGCTACCAACTTGACTTTGCCAAATGCAAAGTCGGGAGGGTATGTGTGCAATCAGCTCTTTTGGGCTAGTACCAGCCGGCTTCAGGACTCCTCTGGCCCCAAGATACATGAAACCCCCATCTGAGAACAGTGCTCTATAGACTGGAACTGAGAGCGTAGGTAGGGTAGTTGATTTGCATTTGTGTTGCTAATCAAGAAGTTTTAAGAACAATTATGGAACATTTTTGAAAAACACAGCTAAACAATACCTGGAAAATTAAGCAAAAACAATAATTACAGTGTTTATTGCTATCTTAGTTCTGTACGACATTTTCTTCTCCTTAAATTGCTTTTCTTGATGAGACAATCTGCAGGGCTTTGCTCTTCTTTTTTTTTCCTTTGGCGGCCTATTATTTTAATAACTAAAATACTAAGTAAGTATTTCCAGGAAAAAAAGTACTATGTAATTTTAGTTATTGACCCCATGTGCTTACTGACTCAGATATTGAGAAACTTCTTTTTGGTGGGACTGTAGACTCAAAGATGGATTTTTTTTTTAAATCCAAAGGAATGTGAATCAAAAATAGGGGAATTTCTGAGGATATGGATCGTTTTATAACTTATGTGTTTTGAGATTTTAAAAAATGATTCAAGGCCGGGTGCAGTGGTTCACAACTATAATCCCAGCACTTTGGGAGGCTGAGGTGGGAGGATCTCTTGAGCCCAGGGGTTCGAGACCAACCTGGGCAACATGGTGAAAGCCCGTCTCTATAAAACATACAAAAAATTAACCGGGCATGGCATGCCTGCAGTCCCAGCTACCTGGGAGGCTGATGTAGGAGGATCACCTGAACCCTGGAGGTTGAGGCTGCAGTGAGCCGTGATCTCACCACTGCACTCCAGCCTGGGTGACACAGTGAGATCCTGTCTCAAACAAACAAACAAAAAATCTGCAAATGATTTTTTTTTAAACTCTAAATCAGAGATTCTAAATGGGATGCAGTATTGTCTGGGGTGGAGGACATTTTAGAAATTGGTGGCATTTTTTTTTTTGGTTTTCACAATGATTGGGGGAGCCTATTGACATTTAAAGGGTGGGGGAGAGTGAGTCTAGTATTGGAAATAGTCCCATGTTCCAAATGACCTTCACATTTCCTGCTGAACCTTCATGTAGGTGAAAATAAGCACCTAATTTTCCAACAAGTTGAATACTATACCAGTTGAAGGATGCTTGCATTTAGTTTTGACTAGAACTTTCCAGTGTTCCATGGTTTCACCATGTTGGAAAGTCACAGCAACATGGGCAGAAGCGCTTTTGTGATTTGAGTTGCCACTAAAGCACACTTGTGTCAGTCCGCATCACGAGCTGTCACTCACAGATTAGTGTGAGCATCTGACTACTTTTTAATGTCTTCTAGTGTTGCCATGCCTGAGGGTTTACATTTTAAGGTGTATGTTATTTCATTATACATTACTTTGCTTTTACTTCTCCTTTCTACTAGGACGTTATGTTGGTCTTTTATAATTACGTGTAAGAGTATGTGGTATCACTTATGAATTTCATCTCAGGTTAGTACAGGGGGGCTACTATATATGGGCTTTAAAATGGATCATTAGGGCCGGGCGCAGCGGCTCACGCCTGTAATCCCAACACTTTGGGAGGCCCAGGCAGGTGGATCATCTGAGGTCAGGAATTTGAGACCAGCCTGGCCAAGGTGACGAAACCCCATCTCTACTAAAAGTACAAAAAAATTAGCCAGGCATGGTGGTGTGTGCCTGTAATCCCAGCTACTCAGGAGACTGAGGCAGGAGAATTGCTTGAACCCGGGAGGCAGAGGTTGCAGTGAGCCGAGATCACGCCACTACACTGCAGCCTGGGCGACTTGTCTCAAAAAAAAAAAAAAAAAAAAAAGGATCATTAGGTGTGAGACCACTGTTTCAAATAACTAATCCTTAAGTATAGTATGACATTACCTTTTCTGTTTCCAAGGCACCCAACATCTCTGCCCACCATCTGACATCAGAGCGGTGTTTTCATATTCCCTTGGCTTCAAGACTGTAAAAAGATTGTTCAACTCTGCCCTAGTCCCTACCATTTGTGGTCTAAAGTAACAATTTTATCTATTTTCGTGGTCATGATGCGTACAGCTTCATCATTTGTTCTTCAGAACATTTGGTGCCCTCTTGGAAAATCACATAATCAAAAAGTCCAGTGCATTGAATATTTAAGGCGGTTTTTAAATTAAGTGAACCTAAATTTCCTTAAGTTTAGAATTTTCCCCTGAGGAATTTGGAAGTAAGCATTAACAAACACATCGATTTAGTCTTATGCCGTACACATTGGCAATAAACACCCTGGTAAGAAAATAAGCAGTTAGTGTTATGTGCACAATAGCAAAAAATAAATATATACTTTGGGCTGGATTAAAATATGAACCTAGAGATCATGTTGTCAACGCAGTGAAAGAGAAAAAAATGCATCGCCAGTTAATAAACCTGTGATAAATATGCAGGGCTGAACTTTGGCTGGATTGCAAAGTAGCTTGTATTTGTTTTCAGCACTTCCATCTTCCTTCTTGGGTGCCCTGTTCTACCCCCAGGACTCCCCATAATCACAAGCCTAGGGCCTTCACTCAACACAGAATTAGCAAACATTTTAAAGCTACTTCTGTATGCCAGGCATCGTGATAGGCGCTATCGAATTCTTTCTGATCTGAAGGCGTCTTCCTGTCAGAAGGAAAGGGGTCTGATAAACTTTTTTCTCCCTCTGTAACTCTCGAATCTTTTGAAAGTATTTGGTTGGCGCAAAAGTAATTGCACCAACCAAATTACTTTCAAATACTTTTGCGCCAACCTAATAGATGGGGTATTTTAGAGACCAGGATAGCGGTTATCTTGGACAAGAGGGAGTTGCTGGAAAGGGCATGAGGGCTTCTGGGGTGCTGGTAATGTTGTGTTTCTTGTTTTTCTGTGGTATAAAAACACATGATATAAAATTTACCATCCTAACCATTTTTAAGTGGACAATTCAGTAGCGTTAAGTATATTCACAATGTTGTGAAGCAGATCTCCAGAATTTTTTATCTTCAAAAACTGAAACTTTACACCCATTAGACAACAACTCCCCTTTGCCCCCTCCTCCAACTCCTGGCAACCACCCTTCTAATTTCTGTCTCTATGAATTTGACTACTCTAGGTACCTCACATAAGTGGAATCACACACTATTTTCATCTGTTTGTGCCTGGCCTCTTTCACTTAGCCTAAACAAGTTTCCTCCATGTAGTAGCATGTGACAAGATTTCCTTTCTAATGTTGCATTTCTTTCTTTTTTTTTTTCTTGAGATGGAGTCTCGCTCTGTCGCCCAGGCTGGAGTGCAGTGGCGCGATCTTGGCTCACTGCAACCTCTGCCTCCCGGGGTTCAAGCAATTCTCCTGCCTCAGCCTCCTGAGTAGGTGAGATTACAGGTGTGCACCACCACGCCCAGCTAATTTTTGTAGTTTTAGTAGAGACGGGGTTTCACCATGTTGCCCAGGCTGATCTTGAACTCCTGACCTCAAGTGATCCATCCACCTCGGTCTCCCAAAGTGCTGAGATTACAGGCGTGAGCTACCATGCCTGGCCTCTAGTGTTGTATTTCTCGATCTGGGTGCTGGCTACCCAGGATGTCTACTTTGGGAAAATTCATCCAGCTGTGCATATTTTAATTGGACACATTTCTGTATGCATGTTATACTTTTAAAAGTGTTTACTTAAAGTAGATGGAGATAAAATTTTTAAATCACTTCTAGTAAGGTATTTGATATAGTTTGGATGTTGTCCCCTCCAAAGCTCATGTTGAAATATAATCCCTAGTATTGGAGGTGGGGCCTGGTGGGAGGTGATTGGATCATGGGGGCAGTTCCCTCACGGCTTGGTGCGGTAATCACAATAGTAAGTTCTTGAGAGATCTGGTCATTTAAAAGTGTATGACACCTCCCCCAACTCTCCCTCTTGCTCTAGCTCTCACCGTGGGACTTGCCTGCTCCGCTTTGCCTTCCTCCACGAGTAAAAGCTCCCTGAGGCCTCCCCAGAAGCCAAGCAGATGCTAGCACCATGCTTGTACACCTGCAGAACCGTGAGCTCTCTTTTCTTTATAGAATACCCAGTCTCAGGTATTTCTTTATAGCAACACCAGAACGGCCTAACGCAGTATTAGTAACTTACCATGTTAATGTTTTCCAGTGGCGTTTTGGAAGTACCAGTTAGAGAAGGCAGTGCTTAACATGCAGCATTTGCTGAGGGAAGAACTTCAAAAGACATGGTCTCAGACAGGCCCTCCTCAAATCTCACCCGAGCTGTGGCTCTGAGCCCCTCTCTACAGAAGTCTGGTGCTGCTCATCACAATCCCAAATCGCAAAAAAATTATACCCTCAAATAAAAGCAGAAGGTGAAGAAAAAACTGTCCTTAAAGAGGAGAACGAAATTGAGAAGAGAGCCTATTAAAATAAAATTTTAGGAGAAAGAACTGTATTAGTATGTTTTCACACTGCTACTAAAAACATGCCAGAGACTGGGAAATTTATAAAGAAAAATATGTTTAATGGACTCCCAGTTCCACATGGCTGGGGAGGCCTCACAATCATGGCAGAAGGTGAAAGGCATGTCTCACATGGCGGCAGGCAAGAGAGATAACTTGTGCAGGGAAACTCCCCCTTATAAAACCATCAGATCTTGGGAGACTTATTCACTATCATGAGAACAGCATGGGAAAGACCCGCCCCCAAGATTCAATTACCTTCCACTGGGTCCCTCCCACAACACGTGGGAATTGTGGGAGCTACAATTCAAGATGAGATTTGGGTGGGGACATGGTCAAACCATATCAAGAACAAAACAAAGTTAAAAGAAGGGAATCATGTGGGGTTGCCAGATCTAGCAAAAAACAAAAAGCAAAACCATCAATCAATCCAGGATACCTAGTGAAATTTGAATTTTACACAATCAACAAATAATTTTTTTAGTATAAGTATGTTCCATATAGTACATGAGGCATACTTGTAGTAAAAAATTTTGTTGTTTGTCTGAAATTCAAATTTCACTGGATGTCCTGCATTTCATCTGGTAACCCTAGATACAAGGGAAGGAAGAGGAGGATGAAATCATAGGCAATATCAAAAGTGTCCTTTCAATACAGAGAACCACCCCAAAGCAAGATTCTTTCAAAAGTACATAGCCTTGAATAACAGTCCCTGCCTTAAAGGAGGGAAAGAGCTTTCCATGAGGAATCAGTTGTATTTTGCAACTGACAAAAAAGTTAGGAGACTTTTCCTTGAATGTCTTGGTAGGGGCCCAGAGTTTAAACCAAATCCTGTCAGATTAACTGTTCCCTAGAGAGCTGGGTGGCAGAAGCTGCCTAGGATAATGGTGTGTGGGGTGTAGGAAGGAAGGACAAAGGACTTCCGAAAGGCCTTGGAATGACTTACCTTGTTGTCAGTTTTCATCCGAAGAAATCCTTGATGTGTATAAATAAGGGTTGCCATTAAAAGAACCACATCAGTACTGGTGGGGAAAACAAATTACTAAAAACTCCGCCCTTCCCATTCATCAAAGCAAAAGTGTCCAAGATTCACTGAAGGTGAACGAGGGCAGTTGCCCTGGCAGAGTCAGGCTTGCCATACAATTTCTGATTCCCTTTTGATGCCCTGCAGTTAATTCTGAGTCAGTAGAAGGCATACTTAGACCAGATCAATGAAAAGTCTGATGCTCGTGACTTAAAGCAATTTTAATTGCAAGTATATAATGAGGAGTAAATAATTAACAAGATGGTTCCAAATTGATGTTTTGCAAGGCCTAGTTTAATGGTTTATTTTAAAATCAGAAGCATAGTTGCATATAGTTAAAGGCAAATGTCCTTTGAACAGTTTGCTCCTAGAAACAGGTAAACTAGATATCCTATGATCTTTTTACACCTTTAATTGTTTAGCAAGCTTTTCTTTCAAAGAGGGTTTCAAGTAAACTTTGGCCTAGCTCAGGTTGAATTATAATGAAATCTTAAAACACTGAAGACTAAATTTATTATATGGAAGCTGTATCTATAACTGTTATCAGCCAGATATGTAGACTCGTGGTTGATATTTTTTTATGGCCTTATGAAACTGTCAACAGCCCTGACCTGTATGTCCCTGGGCGATTCACTCAACTGTCTAGGCTGCTGCTTCCTCATCTACAAAACAAAAAGATAGACCAGCTGATCGCTGAGTTCCCTCCACGCTCTGAAACATCATGACTAGATTACACTATAGGGATGTCCATCTCTTAGGGTCAGAGGACTCAGAGCAACCTACCCAGAGCTTTCCTTAGAAGTGATGTTTTCCTTTTAATACATAAAAGTATGAAGAATGTGGAAAAATGGGCCGGGCATGGTGGCTCATGCCTGTAATCTCAGCACTTTGGGAGGCTGAGGCGGTGGATCACCTGAGGTCAGGAGTTCAAGACCAGCCTGGCCAACGTGGTGAAACCCCGTCTCTACTAAAAATACAAAAATTAGCCAGATCTGGTAGTGCACACCTGTAGTCCCAGCTACTCGGGAGGCTAAGGAAGGAGAAAAATGTTTTCAATTCCTTCTTGCCTCCTTGGAAATCTTTCATGGGTCAAATAATCAGGACTTAGGAAAAAAATAGAATGCTCACAAAGCAATAATCCCTAGATGGGAGCAAGGGTTAAATAATTGAGAGTTGGTTACTGCAAGGAAAGTAGATGCCATGAGAGAAAAACACATTTGTCTTTGCTTCCACAAATATCTAGATCATGCCTGTTGGGAACAAGATTCGTTCCCAGTTAGTACATTTAGTGCTGCCAGAAGTAGCATTTTGTGTTTGATTTCTGTAACTATCAGAAAAGCATGAGATCACAGCTGTAACGCAAGATGAGGCCATTCCTAGGGCTTGGTGTTTCTACCCACCCCAACTCTGAGGTGGATGCGCAGTGGTCCATAGGTAGCATTTTGAGGATCAGGGTACCACAGTCTTAAGAGTATTGATGCCAACTAAATCAGGTATTTAAAACGCAAATTTTTGTATCATGAAACCCTTTTTGCCAAATTAGGTGGTGTGCATTTTCTGAACATTGTCCTATAAATTATAAACGCATCTAAAAATGTTCAACCACAGCTTCTTGCAAAAATTCTTCCACCTGAGACAACTTGTGACCATCCTCTCAGCCAGCTTCTTGAGAAAGTGACAGTTTGGATAGCGGACTTGGAGTTGGGAGAGTAGACAAGGAGGTCACTTCAGCTGCTTGGCTGAACCTCACTCCCTTCCTGTGGCTCTGCCTTCCTCATCAATGGGACAGGAATCTGGAAGAATATTCCAAGCATATTGAGGACTATGTGTATATGAACACTACGGAGTATATGTACACACTTGAAGGAAGACTAATGAAAACAAATTTACAAGAGAATCTAGGAGCAAGTTATAATAGTGATCAGTACTGTTATGTATATGAGTGTGTCTGATGTGTGATATTTTGTAGGTAAGTTCAGAACTTGTTCCCACAAACTTTGCAAATATCTTCTGGGGCATGGGAGGCTGGGGCACAGGAGGCTGAATAATGTCTCCTCCTCCTCCGTCTTTGTCTGTTTTCTGCTGCTATGGCAAAATATCTGAGACTGGGTAATTTATAAAGGACAGAAATTGATTTTTCACAGTTCTGGAGCTAAGAAGTTGAAGATCAAGGTGCCAGAATCTGGTGTCTTGTGAGGACCTCCTTGCTGTGCCCACACATAGTGAAAAGTACAAGGACAAAAAAAAAAAAAAAAAAAAAAAAGACTAAGCCTTTGTCCTCACACGGCAGAAGAGCAGAAGAGAGCAAACCCACTCCGGAAAGCCCTTTTTATAATGACATTAATCCATTCATGAGGACGGAGCCCTCATAATCTAAATACCTCCCAAAAGGCCACACCTCCCAATGCTGTAGCATTGTGGATTAAGTTTCCAACATATGGGTTTTGGGGGACACATTCACACCATAGCACCCTACCCCCCAAAGATGTCTACCTCCTGTCTACCTCCTATCCCTGGAAGCTGTGAATGTGTTACCTTAACATGACAAAAGGGATATTGCAAATATGATTAAATTAAAGATCTTGAGATACGGAGACTAACCTGGATTATCTGGATGGGTCCAATGTAATCACGAAGGTTCTTATAAGAGGGAGACAGGAGGGTAAGAGTGAGATAAGGAGAGTCAGAGAAGGAGATGAGACAATGGAAACAGAGGTTGGAGGGATACAGGGCCAGGAGCCAAGGAACACAGGCAACCTCAAAAAACCAGAAAGGCAAAGAAGTCAGTTCTCACCTAGAGCTTCCAGAAGGAATTCAGCCCTGCCTACTCCTTGATTTTAGGACTTCTGACCTTTAGAACTGTAAGATAATAAATTTGTGTTGCTTTAAGCCACTAAGTTTGTGGTAATTTGATACAGCAGCAATTGAAAACTAACATAGGAAGACTCCACAGGATGTTTTCAATTCAACAAGGGTGGCTTGGTGACAGCATTGGGAGTAATGACTGGGGGCACTGTTCAGAGAGCCAGCGATCAGCTGGACACTATGCTAGGAACTGAGACCTCAGTGGTGGACAAACTGGCATGGGCTCTGCCAATATGGAACTTACAGCTGTGAGAGGAACACTGGCAGCAAACCAAAACTTGCTATTAATCAACTTCAAGTGTGCAGTGTGTTATGGAGGAGTACCGCCTGCCTGGTGTGATGGGAGTGATTAAAAGGAGACTGAGTCCATTGGGAGGATCAGGAAAGGTTTTCCTGAGGACGTGGTGTTTAAGGCAGACTCTAAGGATGGGTAGGCGTTAGCTATTTCAGGTCAATGGGAGTGGAAAGAGCATTTTAGACAGAAGGAAGAGCATAGCCAAAAGCTGTAGGCAGGCAAAACACTGAATTTTAAAGAATTAAAATATATCCAGTATTGCCGAAGCAGACAAAATAAGAGCTAGAGTTGTACAAGAGGAGATGGAGAGATGCTAGGGTCTAGACCAGGCAGGGATAGGCCATTGAAGGAGAGTGGCCTGACTATATGTACATTTTTAAAGATCATGTAAGCTGCAGTGGATGAAAGAATAGGGTGGGAGGCAAGAGAAAATGTAGGGAGGCCAGTTATAAGAACATTGCCATAGCCTGATGAAAAGTAACCGTAGCCCTGGCCAGGATAGTGGTAGTTGGGATGGAAGAAAGCAGAGGATTCAAGAGATATAGAGGACACAGAATGCAAAGACTTGTTGCCTGAGGGGATGTAAGAGGTGATAGAGAGGGAGGTGTTAAGAGTGATTCCCAGGTTCTTATCTTAAGCAAACTGATCAATGAAGCCACCATTTTCTAAGGAAGAGAGCAATGCTGGAAGATAAGGATTTTGGCAAGAACAGAAGAGTACCATTTTGGACATGTATAGTTTGAGGAGATCACTAAGACACTCAAGAGGAAATGGCTAGTAGGCATTTGGATATGTAGGGGCAGGAGATTTAAATTTGGGAGTCAGGATTGAGATGGTAAGTGAAGCCACAGGGATAATGGAAATTGCCTAGAAGAGAGGGGCAAGTAAGAAAAGGGTAAGGACAGAGCTCTAAGAAACTCTAAGATAAAGCAGAGAAGCAGAAGTCACGAAGAGAGACCCAGCAGTGTCCAGAGAGCAGGAGGAAAACAAGGAGAGCATGGAGTCACTGAATTCAAAGAAAGAGAGTTTTCCAACAAGGAGGGAGTGACCACAAGATCAAGAAAAACAGGACTAAAAAGTATCCCTTGGTCATGAAGATCATTAATGACCTTAGCATGAATTTGGTATGGTGGGGGAGTAGGGAGCAGAACCAGGAATTGTCACCTCCTCGGAGTGTTTCTGGCAGGAAAAGCTGCATGGTGGTGAGAAATCCAATGCTGTTGGGGATGGGGCCGAAATATGATTGCACTTCGAATCACCGCTAGAAAAGTTCCCCTTCCCCCACCAATAGCACACACATGTACTTTGCCCTCCCAGAAAGACAAATGTAGGTGGTGGAAAGGACTCCAGACTCCTGGGTTTTAACCACATGTATTAGTCTTTAGGCTGCCACTCACCTACTGGGTAACTTATAAACAACAGAAGTTCACGTCTTCTAGTTCTAGAGGCTGGGAATTCCAAGGTCAAGGCACCAGCAGATTCAGTATCTGGTGAGGGCCTGCTTTCTCAAAGATGGTGCCTTCTCACTGAATCCTCACATGGTGGAAGGGGCAAGCTAGCTCTCTGGGGCCTCTTTTATAAGGGCATCGACCCCATTCATGATGACCTAATCACCTCCCAAAGGCCCCTCCTCCTAACACCTTCACCTTCGGGATTAGGGTTTTTGCATATAAATTTTGAGGGGCACAAGCATTCAGATCATAGCACCACACTTCCACGGATGCTTTGGCCAGAATCATTCTATCAGTTGTTCTTGTTAGCTCGAGTCCTTGCTTGCTGCCATCTCTCTCGGTTATTCTGCATCTTGAACCATGAACTCACTTTCTCCTTCACTTTCTTCCTTTCACTCTCCTAATGTTGGAGAGATTTTATGTCTCCAGGGAGTCTGAGTTAATCAAAATCTCATTGCAACTGCTTCTCATCCAATGAGTATGCAGCGGTTCTTCACTGGGAACATGGCCAGTCCTGTGAGAAGACAAAGGACAATAGGATCTTAGTTAGGCAGGTGAGGCATGAATAAGTATAAGGGAAGGTTACAGGTGAGTCTTCTACCTAGGAGAAGCCAGAAAGGCTATTGGAAAAGCCAACAGTTGCCCCAGATTGAAGGTTTAAATAAGCGGAAGAGAAAATGTATCTTTACTTTTTTATTGACTACTGAAATTCAGCTTATACCCAATTCAGATGGAGTTCCTTGACCGTGACTATGAGGTATATATGAGTCCAGCCTTCTCCACTCTATGAGACAACATAGCATAAGAATGAGATATTTCTTGAGTTATACTGCCAAATAAAACTTATCCAAGACCAAAGTGACTTTCTCACTGAAACCAGGGCAACAACAGGAATGCTGAGAAGAAAAAAAAAATGCAGTGAAAGAACGAAGCCATTTTGAGGGAAAGGAATACAAGAAAAAAAGGGTTATACAAGGAATTATACTAGGAAAAACAGAATACTGCTCTGACTCATGCAGTAAACTTGCTTTGTAAGCTGGTGAAAAAATAATTGATGTAATTAGAGAGGAATATCAGAGTTCTGAACTTGGTTTTGAATAATGCTTTGAACACAAACATAGCTTTTATGCGTAAATTTGGAGGTAGTTCTTTTCCCCCTCTCTTCATTATTTCCTTTGTCCTTCAGCTTTGGAAATTACTCCCTATAGTAAAATAAATGATTTCCTCTTATTTTCCTGTGAAAGTACTTGTCCTAACCCTTCTCTCAGGATCTATTGAATAAATTAGTACTTGAGGAACAATAGCTTTGGGTGACTACATTGGCATCAATAAATAATTTAGTATTGTAGTCAGAGCTCTTCTCATAGATTCATGGTCTCCTTTTTAGAGATCAGCTGAAGTCAAGCCCTCTCACTTTACATCTGAGGAACAGGGTGTTGAAAGATAAAGCAATTTTCCCAAACCCATAGAGCTAGTTAGTGGCAGATCTAGGCCTGGAACTTCAAGGTCAGGTGTCTGCCTACATTATGCTGCCATGCTCAAATGTATGGAAACAGCAGCAGCCCCCATAATTGAAAGCTGGTGGACCCCAGGAGGGTAATGTTTTCAGTCCTTACAACAAACCTATAAAGGAGGCTTCATTATTCTAATATCCCACTTTTCGGATGAGAAAACCAAAGCTCAGAGAGGTTAGATAACTCACCTAAGATCACACAGTCAGTAAATAGCAGAACTGCCTAATCTTGTGAGATGACCAAGTAGGGTGTACCAGTATCTAGGACTGACAGAAGACAGGTGATGCCCTGCCTAGTAGCGGGAGGAATGCCCAAAGGCCCACCCAACCAAAATGATCGACCCGATTTCTTTGCTATGGTGGTGAAAGATTGCACTTCAATTCACTGCTAGAAAAGACCAAAATATTGAGGGAATGGGACACTGAAGAGTTATGGAAAGGGAAACAGAAGAAAAGAGAACTCTTCAGGTACAGTAGGATGATACTGGTCAGATGGAGGCAGCGTGAAGGTAAGTGGTCTCTGGAGAAAGAAGTGCTAAAACAAAAGCAGACACTGCCCAGCTCAGAATTGTCTATAGAATGAGCCTGGATCTTTGAGACCCTAATTGGGCTTTGGTGTTTATGGAAGTGGATAGCATGCGTTTATAGAACATGATCAGTATACTCTGACTGTACTATTAGGGAAAGGGGTCCATAGTTCCATAAAATTGAATTAATAATAATCCTGGGCTCAGGATACATAGGTACATGCTTGGCCCTGTTTTTAAATGAATACATGCATACATAAATATGTGCAGCCATGATCCCAACACCCAGTCCAAGAGTTAGCGCATTTGATGAAGCTGTCTGACAATAACAAGTTTGGAGGAAGAGGATATGGATTAACAAAAGCTCTTATTTACCCGTGGAAGTGGGAGTTGGTTTAATCAGTTTGCATTCCCTTAATAGAGTTAGACAGTCTCATACCTTTTGATCTGAAACCATTCCACTTCTAGGTCTACAAACTTGTCCCCAAATAATGTTCACAGCAGCACTGTTTGCTGTTTATAGTAGCAAAAAATAGATAGATATATAGACAAGAAAGGAAGGAAGGAGGAAAGGAAAGAAGAAGGAAGAAAGAAAGGAAGGGAGGGAGGGAGGGAGGAAGGGAAAGGGGGAGGGGAGAGGAGGGGAAGAAGCAACCCAATGGAAAAAGAAACTAGAAACAACCTAAATGTCTCGATGGCTACAAATGTAACAGAAAATGAATCTTTGCAATCTAATACTTAGGGCAAAAGCTGGTTCCAGAAGTCTTCTTATAGCACAGTATTCTTCTTAGGAAATTTTAAACCACTGAAATGAAATCATATAAGCATACATACATATGTGTATGATAAAATTATTTTTTGTAAAAGCCAGAGAATGACCAAATTTAGGGCAGTGCCCTCAGCAGGCCAGAGGTGCTAGGGAATTGCTTTCCCTCCCCAGGAGCAACCCTCAGCCACTGACCAATGGGAATTGGTGTATGAATATCCCAGGTCCCTTGCCTCTCGGGTGAAATAAGTCTGAGATATGTGTCTATGCTGTCTCCATGAGATCCCAGTGGAATGAAGCTCAAGCTACCAATCATAACTTGCATGATTACATGCAAGCCTTGACTGGCTGGCTCCCCTACTCCCCTGGAGGTACTTTCTGGCATAATCTCTCAAATAAGCAACTTGCACATGGTCTGCTTTGGGGGAAAAAAACCAAACTAATCTTAGATCTCAGATCATAATGGTGATACTGTCAGCTTGACACACGGAACTTCATAAATATTAATGGAAGAGCCAGTTTAAAGCCTTTAACATAGATGCTCACCTAGGTTCTTTCACCGATAATTCAGTATTATATGTCATCCAGATGTTAGCTGGGGTCCCTCATGCCCTGAGGGACCGAGGTGAAAGTGTCCCATCCTGCCCTCGTTCATTCATCTGCCTTTCCCCCACCCTACCCTCAAATCAACAGTGTGTTCTCTTAGACACCTCTGCTACCTGGCTGTTTGTTTCACATAGCTCCTGGGCTCTTCTTAGAGCACCCTCCCCACTCTTTTTCCTCCAGTCTTTACTTCTCCCCTCTCCCTTCCAGGATCATGCCAGGCTCCAAATTCTTCTTTCCACAACTCCAATCCCAAACTTATATATCCAAATCCATCAAGATACTCTTTGAGAAAAAGAAATTATAGGACTAGGCTGGGCATGGTAGCTGATGCCTGTAATCCCAGCATTTTGGGAGGCCGAGGCAGGCAGGTTGCTTGAGCACAGGAGTTTGAGACCAGCCTGGGCAACATGTTGAAACCCCATGTCTACAAAAAATACAAAAATTAGCCAGACATGGTGGCACACATCTGTAGTCTCAGCTACTTGGGAGGCTGAGGTGGGTAGATGGCTTGAGCTCGGGAGTTTGAGGCTGCAGCGAGCCATGGTTGCACCACTGCACTCCAGCCTGGGCGAAACAGCGAGACCCTATCTCAAAAAAAAAAAAAAAAAATTACAGGACTAGCTAGCAAAGTTTTCTTCCTGCTACATCTAAAACTATAGACAAATACAGGAATCTTTCTTTCTTGAATGGGAAAAGTCTAGATCTTCAACAGTACCCACTCAAAAACTCTAAGTTATGGTTATATAAAAAGGCTACATCACTCATCACCAGTCATGTGTTTGTTAACTTGGCCTCAAGGACTAAGGAAGTGTAGTTTTATTTTTTCAGTGAAGCTTATCTGTGTGAAGCAATTTCATTTTTCGAGAACACATCTCCTCCCATTCTTTTTTGTCATCACTTCCTCTGCTTGTATAGATCTTCAAATCATGGCCGAGAAAAAAGCCTTGGTGTTTTAGTCCATTTAGTGTTGCTATTAAGGAATACCTGAGGCTGGGTGATTTATGAAGAAAACAGGTTTATTTGGCTCTGCAGGCTGTACAAGAAGCATGGTGCCAGCATCTGCTCCTGGTGAGAGCCTCAGGCTGCTTCCACTTATGTCAGAGGGGGAAGGGGAGCCAGGGTATGCAGAAATCACATGGCGAGAGAGGAAGCAATAGAGAGGGGAGGGAGATGCCAGAGTCTTTTTCACAACGAGCTCTGGCAGGAATTAATAAAGTGAGAACTCACCCACCCTCCCACACCCCCGAACCAGGGAGGACATTAATCTAATCATGAGGGATCCACCCTGATATGGTTTGGCTCTATGTCCCCACCCAAATCTTATCTTGTAGCTCCCATAATTCCCATGTGTTGTGGGAGGGACCTGGTGGGAGATAATTGAATCATGAGGGTGGGTCTTTCCTGTGCTGTTCTCGTGATGGTGAATAAGTCTCAAGAGATCTGATGGTTTTAAAAACGGGAGTTTCCCTGCACAGCTCTCTCTGCCTGCCACCAACCATGTAAGACGTGACTTGCTCCTCCTTGCCTTCTGCCATGATTGCGAGGCCACCCCAGCCATGTGGAACTGTAAGTCCATTAAACCCCTTTCTTTTGTAAATTTCCCAGTCTCAGGTATATCTTTATTAGCAGCATGAAAATGGACTAATACACACCCCTATAACCCAAACATGTCCCACCAGATCCCATCTCCAACACTGTGTATCAAATTTCAACATGAGATTTGGAGGGGACAAACATTCAAACTATAGCACTTGCCAACTGAATAACGCCCTGAACAAGAATCCAGTATTGAATTTATTGGCTCTACCACACTTCAGTGGCTGACCTTAGGCAGCTTACTTAACTTTTTAGGCCTCAGTTTTCTTCATCTGTAAATGATATGAGGATTAAAAGAGGTAACCGCACCTAACACAGCCCTGGCACAAAGAAGTCCAGAAGCTAATGCTAGTTACCTTCCCAAATAAATAGAAGTATAAAGGGCACTCTGCAATATACCTAGCACAGCACTGTCCAGTAGAAATCTAATATGAGCCACAAATGTGAGCCACTGAGGTAATTTTACATTTTCTAGAAGGCACACTTTTAAAAGGGTAAAAAGAAATCAATAAATAGATAAAATCAATTTTAACAATATGTTATATTTAATCAATATACCCAAAAGGTTATTGTATTAGTCCATTCTCACACTGCTGATAAAGACCCGAGACTGGGTAATTTATAAAGAAAAAGAAGTTTAATGGACTCACAGTTCCACATGGCTGGGGCAGCCTCACAATCATGGCAGAAGGTGAAAGGCACATCTTACATGGCAGCAGACAAAGAGAAAAATGAGTCAAGTGAAAGGGGAAATCCCTTATAATCAGATCTCATGAGACTTATTTATTACCACAAGAACAGTATGGGAGAAACCGCCTCCATGATTCAATTGTCTCCCATGGGGTCCCTCCCACAACATGTGGGAATTAAGGGAGCTACATTTTTTTTTTTTTTTTTTTTGAGACGGAGTCTCACTCTGTCACCCAGGCTGGAGTGCGATGCCGTGATCTCGGCTCACTGCAATCTCTGCCTCTTAGGTTCAAGCGATTCTCCTGCCTCAGCCTCCTGAGTAGCTGGGATTACAGGCACGCACCACTACACCTGGCTAATTTTTTTTTGTATTTTTAATAGAGACAGGGTTTCATGTTGGTCAGGCTTGTCTCGAATTCCTGACCTCGTAATTCACCCGCCTTGGCCTCCCAAAGTACTGGGATTATAGGCGTGAGCCACTGCGCCCGGCTGGGAGCTACAATTTAAGATAAGATTTGGATGGGGACACAGCCAAACCATATCAGTTATCATTTCAACATGTAATCATTATAAAAATTAGTAATGTAGCCAGACACAATGGCTCATGCCTGTAATCCCAGCTACTTGGGAGGCTGATGCTGGAGAATAGCTTGAGTCCAGGAATTTGAGGCAGGCCTGGGTAACATAGCAAGACCCTCATCTCTAAAAAATTATTGATGAGATAGTTTACATCCTTTTTCATACCAAGTCTGAAATCTGGTGTGAATTTTATACATATGACATGTCTCAATTTGGACCAGCCACATTTCAACGCCATGTAGCTAGTGGTACTCTGTTGGGCAGAGCAATTCTAGCTCTTCTCATGAGGATGAATCTCTACAGATTTGAAATCTGGCCTATTCTATTCTATGGCACACTTCAAATTGTGGGAAGCATTTGGCCCCAGTTCTGTTCCTTTAATATCACTAATACTATAGTCATTTTATGCATCAGATGATACAAGGTACAAATTATTCTTGAATAGGAATCCCTAAATTCCTTGTGAAGAATGGCTGTTTTTCTCTTTCTTTCTTTCTTTTTTTTTTTTGAGACGAAGTCTTGCTCTGTTGCCCAGGCTGGAGTGCTGTGGCATGATCTCGGCTCACTGCAACCTCCACCTCCTGGGTTCAAGCGATTCTCCTGGCTCAGCCTCCCGAGTACCTGGGATTACAGGCACGCAACACCGCCTGGCTAGTTTTTGTATTTTTAGTAGAAATGAGGTTTCACCATGTTGGCCAGGCTGGCCTAGCTTCAAGTGATCCTCTCGCCTCGACCTCCCAAAGTGCTGGGATTACAGGCATGAGCCACCGCGCCTGGCCTGTTTTTCTTTTTCTCAAAACTTTAATACCTCCAGAAAAATGAGATCAAGTGGAGGGGCCAAGGTGAAAACAGCTGGGGCTGACAATAAGACCCTGGTGGCCTAGGGAAGAGGTCCTCCTGGTAGCTACACAACCCTCCCTGATGGAAATCACAGCAATTTGGAGGCTGGTGGTGGTTGTGATGGTTGGGGGTGGGGGTAAGGGCTGTACTTTGGCAAACAGCTTGGATGAAAGAAGGCTTTACTAAATGCTGATGGAAGAAATGCCAAGTTTTCTAGATAATAGGTGGCACCTCAGATGTCAGAGTCCTCTGCAAATAATGGTTCATGCTCTGTTAATTATGGGACTAAGTAAATATTCATAGAAACAGATAAGATCATGTTTTGGATAAAAACAGAAGAGCAGTGGATTCTGACAAGTCTCTGTATAACTAACCTTCATCTTTTGGGTTGAAGGAGAACTGAATAAAGTCATTCATGTTACCTATCCTTGGTTCAGATTTTTAGAACACATTGCCACCCAGGGATTCTAAGGATTTTCTCAATGTCAAATCAAACCATGATATCACTCAAGGCATTCATTAGTGGTGGTTGTTTTGTTGGCATTTTGCTGTATTTCCTTCTGTACCTTTCGATAAAAAAGGTTTAGGTGATCTCTTCCTAGCTAAGCTCAGTTTATTTATGTATTTATTTATTTATTTAGAGACAGGGTCTCACTCTGTCACCCAGACTGGGGTGCAGTGGCGTGATCTTGTCTCACTGTAGCCTCGATCTCCTGAGCTCAATCCATCCTCCTACCTCAGCTTCCCAAGTAGCTGGGACTGTAGGTGTAAGTCGCCAGGCCTGGCTGATTTTTTTGTTTTTGTTTTTTGTAGGGATGGGGTTTTGTCACGTTGCCTAGGCTGGTCACGAACTCCTGGGCTCAAGTGATCCGCTCGCCTCCGCCTTCCAAAGTGCTGGGATTACAGGCATGAGCCACTGAGCCCTGCCTGAAGCTCAGATTTAATACATAATTTAGTATCTTCCTTTTTCCCTCTTATTATAATGTTTGTATTTTCCGTGTTCTCATATAGACTTCATACAAAGAACCTTTAAAGACAGTATAATGGTTCATTGTATGTGTGCCATGATTTATTTAACCATCCTCTGTTATTGTTTCCCTTCTGGGTATTATAGGATCTGATTTTGTTCATAACCCCTGGGCACAAGAAACATTATCTTTCTTTATTTTAAAAAATCAAATTAAATCTGGGTTTGCGTTCCCACGTGCAGAGCTGGCAAGATGCCCAACAGCAGCCATTACTGGGGGGCTTGTCCCCATGTGTATATACAGGATACCTGAAGTATGCTTGGCATGAAAGTTAGGATACTTTTTTAGTTTTTATTTTGAGATGGGGTCTTGCTCTGTCGCTTAGGCTGGAGTACAGTGGCGAGATCACAGCTCACTGCAGCCTCAACCTCTCCAGCTCAGATGATCCTCCCCACTCGGCCTCCTCAGTAGTAGGTGGGTGCCACCATGCCCAGCTAATTTTTGTATTTTTAGTAGAGATGGGGTTTTGCCATGTTGCCCAGGCTGGTCTCGAACTCCTGGGCTCAAGCAATCCACTTGCCTTGGCCTCCCAAAGTGTTGGGATTACAGGCGTGAGCCACTGCTCCCAGCCCTGTGACAGTTTTGACTCTAGTAATATCAATCTGCTTAAGGTGGCCTAAACCATAAAAATGTACTGGCCCATGTAACTGGAAGTTCAGAGAAGGTTTCAGGTTGGATTGATTTAGTGCCCTGACAACGTTATTGAGGACCCAGTTTCTTCCCATTTCTGCTCTGCTTTCTGCAAAGTCAGCTTCACTCTGGCCACAAAATGGTTGTCTACTGCACTCCAGGTACTACATGCTTCCTTGATTGCACCCAGAGATGGGAATGAGGTAGGAAGAGAGAAGAAGAAAAGTGAGAGGTTGAGAGAGATGCTTCTAGAAGCTTCCTGAGAATAGCAGCAAGTTTCTTTCACAGAAGCTCCCAGGAAATGTCTCCTCCTATATCATTGGCCTAAATTGGGTCAAGTATCTATCCTTGAACCAGGAGCCATGGCCAGCAATCAGAATTAAGCTCATTAGTTTGTAGATTGACCCATATATATCATGACTACAGCTGAGGTGGGCTATTTTCTTCCCAAGGCACAAATGAACTGCCTGGGGGAGTGAACAAAAGTGGGAGTAGTTACCAATAGAAGAAGGAATGGATTTTATAGAGGTAACCAAAATATCTCCTATATTTTCCAACTTCTGTTTTCAGTCGTAGAAACCAAAGCACCCCATTGCACATAAGCAGCTAATGATATCGTCAAGGCATAGCAGCCCAAAACCCGGAGCCAAAGACTCCACTGTCTTTTAGGCTGGGGAAGATAAGCGACTCCTTTCTTCTGCACCTCCAAGAGCAGCAAAATCAAAACATAGATTTAATTTCTCAATAAATTATCCTGTCACATCATCCCTGTACTTAAAATCTTTTCTGGCCAGGCGTGGTGGCTCATGCCTGTAATCCCAGCACTTTAGGAGGCCGAGGCGGATGGATCACCTGAGATCAGGAGTTCAAGACCAGCCTGGCCAACATGGTGAAACCCCATCTCTACTAAAAATACAAAAAAAAAAAGAAAAAGAAAAAAAGAAAAAAATTAGCCAGGCACAGTGGCATGCGCCTGTAATCCCAGCTATTTGGGAGGCTGAGGCAGGAGAATCGCTTGAACCTGGGAGGTGGAGGTTGCAGTGAACCGAGATCGCACCACTGCACTCCAGCCTGGGCGACAGAGCGAGACTCCATCTCAAACAAACAAACAAACAAACAAACAAAAAATTCTTTTCTGACCTCTTTTGGAGGAATATAAAGGCTGAAACCCCTTAATTAGAAACAAAAGGACCAGGATAAACAGGGCTTCAAGAGGATTTGTGCCATCTAAAAGAGTTTGCTGAAAAAAGCCTACCCCATAAGTACATACAGCTATTATACATCCATAAGAATTAAAAAATTCAAAAATCTAGAATCTAGACACGGGAGAAAAGAGCTACTCCTTCAAGTCATACACATATTTGATTAAAGATGTACATTTAGTAAAGCTTTATTAAGTAACCCTTGATCCACCAGTTCACTTATTTTCACCATCTCACTTCCCACTCTTAAAATCGAAAGGTGCCTGGCAAATCTTGGAATCAACCAAGACATCCTTCAGTAGGTGAATTAATAATAAACTGTGATAAAACCAACATGGTGAAATATTATTTAGCCCTAAAAAGAAATGAACTATCAAGCCATGAAAAGACACTGAGAAACTTTAAATGCATATGGTGACGTGAAAGAAGCCAGTCTGAAAAAGCCACATCCTGCAGGATTCCAACTATATGACATTCTGGAAAAGGCAAAATTAGAGACAGTGAAAAGATCAGTGGTTTCCAGGGGTCAGAAGAAAGGGAGGGTTGAATAGGCAGAACAGAGAGGAGTTTTAGGACAGCGAAACTATTCTGTTTGATACTATAGTGGTGGATACTTGTCATTATACATTTGTCCAAACCCACAAAATGTACAACAGTAAGAGTGAATCCTAATGTAAACTATGGACTTTGGATGATAATGATGTGTTAATATGGGTCCCTTGATTGTAATAAATGTACCAGTCTGGTAGGGGATGTTGATGGTGGAAGAGGATGTGTGTCTCAGGGGGATATGTGGGAATTCCCTGTGTTTTCCATTGAATTTTGCTGCGAACCTAAAAATTCTTTAAAAATAAAGTCTATTTTGTTTTAAAAAGGCAGGCTGGTATTATGAAAGAACATCGAATTGAGAGCCAGGAGACCTGGATTCAAACCCAGACTGCCATTTACAAGTTGTATAAACTTAAATTATTTTAACCTTTCTGTGTCTTAGCTCACTCACCTGTAAAATGAGGATAATATTCATCCATCATACTCACTGTGAAGAGACAACATAAGTGCTTTCACATAGCACACAATAGGTGCTCAAAAAAACATTAACTGAGAAGAGAGAAGGAGGAAGAAAATACAAGGAGAGCAGGATATTATACCCCTGTCAAATGGTGACAGAGGTATTTTGTAACAAGATCCACTAGTTAGGGAGATAGATCTTTTTTTCTCATCTATTCCACTCTACTTTGGATTTTGGCTGCATCATATTATGATTTAATAAAGTGTCCATTATTATTTAAATTACTCAGAAAACTACCTTTGCCTAGTTCTAGTGTTCTATAGCAGCTTTTAGAAGGAGTGCGATTTGGGATAGGTTTGGTTGTTATTTTTGTTGATTTTTATGTATTTAATACATGTTTGTTGTGAACCTGAACAGTGACTGTTAGTTATGCTGGGCACTGGGGATGCAGCAGTGAGTACACCAGACTTGGTCCCAGCCCTGCCAAGGCTTAAGTCTAGTGTAGAAGACAGGCATTGATCAAACTATAACAAAGCGTTTGGAGAGTTACAGTGGGAAGTAGAGCGAATCGAGAAAACATATGGCAAGGAGAAGGAATTGACTTTATGGTCAGGGAAGGCCTCCCTTTATGTTTAAGTGATGATTACACTGAGATCTGAGGCATTAGCTGGAAGGAATAGAGAGTTAGGTTAGAGTAGGTTAGGGGAGGACACTGATTTTCACACTGAGGTGCATCAGAATTACCCTCAGGTGGCCGGGCGCGGTGCCTCATGCCTGTAATCCTAGCATTTTGGGAGGTGGAGGTGGGCAGATTGCCCGAGCTCAGGAGTTCGAGACCAGCCTGGGCAACATGGCGAAACCCTGTGTCTACTAAAAATACAAAAAATTAGCTAGGCGTGGTGGTGCACACCTGTAATCCCAGCTACTCAGGAGGCTGAGGCACGAGAATTGCTTGAACCTGGGAGGCAGAGGTTGCAATGAGCTGAGATCATGCCACTGCACTCCAGCCTGGGTGACAGAGTGAGTCTGTCTCAAAAAAAAAAAAAAAAAGAATTACCTGGAGGGCTTGCATATTAGTTAACTATTGCTGTGTAACGAATTATCCAGAAACTTAGCAGCTGGAAACCACAAACACTTATTACAACAAACTGAGGATTTCTCGGGGTGAGGAGTCCGGGAGCTGCTTAGTTGAGTGGTTCTGACTCAGGGTCTCTCTCAAGGTTACAATGAGGTGTCTCTCAAGGTTACAATGAGGTGTCAATCAAGGTGTTGGCTAGAGCTTTGTCATCTCAAGGCTCCACAAGGGGAGTATCATAGGAGAGAGAGAGAGAGACAGAGACTGAGAGAGAGAGAGGTGGGGGGAGGGAGAGAGGTAGGGAGGCAGGGAGCATTAGTATAGTACATTTGCTATAATTCAGGAACCAATATTGATACATTATTATTAAACAAATTTGGGCCAAAGTCTATACTTTATTCAGAATTTCTTAGTTTTACCTAATATCCCTTTGTCCATTTGTTTTAGAATATTTTATTCCTTTTAGCTAGAATGATTGCCTATATTGACTTTATTTTTTAAATTCCTTTTTTTTTTTTTTGAGACAGAGTCTCACTCTGTCGCCCAGGCTGGAGTGCAATAGCGCGAACTTGGCTCATTGCAACCTCCGCCTCCAGGGTTCAAGCGATTCTTCTGCCTCAGCCTCCCAAGTACCTGGGATTACAGGCACCCACCATCACGCCTGGCTAATTTTTTTATTTTTAGTACAGACGGGGTTTCACCATGTTGGCCAGGCTGGTCTTGAACTCCTGACCTCAGGTGATCCGCCTGCCTCAGCGTCCCAAAGTGTTGGGATTACAGGCATGAGCCACCGCGCCCGGCCTATTTTTTAAATTTCTAGTTATATTTTTAAATGAGAAATAATAATTGTACATATTCATGAGGTTATACAGTGATCAGATCAGGGTAATTAGCATATTCATCATCTCAAACATTTACCATTTCCTTGTGTTGGGAACTTCAATATTCTCCTTCTAACTATTTGAAACTATATAATACATTGTTTTTAACTATAGTCACCCTACAGTGCTATAGAACACTAGAACTTATTCCTCTTGTATAGCTATAATTTTGTATCCTTTAACAAATCTCTCCCTATCCTAATATCCTTTAAAAATTTTTTAATTGACACATAATAATTGTACTTATTTATGGGGTATATAGTGACATTTTGATACATACAATGTAGAGTGGTCAAATCAGGATGATTAGCATATCCATCACCTCAAACATTTGTCATTACTAATATCCTTTTTTTCTGTTCCAGAATCCCAACCAGGATAGTACATTATATTTAGTTGTAATATCTCCTTAGGCTCTTCTTGGCTAAGTGACAGTTTCTCAGGCTTTCCTTGTTTTGAATGCCCTTGATAGTTTTGAGGAGTACTGGTCAGGCATTTTGTAGGACCCCAGTCTCTGAAGTGAGATCTCATCACTTCTGGCCACACTCTTCTTTGTTAGAAGCATGAGCTAAGTCTAACCCACATTCAAGTGGAAAGGAATTAAGCTCCATCTCTTGAGGAATATCAAAGAATTTGTGGCCATATCTTTAAGACCTTTATTGCTTGCTAAAACGCAGATCTGCTTCAGTAGGGCTGCAGTGGGGCCCAAGAGTTTGCATTTCTTTTCTTTTTCTTTTTCTTTTTTTAAGACGGAGTTTCGCTCTTGTTGCCCAGCCTGGAGTGCAATGGTGCAATCTCGGCTCACTGTAACCTCCACCTCCCAGGTTCAAGCAATTCTCCTGCCTCAGCCTCCCGAGTAGCTGGGATTACAGGCATGTGTCACTATGCCCTGCTAATTTTGTATTTTTAGTAGAGATGGGGTTTCTCCATTTTGGTCAGGCTGGTCTCCAACTCCCGACCTCAGGTGATCCACCCGCCTCAGCCTCCCAAAGTGCTGGGATTACAGGCAAGAGCTACCGCACCTGGCCTAATCTTTTTTTTTTTTGAGACAGAGTCTTGCTCTGTGGCCCAGGCTGGAGTGCAATGGCGCAATCTCAGCTCACTGCAACCCCCGCCTCCCAGGTTCAAGTGATTCTCCTGCCTCAGCCTCCCGAGTAGCTGGAATTACAGGTGTGCGCCACTACGCCCAGCTAATTTTTGTATTTTTAGTAGAGATGCGGTTTCACCATGTTAGCCAGGCTGGTCTCGATCTCCTGACCTCGTGATCCACCCACCTCAGACTCCCAAAGTGCTGGGATTACACGCGTGAGCCACCGCGCCCGGCCTCTTTTTTTTTTTTTTTTTTTTTTTTGAGACTGGGTCTCACTTTGTCACCCAGGCTGGTGTGCTGTGGTGCAATCTTGGCTCACTGCAGCCTCCACTTCCTGAGCTCAAGCTATCCGCCCATCTCAGCCCCCCAAGTAACTGGGACTATAGGAGCGCACCACCTTGCCCTGCTAATATTTTTGTATTTTTAGTAGAGACGGAGTTTTGCCATGTTGCCCAGGCTGGTCTCCAACTCCTGAGCTCAAGCAACCTGCCCGACTCTGCCTCCCAAAGTGCTAGGATTAGACGCCCCAGGAGTTTGCATTTCTAACAAGTTCTCAGGTGATGCTGCTGCCGCAGGTCCAGGGATTTCACTTTTGAAAGCCACTGGGAGTGGGGTCTGCACTAGACCTTGGTGTGTACAAGGAGTTGAAAAAAGTTCATCAAGATCTATTTATCAACACACTGGTGTCACTTCTGGCCTCTGCAAGTTATCATGAAAGTATTAGGTAAAAATATATGCATTGCTGTACACAGGAGGTACAGTACCTTGTATTTATATTACATGTGGTTTATTTCATTTGACTGTCACAAATGCCAGGGAGATAAATCAGGTATCTTAATCTGACATAAAAATAAGCGTGACGCAGACAGGCTAGGTGACCTTAGCCTTGTCTAAGCACATTTTACATTATATAGGGCTCTTTCATATTGTTCCCAACTTCTAGGACTTTGTCACCTTTTGGAAAAGCAGAAATAAAATTAGGCACATGAAAGTTTAAATAATCAAATCAACAGAATGGATTTTAAGTAGCATTTTGTGCAGTGGAAAAGGAAGAAGTGAAACAAGCGATTTGCAAGCTCAGAAAGATCAGCGCTTTGTTGCTTAGGCTGAGAAAATCTCCCTCTCCACAAACATCCAGCTTCTTCCTGCTCACTGACAACTGCCACCAATTATCGCTCCACTTCCAGGTAGCACCTGAAAGTCACTTTAGGAACCACAGGCCACTGGTCTTCTCTTTGTCTGCCCATGCACACCAACTGGATTACTTAGCTCTTCTGGTAAAGCTCCTGGTTAAATAAGTTGTTAGTATGTCTTTTTTAATGCTTTGATTTAATTTGAATGGAAAAGACATGGTAGTCTACATACTTCTACCAAGATGAAGATGACCAAGATGTTCTTGAAAATCCAAAAGTCTAGAAGACCACTGGATGTCTTTTTTTTTGAGATGGAGTCTTGCTCTGTCGCCCAGGCTGGAGTGCAGTGGCACGATCTCGGCTCACTGCAAGCTCCGCCTCCCAGGTTCATGCCATTCTCCTGCCCCAGCCTCCTGAGTAGCTGGGGCTACAGGGGCCCGCCACCACGCCCGGCTAATTTTTCGTACTTTTAGTAGAGCTGGGGTTTCACCACGTTAGCCAGGATGGTCTCGGTTTCCTGACCTCGTGATCCGCCCGCCTCGGCCTCCCAAAGTGCTGGGATTACAGGCGTGAGCCACCGCACCTGGCCGAGGTCTTTTACTGTGTATGTTACTTTTCTTTACATTCAGAGTAGAGATGCAACTATTTTATTAAGCAAAGAATTGGCTGCATAAACGTCCACTGAAGGCACAAAAGCTAAATAGCTACCCACCAATAATCTCATTCAGTGAGAAAACTAGTCCAATCAGAGACCCAAGGAGTGGCTTCCAGTCACATTTGTACCTTTCCTTAAAGAACATTCTTCCTGTCCTTTTAGTTACATATGTTTATGTTTACATATTGCCAAAAAAAAAAAAAAAGCCAAGGTTTGGTGGAAATGGCTAAAGTAAGCTGTACTTTATTCACTCATAATAGGAAATAACAATTTCATATACTGAGCCCTGAGTTCAAGTTCACTTTTTTTTTTTTTTGAGAGGGGGGTCTGGGTATGTTGCCTAGGCAGATCTTGAACTTTTGGGCTCACGTGATCCTCCCACCTCCGCCTGCAGGGTCGTTGGGACTATAGGTGCATGTCACCATGCCAGGCTCTCAAGTTCACTTGAGATAAAGAATACCCAACACTGTGTAAGCATAGACTCCTGTCCAAAAGTGGTGGTGAAGCGTGAAGGGGGCTGTCCTATGGTGGTGGTGTAGAGAAGGGGTATGAAAGAAAGTGCCAGTGACCTTACATTTGATCCTTTCCAATGGTAGTAGTGGGGTGGGGGGGTATGAAACAGAGTCAGTGACCTTGCAATTATCCTGTCCACTGGCATTGGGGAGGTAGGGGGTGTTATTGACCCTTGACCTCACAATGGATCCCGTCCAACGGTGGTGGTGGGGGGACATGAAATGCAATCAGTCACTTAATCTTGTGCGGGAAGGAGGGGAAAGGAACCACGAAAAAGAGAATCAGCGAACTAACAATCCAGTCCAAAGGTGTTCCAAAGGTGTTCTCTTGGGAGTCAGGCAGGGAGGTGGGGGTGGGGCTGGGCCACGAAACAGAGTCAGTCTAGTTAGGCTGTAAAATCTAAGTGTCAGGATGCAGCGAACGGCAAGTCCTCCTCCCGGAAAAGGCGCCTGCGGTTGAGAAGGGTCTTGAGCAGCGCGGAGGATCGGATTCCGGGCTCCTGGCCTCTTCCCGGTCCGCGGGCACCTCGGCTACCTTTCGGCAGCGGAGAACCCAGCCAGAGGCGGAGCTGAAAGCGGCTGCACTTGCTGGGCTGGGCTGAGTCCCATGAGCCAGGGAGGGGGGTCTCTGGCGCCGCGCCCGGACAAAACACAAACGTCACAGAGGCAGCGGCGGCCAATCAGTGGAGGGCGCGCGCGGCCGCGTGCCCCTCGCGCTCCTCGCCTCCCCTCGCGCGCCGCGTACGTGCAGCAACCGACTCCGCCCAGCGAGGCGGAGCCTAGGGAAGCCGCGGGCGGCCCGCCGCTGTCCTGGAGCTGCTGCTGCTGCTGCGGCGGCTGCACCGGCGGCGCCGAGGCCGAGATCGAGGCCGGGGTGCGCGCTTCGCAAACGTGCCCTATCCGTGCGGCTTGGCTGCGCCAGCCCTTGCGGCCACCCGGGCGTCTAGGCGGGTCTGTGCGCCGCCCGGGCGAGGATGCGGCTGTTCCGGTGGCTGCTGAAGCAGCCGGTGCCCAAGCAGATCGAGCGCTACTCGCGCTTTTCGCCGTCGCCGCTCTCCATCAAACAATTCCTGGACTTCGGTGAGTACGGGGCCAAGGGTCCCCATGGGCCCGGGGCCGCCGCCATTCGGGCTGCCACCCCGGATCTCCGCAGCTTCGGGGTAAAGTCTGTGGGAACCGCAGGCGGGGCTAGGGAATATCCGGGGGGCTCTCCTGGGGCTCGGATTTCGGGGCGCGGAGGGGCAGGGCCTGGCCCCCTCGCACCCAGCCTGGGACTTACCCGGAGACACAGAAACGGCGTCTCATTGCAGGACCCTCATCGCAGGCGAGACTCCCCAAACCTGCGGTCGTTAGCTTCAAATCTGCTTGACACAAACCTCACAGCCCTTAAAACTTCAGAACGAGATGTGGGTGGCTTTTTAATGTTTTTATTTTTAGAATTTTTTTTTTTTGGTTGGGTAAGAACTGTTTAGAAATACCTTGAGGTTGAATAAATTATGCAATGGCATTTTGTTCCTTTTCTGCTCTAAGGTGTTGCTGTGTGGCTGGAGTGGCAGGACTCGAACTGTTGTCTTCATCAGGTTATGTTAAATCAGTTAGAGGCCTGGCCTGCAGACGCCTTAGATGCTTGGGAAGAGCGGACGTCTGGGATCCTAGCATCAGAGCAGGGTCTAATACAACTCTGGCTTTAGTGCCAGCACCTTTCGTTTCTCTTCTCCATTGGTGTCCCACCCACATTCTCCCTGTCCGGTGGGCTGGTGGGCGGCTTTCACGGATTGAGGTGGGACCAAAGAAGATTCGGGTTCCCAGCCTGCCTCAGGCCTAGCTGAGATGGGAATAGATTCCACCACCTTCTGTTAACTGAATCATGTTTCCCCAGAAAACGAAGGAGCTGGTTGTGAAACACCTAAAAGTAAAACGCATGCATTGAGGTATCAGAATGGAACTCAGCATCCCTGGAGGAAAATCAAATCCAGCAGCAAAGATGTTCTAAGCTCTCCAGGGGAAATCGTAGGGTGTCTGTTCATTTAATGAATTTTATGTAAATGTCAAGGGTGTCAGTGATAGTGTCAGTTGGGCATAAAAACTAAAGTGCAGAGTAGGTAGAACATTTGAGGAAGACCTGATATGCAAAAAGTGATGTCCATACTTTTTTTTTTTTAAAAGCTAGGATAGGAAGAGAGGAATAGGTTAAAGTTGAGACCAAATTAAAATTTTAGAAGCCAATTTGCCAGAGAATGATGATGAAAGTCAAAGTTCAATGACACGTTGATTTCTGCATCTTCAAACTTCACTCCCAAAAGCTATTGGTAGTTTTACTTACTATCTCGAGAATTGTAGAGGTTTGAGGCAGTTTCTGACTTTAGAGTTTAGAAAATGTTGCTATTGCTATAAATATAGGCAAGTTTTCCATCTTTATGGTTTAGGGAAGATTCTGAAGGTATCAGCCTTTCATTAGTGTAAACTGAAACAGGATAATTCACAATAAAAGGAACAAAAGGAATCCAGAAACTCCCAGTTCTTTCCACCCTCAAAGTTTAAGTGATAGCTCCAATAGCCAGCCAAAATTTTGGTTAGTTGATTTCCATAGCAGCTAGTGTCTACCCGTGTTAATAGGTATTTTGGTAAGGATGTTATGTGAGTAGGAAAACCACAGTGGAGGATAGTGTTATCATGGAAAACCTGTGAGGCCAGTATCTGGAAACAAATGTTCTAATTCTGGCTCTGCCACTAGCTCAGAATGTGGCCTTGACTAAGTGACCAAACCTCACTTGGGGTTCATTTTCCTCATTAATAAAATGAGTAGATTGTATCAGGCGATCTTTAAAAGCACAGCTCACCACTATACGATTGTGATTTCAAAGGAAGAGGCATGAACTTTCTAAAAGAAAACTACCAAATCTTTTGATAGATATTTCCTATAAAAGTCTTCTGACCTATTTTGGGAGGGGTGGAGGGATTCACTAAGGTCATGAGAGAAGCATAATAATTTAAGGTTTTCCTTATAAGGAAGCGCACAGAAGTGCTAGATATAGTTGTAGTGGAATTTGCTAGAAGTGACAAGGCTAGTTTGTAACACCCAGAGATGAATCAGGTGCTAATCAGCCTATCTTTAATGACAGGACAACTAAAAGACGGGAGTTGTTGCAAAAAGGCCATCTCTACTTCTACTTTTCTCTTAGTTCTGTCTCTTGATAGCAGTTCTATTTTGGCAATTGATGTGGGAGTTGGAGAATTCAGAATGGGTGTGGGATATTTTTAAGGTGAGGAGAGAGGAGGAGTGAAGAGGCTTCATGCCCCTGTATGATTAGAGAAAACTGCAGGAGAGGGCCAACTCAGGCACTTAAAGCACCAGGTAGTGGGCAGTGGATAAGTGAATGAAGCCAACGAGTTGAGGACCGTGATAAATTCCTGGTATATAGCTAGCTCCAAAGGGGCAGCTGATTGGCACCAATTCAGTATATTTCAAGAGAACTTTGGCATAAACAAAATAGATGGATGGATCAAGTTGGCCCACAGGCTGCTAGTTTATGAACTTGATGCCTTTCTCCATGGGTACTTTACAAATGGGACGTACATTTTGACTAGAGTAACTAGACAGGGACCAGAGAAAGGAGATACACAGGATATACACAATTTGTTACAACCTTGATAAATAGGCTTTCTTATGTGGATGTACTGCACATCAGTAAATAAGGAGATTATTTGCTATGTTCAAAAGTGGAGGCTAAAACTTGTTGTTACTTCAGAAGCTGTGCTTTTATTTTAAAGCAGGGGTTCCTGAGCCTCAGCACTCTTGCCATTTCAGGCCAGGTAATTTTGGTAGGAGCTGTCTTGTGCACTGTGGGAAGTTGAGCTACATCCCTGGCCTCTACCCACTAGATGCCATGAGCACCTCCCACTCCAAGTCGTGACAACCAAACATGTCTCCAGTCATTGCCAAATGTCCCCTGGGGGAGCAAAATGTCCCCTGGACTTCTGTTGAATCACTGTTTGGAAGTGTTTACTTGAGTGGTTTTCAGGCCAGGGCCTCATACTCTGAATTTTTGTTGTAAATGGTCTGGGGGTGCTGGGGGTGGAGAGCAGAGCACTGGTATTTTTAGGAGATCCCCCTGTCATTCTAAAGCATATCCAGGGTTAAGCACCATTAATCAGATGATCTTCTGTCTGATCTGCTGGCCCCCTTTCATCTATGTGCAGTATTTTTCTCTATGCTTTTTAAAATAATGAAAGTTTCTTGAACTCCATCTTGACTTGAAATATAGCCTGCCACACAGTTAGCAAATATAGCAAGAATAACAAGTGTTCTAAATGGATTTTTAATTTATTATGGCAATAGTACATTCCAAAGGGTGGCATTTTTTAAAATGAGATTTTTCTTTTGGGCCTAAGATTACAGTCACATGGTTCCAAATTCAGAGGGTTCAAAAGGACACAGAAAAGCCTGCTTCCCACTTGTGCCCACTGGCCTCCCCTTTTTTCGCATAAATGGCAGTTTATAGCTTTGTCTGTTCCTTGTTTTTTGAGCTTAATACCTTAGAGACAGATTTTTGTATATCTGTACCTGCAGAACTTTGTTTTTCTTTTTTATGGCTTCTGAGAATTTGGTTATATGAATGTACCAGAATTTATTAGCAACTTTCCCTATTGATGGCTACAATTAATAGGTTGTTTCTAGACTTTGCTGTGGCAACCTGCCCTCCAGTGAATTATTATATGCATTGTCATTTCATGCATGTCCGCGTGTATCTGTAGGACAGATTCCTAAACGTGAGATTGCTACATCAGCAGGTATGTGCATTTGTAATTTTGGCGAACATTGTCAAATTGCTTTCCATAAAGGTTGTTTGTTTTCCCCCTCGCTAGAAGTTTCTGAGAGTACCTGTTTTCCTATGCCTTCACCACATTGTTGTCAAACTTTTGATAGGTAAAAAAAAAATGATATATCTAGATAGAATTTTTTTCTCCTTGAGTAAAGATGTCTTTATTTTAGTTTTTTATTGTGGAAATTAAAAAAAAAAACTTAGGTGGGTGCCTGTAATTCCAGTGCTTTGAGAGGCCAAGACAGAGGATGGCTTGAGACCAGGAGTTTGAGGCCAGCCCTGGGCAACATAGTGAGATCCTGTCTCTAAAAAAAATAATAATAATAAATAAATAAGATTAGCCAGGAGTGGTGGTATCGCACACCTGGGGTCTTAGCTACTCAGGAGGCTGAGACAGGAGGATGGCTTGAGCCCAGATTGAAGCTGCAGTGAGCTGTGTTTCTGCCACTGCACTCCAGCCTGGGGGATGTACATGTATAGGTAAATACATATATAAATTTTATTGTGTATAATTAAGGTATACAACATGATGTTATGGGATACATATAGTTAAAAGGTTACTACAGTGAAATTAACATATCTATCATCTCACATAGTTACCCTTTTTTATTTTTGTGGCAAGGTCAGCTAAAATCTACTCATTTAGCATGAATCCCATATACAGTACAATTTTATTATCTATTATATATTCTTCATGTTGTGCATTAGATCTCTAGACCTTAAACATTTACAGAAGTAGAGAGAATAGAATGATGAACTCCTGGGTTTGTTTTATTGATATCCATTTGCTATTTGTCTGTAGATGTTGTATGTGTGGTCTGTTAGATTTTCTGATCAAAGTCATGCTTGTTTCAAAAAGATAAATTTTTGTTTTCAAAAAGATAAATTTTTTTCTTTTCCTATGCTAAGACTAATTTATCTTTTGAATTATCTGGTTCTTAAAGATTTGGTAGAACTTCATATGAAAGTGTTTAAGCCTGTATGTTTTGGGGAGTTTTGCTCTCTGATAGCTTTCTCTATTCTGTGTTATTGATCTCTGTAGATTTTCTGTCTCTTCTAGAGTCCATTTTGATATATTTTTCTTGAAAATTATCCTACTTGGCTAGGCGCGGTGGCTCATGCCTGTAATCCCAGCACTTTGGGAGGCCAAGGCAGGTGGATCACATGGGGTTGGGAGTTTGAGACCAGCCTGGCCAACATGGTGAAACCTCGTCTCTACTAAAAATACAAACATTAGCTGGGCATAGTGGTGGGTGCCTGTAATCCCAGCTACTGGGGAGGCTGAGGTAGGAGAATTGCTTGAACCCAGGAGGCGGAGGTTGCAGTGAGCCAAGATCATGCCCTTGTACTCCAGCCTGGGTGACAAGAGTGAAACGGCATCTCAAAAAAAAAAAAAAAAAAAAAAAGAAGAAAAGAAAAAAAGAAAATTATCCTACTCATTGAGGTTTTTAAGTCAGTTTGGATAGCTGAGATAGTTGTCACTGAACAGTCTTAATTTTCCCTGTGACATTTGTCCCCCCCCTTCTTCTTGAGTAGGTTAGTTGATGATTTATTGGGTTGGATTTATTAGTTTTATGACTTTTGTTATCTAGTTTATTGTCTGATTTGACTTTAATAATTCCTTCTGGTCTCAGGTTTATTTTGTTCTTTTAAAAATTAGGTGCTTTCTGTTCTCACTCATAAGTGGGAGTTGAACAATGAGAACACATGGACACGGCAAGGGGAACATCACACACCAGGGCCTGTCGGGAGGTGGGGGGGCTAGGGGAGAGATAGCATTAGGAGAAATACCTAATGTAGATGACAAGTTGATGGGTGCAGCAAACCACCATGGCACGTGTATACCTATGTAACAAACCTGCACGTTCTGCACATGTACCCCAGAACTTAAAGTATAATAAAAAAAATTAAATGCTTTCTTCTTTGTCTTGTTTATTTCAATGTTTAAGGTTAGTTATTCCTCTGAGCACTGCTTTAGCAGCTGATGTGTGTATTTGGTCTTTTTTCTCTTAGCTCTTCTGTGTCTTCAGGTTTTTATTTTCCTATGAATGAAGAGTTGTTTGGAGGAGTTAAAAATTTCCAGTGAAGGTGCATTCTGCATTTTAATTTTATTTATGTCTAGTTTTGTTGCACTGTGATTACAGAATGTTGTCTGAATTATTCTCTAATTTATTGATGTTAACTTTGAAGCTCATTATATGGTTGTTTTCTGTGAATGTTCCTTGGGCAGCGAAAAGAAGGTTATACTCTCTTCTCAGGTTGCAGAGTGTGATATGTCAGCTCTGCAATATTATGTTATTTAGGTTTTGTGTAACTTTACTTTTTTTATCCACCTGATTTGTCATGGATCAAACACAAGAGAAGTTAAAGTCTCCTAATAATGATTCTCTTTCTCCGTATAGCTCCTATTGTTTTTGCTTTATGACTATCAGTGTTATGTTTGATGCTTATTAACTCACATCCTCATTGTGAGATATACCCATTAGCATTAGAGTGCTGCCCTTTTACTAGTTGAAGGCTTTTTGGCCTGGATTCGTCCTTATTTGACATTGAGATCTAGTTCCCTATTTTCTTGTTTACATTTCCTGGGATAGCATTGCCATCCTTTTATTTTCAGTTTTTCTGAATTACTTCGCTCTAAATATGTCTCTAAATGTAGTGTAAAGTTGGGTTTTGCTTTGTGAATCAGTCTTTTTCATGTGGTAAGTTTAACCTATTTATACTTACTGGTATGATAGATCTGTCATCTGTAATGATAAGCATTTGTAATTTTCTGTTGCTTTCTGTTTTTAATACCTCAGTTTTCCTATGTTATATATTTGCTTTGTTTTGCCATATTTATTTTAATAAATAACTAGGCTTGAATTTTTGGTTCTAGTGGTTATCTTTATAGTTATTACTTTATTTCTATAGACCTTTGTCCCATATGGGTCACCACTTGTCAGCCAGGAGACCTTTGAGCACTTGAAATGTGGCTAGTGTGGCCGAAAAACTGAATTGACTTAATTTAAATTTAAAATGGATACTTGATGCAGTTAATTTTTACATCTGTGTAGAATAACTTGGATATGGAATCCACTTTATCACCTGTAAATTTTAGGAAATCTCTTTATAGGTCAATTATTTCTGATAGAAATTTAGCCTCTGAATTGAGATGTGCTTTCAGTATAAAATACACACTGGATTTCAAAGACTTAATATAAAAATAGTAAAATATCAGTACATCTTATATTGATTGCATGTTGAAATGGTAATATTTTAGATATGTTGGGTTAAATGGAATATTATCAAAAACTTTATTTCTTTTTTATGTTAATGTGGCTACTAGGAAATTTTAAATTATATATATGGCTTACATATTTCTTTCTTTCTTTTTTTTTTTTTTTTTTTTTTTTTTGTGAGACGGAGTTTTTGCTCATGTTGCCCAGGCTGGAGTGCAATGGTGCGATCTGGGCTCACCGCAACCTCCGCCTCCCAGGTTCAAGTGATTCTCCTGCCTCAGCCTCCCAAGTAGCTGGGATTACAGGCATGCGCCTACATGCCCAGCTAATTTTGTATTTTTAGTAGAGATGGGGTTTCTCCATGTTGGTCAGGCTGGTCTTGAACTCTCGACCTCAGGTGATCTGCCCACCTCAGCCTCCCAAAGTGCTAGGATTACAGGCATGAGCCACAGCCCCTGGCCTGGCTCACATATTTATATTGGACAGTGTGGCTTCAGATAATATATGTTAATTCCTTATTGGGAGCAATGAAAACATCACATTTTAATGTTCAGAATAAACATTTATTGGCTGGGTGCAGTGGCTCACGCCTGTAATCCCAGCACTTTGGGAGGCCGAGGTGGGTGGATCACGAGGTCAAGAGATTGAGACCATCCTGGCCAACGTGGTGAAACCCCGTCTCTACTAAAAATACAAAAATTAGCCAGGCATGGTGGTGGGCGCCTATAGTCCCAGGTACTCGGGAGGCTGAGGCAGGAGAATTACTTGAACCTGGGAGGTGGAGGTTGCAGTGGGCCAAGATTGCGCCACTGCACTCCAGCCTGGCTAGAGTGAGACTCCGTCTCAAAAAACAAAACAAACAAACAAACAAAAACAAAAAAACCAACCACACATTTGTTGAATTTATTTATTTATTTATTTACTTATTTGAGACAGAGTCTCACTCTGTCACCTAGGCCAGAGTGCAACGGCTTGGTCTTGGCTCACTGCAACCTCTGCCTCCCGGGTTCAGGTGATTCTCCTGCCTCAGCCTCCCGAGTAGCTGGGATTACAGGTGTCTGCCACCACGCCTGGCTTATTTTTGTATTTTTAGTAGAGACGGGGTTTTGCCCTATTGCCCAGGCTGGTCTCGAACTCCTGACCTTAGGTGATCTACCCGCCTCTGCCTCCCAAAGTGCTGGGATTACAGGCATGAGTCACCGTGCCTGGCCTGAATTTATTTCCTGAAATATAACTTTCACATGTCTTGTTCCATATTTTTTTCTATAAACCTCTCTGGATTTTTGGATCAATGTATTGTTTTTGACTGGCAGTTAATGTTATGGTGGCTCCTTGTTATATTTGCACAAATTTGAGTTCTCTTTCCCTTAAGCAGTTGTGATAAATTAAAAATTCTCTTAATTATATAAGAAAAGGAGAACTTGGACTATTATGGCATAAAGATAGAACCTTCTGAATGTTGAATGAGTTGGTAGGAAATGATTCACATTTTCTTTTGGACTTGCTTTTCATCTTTCAGTCTCGCCCTGTCGGCTTCTGGTTCCCATATTAACCACTTTTCTCCCCTCCCTGCAGACTGACGTCCCATTTGTTTGATTTTCCAGTTACTTTTGCACAGCCACACTTGCATTAAAGAGATTTTGCTCCTGCCTCCTTTTCTTAGATTTTATCCTCAATTGTCTCTTTCCAAAGGGCAGGCGCTCACCTCTTTTTTGTAACCTCTTACAGCTTCCTCAGCTCAGCTTGCTCTGCACAGAGCAGGTGCTCCATAAATGGCAATTACTGATGGCATGCCTGACTCCATATCGAGGTTATTAAACATTATGCCACTTTCATTTAGTCAGTTATATAAGTTTATTTTATTTATTTATTTATTTATTTATTTATTTATTTATTTATTTATTTTGAGACGGAGTCTCACTCTGTCGCCCAGGCTAGAGTGCAGTGGCACCATCTCGGCTCACTGCAACCTCCGCCTCCCAGGTTCAAGCAGTTCTCGTGCCTCAGCCTCCCGAGTACCTGGGACTACAGGCATGCGCCACCACGCCCGGCTAATTTTTGTATTTTTAGCAGAGACGGGGTTTCACCGTCTTGGCCAGGCTGGTCTCGAACTCCTGACTTCAGGTGATCCACCCGCCTCTGCCTCCCAAAGTGTTGGGATTACAGACGTGAGCCACTGTGCCCAGCCAAGTTTAAACTTCCATAGTGTCCCCATGTGTAAATATAGCATCTCTCAAAACCACCAGAAAGCAGATTGCTGATAGCCCTGCCGTCTTTTCACAAAACTAAATATTTTGATTTCTGTCATAATCACACCGGCTCTGTGAACCTCAGAGCCTTTAGCTCTTAGAAGGTAGCGGCCAGTTTCCGCATTCTTACTATTCTTAAAGTTTAAGGGCCCAGCCATCTTCTTTTCCTTTAGAACATATTTTAAGATACTTTGGAGATACTTTGGTTCCAAATGACTCCCTTTCGCAAAGTCTTGGCTTTTTAAGTCATTTTGCTCCTTGAAGCCTGATCACCACTGGGGACAACAGTGATTGCGTTCTTGGAGAAAATGGAAAGGTTTTTAAAAAAATTATGTTAGGAAAAGGGAAAAACAATCTCATTCTGCTTCCGAGTGTGTTTATTTTGTACCTTTACATATGTAAATGACAGATTTTTTTTTTTTTTCCCTGTAAGCAGTAGTTTTTCTGCTACAAGGTGTCACCAAGAATTAGACCAACCTGTTTGGAGAAAGGGATCAACTATTCAGAATTAAAGGGGAAGAGAAAAATTTAGTTGAGGGTAAAGATATCTAACTTGGCTTATTGCATCTTGACCAGTTTTTAAATTTAAAGAAAGAATTGGTCCAGGCACTGTGGCTAATGCCTGTAATCCCAGCATTTTGAGAGGCTGAGGCAGGAGGATCGCTTGAGTCCAGGAGTTTGAGACCAGCTCGGGCAACACAGTGAGACCCCTGTCTCTACAAAAAAATAAAAAAATTATCCAGGCATAGTGGTGCACCCCTGTGGTCCCGGCTACATGGGAAGCTGAGATGGGAGGATCGCTTGAGCCTGGGAAGTTGAGGCTGCAGTGAGCTGGGATCGCGTCACTGCACTCCAGCCTGGACAATAGAGCAAGACCATGTCTCAAAAAAAGAAGGAGGGAGGGAAGTAGAAAGGGAAGGAAAGAAGGGAGGAAAGGTAGAAGACGGAAGGAGGAAAGGAAGGAAAGAAGGGAGGAAGTGAGGGCTTTTTGGGCCTTTAAGATCTGATAAGGCTGCATTTTAACATGGCGTGGTTTATCTGGCTCTGGGGCAGCTCTCAGGCACCAAAGTCATGGCTTTGGCCTCACTGTCTTTGTAGCACTTATGTTTTGTGTGCTTTTGAAAGTGGAGACAGCTGCAGTTACTGATCTATTGATGGTTGGGTGGTTTCCTCCCATTAAGCTTTTGGAAAATTGATCAGACTGTTGGCAAGGTTTGGGAAACCTTGGTTTTGTTACTGGATGGAATCTGAAAATATCACTGCTTTTTCTTTTCCTGTATATGTATAGGCATTCCATTATTTTACTTCCATGGTAATCTGATTTTAGAGTTGGGCAAATCCTTTTATTTTAGGAATACCCTGGTCTAAGAATGTCAACCTATAGCCTGAGGGCTGGCCACCTGTTTTTTTTTTTCTAATTAATAGACTGTTTTTTAAAAAGAGTACAGTTCGTCCTCCATATCTGTGGGTTCCACATCCATGGATTCAATCAACCTCAGATAGAAAATATTCAGAAAAAAAATTCCACAAATTTCCAAAAAGCAAAATTTGAATTTGCCTCACCTTGAACACTATGTTGAATCCATGTAAATGAAATGATGTGTAGGCCTTGTAACTAGTCTAGAGATAATTTAAAGTATATGGAAGGATGTGCATAGGTCATATGCAAATACTCTAGGCCATTTTATGTAAGAGACTCGAGTATCCATGGATTTTGATATCCAAGGGTGTCCAGGAACCAATCCCCCACAGATACTGAGAGGCAGTTTTAGGTTTACAGCAAAATTGAGCGGAAGTACAGAGTGCCCACAGAACCCCTCCCCACCCCCAAACACAGTCTCTGCCGCCATCAGTATCCTGCACCAGTGTGGGACATTTGTTATAATTGATGAACCAGCATTGACCCATCATTATCACCTAAAGTCCATAGTTTACATTAGGGCTCATTCTTTGTGTTGCACACTGCGGGTTTTGACAACTCCTGTTTTTGTAAATAAAGTTTTACTGGAACACAGCCATGCTCATTCATCACATATTGTTTGTGGCTTTTGTCCATCCACAACAGCAGAAATTGAGTATTGACAGAGACTATATGGCCCACAAAGCCAAAAATGTTTACTATCTGGTCCCGTACAGAAAGTTTCTTGTTCCCTGTTCTAAGACAAATCAGTTCCCTCTTTAAAGAACTGAGCAGTGATTGGTCTTAATTTCCATTTAAGTGGTAAAGCTCTGTTTCTCCTGTATGCTAGTAACAATAAACTTTGACTATCTGGAGTGTGACTTTTGGGGTAGTGAAGGCTTTTCCAGGTAATCGGGTGGTTTACCTATAGGATATCTGCCTCAGAGTGGAATTACCATATGAAAGCTGTTGACAGTTTATAGGTTTAATTTATCCAGGGCTGTCAGCAAAGTTTATCTGTATCAGTTTCTCCGTAGCCCTGCCAAAATGAGGTTTTATGATTTTAATCGCATCATAGGTAACATAGGAATGAAAAGTGCTTTTTCCTCTGCTTGGGTTTTTTGTCTGCTTTTTGTTCTGTGTAAAGTGCCATTGGCCATTTTGTAACCAGAATCTGAAGTTTTTATCATTTGCATAAATTCCTGTGTATATTTGGCATAGTAAGCTCTTGTGCTGTGTAAATATCGTTTCCTTTGGCAAAGTAATTATCAAAGTATAAAACTGAAGACATTTGGAAAGAATTGCTATATTACCTGTAATATGGGTAATTCATCTGTTTTTTTGTGATAGCCCTTCCTGCTTTTGCCCATATATTTACATGTGTTAACACTGTATGTTGGTTTCCTTTTTATCTAGTGCACAGTCTGAGTTTTCATATGCTCAGTGTTACCTATATCATTTACGGTGCTTTTATCATGGTCAGATTTGTCACCTATAGCAGAGTTTGTAAGTAGTTATTAAATCTCTCTGGAATCTATTGCCATTTTCTGATGAGCCTTTGTAGCTAACTCATTTTTACCCTGTTCTGCTGTCAAGTTGCCCAACAATTATTAAGACCTCAAGTTTTTCTCTTGAAACTTGGCTGTTTCTCTTTTATCTTGGCCGTTTCTCTTTGATCATATGCTAAGCTCTCAGAGTAGTTTGTATTTGTGGATTCTAGTCAACATGGCAACTTTTCTGATTTTAACTAAATATCACATTTTAACTTTGTAATTTATGTTGAAATTTGGTGAGGGCAGTTCCTTATTTATTACTTTACATTTTAAATAATTCTTGCTTTTCTTGTGTACTAATTCTTCTTGATAAATTAGTCATTGTGCACCTTGAATAGCATATCATCAAAAGTGTGCTAAGGGAACTGTGGATGGGTTACGTGGTGTTTTAGGGTTTACATCTTTGCCATGTACTTGGCATTGAAACTGGCATTGAGGCCGGGCATGGTGGCTCATGCCTGTAATCTCAGCACTTTGGGAGGACAAGGTGGGTGAATCACTTGAGGTCAGGAGTTCGAGACCAGCCTGGCCAACATGGTGAAACCCCATATCTACTAAAAAAAAATACAATACAATACAAAAAATCAGCTGGGAGTGGTGGCTCATATCTGTAGTCCCAGCTACTCAGGAGGCTGAGGCAGGAGAATCGTTTGAACCTGGGAGGTGGAGGTTGCAGTGAGCCGAGATCGTGCCACTGCACTCCAGCCTGGGTGATAGAATGAGACTCTGTCACAAACAAACAAACAAAGGAAAAACTAGCACTGAAGTATCTTCAGTTAGCCTATTTCGCTTTTATGGCAGGAAGGCTAGTTTACGCTATACTTGCCTTCGTGGGAGAGCTGGGTTTGATTGTGACCCATGGTGGATGTCCTTCATATCCCTCAAGGAGAACCCCATTCCTGGTCATTGCCTCATCTTAACTCTGAGATTAAACCTTTTGCCATAATGAATGGCAGAAAAATTGTAGTAAACTATTACATTTGCACAGGTCAGCATTTATATTCGCTCTAATTGAATACTTAGGGTTCTAACTCAGTGGTATGTTATTTCCCTAAGGGTCACCTAAACAGTTGTGATTTTATTTTCATTCTTGGACTTGATCTATGATTCTCCTTAACCATTTGAGTTGTACCAGTGTTGCTTTCTCTCTTACCAGGGCATGGAGGTCAGTATATAATAGTCTCACTGTTGGGAAGAAATTATCATCTCTCTAACATTTTCCCATACCATGAAGTTAAATATTTTGCCATGTGTTGCTGGCCAGAAAACAGTAGGGCCTTTTGAAATTTGTAACTTACATATATTTTCCCACAATTGTTACATTTTCATAGACCAGAGAACACTCAGGCTTCTATCTGAACCTTTTCTTGGATCTGTCCTAGTAGGGTATAATGTTTCCTTAAGCTTGCTAGCAGATATTTCTTAATACCAGCCTGTGGATTTTGTATAACTTTGGTTAATTTCTCCTCCTGATTCTGCTGTTAAATAGAAAGCAAAGTGGTTATTGCTGTATTACTGTTCCTGCATTGGTCATGTGATGTGCTCATGTGAGCACTTTATTTGTAATAGACTCTTCTGGGAGGAAGCTGCTTGTCTCAGGGAGTCTCCTGTTCTCTAGAAATTGCCCTTCATGGCCAGGGTACTGCTTCTTTTGTTAGAGCTCCTTACATATTCTCTACCGTGTTATCTCTGGCCTACATACTCCTATTCCTGTTTCTTTGACCTGAGCTTGACTTCAGTGAAGCTATTGGAGAAGGAAATTAAAATGGACTCTTGGCTGGGCACAGTGACTCACACCTATAATCCCAACACTTTGGGAGGCCGAGGCAGGCAGATCACCTGAGATCAGCAGTTTGAGACCAGTCTGGCAAACATGGTGAAACCCCATCTCTAATAAAATACAAAAAAAAATTAGCCAGGCGGTGGCACGTGCCTGTAATCCCAGCAACTTAGGAGGCTGAGGCAGGAGAATCGCTTGAACCAGGGAGGCAGAGGTTGCAGTGAACCGAGGTCGCGCCACTGCACTCCAGCTTGGGCGATGGAGTGAGACTCCGTCTCAAAAAAAACAAACAAAAAAAAAAGGACTTTATATGGCACCTGAAAAAGATTCAATAGATTCGACTAGCACTTACTGAGTACTTACCAACTAAAACAGGATATCATCTAATTCTCACAACAGCCATGCCCATTTTACCAATTAGGAAACTGAAGTTCTGAGCGGGTAAGAAGATGACTCACACGTATAATAGGTAGTAGAGCCACATGTCTGCCCGCCTGATCGTCTTACCACCTCTTTATAGCAGAGAAAGTAGGTGAGGGATTGGGCGCAGTGTGTGAGCAAAACAAACTGGAGGAAAGGACCATCGAGTGCATTGTCACCGCCTCCCAAGCATTACCACATCCTGAAGCACAGCCGTTTCCTTCTCGAGTTTGTTTAGTTTTTATCTTCCCCATTTAAGATCATCTGAAAGTGAAAGGGAAAAAAAGAGCTGACACTGAAAAGTCTCTTACAGAGTACAAAGATGTTTGTGATCAGTTTCCCAAGAGGCTGAAATAAAACTCAAAGGTGAAAATAAAGACAACAGTACATGGGTAAATAAAAAATTGGGGATGCTTAATAGCCATTGTCTGGGCTTGAGGAGTTCTTTGATTTGTTTACCCTCATTGAATTTTCTATGATTAGATGCTAGTCCATGGTTCTCAGTCCTGGCTGCTCATGAGAATTGTCTGGGGAGCGCCTGAAATGAGTGACACCTGCTCCCTACATAAACCAATTAAATCAATTGCTGCGGGTAGGAGTCTAGGTGCTGGTGCTTTTGGGTTACCCAGGCGATTGTGTAATAATATTCTTCCAGAGTTAAAACCACAGTGTTAGAGCTGGTGAAATTTTTGCCCAAGAGCTATGAACCACTTTAGGGGATAGAGTCTGTGAGTGAGATGCCAAAGGTTAACACCGAAGTCATTCTGGAGTCCATCAGCATTAGTTGAAAGTTCTGGATTTGGAATGAAATGGAAACTAAGAAGCATTGGGAAATTGCCAAGGCATATTCATTGCCTTTGAGGAGCTCATAGATAAATGAGAAGCTGGGACAAATACATAAATTTACGTATGCTAGTCAGAAGGATGAATCATATAATTTTGTGGTATCTTTTTGCTGCTGTCCCTACCTCGCCCTTAAAGGTTTTTGAAATAAGGGTGGTTTCTGGGAACAGGTAAGGTGTTAACCCAATTGTCCTTTATCCAAAATGTTGTTGGAGGCTTTCTGGATGGAGATCACAAAGAGAAGAACAAAATGTAAATGTGCATACTCTTTTTCTTTTTCTTTTTTTTTTTTTTGACAAAGTCTTGCTCTGTCGCCCAGGCTGGAGTGGAGTGGCGCGATCTTGGCTCACTGCAAGCTCCGCCTTCCGGGTTCACGCCATTCTCCTGCCTCAGCCTCCCCAGTAGCTGGGACTGCAGGCGCCCGCCACTGCACGCGGCTAATTTTTTGTATTTTTAGTAGAGACAGGGTTTCACCGTGGTCTCGATCTCCTGACCTCGTGATCTGCCCGCCTCGGCCTCCCAAAGTGCTGGGATTACAGGCGTGAGCCACCGCGCCTGGCCCCTTTTTCTTGACTTCCACCTTTTTTCCTTGGCTGTTTACTCCTAGCACTGCTCTCCAGAGTTTTCTTAGAATTTATATTAGTAGGCAAGGTTAGTGTATGATAAATAACTGTATAGAGAGACAAACAAAAATCTTATCCTCTTAGACTAATTCAGTGGGAACTTGAGCTTAGAGACTGATGTGGTTTGGCTCTGTGTCTCCACCCAAATCTCATGTTGAGTTATGATTTTCAGTGTTGGTGGTGGGGCCTGGTGGGAGGTGATTGGATCATGGGGGCAGATTTCCCCCTTGCTGTTCTCATGATAGCGAGTGAGTTCTCATGAGATCTGGTTGTTTAAAAGTGTGTAGCACTTCTCCCTTTGCTCTCTCTCTCTCCTGCCACCATGTGAAGATGTGCTTGCTTCCCCTTCGCCTCTGCCATGATTGTAAGTTTCCTGAGGCCTCCCTATCCATGTGGACTGTGAGTCAATTAAACCTCTTTCCTTCATAAGTTACTCAGTCTCAGGTAGTTCTTTCTAGCCACATGAGAACAAACTAATACAGAGATCATCTGTAATCTTCCCAATTTTACACATGAGAAAGTAGAAGCCCCAAGTAAGGAAGAGACTATGCCAGTCATCAGCTAGTTTTTGGTATAACATCTTGGCCACCTCTTCCAAAGGGAACCAGAAATTATTCTTTTTATGAGGCCAAGGGAACTTACATTTGTGTGCCACTCTCTGCTAAACACAATAGTGGTTAGCTGTAATTCTCACAGCGTCCACATTAAGTGTTTCCATTTCTTGGATGAAGAGTCTAAAGCTTAGATAGTTTAAGTCTCTTACCTAAGCAAAGTTAGGGGCAAAGCCATGGTTAAAATTCAGGTAGAGTGAGGTTTGTTTGTTTGTTTATTTTTTGGAGACAGAGTGTTCCTCTGTCGTCCAGGCTGGAGTGCGTGGTGTGATCTTGGCTCACTGCAACCTCCACCTCCAGGTTCAAGTGATTCTCCTGCCTTAGCCTCCCAAGTATCTGGGATAACAGGCACCCATCACCACGCCTGGCTAATTTTTTGTATTTTTAGTAGAAATGGGGTTTCACCATGTTGTCCAAGCTGGTCTCGAACTCCTGACCTCAAGTAATCTGCCCGCCTTGGCCTCTCAAAGTGCTGGGATTACAAGCAAGATTGAGCTTTTAAACCTACGCTCTTTTCAGTTTAACATAGTATACCATTGTCCCCAGTGCAATTCTTTATAGCAAATATAGTCTCTATTAGCAATGCTGAGGTTTTGTCTAAATTTATTCTGTTACACAATCAGGAAATGGTATAATCTAATGCTTATCTAGTTTTATTATTTCAGAACTATCAGATTGATACCTACTCCACTTACTTACAATGAAATAATTCTACTTCTGAAAACCACTACTTGTTAGTCTGCATTATCATCTCTGGGAATATGAGAAGCAGTATATACAGACTTGTACTCCAGTCTTAATTTCTGATGCCTACCAGCAGTGTGAGCCTGGGCAAATCACTTAATCCCACTACACTTCAGTGTCCTTATCTACAAAATAGAAATGCTAGTGGCTAATCATAGGATGGTTGCATTGATGAGATTGAGAACGTATGGCATAGTGCATAACACATGGTAGGTGCTTGGTAGATGTTGGTTATGAATTTACTATGAGAAGTTAGTGACACAGCATTTCCTTGATGAAGTCAGCTTTCTGCTAAGAATAAAAGCTGGGTAGGGAGCTCTTAACCTTGAATGTTAATTATCTTCAAGTTTATTGGCTGAAGGTCTCAGCTGTACAAAACTGATCATTTTCCAAGAAACATAGCACTTTCAGCTCTTTTGTGCTTTGAGAGTGACTTGCTTTGGATTCCCTTTGATCACTGTGATGGCTAACTAAATGATTTGCCTCAGTTAACCTCAAATATGAGTACAGTGTGACCATTAGCTATTCCTGCTTCCATGACAACAGGGCATCCTGTAACTCACCAATTTACCGTTAGGACTAGATTCTAAACTCCCTTCTGGAATTAGGTTGATATGGATGCATGGCGGCTTTGGCTGCATAGTGCTTGTTACTCACATGCTCTAGCTCGTCACAGCTTTATTTGTGACATCTGTTCTGAACACATCATGTCTCTTCCACTCTCTGGCCTGACACACCATATTGACTGTTACTGCCACTGTATTGTCTTCCTACCTGCCTTTTGGCTCTTCTCATGATTTTAAGGATTGAATACCCTTAAACAAATATATAGAATGAAGTTGGCCTGTAAGAGGGATTTACCGTTACCTGCAAATGTTATCTTGAACCTCTGAATTTTATTTGCTATGTTAAGTTTGTAACTAAACTTACTGGGTGTTTTAATTTTCAGTTGCGATCCGAGGTTTTTTTGTGTGTGTGTATGTGACACAGGCTCTCACTCTGTCACCTAGGCTGGAGTGCAGTGGCGCAATCTTGGCTCTCTGCAGCCTTGACCTCCTGGGCTCAAGCGATCCTTGCACCTCTCAGCCTCCGAGTACCTGGGACTACAGGTGCACACTGCCACATCCGGCTAATTTGTATATTTTTTGTAGAGACGGGGTTTCACCATATGGCCCAGGCTGGTCTCGAACTCCTGAGCTCAAGTGATCCTCCCGCCCCGGCCTACCACTGGGATTACAGGTGTGAGCCACCGCACCCAGCCAGGAAATTTTTTGTTGTTGTTGAGGCAAAGTCTCACTGTGTCGCCCAGGCTGGAGTGCAGTGGCACGATCTCGGCTCACTGCAACCTCCACCTCCCAGGTTCAAGCGATTTTCATGCCTCAGCCTCCCAAGTAGCTGGGACTACAGGCACGTGCCACCATAGCTGGCTAATTTGTTTGTATTTTTAGTAGAGATGGGGTTTCGCCATGTTGCCCAGGCTGATCTCGAACATCTGAGCTCAAGTGATCCTCCCACCTTGGCTTCCCACTGGGATTACAGGTGTGAGCCACCATGCCCAGCCAGGAAATATTTATTGAATACCTACAATGTACCAGGTATTGTACTAATGGACTCTTCAATCTTTTGAGGAATCATGATACAGGACATAGAACTCATAGAACTCAGTGACTGAGGCAGTGGCAGAGGGCATTGCCCAAGCACAGGGCACAACTTCTGGGCCCACAGAGAAATCCATTCACAGCTTGCTTTGGCTTTGTTATACAGAGCAGCAGTTTTCTCACTAGTCTGTGCAGATATATGTTTCAAAAGAGCAAACAAACAGGATTTCTAAAGAGAGGGGATCAAGGGACTACTACCTTAATTAAGAACTCTATCCCAATCACCTTCGTACCCCCTTTTCCTATCAGAAGAACAAAAATCATTACATGAAGGGTACCACGGGTGTCAGACCCCATTAGGAAGCTCTGCATATAGTAGCATATTTTGTATGAGATTTTTGTATTTTTTTAAAGAATAGAATAGTTCTAGTTATAGGAAGATTTTTATGAGTTACTTTGCCGTATTTGCTTTATTTTTCCCTCTCCATCCATCCCTATTCCTCTCTCTCTCTCTCTCTCTCACATACACATGCTTTATGCTTTTTTGCTGAACCATTTGAGAATAAATTGCAGACATCATGCCTCTTTACCCCTAGATACTTAAGTATGTATGTCCTCAGCTTAAGGGTATTCTCCTAATAACCATGATACAGTTATTACCCTTGGGGAATTTATCATTGATATAAAAATAAAATGGAACATCTAAATTTCCCTTAATGGGGCCAGGCGCTATGGCTCACACCTGTAATCCCAGCACTTTGAGAGGCTCAGGCTGGTGGATCACCTGAGGTCAGCAGTTCGAGACCAGCCTGGCCAACATGGTGAAACCCTGTGTCTACTAAAAATACAAAAATTAGCCAGGCGCGGTGGTGCACATCTGTAATCCCAGCTACTCGGGAGGCTGAAATAGGAGAATCTCTTGAACCTGGGAGGCGGAGGTTGCAGTGAGCTGGGATCGTGCCTCTGCACTCCAGCCTGGGCGACAGAGCAAGACTCCATCTCAAAAAAGTAAAACAAAAAAATAAATAAATAAATTTCTTGTAATGGCTGCCAGTTCCTATATTGGACAGTTCTCAGGTCTAGAACACTCTCAGAAGGCACTGTAGCAGAGGAGGGTGCTGAGCATAGTGCAGCAGAGCCCGGGGTGGGGGGATAGGGGACTCCTACCTCAGCAACGCAGCAGACCAGTAGCGGGCAGGAGTGGCAGGAAGGCTGGCTGGGTGCCAACAGGAGAATGAACTAAAAGTCTGCAGACAGAAGGGCCACCCTCTGTTCTGACCTCTAGAACATTAACAGCAGGCAGTTATCCCTATCGGCAAGGTAAAGGACAAAAGGGGGTTCTTCTCTAAAGACACTGATGGAACTATTTCAGGAGAATCAGGGAAGCTGGTGTGGTATTAGCGCCCACTGAAAAGCCCCAGTGTAATCAGGAATTCAGGGAGCTCTCTCCGCCAAGAGCCCCACAGGGCTCCCAGTCTTTAGCCTGCTTCCTTCCCAAACCTGACTGAACAACCAAAGATCACCACACGTCTGAGGGAAGCCTACAGCGAGAAAGAGACTAACAAAGACAGAAAAATGGACATTAACCCCCAAAAGAGACAAAATCTGACTGGCCATAAAAGAGTGCTTTAAAATATAATTTAGCAATAAATCATCTACAACCCCCCATTAACATCCCAGAGAAGATCGCATTTTCCAAAGATGGCCATGAGGATACTTTTCTACAGTGTGACCTTGGCACCCCTCTGTCAGGAGCAGGAGTCGAAATTTCCTTCTGGAGTCTGGGCAGGCCCTGGCTACTTAGCCTAATTGATTGTGGCAGACTAGGCCAGCTGTGTGACTTCTGAGCCTGGGTCATAAAAGGCCATGCGGCTGCTGTCTTTTCACTGAAGTGGTGGAAGGATCCAACTAGCCCGAAGCTGCCGTGATGTGAGGGAGCCCAGGAAGAGGCCACCCCAAGCTGCTCAGATGGGCAGTCCTAGTTGTGCAGTTGTCTGTCCCAAGCATCAGACTTAGGAGTGAAGGGGCCCTCGGATGTTTCCAGACCCAAGATCTAGTCACCCTGCAGCCTTCGGGTTTTCCCAGCTGAAGCCCAGATAAGCCATCCCTTCTGCGTGCTGTCTAAATTCCTGACTCACAGCATCTGTGAGTATCATAATATGGACTTTGGACTGAAAGAAGTCGTGTAATATCTAGATGTTTTGGGGCACTGAATTTGATAGGGAATAAAGTGTGCGTGAAATCCCCAGTATTTGGCTCTTTGTCTCTGAAGTTCTGACTCACTCTTTTTGTTTTTGTTTTTTTGAAATGGGGTGTCACTCTGTCACCTGGGCTGGAGTGCAGTGGCACAATCACAGCTCACTGCAGCCTCGACCTCCTGGCTCAAGCGATCCTCCTGCCTCAGTCTCCTAAGTAGCTGGAACTATAGTCACGCACCACCATGCCCAGATGATTTTTTATTTTTTTGTGGAGACTGGGTCTCCCTATGTTGCCTGGGCTGGTCTTGAACTCTTGGACTCAAGCAGTCCTCTTGCCTCAGCCTCCCAAAGTGCTGGGATTACAGGCATAATTGGCTCACTGTTATTAATAACCAAAACATGGTCTGGCCTAGAGTGGAGGCAGCCCCAAGTTTGGCAGATTCCAAATCTGCAGCCTATTTTGATCCTTCTTAAATTCAGAAATAAATGTTCTTGAACAAAGGAAAACTCTTAAGCTCTTAAGGCAGTGAGAAACTGCTCATGAAACAAAACAAACATTTTAAAAGTAGAAACTAAGTTTTTAAAAAAGTGATTCTTTGAAGGACATTCACAACCATTTGGTAGGTCTCCATTCACATGTCAGATTGTTTCTTCTGAAGGACTATTCAATTAATCATTGTTTAACCCTAGTAAATCAAAAAATTAATGACTTATTCTAAAATTCAGTGTTTTCAACAGATTGAAATCTTATAACTACAACTAGAGAAAAGAAGTTGAAGAGCTCACCTGCACACATGGACATAAACATGGGGACAACAGACACTGTAAACTACTAGACGGAGGGGGAAGTGGGCGCGGGTTGAAAAACTACCTATTGGGTACTGTGCACACTGCCTAGGTGCAACATACACATGGAACAAACCTGCGCATGTACCCCCTGTATCTGAAATAAAAGTTGAAAATTTTTTTTAAAAAGCTTAAAATAATATGTTCTCAGTTATATTTTACCAATTTAAACATGGCTAATGGGAAAAGTACATTGCCAACTCAGACATTTAGTTGGTGATATTAATCGAAAGCATTTAGTTGATGATATTAATAAAAATTATCAGAATGAGCTGGATCATTCTGTTGGGGTTTTTTGGTGCCTTGCGGGTAATTTTTCCATGTATTGCTCTTTATCTCATTATTGCCACTCCCAAACCACCCCCCAACCCCCACCAACTGCTAAAGCTGAACAATGGACAAAGAAAGCCTTCAAGTAATCCAGACAGAGGAGACTCTACATTTTAGGAGGCATGGTCTCTGTTGATTGAAGACAGTACAAAATATGTCCTCAGCCTCTGCTTTAATTAAAAGGTACTTACTATCAATCACTTGAACCTAGGAGGCGGAGGTGGCAGTGAGCCAAGATTGTGCCATTGCACTCCAGCCTGGGCAACAAGAGCAAAACTCCATCTCAAAAAAAAAAAAAAAAAAAAAAAAAAGACACTTATTATCAGGTGACTTGATTAATTGAAGAAATAATTATTTTTTCTGCCGCCTGTAAATTAGTCGAAAAGAGGATTAAAACGAAGCCAGGGTTATCAGCCACTATGTAAACCAGGTATAAAGAAATATGTCTGTGAGCTCCTGCTCTCAGGTGGCTAGCTAAACGCTCTTGGCTACCTCCTGGTCCCACCATAGGGAAGGCTCCCTGCATTACATTGAAAGTCATTTATATTTCTGTGTCTATTCACCCTAGGTCTTGGTGAATGTGAAGCTATATGGAACCTTTCTAGACAAAGCAAATCATACCTTTTGCAAATATAGTAATTGTCTCCAGCTTCCCAATAAAAGGACAAAGTATAAAAAACAAACAGAGGCCAGGCGCAGTGGCTCACGCCTGTAATCCTAGAACTTTGGGAAGCTGAGGCAGGCGGATCATCTGAGGTCAGGAGTTCGAGACCAACCTGGCCAACATGGTGAAACCCCGTCTCTACTAAAAATACAAAAATTAGCCGGGTGTGGTGGTGCATGCCTGTAATCCCAGCTACTCAGGAGGCTGAGGCAGGAGAATCGCTTGAACTCAGGAGGTGGAGGTTGCCGCCACTTGGTGAGCCAAGATTGCGCCACTGCACTCCAGCCTGGGCAACAGAGAGAGACTCTGTCTCAAAAACAAACAAACAAACCAGAAACAAAGGAGAATGAAAGGATCGTCAAACTTAGGAGAAAAACAGAAGAAATGCACATGAGTGTATTTGAGTCTAATGACCTGTTTGCATCCACTAAGTCAGAGTTTTCCAAGCCCCCTCACCTGCTCCCTTTGTCATCTTTGAACTGATACCAGGGAAAAACTTAATTGGTAAATTTGAATAAGATGAAGTATATTGAGAAATGCAGAATAAAAATAGAAAGTCAAAATTAAGGAATGTAGAGAAGCCAAGTAAGTAGGGAAAAAATGAAGTCAAATAATTGGAAAGCAGAACTGGAAAATACACAATATACCAGAAGACTTATCAAAACAGAACCCTCTGGCGAGGACATTCATTTAAAACCAAAATGTTTTTCTTGGTAAGTTTATTATTTAAAAAAAAATGGTTGTTAGAACCTTTTCATTTAAACTGAGTATCCGGCATTAATACATAGGAAAGATACTTTCAATGTACGTGAAGAAAGCACAGAAAGGTTATAAAAATCAGGCATTTCATACTTATTTTTAGGCTAACTAATTAACTAAAAAAGACTTATCCTCCTATTTAAGCTGATATATAATTAAGGTGTCTGAGTACAAAGAATTTGTCCCTAAACCTAATGTAGAATGTAAGAGACAAAACCTGAAATTTTCCAACTACTCTTTTTAAAAAATACGAACTTCTGGACTGAGTGTGGTGGCTCATGCCTGTCATCCCAGCACTTTGGGAGGCTGAGGCGGGCAGGTCACTTAAGGTCAGGAGTTGGAGACCAGCTAGTCCAACATGGTGAAACCTCATCTCTACTAAAAATACAAAAATTAGCTGGGCGTGGTGATGGGCACCTGTAATCCCAGCTACTCAGGAGGCTGAGGCAGGAGAATCGTTTGAACCCAGGAGGCGTAGGTTGCAGTGAGCCGAGATCACACCACTGCACTTCAGCCTGGGCAACAGAGTGGGACTCTGTCTCAAAAAAAAAAAAAAAAAAGAAAAAAAAAGAAATCAACAACAAACAAAGAAAAAAACAAACTTCTGAAAGCATTATCTATTATTTGAAAAAATCATTGAGAAGCTACCATAGGCGAGGCACTATAATATGTGCTATGGGGGATAGAGAGACAGATAAAAGTTTCTTTCCACATGAGTTTTATAACAGGCTGATAATCCAAGGAAGCTTGAAGAAAATGCTTCCTGAAATTTGGTTCTCTTAGACCATGCCTAGTAGTTGAGTTTTAACTATTGCAGAATCATCAGATGAGCCCAGGGAATGGGTTCTCAGGGCTGACCAAGCAGTAACTGACAGTTCGATTGTGTATCCCATGGCCTCAGACTATTCTGTTTGAGCATCATCAGCGTCATTAGTGATTGCTATTTAATTAGCCCCTCTTCTAAGTTTTAAGAATATGTGACTGTTAAATATTGTGGTTTATTAAGTTTTTATTTATAGAGATGGGGGTCTTGCCACATTGCCCAGGCTGGTCTCGAACTCCTGGCCTCACATGATCTTCCCATCTCAGCCTCCCAAGTAGCTAGGATTACGGGCGTGAGCCACTGCCTCTGGTTTAAATGTTAAGCACATGTTAACCCTCACCAAATCTCTGTGAAGTAGATACTGCTCTTTTTTTATAGGTGGTTACAATGAAGTTTAGAAGTGTAAAGAAACTTACCCCTGCTCATGAAGCTTGTGAATGCTCTAGTCAAGATTCAAACCCTGACCTTTGTCATCGAACTTCAGCACCTGACCTTTGTCATCAACGCCCCGCAGGACCATAAGCTTTTCTCTGAATCCTGAACTCAAAAAACTCTGAAAATTGAATTTCTTTTTCATATATTTGCTGCCACAACTCATTTTGTGGCAAAACCAGACCTGAACTGACTTGATTCCATAGTCCTTATCCTACTTACTGGAAATGTTCACGTATTTCACTGCAGCTATGTTGTGGCTCTCTAATACTCTGTATTGTACAATGTATGGTATAGACTCCTTTTTACCTTCCTAAAATTGAAAAACCTTTAAATTCTGAAACCATCTAGATCTGCAACTTCTAGAGAAGAGATGAGAAGCTGACTATGGCCACCTCACACCTGCCAGCCAGCTCTCACTGCTCACAACATGCTCGTATCCTGTGACTCCTAACAGGCTGCCAACTTGGAAATTTAAACATGTATACTTTCATTACCCTCAAAAACTCATAATTGTGAAAAAATTATTAGTTCATACTGATACTACCAGTTTCAGTTTAACACCAGAATTCTTCTACTTCTTCCCTATTCCAGAACTTCCTTTTTCCTCTTAAAGAAAAAAAAAAACTGGCTAGACATGGTTGGTGGCTCACACCTGTAATCCCAACAGTTTGGGAGGCCGAGGTGGGCGGATCACCTGAGGTCAGGAGTTCAAGACCAGCCTGGCCAACATGGTGAAACCCTATCTCTTTGTAAAAATACAAAAATTAGCCGGGCATGGTGGCGGATGCCTTTAATCCCAGCTACTCCAGAGGCTGAGGCAGGGAGAATTGCTTGAACTCGGGAGGTGGAGGTTGGGTGACAGAGCGAGACCCTGTCTCAAAAAAAAAAAAAAAGAAAAAAGAAAAAAAAATTATCTGATACTTGTTAAAGATGGTAGGGAAGGCTTTATTCAAGAGGGACCACTACAGTGGGAGTTTTGCAATAGTGGGGAGAGATCAGGTTGAACTCCTAATGCAACAAGGACAAGTGGAAATTTATAGCCAAGGAGCAGAGTGTGGGTCAATGGGTGGAAAGTTACTAAGAGGAAAAATCCAGGTTGGAGGGGATTCTTGTTGAAGGCAGGCCAGCATGATAAGATATCGAGGGTAGGGGGATCAGACACCAAGGGTAGGGGATTTTCACTAAAATGACTCAGCAGGATTTTTGCTGAGACTGGACTAAGCAGGTCAAGATAGAACCCAAAGTCGAGGCCTAGTCAGAAAGAGGACTCAGAGCCGGGCACGGTGGCTCATGCCTGTAATCCCAGCACTTTGGGAGGCTGAGACGGGAGGATCGCTTGAGCCCAGGAGTTCGAGACCAGCCTGGGCAACATGGCGAAACCCCCTCTTTACTAAAAATACAAAAATTAGCCAGCTGTCCCACCTACCTGGGAGGCTGAGGTGGCAGGATCACTTGAGCCCAGGAGGTTGAGGTGGTAGTAAACCGTGATTGTACCACTGCACTGCAGCCTGGGTGACAGAGTGAGACCCTGTCTCCAAAAGCAAACAAACCCAGAAGAACCGGTTTCAAGTTTGGTCAAAGGAGAGAGTCTTTGTCATCCCACAGTGAGAACATCAATGTTTCTTTTGTGATTTAAAGATAATTTCCTTTCTGTTTAGCCAGGATGCAAAGTATTTTTCCTGGCATGTGAAAAGCTAGACTTTTATTTTAACTTAGATAATAGGGAATTCATTTTATAATGAGATTCACTGTGATAAATATCAGCAATTTTATTGCATTTAAAATTAAAATTATATTCATCCAGAACCTTTTAGGAATAATATACAGATGCTCCTTGACTTACAGTGGGGTTACATCCTGATGAATCCATCATAAGTCGAAAATATTGTAACTCAAAAATGCACTTGGCCAGGCACAGTGGCTCATGCCTGTAATGCCAGCACTTTGGGAGGCCAAGGTGGGTGGATCACTTGAGGTCAGGAGTTCGAGACCAGCCTGGCCAACATGATGAAACCCTATCTCTACTGAAAACACAAAAATTAGCCAAGCATTGTGACGGGCGCCTGTAATCCCAGCTACTCGGGAGGCTGAGGCACGAGAGCCGCTTGAACCTGGGGGGTGGAGGTTGCAGTAAGCGGAGATCATGCCACTGCACTCCAGCCTGGGTGACAGTGAGATTCTGTCTCAAAACAAAAAAGCCCTTAATAATTAGATAAACCCATCATAAAGTGAGAAGATTAAACAATCAAAAAATCATAAGTTGAACTGTTTTAAGTTGGGGACTGTCTCTATATTATTTGAAGCAAAATGACCAGAGCTGGCTGGGCGCGGTGGCTCATGCCTGTAATCCCAGCACTTTGGGAGGCCGAGGCGGGTGGATCACGAGTCAGGAGATGGAGACCATCCTGGCTAACACAGTGAAACCCCGTCTCTACTAAAAATACGAAAAATTAGCCAGGCGTGGTGGTGGGTGCCTGTAGTCCCAGCTACTTGGGAGGCCGAGGCAGGAGAATCACTTGAACCCAGGAGGCGGAGGTTGCAGTGAGTCGAGATCATGCCATTGCACTCCAGCCTGGGCGACAGAGCAACACTCCGTCAAAAAAAAAAAAAAAATGACCAGAGTCATTTTAAATGTTAATTGCCTAAGGCCAAATGAATGTGTATAGAATAGATGTTGGAAGGTCATTGTGGGGGCATTACACCCCTTCTCCTCTTACTTGAAGTGGGTATTTGGGGATTGAGGTACTTATCACAGTGAAAGTATGAAGGAGAAAAGTGAATCATCATTTAGTTAAAAGATTTACCAAAGGCCTTCAATATACTCACTTAGGATGAGGGAAATGAGGGATGGATTATTTCAGACTTTCATCTTTTATTGTAACTTTTTTGAGAATGGAGAAGGGGGTCAGGGATGAGTGGGGAAGAAAGGTTCTGCAGATTACTTTCTAGATTAGGTTCTTTTTTTCAAGTTTTATTTGGTAGGGAGAGCAAATGAATAAACCAGAATATGACTGGAAGTGTTAGAAAATTGGATTCACTTCTGAATCTCTGACTTGCTGCCTTCATGACGTACAGAAGAATAAGGAGAGTTTGGAAGAGAAAATTGTTAAATGGCTCTGCTCGTCTCTCTCTGGGCCTGGCCATGATGTTGCCCATTTCTGTGCAGCCTCCAGGGAATATGGAGCAGCAAAGAGGCCTAGGCAGGGCGAGGGAGATGGGATGGACCCCTCAATACCACGGAGACCGGAAGGACCAGTGTTTGTCCAACACTTGCTCCGTGTCAGCCTCCATGCACAGTATCACATTTAGTCCTTACACAAACTAGTTTTATCCCCATTTTACAGATTAAGGCAGCTGAGACTCAGAAGTGAAGAAGCTTACCAAAGGTTTCACAACCTGCAAATGGAGGAGTTGGGGCTGGAGAACATTTCTGTCTCCAAAGCTCATGCCTTTTCTATCAGGCCCTCCACTCCCAGCCACCATGGAGTTTCCAGCAGGGCTGGGGGTTGCAGGCCAGGCTGATGCTAGAACTCTTCCTGCCACATGACAGCAGGGGAAAGAGCTCAGGTTTCCTCTTTTAAGTGGCCAGGTATGTTTCCTCTCATGGCGTCTTGTTTATGTAAATTTTATGCACAGCTAGCTCAGGGAAGCCTCCAGAAGGCACTGACCTCCTTCCTTATGGTCAACCCACATCTTACCCTCTCCGATGTGGCATGGTAGATCACTCTGCCTCTGAGTATACCCAGGAGATAGTTTCTCTGGCATGTTTCTCTGGCACATGCCAACCCTGTGTCTCAGTCAGAGCCCCTCCTCTGGAAGCACAGGGTCTCTGGGGTCTGTGGCTACTTCCCAGAGGGGCAGAGCTATGGTCCCTGAAGAAACACACTGGAGGAAAATCTTAGGAAACAGTTGGCACACACAGTAGGTAAATAATTGTGAAATGAATGGATCCGTTGCCTCCTGGAAAGCCCTATGAATGGGAGTGGATTTACACGTTCTGTTACCTTTGTACTTGGCAGTTTTCCCATGGTGTTTATTTGAAAACAAGTTCAGATTATATCCCAGGTCACTTTTGTATTGCCGCTGGTAACACTAGGAACGTTTTTGTGTTAAGAAAAAAAAACTGCTTTCAAAGTTGCCTCTTGTAATGAATGTTCTTTTTCTCTGCTAATTAACTTATTTTCTTGAACTTGCTATTTCAAAGGATAAAAATTCAACTAGAGACTGCAGGATTATTTAATTTTCTCTTTCCAACCAGTAGTAACCGTGCTACCGTGGGAGCACTTTATTTCTCCATCTGTTAGACTATAAAATCATGGAACATTTTTCATGTCTTAATAGGGAGAGATAATGCATGTGAGAAAACTTCATATATGTTTCTACGAAAGGAACTTCCTGTGCGGCTGGCTAACACAATGAGAGAAGTTAATCTTCTGCCGGATAATTTACTTAACCGCCCTTCAGTGGGATTGGTTCAGAGTTGGTAAGTAAACAATGTGGCTTAAAATGGATCTTCCCACAATGCTGTGAACATTTGGCAGCGAGACCATTCTCTGTAAAAGTGCACATACTGCCCGTCTAGGTAGGAATGAGTCATTTGGGATAGCTGGGTTTTCCATGCAATTAAAAGTTGTTTTGTTTTTTTTCTTTTAGAGCTGTTTGTTTTAAAGTTGTTTTAGTGAAAATGCTTGTTAAGTTATACTAGACACTTTCCTGAGTTTTTCTTGTGTGTGGTGGGATTGCAGTTCTTCTGACAGGATATTTGCTGCTTTTATCAAGTCTTAACCTTACTCCTTTCGTTTTCCTTGTAAAGACATTCCTTGAAGTCAGTACTTCTTGTAGAACAAATTAAGTCATTTAAAGGGGAACCTCAGATTGGAAAAATATCAGTTCCCTCCTTTGCTTCATTTGCTCCATGAAAAGTAGGAAAAATTTTGACAGAGTATAACATAAACTTAAATCAGTTATAGCTCTGATGCTTAAAGCATATGTCATTTAACTGAAGAAGTTGAATTTGTGACACAAAGTCCTGGGCCACCCGTGCTTTTGACTGAGTGGCTAGACATTGAGTTTCCATGCCCCTTTTCTCAGATTTGATAATTTGCTAGAACGGCTCACAGAACTCAGGAAGATACTTCACCTATGTTTATAGGTTTATTAGAAAGGGTACAATTCAGGAACAGCCACATGGGAGAGATGCATAGGGCAAGGTATGGGGGGACACATGGAGCTTCCATGCCCACTCTGGGCACACCACCCTCCCAGTACCCCCATATGTTCACCAACCTGGAGACTCTCTGATGGTCGTTCAAGGGTTTTGATAGAGCTCAATCTCCAGCCCTCTCCCCTCCCCAGAGGTTGAGGGTAGAGCTGAAAGTTGCAGTCCTCGAATCACTTGGCCTTTCTGGTGACCAGCCCCATCCTGAGGCTATCTAGAGGTCCCGTCCTAAGTCACCACATTAGCATAAACTCAGGTGTGGTCAAAGGCGGCTCCTTATGGATAGCAGAAGACAATCCTATCATTCAGGTAGTTCCAAGGGTTTTGGGAGCTCTGTCCAGGAAGCAGGGACAAAGACCAAATGTACTTAAATGTGTTATATTATTCCGGCAAAGTATAGGCTTGAACAAATTGCTATGTCAACTCTATTGTTTGGTTTTTGTCTTTTAACTGTTCCTTTTCCGTATCCATTCCAAACAAATGCATGCCATTTCTTCCTTCTTGTTTCTTAAACATTCTATTTTGAAATACTTTCCTACTTAACAGAAGGGTTGTAAAACTGGTAGAAAGAATTCCAGTATACCTTCACGTAGATTCACTAATTGTTAACATTGTTAACATTTGGCAACGTTCTACCATTGTCATTCAGATTCTCTCTCTCTGTCTCACTCTCTGCATACACACACACACACACACACACACGTGCGTGCACACATATATATAATCTATGTCTATATATGGTACACACACCCATATATGGTACACATACACGATGTCTACATCATGCCCCTTTGCCCTAAATACTTTAGCATGTATTTCATTGGAACAGGTCTCAGAAAACCACAATGTGATCATCAAATTTGGGAAATTTAACATTGATACAGTAATGTCTTCTAATATGTAGAACTTGTTCTCACTTTACTACTAATTGTCCTGATACTACCCCCATCTTTTTTTTTTTTTTTTTTTTTTTGCAGTTTCTCCTCCTGATTTAGGAATCCACTTCAGGATCATGCATTGTGTTTCACTGCCATTTTTTCCTTTTAAAAGCGAATCTTATGCATAATGGGCTGTGACCCCCACCACCATCCCCTTGGTCACAGTGTGTCCTCCTTGCTCTCTTGACTGTCAGGCTGGGAACCTCAAAATAATCTTTTTTTTTTTTTTTTTTTTTTTTTTTTGAGACAGAGTCTCTCTCTGTTGCCGAGGCTGGAGTGCAGTGGCGGGATCTCAGCTCACTGCAAGCTCCGCCTCCTGGGTTCATGCCATTCTCCTGTCTCAACCTCCCAAGTAGCTGGGACTACAGGCGCCCGCCACCATGCCCTGCTAATTTTTGTATTTTTAGTAAAGACGGGGTTTCACTGTGTTAGCCAGGTTGGTCTCGATCTCCTGACCTTGTGATCCGCCTGCCTCGGCCTCTCAAAGTGCTGGGATTACAGGTGTGAGCCACCGCACCTGGCCCAGAATAATCTTTGGCTCCCTGCTATTTATGACTTTCTCCAACTGTCCCCTTTGGAAAGGACGGGATGCCTACCTAGCTTGCTTGCATGTGGCAGGGCGGAGGGCATCACTGGGGCTGGCTGGCTTTGACCTCTTGGCGTTTTGACCCAATGATTTTAACAATATCTAATCCATAGCCTTATATGCCCAGAGACTTTTATTTATTTATTTTATTTATTTTTTTGAGATGGAGTCTTGCTCAGTCGCCCAGGCTGGAATGCAGTGGCACAACCTCGGCTCACTGCAACTTCTGCCTCCTGGGTTCAAGCGATTCTCCTGCCTCAGCCTCCCGAGTAGCTAGGACTACAGGCATGTGCCACCACGCCCAGCTAATTTTTTGTATTTTTAGTAGAGACGGGGTTTCGCCATGTTGGCCAGGCTGGTCTTGAACTCCTGGCCTCAAGTAATCCACTCGCCTCAGCCTCCCGAAGTGCTGGGATTACAGGCGTGAGCTAACACGCCCAGCCCCCAGAGACTTTTAAAAAGTATGTCCATCAATGAACATTCATTAGTATCAAATGCATTGTCCAAAGTTCACATGAAGCTGATGAATCAAGTGGCATTCTCATTGGAGTATTTATATGTGTAACAGTCATTTTTAGTTACTAGAGTGTCCTCATCCTCTATCCAAAGGTGTAGATAATAGGATTAGTGGCAATTAAAGCTTAGAAATAATTAGAATAAAGGGATAATTCTTTCAGGACATGTTAAAACCCCAAATAGAGATCACATATCTCTAATTGGAATATCTGAATCCCCACCAGATCCAACAGATCCTGGCTGGATATAGCTGCTGCACTAATGGGCCTCTCTGGATCTCATTTTTCTGTGTTCTCCAGATTTTAATGTTGGACAGACTGTTTCTTATACTGGCCCTGATTGAGATATGGAGCTATTCTTAATCCAGAAGCTGTTTCTGAGGGTTTAATTGGCCTTCTTTCTCCCCCATTAAGTACTGATGAAATTAATTTAACTCAGAAGGACCCTTCTTCACTTCTAGTTTCTAAGTTCTTGGCAGGCACTTCAGTGTCACACATGTGTTTCTTAAAATGTATAAGTACATTTTTGGTAATCAAACTGTAGACTTGGTATATAAGTTAGGATATGTCTGTTTGTAAGTAGAAAAAATGCAACCGAACCTGGCTCATGTCACTAGAAGGTCCAGCCGTAGGGTGAGCTTTTGGTGTTGGTTTGATTCAGAGATTCATGAAGCTATCGAGGCCCTGCTTTCGATGGTGCTGGCTTCATTTTCAGACTGGATTCCCCCCTGGTGGCAGAATAGCTGCAGCAGTTCCAGGCTTCCAATCCACACAGCACTGCACAAAAGCAGAGCAGGTTGATTTCTCTGCCAAAGTCCTCTAGCGAGTCTTTTCTGTCATTTTACTGGCCTGAATTGAGACAGTATGTCCATTCCTGAGCCATTCCCTGTGTTCAGGGGAATGCACACAGTGATAGGCTTAGACCTAAACTATTGGGCTAATGAATAATTAGTGACAAGAGAAATAGAATTGCCCAGAGAAAAATGGGACCACCCAGGATCTTTGGAGGCACTGGCTTCCCTGATGCACTTAAGCCACATGGGGGATGCGGATGGGATGGAGACCTGAGTGAAATTTTGGAGTGTTCTTAGGAAGAGGGAGAGGAGGGGTGGATGCTGGGCAGGCAACTAACATAGTAACTCTTCTTTTTCTTTTTTTTTTTTCCTTTTAGGTATATGCAGAGTTTTCTTGAACTTTTAGAATATGAAAATAAGAGCCCTGAGGATCCACAGGTCTTGGATAAGTAAGTATGGTACCACTTAGCTGAAAGTAAAAATATCTAGGTAAGAAAGATTTTGGTAAATGTAATTCAAGTCATTAAGACTCAAGGAGTATGAATGTGGACAAAAGCGTTCATTTTCTTAATGAGTAGTGACTCAACATTGAGTTTTTTTTTTTTAATTCGAGCTAAGAATGTAACACAATACAAAAGTAATAATGACACTTTCAGTTTTGCTTTTATGATCTAATACTTAATACCTTTACCCAAGGTGAACTGGGCAGTCACTATAAACACTGCAGTAAATGTTCCATCTAGTGGTAGTTTTAAGAATGCAGTGGCCTTTTTATATACATGAATTTATCTACTCAATCCTTTACAATTAAAAAAAAAATTTCAATAGGATATTACATTTGAGCTCAAAAACTGTAGTGGTTTTATTTTGGAGAGGCATAAAAGTATGTTTTTTTATATAGCAACCTGAATTCTATTGCTCCCTTTATGCACAGACTGGCAAATTATCATGCTGATGAGATTCATTTTTATTTATCCCAGGAACACTAACTCTAGCTGTGAGTATGTTTTCCCCTCCAAGAGAAATTAAATATCCCTTTCACATTAATTTCTTCCTGTTTCATGTATATGTAAGTGGATGCATATGGTAGGCCTGTTGTGCTGAGAAATTTCTAAGTATAAACTAGTCCACATAGTTATGAGACTGAACACCTGACTTAATAGATGTTCCATAAGAAGAACTAGGGAAACACCATGTTATACAAGCAACCTTAGGAGGTATTTAACCCAGTCCTCTCAATCCACAGATAAGGAAACTGAGTTCAGAGATGTGAAGTGACTTGCCCAAGATTGTGACCGTTCATAGCAAAGCTGGACCTATAAGCTATGTTTACGTCTGAGCCATGAGTAGCTAGTTCTAGTCTAGTTGTAAACTAAAATTCAAAGGAAAAACAAAAGCCCTCACCTATTTTATACTTTGTTGGGTGTTTGTCTGATGGATCTGTGAAGTGTGGAAGGCAGGGAAGCATTGGGTTAGAGCCCCAGATGTAGCGTTTTCCTTGATATAAGCCACTGCTGTCATTTAAGCGATTATTAAATGAATTCAATCCAGGAGCTTTGTTTTCTCAAAAGTCATTAGCTGGTAACCGTTTGGCAGAAATCCTAAAACCTAGGGCTGACCACTGTAGCTCCAAATTTTAGAACAAATTTGTAGAAGTATAGTTGGTCCTTTGTACTGGCAGTTTCCACATCCTTGGATTCAACCAGCCACAGATTGAAAAGATATTCAGGAAAAAAAAAAGCAATAAAAAATAACAATGCAACAATAAGAAATAATACAAAATTTTAAAATACAGTCTATCAACTGTTTACATAGCATTTACATTGTATCAGGTATTATAACTAGTCTAGAGATGATTTAAAGTATCCGAGAGGATGTGAGTAGGCTGTATGCACTATTTTAGATAAGGGACTTGAGCATCTGAGGATTTGGGTATCTGCGGGGATCCTGGAACCAGTCCCCTGCGGATACTGAGAGACGACTATACACGATGTTAAATTTCTGCTGTGTTTTTCCCGGAGTCCCGTCTCAGTTTCTGGAACAGGTTATCCGATGTGATTTATGGCCACGAGCCTGCTTTGCAAACTGTCAGTGCTGAATCCAGTGTGTGCTTGACGATAGCAATAATAGCTGAGCTCTCACTCCGTGAGTTTTGTAGCTTGCCTAGGTTCATGTGGTTAGTTATGATAGTTGGCATTTGAGAAGGCTGATGTTCTTGGTGAAGGAAGGAGTGAAAGGTGAGCGAGTATCATGGTAGCAGCCTTTTCTGTTTACCAAGAGGTTGTATGGGATCACCAGCAGGGAAATCATTTTAGTAAAGCAAAAGTAGCTTAGAGGACAAGCTTGTTGATCATTTATGATAGAGTTTAGAAGAGCCCGGAAGATTGGAGGAGAATTCTGAGCATTGAGCCATTGAGGTAAGTCTCCCCACTTCAGATAAGTTGAGGCACTTCTCTACTATAATGAATCGTTTCACTTTAGTAATATTTAACTTACAAATACATTGCAACGAGTATTACATAAAGGACAAATTGTCTATTATAAAATTTTTTGTGAATGACGATGGCCTAATTTCAGAGTTTTACATCTTTATTGTCATTGTACGTATGTATTTGTTACAGAAATATTTCGTCAAATATTTCATCAAATATTTCAGAAAAATAAGACTATTGAGATAAGTAAAAAGAAAGTCACCCCAAATTTCTACTACCAGGGGACAACCACTATTACTATTTTCCTTTCTTCCGTGCTTTTCCCTAGGCATGCATATATTTATATGCGTAAAATATTTTTACAAACATAACAAGTGTCAACATTATAGATCTACACCATTATTAATAGTTTCATAATATTCATGTTAATAGTCCATCTTCAGATAGTTCATGCAATTTGATCTTCTATCACTGGATTTTAGACTGGTTTGTAGTTTTCATGCTACTATAAACAATGCTTTAAAGAACAGCTTTTAAATACATCTGTTGGCCGGGCATGGTGGCCGACGCCTGTAATCCCAGCACTTTGGGAGGCCAAGGCGGGCGGATCACCTGAGGCCAGGAGTTCGAGACCAGCCTGGGCAACATGGTGAAACCCTGTCTCTACTAAAAATATGAAAATTAGCCAGGCGTGGTGGTGGGCACCTGTAATCCCAGGTACTTTGGGAGGCTGCAGGAGAATTGCCTAAACGCGGGAGGCAGAGGTTGCAGTGAGTCAAGATTGTGCCACTGCACTCTAGCCTGGGCAACAGAGCAAGACTCTGTCTCATAAATAAATAAACAAACAAACAAACAGCTGTTCACCTTTTCCAGTTATTTTCCTAGGATCAATTCCTCCAAGTGGAATTATTTTCTTTGGGCTTTTGCTGTATGTTGCTGATTGTCCTGAGAAGTGCCTCAGTTAAGCCCCAAACTCTAGCTGATGCTGATACGTGGAGAATAATAAGTATCACATTGTTTTGATTTGCTTTTCTTATTTGTAAGGGTGACGTTATTGGCATTTGTGCTTCTTCTTTGGTAAATTTTGCATTGATAGCAGATCCTTTGCCTAGTTTTCTGATGGGGTGCTAGTTTTTTCCTTTTTTTAAGTTTTTTGTTTTTTTTCTACTTCATTTATTAATGTGTGTCCCTATAGGATTGCTAAAATTCTACATAGTCATATCATTTGTTTCTTCACATTATTTGTTTCTACCTTTGATATTAAGCTTAGAACAGCCCTCCTTATCCCAAGATTATGTACTTATTCACCTGATTTTTCTGTTATCATTTCTGTGATTTCACCCTTTTACATTTTTAATCCAGTATTTGGTTTTAAGTCTTGAAATTAGGATGTGACTGAAATTGTTAGCCCGCTGTTCCAGTTAACTTGATTATTAGTTTGATTGTTTACCTACTGATTTGCAATGTCACTTTCTCAATATGCTCGATTTTTATATATACATACTCACTCATGGGCCTGGTCCTAAACTTTTTATTTAGTTCCATTGACTGACTTGTCTTATACCATTCTTAATGTATTTTCCCATATGCATATTTACAATAAGATGCCAGATACTTGAATAGTTTAATTTCCTGTGTTCTGTCTGCATTTCATCACTGTATTTTACTGCTGCGAGATATTTATTTCCAAATTTTACTCTTAAACTGTATGAGACACTTTAGGAGGCTGAGGTGGGCGGATCACGAGGTCAGGAGTTCAAGACCAGCCTGGCCAATATGGTGAAATCCTGTCTCTACTAAAAATACAAAAATTAGCCAGGCGTGGTGGCGTACACCTGTAGTCTCAGCTACTCGGGAGGCTGAGGCAGAAGAATTGCTTGAACCCGCGAGGTGGAGGTTGCAGTGAGCCGAGATCACACCACTGCACTCCAGCCTGGGTGACAGAGTGAGACTCCGTCAAAAGAACAAACAAACAAAACCCAAAAAACAGTGTGACATTATTTCTTTATTCATGGAAGCTATTGCTTTGAGATTGCTTTAATCAGTCCTTGGAGATTTTGTGGGGATTGTCCTCATGTTCTCAGAAGAAGTACTGATATGTTCTGCAATTCTTTATTCAACTTTTATAGAACCTGTGTTATATGCAATCACTTATCCAAAAAGTCTGGATTCCTAAAAGGGTATTTGAGCATTTTTTTTCTGTACTAGAACCTTTTACTTTTTGCACTTCTGAAAGAAGGGTTTCTGTAGAAAAAAAGTTTCAAGCAAAAACTTGGCTCATACTTTAGTTTCTTGTGGGTGGTTCCTTGTTCTATGTAGTAAGAATAATGTCTCTACTTATAAAAATACCAGCAGACAACTAGTCTGGGGACAGAGCTGGGAAGTCTGTGCATCAGCCCATGAGATATTAAGACTGACCACGTTTTGTTTCCCTCTCACACAGCTTTCTACAAGTTCTGATTAAAGTCAGAAATAGACACAATGATGTGGTTCCTACAATGGCACAAGGAGTGATTGAATACAAGGAGAAGTTTGGGTTTGATCCTTTCATTAGCACTAACATCCAATATTTTCTGGATCGGTTTTATACCAACCGCATCTCTTTCCGCATGCTTATTAATCAGCACAGTAAGTTGGAGTTTGTTGGTCCAGTTTTGAAAAGGTAACCATAGTGATTTCTCCCAAATGTTTTCCTGTTGTTAATTTACTGACCTGCATTTTTGGTTGTAGAAATTTCATTTCTAGTTCGGTTTTTCCTAAGTGAATCCTAGCCATTACAAAGCTATTAATTTGTATTCTTGGTTAAAAGAAATGTTTGAAAGGCTTTTATGAGGCTCACATTAGAGACAGGACCACTGCCTACCTTTTAAGTCTCTGCTGATACAGTCTTGATGGGGATGAGGGACCGCCTTTAATGGCAGCCGGCCTTCATCTCTGAATACTTTTATGTATCTCAGATTGTATTATTTTCTTTATCCAGGATATTATGTGTTTTCCTTTTTAGTTTTAAAAACATTGACACTGGAAATATTGAATTGGATGTTGGTGATAGGAGCCATCAGTTCTTTATTTCACAGTGATCAGTGAAGTCAGATTAAGCCAGACTGTCAGTCCATAATCCCGTATTGAGAGTTTTAGTCTGCTCTTGAGGGTACTAAGCAGATATGAAAAAAACAACTAAAATTCCCTCCACACAAAAAACTTTTTGGCTCATCTTCAGCACTGTCTCTTTGGCTGATTTTATAATCCTTGAGGAAAAGCATCCACATGTCTAGAGCATAATTCACCCTGTTTGCTGCATCACAAAGTGGACAAACCATCTTTATTTTAGTAATTTGATTTATTTGGATAACTGAATGTTATAGAACTATTAAATGTGGCCTTATATTAAATGTATATCTTCAAAATGGAAATGTATGACAATTTACAGGAATAAAAGAGCCTAAATACTGTTCAACTAAACTACTTAGATAACTCCAGTTGCTTTCTGATCTAAATACACATGTACACATATATACGTGCATGTTTTTAGATCATTAGTTAGGCCTACACATCTCTGTTTTTCTTCCCCTTAATCAGTTCGAACTTTATTAATTAGCCTAATGCCTGTATTTATCATTTTTCATAGTTTAAAATATCCCCTATTTTATTTAGGCATCCTTCTTTTGTTAGTCGCAATTTTTGCTTGATTTAAAAATAAGAACACCTATAAATATTTGGATGCAGATTGCTTTTTTCTTTGGGGCTTCTTTTGGCTTTTATTCAGAAACAAAATTTTGCAAATCTTGTATATTGTGAAATTATCTGAGTGTATTTTTAAAAATACTTGAACAAGTATTGTTTGTGTACACAACATTGAAACATAATCTCCATGGGGGAGGCATCTGAAATGCTGCCAGCGAAGACACTTTGCAAGCTTGTCCAAATGGTATAGACCACATGTTCTAAATATTTAATGAAAGTTGGAGTTTGTGTCTGGAGTAGTACTAAGAAGGTGGGTATACTTGACTAAGGATGAAAGTAAGTTTCTTCATCCATGTCACATTGGGAGAGGAAGAACGGATTGGGCACCTGGCACGTGTCACTGCTTTAGAACCTGCTGACTGCAACTGACAGACCTTAAACCACATCCTCCTCCTTCATTGACCAATAAGAGTTGTTCACCCATCAATTGTGTGTATTCCATTGCTCTAAGTTGCTGTGGATGCTAAAATGATTTTTACACATAAGATATCCTTTCTAAACATAAGCCCCTATATTTCCCTGTGTGACCATCCCAGCCTGCTGTGTTTTAATCCCCTCCCTTTCCTTTTGTGTTCGTCTAGCACTTCTGTTTGGGGGTGACACTAATCCTGTTCATCCTAAACACATAGGAAGTATCGATCCCACCTGTAACGTGGCGGATGTGGTGAAAGGTAAGGAGACCGTTGTAATGGTATCGATCGTAGTTCAAATTGGATTGTGGTTTATTGGAGGCAGCTTGGCTATAGGGTTATTTTGCAGTGCAGTCTGCTGATTCATCAGGTCACTCTGGGCCCAAGCCACTGGATCCAGATGAAATGTTCTTTCTAGGCAGTTCAGGTAGGCAGTTCTTTCTAGGCAGTTCAGCATAATTGGTAAGGCTCAAAATGTGAGTTTCTACTTTATTGATTAGAGTTTCATTTGTAGTTCTGTCTCAAACAGTAAACATTTAAGTAAGATTCTGATTGCCACTGTTATCTGAAAATTTCAGAGAATCCAAATTCTTATCATAAAATTAGGTTGAATTCACGTGTCTATAAAATTTAAACATATTTCTGTTGTTCACATCTGGCTTTAGAATTTATGTGGCATGTAAGCTTCATGGGTTCATTGGACTTTAAGCTAGACATTGTTCCAGTATCCTCCGGGAAGAACCAAGCCCTATATCCGTAAGTCCCTGGTACCCAGGCACTTTGAATTTGAACAGCAGTTTCCTCATTATTTATTCATTTAAGATCAATGCTATCTCCAAGAAACCTTCCTGGTTGTGAGCGATCCACCAGGTACCTCTTCAGTTTTCTTCATTGTTACGGTTACTTTGTGCAACCTCAGATCCCCAAATTGTCCCTTTCTGCAGATTGTATCTCCTGTGTTGGCCTTTATCTCCCTTCTTTAAACGCTCACCTCCCAAGTTTCATGGCTGCAATTCTCTCTGATCTTCATCAAGGATCTTCATTGCTCTTCAGCAGCCATAGCAAAGGAAAACCTCTGTAATTTGTTTACCCTGGGCATTCCTAAACCCAGGGAGGAGGACCAGACCTGTTGGTTTTAGCTTAGCCTAGGATTGTCTGGCTGCCCTGGCCTCTGTTGAGTCACAACAGATTTACTCACATTATTTCAGTTGTAAGGTGAATCAGCCCAGCCTCAGCTCTAGGAATCCTATTGGTTGCTCTCTCACAAGATAACTTTGTGGTTGATCAGAACCTCCAAAGGCCTCCGGGGGCAAGGAGGAAAGGGTCAGTCTTATCATAGCTTACATGTTCATTAGGCCTTAGCTCAGTGCCTTTTATGAAACAGAAAACTTGGTTCAGACAGTTGATTACCCCTTTGAGAAAAAGGCACAATTTAGAAAGCAAAAGTGCATTGTGATATATGGTATGTGTGCATTTTCTCTTGAACTGTAACCAATTTGAGGTCAGGGTTTGTGTCTTATATTTGTTTTATAACTTGCATAGAACCAACTGTAGTGCTTGTGTAGGTGATTAATAAATATTCCTTGGTTTGATACATTTTAAATCTTTTGAGAATATACTTTTAAAAACAGCTTTATTGAGATACAATCTCATATGATAAACTTCAACCATTTAAAATGCTCAATTCAGTGTTTTTTAGTGTATTCACAGAGTTGTGCAACCATCACCACAATCCAGTTGTAGAACATTTTGTTTTTTTCTTTCTTTTTTTTTTTTTTTTTTTTTTTTTTTGAGACAGAGTCTCGCTCTGTCGCCCAGGCTGGAGTGCAGTGGTACGATCTCAGCTCACCGCAAGCTCTGTCCTTCGAGTTCAAGTGATTCTCCTGCCTCAGCCTCCTGAGTAGCTGGGACTACAGGCGCATGCCACCACGCCCAGCTAATTTTTGTATTTTTAATAGAGACGGGGTTTCACCATGTTGGCCAGGATGGTCTCGAACTCCTGACCTTGTGATCCACCTGCCTTGGCCTCCCAAAGTGCTGGGATTACAGGCGTGAGCTACCACACCTGGCCTGTAGAACATTTTCATCACTCCAGAAAGAAACCCTGGACCTGTTAGCAGTCACTCCCTTCTACCCTTCTCTTTAGCCCTAGACAACCACTAATCTACTTTCTGACTCTGTATAGATTTTCCTATTATAGACATTTCATATAAACAAAACAATACAATATGTGGTCTTTGGTAACTGGCTTCTTTCACTCAGCATAACATTTTCAAGGGTCATTGATGTCATAGCATCTTTCAGTACTTTATTCCTTTTTATGGCTGAAAAATATTCCATTGTATGAATATAACACATTTTATTTTTCTCTTCATGTTAGTTGGGTGATCTCAGACTTGATTAAGTAACCTCTTTGGGGCTCAGATTCTTCATCTGTAAAATGATGCTCTTGGTAATTCACCTATATTGTAGAGTTAAATGAGTTCATATTTGTAGAACCCCTAAAGCAATGCTAGTACACAGTAAAGGCTGTAGACAGGTTTACTAGCAGCAGACAGTCCTTGGGTGTCAGACATGTCATTTGGCTTCCCATGTACGCCATTGATTATATAATAGGTTGGTGCCTTTATTTTGTTTCTGGCATAAATTATAAAATATTTTTTAAAGTCATTTCAGGCTTTTATAAGACAATTGGAAATTTGAACACTGGATATTTGACATTAAAAATATGTTAACTTTTTAGGTGTGATATTGGTATCTGGTCTTGTTTTTATAAAGGAGTGCTAGCTTTGAGAGAGGTATTTAAAAATATTTACACATGATATGAAATGATGTGAGATTTGCTTCAAAATTATACACAGGGAGGGGAGTGAAAAGGACTGGGCATTTGTTGAAAATTCTTGAGGCTGTTGATGGGCACATGGGCTCATTATACTATGCTCTGTACTTGGGTATGTGTTTGGAATTCTTCACGGTAAATGTATGAGTCTGTTCTCATGTTGCTATAAAGAACTACCTGAAACTGGGTAATTTATGAAGAAAAGAGGTTTGATTGACTCACAGTTCTGCAGGCTGTACAAGAGGCATGGCTTGGGAGTCCTCAGGAAACTTACAATCATGGCAGAAGGGTGAAGGGGAAGTAAGCACGTCTTCACTTGATGGCAGGAGAGAGACAGCGAAGGGGAATGTGCTACAGACTTTTAAACAACCAGATCTCGTGGGAACTCACTATCATGAGAACAGCAAGGGGAAAATCTGCCCCCATGATCCAATCACCTCCCACAAGGCCCCACCGCCAACACTCAGGATCACTATTCAACATGAGATTTGGGTGAGGGTGCAGAGCCAAACCGTATCAATGAAGTTTTAAAAACACTTGTTTTCATCATCTTATTGTTTCTGCACAAATAAAGTCTTTCACTAATTTTTAGGGAGCTTTTAACCAAGAACCAGTACAACTAGATAAGTAGCAGGGAGTTTTATGAAACTGTTACCACTTCTATAGAACAGAGCGATTAAGTGGTGCTAAAGTGAGTCAGAGGTGTCAGAGTGTGAGGAGGAATCGACTGTGATTTGACTCTTAATGTGAACAGAATCGATCGTTTTATGGCACTTACTGTCTGTGTTACTCTTCTCTCATATTTAGTACATATTACCTGGCCTTGTCATTATTTGTACTTTCTTTTTTTTTTGGAGATGGAGTCTCGCTCTGTCGTCCAGGCTGGAGTGCAATGGCGTGATCTCGGCTCACTGCAACCTCTGCCTCCTGGGTTCAAGCAATTCTCCTGCCTCAGCCTCCCAAATAGCTGGGATTACAGGCACCCACCATCATGCCCGGCTAATTTTTGTATTTTTGTAGAGATGAGGCCATTTGACCAGATGTTGGCCATGCTGGTCTTGAACTCCTGACCTCAGGTGATCCGCCCGCCTTGGCCTCCCAAAGTGCTGGGATTACAGGCATGAGCCACCATCCCCAGCCTATTTGTCTCTCTCTATCTAGGGTGTCAATTTCTAAAGGTCTGGAATTATTCTTATACGCTTTTGCATCACTCCTCTTAGGGTCAGAAGTTTTGTACCAAAAAGTAGCTGAAGGTTATATGAAGAATAGTTCAATACATAATTGAAAGAAAAAACCCTGGAAGTTTATGCCAATGTCTACCTCATAGCTTCCTCTTTGCTTTGTCCCTTTTAGACACAGTTTTGACCCTGAGCCACAGTCCCCTCCTTTTTCTTCCCTCTTCTTGTACTCACAGCTTTATCTTTAGTCTTTCTCCTGCGCTTATTAACTATATTATACCCATTATTGCACTGTGAACAAAGTTTACTGCTTCCCTTACTTAATCATTCCTGCCACTCACTTAGCATAATTAAAGCTTGGAGTTCCTGGTGAAGCCCTATACAATAACAGTCACTTCTTGTGCCCTTTTGTGACTCAAAATCCCTCTTCCCCCAACACACACATACACATACACATGCACACACACACGCATGGACATGTACACACATACAAATCCCACCTCCACACTCATGGGGTAAGCAGGAAGGACTGGCATGCTCCCCATTCCCCACGCCTCTCTCAAACCATGGTTTTTCATCTCTCAACAGCATCCTCCCTTAAGGAAAAAAACAGTGGAGGTGGTTTCAGATTCCGAAAGTGTATAACCCTCTAAAGCAGCAGCCACATAATCAACTTTCTGACATCCTTCATTCCCTTCATAAACGATGCATACCGATACCCACAGCACACTAAATACTCTTGGCTTATGTGTGTTTTCTGGAATGCTTTTGTACTTCTGCTTCCACCTGGTGAGGTGCATGCTTACTAAGGGTCACTTATTTGTACCCAAGCCCTTGGTGTAAGTTATACTGACTGTTGTGACTATATAATTTATTTAAATGTTATGTAAACTGAAGAAATATGCATACAAGAAAGAGACTTATTTCTGTTAAAACCAAGTTGAATGCTTTGGAAGGACTCTTAAAAATGTTATGAAATTACTGTGAGTAAGAAAACGATTAGATTACAGGGCAGCACGGAGTAAAAATCTTACCTGGAATTTATACCCAGGTTGCTTCACAAGTATCTTTAAGTTTATTATACTTTAAAGAAATAGGAATTGGAATTCATAGATGTAAGTGATATTGTTCATCCAAGAAAGACGAACTGGAACCCCAAACTGATCCACATTCAAAGGAAAGGCCTTATATGAATATACTGACAGATAAATAAATTGTATGTTCAAATGTGCATTTTAAGTTAATGTTTACGATAGTAATCACATTTTACGGTTTCCCACTTTACCCAACATTTTTGTTAATCATCCAACTCCTTTTCCCAGTTGGGATAGTTAAGAAGACTAATGCCATTTTCCCAAAATAATAAAAGTGCTCATCGAAGAAAGTTTAGAAAATATGGGAAAAGAGAGAAGAGAATAAAAATTACCTGTTTTCATAATTTAGTGAGAACGTTGTTTTATACATTTGAACTCATATCAGATTTATAGATAGGTGTGTAGCTGCAAATATTGTGTCTAATCTTTGTCTCCGTGAAATCCATAGTATTTTTGAATTTCTCTATCTCCAGCACTAATGCCCATCACACACACCCTTCCTGGCTGAATTTGATACCCCATGGTAGAAGCCTCTATCCTGCTGTCTGCGTCAGTATTTTGGAGTTCTTCCTGTGTCTAATCTGTGATACTCATTATCTGTATATTTAAATGGTCTTTCCAGCCAAGTGTGCATAACCTTTATTCTGCAGTGGGGGATTGGCCTTACATCAGTTACTTTTTCTACCCTGGCAAATGGGCTAGGCAACCTAGAAGGAAACCTGCAGGCCTCTCTTTTCCTTGTAGACCAAAGCAGATGTCTCCAGTCGACTGTCTGCTTCATTTCCTATGGACCCTCCTCTTAATTTTTTGAGCATCAAATGCTTATGCAGAAGCTCTTTCTACCTCCAAGTAAGACTGAGAGAGAATAAAGAAGGCACAGAGCGCCAAAGGTTGAAAGGCCTGAAATTTCTTCTGTGTCTTCTAGCTAAAAGGCACTGGAGTCTCCATCCCCAAATGCCCCAGGAGCAACCATCAGAAGGTCTCAAGAGGCCCAGGCCTCACCAGCTCTTCTTACCAATCCCTGCCAAGTGTTGCCAAGGAAGGGAAGAAATGGATGTCAGCCTCTTTTGACTCTTAGTGAAGTCTTACTGTTGCCTTCCTCTTTTTAGAGTAGTTGGTATTTTCACCCTGGCTTTGTACCTTCTTCCACTATCCTCTGAGATTTCTTAGTTAATCTTCTAACTCAGAATCTCTATAGCTAATCTTTTATTTCCTTCCTTTTGTTTTAAGCAGTTGGATGTTACGAGAGTAAGGGCTCCAGGTTTTAATGACAGCCCTACTAATGATTTTCTTAGCTGTGAGAATCCTACATGGTTTAAGCATAGTCAGATGTCCAGCCCAAATGACCCTGTGTGGGCGTCTGTGTGTGAGCCTCTTTGTGTGCACACATGTGTGTTTTATAGGTTTAATAAGTGTTGGCTAGGTGCAGTGACACACACCTGTAATCCCAACACTTTGGGAGGCCAAGGCGGGTGGATCACCTGAGGTCAGGAGTTCGAGACCAGCCTGGCCAACATGGTGAAACCCCATCTCTACTAAAAATACAAAAGTTAGACGGGCATGGTGGCAGGCACCTGTAATCCCAGCTACTCAGGAGGCTGAGGCAGGAGAATCGCTTGAACCCAGGAGACGGAGGTTGCAGTGAGCTGAGATTGCGCCATTACACTCCAGCCTGGGCAACAAGAGTGAAGCTCCATCTCAAAAAAAAAAAAAAAACCACACAAACAACAACAACAAAACAAGTGTTAAGCCCACTCCCATCCTTAGATCTCTTGAGACAGATTACAGAAAACTCCCATGTAGAAGAGTAGAGACAATATTTTTATTTTTGACTAGACAGTTGTATCAACATATAAAAGTGGGGTGCATCTTGTGTAGCATTAATTGAATGTGCAGAACACTGAAACATGCCTCCTTGCTGCTTATTTAGCACCTTAGTATCTACCTTTACACATCTACAAATTATAGACCCCAGGTAGTGAATGCTAGAATTAGTGTTGTAAAGCAGGTCCTATTATCCTTTGGGAGGTGCCTTCCACTGTGACCCTTTTCCCTCCTTTCTTTGTAAGAAGCTAGGAAATAAAATGGAAAATCCTGCTGTAAGATCATTTTGAAAGTATAAACTTAAATACTTGGTGTAAAAATCGATTCTCACAGCGATGCTAAGTTGCCTGTGTTGTTCTTACATGCTATTACTGCTTAATATAATAGCACACAAGTGGTATCCTCAGAGCGCGTGGCATTATTCTGGTTCAGAAATAATGTCTTGTGCTCTCACTTTGGGCTCTTCAGGTTACAAGTAACAGAGACCCACTCACGCTAGCTCAAGAAAGATTTATCAAAAGAACCTGGTAGGTCCCATGATAATCCAAGGACAGGAAGCACTTTATAGTTGGAGCTATAGAAATTGGAATTATCAGCCTGGCCAACATGGTGAAACCCCATCTCTGCTAAAAATGCAAAAATCAGCCAGGTGTGATGGCGTGTGCCTGTGATCCCAGCAACTCGGGAGGCTGAGACAGGAGAATCGCTTCAACATGGGAGGCAGAGGCTGCAGTGAGCTGAGATTGCACCACTGCACTCCAGCCTTGGTGACAGAGTGAGACTCCATCAGAAAAAAAAAAGAAATTGGAATTAGGAAACAGAAAACAAGGTTGTTTTCTGTGTGTCTTTGCAGCTGGAGTTGCCAAGTCATGGCCTTTCCGCCTTTCTCTGTGCCTGCTCCTTTACCTGTTTTTGTCTGTGTACTGGACGACTCAGTGGCAGCTTGTTGGGCACTCTAGTCCTTCACAGATCATGATAATTTTCAGTGTACCATTTTGGCTTCTGCCCTGCCTGATCACCCCAACTGTCTTGATCCTAAATTCTCAAAAGATGCATTTAATTAACTCAGCTTATCTTTTTTTGCCCACGATCTTGATTCTGAATTCCCAAAAGATGAATTTAATTAACTCAGCTTATCTTTTTTTTTCTTTCCCCCTACGATCACAAGTTTTAGGATTCTGATCAATCTGGAGATTGGATATTCTGCTCCCACTCCCACTTGCCCAGTCTGCTGTGGTTTGGAGCGTGAGGTGTGGGGGCCTACTCCTTTAAAAAATCTCCATTGGATCCCACTTGGGATGGGTTTGGGGTAGGAAGGATGATGATAGACATGCCTTATTAGAATTGCTTTGAGACTTGAAAGGGTTCCTAAAAGGCAGCATATCAATTCCAGAAGGTGGGGTGCGGGCCAGTGTTGTCTCTGTGGGTTCTACCATGGTGCACTGTGGCCAGGGCCAAAAAGTGCAGAAGGTGAATATAGCCCATCAACCTTACCTTCATCTTCAGATACTTGCAAAATAGATCTCGGATTCAGGTATGGCTCTATGAGCAAGTGAATATGCTGATAGAGGGCCGTGTCATTGGTTTTGACGAGTCTGTGAACCTCATATCAGATGATGCAGAAGCGATTCATTGTGAAACAAAGCCAAGAAAACCCCTGGGCCAGATCGTGCTAAAGGAGATCATATTCTGCCACAAAATGTCTCTAACCAGAAATGATCAAGGAAGTGAGACACTATTGAGAACTTGTTTTTTTAGGTGTCATTTGTTGGGAGTATAGTTCTAAAATGCCTGTTCAGATTGTTTCCATTATCTGTATATATTATTACCAGATGACAGTAAATGCTGTGGGATTGTTTTTATTAAAAAATAAAATAAAAACAATTAAAAACAGCCCATCAGCACTTTTCTAATGTTTTCTGGTCATTTACATTTACCTTTTTGTGACACTGGCTTCTTAAACTTCAGCTTTATGATTTTCTGTATTCTGTTAGACTCAAAGTTAGGGACCTTGGCACCTTCCTTTTAATTTTTTCAGCACTCACTCAAATTCATCCTAGTCCAGCCTCTCATATTTTTTGTCTCAAATGATTGCATGCATTCAAGATAGAGGCTAATATTTGATAGCAGAGTTCTGTGGTGAATTTTGAATAGGAAAATCTGATGAAACAACCTCCATTATCTGTTCAATTTTCCTGTGTGCTATTTCTTAAAACGGATTCATGGCTAGTTTGGTTCTGTTGGGCTGATTGCTGTGTGAACCTTCACCCTGTTCTCAGCCTTTTAAAATTTTAGTCTAATGCATTTACAGTTTAGATATTTTAACCTGGGGAAGTATGTATGAGCCACACCTGCAGTTTTGTTAATTACTTTATAATCAGTACCTTAAAACCCTTGAAAACAGATTCCTAAAAGAAGGCATGTCACTTATATTCAGTGGCAATAATAATTCTCTAATATTTTCTTCTAAAGATTGATGGTAAATATTGGCCCCAGTATGCACATAAAAGTAATTTGGCAGTTATCTTTTTTGAAATTTTGATTTCTAATTTAAAAAATAGAAAAGTTTGATTAGAAAGCTTATTATAAGTAGAATTTGCATTTTACTCTAAATGTAAATTACAAGCCATGAGTTGAATTTTGGTTTTGATGGCGATTTTTTAAAGCTTTTTCATTTTTATGTTAAATTATTTTACTTAAACAGAAATGTCCTGTTTGAGTATATAAGTGCTGTTACCCCAGAACCTCATAATCATTCATATCCTGGGAGAGATGAGTGGCAGAATTAGCGTGACTCAGACTTGATTTTCCAGGGAAGTGGCCTAGCTTCTCTTCCGAATTACCTGCTAAGTTTTAAGAATGTGGACTCTCAGGCCTCAACATAGAGCTACTGCCTCGGAATTTCCAGGGGTTCCTTTCATAATCTGTACTCTTTCTTTTAAATTTGGTAACGAATCCCACACACAGCTAGATTGGGGAATGAGTCTAGGCCTCTAGTTCCCAGTCTCACCAAAAGGAACACCTCCCGTCAGTGTAATTTACTGCATGTTGAGAACTTAATCATGGGTCAGAGGATCGTTCCATTTAACAAATGCTAAGTGTGTATTGTGTCCAAGGCATTGCAACATGCATTGTGTCCAAGGAATTTACAAAGATGCATAGTATATATGTAATACCATTAATGCCCTCAAAATACTTTTGGCTAGCTGGTGTATGTGAGTCTACATTGTGATGACTTGAGTTCTTCAAGGATCATCATGCAATTCTTAATTATAACGTTGATACACTGTAAGTTGTAGTGATGCTTTAAAAATTCTTATTCGCACGTGGTTTTAGGAGCTGTACTGGGTCTTTGTGTTTCGAGTTGGCTGCTTCTGTCTAGGCTTGGTCTTTCACATGTTAAATTTGTGTAGCACATTTTCTTAACAACGCTGTCATAATCATGCTACTGGGCAAGCGAATTCCATGAGGAATTAGCACATTTAGTGGGTTTAGGTTATTTTTGTTTTGTAGTGAATGGAAGAGCACTGTTTAAACATCTTTATTACATACCTGGAGGAGTTGTTTTGTGAAGATGTGTTGGCTTTGTGTATCGATAATGAATGATCGTTTTTAGGTTTCAGTGCTTGTGATCTTGGAAGTTTGTGTTCAGCTTTGTGCTTTCACGTCACTAGGTGGAGATGTAGCATTGTTTGGCGGCATAGGCTAAGCAAGAGGAGTGAGTCTTGATTTCTCTTCTTTTGACAAAAGTACTTTACAGATATTTGATAAGGTTTATTATAGCCTAGGAAAACACTTGTAAATTTAGTACAATTCAAAATTTTTAACTTTTTTTTCAGGATTGAAGTTCAATCCTACTTAAGTGTCTATTTTCATACTGATCAACTCTTTTAAACATTTTTTTTCTCCTCTTACTGCTGTTTCCTTTTTGCTGTCCCTCATTATTTCACCTTGTCTGAGTTATTTTAATGTCTCTATCTTTGGTTCTTTATAGAGATTTAATTCTAAAAGTTTAGTAAAGGAATCAGAATTCTTACTCTGAGGTCAAATAATAGATAATTAATTTGGTAGCAATATGAAGTCAATGAACTAAAATTTATAGTCTGAACATACCCTAATCTTATCTTTGTATTATTTTAGGTTAATAATGTCAATTTTTAACATTAACATTCTGTAGGGCTTACTTTTCCCCCTTTGCTTCCTTCCTTCTTTCTCTCACCTCTTGAATATTAAACAAGCACAGTATTTACTTTGCACGGTATTGATGTGGGGAATATAAAGGAAATAAGAGCCTGTCTTCAAAGAGCTGATAATCCTGTTGAGAACATTCCAAATGCGCCCACGAAGCAGCAGTTTTCTACTCCTAGGTATATACCCAAGATAAATGAAGGCATATGTTCACACAAACATTTGGACATAAAGGTTCATAGCAGCACTATTCATAATAGCCAAAAAGTGGAAACAACCCAGATGTCTACCAGCTGATGAACGGATAAAGAAAATATGGTATACTTGTACAATGGAATGTGATATAGCAATAAAAAGAAATGAGATCCTGATACATGCTGTGATGTAGATGATGCTTGAAAACATGCTGGTGAAAGAAGCCAGTCACAGAAGACCGCATATTATTCCGTTTATGTAAAAAGTCCAGAATAGCAAATCTATAGAGATAAAGTAGATCCATGGTTGCCTAGGGCTGGGTGGAGGGGAGTAACTGCTAATGGGTTCGGAACTTCTTTTTGTAGTGATGAATATGTAAACTTGATTATAGTGATTAATGCACAGCTCTGACTATATACTAAAAACCACTGAGTTGTATGTACTTTTTTTTTTTTTTTGAGATGGAGTCTTGCTCTTTTGCCCAGGCTGGAGTGCAGTGGTGTGATCTCAGCTCACTGCAACCTCTGCCTCCTGGGTCCAAGCGATTCTCCTGCCTCAACCTCCCAAGTAGCTGGGACTACAGGCACCCGCCACCATGCCTGGCTAATTTTTGTATTTTTAGTAGAGAAGGGGTGTCACCATGTTGGCTAGGCTGGTCTTGAACTCCTGACCTCAAGTGATCCCCCTGCCTCGGCCTCCCAAAGTGCTGGGATTACAGGTGTGAGCCACTGTGCCCAGCTGTGTGTACACTTTACTTTCAATGAGTGAATTGTATGGCATAAGAATTATCTCCAATAAAGATTTTTAAAAAGTAAATTACCAAAAGGTTTAAAATTTATCAAACTAAGGTTGTTTTTTGTTTGTTTGTTTTTGTTTTTGTTTTTTGAGATGGAGTCTCACTCTGTCCCCCAGGCTGGAGTGCAGTGGCACGATCTCGGCTCACTGCAACCTCCACCTCCTGGGTTCAAGCAATTCTCCTGCCTCAGCCTCCCAACTAGCTGGGATTACAGACGCTCACCACCATGCCTGGCTAATTTTTGTATTTTTAGTAGAGATGGAGTTTCACCATGTTGGCCTGGCTGGTCTTGAACTCCTGGCCTCAAGTGATCAGCCCACCTCGGCCTCCCAAAGTCCTGGGTTTACAGGCGTGAGCCACTGCACCCGGCTCAAGGACTGTTTGTTGACCATCTACACAGGCACTATACGAAGTTCTATGCAAGTTATGAAACAAGTGTTAAGACACAAACGCTGACTTCAGATTGTTTACAGTTCGAGAGAAAAGGCATATATGCAATGTCCAATGTCTTGTAATGCACCTTTGCTTTCTGAATCTGCTCCCCATCTTTGAATCTCCTGAATTCTGTCTTCCGGCTGTTTCTGTAATGGCTCTTATCTTCTTACCATATGTCTTTTATTTTATCCTTTAAAAAGCGGACTGTTGCTCCTCAGACTTTGATAAATATCAGCCCCAGCCTGTTACCTTTAACTAACTCAAAGGACCTTTTAAAGTGATAGTGGCATCTCCAGTAACTTAAATTGTGTGGCTCATGGAAATCTATTCATTCAGCAAATACTTACTGAGGTTTCACTTACAAATAACTCTGGCAAATCACAAGACTGTTGGCATTATTATTTTTAAGATCATGACAAATATTCTTTTGCTACAATTTAGTCAGGTTGCATGGTGCTTAGAACGTATAGTCTTGAGTTCCTAAATTTTCATGAAAAATATATTTTGGTAATAGTATAAGTTAAACAAGTACGTGTTTGGTATAGAGCTAGCTGAATTGCCAGTATTCTAGTATGTTGACATTGTTATGGTCATTAAAACTTTGAGAAAAGAAAGCCAGGCACGGTGGCTCATGCCTGTAATCCCAGCACTTTTGGGAGGCCAAAGAGGGTGGATCACCTGAGGTCAGGAGTTCGAGACCAGCCTGGCCAACATAATGAAACCTCATCTCTACTAAAAATACAAAAATTAGCTGGGCGTGGTGGCACACACCTGTAATCCCAGCTACTCGGGAGGCTGAGGCAGGAGAATCGCTTGAACCTGGGAGGCGGAGGTTGCAGTGAGCCGAGATGACACCACTGCACTCCAGCCTGGGTGACAGAGTGAGACTCTGTCTCAAAAAACAAACAAACGAACAAACAAACAGAAAATCCTTTAAGAAAAGAGAGATTGGCTGGGCATGGTGGCATATGCCTGTAAGGCCAGCTACTTGGAAGGCTGAGGCGGGAGGACTGCTTGAGCCCAGGAGTTCGAGGCTGCAATGAGCTATGATCACACCACTGTACTCTAGCCTAGGCGATAGAGTGAGACGCTGTCTTGGAAAAAATAGAAAAGAGAAATTTTGCATTAGTCATGGTAATTCTATTAAAGCCACAAAAGGGTATTTTGTAAAAGGTTGTAGTTGATTAATTCTACATCCATCCGTTTAGACAGTTTATCTTATGTACCTATAGATATATACATGCACATGTGCACACACACACACACACACACACACACACACACACACACACACGCTTGTGCCTATGTTATTAGTACAGCAGCTAAACTTTTTCCTTTTCTTGCAGATGCATATGAAACAGCCAAGATGCTGTGTGAACAGTATTACCTGGTAGCTCCAGAGCTGGAAGTTGAAGAATTCAATGGTAAAAGAAAACTAATTTTAACCTTACATTCAAAAAAGCTGACTAAGAAGCTGTTTATACCTAAGCCATATTTCAGTGAGCTCCAAAAATTATACTGATTTTTCATTTTCTTATATCTTTTTAAAACTTTCTACGCTTTTGGTCAACCAGATATATTATTGTAAGGAGTTTTTGTACAGGAATGTGTAATGTGTTAGACCCCAGAATTCTTGGAACAGAAATAATCAAGGTAGAGTATGTAGAAAGGTATAAATAGGCCCTTCTCAAAGTAACAAATGCAAGCAGTCGATCAACATATGGAAAAGTGTTTAACTTCACTAATCAAGGAAGTGCAAACAAAAACACAGACAAATGCCTTTTTTTTTTTTTTTTTTTTTGAGAAGGAGTCTCGTTCTGTTGCCCGGGTTGGAGTACAGTGGTGTGATCCCAGCTCACTGCAGCCTCTGCCTTCCAGGTTCAAGTGATTCTCCTGTCTCAGCCTCCTGAGTAGCTGGGATTACAGGTGCCCCCCACCATGCCCAGCTAATTTTTGTATTTTTAGTAGAGACGAGGTTTCACCATGTTGGCCAGGCTGGTTTCGAACTCATGACCTCAGGTGATCCACCCGCCTCAGCCTCCCAAAGTGCTGGGATTACAGGCGTGAGCCACCGTGCCCAGCCAAAAATGCCATTTTTGTCTTTCAAAATGACAGTGATTAAAACATTTTAATGCTTTGAATTTGTGCCCATAAAAATACTTTCTCACCAGCACATACATTTCTTGTATAAGCTAAAAGTGGTATTCCCTTTCTAAAAAATGCCAGCAATGTTCTTTCTATTTGGCCCAGTAAATAAGTTAATAATGGTCATATTCTTTGGTCCAGTAAATTAAACTTCAGAACACTTATTATAAGAAAATAGAGGCTGGACACAGTGGTTCACACCTGTAATCCCAATACTTTGGGAGGCCAAAGTGGGTGGATCTCTTGAGTCCAGGAGTTTAAGACCAACCCGAGTGACATGGCGAAACCCCATCTCTACAAAAAATACAAAAATTAGCCAGGCGTGGTGGCACTTGCTTGTATTCTCAGCTACTTGGGAGACTGAGGCAGGAGAATCACTTGAACCCGGGAGGCGGAGGTTGCAGTGAGCCGAGATAGTGCCACTGCACTCCACCCTGGGCAATAGTTTGAAACCCCATCTCAAAAAACAAACAAAAATCTATGAAAATAGAGATGCACAGATTTATGTACAAGATTGATGATCACAGTAGTTTTCTTATAAAGTTAGAAAACAACCCAAATTTTCCACAATAGAGCATTGTTTAACTGAATTGTGGTACACCCATTAGATAGAATACTATGCAGCCCTTTGAAATAATGCTTTAAACGAATAACGTATGGGAAAAATTGAGATTTTTAAAAAAATACAGGCTACAAAAGTTTATAGTAGTGGAGTTCATTGGAAAATATTTTGAAGGATTTATACTACCAAAATACAAATAGCAGCTCTCTGGGTAATGGGGTTACAGATGATTTTTACGTTCATCATATGATTACATATTTATTTGCACATTCCTTTTTTTATTTGCAAATTATGGAAGAGACATGCTTATCACAAAAATACAGATACAGAAATGTGACTGAAAAGGGAAATCCCCCACAACTTTCTCAGTCCCATATAGAGCTTTGGTTTTTGCATAAAGCATGTATAGCTTTAACCCTATTTATAACGTGGTTTTCACTTCACCTTGAAGACCTTTGCAAGTATTAATCTCATTTAGAGATTATCCATAGTGTAACTTACCATAATTTATTTAACTGTTTTCCTATGGGTATACATTTAGGATTTCCTGTTTTCCTATATTCCATATAATGAGCTATGAAAGAGTGTGAGAGGTGGGGAGGGTGGAAAAATTTGTGAACGTATGGAAGTATTTCTGCAGGTTGGATTCCTAGATGTGGAATGACTGAGCAGGGTGTGAGCATTTACAGTTAAAGATAAACCAGGCCAGGCATGGTGGCTCACACCTGTAATCCCAGCACTTTGGGAGGCTGAGGCAGGAGAATCTCTTGAGCCCAGGAGTTCGAGACCAGCCTGGGCAAGGTAGCAAAACCTTGTCTCTACACAAAATAGAAAAATTAGCTGGACATAGTGGCATGTGCCTGTAATCTCAGCTACTCAGGAGGCTGAAGTGGGAGGATCGCTTGAGCCCAGGAGGTAGAGGCTGCAGTGAGCCGAGATCACATGACTGCACTCCAGCCTGGGTGACAGAGCAAGACTCTGTCTCAAAAAAAAAAAAAAAAAAAAAGATAAACCAAATTCCCCCTCAGGAGTACACTAAAAATGTATTTCTCTTATAATGAGATAAAACTGTGAAAGGAGTTCAGGCTGCTGTTGAAGGACATGGCCCCTCCATTTGACTAGAAGGCATGGAGTCAAAGCTGCTTTCAAGGTCTCTTGGGTTCTCTGAGAAGAGTCATGTCCCCATTGAATAAATATACTACCAGGACCGAGTGGGCTTGTCTGGAGTGTTCCTGATGAGAACCATCTTAATATTCTTTCTCTCTCTTCCTATGGACTAGGCAGGAGCTGATCTCACATCTGCAGGTAGTAACAAATTGCTCTTTTGCGTGAGTGGCAGCCTCCCTCATTCTAAAGGCCAAAGCAGCAGGCCTGTTCTTGCTGATTCCCAAGTGCCAGCCATGTCAGCACATTCTGTCCCCGCTGAGGCTGTCATGCTGGGCAGCTCACCCACCAGGAGAGGAGCTTTCCGACTCTTTTTGGCATTGTCTCACGAATTACAGAAGCCCCCTTTCGATCATGTTTTGAAGCCCCTTGTCCTATCACTAAGATAAATGAATGCTGGTGTTTCTAGGTAGCTTCTAGCTTTATGTTGCTTTGGGTAGTGTAGTGATTATTTTTATGTATAAGTTCTTAATGCTAGAGCTCTCTTGTGAGCATGATTAAGGAATGTGCTTTCGCCTTAACAAGTTCTATGTTGGAGATGCAGGTTGGAGGTTGATCCTGAACACCTTAAGTGGATGCTTTTTTATTCTGGAAGGAGAACTGTCTGGAAATAAAATTCCTTATATCTAATGGTATTTCTTAAATGCTGTTTCAACTAATGGCATTTGGAGCAATGACTGTACAAAATAGAGACTTCATTATTTCTGAAGTCTTGAGCATGACAAACCTAGGCCATTTTTAAATTGACTTTTAAAAATGTACCCTTAGATGGAAAATTCATATTCTACTTATTTTATAAGTCAGCAAACATCTATTAAGCATCTGCTACTTAACAGCCAGCCTCGAGACCCAGAACTAGGAAAGAGTCATGGACAAAAGCATTTGACATGGTTTTAAAAGGAAGGAAAGAAATCTAAACTGTAATGTTCCCAAAGAAAAGTGCAGGTAATTGAGCAAGCCTTTAGATGGCTCCTAGAGAATGTTGTTTAAACTGAAAAAATAAAAATAAAAAAACCCACTATATAAAAGGTGTTTGCCTTTTCTTGAGATTTGGGGTGAAAAGGTTGAATTCATAAGGCTGTTTATATAACTAATCATGCCATTTGGTACAAGATAAACTGAGCACCCAGCTTGTTCCTCGAGCCCCATTAAAATGACAATAAAGGAGCCAGGCGCAATGGCTCACACCTGTAATCCCAGCACTTTGGGAGGCCGAGGTGGGCGGATCACTTGAGGTCAGGAGTTCGAGACCAGCCTGGCCAACATGGTGAAACCCTGTGTCTACTAAAAATACAAAAATTAGCTGGGCATGATGGCATGTTTCTTTAGTCCCAGCTACTAGGGAGGCTGAGGCAAGATAATTGCTTGAACCTGGGAGGCGGAGGTTGCAGTGAGCTGAAATTGCGCCACTGCACTCCAGCCTGGGCGACAGAGCAAGACTCCATCTCAAAAAAAAAAAAGAGGGGAAAAAAAGAAATAAAAATAAAATGACGATAAAGGAATCCAAAGAAAAGCAGCAAAGGAAAGCAGAGGAGCTCATTAGTGGACCAGTGCCTTAGTCCATTTAGGCTGCTATAACAAAAATACCAGAGACCAAGTGGCTTCAGCAACCATTTCTCATGGTTCTGGAGGCTGGGACATCCAAGATCATGGTTCCTGGAGATTTGGTGTCTAGTGAGGACCCACCTTCTGATTCATAGCTGGCTTCTCACTGTTTCCTTCCATGGGGGAAGGAGCGAGGGAGCTCTCTGGAGTTTCTTTAAACGGGCATTAATCCCATCCATAAGGGCTCTGCCCTCATAACCTAATCACCTCTCACAGGCCCCATCTCCTAATACCATCACATCAAGGGTTACATTTCAACATAGGAATTTGGGGGAGACACACACAAACATTCCGTCCATAAGAGGCATGAATCCCAACTTTTGAAAGAGGGTCACTAGATGGAAGTATGCTGATTGGTGGGACAGAGCAGAAGCAGCCACAGGGGAGGAGGCTGCAGCAGAGGTGGCAACTGGTTTGCCGAAGATTGTCCTGGAGGGACTCTGGGGGCAGGGCCAGGTGGTGCAATGGACTGGAATGGGAAGGGAAGGCAGAGGGTAGGGTTAACTGAAAGCTGGTCTAAGAAAGAGCATGGAGGGATGACGGGAGGCAGCTGTACTCTGGCCGGGTTCAGCCTGCCAACAGGCAACTAAGTATTTTGTTCGAGAACAACCTAGGAAGAATTAGGGCTTTTCATGTGAGTGTTGTTACCCTGCAGCAAAGCCCTGTTCGTTTAAGCATTTGGGGGCCTCTCTGCTCAGAGGCCCATTTACTACCTGCTCATCCTCAAGCCAAGTTGAAAAGTCTTGACCAGTCCAGAGAGCTCTAAGTCAGGCTTCCCACTTAATGGAGAGCCCCAGGGGGATATGAACGCCAGCTCCCTCATACAGTGAATCCGGTTCTTCATTCTCAAACAAGAATATTGCAACCAAGATGGATCAGACCTTCAGCAAAAGCCAGCAGCAAGAACCAAACCTAACTGGCATTAAACTTATCAGCTCTACTGTTACTGCCAGAAACCCCCCTTTTGAAATTCTGAGAGAAAATCATTTCAAACCTAGAATTCTCTATCTAGCCAAACCTTTAATCAAATAGATCAGAGGTGTAAAGATTGACAGATGTGTCTCCCATGCATCCCTTTCTGAGGTAGGTTACCTGACTGCCTTGATGTTATGTATAATATGCATCTAAGAAAGGGGAAAACATTCTAGAACTTCAATCAAAAACAACTTTAGGATGATGGCTATGCAGCATGTTTGCAAAGCAATTGATTCTAATTTGAAAAATCTTGAAGAATGGACTGGATACCATGCAGTAGGTATGGAAGCTGGAAGTAGGTATGGAAGCTGGAAGTAGGTATGGAAACTGGAAGTAGGTATGGAAGCTTCCAGTAAGCTGGAAGATCTTAGCGAAATGGCATGGACCAACTATGAAGCAACCCAAAAAGGGTAGCATGATGTTGACCAGTTGGAGGAGTATAAAGAAACTCCATTTCATGTTAAGGCTGGGAACATTCTCCTCCAAGGGACACATGAATCATTGTTATTGCATTAATAGGGAAGAAAATGTCTAGGTACACTGTTGTGGTTGTTCTACAGTGATCAATATTTACATAGTTATAATGTCACCAACACTTGATTTTCTACTTTCTTGAAAGAACCTATAGGCAATTTACAGCATCCCTAATTTGGGTTACAGAACAGAATGTAAATATTACCAACCCAAAGACTACAGCAGAAGTAGTAAAGAGTGGCTGCCTCTGGGTTCAGACTGAAGGATAAGATAGGAAAGGGGGAAGGACTTTTGTTTTTCTTCTTTTGTTAAATTTTTAAGCCGTTTACATATATTACTAAGTGATTTTAAAAACAACTGCTCAGGCCAGGCACGGTGGCTCACGCCTGCAATCCCAGCACTTTGGGAGGCCGAGGTGGGCAAACACCTGAGGTCGGGAGTTCGAGACCAGCCTGTCCAACATGGCAAAACCCCGTCTCTACTAAAAATACAAAAATTAGCCAGGAGTGGCGGCGCACACCTGTAATCCCAGACACTCAGGAGGCCGAGGCAGGAGAATCGCTTGAACCCGGGAGGTGGAGGTTGCAGTGAGCCGAGATGGCGCCACTGCACTCCAGCCTGGGCAACAGAGTGAGACTCTGTCTCAAAAAATAAATAAATAAAAATAAAAATAATTGCTCTTTGAAGAGTTCGGGATTTAGACTCAAAAGCTCTTTGTTCAGGTGTCTGGTTTCGGTGCCACTTCTGGGACCACGGGCAAGTCACACAGGCTTCCCAAAGCCTGTTTCCAGACCTCTAAACACCACCACCCCTCTAGGAGCCAGGAAGTGTTGTCAGGAGGAGTCAATTGAATAATGTATGTGAAAGCTCTGTGTAGACTGCTAAGAATCAAGCAAATGTGAACTCTAATTTGTATTACTGTTAATTACTTTATTAGAGGAAGTAGCTGGTTGAAATTACAGCATTCTACCTGAGAGAGTTCATGTAGTTTCAATCTCTTAAGTGATTTTGGGTCATGAGGAGGAGGAAGGACTGTATTTTTGAGCATCTGCTCTGTACCGCACACTGTTCTTATTGCTTCACCTGGGTTTTGGTGTTTCTCAGATTGTCTTCAGATGACCCATGGTGCAAGGGGAAAAGATCATAGGTCTCTAGGGGTTTATGTGCTAGCTGCTTGAGAAAAAGTTATGTGAACCTTACATTCTATGCTATAAGATGCCTTGTTTGTCATAATTTAACAAAACTGAACACTGCCATTTAGTCCAGTTCACCAGCCCTTTTTTTTCCTGTTGCTCCACATTCTCCCGTGGAATTCCCCCTGGGGTCAGTGGCAGAAGGTAGCCCCCAATTTGAAAAACACCAAGTGATATCTGACTGGCCTTCTGTAATACTCAGGATGTTATGGCATAGGTGATAATATTCCAATTCTGCTCAACAAAGTTTCAAAGAGATTGAGTGATTTATCCAAGGTCACATAGCTGGTAAGTGAAGGAACTGGGTGTCACCCCAGGTTTGTTTGATTCTAAAGCATATGCTTTTGCTCAGCCCTGCCTTTAGAGGTGGAAACTCAAATTAGCCTTTTATAGAGCTCTGTTTTACACACTTGGAAAATAGAATGCAAACATCATTCTTGAATTTCTCCTACTTTGGGTCCTTATTGATTGATGGTTTTGTCTCTGTTTTCAGCCAAAGCGCCAGACAAACCTATTCAGGTGGTTTATGTGCCCTCACATCTGTTTCATATGCTATTTGAGTTGTTCAAGGTAAGTGGAATTTTAAAAACGTGGAAAGAAGTCTTCATTTTAAATTACTTTGATTCAGGGCATAATGGATTCATTAGATTAGCATAAGAAAAAGGTTTTGCATAACCATTTTAAAAATTCTATTTCTGATATCCTGTGGGTTTTATAATTTGTACACTGTGAGATGAGAAATTGCTGTGTACACTATAGTTTTTGTGAATATTAGTACATATTGATTTTGAAGCTTAATTGCACTTTAGTGATTTTATGTAAAATCCATACTGTTTTTTCTTTAGTTATGAGATTAGAGATGCTTTTTAGTTTCCAAACCTGGCAAAGGCTTTACTGGTGATAGCCAGATCAAAATAAAAACATGTTTATACATATTTATGCTTCTGAAAATTAACCACACTGGTACATTAGTGGTTGTTCCAGTCCTGAGAGATCCTGCAACTCTTTTATAAAATATTTGAATCAATTCAGAAGATCCAAGAGAGGCAGAGGAGAAAGATGTAGATGAGCTGGACCAAAAGAACCACCCCTCCCCCCCACCAAATTCTTTAGAGTCTGCAACTTAAGCTGTTGCTTTTGTTAATCAGTAGCTAATGACATTTACAGTAGCAGTATTACAGGCACAAGGCATTTGAGCTAAAATTTCATTTCTTCCAATGCGTGAAACACTAAATTGAACACCTGAAAAATCAGTTATGCTGATTTGCTTCCAAAAATTAGAATGTTACTGATGTAACGCTTTAAGGTTGAAATGGGCATTCAATTGTGAACTTTCTCTTCAGCAGCTGTGGCTTTTTCAGAATTTCTTTTTAACCAATATTTCTTCTACTTTTTTCAGCCAAATGATTAATTTTTGTGGGAAGCATGCATCCTTTCAGTTTTTCTGCCTTCTTTAGAGAAAAGGTGCTCTATAAATGCAGACTGATAAATAGGATTTAAAGTGCACAAATCAGCCTCTGCATAGCCTCATTACATGCGATAAAAACATTCCTCTGGGTTGAGTTGAATAATTTAAATACCGTAAAGCGAAAAAAAAAAAAAAAGAGGAAGAAGAAGAAGGAAAGAAAAATAAATATTTAGCATGTTGGATGAGGCTAAAACTAGGTGAAAAACAAAGTGTCAGGAAATTTTTCCTTGATTTGAGCACGTTTAGCTAAGCTCTTTAGAGGGAAAAATGCCATAAAAATCCAACTAATATTTGCCCCAAAAAAGGGTTGTTGGGTATAAGTCATCTTGCGCTTCTTTCTCTTTAAAAATTGTGGTTTGTGATTCGGCAGTATGATTAATAAAAAGATCTTATTATTTTAGAACTCAATGAGAGCGACAGTTGAACTCTATGAAGACAGAAAAGAGGGCTACCCTGCTGTTAAAACCCTCGTTACTTTGGGTAAAGAAGACTTATCCATTAAGGTAACTGTTTTATGTGCATGTATACTTTAATTATCAGTTGTGATTTAATAGTATCTAGACATTGAAAAATCAGAGGGAAGGAAATTGACATTTATTGAGTGTCCTGTTTGTAAGTTCTATGCTAGATCCTTGGCTTAAGTTACCTTATTTAAACTTCATTAGAACCTTGTTATTCAGGGAGTTGAACAAGACCTCAACACCAAGCCTGTTGGATCCCACTGTACCATTCGGCCTCCTTTGTTTTACACTGTTCACAAAGGAACCGTATGTCACTGGGGGATTCAAAGTCCTTGTACATTGTGGAGTAATCTGCTATGTACTTTATTTAATGAACCCATTGCCTCCTACTAAGTATAGATCAACTTCTTTGTTTTGATTGTTAACATTTTGAACATTGCAGATCAGTGACCTAGGTGGTGGTGTCCCACTTCGAAAAATAGATCGTCTTTTTAACTACATGTATTCTACTGCTCCTAGACCCAGCCTGGAGCCTACCAGAGCTGCCCCTTTGGTAAGCATCTGAAAGTGCTGCTGAAGGAAAGATCATAAACACAGGAAGGGGCTCAGAGGGAGCTGCCTCTCTCCCCAGGTTGTCACATTAGTGTAGTTGATTTAGAAGGTTGCGTGTATTATGGTTTGGAGGAGGGAGAATTTTTTGCCTTGGCTACTTGCTTTGTGAATCCTTTGGACTTCAATTTCCTCTCTGATTTGTGTCTAAGAAACACTCCTAGCTGAGTGCCTCATTCCCATATACAGAGAAAAAGTACCTCATTGTGGTAAGACTGCTACTGTAGCACCATTTTCCACTTTGTGCTACCCTTGGAAGGGGTGGAAGTTGCCAGTGGGTGAGCAAAGGGACAGTACTGAATGCATAGCTGCCGCTTGGTCCTGCGCACTCTGGCGTGCGTACCACAGAGGCGCGAATCACCTAGTGCCTTGGAATCTCCACTGTCAAATTTGTTTATATAATTAAAATGTTAAATTATGAAAACATTAAATTTTTATGTTAAATAACATTAGCATGAAACATATAGGTGGTGTATGCATTTTCAGAGCCCTTTCTGTCTCACTCTGGAAATAACCTTCAGCCCTGTTAAGGCAGTGAGAAAAGCCACTGGTTACCATGGTAGCATTTAGATCCTGGTAGGGCCACACTTGCTTCCCCTGCTGAGTGTTTCTAATTGACAAACAACAATTGAACCCTTTGTCATTAAACACAGCAACATATCTATCAGTCTGCAAAATGGTTCAGGGTATAAATTAAGTTTCATTTTAAAGTCGTACCTGACTGATAAGCACATAAGATTATATTTTATTTGTATGAATAAAATCAAACACTTTGCATCATTTATTTGAGACAGAGTTTGTTAACTCAGCATGTTGGAAACAGGAAATCATTTATATAGGAGTCGAGAAAATTCATGAAAGATCACATTTGAGAGGCGTTGCCTTGACTAGGCTCTGGCATGCACTTAAATACACATCAAAAGGAAAAAAGGCACCACAAACAAATCTAGCACCTTCCCCAGTTGTTTAAAAGAAATATAGATTGTCTCTTCCAGGTCTTAAAATAGCATCTTGAGGATAGCTGTTATATCATAGGTTTTTTTTCTTATTGAAACTGAGGGCTTGTAAGAGACTTTTAACAGTTAACGCATGCGCACTCCCATTGTATAGATGAGGAAATGAGGAAATGACCTTGTCCAAAGTCATTGAACTAATTAACTGCAGAGCTGGTGCTGGCCATGTCTGTGTTCTTTCCAGTGTACTACGTGGCCGAAGAAATGCTTCTGCTAGTGGCTCTCCCAGTTAGGAAACTGGCCTGTAATCCTAGCACTTTGGGAGGCCAAGGCGGGTGGATCACTTAAGGTCAGGAGTTCGAGACCAGCCTGGCCAACATGGTGAAACCCTGTCTCTACTAAAAATACACGAAAATAGTCGGGAGCAGTGGCGCATGCTTGTAATCCCAGCTATTCAGGAGGCTGAGGCACAAGAATGGCTTGAACCTGGGAGGTGGAGATTGCAGTGAGCCTATATCATGCCACTGCACTCCAGCCTGGGCGACAGAGCGAGGCTCTGCCTCAAAAAAAAAAAAAAAAAGAAAAGAAAAAGAAACTGTCCTCAGCTTTAAAGTGGGCACATGGATATGTACTACTAGAAAACATAATTTCCTCATTGAGCAACTTACACTTTTACACCTTTTACACCTCTGTGCCTTTACATGTGCATTTCTGTTTGAGAATATCCACCCAGCGAACTCCTGCTGATCCTTTGACACTCTGGGAAACCTTTCCTGAACCTCAGCAAATCCGAGGTCCAGACCCCTCCTCTGCATTCTTTGGGAGTCTGGGCTTACACTCACATCTGCATTGGCCTCGGAGTTCTCGGCTCTTCTGTGTTGGACATGAGGGCAGGCTCTGGGCCTTGCTTGAACATAGAAGGCAGATTTGCTCACATCTCTTCCTAGAGTGAGCTAGTTTCTTTGCTGTGGTTACCTGAGTCACTACTATAAATATCTCATCTTCACTACTGGCCATATTCAGCAAGTCCCAAAGCCCTTAAATAATGGGGTACGTTCTTTTACCCCCTGCCCTTTCAGTTAAACCCTACCCTGAGGGAAGGTATCAAGGAGAGATGTTAGAAAATGGCAGAAATCTGTGTAACTTCATAAAATTGCTGCTCCTAGTAGCCATAGTACCAGCCTCAATTTATTTAGTTTTACTGTGTTAGGCACTGTGCCAAGATTTTATACTTGTTATATTATTTAATCCTTATAGCAGCTCTGAGGTCAGTTTTTTATCATATGTTCAGATGAAAACATGGTCTCAAAGAGGTTGAGTAAACTGCTCAGAGTCGCACAGAAAGTGGATTTCAACTGGGTCTGTCTGAGTCTAAGGCCCATGTGACTCTGTGCACATGGTCCCCTGCCCTCCTTCCTTAACCTTGTTCATAGATTTAACCAGAAGTGAGGAAGCTTGGTGTTACATCTCCTTCCCCACCCTGCCCCACTACCACCACAAATGGTATTACATTTAGTTTTGATTCTTACTGTTCTTGTCCATAGAACACCTGTTATTGACAGTCAGGATTCCTTGACATAGAGATATAGGAGGGTACTGAAAATTTTTTTAATCTCTAAAAATACCTGAACTACAATATACCAAAATATTCTCACATTCCCGGAACCTTAGTAGTTGCCTCTCAGAAAATTGTTTTCCTTTCCATGTTCTCGTCTTGTTACTGGTAGATTTGTACTCAGCACTGCGCTATTGATTTTCACTTGCAAAAGCAAGGAAATCTGATCATGGGACTTTGAAATGATGTGGTTTAGTTTTGTCATCAGGTCACATTCCACTTGATTTGGAATGTGCTTTTGTGTGTGTGTGTGTGTGTGTGTGTGTGTGTGTGGAGATGGAGTCTTGCTCTGTCGCCCAGGCTGGAGTGCAGTGGCGCCATCTCAGCTCACTGCAACCTCCACCTCCTGGGTTCAGGCGATTCTCCTGCCTCAGCCTCCTGAGTAGCTGGGACTACAGTCTCCCACCACCTCGCCCAGCTAATTTTTGTAGTAGAGATGGGGTTTCGCCATGTTGGCCAGGCTGATCATGAATTCCTGACCTCAAGTGATCCACCTGCCTCAGCCTCCCAAAGTGCTGGGATTACAGGCGTGAGCCACTGTGCCCGGCCTTGGAATGTGCTTTTAAAAAAATGATAAAATTTTGCTTTAAAATGCTAAAAAAGCATTAGTCAAAAATTAGAATATTTCTATTATTATCCAAACATATAAGACATGTTTTTGCAGGGTGAAAATAAAGGGGTTGTTTGCCATAGAAGAGGATATACATCATTGTAAAGGTTGAGTCAGTAATTTATTTGATTTAAATCTGAATCAAGAATTTATTTTAACCTTCTCTGAATGGTCATCATATAAAATGTGTTAGCATTTGTGCCTGTCTCACTGTATTAATTTTCTTTTCTCAATAGGCTGGATTTGGTTATGGTTTGCCAATTTCCCGTCTGTATGCTAGATATTTTCAAGGAGATCTGAAACTGTATTCCATGGAAGGAGTGGGTACTGATGCTGTCATTTATTTGAAGGTACTGCGTTTTATTTGTTAGTATGAGGCATCTTTGCTTTTTAAAGCTGTAAGTTCTAATCGCTGATTGAGAACAGCACTGTATCATCTCTTAGATTCATCTCAGATTTACTTCATTTTCCCATGAAAACCATGTTATGCCTCACGCTTGATTCTATGCTCAGATAAAGCAAAATATGAAACGTGGAGGTATAGAAATTAAAATACTGATTTTGGCCGGGCGTGGTGGCACATGCCTGTAATCTCAGGACTTTGGGAGGCTGAGGTGGGTGGATCACCTGAGGTCAGGAGTTCGAGACCAGCCTGGCCAACATGGTGAAACCCCATGTCTACTAAAAGTACAAAAAATTAGCTGATGTGGTGGTGCACGCCTGTAGTCCCAGCTACTCAGGAGGCTGAGGCAGGAGAGTCATTTGAACCCGGGAGGCAGAGGTTGCAGTGAGCCAAGATGGTGCCACTGCACTCCAGCCTGGGCGACAGAATGAGACTCCATCTCAAAAGAGAAAAAAAAAAATTAAAATACTGATTTTTAAAACCATAATTTTAAATTGTGACTTAAAAAACTACATGCCTATTGAAAGGTCTGATCTAAAAGAAGGCAGATTTTCATAAACTGAAGTATTTTGGTCTTTTGTTTTAAAAACTCACTGGCTTTCCCAAAGCTACAAGAATTCAGTAATCATAATATGGTTATGTAAAAGATTCATTTAATAACAAACTTCTCTGTAACACAGTTTTTCTTATTCATTGGTGATCATTGGGCTTTTATTTCTAAACTCTAGAATATTTGTAACATTTTTTTGAATAGGTAATATAGGCACATAATAAAAATTTAAAAGCTACAAAAGGAAAAATGAAGTCTCTCCTCCCACTGGCCCTAAACCGCCAGTTCTGTTCAGCGAAGATCACCACCGGTCTCAGCGTCTTATGGATCCTCCTAGAGTTGATTCTACATTTATAAATATGGGAAAAATAGAATTTTTCCCACATAAATGAAATTTCAGCACCTTCTTATTTTTTTTACTTTGCAATCTGTCTTAGAGATCTTTCCAGATCCATTTATGTAGAACTGGCTCATTCTTTTAAACAGTGGCATAACATGCCACTGTGGGTCAAGCATCCCTAACCCAAGAATCTGCAATCCAAAATGGTTGAAAATCTGGAACTTTTTGAGCGCCAACGTGATGCTTGCTCAAAGGTCAAGCTTAAAGGAAATGCTTATTGGAGCACCCCAGATTTCAGATTTTCAGATTAGGGATGCTTAACAGGTAAGCACAATGCAAATATTCCAAAATCGGAAAAAATCAGAACTACTTCTGGTCCCAAGCATTTCTTTCTTTCTTTTCTTTTTTTTTGTTTCTTTCTTTTTCTTTTTTTTTTTTTTTGAGATAGAGTCTCACTCTGTCACCCAGGCTGGAGTGCAGTACTGCCATCTCGGCTCACTGCAACCTCTGCCTCCTGGGTTCAAGCCATGCTCCTGCCTCAGCCTCCTGAGTAGCTGGGATTACAGGTGTGAGCCACCACACCCGGCTAATTTTTTGTATTTTTAGTAGAGACAGGGTTTCACCATGTTGGCCAGGCTGGTCTCGAACTCCTGACCTCAGGTGATCCACCTGCCTCAGCCTCCCAAAGTGCTGGGATTACAGGTGTGAGCCACTGTGCCCGGCCTGTTCCCAGGCATTTCAAAGGGATACTCAACCTATGTATGTGATACCAGAATTTAACCAGTTACTGGGAGTATTTATCTTAGATGCCCATGCATCTAAGTAATGCGATATTTAATATACTTGATGGTGTGTGTTTATAAACCTGGGATGCATGAGACTGTATCTCTTCCTGGGCCCTTTGTGAGACCAGTCACCAGGTATAGTCAAAACAGTTGAGCATCTCAAAGCAGTATGAGCTGAATTAAAATATGTTTTGTTCTGGTCATGTGTATTTCAGTTCTGATTTTGAATGAGCAAATGTTTTCATTCCTTTAAAAAAGCTTTAATGTTTTCCTGGCCAGTCTAAGTAAACTACTAAGGTGTAATTTTAATATCATTTTGAAAATATGTATTAAGGTTTCTGATGTTTTAAATAATAAAATTTGGGTTACTATTTCACTTGAGAAAAATGACACTGTCGACCTTTGGTGTATATTTTTGTTTCTCCAATAGGCTCTTTCAAGTGAGTCATTTGAGAGACTTCCAGTTTTTAATAAGTCCGCATGGCGCCATTACAAGACCACGCCTGAAGCCGATGATTGGAGCAATCCCAGCAGTGAACCCAGGGATGCTTCAAAATACAAAGCAAAACAGTAATATACCACCTTGATTTCCATTACAAAGTATCTGATTTGTCTGAATAAAGGTGTCCCACTCACTGTTCCAGGAATTCTTGCAGTGTAGAGGTATTCACAACAGCAAGCAGGGATTTGGCCTGCCATCAATTTTATTTAAAAAGCAATTAAGTTTGCAGTTTGTCCTCATAAACGTTGTAGGTTGAAACTGAAAAATAAGTTAAAATGATCAATCAAGATAAAAGGTGATCTATCCATCCAATGGAATATTATTTGGCCTTAAAAAGGAAGGACATTCTGATATGTGCTGCAACATGGGTGAATCTTGAAGTCATTATGCTAAGTGAAATAAACCAGACATAAAAGGACAAATACTATGATTCCACTTATGTGAAGTACCTAGAGTAGTCAAATGCAGAGACACAAAGTGGAAGGGAGGTTGCCAGGGGCTAGCGACGAAGATGGAATGGGGAGGCATTGTTTCATGGGTACAAAGTTTCAGGTGGAAAGATGAAAAACTTCTGGAGATGGATGGTGGTGATGCTTGCACAACAGCGTGAATGTACTCAATGCCACTGAACTGTACATGTAGCAATGGTTAAGATGGTAAGTTCTGGGCTGGGTGTGGTGGCTCACGCCTGTAATCCCAACACTTTGGGAGGCTGAGGCTGGATGATCTCTTGAAGCCAGGAGTTCAAGACCAGCCTAGGCAACATAGTGAGACCTCTGTCTCAGCAAAAAATTTAAAAAGGTAAAATTAGCCGTGTGTGGTGGTGTGGGTCTGTAGTCCTAGCTACTCAGGAAGCTGAGGCGGGAGGATCACTTGAGCCCAGGACTTCCAGGCTGTAGTGAGCTATGATTCGCACCACTGCACACCAGCCTGGGGGACAGAATAAGACCGTGTCTCAAATAAGAAAAAGGTGGTAAGTTCTATGTTATGTATAGCTTATCACAATAAAAAATGTTAACATTATAAAGGAAAAGTTATCAATCACAGAACAAGTTTCACTGTTTTATGGTAATAAGGAAAATAATCTGTAGTTTTCTTCTGACTATGTACCCTTAAGCTTCAACTCTACTAGCAACAGTGGGGTTCTGCTTCATTTAACTTAAAATAATCCTGTATTAACAAAAAAGCAGTATATGTGCATTATAAAAAATAAGAAAACATTGGCTGGGCGCAGTGGCTCACGCCAGTAACCCCAGCACTTTGAGAGGCCGAGGTGGGTGGATCACTTGAAGTCAGGAGTTGGAGACCAGCCAGGCCAATATGGTGAAACTCTGTCTCTACTAAAAATACAAAAATTAGCCGGGTGTGGTGGCACACGCCTGTAATTCCAGCTACTTGAGAGGCTGAAGCAGGAGAATTGCTTGAACCCAGGAGACAGAGGTTGCAGTGAGCCAAGATAGTACCACTGCACTCCAGCCTGGGCGATAGAGCTAGACTCCATCTCAAAAAAAAAAAAAAAAAAGAAGAAGAAGAAGAAGAAGAAAGAAAACATAAGTAAGCCAAAAAAGAAGGAGAAACCTCTGTGTTCCCAAAACCCAGAGATTGCCACTGCTATAGCTTCGTGTATATTCTTCCAGATATTTTGCCATTTGTGTATATATGTATTTTTTTTGCAAATGAGATTACACTATTCATACTATTTTACAACCTGCTTTTGTTTCATTTAACCATCCCATCTTTCCATGTCAATGATCATTCACTGCAACCTCTGCCTCCTGGCTTCAAGTGATTCTCATTCCTCAGCCACCTGAGTAGCTGGGATTACAGGCGTGGGCCACCATGCCTGGCTAATTTTTATATTTTTAGTAGAGACAGGGTTTTGCCATGTTGTCCATGCTGGTCAAAAAAAAAAAAAAGAAAGAAAAGAAGGAAGGAAAGGAAGGAAAAGAAGGAAGGAAAGGAAGGAAAAGAAGGAAAGGAAGAAAGGAAGGAAGGAAAGGGAGGGGGAAGGGGAAGGGAGGGGAGGGGAGGGAAGGGAAGGAAAGGAAAGGAAAGAGCTAATGGAGCATTTTTTGCTAGAATATCCATAAACACTGTTGCAGAATTACACTGAGACCCATGACATCTCATTGACCCACCATTAGTGATGTTATGATTGAGCATAGTTTAGGTGATGGCTGTCTGATCCCTCTGAGTTATAGTTATTTTTCCCTTTTTCACTAGAAAATAATCTGTGTGGTGTTATTTTGGCACTATGCAAATGTATACTTACCCATCAGCTGTTCACCTAATGGTTTTTACCCCAATTGATCATTTCGGCCTGTGTTAAAATTAACACAGTAATTTTATTTGGGTTTATAAAAGAATGTTTTTTTTTTAAATCATTCCTTTGTCAATTATTCTCCTATAAAGTAAAGCTCTTCCTCATCAAATAAGGCCATTTAGGTATTTTGAAGTACAGTTCCTCTGGTAACTGTTTAACTCCTTCCTTTTAAATTTAAAGGGACAATTAAATTCCCTTCAAGTTACCAATTTTCCAGGTAAGAAATATGTTAAAAGCCACCTTAAATGGTTAACAAATGAGTTTATGGCTTTGTCTTTTTTAGTGTTATAGTAGATTTTGTTACTTTGATATGTTTTAATTGGCACTTATTTTATTGAAGCATAACATATAGTAATAGTAAAGTGCACACATCTTAAGTTTACAGCTTTTTTTTTTACATCTATATTTCCTCTACCCACAAAGACTCCTTTCTAGTCAAACAGTTGTCCCTCCCTCCTCCACCATATAATTGCTTTTCTAACTCTATCACCATAGGTTCTCTTCTTGAATTTACAAGGAACACATAGTCTATACTCTTTTTGTGTCTGGCTTTATGTGAGATTCATCCATGTTATTGCATGTAACAGTCATTTTCCTTTTTGATGCTTGAATTGACATACCTTTGGCCAATGAGAGCTATTTCCAGCTGGATCCTTAGTGTTCTATTGCCAAAACTCATTAATCTTTGAAAGCTTTTCTTGCCCAAGATGATATCCTAGATTCATCTTATACCTTCTGTGCCTGTGTCCTAGAATCAACTGTTTCCCTCAAGGAGTCTTGTTTCTTTTCTTTTCTTTTTTTTTTTTTTTTTTGAGACAGAGTCTCACTCTGTCACCCAGGTTGGAGTGCAGTGGCGCAATCTCAGCTCACTGCAGCTCTACCTCCTGGGTTCAAGCGATTCTCATGTCTCAGCCTCCCAAGTAGCTGGGACTACAGGCATGAGCCACCACGCCTGGCTATTTTTTTTTTTTTTTTTTTTTTGTATTTTTAGTAGAGTTGGGGTTTCGCCATGTTGGCCAGGCTGGTCTCGAACTCCTGACCTCAGGTGATCTGCCTGCCTTGGCCTCCCAAAGTGCTGGGATTACAGGCATAAGCCACTGCACCCAGCCCTGTTTCTTTTTAATCAGTATTAGAGATGCTAATCTGATAATTGGGGATGCTTGTTATACCTTTTTTAGGCCCTTTTCCTTGACAGACAGAGCTATAAAATATAGCTATATTTAAAATATATTTTAAATCATAAGTTCATATTGATATTTTATTCTATTTTAACATTGTAATGTTTCTCCCCAATATATTTTAATTGTATATATTTCTTATTATCCTGAAAACCTTGATTTTTAACATCTTTAACACAATGCAACAGAAAGATATTTGTACACAAATACAGTTTATATAGCTTTGCAGTATTGTACCATTTAGTAGCGTTGGTCTTCTCTGACAAGTGTTATAAATGATATCCATATGGATGTTTATTTTTTTCTATGGAAGTGTCATGGTGGACTGCTACGCAATATTGCTGGACTGGCCACTCATCTCAAATGATGAAGTTTAGAGAAGTTTGGTTTGTGGAAACAAACATACTTACTCTCACCATTCCCAGCCAAGTTTAAGCTAAATCAGCTTGAAATACCTGGATCATATCAATTTCTGTTGATTCCATTTTCAGTCTGTATGTAAGTCAAATAGAATGTTGAGCATCGATGTGACCAGTTGATTCAAACTGCTCAAACTATTGCTCTGATATGTGGAGTAATTTGAGTAGTGCAGAAGCCATCTTTAGAAAAAGGTTTGGTTGTAAAAAGGTGGCTTTAATTGAATATTATTTTAAAGGCAATTTTTAAACTAAGGTTTAAACTAAGGTTTAAATTTTAAACTGAAGGTTGTATGCTGATTATTAGTCTTAACTTCTAATATATTATTAGGTGAACAAATTTAAGCAGAAAGCAGTTCTTAAAATTTTAAAATGCTTAGCCTGACAGTTAAAATTGTTAAACTATACAAATAATCGGTAGAGATTTGGGGAAAGACTTTAGTAAGTATGGTAAATTCACTAGGTATTTATACATGAGAGGTTCTAAGAAAATTTATTTTCAAAACAGTTTCTAAGTGAGAGTTTTATTGAGATTAATTCACACAACATAAAATTCACCCTTTACAAATATATAATTCTGGCCGGGCACAGTAGCTCACGCCTGTAATCCCAGCACTTTGGGAGGCCATGGCGGGTGGATCACTTGAGGTCAGAAGTTCAAGACCAGCCTGGACAACATGGCAAAACCCCGTCTCTATTAAAAATACAAAAATTAGCCGGGCGGTGGTGGCGGGTGCCTGTAATCCCAGCTACTTGGGAGGCTGAGGCACGAGACAAACCCAGGAGGCATAGGCAGCAGTGAGCCAAGATCACGCCACTGCACTCCAGCCTGGGCGACAGAGCGAGACTCCATCTCAATAATAAATAAATAAATAAAAGTATACAATTCCATATTTTTTAGTATATTCACAGAGTTGTGCAGCCCTTCCCACTAACTTTAGCATATTTTCATCACCCCAAAAAGAAACCTCATAGTTTTTAGCAGTCACTCTATATTTCTAACCAGAGTTTTCACTGACAGTAAAGAACCGTTTTAAAGTATATATAAGTAATTAAATGGTCATTCTATTTCTGTAGTAATTGTAGAAAATAATTCTGAGATATGGCAAGGGTTTTTGAATTATCACTATAATGAAATACTCTAAAAGTCCTGGTCAAAACAGAGGAGGTTGTACTCACAAACTCACTATGGATATTCTCATTATTTTCTTTGTAGAGACAAGATCAAGACTAATAGAACTTTCTAGAGGACTGAATGCTGTGGTCCTCTCTGTGAAGAAAGATTGCCTTCTGCAAGTCAAACAGAGAGAACTGCTTTCTCCCACCTGCTCTGAGCGTGGCATCACAGTTATTCCTAGTGCTTAAATGTGTATTTTCTCTCTACCACCTGGACTTTCCCAAAGAGTTTTTCCTGTAGCTACTCCAGATCTTCCACTAAAGTAGTAACTTTTTAATGACATCTTGCTGTGGTGTGATTGATGCCTGTCACCGAAGAGCACAGAGCCTCCTTACAGCTCTTGTGCCCTCGTACTCTCCATCTTGTTATCATAGCATCTGATGTCTTCAGTCCTTCCAGGATTCTGTGCGCCTTTCCCATTCCAGATACAGCAGATCGTACTGTTGCTCCTTGTGACCAAATACCATATTTGTCCCAAACCTCCACCTAGGGCCCTGGGACCCTGAAAGTGGAAGACATCAGGTGGCCATGCCCTGATGATTTAGTCCCAGAGCCCTCCGTCTCTCCCGTGCCTCCCTCCGCCACTCTATGATTTAGACTTTTGCCTTCTTCCATCTGATCGGATTCTCATTGTGAGATGTGGTGACTTTCATGTTAGATCTTCTTCATTGATGCCTTGGTTTTATTTTAAAATTCATTTGTATATGTCTGTTGATTAAAGCATTCGAAATGTTATCTTAGAATTTTTCACCCAACTGCTTGGTTTCAAAGATCTTAAGTGAAAAACTGCCTCCTGGTCAATACCAAATTTGTACAGAGTGTGAAGTGGAGTTTTTATGCTTCTGTCAAACTTCCATCCATCTAATACTGTACCTGTGTCATATTTTATTCCTTTGTAGTCTTCTAAGGAATTGGAAGTTTCTGTATGATGCGCTTTACTAGTTGTAAAATAGACTATCAGAGGGAAAAGGCCTCTCTAGTTTATTTTTGAAAAATGCTCCAGGTCTTAATAATTTTCATTTTCATTCATCTTAGTTTTAGAATTGTCACCTCAGTCTGATTTTCACAATCCTTTTTGCTAAAAGTTGGAAGTGGGAATTAGCAGACGATTTGGGATAAGGAAAGAGGAATGATGTTATATTTACCCTTAGGAATAGAAGTGACCGAAGAATCCGGATTGAAACCAGCATCCTATATACAGCTCCACAGGATGTGCTTCTCTTCATGGTAATTTTCCATATATATCATCTACTTTGATTTCTGCCCCGTTTTAATGTCCATATAAATGTTTCAGTCCAATTTGTAAGTGTTGAGTCCACTGATGTAGAAGTTCTGACTTGTAAACCATTCATCCTGCTTTAGTCATATGATAGTACCGATGCAATTAGCTCCTCTCCCACCACCGTGGGGGATTTCTCCCTGAGATGAGGTGTGCTTTGACCAGCTGCATGTGGCTTGATTGCATTCCTGTTTCTCTTAGTTCCACTGGATCTTGTTTTCTTTTATTTCGTTATATTACCTGAGCTCAGGGTAGTTCCGTTCATCTTTAGAAAGAGCTCATCTCTTCCATCCTTAGAAGGATCTCATCAGAGAACTCATATGTAATCAATCAGGTAAAAGAAATACTGATGTACTTCTGAGAGACTGGTGAGAGGTGGGTCATAGGAAGCCCATAGGTCTGAGGACCGAGTCAGTGTCTTGGGGATGGGGCTGTTCCATATGATTATTTTTGTGTGGCATAAAAGATGTAAAAAAAAAAAAAAATGGTCCTTTACATGCAAAGACCCTAGCTTCCTTTTTTTTTTTTTTTTTTTTTTTTTTTTTTTTTTTTTTGAGACACAGTTTCACTCTGTCCCCTAGGCTGGAGTGCAGTGGCACCATCTCGGCTCACTGCAACCTCCGCCTCCCAGGTTCAAGCAATTCTTGTGCCTCAGCCTCCCGAATAGCTGGGATTACAGGCATGCACCACCACGCCCAGCTAGTTTTTGTATTTTTTTGTAGAGACGGGGTTTCACCATGTTGGCCAGGCTGGTCTCGAACTCCTGACCTCAAGTGACCTACCCACCTCAGCCTCCCATAGTGCTGGGATTACAGGTTCGAGCCACTGCGCCCAGCCGACCCTAGCTTCCTTATAAACATGAGATAATATCTTCCTAGGCCTCAATTTCCAACGATACTCCTTTATGCTTTCAAGTGTGATACACTGTAGGAGAGAGGAGGCAGCAGTTTAGGGGGTGCTGCCTACTGCCTGACTCTGACAGCGTTTCTCTTGTTTGAGGAAGGCCCATCGATCACCACATCCTCACAAGCAGTACCATGTAAGGGGCCGAATATGGATAATATGGTGTAGAAAAATCTCATCACATTCTTCCCTTTACAAGTGTTTTTCAAAAGTAAAGATTGATTTCAGTGTCTTCATGACTTAATCGGTAGTTCTTTACTAGCACGCTTTTTGGCTTACTCACATCCATCTGACCCCAGTACAACCTTGCTTCTCCTGTCTTTGTTTTCTTCATTAAGAATTTATCTTTAACCCTAAAGCAACTGCAAGAAGAGTTTCAGGAACATCTGTGTTCTTCTGGCTTACTAGCCTCTTTACCCAAGTATTCATTTATCCTGTTTGTCAACTGTACATGATTCTTTTAATTTAGGCAGAGAATCTGGCTGTTTACTGGGTTTGCCTATAAGCAAATGGTCAGATTTCCCCCATATAGGTTGTAACACAAATAGACATGGACCCTTTTTCAGCTAAATTCTTTCCCATTCCTCTGTACTGCTCTTTCATTTACTCTATTTTATTTTAAGTGGGGACTGTGTCTATTTAAAATAGTGCCTGACACATAGTAGGTGCTTAATAAACAATGTTAATAAATAATATTAAAATAATGAATAATATTCATAAATAGTAGGTGAATCAAAGATAGAAAACTGTCAGACATTTTCCTTGGGTGGTAGGGCAACATCTTTCTAAGTTCTTAAACCATCCTTGTCTCTAAATTAAAAATATGGAAGTTCAAGTCAGGAGCTGTGAAAGTGCTGAATTTCCTTTTTATAGTGCTAAGAGATGACTTTAAAATGTAGAGAAATGCAAGGAAGTGGAGGGATAGATCCGCAGGAGCCATCTCTTCCTTTTTTTGTCTCTGAATATCTGATTTTGGCTCCTGAATACAGAATTCTTTCCATCCAAACAGTGTGACATAGTTTTACAGCCTTGTGTATAGATTCCAAAGACCTTTTGCATACAGCATGCCATTTGATCCTTACAATGCCATGAGCTGGACTACACAGGTATATCGGTTTTTTGTATGAATCCCAAAGCAATTAAGGAGTTTGCCAAGGTGGCATGGTAAGTCAATGGAAGGGCCAAAGCAAGCACTTGGGTGCTTGGAACAGTACGCCAGGTGATTTGTATTATCTCTTTTGAGGAATTTCTTCAGTATACTATTCCTCAAAGGGTAAGCTCTAAACCCCAAATTATCTGTAGAGCAAGTTAATTCCGTTCAGGAGAGGGTTTCTTTTGTGTGTTTCCATTTTGGCATAGTTAGAGGAGATAATCAGATGGATTTGGCAGCTTTTACCAAAAATGACAGGCAACTTAAAGTGGATAGCTGTAGGTAATTACTAGAGTTATTTAGACTTAATTCTGTGTCTGAATGAATTCAGTGCTTACTGCCAGCCCTTTCATACAAAGACTCCACATTTGAGAGCTGATGTTTTTATCTTTTTTGCAGACTGGATTACAGCTTCGGTTGGGTTTTCTTGCATATTTACAAATGTATTCCTGTTGCTGTTACTTACGAACAATAACTTGGCTGGCTATCGGATTCTTGGATCACAGCCTTTTTCCTTGAATTCTCTGGAGACAGGATGTTATTGCTACTTTATGGTTGTCCATATCTGGTGGTGCTGACAGGTCTGAGTCCTGATGGATTTTTCTTCCCCTTTTGTAGATGACCTGATTGTTTGCCCTGGATACTTGAATTCTTTGTTTATCCTTGAAATTTAGTAACTTCGTTGGAGTATATCTCAGGATTGACTGTTGTCTGTTGCCTTTTTCTGGAATGCAGTGAGCATTAGATATGGTCATTTCAAGCCTCACTGCGTTTTGTATCAGTTTAGTCTGTTCTCTTCTTGAAAACTTCATTTTTATATTGGCTCTCTGTCATCTGTCCTTCACAGTTATCTTTCCTTAGATGGCACTCATCTCATCTTTCTTCATTCATGCTGTATGATTTTTTTCTCAAGTCTTATCCTCCATTTCACTGACTGACTCAGTTTTCTGTACTGTTGATTCTAGGGCTTGTTCCTTGTAATGTGGCTTCCACTTCTGTTACAGTTTTATTTATTTTATTTTATTTTATTTTATTTTTTTCAAGATAGTGTCTCACTCTGTCACCCAGGCTGGAGTGCAGTGGTGTGATCTCTGCTCACTGCAACCTCCGCCTCCCGGGTTCAAGCAATTCTTCTGCCTCAGCCTCCTAAGTAGCTGGGACTACAGGCTTATGCCACCATGCCTGGCTAATTTTTGTATTTTAGTAGAGACAGGGTTTCACCATGTTGCCCAGGCTGGTCTCAAACTCCCGACCTCAAGTGATCCACCAGTCTCAGCCTCCCAAAGTTCTTGGATTATAGGTGTGAGCCACCGCGCCCAGCCTAGTTTCATTTTTTATCTCTTTCTTTCCTGAGCTCATTATGTTGTCCTCTTTGATTGCGTATTTCTTCCAGTGCTGAACAATTTTGTCTACAGTTTTAGTGGTTTATGAGCTCATTCTTTTTCTAGAGTGTATTTATCTATCCTTTGCATCTTTCATTCCTTTTCTTGTATTGTTTTGCTTTTATCTTGATGCACAAGTATCATGATGACCCCTTCTGCTTATTATTTATCTTTGCATGGTACCAGTTTTACCTGTCCAAGAAGAGTGTGGGTAAATCCTCCTTGACTCCTTCTCTTTTGAGCGAGACATGTTTGAAGGATAACCTTAGCACTTGAACCCTAAGGCTAGCTCTTGATGGGTTGTAGTGGTGGAGGGTGTTTTTGGTTTTCATTCTGTTTGGATTTGGGGGAATAAGGAGTGACACGAAGCCTCCTTGGAACATGTTGTCTGTGAGTGCCTTCCATAGACACTGTTGAATCCTCTGCCCTGGGGGTGGCCGGGTCCCATTGGGAGACAGATCCTCTTTGCATTTCCCCATTCCCACTAGTCGTCATCCTAGCAGGAACATGGTGGGTTTGTACTTCTGCCCTCCTGGATTCCATGTAGCCCACATTTGTGAGATCGGCTCCAGAGTTGGTTTCTCTCCTCTGGTCCTGCTTCTCGCCGCTCTTCCTCTTTTGGATACCGGAGGGGATGAACACACATGGTTCATCTGAGATCTCAACCGCCTGTCCTCGTTTTTCTGGAAACATGCACGCGCAGAGTGTGCCCAGCTTCTCCCGACTGTTGCCAGTCCTGTTTTGCCAAGTTAACAAATGATCAGTAGAGTCTTGGGAATCTTCTCATTAACTGCCCAGCAGTTGTGGCTGCTGGAGACTCGGAGAAATGCCTGGCAAATGCAAGAACTCTTCTTCGATTCATCCCCAACTTGGTTGTATCTGTCAGACATTGCCCTGGAGTCCGTGGTATGGAGTTGTAGCTTTTACTAGTTTCATTATAGACAGCTTGTTGTTCAACTTTTGGATGTGTGGGTCAGAGGGCAGGAGCACTTATATAAACATGCATTTATTCTGCCATCTTTTCAGCAGTCCAGATGCTTAAACATTGACTTTGAAGCTAATGTCCTTCATAATCTACATTTGAGCAAACAGAAGGAAGCAATATTGCCAGCAAGAAAGGACGATTAACTTAATCAATACGGGATTTTTGTTTACTGTTCTGTGTGGAAAGATAACTTTTAAGTCAAGTTCCTGTCTCATTGATTAGAGATATCAGTACCTTCTGGTTTGAAAATAGAGGACATATGACATTTTAATGAACTTAAGTTATCAGCCATTGACAATTATTAGTTAGCTGATTAAATATGATAGAATACTCCAAACTAGCACATCACCAGAGTTACCAAGAGACGCCTAAGCTCTTCTTTATGAACAGGTTGTTGGTGGAGCTGTGCCACTGAGGGGGTTAACATCTCTGACACCTTAACTGTGCCACAGGTTTTCTTACCTGTCTTTTCAATCAACCCATTTTAAAATTTAGTTCATCAAGAAAGAGAAAGGTGTTAAGTCTTCATCAGGATTCCTTTTGGTTTCTCATGAATACATATTCACATGGTTTGGAGACCTGGAGCCCACCACCAAAGCACACTGAGTTAATGTTTTGAAAGTGCATTTGTAGGTAGATCCTGGGGCTGGGGTTTTATTTGGCCTGTTTGTAGAATTGAAGCCTCTTTGCCTCAGTGGTCAGCACATCCCACCAGACATCCGGCAGCAAGCTTTCGTCACCTTCAGAGCTCTAGCATAATGATAAAGGAGCACTAGTGACAGCCTTGCTGTATGCACCAAGCTCCACCCTGGGCAGTGCCTTTCCCTAATGTCTGTCCTGGTGTGAAATGGAGACTTGAAGACCGGTACCCACATGTAAGAGAGGTTAACGAAGGGAGGGTGGCAGAGAGAGGAGTCATGTGAAGGAAAGCTACCTTTAGTCCTCCATCGCAATACTGTCCAGTGTCTCCAGCGTGCTAGAAACTGTGCTGAATGCTGGGCACATGGCAGGGGTCAAAGCAGACAGAAATCCCTGCCTCATGAACCCACTTTCTATTAGGGGAGACAGACTAGAAACACAAAAAGGACATTGAATAGTACGATTGAGAGATGAGTGCTATGGAGAAAAATCCAGCCAGAAAGGGAGATGCAGAAGATAGCACCAGATCTTCTCAATGTTGTTTTCATCATGGACAGGTGCGTTCCTTAGAAGATGAAGTGTTAGTGATTCCTGAGTTTTTCTCACCTTCACGTCGATTGATCTGAATTTGGAGAGTCTGTTTTCTGTGTCTGGCTCTGCACTCAACTTTGTAGGGGACCCTGTCGAGGTCCCCACACTGTGGCTTCAGGTAGACAGAGCAGATGGGAGCCCATTTCAGTTCATTGTCTTGCTGACCAATGGGGAACTGTGGTCAGGTGAGAGGAGGCAGCTTTTACAATCAGACTTCATTGAATAGTGTGGGCTGCTGTTTCCTTGTAACAAAACCCCATAATGATGGCAGTTTCCGGATGTGTCTTTTTAGGACTTCAGAACTTATTATTTGAATAGAAGTTTAAAGCATCTGGATGATGATGCTGTAGCTAAAACAGCTGCTTGTCAGAAGAGACCCTATTTAACACTTCTAAACTTGTTTCAGAGGTGGAGGAAAGGATAATCTGGGAAGGCCTCCCTCTCAAGTCCACAGGTTGGTATCAGCTGTGTTCATCCCCCAAAAGGAAAATAAAATGACAACAATATTTTGGTCACAGAATTCCTGAGAAACCTCTGTTTCTATCTTCATGTCTTTAAGATAGGGACATGAATTCCCCATGATCTGGGTGATAGGGTTAGGGTGGCCAGGACACTGTTACTTTGTGTGTGACACAGGTGGCTCCTCATGACAGTTCCTCCATGCCTTAGAACATGTTGTCTGTCTGGTCATCCCTGGGGGTAGAGCTGAGTGACCCAGCAGTGGGAGATTTAACAACTGGAGAAGAAGATGGGATGTGTTTAATTATCCCCAGAGGTAGGGCCAATTTGTCACCCTTTAAATAGACTTATTTGCATATAAACTAAAGCACCTTAGGGCATCATTACCGAAAGTGTCTAAGCAAATGTCTGATATAGTTACGTGCCTGCATTAAAAGAAAGCAGCCCCCTTATCTTGCCTTAATATCCTTACAGTGTTTTAATAAGTTCATAATGCATCCTGTATGTGCATTTTTTGGTATAAAACACCGAAAGGTGGAGAATTGACTTCAGTTCTCTCCATCCTTTCCCCTTAAGTGTTGGTGGCGCTGCAGGGGCAACGTGCCTCCCATTGGAAGTGGTGACTTCCTCTTTGATAGAGGTTTGCCTGTCTCTTGAAAATGAAAAGAAGCGGAGATTGATCTCTGGAGTCCCATGGTCCAGTTTGGACTATTGGGAATATTTTTTATGGGATGTTAAAAACAATATTAGAGACGTGAGATAGTAAATTTGTGGTAATACCGGATCCAGGAAGCTTACAGTGAAGAGTATGAACTTAACCTGAAAAGTATTTCTCTGTTCTATAAATCTCTCAGTGACATTTGGATTAATCAAGCATAATTAAATGTAGTTAGATTTTTGTCAGATTGTAGTTCAAAATAATATTCATCTATGGAGAGGGTAATATATTATGTAGAAATTTTATTAAGCACTTTAGTTAAGCAAACACTAAGGAGAACAAAATCAACCTCAGGAAGGTTAATTACTAAAAAAATCACAAAGTATAGTAGATTATGTAAATCATTTTAATTTTGAATACCATGGCTTGAGCTTTAATTTACATAGAGACGTATTTTGGATTTGTTTTTCACATTATATTTTCTAGTACAGGATTGCAATTGCATTCTTGAAAAGTTCTACTCATTTTAGGATTCCATTAAGTTTGCTTAACTTTTTTCATGTTATAATTTCCAAAAGCAAAGAATTACAATTGTATTCTAGCTAATTATTTTAATGTTTCACTAACTTTGTGTGTATTGTAAGACCATATTTTTATTTCTATACAAATGATGATTTTAAGAGAAGTATCAGGAGAGAGAATGTATATGAAAGCATCGCGTCCACGCCTGGCTTTGCAATAAGTGTTCATTTAAAAGAAAGACATTTACAAAGGTAAAACATAAGAGTTTAGACTATAGCGATAAATCTTTTTATTTTAGTAATTTCTTTAAAGGGAAAAGTAAAGAGATCAAAATGATTTTATATGTATTTTTTTTGTACTCAGAGAATTACATTTTCACTACCCCCGCCTGTCTCAGGGAATAGCCTTTGATAAGAATCCCATGGAGATCTCTGGAACTCTATTACAGTGTGTTCAGATTTGTTAGTTCATATGTAAATTTCAGAGCTAGAGCTTCAAAACTAGAGTATTGTAATCTCAGGAACATAAGATTATCCAAGAAGCCTGAACCTTGCTCTTTTCATGATAAATGACATCCAAATTTCCTTTGTCTAGGAGATAAGCATAGATCCCTTTTATCATGCTTCTCTGAGATTTTCACAGAACAACCCTGCAATTTGATTTTGTTTGATAATTTTGCTTTTTGGCTTTTCAGTGAGGACTCTATTTTCCATTGGAACTGACTCCTTTGGGGATAATAAGCTTTCACTTAAAAGAACATTCCATTAGATAGTTCTAACTTCAATGAACCTAAAAGTGGCTTCTTAATTTGAATAATCTGGATAACTTTTGCAAATGGGTCAAAACAGCACAAGTATCAACAATCACGTATGTACTGAGTAATATTTGCCCTCCAGTTAGCAAAGTCAAGAAATGTCTAACTCTGGCACACAGCACTGGTTTTAACTACTCTTTAGTTCATCTTTGCCTTCCAAATTGGTTGAAAATGGCAAGCTTAGAATGGAATGCATATTAATAACAGAACCACTTAATGTTTTAAAATATTCATACCTTGAGATTCTTTTTGAGAGAAAAAAGAAATCTTAACATCCAATTCTAGTTGTTTTGGCTTTTCACATATGCTAGACATGAAAAAGGCAGTTACAAAAGTGAAATCCGATTGGAAGTCAGTGGTGTCCGCCATTGAGCCGTGCTAAATGTCGTGTCACAAAAGGAGTTTGTGAAAACAGGATGAGTAGAAAATGTTATACTGTTGTTTCTATCGTGGCACCGCTTTCTTATAAATTCCATTTGCTTTTTGTCATCTGAACTGTTACAACCATGGGAAACCTCAGTCCATATTTTTAAAAGCACTATATACTTACAGGAAAAACCGACTTATGCCTTCATTGAAAAAATGTTGAAGTTAATATCCCAAATGTTTAATGAGCATGTTTTAGAATATTTACAGCTAAAGTCTGTCACTTTAGGGATTTGACAAAACTTGAGACTGCCTGCCACCGAAGAGGGACCAGGCAGAATCTTCTCAGCCTTGTAACCAGCGTTAAAAAAATATAAGGGGCTTGATGAGATCCTAGATCTGCTCCTTTTCTCCTAGGTGCCTGGGTAACTCCTGGGGAAAGCATCATATTAAGTCCTTTTCAAGCAAGGTGTGTGATTTTGACCAATGAATTGAGCTGATATGTGATTTTGACCAATGAATTGTGCATCTATTTAAAAATTACCAAGTGTATCTTGACTCTTGAGTGGACAGTCAAGGCAAAGTTTACTTAGGAAATGTAAAGTATGGAGTGTTTTAAAAAATTCAAATTGAGTTTATTCACTGTTGGAGGAATTGAATTCTATTGCCTCCCTCATTTCCATTATGTTCATTGTTACAATTGTGCTGCTCTGTTCTCATTGTGATGCTTAGTTCTCGTGTAGAACTGAGTGCTACATTGTGATTAGAAACTGGAGTTGTGCTTGAGTCAGTCCTGGAAAACAGGACCCATTTTTAAGAAGAACGGAACATACCACTTTGGCATTCTGGCTGACCCTAATTTCTGCAGAGTTCCTTGGTGTTAAAATCATTTGAGGTCATAGTTGCTGCTTATGGTTTATATACACACCATCTGCTGCTCTAAGTTCACATCCTCTCAAAAGCATGCAAGTGCTTGAAATTTAAATATTTCCCAGATCTAAAACAACTTGTGACTACCTAAGAAATGCTTGAACCAAATAAGAAACAGCACTGTGGAATAAAATATACCATTGTGAACATATCTGATGCTGCAATGAAATGTAAAGTTCCTTACTTTGCTGATTTTTCATCATAACTCCTTGACTCATAAAAGCGGTGTCTAAACTGGGAACAGCTGCTAATAGGGTAAAAGTATTATACATCAAATAAAAGTTCATTACAATATTTGTACTCATAAGTCAAAATCTGACCTGGTTCGCTTTGTGCCTCTGTCAGCCTACTTACAGTGATAAATGTACACACAAGTCCAGTGTTGCCAAGGAGCTTTGTTTATAGAAAGAAGCTTGGTCCCCTCAGTTCTATGCTGTTGTGTGGCCTGGTTGGTACATGCCGTCATGATGAAGGATGACTTTGGTTTGAGATAATTTGTCACTCCACATTCCATGGAGAAAAGTGTTTCATTTTGATGTTGGAAAAACATGACCAGAGAAGCATGTGACTCAGATAATGTTCCCCGGAAGTTGCAGAGCAATCTGTGGTGTCTGTCATAGCCCAACTAGTCCTGGAGCACATGGACAATTCTGTACCCCAATAATCAGAACAATAAAATGGTAGTTGTGATTCACTGTGCGTCACTGTGGTGTTTTGTGAGCCCTCGTCTATTTCTCATCACTCCCACCTATAAACTTCTCTCTCTTGGTTTCTGAAATTCAGTACATTAACGGCACCAAGCACCTTTGCAAATTGCTGGGAATAGACAAGGATGCTTGCTTAAAGTCTTATGATTGAGTGAAGGAAAATAGGTTATTTGGAGTCCCTAGCAGGGAACATGGAGCTCACCTTTTTTGGGGAGCATCCTATGGGTGAAATATAGTAGCTGTATAATAGTAAACTGTTAGAGTTGGTATTTTTCAAAATATGGTCCATGGATAGAAGAAAGAGGGCCATACACTGTACTGTCTAAGTCAGGACACTTTTGAGAATGAAAAAGAGCACTATTAACAATTGTTTCTGTAAACCGTGTAAGCAGGTGTACACTGGCACGGTCCTGGGCAAACTGAGATGGCCTGGCCATGGCCCACCCACACCAGAACGACCTGAAATGCTGGCTTATGCAGATTCCTGGGCCCTACCTCAGCTCTTCTACTGATTGATTCTCTAGGGGGCAGTGGGAGGCCCAGGAATCTATATTGACAAATGCTCCAGGGGAATTGTTTTAAAAACTAACATTGCAAACTGCTGCCACACGGCATCTTCAGAAGACAAACAACTTGAGTTTTTCAATGAAAGTGCTATTGGTTCCATGGTCTTTTATAATGAACTGGGCAGCACCGACACCAGAACCCAGTGCCTCCAAAGACATTTGGCTACAGTTAAGTGCTTTCTGAATAATTAACAGATGTAGTCCTCAAGCTCTTTAGCAGTGTGTAATTCTTTTACTAAACATTTCGTGGTGAAGAGGTGCCTTTTCATTTTTTAATTGGAGAGCCACATAACTGCTATCTTCCATGTTTAACGCTAAAAAACAAAAGTTCTCAAAAATTTGAGGCAAATGCCTTGGTTTTGAATGGTCCTTGGGGAGTGTTCATATCAGGAAATCACGTTTGTCTTTGTTCAGCTACCAATTATCTCTGTTAACTGTACCTTAGTTTCCTCATCTATAAAATTAGGGAGTTTCTGGGCAGAGTGGCTCATGCCTGTAATCCCAACATTTTGGGAGGTCAAGGCGAGAAGATCACTTGAGCCCAGGAGTTTGAGAACAGCCTGGGCAACATAGCGAAACCCCCATTTCTAGAAAAAAATACGAAAATTAGCCGGGTGTGGTGATGCACACCTGTAGGCCCAGCTACTCAGGAAGCTGAAGCGGGAGGATTGCTTGAGCCTGTGAGGTCGAGGCTACAGTGAGCCATGATCACGTCACTGCACTCCAGCCTGGGTGACAGAGTGAGACCCTGTCTCAAAAATGAATGAATGAATGAATGAATGAATGAACAAAATTAGGGAATTGGACTACGTGGATTCCAGACTCCAGGTTTGATGTTTTGTGGCACTCTTTAAAAACCTAAAATGGGAAGCAATTACTAACCTACTTTCATGTTGTTTTTATATATCTATGTATATGGAATATAAAAGCAGTGACTCTTGAAATTGACAGTGGTTTTACTCAGAATTTTAGTATTATCCATCTGCATTTTACCAAAGGTCAGCTGCTGTGTTAAGACATCATTGATGACTTGGGAATCGTGTTTTCGTAGCAGCCACTCCTGCCCTGGTTTGAAATCCATAAAGTATGTGCAGTTTAGGCTCACAAAGAGACTATTTAACTCAAGACTGCACAGTTCCATGTAGCTGCCACAGAGCATCACACTTGAGTGTACATTTTTACTTTTTTGTCATTGATTTCAAAATCCTTTCCAAATGACTTAATAATGCTTGCTTACAAGTGATTATCTGCTGATATTTTCAGATATTTGCTTCATAATAACGTACTTACACTTTGATCACATGAATAAATCATAAGGCATCGTGTAGAAGGGGTTGCGTCTGGGAAGGGTTTCTGTAGACCACCATCCACCACTAGGACTCTCTGCAGTGCTGGAAACGTGCTACATCTGTGCTGTCCAATATGGCCACCACTAGCCACCTCAACAGTTAAAATGTGGCTAGTGCAGCTGAGGAACTGAATTTTACATTTTATTTAATTTTCTGAATTTAAATAGCCACGTGTGGCTAGTGGCAACCATATTGGACAGCCATTTCATCTGTTGAATTATTTAAAATTAGCGTCGAGCACCCGTTTTCACCAGTCACCAGGCTGGGTGCTTTACAGCAATTGTGTCATTTTTAAACGTTGGTGTTAAAATGAATCCTTTGTCAATGAATCCTTTGTCCTCTGCCCACTGATGACACTTTCATCAACATAATCATCTCTCTCTCTCCTTGGTTAAAAAACATAAAATGATACTTAGACCATTTCCTAGTGTGGCCACATGGCAGACCAGTTCTCGTCTTTGCTACACAGGCCATTGACCATCTACCTCTTTGAATCCATTTACTTTCGGGCTTATTTTGTTCCCTGAACTGACGTATTACCATAGCCCAGAGGGTCTCAATCTGGCTCCACTTCAGATCCATTAGAGGGGTGCTGAGGAGTCTTTTTTTGAGTTCCCTGGGAGATTCCAACATGCAACAGGGTTGAAAACCACCGATAAAGTTCAAACTATAGACCAGTCATTGGGAAAAGCTAGAATGCTGGCTGCACCAAATCATGTCTCCCTGGCACAGAGCAGGCCTACGAGCTTTGCGACTTTCTTGATAATCTGCCTAACAGCAATTGGGAAATACTTAAAAAGGAGAAAAGGCTTGTCAGTTTGGATTTGGGCCAACTAAGCAGTTTTGCCGTTTCCTTCTCTGCAAGAAACTCCAAGTTAGGCTAATGCTACTCTTACATTCTCTGGCATTCTTGTCCAAACAGTATTTGCAAGTCCTCAAACAAAATAAACATGTTAATGATTTCAACAACAGTGATGGATGCAGAAGCTTCCAACAGTTCCTTAGTGACAGCTTAATATAATAGTGGAATTATTTCTAAAGTTAGAGATAATTATTGTCACCTTAGCACAATAATTGGAATGGAGCTTCCTATATGAAAACTGCTCTTCTCCTAGGGCTTCAACTGGTCATGAAATAACAGTTTATAAGGGCAAATAAATGCCCCATTATTCAGGTGAGGGAGGCCCGTCAGGCACTCTGCAATCAAAGAATGGAGGGGAGACTGAGAATGACCATCTCATCCATCAAGCAGCCCTGTCCAATTAGGATCATTTAAACTATTTCATGCAAGGCCCTCACAAAACAGAACCTTACTGCCATTCATGGGCCTAGCTAAGGGATATCATTGTCAGTCTCCTCTTTTCAGCATACTCAGAAAATAGTTTCAAATGAATAGAAAATCTTTTAAAAATCTGGTTTTCCTATTTTCCCTCACTCTCAGAGTTGGTAATCTTTGTACTCAGGGACAGTTAGAGCACATCACCCCCAAAGAGATGAGTAAAATCATGTAAAATTAGTAAGTAAAATAATTGTAAGATTCTATTGGTAGAATCAGAAGTTTCAGTGGCCAGAAACATGGAGTTTTCCTTAAGAGCTCAGTAAAGTCAAAGACAGGGCCAGTCAGGAGACTGAGAGGCAGACTAGTAAACTGAAATTGAGGGCAAAGGGGCAGGGATTGTGTCCCCTCTAGTCTTTGTGTCCGCAGCACCTAGTGGCCCACTCAAATGTTTGTTGAGTACTTCGGATGGAAATGTATGCCAGACCTTAAGTTAAAATGTGGATCAAAGGCCACGACTTTCAAAGGAAAATGAGTTACTCTAGAAAGGAGCATGGAGTAGCTTGAAAGTGTGTTGTGGCTGAAAGTGATTCCTAGCTTAAACTGGCTGTGATCAGCATCCAAAGAACCAGAAAACAAAAACAAAAAGAAAAACAAAAAAACAGAGGGCAAATAGGCAGGAAACAGATTGTGCCTGACAGCCAGAATCTGTACCCCTGGGTTTGTTTCAGTGGGAACATGTCCAATGGTCAAAGACTTTGGTTAGTTACCATTTTCACTTCTTGTTATAGCCAAGTATGGATTGGAGGATATGTACAAGGAAATGGGGGGTGGGGTCCTTTAACTTCCTTCCCTATTGGCCATGGCTCCATGTTCATGAGTTGAGGTTTCAACACTTCCTCTCCTCATGGACCAGGGAGCATGTTCCTTTGGGTCAGATATCCCCGTTATATCTATTCCATGCTTCGTGTGTGTGTGTGTGTGTGTGTGTGTGTGTGTGTGTGTGTGTGTGTGCGTGCATATGTTTTAGACAGAATCTCGCTCTGTCAGGCTGCAGTACAGTGGCACGATCTCGGCTCACTGCAACCTCCACCTCCCAGGTTCAAGCGACTCTCCTGCCTCAGCCTCCCGAGTAGCTGGGACTACAGGCACATGCCACCACACCTGACTAATTTTTGTATTTTTAGTAGAGATGGGGTTTCCCCATGTTGGCCAGGCTGGTCTCGAACTCCTAACCTGATCTACCCACCTCAGCCTCTCAAAGTGCTGGGATTACAGCCGTGAGCCACCATGCCCGGCCCATGCTTGTCTTGTGGACATCAAAACTCAAACATTTTAGCAAGGTCATCACTGGTAGCTGTTAAATAGAAATGGTAAAAAGAAGAAATTATCTCTATTTGTATGAGAGTTACTGCTCCTCAACTCTGTCAGGACTTGGGAAAAGATTCAAGGATTTGTGACCACTGTCCTCAGTCACCTTGGGTTAGAGAAAATAATGGTTCCCCAAAAATGTCCATATCCTAATCCTCAGAACCTAGGAATACGTTGTATTACATATGAAGAAGGAATTAAAGTTGCTGATGACCTGAAAATAGGGAAATGCTCCTGGGGTTATCTGGATAGGCCCAATGTGATTACAAGGGCTCTTATAAGAGGAGGAGGCAGAAGAAGAGTCAGTGTCAGAGTGATGTGACATGAGAAAGACTGGACTGGCTACTGCTGGCTTTGAAGATGTTAGGGGGCCATGAGCCAAGAAATGCAGGTAACCTCTAGAAGCTGGAAAGGGCAAGAAAATAGATTCTCCCCTAGAGCCTCCAGACAGGAACAGCTGCCACCTGCCAACACCTTAATTTTAGCCCAGTAAGACTCATTTTGGACTTCTGACCTTCAGGACTGTAATTTAATAAATTTGTGTTGTCTTAAGCCTCTGTGTTTGTTGTAATTTGTTAGAGCAGTAGGAAACGAATACACACCTCTTCCACTTCTTTCATCTATCATTAATCCCTGGGTACCAGATATAGAAACAAATAGAAAAAGAATCAGTGACTCAGTGGTGTTAAGGTGGGTCTGTGATCAGGCTGGTAAATGGCATTTTGTCAACATATTCCCAGTGGAACATGACTACCAAACAGATTAAAAAGACTGGTTATCTTCTCAAGCTATGTAATGGGTCATGTCCTGCTACGCACATGGCAGATGATGACAAGTTTTCTTTGGACTTGGACATTTTAGAGTGACAGGGATATTTGCAAGTATAGTCCGTTGAAAAGGTCCCTGTGGAAAGGGTAAAGTACTCCAACTCTTTCAAGTAGAGAATCATCAATTCTTTTTAAATCGAAGGTTACAGATCAAATATTTTACTTGTAGCTAATCCCTCCATCAGAACTCTTTATGAATAGAGTACAGGAAGCTTGTAGCTTAATTATTTCACCTCCACTCAAGAAAGATTATAAAGTTAAGGAGAATAGAAATTGTTTATAGGTGAAGCCGGGTGCGGTGGCTCACACCTGTAAATCCTAGCACTTTGGGAGGCCGAGACAGGCAGATCACTTGAGGTCAAAAGTTCGAGACTGGCCTGGCCAACATGATAAAACCCCATCTCTACTAAAGATACAAAAAAAAAAAAAAAAAAATTAGCCCAGGCATGGTGGCGTGTGCCTGTAATCCCAGCTACTCAGGAGGCTGAGGCAGGAGAATCGCTTGAACCTGGGAGGCGGAGGTTGCAGTGAGCCGAGATCCCACCACTGCACTCCAGCCTGGGTGACAGAGCGAGACTCTGTGTCAAAAAATAAAAAAAAATTGTTTCTAGGAACAGTACATGTCAACCCTGCTCTGACCATTTCTCCAAGTTTCTCACATTTTGGTCAACTGCAGCTGATATTTAGTCAATATGGTGCCTTTTCTAGAATACACATTATAGTCGTGTCAAAGACTAACATAAGGCTTCTATCAGCTACAGATATTTGGGCTCTTAATGAGATCTTCAGATTTTACTCTTGATTGGTTTCTACTTGATGGTTTCTTAAAGAAGTTGATCACCAAGTATACTTTGATGCTTATGAACTGTCACACTCTGTCTCAAAAGCATCTCTATGGGAGTCCTTTTAATCTAATAGTTCCTGCTGAATACCTGGAGAAGTTGCCTAAACATTCAACTCCAGTTACCAATGAAGACTCCAAGACAAGAGGACTGTGTGTGTGTGATATGTGTGGGAACACTTTTGATAGTGTACCTTTTCCCCCAGGAATTATGTTCATTAACAAAGGCTAATTCTCTTGGGGGCAAATATCAAGGTTCTTAAATATGGGTTTTAGTACACCTTGTAACTGATTGTTTTCCCCTTGAGAACATGTCTGAGGCATCATGGAAGTCAAGAAGAAACTTGTAACTGTTGCTTGAAATACAACCTGTCAAGAATGCATTTGATCTATGTGGTGAAACCAAATAGTATGGTGTACGAATAATAGGTATTCCATTTTAAAATTCATTCCCTTGCTGACTACCAGCCTGGCTTTATTTATTCTGGACCCGAGGCTAATGTCAGAACTGTGGTCATTTCAAAAAGCGCAACCTCTCCAGATGGAGTTAATGGAATTTCCTTAATTTGGCGAGTGGAGGGCACCAGCACAGTTCTCAGAATATTGACATCTGCCTTAGCTGTTGACATTTGGGATCCAGATTTAGTGCGTCCACCCCCATCTATCTGTGTCTAGCTGATCAAAGAAGCTTTTTTTCCCCAAAGATGGAAAAGTGGTTGAAATGGCCACTTCCCAAAGTTTAGGTACACTTGGGAAGCATTCCGTCAAGTGACAAGATAAGAAAAGTGGATGGAACTCTAGAGCCTTTTATCTTGATGCTAGAAGTGTGGAGGCTGAAGGCATGAAACCAGTCACCAATGCGGCTGTGGAGGCCCCAGGGGACTGGAAGACCACCTCTCCCGTGAGAGTTCAGTACTTTCTCATGGTCGTTCAGTGACAGCATCACAGCTGGTAGAAGCTTGGGGCAATGCAGCCTGCCTCATACATTCAGAGACCTTTACAGGCAAAGGAGACCTTAGAAATAATTTCCTTGAGGCCAAAGAAGTGAAAAGGTTAGGCCAAGGTCACAAAGTCAGTTAGTAGTGGAGCCTACAATGCAGGGTCCTGACTGGGTTCACCATGTGAGCTTCCCTCCACGTGGTGCTGTTCCTAACTAGCTTTCAAGTCAAATGTGGGGCCTTTGGCAACTCCAAGGCTTTGCCCTGCTCTGCACGGTGCACAGTCACATCCTTCTGAAGGGCTGGGGCCACAGCTGGGCAGAGCCAGCCGGTGGGCCAGGACAGCTGCTGCAATGCCTGTATTTTTCCCCATTGAGCTAGTTCATAAATAGGAACACACAGCAGCACACTTAAGAAACATGACAATGACACACGAAAGTGCAATTCTGCATCCCTTTATTTATAAACGAGTTGAGAATGGTGTGGTCCATTTGAGAGCAAGAATGGGATAGGAGCAGGGGGGCAGGGGGCGCGCAGAGTTGGGGGAGGCTGATTCCAGTAGTTCGCGTTATTCAGCACCAGAGTAAATGCTTGGGCATAAGGTCGTGCTTTAACCCAGACAGGTCTTGTCTTATATGTACAGCATAGTCTTAAGTATGTATGCTCTACTTATGGCTTTGTCCCTGGACACATCGCAGTGACACAACAGAGGAAAACTAGAAAGAAGTCTAGAGAGGAGAAGTTGCAAATGCCTCATGAGCTATTTCTTTTTTAAAAATCTGATGGCCAAGACTAGTGCTGAACGGATGCCTAAGAAACAGGCACATCTCTGCTAGAGACGGGCTCATCTGCTTCAGCTGAGCCAGTGACACCGTCTCGCATCTCTCCCTGGGGTATGACTAGATGCTAAAATAAGTACTGAAGACGGAGAGAAAATAAATCCGTGCTCTTCCTGTCCCTCCCTCAGGGGGTGAAATAACAGTATCTAGTAGCCTAAGAGCAAAACTGAAATCCCTAAGCTGTGTCTCTTCCACTCAGACCAGGTTAGAAGCCAGGCCAATGTCTCACGTCCTGCTCCTCTTGAGCCTGGCATTTCTTTGCCTTGGTAAGGTCCTGACACACAGGAGCATGCTTGCCAGAAGCAAGTCGTTCAGTGTGACTTATGGCACAGCAATCCCACCCTTGTTTCTTAGCTGGTGGAGGGGTGACCAGTTCATTTTAGGGTCCCCATAAGCAGCTAATATAGAAGTGCTGAAATGAAGCAACCAGAGAGGCAGGGACCCCATATCCTGCATGGGCATTTGCTAACCTTGGTTGTGCGTAAAAGGAACCCTTCCCTCTTCACCTGTCAGGGGGTGAGTTAACACTTGAAAGGGAGCGGAAAATCGGCTGGACGCCGTGGCTCGTGCTCATAATCCCAGCACTTTGGGAGGCCGAGGCGGGAGAATCACCTGAGGTCAGGAATTTGAGACCAGCCTGGCCAACATGGTGAAACCCCGTCTCTACTAAACATACAAAAATTAGCTGGGTGTCGTGGCAGGCACCTGTAATCCCAGCTACTTGGGAGGCTGAGGCAGAAGAACCCCTTGAACCTGGGAGGTGGAGGCTGCAGTGAGCCGAGATTGTGCCATTGCACTCCAGCCTGAGCAACAAGAGCAAAACTCCATCTCAAAAAAAAAAAAAAAGAAAGAAAGAAGAAAGAACAAAGAAGAATGAAAGAAAGAAGGAAGAAAGAGAAAGAAAAAGAAAGAAAGAAAAAGAGGAAAGAAAAAGAGAAAGAAGAAAGAAAAAGAAAGAGAGAGAGAGAGAAAGAAAGAGAAAGAAAGTAAAAGAAAGAAAGAAAGAAAAGCGGAAAATCACTACCCTCCTGCTCCCCTACAACTTCAGTCCCACTTTCTCCCATCTTCATAAGCTGCCCCCTTCTGCAGTCCTAAGTTGCTATCCTCCAGCCCTCATTCTGAAGCTTCCTTTCCTCACTAGGGCAAAAAGAATCTCTTTCCTTGCTTTGTGTTATTCCTGCTTACCCCTCCAAGCTTGGGGCATATTTCTCATTCCAGCCTTAACTCACTCTTGGCCATTACAGTTGACCTGCTGGCCCTAACAAAGTGCAACCCGGTCTCTGCCTGGGAGCAGGGAGGTGGTGTGGGGGTAGGGGCTGGGAGAGACTGAGAGATGGCCAAAAAGTATCAAAAGTTGGGTTGTAGAATCCTTCCCATTCCTTCTCAGTAGATTTGCAGCCTCAAGAGGGTGGAACGGGGGGACTCACTGCAGGTTAGGAGGGTGAGATTTAGAACCCATTTATGTGTGGTTTGGGCTCATCCCTGGAATAGGCATTAGTTATTTCCCATAATTGGCAGCAATGGTGACATTATCTGATGAGTCACGTAAGTGGCACCTGTCAGTATGGCGTGTAAGGCCTGCAAATGTATAGTCAGCCTGATACACTATTTGCTCCAGAGTATAAGATTCAGGTAAAAGTGAATCTATCTGCCCTGGGCCATGGAGCAGGGGCACAAAGGCCTTCCCAAGAGAGTCTCACCTGTAAAGTGAGGTCCTGAAATGGTTTTATGAGAGCAGATTTTCTTTATCCTCCTTTCCTCCCTCCAGGAACTTCTTTCCTCCTTTTCTCTTCCCTTGTTCCCGCCACCTTCCCTTGCCTGGCTGGCCTCATCCTTCACTGCTACAAGTGCCAACTAACTCAAATGGTAGGCAGACTTGCATGGCTTGACCTGAGTGCATGATGGAAGACAGAGACCAAATGGAAGAATGAGGCCCTTGTCCCTCTCTGAAGAGCAATATTCTGGGTGGCCCTTGACTGCAAAAAGAAGTTTTCTTCTTCACATGCCATGTTCCTGCCAGCCCTCTGTCCCATATGAGTGCTTCCCAGAGTCCTGGAGAAGGAAAGTGCCAAGAACAAAGAGGTTCCAAGCCAGCTCAGCCTCATAGTTTTGCTTCACAGCAGACAGCACTCATCTCCAAGTGGATAGGGAGGTAGTTCAACCCCAACAAGAAGGGGAAAGACATGCCGCCTTCCTTCACTGGTTGTCCCCTTGTCACCTAGAAGGCTGGTTCCCAAGGCCTCTGAAAAGGGGTATTTCTATCACAAGAGATTCTGGGCTCTGCCTACAAGTTGCTGGTTTGGGCCTCTATTCAGTCAGACCCCAGCTCTGTGTCTGAATTTACTGGCATACCCATACAATAACCCAAAGAGTTTGGTTCTATGCCTTAACTCTCCCTGCTCATTTCGCACAGGTGACTAAGGAGCAGGACCTTTGGACAACTCAGCAGGAACACTTAGAGTCTTCATCCTACTTGGCAAACCTAGGGCCAGAGATAATGGTGATACTACCTAGACCATTCAGATGCTGAGATCATAACTGAGCCCACAGTTCTCTGTAAAAAGTCTTGAGTTCTCCTTCACCCAAAAATGTTATAGGAGGCCACGAGAACAAAATACTAATTTCCTGGTTGGGATAAAACGTTTCCACAGGAATCTGGAATAAGCTTGACAAAGTGCCCAAGTCACAAGAGAACAGATGTTTCTTGAGACCAAGGATTTCAGAGGAGTATTATGGTGGAGCGCAGGAGTGGGGTCTATTATAAAATGCCACCACTATATACTCATATTGCACATGGGATACACCCGGGGATGACATATTGGAGCATATATAGAACAGATACGTGCAGGTAGCACCCCCTATTGGTATACTATGTTTGATACCTCAAACTGTTACTTGAGGTCTATGAAACTGTTAACTGGTCAGAAATGGGAAAAGCCATTCCATAATAGCATCCTTTAAGGAGAAGCTTCAGGAGACATTTCTTGTCCGCTAAACCTGGAGGCAAAGCAAAGCAGCTCCTCTTTTTTATATATTAGGAAGTTTTTCTTTGTTGCAGTTCCCACGGATTAAGGTAATTTCTGCAAAACAATGAAGTCAAACCAGTGATGAGAAAGTACAACCAGGAGCACATCAGGCCTTACGTGGAGTTCTTGACAAAACTGTCCTTTGAATAAAAAGTTAAGGTTCACACTAGATGACCTTTTATAACCAGCCTAAAGCAAGGCTTTGTCTATGAGCCACATTCATGGAACTGGAAGGAGCTGATGCGTTCCAACATCAGGTCTCAGTGGCTGGACTGAGGAGGTTGGAATCTGTCTTTTTCTCGACTATTTCAGAAGCACTTTGCCACCTCTATTGGAAACAATTTTATTCTGGCAGAGCTGGGGTGGTGGGAGGCAACGTGCAGGACCCTTATGGACGCAGAAGTAGCAGGTTGAGGGAACAGCCGCTGCCACAGGTGGTTTACTTGGTGGGGGTGGTGGAAGGACCAAAGCAGAAGTCACCCCATCAGTGCAAGTCTCTCTAGGGAACTCTGCATCCTTCCTTAGCAAGGTTAGAGTGACTCTAGACGCTAAGGTTTGTGTAGGTTGTCCAGCTAGAAGTCTCTGCACCTCGCCCAACTCTTCAGCTGTACGGAGAGTGAGAGAGAACTGGTCCCAAGACCTTCCCTTAGCAGAGTTCAGGGTCTCTCTGCTGAGCTGCAGCTCCTGTGACTATTACCCTTCAAACACCACCCAGGCAACCCTGTGACTCTCGCCCTCCTCCCCATCCTGCATGGTGCGGCTCTTGCCTCCCAGCAGCCTCTACTTTTCATCCTCATCCCCCTCGCTCATGCTGCTGATAGAGGCTGAGGCTGCTTTGGGTGAGGAAGGGGGTGAGGTTTTGAGTGGAAGCCATGAGAAGGTGGGCGATGGGGAGCGGGAAGGGGACCGGCTCCGGGTTGGGCTGCTCACAGGGCTCTGCTTCGGGGATAAGGCCTGCAGCATCCGGCTGCTCCTCTCCTGGAACATCTGCTTCTAAAGATAAATTGGAGAGAAGGCATCTGTTAACTTTGCAATCTGAGGCAGCAGCAAAACAAAAAGGTAAGGCAGGCAGGAGAGCCACTACCCCAAAACTCCTGAGCCCACAAACCTACACTCATACCACATCCCGTGTTGTCCAAGACTATGTATAGTAAGGAACCGAGTGATATTCAGGGGTAGTGACAGAAGATTACAGTCACCACTGGTTCTTTTTTTCTCTTTTTTTTTTTTTTTGAGACAGAGTCTCGCTCTGTCACCCAAGCTGGAGTGCAGTGGCATGATCTTGGCTCACTGCAACCTCAGCCTCCCAGGTTCAAGCAATTCTCCTGCCTCAGCCTCCCAAGTAGCTGGGATTACAGGTGCCCGCCACCATGCCCGGCTAATTTTGTATTTTTAGTAGAAACGGGGTTTCACCATGTTGGTCAGGCTGGTCTTGAACTCCTGACCTCAGGTGATCCACCCACCTCAGCCTCCTAAAGTGCTGGGATTACAGGCGTGAGCCACCATGCCCAGCTACCACTGGTTCTTAACACTCTTTCCTTCTTCCTTTTTTTTCTTCCATCTACAAAATTTAACTGAGTGTCTCTGACTAGCCAGGCAAGTAGTCATGACCTACGGACTGGAGGGGTGGCAGAAAACAAAACCCCTGACCTCATACCCTCACAGATATGAGGAGGAATCACACAATAAACAAAATATGGTATGTCAGATGGATCTGTGGTCTGTGAGAAAAAGAGGGCGAGAGGATAGCAAGTGGGGCTGGGAGCAGGGCAGCTGCGATTGCAAACAGGGTGCTCGGGGAAGGCCCCACTGAGAAAACGCTTCTTGAGTGAAGAACCTGGAAGAGATAAGGGGAGGGACCAGGTGAATGGAAATCAGAGGGCAGCGCACTCCAGACAGAGCACCCCAAGAAAGGAGCATGGAACGCACACCCAGGAAGCGCAGGCAGGGCACCGCGGCTGCCTTGAGGGCTGATAGATGGGGAGGAGCTGAGGGAGGCGGTTGGGAAGAGGTTGCCAGAGAAGGCACAGAGGGCTGTGCCATGGAGGGCCTTGGCAGCCATTGTGAGAACTCTGCCTTTCAGTCTGAGGGGACCCATGCAACAGGTCCCAGGAGAGGAGGAGGCCATCGTGGCAGTATGGAGCGAGCTGGTGGGGAAGGGAGAGGGGGAGGCACTGCGGGAGATCAGGCCAGAGACATATCAGGCGGCAGTTTCACGTACAGTCTCCTCTGAGAAGAGAAACCTCTGGAGAATTCTGAGCAAAGGATTAACAATCTGCTGCTTGTTTTCAAAAGACCATTCTGACTGCTGTGTTGGGAACAGATGGCAGTGAGGCGGGGGCAGGAACAGGGAGCCCACTTATGAGCCCGTTGCAATAAGAATCCAAGGCCAGGCGCGGTGGCTTATGCCTGCAATCCCAGCACTTTTGAAGGCCAAGTCGGGCAGATCATTTGAGGTCAGGAGATCGAGACCATCCTGGCCAACATGGTGAAACCCTTTCTCTACTAAAATACAAAAAATTAGCTGGGCAGGGTGGTGGGCACCTGTAATCCAAGCTTCTGGGGAGGCTGACGCAGGAGAACCACTTGAACCCAGAAGGTGGAGGTTGCAGTGAGCCGAGATGGCGCCACTGTACTCCAGCCTGGGCAACAGAGTGAGACTCCGTCTCAAGAGAAAAAAAAAAAAATCCAAGATGGTGATGGAGCCTGGCCCGGCCCGGGATGATGGCAGTGTGCTGAAAAATGGCAGGATTCCTAGTATATTTTCCCCCATATTTTTACTGAGGTATAATAAACTCACCCTTTTTAGTGTACAGTTCTGTTAAGTTTTTGTTTTGTTTTGTTTTTTTGTTTTTTTGTTTTTTGTTTTTTTTTGACAGAGTCTTGCTGGAGTGCAGTGGCGCGATCTCGGTTCACTGCAAGCTCCGCCTCCCGGGTTCACGCCATTCTCCTGCCTCAGCCTCCCCAGTAGCTGGGACTACAGGCGCCCGCCACCCGGCCTGGCTAATTTTTTGTATTTTTAGTAGAGACGGGGTTTCACCGTGTTAGCCAGGCTGGTCTCGATCTCCTGACCTCGTGATCCGCCCACTTTGGCCTCCCAAAGTGCTGGGATTACAGGTGTGAGCCACCGCGCCCGGCCAGTTCTGTGAGTTTTGACAATGCATACAGTTGAGTGACCACCACTGCAATCAAGGCATAGGAGGGTCCCATCAGCTCCCAAATTCCCTCATGACCCTTTGGAGTCTCCCCTCCCCCAGCCACTGGCAACAGATGTGTTTTCTGTCCCTACAGTTGTGCCTTTTCTAGAATGTCATCAAAATAGAATCCTACAGTATGTGGTCTGGCTATGTTTTCATGGTAGAGCCAACGGGACTCACTGACAGATGGGACATGGGGTGTGGGAGGAACGGGAATCAAGTGACTGCAGTCTCGGGTCCAAGAAATTGGAAAGCAGTGATGCCATTTCCCAGTTTGGGGAAGACTGTGGGGTGGGAGGAGGTTTCGGTGGTTAAGATCAGTTTACCAGTTTGGGACCTCATGTGATGGTTGCTGGGTGCTTTCAGAATTGAGCCCTTCCCTGAAGCTCCCCACTGGGCCCCCAGTGCTCCCAGCCTACTGTGCCTGCTGCCTGCTGCTCAGCCTCCCAGACGCTGCATCCCACCAACTCCTGAGCATCCTGCCTGTGCTGCCTGGGGTCTTTCAATTGCTCACATTTGAGCCTTAGCCCCCAGCCACTCAGTTCAATCCTTTGATACAAAACTGGCCCTGAAAGCCAATTCTCCTATTTACCATCTTAGGCTTTGCTTGTCCTTTGGGTTATTCATTTTACAAACCGTTACAGAGATCTTCTGGGGACCAGGTGCTACACAGGAGGAAGGGGGGGAAGAAGAGGGTAGAAGAGGTGGTCATGTCTCAGCTGGGTCTTTGATAATGCCCAGGAAGAGGTGGGTGGAGATGGGGAGTGGGTCCATGGGGGCTAGTAGAGGATGGCCTTTCTAAACAGAGCATGCTAAGTAAGGAGTACTAAGTCTAAGTTGCTTAGTGTGGCCAGAACCCCAAATGCCCATGGGGTGGCAATGGTCTGGACCTAGAGCACCACAAGGAGACTGGATTTCCTACTCAAGAAACCCAGAAAGATTTTAATCAAGGGCGGAGTCTGATCAGATCTGTGTTTTAGAAATACCTTTGGGTGTCAGCATAAAAGCAAAGAAAGAAACCATAAAGGAAAACATTGACATTTGACTACACAAAATTTTAAAACTTCTGTACCTCAAAAAAAAAAAAAACACCATGAAATAAGAAAAAAGGCAAAAAATAGTGGAATTTTTTGCAAAGTTTACCTACAAATGATAGATCTCGGTATATAGACAGAGCTTATAAATCAAAAAGAAGAAGGTGAAAAGCTTAGTAGAAAAATGAACATATGGCCTGTATAGACAAGTCACAAGAGAAATTTGTAAATGAGCTAGAAAAACTGTTCAGCATCACTAGTAGTCGAACAAATGCAAATGGCTGAAATAAGATACATTTTATATATCAGATTGCTAAAGTTTTAAAAATTTGTTACAGCTAGTGAGGGCTCAGGAAAAGGGCTACCTTCATGTTACTGCTGGTAAGAGGATAAAACAGCAATGCCTTTCTGATGGGGAATTTGGCAATAGATGCAAAAACTTCTATTTTCTGAGGAGATAATCAGAGATGTAAGTAAATCTTTATTGTGTATGATGGACATTCAATGCAATGTATAACACACAACACTGCAAATTCTCTAACTAGGTTAGAAAAACCTGTACAACTCCAAGATGATATAATAAGCAGATGAGGAGAATCAGGTTCTTAAATAATATTTCATCATGTGAGAAAACACTCATGAGCAACTGCAAAGCCAAAATGATTTTAGAACACTATGTTCTGCATGATCTCAAGTTTGTAGAAGGAATGTACATATACGGAGATGGGAAACAGATGGGAGTGATAACCCGAAATGCTAACAGAGAGACTGCTCTGGATGATGAGACTGCGAGTGATTTTCAGTCCCTTCTTTACTTTCTAATGGTTATATAATGAATATATATTACTTTTATCATAAAAAAGCATCACAGTAGGAAGAAAGAACTCATGTAACCCATGCAAGGAGATCAGGCGGAAGGGCAGGTGTTACAATAATGACATTGGTAAGGAACTATTAAGGCCACAGGCGCATCACCAATAGCACTGCCTGCCCCCAACACTCATTTTTCCTTTCTAAGCTCTAGCCCGTTACTTTGTAGAGTCCCAAGTTTCCTCTAGCAGATATAATAACAGATGATGGCTGATTGCTCAGGTCTTTTCCAGATTTAAAATTCCACACGTCTGCTAATATACCAATTATTTACCTTCCATTAAGGCATTGATAATTCTGCCAAAAGATATCAAGCCCCCCTCAAAGTCAAACAGAAAAAAAAGGTGCAGTACAACAGCACTCCCTTAGATTAAACCCATTTATGAGGCAAATTCAAATGCTATAAGGATTTGGTGGTCTATTATTAACAGCAACATTTAAAAACATTCTTGAACTTCTAGCAGGCACTTTAAAATATGTGTTTTTATTACTGTAATCTTTAAGTATATTTTCTGTGGCAGCCATTAGCCCTCCTGCTGTTAATGGATTGTCAGGATTTCCATTAGAAGTTCACTTTCTAAGAAATCTACGACTTGTCTACTATAGTTTGAATCAAGCTCATAGCTGAGAACATTCTGCCTGAGGGGATGAAAGAACTTGAATCTTTAATGATAAACAACGGTGTCGCACTTCATAAAATGCAATATCCATGCAAAATAACTCCCAGCCTCAATTTGCCAGCTCTCTGATCTGTTTCTGGTGCATTTTGAAGGGTGGTTCCCTTGCAAAGGAGCGGAATTCAATACAGTCAGGAGACAGTTTGTAATGAGCTTCCTGGGAAGAAAAGCACTTTAGAAATATAACAAATAAGGAAGAGTATGCATGGCATTTTCCAAGAGTAAAGGTATTTAAATTCAGTCTCTCACTGTATTAAGAGGTTTCCATTTATAATGTTTTCCCTCAAGAAAATAATCCCATTTATAGTCCTGTCCATACGAAAGTAGTTTTCTATTTCTCTCCTATGAAGTTTTCCCTTTTAAGAAGTACTTAACATCGGCCGGGTGCGGTGGCTCATGCCTGTTATTCCAGCACTTTAGGAGGCTGAGGCGGGCGGATCATGAGTTCAAGAGTTCGAGAGCAACCTGGCTAACATGGTGAAACCCTGTCTCTACTAAAAATACAAAAATTACCTGGGCATGGTGGCGGGTGTCTGTAATCCTAGCTACTCAGGAGGCTGAGGCAGGAGAATCACTTGAACCCAGGAGGCGGAGGTTGCAGTGAGGCGAGATCATGCCATTGCACTCCAGCCTGGGCAACAGAGCGAGACTCCATCTCAAAAAAACAAAAACAAACAAACAAAAACCAGAAGTACTTAACATCTAGTGGGGCAATAAATGTCTTGACAAATGCCTTTAAAGGTTTCAGTATTTCAGATCTATTCTGGTTTATCTGCCGAAAAGAAATGATAAAGTTCCTGGTACGATCTGGTTTGGTTTGGCCCTTGGGTAAGCAAGATGAAACTCAAGGAGAGAAAAGGGCCCATGCTTCAGTTCTGGCCAAATCAATAACAACTAACCCTTACACGGTGCCCGACACAGGTGCCAGGCACTGCTCTAAGGGCGTTGAAGTGTGAGCCAGTCTGGGTGCGATGGCTCATGCCTATAATCCCAACACTTTGGGAGGCTGAAGTGGGAGGACCGCTTGAGTCCAGGAGTTCGAGATCAGCCTGGGCAACATAGTGTGAGACCCCCATCTCTACAAACAATTTTGAAAAACTTAGCTGGGCATGGTGGTATGCACCTGTAGTCCCAGGTACTCAGGTTGAGTGGGGAGAGGGCCTAGGTGGGAAGATCGCTTGAGCCTGGGAGTTCAAGGTTGCAGTGACCCATGATTGTGCCACTACACTCTAGCCTGGGCAACAAAGGAAGACCCTGTCTCAAAAAATATAGATTTTAAAAATGAAGTATGAACCAATGTAATCCTCGCAACAGCCCTATGTGGCAGCTATGCTTACTTTCCCCATTTACTGATGCTATGACTAAGTCCCAGAGAGGCAAATGAACTTGCCTTAAGTCACCTACCCAGAGAGTGACCCCCTGCTCATGACCACCTCTCTTGTAATTAGCCAGTTGCATAATAAGAAACTTTTCATGTTTATTCACATTTTACTTGTACCTTTGTTTAAGGATAAAAATTTGGGGCCGGGCGCAGTGGCTCATGCCTATAACCCCAGCACTATGGGAGGCCGAGGTGGGTGGATCACTTGAGGTCAGGTCAGGAGTTTGAGACCAGCCTGGCCAACATGGTAAAATCCCATCTCTACTAAAAATACAAAAATTAGTCGGGCATGGTGGCATATGCCTGTAGTCCCAGCTACTCAGGAGGCTGAAGCAGAAGAATCACTTGAACCCAGGAGGCAAAGTTGCAGTGAGCCGAGATTGCACCATTGCACTCCAGCCTGGGTGACAGAGCAAGACTCTGTCTTAAAAACAACAACAACAACAATCTTTTTTTAAAAAAAGATAAAATTTTTTAAACTGTCAAAGTCTCAGGTGGGAAATCTAATGCAGATCCACAAACTATATTTTGTAGCTCTTTTCTCAAAATCAAAAATCTTAAAAATTAGCAGTGCCTAAAATTAGGACGATTATTTAAAAAAAAAAACAAAGAAACAGAAAATAACAAGTGTTGGTGAGGATGTGGAGAAATTAGATCCCTGTGCATTGCTCGTGGAAATGTAAAACTGTGCGGCCACTATGGAAAACAGTAAGGCGGCTCCTCAAAAAAATTAAACATAGAATTACCATGTTGTCCAGCAATTCTATTTCTCAGTATATACCCAAAAGAATTGAAAGCAGAACTCAAACACCAATGTTCACATCAACCCAAACATCCATCAATGGAACAATGGATAAAAAAGATGTGATGTACACATAAAGTGGAATATCATTCAGCCTTCAAAAGAAAGAAAATTCTGACACATGCTACAACATGGATGAACCCTGAAGACATCATGCTAAGTGAAATATGCCAGCCACAAAAGGACAAATGCTGTATGATTCCACTCATATGAGGTTCATAGAGTGGTCAAATTTATAGAGGCAGGAAGTAGAAGGCTGGCTGCCAGGGGCTGGGGGCAGAAGGGGATAGGGAGCTCTTGTTTAATGGTTACAGTTTCTGTTTGGGATGATGAAGAAGTTCTGGAGATGGATGGTGGTGATGGTTGCAGGACAATGTGAATGCAACCATTTAATCCCACTAAATTGTGCACTTAAAATGGTTAAAATGGGCCGGGCACAGTGGCTCATGCCTGTAATCCCAGCACTTCGGGAGGCTGAGGCAGGCAGATCACCTGAGGTCAGGAGTTCGAGACCAGCCTGGCCAACATGGCAAAACCCCACCTCTACTAAAAATATAAAAATTAGCTGGGCATGGTGGTGGCGCACGCCTGTAATTCCAGCTACTCGGGAGGCTGAGACAGGAGAATCGGTTGAACCTGGGAGGTGGAGGTTGCAGTGAGCTGAGATCACACCATCGCACTCCAGCCTGGGAGACAAGAGCAAGGCTCAGTCTCAGAAAAAAAAAAAAAAAAAAGGTTAAAATGGTACATTTTATGTTTATGAATATATGAATATATTTGTCACAAATTTGTTTTTTGAGGCGGAGTTTCACTCTTGTTCCCCAGGCTGGAGTGCAGTGGTGCAATCTCGAGTCATTGCAACCTCCGCCTCCCGGGTTCAAGTGATTCTCCTGCCTCAGCCTCCCGAGTAGCTGGGATTACAGCCGTGTACCACCATGCCTGGCTAATTTTTATATTTTTAGTAAAGATGGGGTTTCACCACGTTGGCCAGGCTGGTCTTGAACTCTTGACCTCAGGTGATTCACCTGCTTCGGCCTCCCAAAGTACTGGGATTACAGGCGTGAACTACTGTGCCTGGCCACCAGCTGACGTCTTAACTGCAACTTCATGAAAGACCGAGTCAGAACCATCCAGCTGGGCTGCTTCCTGGTTCCTGACCCTCAGAGACTGTGAGATAATAAATGTTTGTCGTTTTAAGCCACCAAGTTTTGAGGTAATTTGTTACCACCAAAAGCTAACTAATAGGCATGGATACCACACTTTCTGTTTGCTGAGAAAGCCTAGAGACAGCAGTACAGTGGAGGGCTGAGAGTGCCTATCATAAATCTAGATGGCCTGGTCTCAAGCACAATTCTGGCAACTGGCATTGTCAAAGGCCTTAGAGGGATGTTGGTAGACCTCAGTTTCTCTACAGTGACACACCCCGACCAAAGGAAAATGAAGCAAAATGACTGCATCATGTGGACATTCCTATGGTGAAGGATACAGACATGACCAGGAGAAAGAGGCTAGCCCCAGGCTCCATCCTACCGCCTACCAACTCCTGTGAGACCACGGGAAAGTTTCATCGTATAATTTTGTAGGCCTTTGTCTATATCTATATATTTATCTATAAAATGTACCTTCCTGTGTGATTAAAATGGGTGGCGGGAGGCCAAGGTGGGTGGATCACTTGAGGTCAGGAGTTTGAGACCAGCCTGGCCAACATGGTGAAACCCCGTCTCTACTAAAAATACAAAAATTAGCCGGGCGTGGTAGCACATGCCTGTAGTCCTAGCTACTCGGGAGGCTGAGGCAGGAGAATCACTTGAGCCCGGGAGGCAGAGATTGCAGTGAACCGAGATCGCGCCATTGCATTCCACCTGGGGTGACAGAGTGAGTGAGACTCCATCTCAAAAATAAATAAATAAATAAAAATAAATAAGTAAATAAAATGGGTAGAATAAATGTGCAAGGACATTGAAAAAAGAATTCAACCTGCCATACAACTTTTAGACAATATCATCATCATCACCTTCTTATTTACTATCATCATCATCATCATCATCATCATCACTACTTTCTACTCAGAGATAGCATGTAAGGGCTTCAATTTTATATTGGCATCCTTAATGTCAAATATGAGGTCACTTGGGGAGACTTAAAAGACTATGGCCAGGCACTGTAATCCCAGTGGCTCATGCCTGTAATCCCAGCACCTTGGTGGGCCAAGGCAAGAGGGTCTCTTGAGCCCAGGAGTTCGAGGTTACAGTGAGTCATGATCACACCACTTCACTCCAGTCTGGGCAACAGAGTAAGACTGTATCTCTACAAAAAATTTAAAAATTAGCTGGGCATGGTGGCACACACCTGTAGTCCCATCTATCTGGGAGGCTGAGGTGGGAGGATTGCTTGAGCCCAGAAATTTGAGGTTACAGTGAGTCATGATCATGCCACTGCACTCCAGCCTGGGCAACAGAGTGAGACCCTGCTTTAAAAAAGACTATACCACAAGGAGCAAATTCAAATATTCCCTGGGGCCAGATGGGCTGCATAAATGTGTGAGTCAGGTTAGGGGAGGGGAAAGGAGCAGCGGAGCAAGGTGTGACTATGGCAAACAAGAGCTCATGCCTTCCCTAAAATAAATTTTAAAACATTGTTAAGGGCAAAGCACACCACGTCTGTGTACTGAATTTGATCCACCAAACACCAAGTTGTAATAAAGTCCTGTACCTAGCACCATAAGCAATAAAAGGCTAAGGCTATCTATCTGCTTATCATCTATCTATCTGTCTACATACACACACGCGCGCGCACACACACACACACACACACACGTATATGGGGTGGGGGATTTAGGCTTTAGCACACAAATCCTTTGCAGATGCTGGAAGGTTCTGTGAATAGGTCTTCTTCATACATCCATTCATTCATACATTCATTTAACCCAGAAACATTTGTGGAATACCCACTATAAGTTACATACTATGCTGCATACCTATCTCATTGTACCAGAACTTGTATCTTAAATCCTTCTATTTTGTGCCTTTCCAAGTTTGGGTTGTTTGTAACAGTACTGTATTTGCCGGTAATACAGATCTTCTATTTTAAGAAATGAGTTCCAGTCCCAAATTCACAAATAAGGAATTATTATAATAATAGCATATTCATGAAAAGCAAATTACTTATCTTGGCGTTTAACATCCTTGTAACTATTCCTGTATTTTTAACGTCAACAGAAAAAAAGTAATGTCTTAGTCTGGCTGATATGGTAAATTAATGGTAATAACAGTTTTGACACTAATAGCAAGTTTTAAAAAGAAAAACCTCCAGTCTCTAAACTGGGTTTCATTTCTTAAAAATCACCTTGGCTTGCTGTCATCAGACTCCCAAGAACAATTCCAGCTACTATTTCACCTTCACTGGGAGCCTGAAATGACTAAGGTCTATAAAGTTTTCATCAAATTATATATATATATATATATACACACACACACATATACACACATACACACACATATATATACACATATATACAAACACACACATATATACACACATATACACACACATACACACATATATACATATACACACACATATATTCACACACAGAAATACACACACATAGATATACACACATATACACACACATATATACCCACACATATACACACACATACACACACACACACACACACACACACACACATATATATATATATTTTTGAGACAGAGTCTCTCTCTGTCACCCAGGCTGGAGTGTGGTGGCATGATCTGGGCTCACTGCAACCTCCGCCTCCTGGGCTCAAGCAATTCTCCTGCCTCAGCCTCCTGAGTAGCTGGGACTACAGATACGCGCCACCACACCTGGCTAATTTTTTTGTATTTTTAGTAGATACGGGGTTTCACCATGTTGGCCAGGCTAGCCTCAAACTCCTGACCTCAGGTAATCCATCCACTTCGGCCTCCCAAAGTGGGAAATTACATTTTTTCCCTGCCTTTACTCACTCCAAGTGGAGAAAACATCCACCCTCTTGAGTTACTATACCAACTCTTATCAGCAGAGACAGGTTTCTGAATCCCTGTAAACGAATGAACACCTACATGGTTTCATTAAAAACCACTAGTTGTTTCTTTAGAGCCTGGAAATTAGTTGTGAAAATGTGAACTATTAAAATACACACTAGATTAAATAGAAAATTTCATACCATATGTCATAGAGACGAGAGAACAGGGTCTGTACTTTGTCTGTTTTTATGTTCTTCTTTATGCATAGTGCCATGCATAGACAAAAACATTAAGAAATGTACCAGGAATTAACTTATCTGAGCTGAAATTTTTAACAGGCCTGGGGAAAATGAAAAGGAGCCCAGCCCTTGGCTCCTCCACTCTTGCCAGCTCTTTCTAGGAGTCTTTGAAGGCTCATGCAGTCCTTGTAAACCTTTCACCCCTCTCAGACTCAGCCGATAGGACATGGTTGGCCTATAACACCCACGTCTATAATCACTTAGAGGCTGCCAGGTGTTAAGCAAAGCATCTCTCCCAACTTCCCAAACATTGTTCTTTTTCTATTACTAATTGAGTGTTTCACTTTTAGATAATCCTATAATGAATGAGCTCAAACAAGCAGAGGTAGCAGTGACAACCCGTCAATAAAATAATTAAGTCAAAGTGGATTTTGGTAGAGACTTCTCATATTATAATAGGAAATCCAGGCTACTTAAAATCAGAGAAATCAAATGGAATTTTTTCTTTTTGTTGTAGGAGGAAATTTTGTTTTTAGTATCTCTTTCATACAACCCTCGTCAACCCTTTAGCGTCTCTAAAGTAAACTTTTCGAATCTCTTTTACAGACCCCTCATCAACTCTCCTGATAATACTGGTATTTACTTGGGAAGGGCATGCACAATAGAAATACCAATAAAGTACCAGTGGAGGTTTCCAGAATTTTCTTTTCCCTTTCCATAGTTATCATTCAAAGTTGTTCAGATTTTAGGCAAGGAGACCCTCTACATTTCCTCTCAGTTTTAAGATTCAGATCATGTCCTCAGTCCCCAAAGACTGTTGTGCCTTATCCCAACACTTGCGTGTCATGAAAAACCAGGGGAAAATCAGGGCACGATGGGCACAGATGCAGGGCAAACTCCTACTTCTTCTCTCTCTGTCTTGCAACCAGTAAAAGAGGAGGGCTCCTCACAAGAAAAACTGACTGACAGAGTACATTTCTTTGGATTCTCCTCCCCAAAACATAAATGCCAGTAGTTGATCCAAGATCCCATGATCCATGTCTTGTAACACAAGCTCCGTGCTGCCACTAGCCCACTTCATCTGTACTCCCAAAGTTTCATCATCCCCAACTGGGAGACTGAGATGAGCGACAGCATCAACTCCTGAAGTAAGAGACACTCAAGTGATCACCAGATGGCTTCCAAGCTCTGGATAAGAACTAGAAACTGAAACCAGACGTGGCTTTGTGTGCTACTGGGTGCCATATTGACGAGTAAAGCAGAAACTCAGTAAGGAAGTGACATGGACTTGAAGTCATTCAGGCTGATGCCTAAAGTAGAGGGCATGCAGTGGATCTGAGATAAGGGGCACCCTTGAGTGGCTCCATAAAAAGGAGGATAAACTGAAAACACTCATCATTGTGGGGTAAAGTGAAATCATTACATACCCATGCTCCATCAGGTCCAAACAGTTCTAGGAAGTTGCCAATGAATTCCCTTGACTTCTCTTCCCACTTTTGAATTAGATCATGGCTCTTTTCTTCCACTCTGTTCACAAATTCCTTTGATCTTTCCTCCACATTCTTGACTTTTTCCTTCATTTTGTCCACTTGGTTCTGGAAACGGTACCTCTTCTCCTGGTGAAAGTTTACAGGAAAAAAAAAAACAGATTTATCCAAGAGGACATGAGAGAGATCAATCATTCACATTAAAGTTCATATTTTATTCCAATTTGTATTTGTTCCTAACCTGAAGAGTCAAGATGTTGCCATTTCCCAAGGGCTAGGTTGATGGAAAGGCACATCTCTTGTAAGAAAAGTCATCTGCCATTAATCCATTTGGATATGTAAAGGGAACTACAAGTGGTTTTAATATCTTCTTTCTTTTAAATGTCTTTGAGTTGGATTCACTTATATAAGAGGAGAATAAAAAACACACAGTTGTCTTTTGTTGTGCATAGATATTGGGCAAATAACCCCATTCAATTCTGCTGGGACTTAGACAAAAGTATGAATTGTGCACACAATGACTATTCAGAAGCTGCCTGAGTTCGCTGTTTTACTGGGATATGGTTAAAACAATATTGCTTGAAATAAGTGGGCCATTAACTGGGCCTTAGAACCTATGTGTTATACTAAAATTTCCACTGTAATATTTTCCACTATGCTAATTTAACTGTATTGATTTCCTTGGTGGTGATGAAAGCTTTTGTGCTGATAGTTTCTCTAGACTCAGATTTTGTTCTTCTTATAGTCTTTCTGCAGCAATGTCTACTTATGTGCTTGGAAACCATCGTATGCTGGGCAAGTCACATATCACCTCTAAACCTCAGTCTTCTCATCTGTAAATTGGGGATAATAATCATCCCTACCTTAGGGTTGCTGTGACAATGCATGCAAAGTGCTTGGCACAAAGGCCAGCATTTAGTAAATGCTCAGTGTATGTTGGCTGTTTCATTAGTATTAAGTGGCAGAGGCATTTGTCTGTGTTACCTGATGAGAGCAGTATTAAAACCATGAAAATAACATGTGGCTCTTCCCCCATGAAATCATGATGTTTCTCCTAAAGGGGTAAGGCTTATCATTTTTCTTTACTATGTGGGACTAAAGTTCATTTTGTGTTTCAGAATTTTATTTTTTTGAAATGGAGTCTCGCTCTGTTGCCCAGGCTGGAGTGCAATGGCATGATCTCAGCTCACTGCAACCTCTGCCTCCCGGGTTCAAGCGATTCTCATGCCTCAGCCTCCTGAGTAGCTGGAATAACAGGCACACACCACCACATCCGGCTAATTTTTTGTATTTTTAGTAGGGACGGGGTTTCACCATGTTGGCCAGGCTGGTCTTGAACTCCTGACCTGAAGTGATCCACTCGCCTCGGCCTTCCAAAGTGCTGGGATTACATGCATGAGCCACTGTGCCTGGCCTGTGTTTCGGAAGTTTTTGAAACACCTGGAATATTGCAAAACTGGGTAAAGAGTCCTTGATTTCGACCTTCCAAACCTTCCTGCAGCCTCAGGCTGGGGCATGAGCTATGTGTGTTGCTACTGAGAGCTATATATATACATATATGTGCTATGGGAGGTCACTCTGTCTTCCGTTACTTACTAGGTGACCTTAGGTGAGTTGTTCAACCTCTCTGGGCCTCTGTTTCCTCATTTCTATGTTGGACATAGTCATCCTACCCACCCTTGTAGGCCCATCATGAGGATTAAATGAGATAATCCAAGTAAAACACTTAGATGAGCATATGATGAGTTCTTGGCAAATGTTAGCTGTTGCCTTTATATCATTCTTTTCCACAGTTCATTCTGCACTGGAAATAGTTACTATACATGGCTCTCAGGGCAGCACAGAATAGCTGAATGAGCACTGGGCTGGGAGTCATGAGACTGGGGAGTTGCTGCTGCCTCTACCTCTCCCTGACCTGAAGGACCTTGGCCAGGCTCCCTTTCTGGGCTCAGCGTTCCTCATCTCTAAATTGAGGGACTTGGACTGGGTGACTGACTGGCATCAGGTCCCTGTCACCTCTGAGGTTCCGTGATTTGTCTACACGCCCATGCAACACATTAGATTTCATCTCTGAACTGCAGCCAGGTTTGTCGTCACAGGAAGGCAGTGAGTGCATCCGAACTGCCTGCACGGTTCCTTGAGCTAAGTGGCTTATCTAAACGCCGTTTAAAGAGAGTGAGCAATAACTTTTGAAAATGGCTTGACATGTTTGGATGGTTGACCGAATTCAATTTGAAAGAACAGACAGTTTAATTTATTGAAATAACCAGGGCTTTATTCTCTATCAGATACTAAATAATCACTTTGACTGAATTATGTTCAGCCACTTGTTCCAGTGCCACTCAAACCTGACATTTTCCGACATTTCCTGACATTTTGTTGCCCGGCTTATATGAAGTTACAGAGCCTAGACTCTCAACACTCCCTGCCTTGTGAGGACAACTCATGATCAACGATTCACAATTAATGAGCCCCTCCTATTTTGAAGGTACCAATGATCAATTGTGTGAGCTATTGGATAATTATAGCTGCATGTAATTTTAAGTATCTAGCTTTGAAGATGAATCATCCTTTGAAAATACAGCGTCTATTTTGGGGGTTAGAATTCTGTATGTACGGAGGGTTCTTATTTTAATCAAAGATATCGGCACCTCACAGCCCAGGCAAATACAGTTGCTCAGAATCACTAACATCATCTCCAGCAACTGGGCTGCCCTCTTTGCTTTTTAACAGCTTGTTTTGCTTATTTTAAAGATTGTTTTTATTATTATTATTATATAAAAATGGCATCCTGAGGGAATCTAAGTCACTGTTAATGTTCTTTGTCTACTATAAAGACACATGCACATGTATGTTTGTTGCAGCACTATTCACAATAGCAAAGACTTGGAACCAACCCAAACGCCCATCAATGATAGACTGGATAAAGAAAATGTGGCACATATACACCATGGAATACTATGCATACATAAAAAAGGATGAGTTCATGTCCTTTGCAGGGACGTGGATGAAGCTGGAAACCATCATTCTCAGCAAACTAACACAGGAACAGAAAACCAAACACCGCGTGTTCTCACTCATAAGTGGGAGCTGAACAATGAGAACACATGGACATAGGGAGGGGAACATCACACACCAGGGCCTGTCAGGGGGTGGGGGGCTAGGGGAGGGATAGCATTAGGAGAAATACCTAATGTAGATGACGGGTTGATGGGTGCAGCAAACCACCATGGCACGTGTATACCTATGTAACAAACCTGCATGTTCTGCACATGTATGCCAGAACTGAAATATTGTTTTAACAGTTGCTCTATTATTAAACTAACAGCAGTCCTGTGGGAACAATATGGTAGAACTACAAAAGGAAGCCAAAGACTTTAGGCTTTATTTAAGCAGCTGTAATTTCTTTGGACAATGAAAAATGGCCATTAAGGTTTCTAATGAGCATCTGTAAGGCCTTAATCAAATGAAAATTTTAAAACGTTAGAATAAAAAAGTTTCTCTGGGTTTAGCTTTCATTGCCTCTTCCCTCCTCCCTTTCCTTTCAGCAGAAGATAACTCTTGCCTTTTACAAGGGGCAGATCTCCCAGAAACCCTTCAATCAAGTCTAAAAACTCTAAAGAGAGAGTTTGGGGTAAGAGGAGGGAAGCAAGGAAGCACCTTTATAAAATGTGAAGCTCACTACCTGTGTTCTTTGGTTAATTTATGTTACCCCTGTAGATACTGGTTTTGTCATCTGTAAAATGGGGATAATAATACATCATGGGTTATTGTGTGGGTTAAATGAGAAAATAAATACAAAGCGTTAAGGACACTGCACAGGCATGGTGGCAAATGCCTGTAATCCCAGCTACTCAGGAGGCTGAGGCAGGAGGATCGCTTGAGCCCAGGAGTTCAAGACCAGTCTGGACAACATAGTGAGACCCTGTCTCAAAAAAAAAAAAACAAGTTAAATCAAACTTAAAATATTATACACAGTGAGACCCCATCTCTACACAAAAAAAAAAAAAAGAGAGAGAGAGAGGGAGAACACTGCATAGCACTTAGTAAGTGCTCAATAAACAGCAGCACTGGTGGTGGTGGTGTGGCATGGTGGTCTTCAGAGGGTTTGAGGTGGCATGCTTACATTTATAAAGCTGACATTCAGTTCCTTGGCTGTATACCCTCTCTGGAGGTTACGTCGGGCATAAACATCATAGTCACGAACAATTCTGGTAATGATGTCCGATGTTGAGATGCCTTCTGTTCTCTGCGTTGGAACGAACATCCCTGTTCAAGTAGAAAAGAGCGGATAGAGGAAAAATTAAGATCACCTCAGTTGACCCATCTCCTTTAATGGTCCCCCTTTACAGGACAAAGTTGGAGCTCCTGGGTATGCCAATGAAGACTTTACGTCTGGCCCCAAGTGACTCTTCCACCCTCAGTTCCGTGGAATTCCTCTCTACCTTAAATGCTACATGTTCATCATCCCAGACCTGTTTCCAGGACATACCATGTACTTGCCTGGCCCCTGCTGTTTATCCATGCTGAGCCTTTCCTTTCTGCCCTGGATACCCCCTCCCTGCTCATATTAACTGCAAAGCTCTTCCTCATCCTGCAAAGTCCAGCTTCAAGGTTATGCCTCTGGGAAGTCTTTTCTGACGTCATCAGGTAGAATCCACAACATTCAGAACCTAACTTATCTTTCATTAACAAAAATATTGGGCCAGCCATGGTGGCTCATGCCTATAATCCCAGTACTTTCGAAGGCCGAGGCAGGCAGACCATTTGAGTCCAGGAGTTCGAGATCAGCCTGGGCAACATGGCAAAACCCTGTCTTTACAAAAAATACAAAAGTTAGCTGGGTGTGGTGGTGCACGCCTGTGGTCCCAGCTACTTCGGAGACTAAAGTGAGAGGATCACTTGAGTCCAAGATCAAGGCTGCTGTGAGCAGTGACTGCGCCACTGCACTCCAGCCTGACCTTGTCTCAAACAAACAAAAAAAATTAAATATTTGTCTCCATGTAGAAAATGAACATTTTGAAAGCACTGATAGTGCCTTAACTGTCTTTGCATCCCCAGCACCCACCTCAGCCCCTGTGTCTAGCACATGGAAGGTGCTCAATAAATGGAAATTGAGTGAGAAAGTAAATGAAGACTAACAACTGAGTCAATGAATTAGATCACAGCAACTCTGCTTCATCTCCAAGGAAGTCTGCTCACATTATACTAAAGGAAAAGAAGAAAAAGTGTACTATTTGTGTCGTCTCTGATCTAAAGGCATGCCTGTAGGGATGGTTAGATGATTTATCTTCCTAAGAACAGTCTACTGTACATGGTAGTTTCACCACTCAAAGGCCCTTTCATCTAGAATATGTGGGGCTGAGTAAAAAATAAACAAGCACAGAGGATGCCAAGTTCTAATAGAACTTCCTTAAAGTCTTCAAAGATAAATGTGGGTATATCAACAGATATAGAGCTATAAAGAGGTCACAAATATTAACAAAGGCAAGAATCAGGTTTATGCTTACACTTCTGTTGTGAACTGAAATGACATGTTGTTGGCAACTGAGATCTTTCTATCCCATATCATTACGGCAACTCAGTCAGAGGCATCAGGCATGGGACAGTATGGACAAAGCCTGGGGACAAGGGCACTGGGTTCTTGGTTTGTAGACGTGGGCAAGTCACTCAAACCCTCTGAAGGCGAGTTACTTAACTGTAGTCTCCTCAGCTGAGAAAAAGGTGATTGGACATGATGACCTGGGACTCATCTGTGCCATTTCTTTCTCTCTCACTTCCCACATCCAACCAAGTTCCCAATCTACTTCTTAAATGTTTCCCTAATTCACTCACTTTCATCCATCCTAAACCAATTCAACACCATCTTGGTCAAAGATCACAGCAAGAACCTCAAAACCAGTCTCCAGCAATGTCATTTTTGTCTGCCTCAACCCAGAGAGCAAGTTCTACAGAGCATTCTTACTAAATGCAAGTCAGAGGTCTGCTCAAAACCCTCCACTGGCTTTCTGCTCTTCTCTGGATTCAGAGTCAAATCCTTAACTTGGCTGTGCAGTAGCTTGCATGTCTCTTCCCTGTGCTTCTCTCCAATTTTATCTCAGACCCTCTCCCTTTCACTCCCTAAACCAAGGCCCCCCTGCTATACAACTGCAGGGGGGGACTGCTGTTGTATTCTGTGGAGCTGTGCAGTAGGCTGACCCTGCCTCAGCCCAGCCATGCTGGGTTTCTTCAGTGTCCTGAAAGGGTTGGTTCCCCTCCCCTCACTCTGCCACAGACACAATCTTTACCTGGTTAACTCCTGGGCATCCACTGGGCTTCAGCTTTAGTGTCACTTCCTCAAGCAAATATCTCAACCCTCAGACTAGGTCTTCTGGTGTGTTGTTCCTTCCCATGGACCACTCCCCTTCCCTCCAAATACAGCAAGATCTTTATAAAATAACTTGTTCAACAACTGTCTTGTTGACTATAAGCTACACTAGGGAAGGGATCATGCCTTTCTCGTCCTCTTCTACATTCTCAGCACTGGGTGACAAACAGGCACCATAGGAATATTTCTTGAATGAATGACTAGATGAATATTGATCTCTAAGTGCCCTTCCAAACCCAGTTCTCTCTGAATGTTTCCATCTTGCAGCCCCAATGAGGGTGTCTCTTTGGAGCTTTCTTTTGATGTCATTTGCACATTTATAGTATCAGTAGCAGAGTGGCACTGCTGATGTTAGAGACAAAACATCCAGTTTCTTATGTTCCATGGTCAGAGGACAGTTGGGGTTTGCCACTAGGCCAAACACTTCTTTTATCACTTTCTAGGAGGGAAGAATCTAACACGGAAAACCAAATGGAAGGCAGAAGATGTAACCATCTAAACACACGAACATAAATAGCACCCAAATTGACCCAGCTGTGCAGGAGGCTCTGGTGGGTGGGGGAACCCTCAGACGACATCCCCACCTTTGTGGGAACAGTGGGGAACATTCTGGTGAGAAATCCATCCCATCTTTCAGCAGGCAGATATTTTACCCACACCCCTCCTGCTGAAATAATAAGACGATTCTCTAGTGACTAATGGATTTTAGCAAGTCATGTAAGACATTGATGCCATGAGCTTACCCTTTCTTTGAAGCCAGAAGGTGAAGTCTCTGTGTTTGAGTAACTGAAAGTAGATTTGGCTTAGGGAGAGATTTGCTTTGGCTGGTTGGGAGGTAGGTCTCTGAAAGAAGCCAAGTCCTCTGTTGACATAATGAGATACCCGGCTTCCTTCAAATCCTAATTATTGCTCTGCTAAAAATATTCGGTAATGAGCATGATCAGAGAACCTTTTTTATCATGCTTTTCAGAATTGCGGCATTTGGTTATGGAGCTATTTTAAGAAGCAGCAAAGCACATGTTAATGAAGGAAACTTTCAACAGTAGTAGGCAATATTAGAATGGTGATGAGTAATGTGGACCTTACAGTCTATTTAATTTAAGCTCCATCTTTTCATCCAGCTTTGCTAGAGGATTTTGACACATAGTTCTGACAAGCAGAGCAGAGTGTTGTAAAGCTTAAGTCATGCCCTTGATATCTCTGGTTTCATTTAAAGAGACTTTTGACTTTCAAAATAAGCCATGATTTGAGTATGAAAGCCAAATATGGATGCTGAGGCCATTTCTGAGCATCTTTCTCCCATGATGAATTCTGGCCTTCTCTACCTGGGTCCCAAATAGATCATTACTGTGATTCTCCCTCCTGCTAAGGAATCAGCAGAGCAGATTTGATGGAGCACAAGGAAGGGTCCTTGCACATAGGAAAAGTTACATCGAGTCTTAGCCTGTGCTACTAGGGCAAGTAAAATGCTACCTGACTATTCAATTTGGAAAGGGCATTGTGGTGCATTAAAGATGGCCCAATTCCCTTCCCCTGGAATCTGGGCTGGCCTCAGTGACTTGCTTGTACCAAATGAACGTGGCAAAAGTAACTCTGTGTGACTTCCACGACTAAGTCAGAAGAAGCCTTGTGGCTTCTGTCAAGATTGCTTTCTCTCTAGATATTACCTTTCAGCTGCCATGCTGTGAGAAGCCCAAGCAACATGAAGAGGCCACCTGTATGCCCCAGTGGCAACTGCAACTGAGTGCCATGATCATAGCCAGCATCCAAGGCCAGCCACGTAAGTGTACCACCTGGGAGCCCCAGCCCAGTCGAGCCTTCAGATGACCACAGCCCCCACCAACATCTGATTACAACTGTTTGAGAGACCCCAAGCAAGAACTACCCAGCCAAGCCTCTGCTAAAATCCTGCCCCACAAAATCATGAGTGAAATCAAGAGGCTCTTTTAAGTCACTAACTTTAGGAGTCACTTTCTTATGCAACAATAGGGATGCTGGATTGCTAGAGTTAGAAAAATGTTGGACTTGTTCCTACACCTAAACAACTGGAACTTGACATTTTATTCCCCAAATCAGGAAAGCAACATATTCTTAGCTCACTGACAGCCACTCACCCAGAAAGAAAACTGCCACCAAATGCTTATTCCTATACACTATAAGGTAGCCAAGGAACTACTGCCCCCAGGAAACACTGATTCAAGAAACCCTGGGGATAACTCAGCTGGATGAGAATGCCTGGTCCAGATCTTTGCTACTGTAAGTGAGGCCTATGGACCTACAGCATCTAACAACCTGAGAGCTCACTAGAAATGGGAATCTCTGGCCCCACCAGACCTACTGAATCTGAATCTGAATTTTCACAAGATTCCACAGATGATCTGAGGCATATCTAAGTTTCATAAGCACTGGTCTATAACAAATCCTTATGGCAATTTTAGGAAAGGAGCAGCTGGCTCATAGTTCAGATCTTACAATGACTTTAAAGGGTATTTATCAGGCCAGGCATGGTGGCTCATAGCTATAATCCCAGCACTTTGGGAGGCCGAGGTGGGAGGATCACTTGAGCCCAGGAGTTTGAGACCAGTCTGGGCAACATAGGGAAACTCTACAAAAAAGTTTAAAATTAGCTGGGCATGGTGGTGTGTGCCTGTAGTCCCAGCTACTTGAGAGGCTGAGGTGGGAGGATCGCCTGAGCCCAGGAGGTCGAGGTTGCAGTGAGCTATGATCATACCACTGTACTCCAGCCTGGGTGAAAGAGTGAGAACTTGTCTCATAAATTAAGTAAGTAAAGTAAGTAAATAAATAAATATTAATCACGCCATGCTGTAACCCATCTTGATGTAACTGAGGCATCTGCCAGTTTCTTCTCCAGTTCCAGAGCAGACTTCCAAGTCCGAAGTGTATGAGGTTTCCTTCCTTGGAACTCCTCACAAACAAGATTGAGACTTGAGAATGTCAGGCCTCCCATTATCCAATGCTCTTGACTTCTCAGGAAGTCCTTCCTAAGAGGATGGTACAGTCCCCACCACCAGCCCTGCAGGGGATGGCATGGAGCTTCCCAGGCTGGCCCACAAGGAGTGTGAACCAACAAAAATGCCATCAGGGAGAATACATACATTTTATGTAACAATAATTTTTCAAAATAGTATCCAATGTTGTTTTCATTTCTAGGGATCATGTCTGTCCTGAGGCCCTGTTCCCATGGACACTGAGAACTCGATGACTTCAGGGGGAGGCAGATGAAGCTGAGAGTACAGGAGGCCGTGTTCAGCCTTCAACTTCTAAAACAGGCTCTTTTTAAGGCTCATTTAAAAAGAAGAGTTAAGAAAGGCAAGAATTCCACTAGGAAGAGCCAAGCTTTGAGGAGTATAAAAAGGGTATTATAAATCCCAGAAGTGTCTTTTGAACTATTAAGAACCAGAGGCTGAGTAGACTCAGGGTACAGAATGTTTGACTATAAGCCCTGGAGTGTATATTAACCCTGGGAAGGCATGAAATTAATTAAGGGGCAGTTTTCTGCTCTCCAGGAAGAAGAAAAGCACCTCTGGGAGTTGAGGGGAGGAGTGCAGAGAGGGATTGGGAAGCGGACAGCAGAAATGAGAGAACAGGAGTGCGGTCTGTCCCTTGCTCTGACTCAGGTTCAAATACCAGGGGCAGGGGCAGGAAAGAGACCCCTTTAGAAAGCTCAGTGCAGGGCCACTGGCACCTTGTTTATGGCCAGGAATTTTGGAAAGAAATAGTTTTACAGAGGCCAACATGGCGGGCAGGTCAGACAGGGCCTGACATGGCTTACTGACATTGCCTGGTTTCCCTTGCCCTCTAGTAGATTATGGAGGACAGTTTTTAAATTTCCTGGGGACTCTCTAGAGGAATATGGAAGGAAGCCAAGATTTAAGATCAGCATGACTGCTGGGCAGCACACCTATAGCACAGGGAAGGGAATCCTGCGGCAGATGCTGTGGCCAGGACAGGCCAAAGTGGGGAGGTGACAGTCTCAGGCCAAAGTGGGGAGATGACAGAGTCTCAGAGGCTGCCACAGGGGTCTGGTAAGTGGGGCTGATGGCTAAGCAGGTCTTGAGACCTCACAACTAAAGATCCCCATCCCATGCCAGGCCAGAGTGCTCCAGAAACTTAGATCACCTCAGGAGAAAAAGGCAAAAAGTTTACTCTACACAGTCTAAGTACAAACCTAGAAGAGTCTGAATGATTTCACATGTCAAGTGTATTTTTTTTTTCTGTCAGCTGTGGAAATGGGGTTTCCTAGTTAAGTTTAGTTATGGAAACCACTTATGGCCCCCCAGTTGCTCCTTCCCACACAAAAGACCTGATCACGACACTCCCCTGCCTCAGAACAGTATTTGGTTCCATGTAACTTCATATGGAAGCAAGCCTCAACCAGCTTGTCCTGCCAGTCTCCATCTCTGCCTCCCACCTCCACACACCCTACACTACATTAACATGTTTATTTTCTCCAGACACGCTGTGCTTCATACAGTCCCACCTTCGAACATGCTGCCCTGGCCTGCTGTATTGTATATACTCTGCCACAGGCTGGTTATATTTTGGGTAATTATTTATGTCTGTCTCTGCTCTCTCTCAAGGGTGAGGTCTATGTCTTATTCATTTTCTCTTATACAATTCCTGGCTTATAGATGCACTCAGGGGATTCATATATTAAACAATGACAGCCAAAACCATCCAAGATGGAACGGGCTGCCTCACAAGGCAGGGAGTTCTCCATCATGGGGAATGTAAAAGCATCAGTTCTGCCAGGAGCTGGCAATGATGCCAAGAAGGAGATAGGAGCCTGGGTCAGTGACCCTTAGGAGCCCATCCTACCTCAAGAATCTGAAGGTCCATGAGTACCAAGAAAAGGCTGTAGTGGCAGCAGGCTGAGTGGGAAATGGTGGGAGCAAGCTGAGTGGAGTCTCATTGGTCCCCAGGAGTGGGGAAGATGGCTCTGATGGCACATGTCAACAATGGCTCTAGTATAAGCAGGGAGCACTAGACTTCTTGAAATCCCTATGCATATGGTAACTCACTATAGTATCTGCACCTGCCAGATTATGGTTTAATGTATGTAGGAAGGTATGCATGGGTGTACCTACAGTGCCTATAGATGAGATGCATGGTAGATAGTAAAATAGCAGAAAATAAGCCAAGCCATTAAAACATTTACCCATTTTTTTTTGCCTCCACATATGGTACCTGATAATATTACTAACATGTGACAAGATGACACTAGAAATATGGCAGGACTAACTTTGGACAGAAGGAGTCCAGATTATTAACTAGCCAGTTATCTACCTGCTTCTGGAAGGAAATTTCTTGGGAGTATCCAATAATCTCATTGTGAAGACTTAATTATGAATGAGGAAAATGGCTGCCATTTAAGTAATGGGGTCCTGCACTTTTCGTCTGATGACCCCGGAAATTAAGCCTTAGACCTGAAGTTGAGCACTTTGGTGCTCAGGTTCATTCCTATATAAATACCTAAATGGTATCTGTGCCATAACTGAGCCTTAGCACATGCTAACAGTGGCTTGTAGAAGCCGCCTGGGGGACACCTAAAGTTGTAACTCCCTGTTTGTATACACTGCAGATGTCCCAGGGCAGACAGATGTCTCTTATTGCACCTGATTATTGTGATGTGGTTGACAGGTGAGCACAGGGGAATGCCTCACCTGCTTCCTTTATGTGCTTGTAAACATCATCAGAGCCAGCAGAGGAATACGGAATGTCATCATGAGCCACAAAGTCAATCTGTTGAAGAGAGAGAAGAGTGATGTCACCACTGGGATGGATGTGCATGTCTGCAGATTTGAAGGGGGGAATGGTGACTTCATAATGCCTTTTCAAAATAAGGCAGTTGTATGTTACATTTATAGTGGAGACCTGAATCCTTGGCTGAAATGTATTTCCAACTATTTTCATTTCTATGAGATAATGGGAACTAGAAGAATAAATGTTTTGGTTTCTCTCCTTTGCTGGTCCCTCTTTCTTGTCCTACCCCAGAGAGTAGGATTTCTTGGTCTTCTGTCCTTCTGCATCTAAAGTTTCTCCTTGAGAGAACTCATTAATTCTTTGAATTTTTATCATCCCTCCTATGATGAGGAACCCAAATCTTCATTTCCTGTCCCATTGATGGCAATGGGCACTCACACTTAGGTCACATTTTATACTGTGAAAAGGAATTTGTCTCTTTCCTCATTCGATCCTCATAACCACCTTGTGAGGTGGGCAGGCCACATGTTACTACTTCAGTTGGGACATAAGGTGCTGAAACTAGAAAATTTGTTAGATTTACCCAAGGCTTAAAGACTGGAGTGGGCCGCTGGGGCACCAGGCCATGTTTAGCGGGCTGCCAGGGCACCAGGCCAGGTGGGCTTAATTCCCACTGCATCCCTCTCTTTTACCACTTGCTGTCACTTTAAATCATCTTGTCCTGTCCTGTCCTGAATTTAATTCATCTTCCTGAAAACGAGTGACCCCTTCCAATGGCACTTTTATTTTATTTATTTTGGGTCTTGGGGAGACCCAAACCTTGGAATAAGCCTCTTTTCTCTACTTATTTCACTCACCCTAGGTTCTGCTGGGATGTGTGTGTGTGTGTGTGTTTGTGTGCACACATGCATATGTAGGTGTGTGCCCATCATTTTCTCTCCATTGCAACTACACCAAATCCAGGACCTGGTCACCCAGATTACTGACACCAACTTGTATCTGGCCTTCCTCACTGTAGGCCCCCTCCTCTCCAAGCCATCCTGCTGTCACATGGGGTATCCTCCTTAAACAGGTTTTTTTGTTTTTGTTTTTGTTTTTTTCTGGTCATCCTCATGCCTGCTCATCTTTATTCCTGTTTCCTGCAACATCAAGCAAACACTCCTTGCCTAGATTTTAAAGCCCTGTATAACAAGCCCTTTATAATGGGGTTTCACTCTACCTTGAGAGGTAATTTAGAGTAGCAGTAGTTAAATACTTGAGAGGTAGTTTAGAGATAGTTTAGAGTAGTATGATTCCCTGCCCCACTACTTGCTGGCTATATAACTCATAAGTTAGGGGAAAGATTCAATTAGGATTTCTCAAGCTCAGTACTAGTGACATTCGGGACTGGAGAATTCTTTGGTGTCGGGAGTTGTCCTGTGCATTGGCACATGCTTAGCTTTTACCCACTAGAAGCCGGTAGCACCCCTCTAGCTGAGACAACCCCAAATGTCTCAAGACATTGCCAAATGTTCCTCAGGGCAAACTCACCCCAGTTGAGAATCACTGGATTAAATGACATAATTATGTAAAAATGCTGAAAAACAATTAGTACGGAGTATATCCTCAATAAATGTTTATTATTATTATTATTATTAATTCTATTCTTAGTACTCAAACTTAGTTCCTTTTCCTCTCCAATGTATAATAACAACTTCTCAGGGTAGCTGTGAGATTGAATTCAATTCATATAATGACAAGGCCCTTAGCACAGTGCCGGGCACATGGTAAATACTCAATAAATTACAGCCATCATTATCATTATAAGTATCCCCCATAATGCCTAGCACATGTTGAATATACAATAGATGCTTAGTAAAAATGTGGTAGTGATTACTGGAAGTAAATCATATTGTAGTTTTTCCTTTTTCTTTTTATTCTCACTGGGAAATTGTCTCTTCAGCTATTACTCATGCACATTTATCAGTGTTCTCTATTCTCTTCTGCATCGTGGCTTTAAAAATAGAAAAGAAAATTCTTAGAACAGCTTAATCTTATTTTTTTTGTACTGCTTATAAAAGGAAAGAATAGCTCCTAATGTGGGGCTGGTAGGGAGATACAAAGCACATAATTTGATGCAGATCAAAAGAATCTCTCATGTTTCCAACTAATAAAAATCTTATGTCAGTAGGATTCTCAGGGTCACAAAATCATAGATATAAAGTTCTTTCTTTAAAGGCTGACCTGTGACTTTCTGGATAAGATGTGTGTTCATTTGTCCCATGAAAAAGAATGCCTGTGAATCGATAAGCATCAATAATGACGGTGGTGATGGTGGTGACAATGACATTTTTGGAGCTCTTGCTATGGGCCAGCCAGTGTTCTAACTGCTTAACTAAGATTACCTCTTAGATCTTCAAAACACGTCCACAAGGAAGATACCAACATCATCCCATTTTACAGTTGAGGTAAGCGAGTACAGTGTGGTTAGATATCTTGTTCAAGGTCCCACAACTAGGAAGAGATAGAGGCAGGATTTGGACCTGGGCGGTTTAGATCCAGGGCCCACACTCAAAGAAGTGAGAGGATACCAGTCCTCGGGCTTGGGCGGACGAAAGGTGCCACATCAAGCAGTTCCACATGACAGTTCCTGAAGTTACCTCTTTTAGAAATTGAGAGAGACTTTGGGCTTTCCGTAGTCTTGGCTGCAGAACCAGACTCCCTAATCTTGCTACTTAGAGAATGTGGGAGAATGAGAAGTACCTTGTGTTTTTCCAGAAACTCTGGCGTGAGTGTCCAGGGAGCATCTCTGATAACTTCGTCTACGTAGCGACAGTGTCTGAGAGCTTCGTATCTCTCGGCTTCATTCATCACGGTGAAACCTTTGAATTTGTGGGTGAGATCATCACTGCAAACTAAAACAGGCAAATGCATTAAATGCCATTACTCGGCCCAGGACCTGCTCACAGCCACCCTGGTTCAGACAAGGCTTCTTCAGCAGGACAAAAGAAGCACAGCCTCGCTAGGTGCTTGTCATAATTGTACTCAGTTTTTAAAGGGAACAAAGGATTTGGAGAGCAAAGTAAGCTAAAATCCACCGACAATTCAGAATTTCATTTTAATGCTAATTACATCTGCATTCTCCACTGTGGCTTCTATTAAAATTATTCTCTACACTACCTAATGTGACTTTCATATCTTTTTATTTTCCTATCCCACCCCTCAGTGAAAATTACCATTCAGAAATAAAATGACCAAATGAACAGACACAGGAGGGAGAGAAGGAGAGGAACCAAGAGGCCTGATTTACAGGAGGTTTGAATGGTTTGAACAATCAGTTCCAATTATTTTACTAGATTATTGTACTTTGTAACCCAAGTGTGAGACAGACAGACAGACACACACACAAATACATATACTTCTGTTCCCTGGATTGAGGGCCAGTCACTACACATCAGGTCACTCAATCAAGAGAAGAAAGTCATAAAATCAAAGGTTTGATCTAGTAGAGTTCATCCTTTCACATCTCTCTTTTTTTTTTTTTTTTTTTTTGAGACAGAGTCTCGCTCTATCGCCCAGGCTGGAGTGCAGTGGCTCCATCTCAGCTCACTGCAAGCTTCGCCTCCCGGGTTCACGCCATTCTCCTGCCTCAGCCTCCTGAGTAGCTGGGACTACAGGCTCCTGCCACCACCCAGGCTAATTTTTTTGTACTTTTAGTAGAGATGGGTTTTCACTGTGTTAACCAGTATGGTCTCGATCTCCTGACCTTGTGATCCACCCACCTCGGGCTCCCAAAGTGCTGGGATTATAGGCGTGAGCCACCACACCCGGCCTCCACATCTCTTATATTTTCTAGATCTCAGGTTCCTGAACCCTCAAATGGGGATATCTTCCACTATCAGCCTTAGAAAAGATGTTTCGAGAACTTAGAAAAAAAGTGCTTTTAAACAAACTGAACAATAAATACTATTCACTATCCTATCTTTTGGTTGGCCAAGGCAGCTTTCCTAAGATCTCCTATGTGTCAGGAAGAAATATCATTGTGGGTACAGTCCCTGTTTACCAAGATCCCAGTGAGAGCCTTGCGGTGGCCAGTCAGAACTACCCTGACTGCTCTTTGCAATGAAATTTTTTTTTCTTTAAAATATTATGTACTTACAATAAATTCACTAATTTTTTTTTGAGACAGAATCTTGTTCTGTCACCCAGGCTGGAGTTCAGTGGCGTGATCTTGGCTCACTGCAACCTCCACCTCCCAGGTTCAAGTGATTCTCCTGCCTCAGCCTCCCTAGCAGCTGGGATTACAGGTGCGTGCCATGACACCCAGCCAATTTTTGTATTTTAGTAGAGATGGGTTTTCACCATGTTGGCCAGGCTGGTCTCGAACTCCTGACTGCAAGTGATCCACCGGTCTCAGCCTCCCAAAGTGTTGGGATTACAGGCATGAGGCACTGTGCCCAGCCAACAAATTCACTAATGTTAAGTGTACAATATGTGTTTAATTTAAAAATTTTAATTGATGCATAATAATTAACATATTTATGGGGTAGAGGGTGATGTTTCCATGCATGTATACATTGTATAATAATCTAATCAGGATATTTAGCATATCCATCACCTCATACCTTTATCATTTCTTTGTGGTAAGAACATTCAAAATTCTGTCTTATAGCTATTTTGAAATATACAATATTGTTAACCATAGTCACCCTAATGTGCAATAGAACACCAGAACTTATTCCTCCTAACTGTAACTTGGTACTCGTTGATGAACTTCTCCCTGTCCCCCGTCATCTACCTTCCCCAGCCTCTGGTAACCACTGTTCTACTCTCTGTTTCCATGAGATCAGCTTCTTTAGATTCCATATATAAGTGGTATATAAACACAAAGAAATACTATTTAGCTATGAAAAAGAATGAAATCCTGTCATTTATGGCAACATGGATGGATCTGGAGGTTATTTTGTTAAGTGAAATAAGCCAGACACAGGAAGACAAATACTGCCTAATCTCACAAGATGTGTTTTAAGAACAAAAATATGATCATTTTCTTGGAACTGAATGATGACCCACACCCAGAATCAAATCTGGCCACAGAGTAAGCACAGCCAACAGTCACACTCAGCATCCTTGGAAAACCTTCTTTTGTAGTCCCTTCACATAATCCACACCCAAGCCATCAGGAAAACTGCAGGCTCTGCCTTCAAAGCACACCCGGAAGCCATGTTTTTCTCAGCACCTCCACTGCTCCCATCCCCACCCCTTCATCATCTCTCCCAGGGATGACTGCAGTAGCCTCTTAACTGATCTCCTGATTCCAGCCTTGCCCACTCCCAACAACCTATTCTCATTGGCCAGAATGAGCCTGTTGAAGCTTGTCAGTCTGTGTCATTCCCAAATTCAGAACCCTTCCTGTCTCATTCAGAGTAAAACCAAAGTCCTCCAGTGGCTGACAAGACCTACGCCTCTGCCCACTCCTTGCCTCCCTGACCAGTCTCCTAGTGTATCCCAGCTCCCCGGCCTTGCAGTTTCTTGAATGCTTCTTCTCAGGTCCGGGCCTTGCACTATTCTCCAAACCTGGAATAGTTGTGCTCCAAATACTCATAGAGCTCACCTTCTCCTCTCCCTCAAGTCTTTCCCCCTACCCTCTTCTTTTTTTGTTTGTGTTTTTTGGACAGAGTTTTGCTCTTGTTGCCCAGGCTGGAGTGCAATGGCACGATCTTGGCTCACTGCAACCTCTGCCTCCCGGGTTCAAGCGATTCTCCTGCCTCAGCCTCCCAAGTAGACCCACCCTCTTCTGAATTGTGATCCTCTGCTGCATTACTTCTCCCCATGACACTTGTCTCATGTAGCTGTCTTATTTAGTTTTATTGTTGGTGTTCCCCTATAAATTCCCCGAGGGCAGGGACTTTTGTTTCATTTTCTGATGTACCATACCTGGCCCCTAGTAGGCTTTTAACAATATTTGTTGAATGAATTAACAAAGCCTGATACATATAGATACTCAAGAAATATTTATTATTATTTACAATAATAGATTTATATTTATCTACAGGTTCCTTCTTTTTCTTTTCTTTCTTTCTTTCTTTGTTTCTTTCTTTCTTTCGTTTCTTTCTTTCTCTCTCTCTCTCTTTCCTTCTTTCCCTTTCTTTCTTTCTCTCTTTCTTTCTTTCCTTTCTTTCTTTCTTTTCTTTTCTTTTCTTTTCTTTTCTTTTCTTTTCTTTTCTTTTCTTTTCTTTTCTTTTCTTTTCTTTTCTTTCTTTCTTCCTTTCTTTTTTTGTTTTGGACACAGAGTCTCCCTCTGTTGCCCAGGCTGGAGTGCAATGGCGCGATCTCAGCTCACTGCAACCTTCACCTTCTGGGTTCAAGCAATTCTCCTGCCTCAGCCTCCCGAGTAGCTGGGATTACAGGCACCTGCCACCACACCTGGCTAATTTTTGTATTTTTAATAGAGATGGGGTTTCGCCATGTTGGCCAGGCTGGTCTCAAAGTCCTGACTTCAAGTGATCCACCTGCCTCAGCCTCCCAAAGTGCTGGGATTATAGGCGTGAGCCACCGCGCCTGGCCTACAGGAACGTTTCAACAACATACACGCAAAGGAGAGACTAATGAGCTTCTAGATGCATATAAATATATATATATATGCCTCTATATCTCCTATACATACTTCCTGAGATGTTTTCTATTATAAAAGTTTATATTACCAAAACAACATCAACCATATGTCTGGCCTGAAAACTGATGAGTATCAGAATCACCCAAGGAGCTTGTTAAACACATGTAAAGAAACCCAGCTCACTCCCTGAGATTTTTGATTCAGTGAGTCTGTAGTGGGGCCCAGATAGCTCTGTCTTTGACAAGCTTCAGAGATGATTCTGATGAAGACAACATTTGAAAACCCTGAAGCATATTATAAATAACTTGAGTCAAGAGCTCTGCCTGTCTTTAAATCACCCATTATGCCCAGAGGTGGGGGGGAAGGTGGGCAGGAGGGACAGGTAGTAGGGCCATAATAACTATGTGTTGATTTATTGACTATATTAGTTTTTGACCCCATAAACAGGAATTCTTTATGGGCCATGCAATATGATTTCAAAACCAATCTAAGACTTTTTGAATGTTCTTTTAGGACCTTATTAAAATACCACCCTGAGAATCATATTGAGCAGAAATGGATTTCAGATTCATCCATTTTCCATTTTCTATTTTAAACAGCACAAAACTAGGCCGTGCCACATCCTCCCCCTTTCTGAATCTGCACCTGAGCAATTTGGTATAACTTCTACATGACCGAGATAATGGCCTACTGATAGAGCACAAAGAAAACAAACATCCTGTTTATGCCAATACAGGGTCCTATTTTCCTATCCCAGGAGTGACCTCAAGAAGCAGCTGAACATGCTGACCAGTTATTGTCTAAACATTAATTACGCCCAAAGCAGCACTGTTGTTCTTGAGTCTTGGCAAATGCACTCTGACAACCAGATGGAGAGCTCTGGGCAGCGGTATTCCATGGATGAATTCATTGAGCTATCTGGGAACTCATGCTGCAACTAACCTATGCTGGCAGCTCACTGTGCTCCCACAGGAGAGAAAATACAACATAGGAATTGAGCTTGGGAGCCCAACAGACTCGGGTTCTAATCCCAGCTCTGCTATTACCGGAAAAGTTACTCAAACTCTCTGAGCCTCAGTTATCTGGTCTTTAAAACATGGTGAAGTTTTGAGAATTAAATTTGATCATCTTTATGAGCAGAGAGTAATGCTGAATAATGTTAGCCATTTACGAATAGTAGTAGGAAAATACGATCACTCATGGATCTATTCCTTCAGATTTTGTGTTCTGTCTTTTCCCTGCCCCCTACTCCAAGCAGGTATGAGGGCCCCGTGGTACAGACTCCTTTGTAGGTGCTGTGAGCTCAAGTTGCTAGTAGACAGCCTGCCTTCCTGGCTGCTGTTTTCCTGAAGCCAGAGCAACTTGAGGGGTATTCTGGAAAGAAGAAGACAATGAGAGAGGAGATCTCTCCAAATTGCAGGGAAAGGGCCAAATGTCTATGGATCCCACAAGCAGCAGATGCCAGTGGCAGGACCTCAAGAGAGATGAGAATGTGAGGCCCTAGGCATGGGAGTTCTACCTGGGAACAGACTGCAGGTGACTGAACTGTGATAGGTGCAATGAATCTGCTCCCTTCTAGTAATTATCTGGGCTCAGACAGTGAGGGCAGTGCAAAAATAGCCCTGGGTTGAAGACTGGAGGCCCCGCTCCTGTTTCTATAAACATTGTGGACACTTGTTTGACTCTGGGGAGGTAAAGAGAGCCCAGTAAAGTCTGAGACTAGGCCAGGCGCAGTGGCTCATGCCTGTAATCCCAGCACTTTGGGAGACCGAGGTGGGTGGATCATTTGAGGTCAGGAATTCGAGACCAGCCAGGCCAACATGGTGAAACCCCGTCTCTACTAAAAACATAAAAATTAGCCGGGCGTTAGTGGTGCACGCCTGTAATTCCAGCTACTCAGGAGGCTGAGGCAGGAGAATCGCTTGAGCCTGGGAGGCAGAGTTTGCAGTGAGCCGAGATCACACCACTGCACTTCAGTCTGGGCGAGAGAGTGAGACCCTGTCTCAAAGAAAAAAAAAAAAAAAAGACTGAGACTGAATTTCCTACCAGTCAGGCAAAAGGGACTCTTAAAGAATATTTAGTTCCAATTAAAATATAATAAAATAAACACAAGTTTGTGGAGTAATCTTTATGTCTTCTATAGTAGTAGTAGTATGTTTACTGTTGTTATTTTTATTGCCCTCCTGCGAAGCAGAGGTGGCTATTTGGTGACTCTTTAAAAATTTTTTTAGGGAAAAAAACACACTAGTATAAATTTTAATTCCTTGGCCTGTTTTTAAATGACACAAACTTGTAAATTAAAATGAAGGAAAAAAGAGCTTTACAAGTGGAGAGTCTCAATTCACTAAAATAATGCCAACAAGGTAAGCTTGCATAGAAGAATTTTCAAATTATTACTGGCTACATGCTTAAAAAATTAGAAGTGCAGGTATTGGGCCAGGTGCGGTGGCTCATGCCTGTAATCCCAGCACTTTGGGAGGCCGAGGTGGGCAGATCACTTGAGGTCAGGAGTTCGAGACCATCCTGGCCAACATGGTGAAACCCTGTCTCTACTTAAAATAGAAAAGTTAACCAGGTGTGGTGGTGCATGCTTGTAATCTCAGTTACTGGGGAGGCTTAGGTGGGAGGATTACTTGAACCCAGGAGGTGGAGCTTGCAGTGAACCAAGATCATGGTACTGTATTCCAGCCTGGGCAACAGAGTGAGACTCCATCTCAAAAAAAAAAAAAAAAAGTGCTGGTGTTATAATCATAGGGCAAAACCATGACGATTGTGGTGCCTTTTACTGCCTAAGGTTGAGAAATAGACTATAGTACCTCCAGTTATCACAGTTTCTGGTCCTTTAATAAATGATTTCTGACAAATACCAAGTATTTCTACCAAATACTTGTCCCCATACTTGCCCTGACCAAAGTGGTTTCATGAGTGAAGTCTTCGCTCCACCCAAGGGAACTCCTACAGCAAACCTACCTGCATATGGAAAGGGGACCCTAGTTAATATGGCAGGCCCATTTAACTCACTGTAAGCATTTTACATGTTGACCACACATACAGTAATCAAGATCCAGCCTTTCAACCAACAACACAGGACACCTATTCTTGAAGACCTCCCTAACTTTCCTCAGTATAGAATTGTCTGCCATTAAGTTGGTTGGTTTGTCATTCTCCAGAAAGACAGTCTAAGATAAAGGTCTCCTTAAACTACGATACATATACCCTCATGGACACACACAGACTTTTCTTTTTTCTTTTCTTTTTTTTTTTTTTGAGATGGAGTCTCGCTCTGTCACCCAGGCTGGAGTGCAGTGGCGTGATCTCGGCTCACTGCAACCTCCGCCTCCTGGGTTCAAGCAATTCTCCTGCCTCAGCCTCCCAAATAGCTGGGATTACAGGCGTGTGCCACCACGCTTGGCTAATTTTTGTATTTTTAGTAGAGACGGGGTTTCACCATGTTGGTCAGGCTGGTCCCGAACTCCTCACCTCATGATCCGCCCACTCGGCCTCCCAAAGTGCTGGGATTACAGGCATGAGCCACCGCACCCAGCCACATAGACTTTTCAAAAGGTATCCATGAACAGCTAGTTTTAAACGAATCAATGTCCAGATTCAACTTCCAGTGGTACACTTTCCTAATATTAACTAGGTCAAGAAAGTCTCTGGGTCCAAAGCCATGCTTACTCCACTTTACAAAAGAAAGGCACCACCCAAACCTTAATATGTTGCATTGGAAGGGGTGGAGGGCGATTTAGCCTTCAGGGCAAACCAAATGGAAATCTCAGTTAGTGACCATTCAAAGCACCATGAACCTATGAAAGCTTCCTGTCTTTCCCTGTCTTACACACATTTCTGTTACAGGTGAAGCCTAGTGTTAGAAACTCAATATGGTAGAGTGGAGAATAATGCAAATTTTTGCCCAACAACTTTGCCTCTTCTCCCAACTATTGTCAAAAAACACATGGATCTTTAGGGATAAGGCCCAAGAACTCAAAGCAAAAGGAGCATTGGAAAGAAATAGTGAATTCTAAAAAAATGGCTTTTTCATGTAGTCAAGGGTAAGCATTTTTTCAGCTATTCTTAACACTCATATTGAATCCTAAAAATGGCTTTTCTCTTGTAGATAAGAGTAAGCACTTTTTTCCAGCTATTTACTTGAAAATCACTTCAATAAACCAAAGCTATATAGGCTGGTACTGCTGCTTCTTAGAAATGTGACTAGAATATTTTCTAGAATTATCAAATTTTTCAAGATACATTGGAATAGACACATGGGTAAAACATTTACATAATTTTTTACAGGCTTCATACGCATTACTTAAAAAGGAAGTTAAAAACCTGTGTTATCAACTTATATCATAAAATATTTATTCTATTTACAGGTCATCCTAATTCATCTCATTGTCTATAATGTTTATTTTCTACCTCTTTATAACAAAAAATAAAATTATTATCTGCCTCCAGACCAATTACTTTTTAATAATATATGCCCCCTTTCTATCTTTAAATACATAGGAAAAGTTTAGTCATGGTATCTACTAAAGATAACTATTTCTGTTTTTCATATTTATTTGATTATTCCCAAAAGGCAAACACTAGAATTTGATATATATATACACACACACACACACACACACACACTCACACACACACGTGTGCCAATATTTAGAGAAGGAATAACATGCCTTTTAAAAATCATACTCTTCTTCGTATAAATATCACATAATTTTATGTATAAATTACATTGCATTACTACAAATTAAGTGCATTGATTTATTGTCTTGTCTTGTTTATAACTTATTATATTAGATCTACATCATTTTAATCTTGACTGATTCTATTTTACATAATCCATTCTATCATTTATTTTTGAGTGTTTTTTATAAAGCTTCTTGAAATACATTAATACATTTGAACTGAAAATACATTAATGCATTTGAATTGAAAAGACATTTTCTTGGTTTGTAGGTTTTTAGTAGGTTTGACAATGAGGACTGGTTTTGCCAATTTGGTTGGATGGTGTTTTCTGCAAAGTTAGTAATCTGAAACTGTAGCCCTGAGATTTTGTTTTTTAAAAAAGGTTGTAAGCAAATGATAAAAGCATTTTATCAAAAATTACTTGATTGGCAATGATGTAATTAAATTACTAATATTTCCATTTCCCAAATCCTTTCTGGCTATATCTAGTTGAATAAGTTGCTTTCAAGTAAAAGAATAAGGGATATAATTAAGAGTCATTTAATAACTCTTGATATAGCCTTTTGTTAGAAGTCCCAGAAAGAGAAAAAGCAAATGATTCTAATAGCTTGGCAACAAATCCTTTTGCAGGTCAGGTCATTTCTAATCCATTGCTTGCAACAAATTTGAAGGAGGATCTTAACAAATTGTCACTTGATAGACCATTAAAATTACTTTTGATGGCAATAATAATAATAAATTATGTTGTTATTTTTGGTAAATAACTCAGAAGTTCAAAGAATTGAGTGGCATCACTGTAACAAACTCCTTCCATTCTATCTACACATTTGCATGAACAACATATTTCAGCACTTATAACTATGACAAGGAAAAAATAGGGATAAAATTGATGTTAAACCCTGCCTCATTCTAGCAGTCAGTTATATTCATCCATAAGTACATCTCCAGGTACATACTATTCATCTCATTAAGAGATACATTGCTGTCCAAATTTATGTCTATGTTAACAATTATTTATCAAAGTGTATATAATGTGGTGCTTTGGTTAGTTATGCTCTAATTTATATACATATTTTTGTTTCAGAGAAGTATGATACAGTGATCACTAAAAGATTTGCAAACATTAAAACACATCACATTAGGAAAAATTATGGGAGAGAAGCAGAATGAAAATATAAGTTTGAGGGAAAAAATGAAACTTATAAATATTTAAAAGTTAAAAAATAGCTTGTTATATGTTTTGTAAATTGTTGATGATATATTTCAAAGCATTATAGTATTTAGATGCCAATAGATGCATTAAAGTGATGGGGTAACAATTTTGTTTTTTATTTATGTATTTATTTATTTATTTGTTGGAGATGGAGTCTCACTCTGTCACCCAGGCTGGAGTCCAGTGGCGCAATCTCAGCTCATGGCAACCTCCGCTTCCTGGGTTCAAGCGATTCTCCCACCTCAGCCTCCCTAGTAGCTGGGACTACAGGTGCACGCCTGGCTAGTATTTTTGTATTTTTAGTAGAGATGGGGTTTCATCATGTTGGCCAGGCTGGTCTGGTCTCGAACTCTTGACCTCAAGTGATCCACCCACCTCGGCCTCCCAAAGTGCTGGGATTACAGGCGGGAGCCATTGCGCCTGGCCCATAATTTTGTTTTAAAATGTCAATATTGGATTTCTGGTTTCCAGTCTGGTAGGTAAGGAGCTTAAAAGTGGCCACTCGGTCCTGACAACAAGTAAAAACTGAACAAACTGACAAATCTACAGGTCTTCTTAGATCCATCAGAGAACTGAGGTCACAGGGCAAACCACTACTCCCAAAATTGGAGAGAGAAACAGGCAGATAGAGAGAATATTAGCTTACTAGAGCAGAAACCCACAAGCAGAGCTACCTCCCCAGGAACCAGTGCTGGGATAGGAAAATTTAAACTGACAAATCGCTGGCACCTCAGTGTGGACAAGTCTAAGAGTTCAAGAAGCCAGGGGACAAATACTTTTGTGGGTTTTACCTCCAGGAGCTCAAGTAGGGCCTCAGAGTGACAGAGCAAAACCCTGTCTCTTAAAAAATACATAAAAATAAAAATAAAAGTTTATATGGAAAGGAAAAAGATCCAGAAAAACCAAATTGATATTGAAGGAGAAGAAAGTGTCAGAAAACTGACACTATCTGACTTCAAAACCTACTATAAAGCTACAGTAATCAAGACAGTGTGGTATTGGCAAAAAGAACAGACAAATACATCAATGGAACAGACAGAAAGCCCAGAAATAGACCCAGACAAATATACAGAGAGCCAGTCTTTGACAAAGGAGCAAAGGCAAGCAAACATAGACCTTTCAACAAATGGAACAAATGGACATTCACATGCAAAAAAAAAAAAAAATTAATCTAGACATAACCTTACATCCTTCACAAAAATCAAATGTAAATGCCAAACTATATGTAAATGTAAAATGCCAAACTATAAAACTCTACAGAAGAAAACCCAGATGGGTTTCTTCTGGGTATGGTGGTGACTTTTTAGATACAACACCAAAGGCATGAACCGTGACAGAAACAATTGATAAGGTGGACTTTATTAAAATTAAAAACTTCTGTTCTGCAAGAGACAATGTTAGGAGAATGAGGAAACAAGGCATAGACTGGGGGCCGGGCACGATGGCTCACGCCTGTAGTCCCAGCACTTTGGGAGGCCGAGGTTGGTGGATCACCTGAGGTCAGGAGTTCAAGAACAGCCTGGCCAACATGGTGAAACCCTGTCTGTACTAAAAATACAACAATTAGCCAGGTGTGATGGCACATGCCTGTAATCCCAGCTACTCGGGAGGCTGAGGCACAAGAATTGCTTGAACCCGGGAGGCAGAGGTTGCAGTAAGCCAAGATCGTGCCACTGCACTGCAGCCCGGGCAACAGAGCGAAACTCTTTCTCGAAAAAAAAAAAAAAAAAGACATGGACTGGGCGAAAAATATTTGAAAATGATACAACTGATAAAGGACCGCTACCCAAAATATACAAAGAACTCTAAAACTCAACAATAAGAAAAAAAACAGCTGGATTTTAAAAAATGGGCTACAGACCTTAACAGGTACCTCTCCAAAGAAGATCTACAGATGGCCAGGAAGCACATGAAAAATGTTCAATATCATATGTCACTAGGAAATTGAAAATTAAAACAACCTACTATACACCTATTAGAATGACAAAAGTCCAAAACATTGATACAACCAAATGCTGGCAAGGACATGACGCAATAGGATCTCTCATTTATTGCTGGTGGGAATGCAAAATGGTACAGCCACTTCGATCTGCAGTTGAATGCTCTACCTCTGAGCTATACCCACTCCTGGTACAGCCACTTTGGAAAACAGTTTGGCAGTTTCTTACAAAACTAGACATATTCCTACCATGCAGTCTAGCAATCACACTCCTTGGTATTTATCCAAATGAACTGAAAATGTATGTCCATACAAAAACCTCCACATGGATGCTTATAGCAACTTTATTCATATTTGCCAAAATGCGGAAGCCACTAAGATGTCCTTCGGCAGATGAATGGATAAACTGTGGTACATCCAGACAATGGAACATTATTCAGCGCCAAAAAGAAATGAGCTAGCAAGCCATGAAAAGACATTGAGGAGCATTAATTGAATATTATGAAGTAAAAGAAGCCAATCTGAAAAAGCTACATGCTGTATAATTCTAATTATATGATGTTCTAGAAAAAGTAAAACTACACTAAAAAGAACAGTGGTTGTCAGGGGTTACAGGGAGGAAGAGATGAATAGGTAGAGCATATAGGATTTTTAGGGCAGTAAAAATAGTATCTGTATGATACTATCATTGTGGATACCTGTCATTATACAATGTACATCTATGAGTTTGGACAATGTAAAATTTTATCCAAACCCATAGAAGGTATAACGTTAAGAGTGAACCCTAATGTAAACTATGGACTTGAGGTGATAATGATGTGTCAATGTAGGCTAATGGATTGTAACAAATGCATCAGGCTGGGGCAGGATATTCATAGTAGGGGAAGTTGTGCCTGTGCGAGAAAGGAGTATACAAGGATTCGCTGTACTTTCCAGTCAATTTTTCTGTGAACCTAAAACTTCTCTAAAAAATAAAGTTTATTAATTTTTAAAAAGGCTAATACTCACAATATTCCAGAATTTACATCTTTTATAACTACTTAAATTAAGAAGCAGATATCTAAATTTTATTTACTTATTTTATTTATTTATTTATTTATTTGAGATGGCGTCTCGCTCTGTCACTCAGGCTGGGGTGCAGTGGTACAATCTCAGCTCCCTGAAACCTCCACCTCCCAGGTTCAAGTGGCTCTAGTGCCTCAGCCTCCTGAGTAGCTGGGATTACAGGCACCTGCCACCATACCCAGCTAATTTTTGTATTTTTAGTAGAGATGGGGTTTCACCATGTTGGCCAGGCTGGTTTAGAACTCCTGACCTCATGTGATCTGCCTGCCTCGGCCTCAAAAAGTGCTGGGATTACAGGCGTGAGCCACTGCACCCGGCCTGATATATAAATTTTAGACATCTGCTTTAAACTGTATAAGAAGGTATACAGATTTTTCAAAATTCTTTTAGAGATTGTGGGGAACAAAATTTCAAGACTCCTAGTCTAAGACAGTGGTCCTCAACAAGGATTTCATCATTCTCTAGGAAGCATTTTGGAAATCTGTGGGCCATCTTTAATTGTCATAATGGTTGGAGGCAGCTACCAGCATTCAGTGGGCAGGGGCCAATGAAGCTAGTCATCTTGCAATGCATGTGGCAGCTCTGCATGAGAATTTTCCCACATCCCTGCAAGATTTTTGAAAGTCCCTGCATAATATTTAAAATTATTTGAGGTTGAGTGTGCTAGCTCATGCCTGTAATCCCAGCATTTTGGGACACCTAGGCCAGAGGATCACTTGAGCCCGAGTTTGAGACCAGTCTGGGCAACATAGTGAAATCCCATCTCTACAATAAACAAAAACAGAAAAATTAGCCAGGCATGGTGGCATGTGCCTATAGTCCCAGCTACTTGGGAGGCTAAGATGGGAGGATCACTTGAGCCCGGGAGTTTGAGGCTGCAGTGAGCTGTGATTGCTCCACTGCACTTCAGCCTGGGAGACAGAGCAAGACCCTATCTCCAAAAAAAAAAATGATTAAATAAAAAACTTAGAAAAATAAAATTATTTGAGTCTAGAATCTGCCTTTGTTTTGCATACAATCACAAAGTATTTCTGCAACAGTTATGATAGACACAGAATTTTAGAGGAAGGCAATTACTATGTACATCAAAGGAAGATTGCACTTTGTTTTGTTTACAATTTTACCAAGAGGCATTCACCATTTGGGAAATCACACCCAGACAGCAATGCCACTCTTGGGATTTGAGCTCTTATACCATGCCCCCATAGCAGTCTGCCTATACACAGGAGGTTAGAGATTCCATTTAACAGACTTGGGATCAAATATTAAATTAATGGAGACATATGAAATACAGGATGTCACTGAATTTTTTTTTTTTTTGAGACAGAATCTCACTCTGTGGTCCAGACTGGAGTGCAGTGGCATGATCTCGGCTCACTGCAACCTCCGCCTCCCAGGTTCAAGCAATCCTCCTGCCTCAGCCTCCCAAGTAGCTGGGACTACAGGCGTGCAGCACCATGCCAGGCTAATTTTTTGTTGTATTTTTAGTAGAGACAGGGTTTCACCACATTGGCCAGGCTGGTCTCGAACTCCTGACCTCAGATGATTCACCCAACTCAGCCTCCCAAAGTGCTGGGATTACAGGTGTGAGCCACTGCGCCCAGCCAGGATGTCACTGAATTTTATTAGCAGAGTGGTTAGAAGATATTTCATAGTATTACAATTCGATTATTTTAAATGAGATGATAAGAATAAGAAATCTACAGAGAAAAGAACACACTGAAATTATTTATTATTGTTTGTGTTGCCCATGGTTGGTGTTTTTCTTGTTTGTTTTAGAGATGAAGTCTCACTGTGTTGTGCAGGCTGGAATGCAATAGCTATGCAGAGGTACGATCATAGCTCACTATACCCTTGAACTCCTGGGTCCAGGTGATCCTCTTGCCTCAGTCTCCTGGGTAGCTGGCACTACAGGCATGCACCACCATGCCCAGCTTTCACTCTTACTCTGTCACTGTTCCCAGAAGTCTACATACTATTTCTTTATAGCTTGATGCTGTATTGTTTTATTTTCTTCCTGTACTCCAGTCCTTGTCACTTACCAAAGGATACAGTCTCATGGTCATCCAAGTAGTTCAATATGCCCTTGACTTCCACAACCCATGTAATAGCCATTAAGGGAATATCTGAAATTCTGTGTAAACCTACTATAGAGGACATCGTTCTTTGGATTACTCAATGCCCCTTACACAGTGACCCTCTGAAACAGTTATCTCAGAACTCAGGCAGGAAAAACTAGTTCTTCCTGATGGTACAATTCAGCTTCTAGAGTTTGAGAGTGATAGAATGACTGTGTGGCCCCCTTTGCTATAGCTGCTAAAAAGTCCAGGATTTCTTATTGAAATTTTTCTCCTTCTCTTCTGCTTTATTTCTTGGCTCCAAACTTCTGCCCATATTAATTTCCCTGAGTACTGAATCATCTGTGCTTTTATGGAAAGCCTCCTTAAGATACACAAATCAAAAAACTAACATGTCACCATGTCTTCTCTGCTTGCCTCACACTGTTGTCTTGACTGGTGAGAATCCTGCACAAGGAAGACTGGATGTTCTGGCTTTTGAGTGCTTTTATTTCATTCAGGTCTCTGCACAAATGTCACCTCCTCAGAGAGGTCTTCCCTGACCTTTATACCTAAAACATCCCTCCTTCCTCCGCCCAGTCACTCTTTTCTCTTTTCCTATATTTCTTCATAGTACCACTACTACATATTTACTTGTTTAGTGGGCAATGACTGCCTCTCCCTCAGACTGCAAGTTCTCTGAGGACATAGACAGTCTGTTTTGTTCATGGCTGCATCCCCAGTGTACAGAAAAATGCCTGGCACATAGTAAGAGTTCAATAAAGAGTTGTTAGATGAAGGGGCCGGGAGCGGTGGCTCACGCCTGTAATCCTAACACTTTGGGAGGCTGAGGTGGGTGGATCACCTGAGGCCAGGAGTTCGAGACCTGGCCAACATGGTGAAATGCTGTCTCTACTAAAAATACAAAAAAGTAGCCGGGCATGGTGGCATGTGCCTGTAATCCAGCACTTTGGGAGGCTGAGGCGGGTGGATCATGAGGTCAGGAGTTGAAGACCAGCCTGACCAACATGGTGAAACCCCGTCTCTACTAAAAATACAAAAATTAGCCCGGCATGGTGGCACGCGCCTATAATCCCAGCTACTTGGGAGGCTGAGGCAGGAGAATCACTTGAACCTGGGAGGCGGAGGTTGCAGTGAGCCGAGATCATGCCATTGTGCTCCAGCCTGGGTGACAGAGCAAGACTCCATCTCAAAAAAAAAAAAAAAAAAAAGAAAGTTGTCAGATGAAGAAATCAGTGAGTCAGTGAAACCATTGTTGCCTAATGACCTAGAGAGCTGCTGATATTAACTGACTGCCTCCTCCAATTTACAAGAACGTACTGAAAACTACACATTTCCTTTTATCTTACTTTGGATGTGATAACCCAGGGCCACAGCTAGTGTTCCTGTTAACTGTGACCCACACCTAACCACCTCCAAACTTAGGCCACCCAAATGACCAAAGCCCAAACACTGCAGAGGTCTCTCCAGGGCCCCAGTAGCCTAGGACCAGACTCCAGGTGGTAGTGCTCTCTCAAGGAATGGTTTTCAGGCTAAAGGGAAGTAAGCAAGGGTTGGGTTCTCTGCCTGTTTTGGGTTCCCTCTGCATGACTTGCCCAGTAACCATTGCCTTCCACCATTTCCTCCTTCTGGAAAGAACTCCATTCAATGGTCCTGTGGTCACCACCCTTGGCAAAACCTGCAGAAGAGTTCCTCTTAAATGTCCAACAAGTGGTTTTTGGCTGGGCACAGTGGCTCACGCCTGTAATGCCAGCACTTTGGGAGGCTGAGGTGGGTGGATCACCTGAGGTCAGGAGTTCAAGACCAGCCTGGACAACACGGCAAAACCCCATCTCTACTAAAAATACAAAAAAAATTAGCTGGGCGTGGTGGTACATGCCTGTAATCCCAGCTATGCAGGAGGCTGAGGCGGGAGAATCACTTGAACCCAGGAGGCAGAGGTTGCAGTGAGTCAAGATTGCACCACTGCACTCCAGTTGGGCGACAGAGTGAGATTCCGTCTCAAACAAACAAACAAACAAACAAAGTGGTTTTTAATTGCAGAAGGTAACAAAATTCTTTAAAAAACAGTTATGTAGTCTCTTACCAGTACTTTTTTCCCCCAGTAGAGGTGTAAGACTTGATGGTGCCTAGTTTATATGCCACAAAAACTGATTACTCTGAATGAATATGCTCCTTCCTGAAGCTGCACAAGTGAAATACAGGTCTTCCTAGTCAGGTACTATCCCTTTTAGCCAAAAAGAAATAGGCCTCCTGGAGGAGGAAAATTTCAGTCCACATCTAACGATCCTTCTCTTTCCATAGACTTAGCGAGTAAATTGGTCCCTTCGTTGTGAACCAAGATTACCTCGGTATATAAATCTCCATGTCTTTAACACACTGCTACAAATTCAACTAAGTGGGGCTGTTACAAGCCACTAGTGTTAGCACAACATTGTCTTAAGTGCTGCAGGTCACACAAAAGAAATAGACGATGACCTTGTTTGTTCTTCATCATCCTAACTCCCTTTAGTTCTTTGAGATTTGAAATCAGAATAATATTGCTTCTCTTATCCCTCTAGAAAATTTTAGGAACATAATTTGGATCAAGCCTTAAACACTAATAGAAAGGCATTAATGGAAAACATGAAGCATTTACCCTTGGTGGTACTATCAGTCCATCTCTCTCTGAGGATCAGGGTTATACAATCCCATGATGTAACTTCCCCTATGGTTTTTCAAACATCATTTTAAATTTCAGGCAGTGAACAAGCGAGCCAGTATGGGCTGAATTGGAAGCATTAACAATGTGAGATTTTTACTGATGGAACTCTGAAAGGGGCTCTTTTCAGAAAGCATACAATAAAAGAGTTTTCTAGACAAAAAGAAAATGCACTTCTTACCTCCTACCAACAAGTAGCTGTTGGGAAACAGTGTTTTTGCTTGCATAAGGGCTCTTGCATGACCTGAGTGGAAGAGGTCAAATATTCCATCGGCGTATACTCTGACAGGCCTGTCAGCTGTGGGAGAAAGAAAACACTGTTAACAGAACTGCAGAATGAGGAATCCCAGTTACCTTCTATCAGTCGTAAGAAACTTTCTGGATAAGACACAATCTCTACATACCATCAGTTTCATATCAGTGCACGAAATTGATTTTAAAGGGGTTCTTCTGAAGACATCAAAGCAGAGCAAAAACATAACAAACTTAAGATCAAACCAGGGAACACACTATTTTAGCCAACAGAAGAGACAAAAACAGAGCACTGAGGAGTTCTCTTGACCCAGAGTGGAGTCTAGGTGCCTGAGCCGGCAGAGTCAGCCCAGCTGGAACACGTAGGCAGGAGTAACTGAGGAGCTCAATGGAAAAGGCAAATGGCTTCATCCTTGGGTGTGGCAGTCCTGAATGAAGACCCCAAGTCCCTGTTCTCAAAGGCAACGATGTACTGGAATCTGTTCACATGGCTCACCTTACAACCTTTCTTCCCAACTCCAGGTCACGTTGGTAGCCTGAAGTCAGCCACGATAGAGTGCTTCCACGACAGAAGTTGGCAAATGCTACAAATCAGGGCTTATTTCCCGCTAGAGGACCAGCTGTTAAACCTTTACTAGCATACCACTGCAAGGCCACTCCCTAACCTCTTTGGTATAATAAGAGATTAGGGACATACGCCTCAAAGGGAGGAGAGTCAGGATGTAATGTTGCATGTAGAAGTGGTGCTCAGGGCTGAAGATGAACAACCAACACTATAGTCCTTCCTAGGGAGAAAGGTCAAAAGTGAAGAGGTCACACAGACAGTGGCATCTAGTGCTCTAAAAAGTGCTGTTCCAAGAGGAAGAGGGACACACTTCAGTACAGCACCTCCAGGAACCAGGAGACCAGGATAACACTATTGCTCAGCCAGGCCAAAGACCCATCCCCTTCAAGTCAGAGAGAGAAATTGGGTATAGACTTCCATCAATTTGGTAGACAAAGCAAGTCACAAAATTATTCTTTTTAACTGGTTGGAGGAAGGAAGTTGCAGCTCTGTTATATCCCCATCATGATACTCTGGAAGATGCCTCCTACATTTATATAGAAAATTCTATGTATTTTGCCAACCTTGACACCTTTCTAGACTCTCAACAAAGGAACTAGAATGTGAAAATCCAAGAAGATTCAAAAATGGATGACAGGAGAAAGAAGTAGTTTCTCATATCAAAGTGCTCTCATTCTAAGCACCCTTGTCACCTCATCTCCACGGCTACAAACAACATAGAGACATTTTATTCTTGCAGTGAGAAGGAAAGAGACATATGTGGCCACAATAGTGTTTTTTGTTTTGTTTTCTTTTTTTTTTTCTTTTTGAGACAGAGTCTTGCTCTGTCGCCCAGGCTGGAGTGCAGTGGCGCAATCTCGGCTCACTGCAACCTCCACCTCCCGGGTTCAAGCAATTCTCCTGCCTCAGCCTCCCAAGTAGCTGGGATTACAGGCACTCAGCACCACATCCAGCTAATTTTTGTATTTTTAGTAGAGACAGGGTTTCACCATGGTGGCCAGGCTGGTCTTAAACTCCTGACCTTGTGATCTGCCCACCTCAGCCTCTCAAAGTGCTGGGATTACAGGCGTGAGCTAATAATGTTCTTTAAAAGGAAATACAAAGACCATCAGTTAAATATGGTGAACTGAACATACACATTATCTCTACTTTCTCCCAGAAACACCACAACAATTACTAAGAGTTAAAAGTTACAGAGTTAAGAGTTAAAAGTTAAAGTTAAAAGTTAAGTTAAAAAGATATAATCCTCCCAAGGGCAGAGAAAACAAGAAAGGCAATGACAATGGATGAGAGATGTCAACAACATTATGGAAAGTTGACTGTCAAGTGTTGAGTGCCTACAGGGAATAAGAATCAGGGGTGAAGAAGGTGGAGAAAGGGACCGCTAGTTTTCTTTATAAGCTGGGAGTACTACTGACTTTTAAAAATAGTCGGGCGTGGTGGCTCAAGCCTGTAATCCATGCACTTTGGGAGGCTGAGGCAGGGGTGGATCACTTGAGGTCAGGAGCTCCAGACCAGCCTGGCCAACATGGTGAAACCCTGTTTCTACTAAAAATACAAAAATTAGCCAGATATGGTGGTAGGCGCCTGCAATACTAGCTACTCGGGAGGCTGAGGCAGTAGAATCACTTGAACTCAGGAGGCAGAGGCTGCAATGAGCTGATTGCGCCACTGCACTCCAGCCTGGGTGGCAGAGATAGACCGTGTCTCAAATTATATATATATATATATGCATGTATTACATTGATGTTATAAAAATAAATTTAAAAAAGAAATCAATGCCAACTTCTGTTAAATGATCTTTAAGACTTAGATTTAAAATTGTGATTATTTCTTGATGCAATGCAACCTCATTAATTTGGAACATAAAGAAATGTTACATTAATAGATTCAGATGATACAATGTTTCTAATAAATTAAATTTCTCTAATAAAAAAAGTTGAGAGACTTTATGTCAGATAGGGAATTGCAATTATTTCCAATTATACACAAATTTGAACAAACAGAATTGCCTTCATAGGATTATACTGTATTCTAAATAAGGCACAGTAAATAGAAAATGCTTTGAAATAACAAACTGTCTAATGAGGGAGCCTTGCTTTCAATGTTCTTATTCAATGTGAATTCAATTGAGGAAAATTTGTTTTAAGATATAAACCCCAGGGGAAAGCAGATGGCAGTTTTGTAAAACTTTTTGTTATTGATTCAGAGGTGATCAAGAGAAATGAATTCAGGAAGCAGGGAGGAAAGAAAAGTAAAGAAAGAAGACGTAATTACTGAGAAAAAGGCCATTTAGTAAATCTGAAGAGTATTTACAAAGTTGATTTTGCAATAAGCTCACTTTTAAAAATTGTGGTGTGTCAGCAATTTCCAGACTGTGGGAAATTCTCCAGGACTCCCCTCCCTGCCAAAAAAGGACCCTGATCTTTCATCTCTTCAACAAATAAACTTCAAGGCAAAAAAGAGAGAGAGAGAAAGAAAAAGAGAAATGAAAGGGGGATCTGCAGATTGAAAGAGATTTTAAAAACATATCAACCTACTGTAAAGTATGGACATTATTGGGTTCAAACAAGCTATATATAAATGATGACATAAGATAATTAGAAATTGGAACACTGAATATTTGGTGATATCAAGGAATTATTGTTTTTTCAGGTAAGATCATGATACAGTGGTTATGTTTAATAAAACCAGAGCTCTTATTTTTCAGACATATACACAGAATTCTAGGAAGTCTGGGATTTTGTTTCAAATCATTCAAGAGGACAGAGTAGACAGAGGTGTGCATGGTGCAAGACTGGCCATGGGTTAGTGGTTGTTAGGTATGAGTGACAGGCACAGGAAGGTTCATTATATTGTTCTACTTCTGTGTGTGTTTGAAATACTCTATAATAAAGCTTTAAAAAAAAACAGAGTATGGCTTTTTAGTTTGTATGTTGATCTGTTTTAATCTTTTGTTTGAGATTTTTCTGGATATGCTTTTAGGCATCTGGGGACTCTCCAGAGCATCTATGTGAGATTCCAGAGCATCTATGTGAGATACCACTGACCTGTGAAGCTGGAGGTTTGGCAATGACCAGGAGCCAATTGAAAACAAAAAAAGATGTCAGAGTACAACTATTGCATGGCTATCGTGGAGAGACGTTAAGGTGGCTCCTAATGATCTCTGCCTCCTGGTGCCCATGCCTTTGTGTAATTCCCACCCCTTGAAGTGCGTGTGGGACCTGTAACTTGCTTCTAATCAGTAGAATATGGGAAAGGTGGTAGACATTATTCCCATGATTATGTTACATTATAAGACTCCATCTTGGCCAGGCGTGGTGGCTCACACTTGTAATCCCAGGACTTTGGGAGGCCGAGGTGGGTGGATTACCTGAGGTCAGAAGTTTGAGACCAGCCTGGCCAACATGCTGAAACTCCGTATCTACTAAAAATACAAAAAATTAGCCTGGCGTGGTGGCGGACGCTTATAATCCCAGCTACTTGGGAGGCTGAGGCAGGAGAATCTCTTGAACCCGGGAGGCAGAGGTTGCAGTGAGCCGAGATCACACCACTGCATTCCAGCCTGGGCAACAAGAATGAAACTTTGTCAAAAAAAAACAAAAACAACAACCACAAAAAGAAACAAAAAGGGTCCATCTTGCTAGCAGACTTACTGTCTTTCTGCACTGGTGGCTTTGAAGAAGCAAGCTGCCATGTTGTGAAAGGGCCTATGGAGAGGGCCACATGGCAAGGACCTGCAGGTGGCCTCTAGGAGCTGAGGGTGGCCTCTGGCCGACAACTGGTAAGAAGCTCACCCCTTGATCTTACAGTCACAAGGAAATAAATTCTGCTAACAACCTGAGTGAGCTTGGAAGCAGATCTAACAACAGTTAACCTCCAGATGAGAACTGAGCCTGGGGTGACACCTTAAATGCAGCCTGTGAGACTCATGACGTTTGCTCTTCAAAAGACATTTTTACAAAAATGAAAAGGTGAGTCATAGACTGGGAGAAAATATTTGCAAAATATAGGACTTGTATCTAGAATATATAAAGAACTCTCAAACCTCAGTAAGATGAACAACCCACCACCCAGTTAAATAAAGCAAAAATATCGAACAGACATTTCACTAAAGAAAATAAATACAAGGATGGCAAATAAACACAAGAGAAGATCCTCAATAACATTAGTCATTAGGGAAATACAAACGAAAACCACAATGAGATAACACTTCATACACACTAGAATGGCTAAAAAATGTTTTTTAATTGGCCATACCAAGTGATGGTGAGAATGCAGAGCAACTGGAATGCTCATAAACTGCAGATAGGAATTTAAAGTGGTACAATCGCTTTGGAAAGCAGTTTGGCAGTTGTTTAAAAAGTTAAACACACACCTGCCATACAGCCAAACAGGAGGTAATCACCAACCACGTTACGTTTAAATTCACACTACTGTGGGGTATGTTAGGCGTTTTTTGGTATTTGCTTCAGATTCAAGCAACAATAAAATAGTGATTGATCATCTTTGATTATGGCTATTAACAAGGCTTGGATTGTGGCTATTTTAAGGCATTTAAACAGTACCTTAGAAATACACACAATTCACAAAACACATGTATTTCACTTAATCTTTGCATCAACCCTATGAGGGAGCCAGGTGAAAGTAGACTTATCATTTCATGGATGGGCAAATGGAGGCTCAGTGAAGTTAAGCATCTTACCCAATGTCATACAACCAATTTACGATGATGTTTGAGTGCAAATCAAACTCACCACTCTTTCTTCTACCTTGTTGGTACCTGCTAGAAAACTACATGCTGATATGAATTCTTGTCTTTAAAACAAAACAGAAACTATTATTAAACACCCAGTAATTATGGCAACTAGTACTGTTTTTTGTATAACTGATGTGCAAAAAAAGTGGCACAAGTTAAGCTTTTAAAATCTTATAGTTACATATTTATTTTATATAATTTATGTAGTTTTATATAAACTTTGTAGTTACCTTCTGCTTATCATTAGCCATTGCTACTAGCTAATGATACTATTTTCTGTAAATGATAGTGATTGATGTTTGCTTTTTAAAATACATTAAAGTTTTAGAACAGTGAGTATATGTAAAGAAAAATTATTAAGTAAATTACATCACAGATGATACATGAATAAGGCAGATTCATTAAGGCGGCTCTTGAAAAATGTAGTCAGGGAAATTCTACACACTGTGGAAACAGATAATACAAACTTCCTTTTTGAAAAGGAAAGTAGAAAATCAGAACCGAGATTCCCTTTAAGAAAAGTCAGTTTAGGGCCGGGTACAGTGGCTCATGCCTGTAATCCCAGCACTTTGGGAAGCTAAGGTGGATAGATGGCTCGAGCCCAGGAGTTTGAGACCAGCCTGGGCAGCATAGTGAAACCCCATCTCTACAAAAAATACAAAAAATAGCCAGGCATGGTGGCACATGCCTGTGGTCCAAGCTACTTGGGAGGCTGAATTGGGAGGATTGCTTGGGCCTGGGAGGTTAAGACTGCAGTGAGCTGTGATTGCAACACTGCACTCCAGCCTGGGTGACAGAGCAACAACCTGTCAAAAAAAAAAAAAAAAAAAAAAAAAAAAGAAAGAAAGAGAGAAAGAAAGAAAGAGAGAAAAGAAAGGCAGTTTTAATGAAAAGGAACCTATGAAACAATCTCCTGGACTTTTCCTTTATGTCAAGACAGGATTTATTCTCCATGCATCAGAATACATACAACACTGTGTATGTGCACAGCTCCACAGCTGGACTAGCTAAGACCAAAGGTGCCGATTCTGATTGCTTTTTTGATTTATTCTGTTCTTTCTCTTGAAGTTTCATCACCCTTGTGACCTCACAAACAAGGTCAAAAAGCTAAGAGCTATGGGCAGAGTTTGTCATTACCTCTTCTAGAATTTGTACCCCCAGCCCCTGTTTGGGCAGTTCTAAATTTGTAAAACACATTTTAGGCAATTATATTATGTCATAAAATATGGCTAGTGTAGGAGATGGTAAGAGAGTCCAGTTATAGCTATAATCTAGGCCAGGCACAGTGGCTCATGCCTGTAATCCCAATACTTAGGGAGGCTGAGATGGGCAGATCACTTGAGTCCAGGAGTTCAAGACCAGCCTGGCCAACATGGCGAAACCAGCTCCACTAAAAATACAAAAGAAAAACAAACAAAAAACTATAATCTTGAAGAGCATTATCAAATACCAAATTCTGCTATGTTTTGTCTTTTTTGAGGGCACGCTCAAGACAGTGCCACAAACAGGTAAATTGCTTACTACCCTTGAAACCAAACCCTTCTTGAAACTCTTGAAACCAAACCCTTCTTGACCAAACCCTTCTTGAAACTCTTGAACAAACCCTTCAAAAAAGTAACGTTTTTCTTGTTTTCTTAAATGGTAATCAAACAGCAAGATTCTTAAAAATTCTCCGAGCTTTTCTGCTAACAGTACAATGCTCCAACAATTATGATATTGGATAATCTCCCTACCACTCCTTCTAACCACTGCCGACAGTTGCTCTTATGCTGTGGTTCTCAAAGTGTGGTCCCAGGACTAGTAGCAGCAGCAGCATCACCTGGGAACACGCCACCACGCCTGGCTAATTTTTGCATTTTTAGTAGAGATAGGGTTTCACCATGTTGGCCAGGCTGGTCTTGAACTCCTGACCTCAAGTGATCCACTCGCCTCGGCCTCCCAAAGTGCTGGGATTACAGGCATGAGCCACCGCCCTCGGCCTGATATTTGAAGTTCTAAATAAAGAAATTTCTAACACAAGTACCCTGGCTAGGTACTCATCAACATCACGGATTTTCTTAGATAATTTCCCAGGGTCATCACCTCAGGTTAGTGGGCAGAATTTCTCTTCTAAAGATCAGGAGTTCATCTTTGTTCCATCTCACTCCCCCTCTAATGACCTGTATTATTTCAAAATACACCACCATCTTATTACTGCTTAAACTGCTTGGCAGCAGGCAATGTACAGGTGCCCAATTTCACCCAGTTAGCTTGATACCAGCTCAAAATGCCAGAACAAACTCTCTCTGCTTCTATTTCCAGAGGAAGAACTACTTCTCTTGTCCCACACTTTTTTTTTTTTTGAGGTGAAGTTTCATTCTTGTCGCCCAGGCTGGAGTGCAGCGGCTCGATCTCAGCTCACTGCAACCTCTGCCTCCCAGGTTCAAGAAATTCTCCTGCCTCAGCCTCCCAAGTAGCTGGGACTACAGACATGCACCACCACACCTGGCTAATTTTGTACTTTTAGTAGAAACAGGGTTTCATCATGTTGGCCAAGGTGGTCTCAAACTCCTGACTTCAGGTGACCCGCCTGCCTCCAAACTTTCATTCATTCACTCACAAAATATTTATTGACCGCAGCGTATGCAACAAGTATTTCTCTAGATGCTGATGAAACAGCAGTGAGCATGGCATAGTCCTGCCACTACAGAAGATCACAGCTACTGTCTGAGCATGTTTTCACTTAGCTCCATGGCCTGCTGTGGACCATGATTCATAAGGCAGATCGTTGCAGTAGGCAAAGCAGGGGTTTGAGGCAAAATGGACTTGGGGTCAAATTCCAGCTCTACCCAGTCAACTAGGACACTTGACAAGTTACTTTTCAGTTCTGCAAGTCTCCTTTGTCTCCTCTTTAGAAAGGATACAATAATAGTCATCTCACATGGTCTTTGCAAAGAGTACAGAGCATCACATCGAGCAGATATATACAGATATATAGTAAGTTCTACTTCCCTTTCCTTTCCCTAGAAAGGTAGAGGCCCTTTCAGTTTGGGCCTGATGCTCACCCTTTAACTTTAGGTCAAGTCTGTTTTCTTCATAACCACCTGGACTTTTTTTTTTTTTTTTTTTTTTTTAAAAAAACAGAGTCTTGCGCTGTCGCCTAGGCTGGAGTGCAGTGGTGCGATCTCGGCTCACTGCAACCTCTGCCTCCTGGGTTCAAGCGTTTCTCCTGCCTCAGCCTCCTGAGTAGCTGGGATTACAGGCATGCGCCACCACGCCTGGCTAATTTTTTGTATTTTTAGTAGAGACAAGGTTTCACCATGTTGGCCAGGCTGGTCTCTAACTCCTGACCTCAGGTGATCTGCCCGCCTCAGCCTCCCAAAGTGCTGGGATTACAGGCATGAGCCACCACGCCCGGTCAGCCACCTGGACTTTTATTTGGCATCCCTTGGATATATTGCTGGGTTGGTATTTCTGTGTGTGGTCTCCAGACCACTAACTTTAGAATCACCCTGACTATCTGTTTAAAATGCAGATGGCTTGCCTGGGCCCCATCCCAGATTTGGGAAGAAGGGAATGAAACAGGAAATCTGCTTGTTTAACAAGCATACCAGGTGATTCTTTGTACACTAAAGCCTGGGAACAACAGCTTTGGCTGCTCTGTGCTACCTCCCCAACCTTGTTTTGCCTTTTTCAAAAGCAGCTCACACGAAAGCTTCCTAACTCTGCCTACTCTGCTCCTCACTTCACTCTATTGAAGGCTATTCTTATAGGAAGCACAGTGTCATGGTTGAGAGGTCAAGCTCTAAGACCAATAGGTTTGAGACCAAATCCCAACTTTACCACTTACCAATGGTTCTCCCAGTGTGATCCCTGGAGCAGTAGCATCACCTGGAAACTTGTTAGAGATGTAACTTCTTGGGCCCCACCCCAGTTGGACTGAATCAGAAACTCTAGGAGTGGAACCCAGCCATCTGGGTTTTAAGAAGCCCTCTAGTAGATTCTAATGCAGGCTCCAGTGTGAACCACTGCCACTTAGTAGTGAATGACCTTGTGCAGATTCACAACTTCTCTAAACCTTCATTTCCTCATCTGTGAAATACTAAAACTACTAATCACATAGAGTTGTGATAGTGAAATGACATGATACATATAAAGATCTTAATACATAGTAAGTACTTAATAAGTATCCATTATTATTGTTAAGCAAACTGTTCTTCATTCCATGGATTCTCTTAAGTTTGGTTTGTTTGTTTTTTTTTTTGTTTGTTTTCTGCAATGGCAACTAGAAACCATAGAGTTATGCCATGTTATTTTATTTTATATTATTATTATTTTTTTTTTTTTGAGACAGAGACTCACTCTGTCACCCAGGCTGGAGTGCAATGGTGTGATCTCGGCTCACTGCAACCTCCACCTTCTGGATTCAAATGATTCTCTCACCTCAGCCTCCCGAGTAGCTGGGATTACAGGTGCCTGCCACCACGCCTGGCTAATTTTTGTATTTTTAGTAGAGACGGGATTTCACCATGTTGGCCAGGCTGGTCTGGAACTCCTGACCTCAAGTGATTTGCCTGCCTCAGCCTCCCAAAGTGCTGGGATTACAGGCATGAGCCACCGCGCCCGGCCGAGTTATGCCATGTTAAATGGCTTAAAGTTTACCTGTTCAACTAGTCTTATTTTTCACCCCATCCCAATCAACTAAAACAACACTCACTCCTACACAGCTGTCTATTTCTGTCTTCACTATTCCTCTTCCACCTGTCTGCAATACCTTTGCATCTTCTGCCCACACAGTCCAAATCTTAGTTCTCCTAAAATGTCTGTTCTGCTCCCTCCCGGAAGTCTTGCATGATCACTCAGGCCAAATGAATCTGCCATTCTCTAAGAATCAGTTATCATCTGTGTTGCAGGTTTTAACCCCTAAGCACCTGCACACATGCTACTAATGTTTTTTATTTCACATCTAGTTGTCTTGTCTCTTGAAAAACAGATGGTACCTTATAATTCTTTCCAAATCTCTTCCCTATCCATCCTCTGGCATAATGCTAAAGGGATGAATGAATGAACAAACTTCTATAGCACAACCCACTCTTTTTAAGGCACACTAGAAACTTTTTTTAAAAAATGCATACTTTTAAGAATGGCAATAATTATAGTAGCTTAGGTTTGTATATGCCTTCATGGTTTTAAAAATGCTTTGGTACTTTTGATGAATCTAGTTATCACAGAAACCTTGTGAGGTAGGTATTGTTATCCCTGTTTTAAGGAAACAGATTCAGATCTTTCTAGTGACTTGCCCAAGGCTGTAGAACTAACAAGTGACAAAGCTGGGGCTCAAACTCCCTGTATTCTGATGCATCTTTTTCTTGGCTCCTTTGGTTGGTCTGGTTTATCACTGCTAGTGTTTACCCTTCTTTACCCTTGCACTGCGTTATAATCTCTAAGTTCAACTCTCTGCTTGAAAGCAAGTGCTGCACAAATAATGATGGGCCTTTCTGATACTTTTTTTTTTTTGAGATGGAGTCTTGCTCTGTTGCCCAGGCTGGAGTGCAGTGGCGCAATCTCGGCTCACTGCAATCTCCACCTCCCGGGTTCAAGCAGTCCTCCCACCTCAGCCTCCCAAAGTAAGTAGCTGGTACTACAGGCGTGCACCACCACACCTGGCTAATTTTGTATTTTTAGTAGAGATGGGGTTTCACCATGTTGGCCAGGCTGGTCTCAAACTCCTGACCTCAAGGTGATCCACCCACCTCAGCCTCCCAAAGTGCTGGGATCACAGGCATGAGCCACCACGCCCGGCCCCTTTCTGATACTTTAAAATGTCAAGACAGGGCCCATTTAAGACAAAGAAGTACAGCCTCACCTGGTGTTCCTAAGCGGGCCTGAGCAATGGTCAGTTTTTCATGGGGTGCTTGACACTGGCAGTTGGTTTCATCAGCAAATGGGGCAGGTGCAGTCAGGGTCTAGAAGGGAGAAAAAGAAAGGGAATACAGTCTGACAAACTTTCCTTTGGCACTAACTTCCTCTGAAGTTTTATTCCTGTTGGCTACACAGGTATGATTAAGAAGTCAAATATATCCACTGAGTCTCAGAGAAATACTGTACTGTTAGACATAAAAATAGGGCATCATCACTGAAACCTTTTGGTTTGTTTTTTACTGATGCTTCAGAAATAACAAAAGCTCTTCAGTGTCTATAGTATGCCAGGTACTAGATGAGATACTCTGCTGTTATCTCTTTTAGGCTTCGCAGCACCCCGTGATGAATAGATACTTCTATCCTTCTAGAGCATAGGATAATACTATCCCTATTTCACAAAAAGGAAACTGAGGCTCATTAGAGTTAAGAAATACGCCAAGTCATGCCCTTGGAAAGTCACAATGCCCAGCTTCGAACATTTCACAACCGAGGGCAGTCTTCAAACATTTAGACTCACCCACACCCAGGAGACTTGGCTGGAAAGAGTGCCATACTCAGAAGCGTGGCACGCCATCTCCTATATTTCACACACACCAGCTTGGCCAATGACAAACTCTGATGTCTCTTTCAATGCAAAGGCCAAAGCTGTTATCTGTGCCTTGGGAAGGCTTAAAAGCACAGCAATTTGGGCAGGCTGCAGATGACTTCTCCTGTGGTAGCTTCAACAGCGACTAGCGGCTAGAGGCCCTGCCCCAGGCAGCTTGGGCTGGGGCTCTGGGGAACGCTGTGAGAAAGATGTAGTCACTTGGAAGCCTGCCCAGAAAGTGGCCCTGCATTTTTTAGTCAGCCTCTTAAAATGAAAACCTCACTCTCTCCAGACAAAGCAAGCGGTGTTTTTGTAAACAAGGCAAATGCAATCCAGAGTTGTCCATTTGTAGTCTTTGAACTGTGCCGTGATTGCAGTCACCACTACATCATCTTTGTGATTTTTAAAGCTAAAGTGGATCAGTCATGGTAAACATTATTCACTGTGCTGTATCAATTGTTTCTTAGAGATGGAGACAGGTTAAGATGTGTTCCTTAACCTGGGGACACTAGACTGAAGAATGATCCATACATTTGGACAGGGGCTATGACTCACTTCTGCCATTTATTTATCCATTCACTCACTCATTCAAATAAGTGGCAGGCACTATCTTGGAATCTGGGGATAGAAGTAGGGATAAGACCAATAATCCCTGCCCTTGGGGAGCCCCCATTCTCTGCACTGACGAGAACCGATCCCTCCCCTGTCCCCATCCCCTCTCCCCATTGCAGTCCCTTCCACCCTAGAAGCTCAATGTTGTCTGGAGGCCTCCCAGTTATCTGAGATTTTCTTAGCCCTCACCTTCTCCTCCAGGGCTCTGGAAGCAAACCAAGACTTGGGACAAGGATTCAGGAAACTTGGGTTCACTATTCGTTCTTTTTCAGATACATTATGGCGACCTCATAGGCTGTGGTAGACCACAGTGGCATTTGTAATGTAGCAAAGGGGTGCAGTGACAAGAACAAAAACTCTGTATCCACAAACCCCGGGTTCAGATCCCCTCTCCAGCACTTACTAGCCATGTACTTTAATTTGGCTCTTCTGGTTGAAAGGAACTGACACTCACTAACAGACACTCACTAACATTAGCTCAAAGGATGGAGGATTTCTTTTAAGACTACCCTGGAACTGAAACTGTGGAAAAGCAGGAAAGGGGCAGAATGTGGCCCCAGAGAAGGTGCTCTGCACCAACTTGGCTGCTCTCTGCACATGATCCTTTCTGTCCCACCCCCACTGACTCCATTTCCTTCCACTGCATTAAAGCCGCTGCTTGCTTTCCACTGCCCCACAGCTTCAGCTCTAATAGGCCGGCCCATCATGGCCTCCTCAGCCTCTCTTCACAACACTCATTTAACAACTTTCCATTGTGCCTTTCAGCCCTAGACTCCTACCAACTTATTGACTCTTTCCATGTTTCCCAATTCAAATTCCTAAGGGAGAATCTGATTGGCCAAGTTCATCTTTTCAAATCAGGCCTTAACCAGGATTGGCTGGCGTTCGGTCAGGCGCCCACCCTGGGGCCCAACAGATGTGGTGAGGAAAGTCATGAGTGACCCACCACTACCACTTCAGGAGGAGCTATACTTGAGGCAGGAAATATTTTTGACTTTGTGTGCTTAAAAGCAAGTTCCTTAACTTATTTGAACCTCAGTTTCATCTATAAAATGGGCTATTCATTTTGCAAGGCTGTTGTGAAAAGCAGAGATAATATGTGTAACATACCTGGTACTTAATAAACTGTAGCTATTATTACTGCTATTATTATTCACTATTATATATAATATGATATAATAATAGATAATATAGTTACCCACAGAAACAAGCAAATTGACTCATTTTTATTTATTTTTTATTTATTTATTTATTTTGAGATGGAGTCTCACTCTTTCTCCCAGGTTGGAGTGCAGTGGTGCGATCTCACCTCACTGCCACATCCGTCTCCTGGGTTCAAGTAATTCTCCTGCCTCAGCCTCCCAAGTAGCTGGGACTACAGGTATGAACCACCACACCTGGCTGCAAATTGACTTATGAATGGACTTTTAGCACACAACCCAAATGGATAAATGGATTGGCAAGTGGGATTAGCTTACATTAATGATTCATTACCTTTTAATATATGTGGGCAATGAACCTTTTTCACATGACCTAAAATAAATTACTATTTGGAGATCTTGTATGTGCTACTCACAAAGTTTATTAAAGAGGAGATAAGGTGTTGCCATTTTCCAAGAATGGTGTGTTCTTGATGGTGTGAAATCTGGTAATTAAAACAGAGATAGGGAACGTTGTAAAGCAACAATAGTTACTCAAAGGGGAAGAAAAGGTTTATATGCACCGTGCATTTTGTTCTTAATTATTATGGCCTAGAAGTAGGAAAGAAGGAGAAACAAAGAGATGGAAGGCAGAGAGAATTCCTAAATGTGCGAATGTGTTTGTGTTTGCATGTGTGCACAGGTGACTATCTTTAACAGCAGTTGATATGGAGAAGAGCTATTTCTTGTTATGTATAAAGCAATGTGCTCAGAATGGGGAGAATGAAAAAATAAATGAGCCACAGCCTTGCTGTCCAGAACATTGCTTTCTAAAGCACAGCAGGGTACTTCTTGAGTTGATCAAGCTCTGCATTCAGGAAGACTTTGGTTAAGGCCCAGCTACTACCAACCAGCCCGGTGACCTGAGACAATGTTTTTTCAGTCCAAACACACCAGATTACAATTAAAAAAAAACTCCTTCTCTGAGCCAGAACAAATCATTTGCTTTATAAAAAATTCTATGCTCCTTAGGTTCTGTCTCTTCCATATACTAGAGGCAGATCAACTTCAGGACAATGTGAGTAAGATAGAGGCTTCTGGGAGGGGCAGGAACTGAACTAACTTCACCATTTGCCAAAGCTGAGATGCTTCCAGGGATCCTCTGGTGTAGACCCTACATAAAACTAAGGCCTGATAACATAAGGTAATAGCTAAATCTTTGAGTACCTACTTAGTGCCATGTATCCATCGATATACTAAGCACTTTAAATGTATTTGCTCATTTAATTTGTACAACACCTCTGTGAGGTAGATATTATCTTCACTGAACCAGTCTTCAAGGTGACACCAAGTGACAGCAAGAAGCAACAGCAGTGGTAGATCCCTCAAACTCAGTTACCTTTTTGGCTCCCTGTGAGCTGAGGAAACCCTCAGGATTTTTAGACTATAGGGATGGAAAAACCTCGAAAAGGGGATACATGATTTCCTGATAGAGAAGGGGTAACTCAAACAATTAACTGAAGAAATAAAAGCATGTAACCATATTTTTGGCCAGACTTAATGAAGTAGGTCAAATGACTTGCTTGTAGTTATTTGCAAGCCTCAGGTTAGACTTTAAATCAGCCAGATCACATTTTGTAGTGTTTATTAGCACATGATACATGTTTAATATGATGCTAGGGGTTTGGAGGATAGAGAAATGGAGGAGAGAGATAAGAAAGGCAGGAACAGAATTGGCTTTGCAGCAGCAATCTTCTAAAGTGAAGAATGACCGTTTTAGAATGGGAGAAGGTATTCGTTTGAAAGGGCATGTTCATGTTCATGTTCAGTTTTCAATAACGTCAGATTTGGGGAAAACCACTACTCTTTTGAGCATGAAAATCATAGAAACTAAGCTTCTGAACTTGTGAAGATCACAGAAGACAGACTATGCCCTTCTAGAGAGCCATATTCCAAATTTGGGGTTTGGTTGGCACATGAGATTTACATATATATATATATATATATATATATATATATATAACTTTAAATTCTAGGGTACATGTGCACAACGTGTTTAGCAGAAGACAGCAAGGATCATAAAGGGTTAAGAAGCCCTGGCCCAGTGCCCTGGACCTCACATATGCAAGGGCCTTGCCAGACCACAGACTTGGAGCTAGGTTGCAATAAAACTTCTTTCTACCTAATTGAAGATTTCAAAATACTCAGTCATTACAAGGTGAATATGTTACCCATTTGTCACATAAGTTCTGGTTATATAAACTATGCCATAGAATCATACCAAAGCCACATTTCATCAGGCTTTTAAAGAAGACATTATATGTTGAGCATTTCATGTATAGAATCTCTTCAGTTGGACATTGTCAAATATTTACTTAAAACAAAAGCTATTAGGTACTGGACAATGGACAATGCAAATATTACTTAAGTGCAAAAAAATGGTTGCTAGAACCTGCACTTATGCAATGTACATCGCTGACTGACAACTGGACCAATCAGACAACAAGCTAATCAACCAATCAGAACTTAGCACAGTACTGCTGATGGTGATAGGCCAACTGCAGAGTTGCTTGTTTAAGCTAAGCTATACTTTTTTTTTTTTTTTTTTTTTTGAGACAGAGTCTCGCTCTGTCGCCCAGGCTGGAGTGCAGTGGCGCAATCTGCTCACTGCAAGCTCCACTTCCCGGGTTCATGCCATTCTCCTGCCTCAGCCTCCCAAGTAGCTGGGACTACAGGAGCCCGCCACCACACCCGGCTAATTTTTTGTATTTTTAGTAGAGACAGGGTTTCACTGTGTTAACCAGGATGGTCTTGATCTCCTGACCTCGTGATCCGCCCGCCTTGGCCTCCCAAAGTGCTGGGATTACAGGCATGAGCCACCGCGCCCGGCCAAGCTAAGCTATTCTTAACTCCAGTGGGGCAATCCCGTCAGACAGGCCTGAGTTCAAATCCTACCTCCATTATTTAATATCCCTTTCCTATTTTTACATTTGATTTTTAGCAAATTGCTGGTTCTTAACCTCTCAAGCCTTAGTATCCTTGTTTATGAAAGGAGGATAAGCTGTTGTGAGGATTAACTAAAAGAATGTGTGGGTAATAAATATCTTCCCTTTTGCCTCTCCAGAATCCACTCTCTTTCTACCCTTCTCTATGCTTTTCCTCTACTCTTTTCTGTATGGCTTCCCCAATGGACTGCACCAATGGGATCTCTGCCTCCTGCTTCCAGTTGGTTGGGAAGCGTGCAAAACAGTGGAGGTCAGGACAAGAGTGAGCTCAGGGTATTTGTCTCCCTGGCTTCCTCTCTGCTAGGAAGCAGTGTGTTGGTTCTGTCCTTTTACCAAAATTCACAGCTTCTGTGAGGGGGTCCTCTTTATAGAGCTGTCTGTGTGAGGTTCTGGTAACCACACTCACCCCTTGCCCCTACCAGCCTGGGGGATGGCAATCCCCCATTGTTTCTAGGCCAAGGATACTATACTATTCCTTGAGGTTTCCTTAAACCCTGCCCATACCTTTGTAAGTATTACCTTTATTAAACTCTCTTTCAATTTCACCTTTAGAGTGAGCCATCTGTGTCTTGACAGAGCCTTGGTTAATACCGTGTCTATAACAGTTTGTCAGGCTCAAACATTAGCTAGAAAATGCTGATGAGGTATGTTAGAAGCATAGAAATCAATTGAAAAGTGAATTACCCAGAGTAACTAAAGTTATAACCATCTCAAGAATGTCTCTGGTAGAAAAGAATTTTACAAAGACAGAACATTTTAATCAGGATATGCAAAAAAAGATAAGAACAGGACTTCAGAAAGAATCTACTTCTTCCAGGTAGGCCTTTTGCTGTGAAACTCATCAGCTTTAGAACCACAAATTCAGAATTACAAAAAGACATCACAAAATCTAATCCAGCAGCCTCATACTGTTAGGTTTATATTTACTTGTTTCTGAACATATTTTTAAAACCTTATTTATTGTGGAGTCAGAATATTTTGTCTTTTGAAGATAGAGAGGACAGAAAAAAATAGATAATATAGTTAACCATGGGCCCAACACACACGAATCACTGGATTCTTAGACTGTGTCACTGATTATGTAGACTCTTAAATCAGGCAGCTGGTGCAAAGTCATCACCAATAAATGTCACTGGAGAGAAGAAAAAAGAGGCCCAGTATGTGGTTCAGCACCAAGAAATATCCATTTTTTTCATTTAGTTATGTATGGAATGTACATGTTATAAGTAACAGGCACCATTGAAAACAGCAAGACAGATACGTATGTACTGACAGGGAATTATATCTAAGACATTTTGTTGAATGCAAAAAGCAAGTCACAAAGCAATATGTATAATATGTATGTATACATGCTATCTAGTATGATGTCATTTATAGTAAAAAGAGAGAGAAGGGGGAAGAGAGAGAAAAAGAAGAAAAGAGAGAGGTAATTGTGTAGAAATAGTTTAGGGACAGGCGCGGTGGCTCATGCCTGTAATCCCAGCACTTTGGGAGGCCAAGGCAGGTGGATCGCCTGAGGTCAGGAGTTCAAGACCAGCCTGGCCAACATGGTGAAACCCTATTTCTACTAAAAATACAAAAATTAGCCGGGTCTGATGGCACACACCTGTAATCCCAGCTACTTGGAAGGCTGAGGCAGGAGAATTGCTTGAACTTGGGAGGCGGAGGTTGCAGTGAGCTGAGATCACGCCACTGCACTCCAGCCTGGGTGACAAGAGTGAAACTCTGTCTCAAAAAAACAGAAAAAAGAAAAGAAAAAGAAATAGTTTAGAACTGTGCTAATATGGTAGCCATTAGTCACATGGGGCTATTTAAATTCAAATTATAATTAATTAAAATTAAATAAAATTAAAAGTAGTTTGTCATTCACATTAGCCACATTTCAGGTGCTCAATAACCCATGTGACTACTGGGTACTATACTGGGCAATGCAGATATAGAACATTTCTATCATCACAGAAAGTTCTACTGGACAGCACTGGACTTGAATGATACACATTGAATTGTTAATTGGGGTTACCTCTTGGGAAGGAGATAATATTTTGAGAGAAGAGATGAAGAGATTTCATTGTTTATTCCATATATGTCTGTCATTTTGTTTTATTTTTAAAATGAGAATGCATTCATGCAATGTTCATAATGCAAAAATAAATTTAAAGAAATATCTCCTCTCCTTTAAATTCAGAGATGCAGAAAATTTAATCAAGGCTCAGGTCTCCCAAATGTAGCAGGGATGGGGGAGGGAGGTCTATATTAAGAAAAGAGGAGTATTTTGAAAAATAAAAACTATTATCCAGAAATTAACTGTTAAATGATATGATTTGCAGGTATATGGAATATTTAAAACTCATTTGAGCTTTAAAAAATTTTTAAATTACTTTCATGGTATCTACCCGTAATTCATTTTTCTAACATCAGACAAACACTTTTTGAGTCCTTGCTGTGTGCCAGGCACTGTTCTAGCTTCTGAGGATACAACAGGGAACAAAACAAAACAAAAAATTTTGCCCTCATAACACTTAAAAATAATAAACAAGCAACAAAAAAGAACATAAAACATGTAGTATTTTAGTTAAAGGGTGATTAAGTGTTATAGAAAAAAATAAGGCAAGGAAAGGGAATAGGGAGTGTTGGGGGTATCACTGTAAATAGGATAGTCAGAGAAGTTGATGTATGTGTAAATATATAAAGGATCAAGTGAGCCATGTGGAGAAAGAGCATTCCTGGCAGAGAAAACAGTAAGGGCCAAGGCCATGAGGCATGAACATGCCTGGCTTCTTCCAGGAATAACTAGAAGGCCAGTATGCTTGGAGGAAGCGAGCAAAAAAGAAAAGATGTAGCCAGAGGTGAGACCAGAAGAAAGGAGATGAGAGGCACCCAGTCGTGTGAGCTTTTTAGGACACTGTAAAGACTGGCTTTCACTCTAGGGAGATGGGAGCCATCAGAGCGTTTCGTTTTGTTTCGTTTTTGAGAGGGAGTCTCACTCTGTTGCCCAGGGTGGAGTGCAGTGGCGCGATCTCGGCTCACTACAACCTCCGCCTCCTGGGTTCAAGAGATTCTCCTGCCTCAGCCTCCCAACTAGCTGGGACTACAGGCGTGTGCCACCACACCTGCCTAATTTTTGTATTTTAAGTAGAGACAGGGTTTCGCCATGCTGGTCTCGAACGCCTGACCTCAGGTGATCTACCTGCTTCAGCCTTCCAAAGTGCTGGGCATCAGAGCGTTTTGAACAAGGCATGATAATGATCTGACTTAGCTTTAACAAGACCATCTGGCTAATGTGTTGAGAATAAACTGTAAGAGGTCAAAGGTAGAAACAAGAAAACCACTGAGGTGTCTGGTGTAATAATCAGGCAAAAGAAGACAGAGGCAGGGGTCAGGGTGATCGCAGCGGAGGTGGTAAGAAGTGGTCAGATTCTGGATAGATTTTGGATCCATAAAACTTGAAACAGATTGGATGTAGGGTGTGAAAGAATGAGAGGAATCAGGATAATTCCAAAGCTACTGGCCTGAAGAACTGGAAGGATGGCATTGCCATTCCCTAGGAGGGGTAAAACACTGGAAGAGTAGGTCTAGGGGTGGGAGGGACAACAAGGATGGGGAAATTAACAATTCCATTCTCACAGATTTGGTTTGACACACCTATTAGATCTCCAAGTGGAGATGTCAGGTAGACAGTTGGATGTATAAGTCTGGTGTTTGGGAGAAAGGACTAAGCTAGAGATGCAGGTTTAGAAACTGAGAGAGTATGTGATATATAAAGCCATTAGACTAGATTCACTCATTCAGCTCAGGGCATGGATGCAGGTAGAAGAGAGGTCCAGGTCATCAGATGAGGAAACATTGTATATTTAAGCTCCGTCTCTCCCTGCTATTAGGGAAGCTCTAAGAAAGCAAGGACTTGGTCTGTCTACTCATTGCTATATCCCTATTCCCCAGGGCAGTACCTGGCATATAGAAGGTCCTTAAGAATATTTGCTGAATGGGGGAATTTAAAGTCACAGGAGTGAGAATGATAATTGATAAAGACAAATACAGACTTTAAACTCAATAATAAAATAAATATATTTGTCAATCTTTCATAGCTTTTTCTTATCATCATCATAATATATATTATAGAAAATTTGGGAAAGTTAAGAGAGGAAAATAAAAGTCACCAATAATTCTTTCTACTTCCCAGAGACAACTATAGTTAACTCCTTCTATATTTCATTTTAGGCTTTCTGGTATGACATATATACATATTAACAAGTTTGGAATCTTGCCGGATAGACAGTTTTTTTCACTCAATATATCATGATTATCTTATCATGTCACTTAAATAGTTTTCAACCTCACTAATTTTGATAGCTGTAAAACATTTCACTGAAAAAGAACCGTAATTTAAATACTTCTCCATCATTGAATATTAAATTATTTATACTTTACTAATATAAATAACATGCTAAACATAATTCTGAACCTCTGATTATTTCCTTATAACAGATGCCTAGAAACTGAATTACTTAGATCAGGGGTATGAACATTTTAAAGATAAATATTTGAAGAACATTTCAACATGTATTGGTAAATTGCCTCCTACAAAAGCTGTATCATTTATACTCACATTACAACGTATGAAAGCACCTATCTTGCTGCCATCTCACTGGCATTGAGTATTACCTTTGTCAATTTTATAGACCAAAAAATGGTAGCATGCTGTTTCAATTTGCATTATTTTGATTACAAAAAGATTGAACATTTTTCAAATGTTTATTGGCCATTTGTATTTTCTTCAGAGAATAATCTGTCCTTTGCCTATTTTTCTATTGTTGAGAATAAGTATCTTGAAGTTGGTTAAAACTAAAACAAGAGCACAGTTTAAAAATTATCTTAAATATCTTTTAAAAACACATTTTCCAGGCTGGGCTCAGTAGCTCACGCTTGTAATCCCAGCTCGTTGGGAGGCAGAGGCAGGCAGATCGCCTGAGTTCAGGAGTTCGAGAGCAGCCTGGGCAACATGGCGAAACCCTCTCTCTATGAAAAATTAGCTAGGCATGGTGGTGTACGCCTGTAGTCCCAGCTACTCTGGAGGCTGAGGTGGGAGGATTGCTTGGTCCCCGGAGGTCAAGCCTGCAGTAAGCTGTGATTGCATGCCACTGCACTCCAGCCTGGGTGAAAGAGTGAGACCCTGTCTCAAAAAAAAAAAAAAAAAAAAAAAAAAAAAAACAACACGTATTTTCCAACTTTATTTAGAGTTCCCACATAATAAGTTCATTTTTTAAACCAGTAAACCAGTGCCTGAATGCTCACATCTAGGTCAGCTTAGTACATACTGCCCTTTTGGTGATCAGAGATCAGAATTTTTATTATGCCCTGGAGATACAGGCTTCCTTAAAACACTGACCACTTATAAACCAAACTCCATCTCATGCGGCCACTTTCCAACCTCACAGCAGTGAGTGAATATCAAATAGCTAGAAGACTCATAGTACTATAAGTAAAGTCACATTTCATTGATTCTAAAATGTACATTTCTCCCCACATTTTAGCATCTCTGAGAGTAGGAGGGATCTTACAATAGATATTATCTTAAAATCAGTGTTGGCCATTTTTTCACATTGTAACACCATTGAAATGGAAGTGCAACTTACCATGAATAGCCTCTTAGACTCATTAAATGCATAGATGCTATTAACAATAGAAAACAATCTTTACCAAGATATAAAAATTCCACATTCTAAATAATTTTTTCTTAGATAATTGAATTTAAGTTTATAGTGAACATCAATAACAATGTTATATCATATTCATATTCCACCTCCTTCCCCAAAGAACTTGAGGTGATTTTAAAAATAAAATTTGAAAGTTTAAAATAATAGTTGCAAGATCTGGGGTGAGGAGGAGAAATATGTTTTTTGATGTTTTTTGTTTGTTTGTTTGTTTTGTTTTGAGACAGAGTCTCGCTCTGTCACCCAGGCTGGAGTGCAGTGGCGCGATCTCAGCTCACTGCAACCTCCACCCCCTGAGTTCACGCCATTCTCCTGCCTCAGCCTCCCGAGTAGCTGGGACCACAGGTGCCCACCACCACGCCCGGCTAATTTTTTGTATTTTTGCTAGAGATGGGGTTTCACCGTGTCACCCAGGATGGTCTCGATCTCCTGACCTCGTGATCCGCCCGCCTTGGCCTCCCAAAGTGCTGGGATTACAGGCGTGAGCCACCACGCCCAGTCAAAATATGTTTGTTTTCTAAAGGTCAGGGGTGAAATGAGCCCAAAGAAATGCATATCACAGTCCTCTATATTTCAAAAAGGTAAGACTACAAAAATGGCTTTAAGCTCCCAGTAGTCACAGCAAAGAGGAAAACAAAGTTAATGTTGTCCTTAAGCACAAAGCAAAATAGCTATTGAGGAAAAAGCACAGCATTTTCCTGATGCTGAGTTCTGAGAGAAATTCCTCCCGTGGTGCCACCTTAAAGGGTATGATGGGTAATACTGTAGTAACATCGGTACTGATACACTCAACAACAGCCCCCTAGTACAGAAAGTCCTGTTTTTGTTTGTTTGCTTGTTTGTTTTTGAGACGGAGTCTTGCATTGTTGCCCAGGCTGGAGTGCAGTGGCGCGATCTCAGCTCACTGCAAGCTCTGCCTCCTGGGTTCACGCCATTCTCCTGCCTCAGCCTCCTGAGTAGCTGGGATTACAGGTGCCCGCCACCATGCCCGGCTAATTTTTTGTACTTTTAGTAGAGACGGGGTTTCACCATGTTGGCCAGGATGGTCTTGATCTCCTGACCTCGTGATCCGCCTGCCTCGGCCTCCCAAAGTGCTGGGATTACACGCGTGAGCCACCGCGCCTAGCCAGAAAGTCCTGTTTTTTTATGTTTGTCTCCATAGTGCCTTCCATGTAAGGCAGAACCCCAGCACCAAAAAGCGGTTCAGAAAAGCATTTTCTTTAAGGGGCCAAACGAACGTGCACCCTGAAAATACAGTTTTTTTCTCCCTGATGGTTGGATCCAATGGTAAGATTTAGAATGCCTAAACCAATGTTTTCTAATGTGGGATGGGCAAGACAATCCATTAGACAGCAACACTTGTGTTTATACCTCAGATCCTTGAATAATGTCATTTTGTTCGATGACCTTTCATTATAACGTGGATGAGAAAAAAAAAATATTTTGGTTCCAGGTCAGGGCTACTGTCCGTGAAGCATTTTCGCATTCTCCTCATATCTGTGTGGGTTTTCTCTGGGTACTCTGGTTTCCTCCCACATCCCAAAGATGTACACAGCAGGTTAATTAGTGTCTTTAAATTGTCCCAATGTGGGCTGGGCGCAGTGGCTCACGCCTGTAATTCCAGCACTTTGGGAGGCCAAGGCGGGCGGATCACCTGAGGTCAGGAGTTTGAGGCCAGCCTGGCCAACATGGTGAAACCCTGTCTCTACTAAAATACAAAAATTAGCTGGGCACGGTGGCGCATGCCTGTAATCCCAGCTACTCGGGAGGGGGAGGTTGCAGTGAGCCGGGATTGCACCACTGCACTCCAGCCTGGGTGACAGAGCAAGACTGTCTCAAAAAAAAAAAAAATTGTCCCAGTGTTATGAATGTGTTGTGTGTGTGAGTGTGCCCTGCGATGGGATGGTGTCCTGTTCAGGTCTGGTTCCCACCAGGTGCCCTGAGGTGCCAGGATAGGTCCCAGTCACCCATTACCCTGAACTGGAATAAGCTGGCAAATAATTATCTTGTTTTTATTAGTCTTTCTTAAATGTATACATAGCTCACATGTATTTCAATGTTGAATGATACTAGCAGTGTTTTGGTCTTTATTTAGAAGTGTGGTGGTGTTGAAGTGGCTTCTTTCTCAGTATAGTTATTGATTTGTGGTGACATGCCTGAATCAGCCAAGTCTGTTCCTGCTCCAAAGAAGGGTGCCAAGAAGGTGGTGTGACCAAGAGCCAGAAGGATGGCAAGAATCACAAGCATAGCCACAAGGAAAGCTACTCTATCTACATTTACAAGGTATTGAAGCAGGTCCATCTCAACTCTGGCATCTCATCGAAGGCCATGGGCATCATGAACTCATTTGTCAATATCTTCAAGTGCATCATTCCTGATGCATTACAAGTACTCGACGATCACCTCCAGGGAGATCCATACAGCTTGTGCCTGCTGCCTAGGGAGATGGCCAATCACACTGTGTCTCACAACACCAAGGCCCTCACCAAGTACACCAGCTCCAAGTGAACAACTTCTACTTTCAAAAAGCAAAGGCTCTTTTCAGAGCCACTTAAGCCAGGTATAGAAAGACAAATACTGCATGTTCTCACTCATAAGTGGGAGCTAAACAAGTTGATCATATGGAGGTAGAGAGTGGAATGATAGATACCACTATCATTGAGATAGTGGCTGGGAAGTGTGTGTGGGTGAGCGGGGCTAGGGATGAAGAGAGGTTGGTTACTGGGTACAAACATACAGTTAGATAGAAGGAATAAATTCTAATGTTTGATAGCAGAGTAGGATGATTATAGTTAACAACAATGTATTATATATTTCAAAATAGCTTGAAAAGTGGCCGGGCACGGTGGCTCACGCCTGTAATCCCAACACTTTGGGAGGCCAAGGTGGGTGGATCACCTGAGGTCAGGAGTTCGAGACCAGCCTGACCAACATGGTGAAACCGGGTCTCTACTAAAAATACAAAAATGAGCTGGGTGTGGTGGCACGTGCCTGTAATCCCAGCTACTCAGGAGGCTGAGGCAAGAGAATCACTTGAACCTGGGAGGCGGAGTTTGCACTGAGCCAAGATCATACCACTGCACTCCAGCCTGGGCAACAGGGCAAGACTATGTCTCAAAAAAAAAAAAAAAAAAAAAAAAGCTAGAAAACAAGATTTGAAATGTTCTCAATACATAGAAATGATAAATACTCAAGGTGATGGACACCCTAAATACCCTGGCTTGATCATTACACATTCTATGCATGTAACAAAATTTCACATGTACCCCATTAAGTATATACAAATATAATGTAATCAGGCCAGGCACGGTGGCTCACACCTGTAATCCCAGCACTTTGGGAGGCCGAGGAGGGCAGGCCACTTGAGGTCAGGAGTTCTACACCAGCCTGGCCAACATGGTGAACACCGTCTCTACTAAAAAATACAAAAATTAGCCGGGCGTCGTTACATGCGCCTGTAATCCCAGCTACTCCGGAGGCTGAGGTGAGAGAATCACTTGAACCTAGGAGATGGAGGTTGCAGTGAGCCGAGATCACACCATTGCACTCCAGCCTGGGCAACAGAGCGAGACTCCGTCTCAGTATATATATCAATAAAAAATTTTAAAAAGAAGTTTGGTGATGTTGTTGTGGCCAGAAATACGCCATACGAACTTAACTCTTGTTTACATAAATTAGCCTATGTTAAAACTGGTTTCATTCCACATCATTTTGCTTAAAGTTACAGTTCCCAAGAACCTCTTGATAATGTTATGTGAGGACTTACTGTATTTATTTTTCATGTCAAAAAATAAGAAAAAAAGCTTTACAAAAACCAAGAAAAATATCTATTTTTGTTTGCTTGTTTTGAGACAGGATCTCACTCTGTCACCCAAGTTGAAGTGCGGTGGCACCATCACCACTCACTGCGCCCTCCAACTCCTAAGTACAAGCGATCCTCTTGCGTCAGCCTCCTAGGACTACAGGCACATACCACCATGCTCATCTAATTAAAAAAAAAAATTTTGTAGAGATAGTGTCTTACTATGTTGCCCAGGATGGTCTGGAACTCCTAGGCTCAAGTGATCTTTCCACCTCAGTGTCCCGAAGTGTTGGAATTACAGGCATGAGCCATGACGCCTGGCCTTCTAATTCTGATATATGGGTTTACACTGGTGCCCCATTTCTGTCCACATCAAATACATGAGGTATCCTAAAGGGAATGTGAAAGTTGGGTGGCCTGCATCGCCTGACATTTTTTCATTTGCTTTCAGCTTATTGCAATATACTGCAGTTCACCTGAGCCTAGATAAAGGTATTTGTGGATTATATTATCTAGTTTTAACTAAACCAATGCACATAAATCAGCAGGTGGCTTAAAACATTTCCTGCAGGCCGTGCGCGGTGGCTCACGCCTATAATCCCAGCACTTTGAGAGGCTGAGGCAGGCGGATCACGAGGTCAGGAGTTCAAGACCAGCCTGACCAACATGGTGAAACCCCGTCTCTACTAAAAATACAAAAATTAGCCAGGCATGATGGTGCATGCCTGTAGTCCCAGCTACTTGGGAGGCTGAGGCAAGAGAATCGCTTGTACCTGGGAGGCAGAGGTTGTACTGAGCCAAGATCACGCCACCGCACTCCAGGCTGGGGACAGAGTGAGACTCCATCTCAAAAACAAACAAACAACAACAACAACAACAAAAACATTTCCTGCAATGAAATAGGAAAGCAAAGATAATGCAAACACAAGTGAACAACAAGAAAATGGCAGAGCTGACCCTTCTACTCCCTGTAAAAGTTCTGCAGCCACCACATTATCAGGTACCAACCACGACAACCCAATCTGATCTGACAAGAAGATAGCTGAATTGAAAATTATCTCACAGAAGACCATTAGAAATATCTGCTACCAATAACATTAAATATCACCTTGAGATATTAGCTAATGATGGTATGAAGTTATTGTAATTAACATATTTTAAAATGAAGCATCCAGAACATGAAGATAAACCTCTATGATTTTTCCATGTTTAATGTTTCAATGTTGTGAGTCATGTGATACTCAATCCAGCATGTCACAAAATACTGTTACATGTAACGATAAATGTTTAGAAGCCTTTTTGAGTTTCCATAACTCAATAGAGAAAAAACAAAAGTCTCATACCATTGCAAAATCATCTATTCTTCATGCTACAGTAAAACTAGCTGCTCTAATGTGTAGAAAAAAAAACTGATGTCAAACTAAAATGCATTCCTTTGTCAGCAAATATATTTAGAAGACATATAGAAAACATTGTTGAAGATTGAAAGAAACAAGCATTAGAACAAATTATGCAGTGTGGGAGGTTTGCAATATACTTGGATAGAAGTACAGATATTTCTAACATGTCTCAGCTTGAGGTATTTGCTAGATTCTATTTCAATAATAAAACCTCTTTTTTTCTGAGTCACTAAAGGAAAGATGTTCCAAAGATGATATTTTCTGCAAAGTGGATGATTTCTTTAACAGAAACCATATTTTACAAGAAAACTGTAACTACCAGTAAGGTGATTGCTTTACCCTTGGACCTCTGATCTCCCACCTATTTGAGAAGTACTCTCTGTCTTCTTTTCCTGACTCTTTGTCTATTGGATCTCTAAATGTTGTCACTCAGGGTTCCATCCTGGAAGACTGTGGGGTAAAGTAGATTAATTTAACCAGATTTCCTGTAGCAATAGGCAGATAAAAGGAGGATTCTAAAAGCTTTAATTACAGCTCTTCTATTTTTCCCCTTCCCAAACCCTGATGCAAAGGCTCTGGGTCAGCTATTTTCTAGAATTCACCCTGTAGCAGGGTTATTCTGAGGTACTCTTGCTACCTAACCAATGCCATCCATTTCCTCAGCCCACAACCTGTCTGACTGTGAGGCCAGGCATAGTACACAATTGGGGGCCACGGATTTTAATTCACAGATTACCTGACTAGGGCTGGACTGGTCCTAGACATAAGGTGTTTCGTTCAAGTGCTCACTAGACTCTCTTTGGGGCTGGATATACTGGCCCCTGGAAGGGCTGAGCACTTTGAAGCTCTGTTAGCAGCCAAGAGCTATAATTGTAAGTAGGATGTGATGCCTTTCCTTAGAGTTTATTAGATCACCAGAATTATTTGGAAATGGGAAATACAATGTAGAGTGTTCCCTTTCTTCATTATTGTGAATAATAATATCTTTAAACTTTGCACTAAAGAATAATAGACTTATAGAGAAGTACACATATCAGCCAGGAACAGTGGCTCATGCCTCTAATCCCAGCACTTTGGGAGGCCGAGGCAGGTGGATCACCTGAGGTCAGGAGTTCAAGACCAGGCTGGCCAACATGGTGAAACCTGGTCTCTACTAAAAATACAAAAATTAGCTGGGTGTGGTGGCACATGCCTGTAATCCCAGCTACTCAAGAGGCTGAGGCAGAAGAACCGCTTGTAACTGGGAGGCGGAGGTTGCAGTGAGCCAAGATTGCACGATTGCACTCCAGCCTGGGTGAGAGTGAGACTCTGTCTCAAAGAAAAGAAAAGTACACATATCCTAAGTGCAGCTCAATGGACTTTCACAAGCTAAGTACACACAGCCACATATCACGTAACCTAACACTTCCAGCGTCCATCCCATGCTCCTACCACTACACCGATTTCTAACATCAAAGATGAGCTTTGCCTATTTTATTTTATATTTTATAGAAATGAAATCATGTGGCGCATATTAGTTTGTATCTGGCTTCTTTCATTCAATGTTACATTTGTGAGATTCATCCATATTCCTGCAGGTGGTTGTAGATTCTTCAATCTCACTGCTACCCAGCATTAAATTGTGTGAGTGTACTACAATTTTTTTAATCCATTCTGCTTCTGCTGGGCATTTGGGTAGTTTCCAGTTTGGGGTTATTATGAATAACACTGCTAAGAACATCCTAATACTAGTTTTTTTGGTGGCCATGTGTACAAATTTCTTAGGAATGCAACTGCTGGGTCAAAATATTTACATTGAATTTCTAGTTTTACTACAAAGAACACAGATATCTGATTTATTTCTACTCCTGTTCCCAAACACAGCAGATATGACTGGGAGGGCTAAATAAAGCATCTCTAAAAGTGCATCTAGGCACATCTTGCTTCCGAATCACCTGGGAGCTTGAGCAGGCAATTCTCTGCTCACTGAAGTTTGTGAACTATGTGTCATGGAAATAGGGGCTTTAGAAGTCAGACAAACCTAATTTCAACTCCCAGCTTAATCAGTTAATATTTGATCTTTGGGGCCGGGCACGGTGGCTCACGCCTGTAATCCTAGCACTTTGGGAGGCCGAGGCGGGAGGGTCACTTGAGGTCAGGACTTCAAGACCATCCTGGCCAACATGGTGAAACCCCATCTCTACTAAAAAAAAA